>NC_000008.11:90714222-91964222 GCF_000001405.40 Homo sapiens
AATGTGATGAGGGCCTGAGCTAAGGGAGTAGCAGTGAAGATAGAAAGGAGTTAATAAATCCAAGCAATATTTAGTAGTTTGGATTTAGGGGTTGCCTAGCTCTTTTAATGTGTAGATTCAGGTCTTTTATATCCATAAAGCTTTCTTGGATTATAGTTTTAAGTATTAGACCTGTTGGTTGTAATTTTTTTCACCTTTGGGAACTCCAGTTGTACTAAATACTCTTGTGCATTTTTCTTTATCTGTCACTAATTTTTGGATCCTTTGTACCTGTTTATTTCTTATTTTACTTCAAATCATTTTCTTTCCTCTCTTCAATGTATTTTAAAAAATATTTTAAGTCTAATTTATGTTTCTATTAATTTTCTCCGTGGTAAATGATTTTCAGCATTTTCTCATGTAGTTATTGTTCTTTGTATATCTTCCTTTGTGACTTGTCTTTTGCCCTTTTTAAAAAAATGTGTTGTCTTTTTATTAAAGTTTAATAATCTTTATATGTTCTGAATGCAAGTTTTTTGTAGGACATATGTATTGCAAATATATTCTCTAAGGCTATTGATTGTCTACTCATTTTCTTAATAGGGTCCTTTGATGAGCAGATTTTAATATTGATGAAATAAAATTTATAATTTTTTTTCTTTTATGGTTGGTTCTTTCTGTGTCTTATCAAAGAAATGTTTCCTAGTCAAAGGTTACAAAAAATGTTTGAAATGTTCACTGTTTTAGCTTTTGTATTTGGGACTATGGTGCACCTTGAATTAAATTTTTTGTTTAAGTGGATTTTTGGTTGAAGTTCATTTTTTTCCCCACATGGATACTCAGTTTTTGCAGCAATATTTGTGGAAAAGGTTTCACCATTTGAGTTGTTTTGGCATTTTTGTTGAAAATTCAGTTGAGTATATACATGTGGGTCTCTTTCTAGACTCTCTTCCTTTAATCTATCTGTATTTCTTACACTCATACTCTCTCAGTAGTATAGCTTTACAGTTAATTCCTCCAACTTTGTTCTTATTTTTCAAGATTGTTTCAGCTAGTCTAAATACTTTGAAATTTCATGTAACTTTTAGAATTATCTTATTTCAACACAAAGCCTGTTGGATTTTGATTGATTTGAATCTACAGGTAAAGTTAGGGAGAATATCTTAGCAATATTATTGCTTAACCATAAACATAGTATATCTCTCAATTTATTTTGGCTTCCTTTAATTTACCTCAATTATTTATAGTTTTTATTTTAGAGGTCTTATATATATTTTAAATGTTCATAAGTATTTTATGTGTTTATGCTTTTTAAATATATATTTTAACATTTTAACAATTTTTGTTGCTTATGTATAAAAATATAACTGATTTATTTTTAAATCTCAGTTCTTTATTTGTAAAATGATAATGATAACTTACAAGATTGTAATAAGAATCCAAATGCATGATCTACATAAAGGACTTAGTGTTAAACACTGAACTAGGAGAAAGTGTTCAACAAATGGCATTATGGAAATAGAAGAACAGAATAGAAGATCTGCATTTTAAAAAATATATAGATATGTTCTTTAATATACGCATGTTAATTAATTTTATTCCAAACCCTTGAGGCTTAATTTAAATGAACCCTAGTGAAAAGTATAATAACACTTACAAGCTTAACAAAATAAGAAGTTTGAACTGAACAAGAAAAAAGATTAGATTTTTGTTTATTGTTTTTCAAATTCTTCTTTTATTTTTAAAATTTTAATTTTAATTTTAGATTCAGGGGGTGCATGTGCAGGTTTGTTACAAGGGTATATTGTGTGATGCTAAGGTTTGAGCTTCAGTTGATCCTATCACCCAGATAGTAAACATAGTATCAAATAGGAAGTTTTGCAGCTCTTGACCCTTTTCCTCTTTCCATCCTCACCAACATGTTATCTTTTGGCTTTTTAATGATAGCCATTCTGACTGATGTGGGATGGTATCTCACTGTGGTTTTGATCTGCATCTCTATGATGATTAGTGATGCTGACCATTTTTTCATATGTTTATTGGACACTTGTATGTCTTCTTTGGGGGTTATTTGTTTTATTCTTGACTTAAGTTCCTTGTACATTCTGGATATGAGCCCTTTGTTAGACGCATAGTTCGCAAATATTTCCTCTCATTCTGTATGTTATCTGTTTATTCTTTTGCTGTGCAGAAGCTCTTTAGTTTAATTAGGTTCCACATGTCAAGTTTTGTTTTTGTTGCAATTGCTTTTAAAGACTTAGTCATAAATTCTTTGCCAGGCCGATGTCCAGAATAGTGTTTCCTAGGTTTTCTTCTAGGATTTTTATAGTGTGAGGTTTTATATTTTAGTCTTTAATCTTTCTTGAGTTAATTTTGATATATAGTGAGGGATAAGTGTACAGTTTCATTCTTTTGCATATGATTAGCCAATTCCCCCAGCATCATTTATTGAATAGGGAGTTTTTTCCCCATTGCTTATTTTTGTTGATTTTGTCAAAGATCAGTTAGGTGTAGGTGTGCAGCTTTATTTCTAGATTCTCTAATCTTTTCCATTAGTCCATGTGTCTATTTTTGTCCCAGTACCATGCTGTTTTGGTTACTGTAGCCTTGAAATATACTTGAAGTCAGATAATGTGATGCCTGTGGTTTTGTTCATTTTGATTAGGATTGCTTTGGCTATTTGTGCTCTTTTTTGATTCCATATGAATTTTAGAATATTTTTTCTAATTCTGTGAAAAATGACATTGGTAATTTGATAGGGATAGCATTGATTCTGTATCCTGTGGATTTACTAAATTCATTTATTAACTCCCATTGTTGTTTTGTAGATGCCTTTGGACCTTCTAAATTGAGTATCATTTTATCTTAAAATAAAGAGAGTTTTATTTCTTTCTTTTCAATTTATATATATATATTTTTTCTTGCCTTATTTCATGGTTAGTTCTTTGTTGGGAACAGGCCCCCCAAAATCTGGCCATAAACTGGCCCCAAAACTAGCCATAAAAAAAATCTCTGCAGCACTGTGACATGTTCATGATGGCCATAATGCCCACACTGGAAGGTTGTGGGTTTACCAGAATGAGGGCAAGGAACAGCTGGCCCACTCAAGGTGGAAAACCACTTGAAGGCATTCTTAAACCACAAACAATAGCATAAGCGATCTGTGCCTTAAGGACGTGCTCCTGCTGCAGTTAACTAGCCCAATCTATTCCTTTAATTCAGCCCATCCCTTTGTTTCCCATAAGGGATACTTTTAGTTAATTCAATATCTATAGAAACATGGCTAATGACTGGCTTGCTGTTAATAAATATGTGGGTAAATCTCTGTTCAAGGTTCCCAGCTCTGAAGGCTGTGAGACCCCAGATTTCCCCTTTCACACCTCTATATTTCTGTGTGTGTGTCTTTAATTCCTCTAGCGCCACTGGGTTAGGGTCTCCCTGACTGAGCTGGTCTTGGCAGTTCTTGTTGTACAGGTTAGTACAATGTTGAATATAAGTGGTAAGAATTCGGGGTAAAATGTTCAGTCTTTTACCATTAAATATACTGTTAGCTGCAAATTTTTGTAGATGCCCTTGGTCAGATTGATAAGCTTTCTTTTCATTTTAGTTTTCTGAGATTTTAAACAATCATAAATAGGTATTGAATTATGTCCAGCGATTTTTTTGGATCTAGTAAAATGACCATATAATTTTTGTTTTGTTCTGTTAATGTGGTGAATTACATTGTTTAACTTTACAACATGAGACCAATCCTGGGATAAAAAATCCTTAGTCTTGATGTGTTAAACTTTTTACATATTTCTTGATTTGATTTGCTAATATTTTATGATTCAGGGATTATTTATAAATGTGCCACTTGATTGCTAAACATTTGGAACTTCTTGTTTTTTTCTTTAGTTTTTTCAGTTTTTTATTCTGTATTTAGAAGCTCTATTATTAATCTGTATGCACATAATAAATTTTGCATTTAAAAAAATAAGTGGCCAAATAGTAAACAATTTAGGTTTTGGGTGTCATACTGTCTCTGTCACAACCCACATCTGTCTTTGTAGCTCTAAAGTAGACAAAAACAATATGTAATCAAATAAGGATGGCTGCATTCATAAAACTTCATTTAAAACAGAAACAGGTACAACAATTAACTCAAGATGGATTAAAGACAGAAATGTAAAACCTAGAACCATAAAAACCCTAGAAGAAAACTTAGGCAATACCGTTTAGGACATAGGCATGGGCAAAGACTTCATGACTAATTCACCAAAAGCAATGGCAACAAAAGCCAAAATTGACAAATGGGATCTAATTAAACTAAAGCGCTTCTGCACGGCAAAAGACACTAGCATCAGAGTGAACAGGCAAACTACAGAATGGGAGAAAATTTTTGCAATCTACCCTTCTGACAAAGGCCTAATATCCAGAATCTACAAGGAACTTAAACAAATTTACAAGAAAAAAATACACAACCCCATCAAAAAAGTGGGCAAAGGATATGAACAGACACTTCTCAAAAGAAGACATTTATGTGGCCAACAAACATATGAAAAAAAGCTCATCATAACTGGTCATTAGAAAAATGCAAATTAAACCACAGTGAGATACCATCTCATGCCAGTTAGAATGGCAATCAATTGAAAAGTCTGGAAACAACAGATGCTGGAGAGGATGTGGAGAACTAGGAACACTTTTACACTGTTGGTGGGAGTGTAAATTACTTCAGCCATTGTGGAAGACAGTGTGGTGATTCCTCAAGGATCCAGAACTAGAAATACCATTCGATCCAGGAGTCCCATTACTGGGTATATACCCAGGGATTATAAATCATTCTACTATAAAGACACATGCATACATATGTTTATTGCAGCACTATTTACAATAGCAAAGACTTGGAACCCACCCAAATGCCCATCAATGATAGACTGGATAAAGAAAATGTGGCACGTATACACCATGGAATACTATACAGCCATAAAAAAGAATGCGTTCATATCCTTTGCAGGGACATGGATGAAACTAGAAACCATCATTCTCAGCAAACTAACACAGGAACACAAAACCAAACACCGCATGTTCTCCTCATAAGTGAGAGTTGAACAATGAGAACACATGGACACAGGAAGGGGAACATCACACACCAGGGCCTGTCAGGGTGTGGGGGGAAAGGGGAGGGAGAGCATTAAGACAAACACCTAATGCATGTGGGACTTAAAACCTAGATGACAGGTTGATGAGTGCAGCAAACCACCATGGCACATGTATACCTATGTAAGAAACCTGCACGTTCTGCACATGTATCCCAGAACTTAAAGTAAAATATAAAAAATGAAAGAAACAGGTAGCAGGCCAGATTTGGTTCACAGACTGTTATTTGCTCATTCGTGAAACAGAATTGATATGTCTTTTAATGAATAAACTTTTTGTCATTATGTAATGGTGATGTCTCTGGTGGTACTCTTTTCTTGACATCTACATTGCCTTATTAATATAAATACTTCTTTCTCATTCTTACTATTTTCATATTTTTTCTTTTAATATATTTATGTATTTACATTTAATGCATTTCTTTCTAAATAGCATACAGTTGGGCATTGCTTTTTTTCCACTCTAATACTCTCTGTTTTTTAATTGGAGTATCTAGTTCATTGCCTTTTATGTGATTATCAGTATGGTTGGGTTTAAAACAATCATTTTGCTTCTTGTTTCCTATTTGTTCTATCTTTTCTTGAGACTCCACTATTTCCTTCTACCTTCTTTTTGACTAGTCAATTTTTTTATATTTCATTTTACCTCCTCTTTTAAATTTTTATCTGTAACTCTTTTATTTTTAGTGATTTCTTTAGTTATTTTAATATGTATCCTTAACTTATCACAGTCTATTTTAAATTAATATTACAGCACTTCCTTATAAGGTAAGAATCTTCCAAACTATACTATGATTTATACACTTGTACTTTGTGCTATTATTGTCATCCATTTGACTTTTACAGATAATTTAAACCACACGATATATTGTTATTACTTGTGATTTAAACAATCTGTGTTTGTGTCTGAAATGTCACTATCTGGATGATCTGAGCATCTGTTATATTGTCTGTTGTTTTTCTTGGTTTCCATCCCGTAGTTTTGTCTCCCTGTGTGCCTGATCTTTTAAATTTCATGCCAGTTGTTGGTATTTGAAAAATTATAGAGGTAATTTGAAGTCTAAAGTAAACTTCATCTCAAATAATATTTGCATTTGTTTCTGGCAGATTGTTGGAACAAAAGCAATACCAGCTTACCTTAATCCACTCAGGAACAGAGGTGATTCAAAACTGAATGTCAGTCCTTGTGAGGGCTGGACTACATCAGTTTACCCTCAGTCCTTAGGTGGAGGTCTCGTCCTAAAATTTGGAGATTTGTAGGGCCCTCCCTCTCCTTGGAAGCCTCTACATTCTAGTTTGCACCCTCCTAAGCTCACAGTGCTGTTGAAAGCTCAGTTTAGCTTCCCAGCCTCTGAAACTTCTCTTGTAGAATTAGCTACTGTCTCTGCAGAAAAGTAGTCCAAATATCAGGCTTGCCTCTCTGGGTTTTCTTCTCTGTGCTTTTGTTTGGTATTCATTTCTTCCTTTGTAGCTCACCAATATTCTCATATTTTTAAAAACATTGTTTATCAAACTTTTCTAGTTGTTCTTGGCAGTAGAATTGGTTCAGATCAACCAGTTGACCAAGCTGAATACATTTTTTCATAATTCCTAAATTTGTTTATGTATCTCCCCAGGATTATATTTATAATTAATTTTATATCTGGCTGGGCTTTTAGTAATATTAGTTATGAAAAACTTTTTTTATTGTGAATTGTGTTACATTTAGAAAAACTCATACAAAATCTAGACACAACTAATTTTTGTAAAGTGAATATTCAATGTAACTACCACAAAGGTCAAGACTTTTAATTTCAAGCAAAAATTATCTGACTTTAGGAAGTTTATAGATACTCTCCAACAATGATGGTCGTAACACAGTGGAATATAGCAACCTTAATTACAATGATAGGCACATAGAAACTAAAGATTCCAAGGCTACTTACAAAGAAATGATAACTTTATCTCAATAAATTTTATTAATTCCAAGTAGAAGGTATATTTCTTAGAGTGGGAGCAAAATAAGAATATTCAGAAACCAGTTCACTGACCAAGGCTTAAAATAAACGCACATTGTGTATAATTCAAAGATGTGGGAAATTGATTATGTTGTTCACAACACTTTTCTCACCAGGATTAGGATATAAAGGATTGAATATCACAATTTGGAGCATTTCAATTTGTGAATAGTAATTAAATTTATTTATTAATTACATACACTTTGAAAGTTAATGTTTCTTACAAATCACATAAGTATAGAAAGGATAAATTGATGAGACTATCTGGTACAAAAGAAAATAGTGGTAGAAAATAAAACAAGCTAAGGTTAGTATACCAAAATCTTTATCATAAGTTTATGTAGTATTTTTAGAGGTGAGCTACACATTGGACTCTGAATTTCTTTTAGTGACAAAGCAAAGAGGGAAAAACAATCAGTTTCAAGATTCACAGTACTACAAAAGATTGTTTGAAGATTCACAAACAAACCAATTGTTCAGGAGATGCACAGCTGTTCCTGGTACTGGTATCTGATAAAAATTTCTGCTAGGAGCCCTTATCCTGAAGCTACTTAGATGAATATACAAACTAGAATGGACTGATTTATTTTTAACCAAACGACAAGACACATTAGATGTGGTATAGAAAATAAGTTGCTAAAATGGACTGGACAATCACATGAATATGAGTAAACTAGTTGTGAATATGAACAAGAAAGATACTAAAGACATGTCCAACCAATAGAGAGTTAAATCAGAGGAGAATTTATACCTTATCTAGAGGTCTGAGATAAATGTTTTCCTCTGCCACTTCCCTACAAACAGCTGCTCTACTAAAGGGTGTTTGATTTCAGTGGACTATTTTAAAGTAGAAACAAGGAGAATCAATGTGAAAAGGGTGTACTATGGTTCTGAAGAGTTATGACTTTCCAAAATTCGTCTCAAATTAAGGTGTAAACAAAACATAAAGTCACCTCTGGGACCCAGTAAGTGCTCAATGAGGAAATTCTAGGACTAAAAATGCATTCTATTACATTAAAAATTACTGGCTGGGCTTAACAGCAGGGTACAGGAGAAAGAGTCCATCAACTACTAGAAATTATCCAATCAGAAGAATAAAGAGAGAAAGATTGAGAAAATATCAGCATTGCCTCAGAGACATGTGGGAAAATATCTAAAGTTCTATTATACGTAAAATAGTTCTAGAATTAAAAGAGGGAAATGCTAGAGCATAAAGGTTATTTGACAAAATAATGCCCAAGTTAGTTCTGCTTCTCTTTAGGATCTAGAAAGTCACAAAAGAACATGAACCCCATTGTAACAATAAGTAAAACTGGATAATCTACAAAATCATAACTTTTCTTGCTTACTACCAAGCATGATTCATACTATTACTGAATCAATATAACCGAAATTTTGTGGGGTACATTGAAGCAACATTTGTGAAAGGGGTAAAATCATCCCCATTCCTGTAGAAGGGATCTTTGCCATAGAAACTCTGACACTAGAATTTCTTCAGGCACAGTAGCTGACCATAGGGCTAACTGTTGTCCTATCAGGGTAGTTGAGAAATAGCAGATTAACTTTATTACAGCTCAGTCTCCCCTGTTTTGACCTTCAGGAGTTGGGAAATTGGGCATATCTTTGTTATTAAGTACATCAAGAAAATTAAATAATTCTTTGGGTCCAGTTGTAATAACAATTAAAGCCAATATTTATTAAGCGCTTACAATGTACTAGGCACTGTTTTAAGTTCTTTTAGTTGTTATTATACTCAATCCTCCTAACAAATCCATTAGGTAGTTACAATTAATCATTCCTCTTCACATATAAAGAAACTCAGCCCCTGAGAGGATGGATGAGGATCTTTCCCAAGGTCACAGCGTTAGTAAATGATGATGCTGGTATTAGAACTTGGGAGCACTTTCTCCTGAATTGACATTATTAATTAATCTCTATGTTATGCTCCCTTCCATCGGGGACAGAAGGTGTATTAGTCTAAAGCAATGGCTTACTAGATCACAGTTTAGAAGCTACAAAAAGTAAGTAAGAGGTAGGAAAAAGATATTTGTCTTAATCATCTTTAGTGACTCACCCTACTTTAATGGTTTCAATATGCTAACATATCTCCTTTCCAATTTTGATTTTAAAAAGCACTATAGACATATTTAACTTTACTGAGCATCTGTGTTTAGTTATACCTTACTGTTCCTACCCACTAATCACATGAATTGTTAAAATATTAGTCATTCTTTATGATAGTTTATAAAAATAAAAGTTTTTATTTTAAAAATTCTATTATAAGAGTTTTCATCAAGAAAAATATATTATTAACCTAAAAGGCTCAGAAAATTGGCATAACTATCATCATTGTCATTTCAGTAGTTTAAAAAAATCATACCCTATTCAGATAAATACTGCTTTATTCTTTGATGTCTTTTGATAGAAAATAAACTATGACATGAATAAAAACTAAAATAGAGACCTCAGCCTTACTTTAAGGGACAAAAACTCAAATAACTAGGGCCTCATTTCTCCTTTCTCTTTTTTTCTCTATGGAGTTCTTCCAATTTTCTGCCTAAACAGACTCTGCCCCCATGTGTTGTATATCCTTAATACTGGCATTGGGTTCTCTTACAGGGCTGCAAAAGTACTCAAGTCCACTGAGTAGTCTGGTGGGTTGTTCAGCCAATTTGGCATTAACATCTGCCCAGCTACTAGGCTTGTCTGTATAAAATAAGGCTAAGTCAGTAGTTACAGATGGTCCACTAAAGCTGCTCACTCACCTTTGAGATACATGAGAGCTCCCTTCAATCAGAATTGAAATCAAAGAATATGATGATTAGAAAGGAGTTAAAATCCAGAGAAGGAAACTGGGATCACTGTTCTGTAAGATGTTTCTGAGCCCCTCAATCAAAGGAAGAGTCCTTCTGGTTGTTATCATAGCAAATACAAGAGGAAAAAAATAATTGGCATTCTAGTATAATAATATTATTCAGGTAGAGGAAATATTTAAAAATAATTCATTGAATTATGAAGCAGACATATTGTCTTTGCAATTAGAAATGTTTAACTCTCAGGAATTAACACTGTAGATATGGTAATGTGGTGTCTTTAACATTTTTTTCTTTGGGTGGTATAGTTTTGTAGGCATAGAAGGAAACTCAGTAGTACATATCAACATCAAAAAAGAACAGAAGAAATGTTAGTGAAAGATTTCAGGATTTGAGTTTTGGTGTTTTTAAGTGCAAAACAGAATTAGCTTTGTATCATTCCATCCTCAGATGTGGTATCAAAGCATTCCATCAAAAGGGGAAAAGCTATTATGTATTTATATGAATATATACTACCGAGAAATAAATTCATATTTCTAGAGTTATATTTATATATTTATATATTATATATACATATTTATATTTCTAGAGCTAAGTAATTCTGAATTTTTAAAATCACCTTTAGTTTTTGAAGATGTATATATTTGCATAGCCCAATATTCAATAGTCACAAAAATGATTCCTTCTTCCTGTCCCCCAGACACCAGATCCTGCCTTCAGATATTACCAATTGTTTGTGTATGCTAGCAGAGCATTCTGTGCACGTTCTACTAGATATATAAACTTATATTTTCATTTTTTATCAAATGGTAGCATATTACATGTATTATTCTGTGTCTTTGGAGTTTTTAATGTTATTAATTTATGTTTTACATATGTATATATTCATTGCATAAAGAGATTTCTTATTCTTTTTTATGACTGCATGTGGGATGATATTAATTTAACTAGTCCCTTACTCAGCTTCTGTTAATGTAGCCATGTGGGAATGGAGGCCCAATGTAGCCAAATCACAATTTTCTAAAGGACACCAATGCTTAAAGATTTTATGCTAAATCTTCCATATTTTAAAAGAGGATACTAATTTTTAAAGATTTTAGAAAACTATGCAAACATATAATCTATACACTATAAATTATATCAGCAAGTTAAATCTGACTAGTGGGCCACCCACACTCCAGTTTTTAAAAAAATCTCTGGTAGCTAAATTGGAACAGTCAATGGATGAAGAAGCATATATGTGACATCCATTCAATTTATAGGAATGTTGATGTAATAACATTGATCTTCTTTCATAAAAATATTTTTAAATGTATGATCTTTTCTTTGAACCTAAGCATGCCATTTAAGTCTAAGGGACTTATAAAATTGGGCCAATAAGAAGAAATACAGACTGTGATACCCTGGCAGCATATGTAACAAAAGTTAGGTTTTTCTTTTTTTTTTTCAATTATTTTAATTTTTGTTTGTTAGCTTTACTTCTATAAAATTACATATATGTGCTTTAAAATATAAAATATTTCTGCAAGTTTTGTAATATTAAATAGGCTATTTCATATTCCACTCCTATAGTCAGATAGTTCATACTCACAGGAAGCAACTGCTTTCACTTCTTTTAGCTATTTTTTTCTAGTATTTGCCTTCATTTTTCTTTAAAAAATGCTTATGTGAGAGAGGGCGAGATGGCTGACTAGACGCAGCCACATGGAACAGCTGCCACTGAGGGACCCAGACGACTGGAGCACTCCTAACAGATATTCAGAGGGAACCCACTGAGAGTGGATGGAGAGAAGAAACAGAAGCCGGGTTGAAAGGAGAGGAAGCTAGGAACCCTGCGTGGGGCTACTGTGCACTAGGACTTGTTCTGGCCCCCAACAACTCCAGGGTAATGGGTGAGTTGAACTGGAAAGGAGCAACCCACTCTTACCAGGGGCCTCTGGAATCCCAACAGGAGGAGACCCCTCCCACCAGGGACACTCAAGTTGGCAAGGAGAGCTGCTTAGAGAAGTGATAGGGGAAGCAAGCCAGCTGATGTGGAGCCCAGAGGGTTTGTTGCAGGAGTGTCTGCACCAGACCATGACCAGGGAAGCCCATCAGCCCAGGGTCGACTTGCCCCCATAGCACACTTTAACCCTAGGGGAACTGTCAGACCTGAACTCTGCAGGGCAGTCTTGCCCATCAGACAGGAAGGACCATTCCAACTTGGGCACCCCTTGGCCTGCTGGTCTCTCCTGGGGCCCCAGACTGGCCACACTTAATTGCAAGGCACACTTAGGTGCCCTGGGGTTCTGTATCATAGTTCCTGCCTATGGCAGACCTACCTAACCAGCTGAGAACTCCAGCAAGATGGCCCCTATAACCACGCACCAGTCTACCTGCTCCCTCCCAACACTGCAGTCTCCCTCAGGCCCACAGCAGCCCCCCATATTGCTTTGCTGGTGCATTTGTGCATGGGTGGGTTTTGCCTTCTTTGCCCTACTGGCACCCTGTGTGCACCCTGCCTTCCCAATGCATGAGAGTACACTCCATCCCTCTTTCACCCACTGGACCACCATTGCAGTCAGAGCCATGGCAGGCACAGAGCCAGCCAGCCCACTTCCACCAGCATCCCACCCTTGTACCAACACTGCCACAAGAGTGAAGCTAGGCACAGAGAACAGTGGACCCTCCCCCACCATGAACATTCACCCCTATTGCAGCCCACAGAGAACACACACAGACATGACCCTGGCAGTGCCCCACCCCTGTGCTAACACCACCACCCCCAGTGAAGGTGTGCACAGTCGCTGTCACTGGCGGGGGCACCCCCATCCCCCAAGCTGTGCTGCCTCTGTCCTGTGGTGAACATGGGCACAAAGGCAAGCATCCTGGCACCCCCTAGCACCCTAATGCAGCTGATGAGCATACACCCCACCATGCTGCTGCTGCCGCTGCTGCTAGGACATATGAATGAGGATGCACCCTGCTGCCACTGCGTTATGAAATACTTTGGCTGACACCATCTATCGAAGTGTAATGACCAGTGGTCTGGGAGCATCTCTTCCCCACCCCCTCTACCCTTCAGTGCAGTGGATTCCTAACCTCAAGGAGCCAGAGAACAAAGTTGGGGACCAATACAAGTTTCCAATAATTAGATCACACAGTTCAGGAGTTGGAAGCTGAGCATGGCCCCGCTAAAATCTTCCAGAAATGAAGCCAGTTGGCTGAATTCACCTTATACCACAAACACCCAATGTCATCAAATAGGATAAAAGGGGGGAAAAAAAAACCCATTCGGAGGTCAGCAACTTCAAAGACTGAAGAAACATCAGCCCATAAAAATGAGAAAAACCAAAGAAAGAAATCTTACAATTCAAAAAGCCAGAGTTCTTCTTTCCTCCAAATGACTGCACCACCTCTCCAGCAAGGGTTCTGAACTGAGCTGAGATAGCTGAAATAACAGAAATAGAATTCAGATTATGGATGATAATGAAGATCATTGAGATGCAGGAGTACATTGAAATCCAAGGAAGCTAAGAATCACAATAAAATGATAAAGTGGGTGACAGACAAAATAGCCAGTATAGAAAAGAACATAACTGACCTGATAGACCCAAAAAACACACTTCAAAATTTCATAATGCAATCATAAGCATTAATAGCAGAATAGACCAAGCTGAGGAAAGAATCTCAGAGCTTGAAGACTGGATTTCTGAAATAAGGTAGTCAGACAAGAAAAGAGAAAAAGAATGAAAAGGAATGAAGAAAGCCTCCAAGAAATATGAGATTATGTAAAGAGACCAAATCTATGACTCATTGGTGTCCCTGAAAGAGATGGGGAGAATGTAAGTAACTTGGGAAGCATATCTCAGAATATCATCCATGAGAATTTTCCCAACCTAGCTAGAGAGGCCAACATTCAAAATCAGGAAATGCAGAGAACCCCAGTAAGATCCTTCACAAGAAGATCATCCCAAACACACATAATCTTCAGATTCTCCAAGGTTGGAATGAAAGAATACATGTTAAAGGCAACCACAGAGAAAGGTCAGGTCACTTACAATGGGAAGCCCATCATTCTAACAGCAGATCTCTCAGCAGAAATCTTAAAGGCAGGAGAGATTGGGAACCAATATTCAACACTCTTAAGAAAAGAAATTCCAACCCAGAATTTCATAACCAGCCAAACTAAGCCGCATAAGCAAAGGTGAAATAAGATCCTTTTCAGACAAGCAAATGTTGAGGAATTCATCACCACCAGGCCTGCCTTGCAAGAACTCCTGAAGGAAGCACTAAATATGGGAAGGAAAGTCTGTTATGAGCCACTAAAAAACATGACTAAATACACAGACCAGTGACACTATACACAATCACACAAACAAGTCTACATAATAACTAGCTAACATCATGATGACAGTCTAAAAAAAAAAAAAAAGCAGAGGTGGTGATTTTAATTTCAGACAAAACAGATTTTAAACCAACAAAGATCAAAAAAGACAAAGAAGGGGCATTACCTCATAGTAAAGGGTTCAATTCAATAAGAAAATCTATTCTAAATGTATATGGACCCAACACAGGAGTACCCAGATTCATAAAGAAAGCTTTTGGAGACCTTCATAGAGACTTAGATTCCCACACAATAATAGTGGGAGACTTTATTTTATTTATTTATTTATTTTTAATTATACTTTAAGTTCTAGGGTACATGTGCACAATTTGCAGGTTTCATACCTAGGTGTACACGCGCATGTTGGTTTGCTGCACCCATCAACTCATCATTTACATTAGGTGTTTCTCCTAATGCTATCACTCCCACCTCCCCCCACCCCACGATAGGCCCCAGTGTGTGATGTTCCCCTTCCTATGTCCAAGTGTTCTCATTGTTCAATTCCCACCTATGAGTGAGAACATGCGGTAGTTCATTTTCTGTCCTTGTGATAGTTTGCTGAGAGTGATGGTTTCCAGCTTCATCTATGCCCCTACAAAGGACATGAACTCATCCTTTTTTATACCTGCATAGTATTCCATAGGGTACATGTGCCACAGTTTCTTAATCCAGTCTCATTGATGGATATTTGGGTTGGTTCCAAGTCTTTACTATTGTGAATAGTGTCACAATAAACATACGTGTGCTTGTGTCTTTATAGCAGCATGATTTATAATCCTTTGGGTATTACTCAGCAATGGGATTACTGGTCAAATGGTAATTCTAGTTCTAGATCCTTGAGGAATCGCCACACTGTCTTCCACAATGGTTGAACTAATTTACGCTCCCACCAACAGTGTAAAAGCATTTCTATTTCTCCACATCCTCTACAGCATCTATTGTTTCCTGACTTTTTAATGATCACCATTCTAACTGGCGTGAGATGGTTCCTCATTGTGGTTTTGATTTGCATTTCTCTGATGACCAGTGATGAGCATTTTTTCATGTGTCTGTTGGCTGCATAATGTCTTCTTTTGAGAAATCTGTGTTCATATACTTTGCCCACTTTTTGATGGTGTTGTGTGTTTTTTTCTTGTAAATTTGTTCGAGTTCTTTGTAGATTCTGCATATTAGGCCTTTGTCAGAAGCGTAGATTGCAAAAATTTTCTCCCATTCTGTAGGCTGCCTGTTCACTCTGATGGTAGTGTCTTTTGCTGTGCATAAGCTCTTTAATTAGATCCCATTTGTCTATTTTGGCTTTTGTCGCAATTGCTTTTGGTGTTTTAGTCAGGAAGTCCTTGCCCATGCCTATGTCCTGAATGGTATTGCCTAGGTTTTCTTCTAGGGTGTTTATGGTTTTAGGCCTAACATTTAAGTCTTTAATCCATCTGGAATTAATTTTTGTATAAGGTGTAAGGAAGGGATCCAGATTCAGCTTTCTACATATGGCTAGCTAGTTTTCCCAGCATCATTTATTAAATAGGGAATCCTTTCCCTATTTCTTGTTTTTGTCAGGTTTGTCAAAGATCAGGTGTTTGTAGATGTGTGGTGTTATTTCTGAGGCCTCTGTTCTGTTCTGTTGGTCTATATATCTGTTTTGGTACCAGTACCATGCTGTTTTGGTTACTGTAGCCTTGTAGTATAGTTTGAAGTCAGGTAGTGTGATGCCTCCAGCTTTGTTCTTTTGGCTTAGGATTGTTCCATATGAAATTTAAAGTAGTTTTTTCCAGTTCCGTGAAGAAAGTCATTGGTAGCTTGATGGGGTTGGCATTGACTCTATAAATTACCTTGGGCAGTATGGCCATTTTCACAACATTGATTCCTCTTATCCACGAGCATGGAATATTCTTGCATTTGTTTGTGTCCTCTTTTATTTTGTTGAGAAGTGGTTTGTAGTTCTTCTTGAAGAGGTCCTTCACATCCATGTAAGTTGGATTCCTAGATATTTTGTTCTCTTTGTAGCAATTGTGAATGGGAGTTCACTCATGATTTGGCTCTCTGTTTCTCTGTTAACGGTGTATAGGAATGCTTGTGATTTTTGCACATTGATTTTGAATTCTGAGACTTTGCTGAAGTTGCTTATCAGCATAAGGAGATTTTGGGCTGAGACGATGTGGTTTTCTAAATATACAATCATGTCATCTGCAAACAGGGACAATTTGACTTCCTCATTTCCTAACTGAATACCCTTTATTTCTTTCTGTTGCCTGATTGCCCTGGCCAGAAATTCCAACACTATGTTGAATAGGAGTGGTGAGAGAGGGCATCCTTGTCTTGTGCTGATTTTCAAAGGGAATGCTTCCAGTTTTTGCCCATTCAGTATGATATTGGCTATGGGTTTGTCATAAATAGCTCTTATTATTTTGAGATATGTTCCATCCATACCTAGTTTATTGAGAGTTTTTAACATGAAGGGCTGTTGAATTTTGTCAAAGGCCTTTTCTGCATCTATTGAGATAATCATGTGGTTTTTGTCATTGGTTCTCTTTATGTGATGGATTAAGTTTATTGATTTACATATGTTGAACCAGCCTTGCCTCCCAGGGATGAAGCTGGCTTGATCATGGTGGTTAAGCTTTTTGATGTGCTGCTGGATTCAGTTTGCAGTATTTTATTGAGGATTTTTGCATCGATGTTCATCAGAGATATTGGTATAAAATTCTCTTTTTGTGTTGTGTCTCTGCCAGGCTTTGGTATCAGGATGATGTTGGCCTCATGAAATGAGTCAGGAAGGATTCCTTCCTTTTCTATTGATTGTAATAGTTTCAGAAGGAATGGTACCAGCTCCTTTTTGTACCTCTGGTAGAATTCGGCTGTGAATCTGTCTGGTCCTGGATATTTTTGGTTGGTAGGCTATTAATTATTGCCTCAATTTCAGAGCCTGTTATTGGTCTATTCAGAGATTCAACTTCTGCCTAGTTTAGTCTTGGGAAAGTGTATGTGTCCAGAATGTATTCATTTCTTCTAGATTTTCTAGTTTATTTGTGTAGAGATGTTTATAGTATTCTCTGATGGTAGTTTGTATTTCTGTGGGGTCACTGGTGATATCCCCTTTATCATTTTTTATTGCATCTATTTGATTCTTCTCTCTTTTCTTCATTATTAGTCTTGCTAGTGATCTATCAATTTTGTTGATCTTTTCAAAAAACCAGTTCCTTGATTCATTGATTTTTTGAAGGGTTTTTTGCATCTCTATCTCCTTCAGTTCTGCTATGATCTTAGTTATTTCTTGCCTTCTGCTAGCTTTTGAATTTGTTTGCTCTTACTTCTCTAGTTCTTTTAATTGTGATGTTAGGGTGTCATTTTTAGATCTTTCCTGCTTTCTCTTGTGGGCATTTAGTGCTATAAATTTCCCTCTACACACTGCTTTAAATGTCTCCTAGAGATTCTGGTACGTTGTGCCTTTGTTCTCATTGGTTTCAAAGAACATCTTTATTTCTGCCTTCATTTCATTATGTACCCAGTAGTTATTCAGGGGCAAGTTGTTCAGTTTCCATGTAGTTGAGTGGTTTTGAGTGAGTTTCTTAATCCTGAGTTCTCATTTGATTGCACTGTGGTTTGAGAGACAGTTTGTTGTGATTTCTGTTCTTTTACATTTGCTGAGGAGTGCTTTACTTCCAATTATGTGGTCAATTTTAGAATAAGTGTGATGTGGTCTTGAAAAAAATGTATATTCTGTTTATTTGGGGTGGAGAGTTCTGTAGATGTCTATTAGGTCTGCTTGTTCCAGAGGTGAGTTCAGTTCCTGGATATCCTTGTTAACCTTCTGTCTCATTGATCTGTCTAATATTAACAGTGGGGTGTTAAAGTCTCCCATTATTATTGTGTGGGAGTCTAATTCTCTTTGTAGGTCTCTAAGGACTTGCTTTATGAATCTGGGTGCTCCTGTATTGGGTGCATATATATTTAGGATAGTTAGCTCTTCTTGTTGAATTGATCCCTTTACCATTATGTAATGGCCTTCTTTGTCTCTTTTGATCTTTGTTGGATTAAAGTCTGTTTTATCAGAGACTAGGATTACAACCCCTGCTTTTCTTCTTTTTTTTTTTATTTACTTTCCATTTGCTTGGTAGATCTTCCTCCATCCCTTTAGTTTGAGCCTATGTGCTTCTTTGCACATAAGATGGGTTTCCTGAATACAGCACACTGATGGGTCTTGACTCTTTATCCAATTTGCCAGTCTGTGTCTTTTAATTGGGGCATTTAGCATATTTACATTTAATGTTAATATTTTTATTTGTGAACTTGATCTTATCATTATGATGTTCGCTGGTTATTTTGACCATTAATTGATGCAGTTTCTTCATAGCATCACTGGCCTTTACAATACGGCATGTTTTTGCAGTGGCTGGTACCGGTTGTTTTCTTCCATGTTTAGTGCTTCCTTCAGGAGCTCTTTTAGGGCAGGCCTGGTGATGACAAAATCTCTCAGTATTTACTTGTCTGTAAAGGATTTTATTTGTCCTTCACTTATGAATCTTAATTTGGCTGGATATGAAATTCTGGGTTGAAAATTCTTTTCTTTAAGAATGTTGAATATTGGCCCCCACTCTCTTCTGACTTGTAAGGTTTCTGCCAAGAGATCCGCTGTTAGTCTGATGGGCTTCCCTTTGTGGGTAATTCGACCTTTCTCTCTGGTTGCCCTTAACACTTTTTCCTTCATTTCAACCTTGGGGAATCTGACAATTATGTGTCTTGGGGTTGCTCTTGTCGAGGAATATCTTTGTGGTGTTCTCTGTATTTCCTGAATTTGAATGTTGGCCTGCCTTGCTAGGTTGGGGAAGTTGTCCTGGATAATATCCTGAAGAGTGTTTTTCAACTTGGTTCCGTTCTCCCCATCACTTTCAGGTACACCAAGCAAACATAGATTTGGTCTTTTCACATAGTCCCATACCTCTCGGAGGCTTTGTTCATTTCTTTTTACTCTTTTTTTCTCTAACCTTGTCTTCTCACTTTATTTCATTAATTTGACCTTCAATCACTGATACCATTTCTTCCACCCGATCGAATTGGCATTGAAGCTTGTGCATGTGTCACGAAGTTCTCATGCCATGGTTCTCAGCTCCATCAGGTCATTTAAGGTCTTCTCTACACTGTTTATTCTAGTTAGCCATTCATCTAATCTTTTTTCTAGGTTTTTAGCTTCCTTATGATGGGTTCAAACATCCTCCTTTAGCTCGGAGAAGTTTGTTATTACCAACTTTCTGAAGCCTACTTCTGTCAACTCATCAAAGTCATTCTCTGTCCAGCTTTGTTCCATTGCTGGCAAGGAACCTTTGGAGGAGAAGAGATGCTCTGATTTTTGGAATTTTCAGCTTTTCTGGTCTTTTTTCTCCCCATCTTTGTGGTTTTATCTACCTTTGGTCTTTGATGTTGGTGACCTACAGATGGGGTTTTGGTGTAGATGACCTTTTTGTTGATGTTGATGTTATTCCTTTGTTTGTTAGTTTTCTTTCTAACAGTCAGGTCTCTCATCTGCATGTGTGTTGGAGTTTGGTGGAGGTCCACTCCAGACCCTGTTTGCCTGGGTATCACCAACAGAGGCTGCAGAACAGCAAATATTGCAGAACAGCAAATATTGCTGAATAGTAAATATTGCTTCCTGATCCTCTGGAAGCTTCATCCCAGAGGGCCATCGCCCATATGAGGTGTCTGTTGGACCCTACTTGGAGATGTCTCCCAGCTAGGCTACTTGGGGGTCAGGGACCCACTTGAGGAGGCAGTCTGTCAGTTCTCAGAGCTCAAACGCTGTGCTGGGAGAACAACTGCTCTCTTCAGAGCTCTCAGACAGGGACGTTTAAGTCTGCAGAAGTTGTCTGCTGCCTTTTGTTCAGCTATGCCCTGCCCACAGAGGTGGAGTCTAGAGGCAGTGGGCCTTGTTGAGCTGCAGTGGGCTCTGCCCATTTTGAGCTTCCCAGCCACTTTATTTACCTACTCAAGCCTCAGCAATTGCAGATGCCCCTAATAGTGGGATAATTTAACACCCCACTGACAGTATTAGACAGATAATTGAGGCAGAAAATTAATGAAGATATTCAGGACCTGTACTCAGCAGTGGAACAAATGGAACCTAATAGACATCTATAGAACTCTCCACCTCAAAGCAAGAGAATATACATTCTTCTCACTGCCACATGGCACGTACTCTAAAATGAATCACATAATTGGGCACAAAACACTCCTCAGCAAATGCAGAAGAAATGAAATCATAACAACCACTCTCTTGGACTACACCACAATAAAATTAGAAATCAAGAATAAGAAATTCACCCAAAACCATACAATTACCTGTAAATCAAATAACCTGCTCCTGAATGACTTTTGCATAAATAATGAAATTAAGGCAGAAATAAAGATGTTGTTTGAAACTAGCCAGAAGAAAAATACCACATACCAGAATCTCTGTGACACAGCTAAGGCAGTGTTAAGAGGGGAATTTATAGCACTAAATACCACACCAAAAAGTTAGAAAGATCTCAATTTAACAATGTAACATCACAACTAAAAAACTAGCAAACCCAGAGCAAACTAACCCCGAAGCTAGCTAGCAGAAGACAAATAACTAAAATCAGAGCTGAAGTGAAGGAGATTTAGACACACACACACACACACACACACACACACACACACACACACATAAACACACACACTCTCAAAAGATCAATGAATCCAGTTGTTAGTTTTTTGAAAAAATTAATAAAATAGATAAACCACTAGCTAGACTAATGAAGAAAAGAGAGAAGATAAAAATAAAAACAATTAGAAATGACAGAGGGGATATTACCAACGACTCCACAGAAATACAAATAACCATCAGAGACTACTATGAACACCTCTATCCACATAAAATAGAAAATCTAGATGAAATGGATAAATTCCTGGATACATACAGCCTCTTGAGCCTCACCCAGGAAGAAATTGAATCTGCTCATAGACCAATAATGAGTTCTAAAATTGAATCAGTAATAAATAATGTACCAACCAAAAGAAGCTCAGAACCAGATGGGTTCACAGCAGAATGCTACTAGATGTACAAAGAAGAGCTGGTAGCATTCCTACTGAAACTGTTCCAAAAATTAAGAAGGAGGGACTCCTCCCTAACTTATTCTATGAGGAAAGCATCATCCTGATACCAAAATCTGTCAGACACACACACACACACACACACACACACACACACACAAAAAAAAAAAAAAAAAAGCTTGAGGTCAATATACTTGATAAACCTTGATACAAAAGTCCTCAACAAAATACTGGTAAACCAAATCCAGCAACACATCAAAAAGTGTATGCACCATAATCAAGTAGACTTTATCCCTGGGATGCAAGGTTGGTTTAACACACACAAATCAATAAATGTGATTAATCACATAAAAAGAACTAAAGACAAAAACCACATGATTATCTAAAATCGATGTGTAAAAGGCTTTTGATAAAATTCAACACCCCTTCATGTTGAAAAAAAAAAACCTCTCAATAAACTAGGTAATGAAGGAACATACTTCCAAAAAATTTTGAACCATATATGACCAGCCCACAGCCAACATCACACAGAATGGGCAAAAGCTGGAAGCATTCCCCTTGAAAACCAGCACAAGAAAAGGACTCCCTCTTATACCACTCTTGTTCAACATAGTATTGGAAATTCTGGTCAGAACAATCAGGCAAGAGAAATAATAAATGGCATCCAAATAGAAAGAGAAGAAGTCAAATTATCCCTGTTTGCAAATGACATGATCCTATATCTAGAAAACCCCATAACTCAGCCCAAAAGCCCCTTAAGCTGAGAAAAAACTTCAGCAAAATCTCAAGATACAAAGTCAATGTACAAAAATTGATAGCATTCCTATACACCAACAACAGTCAATCCAAGAGCCAAATCAGGAATGCAATCCCATTCACAATAGCCTCATAAAGAATAAAATACTAGGAATACAGCTAACCGGGAGGTGAATGATCTCTACAGGGAGAAATACAAAACACTTCTCAAATAAATTAAAGATGAATCAAACAAAGGGAAAAATATTACATGCTCATGGATAGAAAGAATATCATTAAAATGAGAATACCGCCCAAAGCAATTGATAGATTCAGTGCTATTTCTCTCAAACTATCAATGGCATTCTTTACAGAACTAGAAAAAACTTTTGCAATTCATATGGAACCAAAAAAGAGCACAAATAGCTAAGACAATCCTAAGCTAAAAGAACAAAGCTGGAGATATCATGCTACTCAATTTCAAACTATACTACAGGGCTACCGTATCCAAAACAACATGGTGCTAGTACAAAAACAGACACATAAACAAATGGAACAGACTAGAAAGTCCCAAAATAAGGCTGCACACCTATGACTATCTTATCTTCAACAAAGTCAGCAAAAACAAGCAATGGGGAAAGCACTCCCTATTCAATAAAGGATGCTGGGATAACTGGCTAGCCATATGCAGAAGATTGAAACTGCACCCCCTTCTTATACCATATACAAAAAGCAAATCAACATGGATTAAAGACCTAAATGTAAAACCCTAGAAGACGACTTAGGCAACACCATTTAGGACATAGGAATGGCCAAAGATATCATGATGAAGACACCAAAACAATTGCAACAAAAGCAAAAACTGACAAATGGGATCTAATTAAACTGAAGAGCTTCAGCACAGCAAAATAAACTATAAACAGAGTAAACAAACAGCCTACAGAACAGGAGAAAGTATTTGCAAACTATGCATCTGACAAAGGTCTAATATCCAGTATCTATAAGGAACTTAAACTTATAAGGAAAACCAAACAACCCCATTAAAATGTGGGCAAAGTACATGAACAGACACTTTCAAAAGGAGACATGCATGCAGCCAACAAATAAATGAAAAAGAGTTCAACATCGCTGATCATTAGAGAAATGAACATGTAAACCATGATGAGATACCATCTCACACCAGTAAGAATGGCTATTATTTAAAAGTCAAAAAATAACAGGTGCTGGCAAAGTTGTGGAGAAAAAGAAACACTTTTACACTGCTTGTAAGAGTGTAAATTAGTTCAACCATTGTGGAAAGCAGTGAGGTGATTCCTCAAAAAGCTAAAAATGGAACTACCATTTGACTCCGCTATCCCATTACTGGATATATACCCAAAGGAATATAAATCATTCTACCATAAAGACACATGCATGCATATGTACAATAAAGCACTATCTGCATAGTAAAGACATGGAATCAACCTAAATGCCCATCAGTGGGAGACTAGATAAAGAACATGTCGTACATATACACCATGGAATACTATGCAGCCATAAAAAGGACAGGATTATGTCCTTGGCAGGAACATAGACGGAGCTGCAGGCCATTATCCTTAGCAAGCTAACACAGGAACAAAAAAACAAATACCACATGTTCTCACTTATAACTGGAGCTAAATGATGAGAACACATGGACATATAGTGGGGAGCAATAGACACTAGGGCTGACAGAGGGTGGAAGGTGGGAGAAGGGAGAGTTTCAGCAAAAATAATGAATGGGTACCAGGCTTAATACCTGGATGACAAAATAGTCTGTACAAAAACCCCCCCATTACACAAGTTTACCTATATAACAAAACTGCACATGTACCCCTGAACTTAAAAATTGAAAAAATAAAATTAGAAAAATAAGTTAAAAAGAAATATTGCATGCAAAAATAAAAAATTCTTATACGGATATTTCTTGATTTTCTAAATCTTAATATTTGTTGGTTTCCTTTTCTGAAATATTATAATTTAGCTAAACTTATACTTCCTCCTTATCCTCCATTCTCTCAAGTTATAAATCATAATTTTTAGTAAGATTGCAATTTGGTGTTTGCCTTATCACAACTAAACCATGTAGTGTACTATAATTTCATATTCTTTCTTATATTACTGTTTTTTCTTCTCAGGAGATTTTTTTTCCTGTTACTTCCTAGGCATCATTAGTTTGTCCCCAAATACTCCACCTCTCAATGCAGTCAAAACTTCCTTTTTCTACAAATTTCTTCCTTGTCTATGAATTTCTTCCTCTTTCTTCCCTGACTCTCTTGCTCTCTCTGTCTTAAACATTCTCTCTTCAGCCCTCACAACCCCTCCCCCTGATGAAATGGTTGTTCTCTGGCTTGTTGCTGTCTCCTCATGGGCTCCTGCTTCTCCTTCAGCCTTGGAATTCTCCTATGTCCTGGATGCAATGTCTTTCCTTTTATTTGTTGACTCTCATATTTTGGTGAAGCACTTTTTCCAAGAAAAGGTATCTTTTAGTCTATTTTGTGCTGTTATAACAGAATACCTGAGACTGGATAATTTATTTTAAAAAAAGATTTATTTCTTACACCTCTGTAGGCTGGGAAGTCCAAGATTGATGTGCCTATATCTGGTGAGGGACTCCTTGCTGTGTCATAAGACAACAGAAGGTATCACAGGCAAGAGAGAGCAAGAGAGGACCTAATTGTCTTTTATAACTATTCACTTACAATAATGAACCAACTATATTAATTTATTCAGGAGGGTTTTGCTCTTATGACCTAATGACCTCTTAAAGGTATCACCTCTCAACACTGTTGCATTGAGAATTAAATTGCTAACATTTGAACTTTGGGGGACACATTCAAACCACAGTGCAGTACATAGAACATCAAGTTTTTGATGACTTACTGATTGAATTAGGGTTATCTAGAGAATTGGAACCAGCTGGAAGTCTGTATAGATAGAAAGACGTTTATTTTAAGGAATTGATTTGTGTTATATAGAAACTGGCAAGTCCAAAATGTGCAGGGTAGCCTGACAGTCTGGAGACCCAGGAAGGAGCCAACGTTTTAGTTCAATTCCAAAGGCTGGATGGCTGATTGGCTGTCAGCTGCAGGGATACAAATGATGTCATCACCCAGATAGTGAGCATAGTAGCCAAAAGTTAGTTTTTCAACCTTTTCTCCCCTCCTCTCCTTCTCACCTGTTAGTCTCCAGTGTCCGTTGTTGCCATCTTTACATCCATGAATACCCAATGTTTAGCTCCCGCTTATAAGTGAGAACATGTGATATTTGGTTTTCTGTTCTTGCATTAATTTGCCTCGGGTAATAGTCTCTAGCTGTATCCATGTTGCTGCAAGGACATAATTTTGTTTTTTATCATAACTTCATAGTTTTCCATGGTGTTTATGCACTACATTTTCTTCATCCAATGCACCGTTATTGGGCACCTAGGTTGATTCTGCGTTTTTGCAATTGTGAATAGTGCTGCAATGAACATATAAGTGCATGTGTCTTTTTGGTCGAACCATTTATTTTACTTTGGGTATATACTCAGTAGTGGGTATATCATTGCTGGCTTGAATGATAATTCTGTTTTAAGTTCTTGGAGAAATTTCCAAACTGCTATCCACAGGGGCTGAACTAATTTATATTCCCATCAACTGTGTATAAACATTCCCTTTACTCTGCCACCTTGTCAACATCTGTTATTTTTTGACTTTTTAGTAAAAGCCATTCTGACTGGTGAGACGGTATCTCATTGTGGTTTTGATTTGCATTTCTCAGATGGTTGGTAATGTGGAGTGTTCTTTCATGTGTTTGTTGGTCATATATGTGTGTTCTTTTGAGAAGTGTCTGTACATGTACTTTGCCCACTTTTTAATGGGGTTATTTGGTTTTTGCTTGTTGAATTGTTTAAGATCCTTATAGATAATGGATATTACAGAATGATATTTCTTAGGTTTTCATCTAGGAGTTTTATAGCTTCAGGTCTTACATTTAAGTCTTTCATCCATCTTGAGCTACCTTTTCTATATGGTATTAGATGGTGCTTCAGTTTCATTTTTCTGCATATGGTTAGCCAGTTTTCTCAGCCCCATTTGTTGAAAAGTGAGTACTTTCACCATTACTTGTTGTTGTATTAGTCCATTTTAACACTCCTATAAAGAAATACCTGAGACTGGGTAGTTTATAAAGAAAAGAGATTCAATCAACTCATAATTTTGCATGGCTAGGGAGGCCTCAGGCAACTTACAATCATGGCAGAAGGGGAAGGGGAAGCAAGGCACATCTTACATGGTGACAGGAGAGAGAGAGTGGGGAGAAGTGCCACACTTTTAAACCATCAGATCTCATGGGCACTCACTATCACAAAAACAGCATGGGGGAAACTTGCCCTCATGATCCAATGATGTCCCACCAGATCCCTACCCTAACATGTGGGGATTAAAATTCCTCATGAGATTTCAGTGGAGACGCAGAGTGAAACCATATCACTTGTTATTGTTTACTTTGTTGAAGATTAGATGGTTGTAGGTGTGCAGCTTTATTTCAGGGATCTCTATTCTGTTTCATTGATCTATGTGCCTGTTTTTGTACCAGTATCATGCTGTTTTGATTACTGCAACCTTGCGGTATAGTTTGAAGTTGGGTAGTGTGATGCCTCTGGCTTTATTCTTTTTGCTTACAATTTTTTTGGCTATTAAGGCTCTACTTTGATTCAATATGAACTTTATAATAGTTTTTTCTAATTCTATGAAAAATATCAGTAATTTGATGGGAATAGAGTTGAATATGTACATTGCTTTGGGGAGTATGGCCATTTTAACAATATTGATTCTTCAAATCCATGAGTGTGGGATGCTTCCATTTTTTTGTGTTATCTATGAATTTTTTCAGCAGTGTTTTGCAGTTCTTCTTGTAGAGATCTTTCACCTCTTTGGTTACATGTATTCCATGATATTTTATTTTATTTATTTGTGACTATTGTAAATGGGATTGCATTCTTGATTTGGCTTTCAGCTTGAATGTTATTGGTGTATAGAAATGCTACTGATTTTTGTCCATTGATTTTGTAACTTGAAATTTTATTGAAGTCATTTATTGCTTTAGAAGCCTTTTGGCAGAGTATTTAGGGTTTTCTAGTCATAGAATCATATCATCAGTGAAGAGAAATAATTTGACTTATTTTCCTATTTAATATCTTTTATTTCTTTCTCTTACTTGATCTGGCTAAAACTTCCAGTACTATGTTGAATAGGAGTGGTGAGAGTGGGCACCCTTCTCATGTTTGAGTTCTTAAGAAGAATACTTCCAGCATTTGTCCTTTCAGTATAATGTTGGCTGTAGGTTTGTAATAGATGGCTCTTATTATCTTGAGGTATATTCCTTTGATGCCTAGTTTGTTGAGGGTTTTTATTGTAAGGGTATGTAGAAACTTATCAAAATCTTTTTCTCCATCTATTGAGATGATCGCATGTTTTTTGTTTTCAATTCTGTTTATGTGGTGAATCACATTTATTGATTTGCATATGTTAAACGAGCCCTTTATCCCAGGAGTAAAGCCTACTAGATTGTGGTGAAATTAACTTTTTGTGTGCTGCTGTATCAGAGATATTGGCCCATAGTTTTGTTTTTGGCTGTGTCTCACCAGATTTTGATATTAGGGTTATGCTAGCTTTGTAAAATGAGTTGGAGAAGTCCCTCCACCTCTATTTTTTGTAATATTTTCATTAGGATTGGTACCAGCTATTCTTTGCATATCTGGTAGAATTTGGCTGTGGATCCATCTCGTCCAGGACTCTTTTCAATCGGTGGGCTTTTTGTTATTTATTCAATTTCAGAACTTGATATTGGTATATTCAGAGTTTTTATTTCTTCCTGACTCAGTCTTGGCATGTTGTGTGTTTCCAGGAACTTATTCATTTCCTTTGGATTTTCTATTTTGTATGCATAGAGGTGTTCATAATAGTCTCTAAGGATCTTTTATATTTCTGTGGGATCCAGTGTAATGTCACCTTTGTCATTTCTGCTAACACTGATTTAGATCTTCTCTCTTTTTTTCTTTGTTAATCTAGCTAGTGTTTTATCTATCTTGTTTATTCTTTCAAAGAACCTCTTTTGGTTTCATTGATTCTTTGTATGGATTTTGGGGGCCTCAATTTTATTTGGTTCTTCTCTGATTTTGGTTATTTCTTATCTCCTGCTAGCTTTGGGGTTAATTTATTCTTGTTCTTCTAGTTCTTCTAGGTGTGATGTTAGATTGTTAATTTGAGATATTTCTAATTTCTTAATGTAGGCATTTAGTGCTATAAACTTTCGTCTTAATACTGCTTTAGCTGTATCCCAGAGGTTTTGCTATGTTGTGTCTCTGTTTTATCTCAAATTTTTTTATTGCTACCTTAATGTTTTTATTTACCTCAAAGTCATTCTGAAGTAAGTTTAATTTCCATGTAATCAAGTGGTTTTCAGGAATCTTGTTGGTATTGATAGTGTTTTTATTCCACTGTGCTATGAAAGCATGTTTGGTATGATTTTGTTTTTTGTCAATTTATTGAAACTTGCTTTATGATGGAACATGTGGTCAATCTTAGAGTATGCTCCATGTGCAGATGTGAAGAATGTATGTTTTGTGATTATTTGGTATTTTATAGATGTCTATTAGATCCAATTTGTCAAGTGTCAAATTTAAATCCGGGGCTTATTTGTTTGTTAGTTTTCTGCCTCAGGGGTCCGTCTAACACAGTCAGCAGGGTGTTGAAGTTCCCCACTATTATTATTTGGCTGTCTAAGTCTTTTGTAATGTCTAGAAGTAGTTGTCTTATGAATCCACGTGCTCCAATATTAGGTATGTATATACTGAAGATAGTTAAGTTCTCTTGTTGGATCAAACCCTTCATCATTATGTAGTGCCATTCTTTGTCCCTTTCTACTGTTGTTGGTTTAAAATCTATTTTCGGCCAGGCAAGGTGGCTTGTGCCTGTAATCCCCAGCACATTGGGAGGCTGAGGTGAGTGAATCACTTGAGTCCAGGAGTTCAAGACCAGTCTGGGCAGCACAGTTAGATGCTGTCTCTATAAAAATTAGCCAGGCCTGGTGGCATCTGCCTGTAGTCCCAGCTACTCAGGAGGCTGAGGTGGAAGGATCTCTTGAGCTTGGGAGGTTGAGGCCACAGTGAGCCATGATTGTGCCACTGCACTCCAGCCCTGAGAGACACAGCAAGACTCTATCAAAAAACATCTATTTAATCTGATATAAAGATAGTGACACTTGTTTTTTGTTTGTTTGTTTTTTTACTTAAAGTTCCAGGCAGTATACATGTGCAGAATGTGCAGATTTGTTACACAGGTAAACATTTGCCACTGTGATTTGCTGTTCCTATCAACCCATCACCTAGTTATCAACCCCTGCATGCATCAGCCATCTGTACTCATGCTCTCCCTCCCCTTGCCATCCCTGATGGGCCCCAGTGTGTGTTGTTCCCTGTGTCCATGTGTTCTCCTTGTTCAGCTCCCACTAATAAGTGAGAATATGCAGAGTTTGGTTTTCTCTTCCTGTGTTAGTTTGCTGAGGATAATGGCTTCCAGCTTCATCCATGTCCCTGCAAAGGACATGATCTCATTATTTTTTATGGCTGCATAGTATTCCATGGTGTATATGTATCACACTTTCTTTATCCAGTCTATCATTGATGGGCCTTTGAGTTGGTTCCATGTCTTTGCTATTGTGAATAGCACTGCAATAAACATATGTGTGCATGCATCTTTATAATAGAATGACTTATATTCCTTTGGGTATATACCCAGTAGTGGGGTTGCTGGGTCAAATGGTATTTGTGGTGCTAGATCCTTGAGGAACCCCACACCGTCTTCCACAACAGTTGAACTAATTTACATTCCCACCAAAGCATTCCTATTTCTCCACAGCCTTGCCAGCATCTGTTGTTTCTTCACTTTTTGATAATCATCATTCTGACTGGCATGAGATGGTATCTCATTGCGGTTTTGACATGCATTTATCTAATGATCATGATGTTGAGTTTTATTTCAGGCTTTTTGGCTGCATAAGTGTCTTCTTTTGAAAAGTGTCTGTTCATGTCCTTTGCCCACTTTTTGATGGGGTTGTTTGTTTTTTTCTTGTAAATTCGTGTACGTTCATTGTAAATTCTGAATATTAGCCCTTTGTCAGAAGGGTAGATTGCAAAAGTTTTCTTCCATTCTGTAGACTGCCTGTTCACTGATGAGAGTTTCTTTTGATGTGCAAGAACTCTTCAGTTTAATTAGATTCCATTTGTTAATTTTTGTTTTTTGTTACAATTGCTTTTGGCAATTTCATCGTAGAATCTTTGTCCATTCCTGTGTCTTGAACAGTATTGCCTAGATTTTATTCTAGGGTTTTTATGGTTTGGGGTTTTACATTTCAGTGTTTAATCCATATTGAGTTAATTTTTGTATAAGTCATAAGGAAGAGGTCCAGTTTCCATTTTCTGCATATGACTAGCCAGTTTTCCCAGCTCCATTTATTAATAGGGAATCCTTTCCCCATTGCTTGTTTTTGACAGGTTTGTCAAAGATAAGATGGTCATTGATGTGCAGTCTTATTTCTAAGGTCTCTATTCTGTTCCATTGGTCTGTATGTCTGTTTTGGTACCAAACATGCTGTTTTGGTTACTGTAGCCTTGTAATATAGTTTGAAGTCAAGTACCCGGATACCTCCAGCCTCTTTCTTTTTGCTTAGGATTGTCTTGGCTATACAGCCTCTTTTTTGGTACTATAAGAATTTTAAAGTAGTTTTTTCTAATTCTGTGAAGAATGTCAGTGGTAGTTTGATGGGAATAACATTGAATCTATAAATTACTTTGGGCAGTATGACCATTTTCATGATATTGATTCTTCCTATCCATGAGGATGGAATGTTTTTCCATTTTTTGTGCCCTCTTTTATTTCCTTGAGCCGTGGTTTGTAGTTATCCTTGAAGAGGTCCTTCACATCCCTTGTTAGCTATATTCCTAGGTATTTTATTCTCTTTGTAGCATTTGTGAATGGGAATTCTTTCATGATTTAGCTCTCTGCTTGTCTATTATTGGTGTATAGGAATGCTTGTGTCTTTTGCACATTGATTTTGTATCCTGAGACTTTGCTGAAGTTGCTTATCAGCTTAAGGAGCCTTTGGGCTGAGATGATGGGGTTTTCTACATATAGGATCATGTTGTCTGCCAAAAGAGACAATTTGACTTCCTCTCCTCCTATTTGAATACACTTTATTTCTTTCTCTTGCCTTATTGCCCTGGCCAGAACTTTCAATACTACGCTGAATAGGCATGGTGAGAGAGGGCATCCTTGTCTTGTTCTGCATGGAATGCTTCCAGCTTTTGCCCATTTAGTATGATGTTGGCTGTGGGTTTGTCATAAATAGCTCTTATTATTTTGAGATGTGTTCCATCAATAACTAGTTTATTGAGAGTTTTTAACATAAAGGGATGTTAAATTTTATCAAAGGTCTTTTCTGCATTTATTGGGATAATCTTGTGGTTTTTGTCACTGGTTCTGGTTATGTGATGGATTACGTTTATTGATTTGCATACGTTGATCCAGCCTTGCATCCCAGGGCTGAAGCCAACTTGACTGTGGTGGGTAAGCTTTTTGATGTGCTGCTGGATTCAATTTCCCAGTATTTTATTGAGGATTTTTGCACTGATGTTCATCAGGGATATTGACCTGAAGTTTTCTTTTTTTGTTGTGTCTCTGCCAGGTTTTGTTATCAGAATGATGCTGGCCTCAGAGTCAGGGAGAAGTCCCTCCTTTTCAATTGTTTAGAATAGTTTCAGAAGGAATGGTACCAGCTCTTCTTTGTACCTCTGGTAGAATTCTGCTGTGAATCCATCTGGGCTTTTTTTGGTTGATAGGCTATTTATTACTGCCTCAATTTCAGAACTTGTTATAGATCTACTCAAGGATTTGACTTCTTCCTGGTTTAGTCTTGGGAGGGTGTATGTGTCCAGGAATTTTCCATTTCTTGTAGATTTTCTAGTTTATTTGCATAGATGTGTTTATAATATTCTTTTATTGTAGTTTGTATTTCTATGGGGTCAGTGGTGGTGTCCCCTTTATCACTTTTTATTGTGTCTATTTGATTCTTCTCTCTTTTCTTCATTAGTCATTCATTGATATTTTGAAGGGTTTTTCGTGTCTCTATCTCCTTCAATTCCACTCTGATCTTTGTTATTTCTTGTGTCCTGCCAGCTTTTGGATTTGTTTACTCTTGCATCCCTAGTTCTTTTAGTTGTGATATTAGGGTGTCGATTTGAGATCTTTCTAACTTTCTGATGTGGCATTTAGTGCTATAAATTTCCCTCTAAACACCATTTTAGCTGCATCCCAAAGATTCTGATATGTTGTTTCTTTGTTCTCATTAGTTTCAAATAAATTTTTGATTTCTGCCTTAATTTCATTATTTACCCAGGAGTCATTCAGGAACAGGTTGTTCAATTTCCATGTAGTTGTGTGGTTTTGAGTGGGTTTCTTAATCTTGAGTTCTAATTTGATTGCACTATGGTCTGAGAGACTGTTTGTTATGATTTCAGTTATTCTGCATTTGCTGAGGAGTGTTTTACTTCCAATTATACAGTTGATTTTAAAGTAAGTGCCATGTGGCACTCAGAAGATTGTATATTCTGTTGTTTTGGGCTGGAGAGTTCTGTAGATATCAATTAGGTCAGCTTGATCCAGAGCTGAGCTCAAGTCCTAAATATACTTGTTAATTTTCAGTCTTGTTGATCTGTCTAATATTGACAGTGGGGTGTTAAAGTCTCCAACTATTAATGTGTGGGAGTCTAATTCTCTTTGTAGGTTGCTAAGAACTTGTTTTATGAATCTGGGTGCTCCTGTATTGGGTGCATATATATTTAGGATAGTTAGCTCTTCTCACTGCAGTAATCCCTTTACCATTATGTAATGTCCTTCTTTGTATTTTTTGACCTTAGTTGGTTTAAAGTCTGTTTTGTCAATAACTAGGATTGCAGCCCATACTTTTTTCTGCTTTCCATTTGCTTGGTAAGATTTCCTCTGTTCCTTTATGTTGAGCCTATGTGTGTCTTTGCACATGAGATGGGTCTCTTGAATACAGCACACCAACGGGTCTTGATTGTATTCAATTTGCCAGTCTGTGTCTTTTAATTGGGGAATTTAGCCCATTTACATATAAGGTTAATATCATCATGTGTGAATTTGATCCTGTCATTATGACGCTAGTTAGTTATGTTGCACACTAGTTAATCAAGTTTCTTTATAGTGTCATTGGTCTTTGTATTTTGGTGTGTTTTTGCAGTGGCTGCTACCAGTTTTTCCTTTCCATATTTAGTGCTACCTTCAGGAGCTCTTTTAAGGCAGGTCTGGTGGTGATGAATTCCCTTGGCATTTGCTTGTTTGAAAAAGATTTCATTTCTCCTTCCTTTATGAAACTTAGTTTGGCCAGATATGAAATTCTGGGTTGAAAATCTTTTCTTTAAGAATGTTGAGTATTGTCCCCCACTTTTATCTTGTAGGGTTTCTGCTGAGGGATCCTCTGTTAGTGTGATGGGCTTCCCCTTGTAGGTTACCTGGCCTTTCTCTCTGTCTGCCCTTAACATTTTTTCCTTCATTTCGACCTTGGAAAATCTGAAGATTATGTGACTTGGGGTTGATCTTCTTAATGAGTATCTTAGTGCAGTTCTCTGTATTTCCTGAATTTGAATGTTGGCCTGTCTTGTTAGATTGGGGAAGTTTCTCTGGATGATATCCTGAAGTGTGTTTTCCAATTTGGTTTCATTCTCCCCATCTCTTTCAGGTACTCCAATTAGTTGTAGGTTTGGTCTTTACATCTAGTCCCATAGCTCTTGGAGGTTTTGTTTATCCCTTTTTACTCTCTTTTCTGTAATTTTGTCTGCCTGCCTTATTTCAGCAAGATAGTCTTCAATCTCTGATATTATTTTTTCTGCTTGATCGATTTGGCTATTGATATTTGTGTATGCTTTATAAAGTTCTCATGTTGTATTTTTCAGCTCCATCAGGTCATTCATCTTCCTTTCTAAACTGGTTATTCTAGTTAGCAGCTCCTGTAATCTTCTATCATGGTTCTTAGCTTCTTTGCATTGGGTTAGAACATCCTCATTTACCTCAGCGAAGTTTGTTATTACCCACCCTCTGAAGCCTACTTCCATCAATTTGTCCATCTCATCCTCTCTCCAGTTCTGTGCCCTTGCTGGAGAGGTGTTGCAATCACTTGGAGGAGAAGGGGCACTCTGGCCTTTTGGGTTTTCAGTGTTTTTTTGTTGGTTCTGTCTCTTCTTAATGAGTTTGTCTAGTTTCAGTCTTTGAGGCTACTGACCCTTGGATGAGCTCCCTAGAGGAAGGGCAACAGCCAGCACTGCAGCTGCTAGCTACCTAAGACACTAAGCCCCCCAGTGGGGAGGGGCAGCAGCCATCACTATACCTCTAGGCCATGCTTTTCCCCTGCTGGAGCCAGGAAGGCTGGACAGTTTGGTCTCAAGGGGAATCATGGATCATCTTCCCTCAAGAGCACACTGGGTATGGCAGACTGTGGCCAGATTGCCTCTTCAGGCCAGACCCTGACCCTCCTTCCTCACTGGGTGAGGCCTCCTTGCCTTCTCATTTGGAGTTTCTTTTCTTTGAGAGTGATAAAAAATAGGCCCTCAATCTCTCCTAGTTTGTAAGAACTCTGCTAAGAAGTGTGCGTTAGCCTGATGAAGTACCGTTTTTATGTGAGCTGACCTTTTTTTCTAGCTGACTTTAAGATTTTTTTCTCAAGCATTTCCCTTAGATAGTCTGGTAACTATATGCCTTGATGTTGTTCATTTTGTGTAGTATCTGGCATGCATTCTCTGTATTTCTTGCATCTGGATATCTCTATCTCCACCAAGATTAGGGAAATTTTCTTGAATTATTCCCTCAAATGTGATTTCCAGATTGCTTACATTTTCTCCTTCTCTCTCAGGAATGCCAATAATTTGTAGGTATGATTACTTTATATAACCCCAGATTTCTTGGAGACTTTGTTTCTTTTTTAAAATTCTTTTTTTCTTTATCTTTGTCTGACTGAATTAGTTCAAAAGACTGATCTTTAAGTTCTGAAATTCTTCTGCTTGATCTAGTCTATTGATAAAACTTTCAATTGTATTTTAAAATTCTTTTTTTTTTTTGGGTAGGTTGGGGATGGAGTCTCGCTCTATTGCCAGGCTGGAGTGCAGCGGCATGATTTTGGCTCACTGCAACCTCTACCTCCTGGGTTCAAGCGATTCTCCTGCCTCAGCCTCCTGAGTAGCTGGGACTACAGGCGCATGCCACCACACCCAGCTGATTTTTGTATTTTTAGTAGAGATGGGGTTTCAGCATGTTGACCAGTATGGTCTCGATCTCTTGACCTCGTGATCTGCCTGCCTCGCCCTCCCAAAGTGCTGGGATTACAGGCGTGAGCCACCACGCCCAGTCTAAAATTCTTTAAGTGAGTGTTTCTGTTCTATAGCTCTGACTGATTTCTTTTTTTTTTTTTGAGACGGAGTCTCGCTCTGTCGCCCAGGCTGGAGTGCAGTGGCGGGATCTTGGCTCGCTGCAAGCTCCGCTTCCCGGGTTCACGCCATTCTCCTGCCTCAGCCTCCCAAGTAGCTGGGACTACAGGCGCCCGCCACTACGCCTGGCTAATTTTTTGTATTTTTAGTAGAGACGGGGTTTCACCGTTTTAGCCGGGATGGTCTCGATCTCCTGACCTCGTGATCCGCCCGCCTCGGCCTCCCAATGACTGATTTCTTTTTAAGATGTTTACCTCTTCCTTTGTTTCTTGGATTCCTTTACAGGTTTCTTTGTGTTGATTTTCAACCTTATCTTGAATCTCATTTAAGTTTTCTTGCAATCCATAATTTGAATTCCCCATCTGTCATCTCTGTGCCTCCACTTTGGGTAGGGATCACCACTGGAGAGCCAGAGTGAGCCTTTGGTGGTGCTACAACACTCAGAGTTTTCATGGTGGCAGAATTCTTATACTGGTTCCTTCTCATTTGGAAAGACTTGTATTGGGTTGTGTCTTTTGTCTTTGCTTCTGTAATCCTATGCACTTCTCTCAGCACATTTTTTATTAGGCTGTGTCATTTAAGCTACAAGCTAGTAGACGGTGTTTTCAGTTAAGAGTCAGCTGCTACATTAGCAATTGGATGTGACCTGATCTTTGTTTACTGTGAGGTGCTCTGTTGTTTCAGGTGATTGGCTAGACAGTAGAATGCCCAGTGTCCTAAGCTTCCTATTCCATGAAGGTGGCAGGACACAGCTGGGCAGAGCTGGTGCCCCTGGTTTACCCATGAATATCCCAATGGTGAGCACAAGCACCAGTCCTCAAGAGGGTGCTTGGGAGGAGCTACTGGTGAAGTGTGCTGATATCTCTGCAGGTGGATTGAGAAGGCTGCCCCAGCTCCCCATCCTAGATAGGCAGGAGCACAATCTATTTCCCTATCACATCCTGTTTTCCAGGACTTGTGATTCCTAGTTCAGATGCACACTGTAGTCTATCTCCAGGCTGCAATGTGGTTGACAGCCATGCAGAATGCCTGTTTAGTGACTCCATGGGAGTCATTCCAAGGTATAACCTCATCACTCAACCTGATATAGTTTTAAGGCTTGCTTGTTCTCCAGTGTGGCAATACTGCTGCTTCTTGTAAAGAGAAGGCTCCATCTTTGGACCAGTGTGAGTGGGTGTTTGTTGTGGTGGTGTTGGCTGGTTGGGACAGCCTGACCTCAGGCCCTGAGGTAAGTGGCTAGGGGACAGTAGAGTTGGAATGGGGTAGACAGTTCCCCCACTCCCAGGTCCCTAGATGGCCTGATGTACAGCATGTATGAGTCTTTCAGGGGCTGGACGAGGGTCAGGTTAGCCCAGAATTCAGGCACTGGCTGTGGTGGGTAGGGGTCGGGCTGGCCCCCAGATCGCCGACCAAACTATCAGGCAGGGGCTGGCCAACACATAGGTAGTGGAAGTCCAAAGGAATATCACAGGCCTTTGGAGGTTGGGTTCTCAGAAGGGTTCTGGGCTGCAGGTGAAATATTCAGGTGGGGGAAAGGTGGCTGTGCTCTGGGCCTTTCCCTGGAAAGGGTGGGAACCCTCAGCTGGAGCAATGGAAACTGGTAGTTATGGGATGTATGTGTGGGATCCTTGTACTTCTCTCCCACCCAATAGCTACTGAACTTCATTTGGGAGCACATAAATGTGTCACATGTTGTCTGTTACCTCTGGTAGTTTTGTCCCAGGGGAATGCAGTGCTGTGAACCACCACAGTGCTCAAGTGGGGGCAGGGTTGCTGTGCTGGAAGCCCCAGCCAAACCTTGTTTGGTGAGGAGGAGCAGGGCAGTCCCACCACTCCTCCACACCACAACTGTGGCCTCTATCAAGGCTAGGGCAGCTGGCACTGGGCTGCCTGTTGGGCTCCCTGTGGGCTTGAGCGGTGCCTGTGCAAAAACTGCAGGAGTCTCTCTGTGTCACTTTAGAGGCCCAGAGAATTTGGGGGGTTCTCCCATGGCCAGGATTGTGAGGGTCCATGTGGGAAGTGTGGATCCCCTGGGGACTCTCACTCATTCAACCTTTTCCCGTGTTAGAGAGCTTCTCCTGGCTCCATGCCAGTCCTGGGTGTGCAGCTACCTGGCTTTGCTCCTCTCTGTTCTCTGTGAGGCCCCTGGCTTCCTTGGTGGATCCAGAGGTGATTTCTAATTTTCTTGAAGAACTACTCTTTACTAGCCACTTTGATTCTTCACTGTGAGAGCAGTGCACATTAACTGCTTCTAGTCAGCTACCTTGAACCTCCTCTATTGTTTTCAAGTGAAACTTCTTTTTTATTGCATACTGTTTCACAGATTTAATATCGTATTTCTGAGAAGATACTAATTATAGAAGTTTTGTTCATTGTTATTTTTTTCCTATTCCCTATATTATTACTGTTCTCTGAAAGTTTCTTTGTCCTTTTTTCCCTGTTTATTCTGGCATTTCATGCCTGAAGCTTTCCTCATGTATTGACTGACCCTCAGATACTGTTCAAATTTAGGAGTGAGGCACTCCAAAGCTGATAAGATCTTAGTGTGAGAGCTCAATAGCAAAGACTTGGAACCAACCCAAATGTCCAACAACGATAGACTGGATTAAGAAAATGTGGCACATATACACCATGGAATACCATGCAGCCATAAAAAATGATGAGTTCATGTCCTTTGTAGGGACAGGGATGAAACTGGAAACCATCATTCTCAGCAAACTATTGCAAGGACAAAAAACCAAACACTGCATGTTCTCACTCATAGGTGGGAATTGAACAATGAGAACACATGGACACAGGAAGGGGAACATCACACACCAGGGACTGTTGTGGGGTAGGGGGAGGGGGGAGGGATAGCATTAGCAGATATACCTAATGCTAAATGACGAGTTAATGGGTGCAGCACACCAACATGGCACATGTATACATATGTAACAAACCTGCACGTTGTGCACATGTACCCTAAAACTTAAAGTATAATAATAATAAAATTTAAAAAAAAAAAAGCTGACCATCTAACCAGAAAAAAAAAAAAAAAGATCTTAGTGTGAGTGCTAGTGTGAGTGCTGTTGTCTAGTTGGCTTCTCTGAGGAAAGACTGGCTGGGCTATTTCATGAAGGAAAACCCTGCTTTATGATTTATAGAACTGTTTCTTTGGCCTGAGGGAGGAATCCTCCAATCTCCTGTTTGGGAAATGTGAGCTTTATTGACAGCACTCCAGGACCCAAATTGGGAAAAAGGAAAGCAGGGTTCTATGATCCAAAATAGAGACATTTACTTAGTCTGGCAATGCATCATAGAGTACCACCATATCTATGTCTTGTGTCCCTGGTTCAATCTCTTCACGGAGAATAAAGCCATTGGTTTTTGCCAGAGCCAGTGAGGGTTGTGACAGGTAAACACTTGCATTAATTAAGCCATGTTTTGTTGGAAGTTCAGTCGGTTCTCAGACAGACTTACCATCTCTGTAGGCTGTTAAGCAGTAGAAAAACTCCACATGTAGGAACCCCGGAGAAGAAGCTGAGAATGGCAAGGCTAGCACAAGGGTGATGGTTTGGTTATGAGGATTGATTGATCCTTTTGGCTAAACCTAGGATTGAGTATGTTGGAAACTGAAAGGCAGAATGTGAGTATAACCAGCAGAAAATTAATTGCACCAACCTGGTTGGGAAGGGAAAGGGAACACAGAGTCGGTCTTGGTTAATGCTATGAACCAGTATCTATGAGAGGTGATTCAGTCATATGGGACACCACAGGAGTGCCTGTGGACCATGGCAGTGCTCCTAGACATCAAGGAAAAGATGTTTTAGGGAAGTGCTCCAGGTTAGAATAGGATCTCAACCAGCAACTAGATGAACTAGATGAACTGTGAAACAGAATCCAGCCCTTAAGAGGAGAGGTAAGCTACGCCTCGGGAAGTGCACGACACCCCCAATCATACCTGAGCCGGCTTAGCCAGCCCCATTAGAGTCCTGTGCTGTGAGGCTAAGAAGAGCCTAGTCACATTCATTGTGTTACTTTTGACTTTGTTCCCATTTCTGGATAATGTGAGTTGGTGTCACCCTTAGGATTTATGAAAATGAAACAAAACAAAATGGTGATGTTCTGTTTGTTTGTTTTCCCAAATACAAAAGGGCCTGCATTCTACCAACACAAGTATTCAGTCCAGAGCTCTGTTGCTGGTGGCTGCTGACTCTGCCCTGGAACCTCCATTACTTTGAGAAAGATAAAGGTTCTGTTTTTTGACCCAGCTGCCTGAGGCAGTGCTGCAGAATCAGAGGAGGGGTCTAGTAGAGAAAGAAATATTGACCCCATTGAGCCAACTTACATGTAGTCCAGTAAACTTAGTTTCAATTGAGGGTACTGCTCAATCTAGCTTATTCATTCCCAAACTGTCATTCAAATATATGTCTCTACTGCTTCCTCATGAAGTAACTGTTATTGTAGGATCATATCACAAACAAGAGAATATTTTCCCTTGTTCTGATACCACAGAGAATGTCACAGTAGGGAAATAAATCAGCACAGGTACAGTGATTAGTCAGAAGACAGGTATGGAGAACAGACTGTAAGAATTTGAAATAAGTCAAGCTGACCTAAATAAGAGTAATAAAATGGCTCAAAACCTGCAGTCATTCTCTCTTAACTTTATGCCTAAGGCAACCAGGACTAATTCCCCTCTCTGCTCCTTGTCCCTTATTTTATGATCTTATTCTAAATCTTTGCACTTCGTGAAATGATGTGTTTAATAGAGACACAGGTACTTTTTATTTCTCTGAATGAAAGAAATGAGGCTGCATTGGTCTCAACAGAGAATTTTTTTAACAGAACATTTTTATATATCCATTAACATAGAGAGGCAAATAAAAATAATGTAATGTTAAGCTGTTTCCCCTCACATATTTTGGTTCGGAGACAAAAGGATATATTCTGTAGTGTTATTAGAAGGGATTTAGCAATGGCTGGAGGGGAGCATCTTTTATGTATGTAATAAAATATTTTAAAAGAGAACAGTAATATAAAAGGACACTTGCTATTGAAAAATAAGAATACCTCTATGTTATAAAATATATAGAAAATGTCAGCTATTGTTTTCAAAAATGTCATTCTGAAAAGCAAGCTTCCATGAAGGCATAAACATAAACAATTTTAAACCTTTAATTAAACAATGTTTAAATGTTTAAACATAAACATAATTTAAAAAATTTATTCCTTTCATGAAGGCATAAACATAAACATAGCAATTTAAACAATTTTAAGCTTTTATGACAGCATAAACAATTTAAGTCAAATCTTAAATTGAATAGATTTTTCTCATTATGATAAATGTAACTAAGATACTTTTAGGTAATATATAGATGAGTTATCACTAATATATAGTGCAAGGCATCAGAAAGATTATAAAACTAATAACAGGTGAAAGTTGAAGCCATTTTTAAAAAAATGTAGACACCGTATGTTGATATATTTGTATTATAGCACCAGATTTTTGACACTTCTTTAAAAATACCACAATTTACCTGAGACTTATCCATGAGAAATTGAAGGTCACTTGAGTCACTCCTGGTCAAGTAGACCAGAGCCTCTGCCCCATCAGCACCAATGCCAAATTGACCACAATAATTTTTCTTTTTAAGACTCCAGGGAAACAGCACAGGATTCTACAACTTTCAGCTAAAATTATGGAGTCCTGAAATGTTTTGGCAATTGGCCAAATACTGGTAAGTTCAGTGAAACATCCTAATTAATATGTGTTAGTTAAACGTTTACTTCTGTCAAACATGCAGTTAATAGAGCCAATGTGAACTTTTTGACAGGATGTTGAATAGGTCACTATCTTCCTCTCTACATAGGAATTTATAAGGCAAAACTTCACCTATTGATACACTATAATAAGGAAGTGAATTGTTCCAAAAGAGTTTTTACATAAAATCTGAAGGTTAATAGTTAAACATTATTATTGACTATTCCATATAAAGCCTTTTACACACTTTTCTGCCATAGAAGGCAGAATCCCAATCACAAAGTAAACATTTCTTGATAATTCAGTGCTGCTGTTATGACTGTATTTATCAAAATGTCGCCGCTGTAATGCCACATACAGAAGCCGAGGTAGAATATAGGTCCATAAATAACCATGGAACACCACAGATCTAAAGTAATTCCTTCCTTAAATTTAGCTAATGAGTATATATTACTTTAATAATTATATATTTCTAAGGTATTTCTTTTTTGAGAAAGAAAAGAGCAGCATGCTTATATAGTGTTCATTTATTGAAGTATATACACATAGAACATACTGGGAACACATATGCTAAGATATTGTGGGGAATAATTCTGGAGGGTGGTAATTACTATATTATTTTCTGAAATAATTTTTATACTTTTAAATTTTTCCCAGGAAAATAATTTGCTCTTTTTAAAAAAGAAAAATCGTCCAGGCATGGTGGCTCACATCTGTAATACTGGAACTTTGGGAAGCCAAGGCAGGAGGATTGCTTGAGCCTAGGTGTTCAAGCCAGCCTGGCAACATAGTGAGACCTTGTGTCTACAAAAATTCAAGAAAATTAGCCAGATGTGGTGGTGTGTGCCAGTGGTCCCAGCTACTTGGGAGGCTGAGGCAGAAGGATCCCTTGAGCCCAGGAAGTCAAGGCTGCAGTAGGCCAAGATGGTACCACTGCACTCCAGCCTGGATGACAGAGTGTCTCAACAAAAAAAAGAAAAGAAAAGAAAAGAAAAAGAAAGGAAGGAAGGAGGAAAGAAAGAAGAAAGAAAGAAAGAAAGAAAGAGAGAGAGAGAAAGAAAGAAAGAAAGAAAGAAAGAAAGAAAGAAAGAAAGAAAGAAAGAAAGAAAGAAAGAGGGAAAAGAAAATTTGCCTTATTTCAGCCATTAAAAAAAAAGTGAAACAAGACACGTTCAGTATCATGGCCAGCAGAAAAACATTGTGTGAATTAAATGCAGACACTCTTTTCTCATCTTTGTCTCCTTTCTTTTTCTTTCTTTCTTTCTTTTTTTTTTTTTTTTGAGACGGAGTCTTGCTCTGTCACCCAGGCTGTAGTGCAGTGACACGGTCTTGTCTCACTACAACCTGCACCTGCTGGGTTCAAGCACTTCTCCTGCCTCAGCCTCCTGAGTAGCTGGGATTACAGGAGCCCGCCACCATGACTGGCTAATTTTTTGTATTTTTAGTAGAGACAGTTTTCACCATATTGTCCAGGCTGGTCTTGAACTCCTGACCTTAGGTGATCTGCTTGTCTCAGCCTCCCAAAGTGCTGGGATTATAGGCGTGAACCATCACGCCCGGCCTCCTTTCTTTTTATCTCCTTTCCTTGACTCTTTATTTTCATTCAATCATTGATTCCAAAGTATTCGTAAAGCAGCTATTACTTTCCAAACACTGCCAGATTTTGGGTTTTAATGGTGAGTCAAAACATGGGTTCCTATTCTCCTGAAGCTGACCAGTGGTGTGGAGTACAGGACTGTGGACAGATATTCACTAATTATCACGCACACTCCAAAATAAATGGAGAATGATGGCTATCCCATCTGAGGTACAGGGCATGCCAGTAGCAAAGTGTAAAACACCCCATAGTTTGGAGGAAAATGCTGAGTCTAGTTAATAGTCAGCAGCCAGAGCTAAGAATCACTGAGCAGATATCCAAAGCTCTTTTGGAGCCAGACATGGAACCGGGAGCTGCCTTCAGGCTTTAGCTTTAAAAATTATCACCAGGAAATAGTTGTGATTTTGTATGCAGATTAGTGAACCTAAACTTTAATGTTATATCTTCTTAGGGCTCATCTCTTTTTCATTCTATTTTGGCACTTTTGGGGTTTTATTTTCTCCAGGTCTGTGATTATTCCTCATTATATGCTAGATAAGGGAATGTTATTTTACCAATCTCACTCCTTGTATCTCAGCATATGTGGAGTAGTAACATACATTTTTTTTAAAATTCTAGGATATAAACTCTAGATTACCAACCAACTCTGAACAGCTATTTTCCTTGCTGTCCTAAAAAGATAATGGGTTATCTTTTCTGAACTAAAGTCTCTTGTTATTTCCTAAGTGTATAGCCAGCAATATATATTGATTTATAGGAACTCAGATGTTCAAAATAAGGAAGGAAAAGCGTTAAAGGTAGTGAGAAAGACAGATGTTGTCTTCATTTAATAGGATGAAATAAGTAAATGAGAAGATGAGTTTTAGATTATGTAATAACTTAGTGCTGGAGGTGGTATTCAAACCCAGGCTTTTTGATTCCAAGTCCTGTGTTTTTTCTATAATGTATCTAAATCAATATTTAGAACTACATTAATGTTGTATTTAAAATTTATGTAAATTAATTCAAGAATATGTGTATTTAATCTCTCTGAAGTTACATTTTGACAAAATTTTTCAGTATTCTCTTCCTGCTGCACTGGCACTGCTTTTTCTGATCATAAATTTTTAAGTTGCCAACTTCAATTTTTATACTTGATTTGCAAAGAGATATTTGAATCATAAGCAGGATGAGTAAAGTTTCTGAAATAGCATTAAAGTGATGCTATTTTTCTGATGCTAGACATTCCCAAATAGTTGAATTATATTTAGACCAGAAGATGGCATAAGAGTTATAGCAATAGAAAATTATACACAATAGGATGGACTCCCTTAAAGGACTGCATTGCAAACCAGAATCTACATTATATAATTCTCCTTTCTCATTAAAGAAAGCTTTTTTCCCTGTGCAAATTTCTCCTTCCTTTTAAATTACATAATGACTGCAGACATAAACAACACACACACACACACATACAAATTAAAGTTAAAAGTATCCAATCTCACAATCTAGAGACAGCTATCACCAACATCCTGGGGCCTGTGTATCCATGCTTTTTCCGATGGAATCAAATATATAAACTGCTCTACCAACTGCCACTTTCATTTAGCAACAGGTAATGGGTATTTGGGGGTTAAAAATGTTCTGTGTGATCATTTAAGGGCAGCATGGTGTTCCAGTGTAGCATGTACCCTAATTTATTTCATCACTCCCTTACTGTTAGATAAGTAAGCTGTTTCCAGTGTTTTATTATGATACACAATTATGCAGTGAGGATCCTTTTACATATATCTTTGCTTATATGTTTGACTAAGCAAAAATTCCTAGAACTTTTCTTAGGAACAGAATGATTGGTCAGAAGATTGGAATTTTGAAGACTTTTCCAGGCATCATCAAATGGCTCTCTACAAAAGCCAAGAATTTCTTTCCTTAGCAGTATATGAAGGCCCCACTCTCCCAACACCTACATCAGCCCTGCATATTATCCTGATACGATTTCTAAAAATAATTTAACATGAAGTTTCTTTTTTAATTTTCAATGTTTGTGGGTATATAGTAGGTGTATATATTTGGGGTACATGAGATATTTTGATACAGGCATGCTAAGCAAAATAATCACATCATGGAGAAAGGGGTATCCAGCCCCTCAAGCATTTATCTATTGATTTGCAAACAATCAAATTACACTCCTTATTTTAAAATGTACAACTTATTATTGATTATAGTTACCCTGTTGTGCTATCAAATAGCAGGTCTTATTCATCCTATTTTTTTGTACCCATTAACTATCTCCACCTCCTTCCCAGCCCCCAACTACCCCTCTTAGCCTATAGTAACCAACCTGCTACTCTCTATATCATTGAGTTCAATTGTTTTGATTTTTAGATCCTACAAATGAGTGAAAACATGTAATGTTTGTCTTTCTGTCCCTGGCTTATTTCACTTAACATAATGATCTCCAGTTCCATCCATGTTGTTGCAAATGACTGGATCTCATTCTTCTTTGTGGCTGAATAGTACTCAATTGTGTATACGTACCACATTTTCTTTGTTCATTCACCTGTTGAATGAACACAGGTTGCTTCCAATTTTTAGCTATTGTTAACAGTGCTGCAACAAACATGGGAGTGCAGAGATCTCTTTGAGGTACTGATTTCCTTTCTTCTGAGTATATACCCAGCAGTGGAATTGCTGGATCATATGGTAGCTCAATTTTTAGTTTCTGAAGAACCTACAAGCTGTTCTTCATAGTGGCTATACTAATTTACGTTCTCACCAACAGTATACAGGGTTCCCTTTTCTCCACATCCTTGCCAACATTTGTTATTACTGTCTTTTGGATATAAGCCACTTAACTGGGGTAAGATGATAACTCATTGTTTTGATTTGCATTTCTCCGATGATCAATAATGTTGAGCACCTTCTCATATACTTGTTTGCTATTTGTGTGTCTTCTTTTCAGGTGTCTATTCAAGTCTGTTGCCCCCCTTTTTTGATCAGATCATTACATTTTTTTTCTGTGGAGTTGTTTGAGCTCCTTATATAGTGTGGTTATTAATCCCTTGTCAGATGGGTAGTTTGCAAATATTTTCCACCATTCTGTAGGTTGTCTCTTCACTTTGTTGATTATATCCTTTGCTGTGCAGAAGCTTTTCAACTTGATGTGATCCCATTTATCCATTTTTGCTTTGGTTGCCTGTGCTTGTAGGATATTGTTTAAGAAATCTTTGTGAGGACAACGTTCTGGAGAGTTTCCCCAAAGTTTTCTTGTAGTAGTTTCATAGTTTAAAGCCTTGGATTTAAGCCTTTAATCCATTTTGATTTGATTTTTGTATATGGTGAGAGATAGGGGTCTAGTTTCATTCTCCTGCATATGACTGTCCAGTTTTCCCAGCACCACTTATTGAAGAGACTGTCTTTTCCCTCAGTGTATGTTATTGGCAGCTTTGTTGAAAATGAGTTAACTGTAGGTATGTGGATTTGTTTCTGAGTTCTCTATCTGTTCCATTGGTCCATGTGTCTTTTTTTATGAGAGTACCACGCTGTTTTGATTATTATAGCTCTGTAGTATAATTAGAAGTCAGGTAATGTGACTCCTCCAGTTTTGTTCTTTTGCTTAGGACAGCTTTGGCTATTCTGGATCTTTTCTGGTTCTATATAAATTTTAGAATTGTTTTTTCTGTTTCTGTGAAGAATGACATTGGTATTTTGATAGGGATTGCATTGAATCTGTAGATTGCTTTGGGCAGTATGAACATTTTGACAATATTGATTATTTCAATCCATGAACATGGACTATTTTTCCATTTTAGGTGTCCTCTTCAGTTTCTTTCATCAGTGTTTTATTGCTTTCCTTTCACTTCTGTTAAACCAAGTTCAGTCTAAAGCTGCCTCCTTACATATGTTAGGTTTGGCCTAGAGGTTTCTCTGTACATCATGAACTATAACAAGTGGAGGTGTAAGTAGACCATAGCATACACTTGTGCGAATCACCGAATTTGGGCCCATCAAACGTTGTAACCAATCCAGCTGTTTCTGTACCTCACTTCCATTTTCTGTACATCACTTTCCTTTTTCTGTCCATAAATCATCTTTCACCACATGGCTGCGCTGGAGTCTCAGAGCCTACTCTGACTTCAGAGGCTGCCTGATTCATGAATTGTTCACTGCTCAATTAAACTCCTTTAAATTTAATTTGGTTATAACACTTCTTTGGTGAAGTTAATTAATAGGTATATAATTTTATGTGTGGCTATTGTAAATGGAATTCCTTTTTAAATTTCTTTTTCACATTGTTAACTGTTGGCATATAGAAATGCTACTGATTTTTGTATGTTGATTTTGTATCCAGCAACTTTACTGAATTTGATTATCAGTTTTAATAGTTTTCTTGTGGAGTCTTTATCATATTATCTGCAAACAAGGATAATTTAACGTCTTCCTTTCTAATTTGGATGCCCTTCATATATTTCTCTTGTCTGATTGCTCTAGCTAGGACTGTCAGTACTATGTTGAATAACAGTTGTCATAGTGGGCATCCTTGTCATGTTCCAGATCTCAGAGGAAAGGCTTTCAGTTTTTCCCCATTCGGTATGATACTAGCTGCGGATCTGTCATTTATGGCTTTTATTATGTTGAGGTATGTGCCTTCTGTCTCCAGTTTTTTGAGGATTTTTATCATGAAGGGATGCTGAATGTTATCAAATGCATGAAGTTTCTTATACAAGTCACATCTATACAGCTATACATAAAAATAGGAAAGTATTTAAATTCTTTAAAAATTTTATTCACACAAGTGAATGAGTATTCTTGTTGTTTAATAAGAACAACAAATACATGCTGGAACCCTATGTGTGTTATATTGAACATTTTCTGAATGAAGGAATAAATGAATAAAAGAGATAGTAGTAGTAGCAATAATAACAACGTCACTTAGTATTTTCCAAGTGCTTACTATGAACCAAGCATTGTTCTGAAAGAATTAGAAGTAACTTAATTCTTATAATAAGACAATTAACAGAAAAATTTTCCCAAAAAAACACCCATACTTTGCCTACTTGTGTTTATCTACTTATTTATCTAAGTATATATGTATCTATCTCTCTAGAAAAGAATTTTTCATATATTAAGGGCTTGTTTCCTTGCCATCGAGGACAAAATCCAAACTTATAAGACCATATTTCATGCCTCAGTGGGCATATCCAATGGTGGGTGAATAATTCCATGATTGAAAGATTATATTCCATGCATGGAATCTGACTATTCATGCTAAGGAAGCAAGGTTCCATGTCTAGGAAAACCAACTTCCATGACCAAAATCTAAGTTCCATGTCTGGAATGTCAAGTTCTGCATTTGTATGGCCATGTTCCCTTTTTGGAATTTGTGGTTCTAAACATGGAGTGTCAGTTGCCCTGCTTATATGGTCATATTCCATTCTTGGAGACTGAGATTGTATACACTGAATGGCATATTCCAAAGATAATATTCCATGCTGAAGACTAAGATTTTATACATGGAGTGGCATGTTCCATACGTGAAAGCACAGTTCTACAGTTGAGGGCCACATTCAACACCTGGAGATGTATGATGTCATACTGAGAAAGCCATATTTTATCCACAGATAGCCAAATTCCAAACATTTAGACTCAGATTCCATATTTAGGGATCAAGTGCTAAGACTAAAACATCTCGTTTCATTCCCAGAAGTACAGGTTAGATATTTAGAAGTCCAGAGTTCAGATCTAGATGTCCAGGAACCATTTCTAGTGGGCCAGATGACATGTTTTGAGATTCAGGTTTCATCCAAGAACCTGAGGGTCCAAGCTTGGTAAAAGATACTTCACATAGGTCATAACCTGTGGCATATCTGAAAGACTACTCCATGGCCAGAAGACAAGGATCCATATATAGCAGCTCAGGCTCTATACCTAGGTTAAGTGTGTATGCTTGGAGAGGCAGGATTTATTTCTGCAGAGACATTCCATGTCTGAATAATCAGATTCTGTGCTTGGAGAGTCAGGGTTGATATTTTTAAGGGCCACATTAAACACCTGGAAGGCCAGTGTGCCTGCTTAGAGGGCTAGATTTTATGCTGGAGATGATGGGGTCAAAGTTCTATGCCTTTAGGGCCATATCTCATGTGGAGGACCAGATTCCATGTTGTATGACCAAGTTCCATGCTTGAAGATTGAGATTTTATATATGACATATCAGATTTTGTGCCTGGGAGACTGGTTTCCATTTCTCAGAGTGGCAACATGTAAGGGGTTCCTTTAAGAGATTTGGGGCTAATCAGGGAAAGAGATATGACCACAAGATGCAGTAACACCCAATAAGCTTTATTGTGTGGTGCTTAGACAGGTTGGCATAGAGGGGAAGTCCCTACAGGATGAGTCCATCCAGAGGCTTATGGTGAGTGGGCCATCATCCAGAAAAGGAGGAGGCAAGGGAACCTCGGGTTAAGGGGATAGAAGAGGGAGGCTGTGTATCTAAGTGATGTTCATTCAGCAGCATAACAGAGTGTCTCTGGGTCAGAAAACTCAGAAGGGCAGCAGCAGCACCTTGGTGTCTTATAACCACAAGACTCTACCTTATCAATGGCTAGCAGATATTGGGTGTAGTTTCATTGAATATGCAAAGCAGGTTGGCCCTAAATGCCAAAATTATGCTTGTTTGGGAGCATTTTTAAAACAATTAAATGTGTAAAAATTTAAGTGTGAGATCAGTAGGCTTTTGAGCTAATGGTTCTCAACCAGCAGTGAAGAAATAACTTAGGGACCAATACACAGAGGCCATCTTTGGCTCATTTACATAACACAGCATCTATAACTGAAAATTCAGGTACCAACCATGTCTAGGTTGCCAGTTTCCACACTTGTAATATCAGTGTTCCATGTTTGATAAGTGAGAGTCTGCACACAAAGTGCCAGGCTGTATACTTGTAAGGCCACACATAGTTTGCCATATGCCTTGCATGTGGAGTCATGTTCCATGCATGGAATTTGAGACTTCATACTGGAAATGCCAAGTTTCATGCTCATAAGTTTCCATCTTTGGAGACTGTGATTCCACACATGAAGTGACATGTTCCATACCTCAAGGCACAGTTCTATAAATGGGGGGTCAAGTTCAATGTCTGGAGAACTACCTTACCACACTCAAAAATTCAGGTTTTACTTATAGATGGCCAGTTTTGAACATGGAGAATTATATTCCATGTCTACAGTCAAATATCAAAACTGGAAGGTTTTATTTCAGACTTAGAAGTTCAGATTAGATATTTTAGGCCTAGATGATCAGATTCCACAGTTGTTGGGCTACATAACATCTCTTTAAATTTTGGTTCTACCACTAGAAGGCTATGTTTTAAGCCTGGAGAAAGAGACATCAAACGGGTAGGAAGTCATGGTTTGCCTCCAAGGTCTAATTCTATGGCTAGAGGCTCTGATTCACATCTTGAATTCCAGATTCCACATGAGATTCTAGAAGGAGTGATTCTATAGGAATGATCCTATAGGAATGATCCTATGTGTGGAAGGGCAGGATTCACATTTGGATGGACTTTCCATGCCTATAAAGTAAGATTCTATACTTGAAGGGTCAGGACTCATGTTTAAATAGCTACATTCAACACTTAGAGGGCCAGCCTTCATCCTTAAAGGGCTGGGTTCCATTACAGGAAGTTTAGACCCTAAGAAAGTTATACTAAGTCTCAGTGGAGAACCAATTTTCATGCCTGATCTGGATTGCCGTATTGCACAATTGTAAGACCTTGTTTCATGCTTGGAGACTGAGATTCCACACATGAAGCACCATGTACCATTCTTGTAGGCTCAGGCTTCATGCTTGGAGATTGAGATTTCACAATCTCTGGTTCACTGCCTAGAAAACCAGGTTCCATATCTTAGGGATACAACCTCTCTAACTGAAATGTCAGGCTCTGTGTCTTGAGTGCTAAGCTTCTCACATAGAGGCAATGTTCCGTGCTTGAGGTTTAGGATTTTACAAATTGGATCAATGCTTGTAAGGCCAGGTTACATTCTTAGAGATTAAGATTCCACCTTTATAGTACCATGTTCCATTCTCTATGTAGGGTCAGGTTCCATGTATGGAGGTAGAGTTTCCTCCCATGAGATGCCAGGTTCTTTGTTTGTAGGGCTAATTTTCATTTTCAAAGATTGAAATTTTACACATAGATATCAGGTCCCATACTTTTAATGTTAGGCTTTATGCATAGTATCATGGGTACAATGCCTAGGAAATCAGTTACCATGACTTGGCCGAAGACTATGATTGAAATGCCAAGTTCTGTGTCTGAAATATAAGGCTCCACACATGGGAGGCCAAGTTCCATATATGTAGGTTGAGGTTCTACCATGGAGTGTCATTTTCCATGGTAGATTTTGGGTACCCTCATAAGGAGTGTCAATTTCATCCTTGTAGACCTAATTCCATGCTTAAAGAATAGGTATTTAAAATGTGGAGTTCCAGGTTACATGCTTTTAGAGCAAGGTTCTATGCACAGAGATTGAAATTCCACAAGTTGATTGTCAGGATTCATGCTTGGAGATTGAGATTCTATGCATGGTGTACCAAGTATGATGCCTGGAATCTGTGTTGCATCTTTTATAGAGCCAAAGTCTATTATTGCAACACCAGTTTCCAGGTTTGTAGTGCCACACATGTCACGCCATGTTCCATGCTTGTAGTTTGAAAGTCCACGCATTGAGATCTGGGTATCTTGTTTGAAGGGTTATGTTCAATACAGGGATCATGGCGATTCTGCATGTGAAGTGTCAGGTTTCTTGCTTTAGGGCCAAGTTTTATGTTTGAAGATTGATATTCCATACAGAAAGTTCCAGATTCCATGTCTTAGAGACCAGGTTTCATCAACTGGACTGAAATAAACTATGTCAATGAGTGATGAGGAAATGTACATGCCAAGGTGCCGTAATCCACACTTCTGCAGTCAAGTTTCATATTTGTATATTCTAAATCTACACATGGAGTGCCAGAACCTATCATTGTTGGTCCATGTTCCCCACATGAAACATTATATTTCAGACATGGTGAGAAATGTTGTGTGCATGCAGATTTATAATCCATTTGGGTAGTAATAAGTTCCATGCTGGGAGACAAGTTTGTATGTCTTGGAGAGCCAAATTCTAGGAGTCAGACCTCATGTTCCCTGTGTGGAATGACAGTTTTAAAATGTATGAAGCCAAGTTACATGTTTGGAGATTAAGATGCCAAGCATGTTGCATGCTTCCAACTTGATGATTTAAATTACACACATGGAATTCCAAGTTCCTTTTTTGGGGATGATGTAGTCCATACCTGGAGATCAATAATCCATATATGACATGCCAATTTCCATGCTGCTAAGACCTGGTACCATGCTTGGAGATTGAAATTCCATATACTAAATGCTGTTTTCCATGCTTTTAGAAACAAGTCCGTGCTTGGAGGTTGAGAACGTATATGTGTGTTCAAAATTCCATGCCAGGGAATGAAGTTTCCTTGCCCTGGAAAGCCAAAGGCTATACCTCAAACTGCTGTTTAATGTCTAGAGTGCCAGGTTCCATTCAAATAAGACTATGTTTCATGCTTGCAGTTTGAGATTATAGATATGGAGTGCCTGGTTCTATGCTCAGTAGGCCAGGTAAAATGCTTATTGATATCGATTCCAAACATAAAGTGCCAGTTTTCATTTTAATTGAGCAATGTTCCAATTGACCATTGGCATGGAATTTGAGATTTTACACATGGAATTCCATGTGGATTCATATGGTTCTGGATCATGCTTGGAGATTGAGATTTCACACATAGAGTATCAGTATAATGCTTATAGGACATGATGCCATGTCTGGTGATTGAGATTTCAGACATGCAGCTCCAAGTTGCATAATTTTAAGGCTAGGTTATATGCTTTGAGATTGAGATTTCACATGTGGAATGCCAGGTTAAATTCTTGTTGGGCCAAATTCCATGTGTGAAGATTGATATTCCACATATCATTGGAAGTGCCAAGCTTGTAGGACCAATTTCAATGCTTGGATATTGAGATAATATCCATGAAGCACAAAATATCATGCATAGTTTTACATAATGTAGTGCCAATTTACATAATTTGAGCATTAGACTCCATGTTTTGAATGCCAGTTTCAGTACATGTAAGGCCATATCTGTCCCATGCATGGAGATTGAGATTCCACATATGGAATGCTAGATTCCATGCTTGTGGGTTCATGTTCCATCCTTGGATTTGAGATTTCACACTAGAACTCCGGGTTCCTTTTTTTAAGGACATATACTATGCTCAGAGATTGAGACTCCTCACATGGAGAGCCAGATGCTTTGTTTTCAGTGCCAGCTTTTATGCTCAGAGATTCAAATTACACAAGTAGTATAACAGGTTCCATGTTTATAGCACTTGAGATTTAGATTCCTTACATTATATCGGACTGCCATAACAAAATATCACAGGCTGCGTGGTTTAAACAACAGAAATTTATTTTCTCACAGTTCTGGAGGCTAGAAGTCCAAGATATGGTGCCAGCAAATTTGGCTTCTGGTTAGGGTTCTCTTCCTGGCTTACAGAAAACTACCTTCTCACTGTGTCCTCAAATGACCTTTCCTCTCTATGCATGCAGGTAGAGAGTGATCTCTGGTGTCTTTTCCTCTTTTTACCCCGCTTATAAGGACACCAGTCCTATAGGATTATGACCCCACCCTATAATCTTTCTCAACCTTAATTACCTCCCTAAAGGCTCTATATCTCCAAATACAATCACATTGGGAGTCAGAGCCTTGACATATGAATTTGAGGGTGACATAATTTAGTCCATAACACATGCTGCACCAGGTATAATGCCTTGTAGGGCAGTTTCCATGTTTTGGAGAGTCAATGTCTAGGATTGAAATGCCAATTTCCATGCCTCAAATACTGGGTTTCAAGCTCATTTGGTTAAGTTTCATGCTTGTAACCCACAATGGAAGTGCCAGGTTTCATTTGTAGGTCCAAACTCCATGCTTGGCAATTGAGATTCCACACATAGAATGCCAGCTTCTGTACTTGTATATTGGATATCCATACTTGGATATTGAGCCTCCATGCACAAAGTGCCAGGTTTGGTGCTTGTGTGGAGTTTCTGTCCTTGGAGATTGATTATATACATGGAATTCTAGGTTTCTTGCCAGGAAGACTGCATTCCATATGTGGAGAGTCAAAATCTATGAGATAAATATAGATTTCCATGTCTTGGGTGTCAAGATACACACGTGATACATGTGAAGCCATTCTCTGTGCATTCACCTACTTGGACATTGGGATTAAATACATGGAATTCCAGGATCCATGACTAGGAAACCAGTTTCCAAGTTCTGGAGAGTGTGTATGTATGGCTGAAATACGAAGTTATATACCTGGAGGATCATGTTTCATGCTTGTAGAGTCAAGTTCCATGCTTTGAAAATGACGTTCTATATATGAAGTGTCAAGTTATAAGCTTGTAAAGCTAGGTTTTATGCATGCAATTTTAGAGTTTACACATTGAATGCTAGATTCTATGCTTGTTGGGCCAGTTTTTATGTTTGGATATTGAGCATGCATATGTAGTGTAGAGTAGTCCCATGCTTGGGAGACATGAGACCATATCCTGGAGAGACAAATTTTATAACTCAGATGCAAGGTTCCAGTCTGAGGTAGCACACTCACCACAGGTAAGTTCATATCCCATACATGGAGATTTGGATTCCACACAAGTATTGCCAAGTTGCATGTTTGTGGGGCCAAGTTCCTTGACTGAACATTGTGTTTCCACTAGCGGAGTGGCAAGTCCATGCTTGTAGGGTCAGGTGTCATACTCTGAGATGGAAATTCCACACATCAGTTTTTATGATTATAGTGCTAAATTCCATGTTTGGAGATTAAGATTACATATGTGTAGTGCAAAATTGGCGAGGTTTTGCATGTTGGATAGTCAACATGTATTCTATACCTAGATGTCTATGAGCCACATGTAGAAGTCCTGGTTCCAGACCTAGAAGGCCAAATTCTATGCCTAGAGGAGTAGGATTCATATTTGGAGCTACTTTCTGTGTCTGGAAAGTCGGATGCTGTACTTAGAGGTCTACGTTCCATGACTGAATGGCCAGGAAGGACAGATTTCATGCTTAGAGGGCTGGTTTCCACTCCTGGAGATCTAAATTCATGCTTGTAAGGCTGGATCTTATGTGAAAAACCATATTTTATGCTTGGAAAGGCATAATTTATACCTAAAAGACATAAATTAATGCCTTAAAAACCAGATCCATAATTGGTTGGTCAGATTCCATTCCTCTAGGCTCGTGTTCTACACCTGGAGATCGAAGTTCCTTATTTGTAGGGTCAAACTCTATGTCTAGGGCCAAGTTCCATGCCTTGAGTGCAAAGCTCCATGCCTGAATGCCAGTTTTCACAAATGGATGACCATGCTTCATGCTGGGAAGGCTGGATTATGCATCTGAAAGCTCAGGCGTCATGCCTAGTGTGTCAAGTTCCATTCATGTACTAAGATACCATAGCACAAAGGCAGATTACATACTGCAGTGACTGCAGGGTCTCTTCCCATATCTAGAAGGACAGATTTTACACTTAGAAAGACAGAATGTATGCTTGGAGGAGGCGAGTCCACATATGTGGAGTGTGGTATATGACTGCATACAATTTTCCATGTGTAGAGGGTCCATTTTCACACTGAAGGATGGAAATGCATGGGGCCAAGTTTCATGCCCAGGTGGGAGTAGGGGGCTGTCATTCCATGCCTGCAGGACCAGATTCCATGCCTCAGGAACCAGGTTCCTATGAATGGAATGCTATTCGCAGGCTTGAAGGACCAAGTATGAAGCCTGGATTGCCTGGTATTGTGGTTAGAAGGCTAGGGCCCATGCTCCAAAATCAGGTAATCTAGCTACAACTGTATTCTAGCGGGAAGGAGAGTTTACCTCCAAATTTATTGCTACAGAAATGGCCATTCTAATTACCACACTGAGGCTGCGTTGTGATGTAAGTGACCCAAAAAATGAGCAGAAAAACGTATGAGGCCTTCCAGGTGTTTTTATACAGTGGCACATTTAAGAAGTGCCCACAATGAATAAATTTTAAGGAGACAGTGGAAGAAAAATATGGAGTATTTTTGTAACATACTTCCAGTATGACTGTTTGACTTAGTCATTAGATTGGCAATTACTGAGTGCTAACCATGAGTCAGGTGCTTTGCTAAGTCTATAGCTGCATTGTATCATTTAGTTCCACAGGATAGTTTCGATTATTTGACAAACCAGAAAACTATGACTCAGAAAGCATTTTACTGATTTTCCCAAAGTTTCCCAGCTGGTATACAGTAGAGCAATGATATGAACTCTGATACATTTAATGTATTTTAAATGATAATAGGTTATGTCTGCAGTGTTGAATGAACCCAAAATGAAAAGTAGTTGGTGCTACTTCCCTTGCTGCACAGCAAGACACAGCTGCCTTTGTGGTATGATACCCATAACCTACATTTTGAACAGCAGAATAATCTTAAGTGGTATAAAAAAGAAATGGCATATCAACTCCAGTAAGTATTCTTTCTAGCAATAAAAAAACAAGTTCTATTCAACTTCAGAGGTATGAATTTATGGTATCTATACATGTGATATTTATAATTAGTTCTTATAAGGCAGTTTTTATCCCTGAAGCACTTTATGAAATTAACTAATTAATCTTCATCATATCCTTTAGAGAGAGATAACTGTAGCCTATTTGCAAAGAGCCTCTGTTATGGGGCTCAAGATGATTTATGAATATTATATACAACGATAAGCAGACTCAAGGCACTTCAGATACACACAAGCTGACAATGAGGATTTAGGATGCATTCATTCCCTAAGCAAATGTTTATTTAGTGTCATTACTATATAACCTAGGGGCTGATACCTGTAGGAGGTGAGACACTGTCTGCCTGGTTAAAGGCAGTGATCATGAGGGTGGGATGTTGTCTTTAGAAAAGACAACAAATCCCTGTTGACCTCTTTGACCCAAATATAAAATGACTGCCATGAGGGCAGTTCACCCAAGTGCAGAGACTGCTTCTTCCTTCTGCTCACATTTTCTAACCTGCAGAGTTTATTTCTGACTTGGCTAGGACTGCCTGGAATTTACAGTGCAATCCTCTGGTATTTTCATTTCTCATCACTGGTGACGCTTCCCACTGCCACATCTCCCTGCTCATTTTCAGCCCTGTTCCAATCCCTAGCACCACCCTCAACTACACTCTAAAAAGAATTAAGCATCCCTAGCTCAGAGATCCAAGTTTTACTATTCCATCATCTGTCATGGTAGTCTAACACCAAAGTACTAATACTTTCCTTTTTAACTATGCTAGTGTCTTATCTTACTTGAGGTTCCCTAGAAGCAGAGTCTGAAATGATTGGGCAAATAATTTATAGTCAAAATGCTCTCAGAAGAAACCAGTCAGGGAGTGAGAAAACCAGAATAGTACAGGAATTTGAGCAACAGTTTAGGAATAAGTCTAGCCTCAGCCTGATCTCCTGACCCCAAGGGTGCAATTCTCATTCCAGAGGTAAGGGGAATATGTTACTAAAATAGGTCTGCAGAAGTCAATTTTTGGATTGACCTCCCTCCACGAGGGACCAGGTCCACAACTGGGATATCTCTAGGTAAGATGGTGCTCATCAGTAGAAAGTTTGTCAGCAGCCAACACCTGCAGTACCTGGGGGACAGGTGCACTGGCCTGGCAAAGGGCATCTGGGCAAAGTACCACCACCATTGGCTCCAGCCCACTTGGCACCACTCAGATTTATTTACCGCTTGTATTAAGTTTTCTCAATATACTCACAGCTTCTTCTGGTTTTGGTTTAGTCATAATTTCTGAGTAAAAATTACAAGATGAAAACTAGTGAGACAAACTACAGCCCCGCTGTTGCTATTGGTCCTGAAAAAGCAAGTGAAACTCATGATGACCTTTCTTTACCACTATTCTTTATTGCTTTCAATCTCAGTTCATATGTCTGATGGCCTAGGTGGCTTGCCTGCTGGCTGGCCTAGGCTCACATCCCTGAGGGTTCTGAGCCCTTGATTACCATATGCTTATCAGGCCATAGTTGAATTTGCCCATTTTAATTAAAATTGGACTTGGGAGGTGACCTAGAGATGCCTAGTGGATAATGTGTTTGCCAAGCATATTTCTCCCTGCCTCTCTTGTACACCACCAGCCTTATATTCTCACGATTATCCACATGGTATCTCATTTCTTTGTCTGCTGGTCTATTGAAACTATAATCCCAAAGTAAATAGGTAGCACAGGTAACAGCCACAGCTTTGTGTTTAGTAAAACTTTTACTGAGTCCTAACTAGTTCAACCATTGTGGAAGACAGTGTGGCGATTCCTCAAGGATCTAGAACTAGAAATACCATTTCACCCAGCCATCCCATTGCTGGATATATACCCAAAGGAATATAAATCGTTCTGCTATAAAGACACATGCCACGTATGTTTATTGTGGCACTATTCACAATAGCAAAGACCTGGAACCAACCAAAATGTCCATCAATGATAGACTGGATTAAGAAAATGTGGCACATATACACCATGGATTACTATGCAGCCATAAAAAAGGATGAGTTCATGTCCTTTGTAGGGACATGGATGAAGCTGGAAACCATCATTCTCAGCAAACTATCGCAAGGACACAAAACCAAACACCAGATGTTCTCACTCATAGGCGGGAATTGAACAATGAGAACACTTGGACACAGGAAGGAGAACATCACACACTGGGGCCTGTCATGGGGTGGGGGGAGGGGGGAGGGATAGCATTAGGAGATATACCTAATGTAAATGATGAGTTAATGGGTGCAGCACACCAACATGTTGCATGTATACGTATGTAACAAACCTGCACGTTGTGCACATGTACCCTAGAACTTAAAGTACAATAAAAAAAATAAAAACTTTTACTGAATCCTTTGGTGAAAGTATTCCCTTTCCAGGAACTAGGATCTTCATTCCTGCAGAGTCTAAACTTACAGAGGTGAGAAACACAAATTCCGCAAGTAGGTCACTGGGAATGATTGTGACTCGGGCCATTTCTATTTCTGTGACTTAGTTTCTAGATCCAAGTGTTCTATCTGTTGGGAACACAATACCATGTAAAGGTTGTTGATTTCAGGCATTTACCCTGAAGAAGAGTGCTACACATTTGCAGGTATATTGCATCTGTAAACAATATGTTGTAGGAGCAGTGGGTCCTCCCATCATCATGTGACCACTACTGTTCCTCCTTTACTATAAAGTGAGTCTCTTGGTCCAAGGCAATGTCATATAGGATATCATTTTTTCTTAAAGCCAGTACTCTGGTGATGGTACTGTTTGAAGCACTATGGAAAGGACAGGTTAACCCATATTTCTATCTCTTTTTCAGGGAAGAAGTAGTCCATGTAATCAAGTTGCTACCAGCTGTCTGATTTATCTCCTTAAAGGATGATCCCATATCAAGGGCTCAGGGGTGCCCTTTCTTATTGGTCAGATATTTAGCAGTGGCATTAGCTAGATCATCCCTGGTGAGAAGGCACCTATAGCTTCGGGCCCATGCATAGTCTCCATTTTTGAAACCACACCTGCTCCATTGATGAGCACATTGCACAAGCACAGGGGTAGACAAGGACAGAGGTGACAGGCAAGAAATCTTATTCACCTGGCGGTTCAGTGCCTCATCTGCACTGAATGTTTTCTGGCAGGCATTAATGTAGAATAAAGATATTCACATTTTGTGCCCACTTCCCCAGGTATACCAAGGTGCCTTTTACTTAGACCTCATTGCCCCCAGTCTTCTTATGTTGCTTCTTCCAGGTCACTGATGAATCAGTGAAGCCATTTATCACTACCCATGATTCTATGTAAAGTCTTAACTCGGACCATTTTTCTTTCCATACAAATACATTATGAGGTTCTCTGTCAAAGAGCTCTGTTCTTTGGGAGGAGCTTACCTCACCACTGTCTTTTAGGGCCACCCATGTGTTAGGATGTAGTTAATCATCAGTCCATTTTCAACCTGCAGAACATACTGGGCTAAACCAACTTTGAGCCAAGCCTGCATTTTTTTCCTCCTCTGTCACCTGATCTTAGGGAGCCCTACAGACTATAGTGAGAGCTGAAGGAGAGGTATTGGTTCAAAAGTGCTGGATGTAGAAGGTTTGGCTCACCTGTTCTTCTAGATTACTCTTGCCTTCTAGACATACTGAAGCCCAATCCCAAATATTCCACCTCCCCTGGAAGACGGATTTCTGCTGATCATATGACAGTGAGTCTGACGGAACTCAGTTCAGGGTAGATAGCTCAGGGTTTATGGTAAACTAATGTCCCATAATCATGAGCTCACTATCCACTAGGGCCCATAAACATGCCAAAAGATGCTTTCTAATTCTTCATATAGTTCTCTGCTGCAGGCAACATGGCCTGCATCCTGAACCTTAGGCATCTGTAATGTGATTCTCTTATTAGGCCTTGCTGGAAATTCCACACAGAAAGCTCTACTACCATGGAATCCATTGGGTCATGTATTAGTCCATTTTCACACTGCTGATAAAGACATACCCGAGAATGGGCAATTTACAAAAGAAAGAGGTTTAATGGACTTACAGTTCTGCGTGGCTGAGAAAGCCTCACAATCATGGTGGAAGGCAAGGAGGAGCAAGTCACGTCTTACATGGATGGCAGCAGGCAAAGAGAGAGCTTGTACAGGGAAACTCCCCCTTACAGGACCATCAGATCTCAGAAGACTTATTCACTATCATGAGAACAGCACAGGAAAGACCTGCCCCCATGATTCAATTACCTCCCACTGGGTCCCTTCCACAATACAAGGGAATTCAAGATGAGATTTGGGTGGGGACACAGCCAAACTATATCAGATCATATGGCCCACTAGGCAGGGCTGCTTGTACCACAGCCTAAACATGCTACAAAATACTTTCTTGCTCTGAATCCTACTCAAAACAGGTAGCCTTCCATATGACTTTATGAATGATTTGAAGCATTTCCACAAGCAATGTATGCTGCTTCCAAAACCCAAAGAGGCCTATTTAGTTGTGCTTCTTTCTTAGTTGTAGGAGGGACAAGGCAAAATAACAGGTCCTTCACTGTGAAGGAAGTGATTGGCATATCCCACACTACTGACCCCTAAAAGTTTTTCCAATATAACATGCTTCTCAAATGTTTCAGGGTTTAGCTCTCACCCTCTGGAGTATGTGTCTTATCAGTGCATCTAGGGTACCTGCCAATTTATGTCCATTAATTTCAAATAAAATATCAGCAATATAATGGACCAACATTAAGGTCCATGGGATACTGAGATGATCCAGATGCTTTTGAATAATGTTGTAACAGATATCAGGAGAGTTAACTAGCACTGGAGCAAAACTGAGAATACATTGTCATCTACATCTTACTCACACCACATAGGAGTGTGAACTCTTTTTGATCTTCCTTCTTGATGGCTGGAGGATGCATTTTCCAGATAAATAGCCACCTACCACATACTAGAGACAGGAATATTTATCTCTTTTAGTAAAGACAGTACATTTGGCACAGATAGCTATTTGGCTAATTTTGCAGTATCTACTGCCATCGACTGTATTCAGTTCTTGCAGGGCCAACCTGATGAATTAAATGGGGATATGATGGAGTCTACCACTCCTATATCCTTTAAGTCTTTGAGAGTGTCACTAATCCCTACCATTCTACCCATAGTGTGATACTATTTTTTGTTTACTATTTTGAAAAGGGAAGTTTCAGGGGATTCCACTTGGCCTTTCCTACTCCAGTAACTCTTCTTCCACAGGGGAAGGAACAAATGTGACAATTCAGCCAACTAAATATATTTCTTCTTATTTTACACTTATGAATGGGAAAAATGACCACTGGGTAGGTCTGTGGGCCCAGTGGACCAATCGGGTAATACACCCAAGACAGTACTCTACTTATTATGTGACCTCCATTGACTGCTGCTGTAATGTGGGAAGAGGGGCTTGTAGTGGGATTTAGGGTTTCCAAGTGTTAGTGTCAGCTCAGACTCTATATCCAACAACCTTCAAAAACTATGGGTATCTCCAGTGTACAATTACACAGTAAATATCTGTAGGTCCCTTTAGGGGAATTATTGGGAGTTAATACTTGCTGTGGTATTGTGGGGCTCTTTATTCAAGGTGGCTTAATTCCTCTTTTAATGATTAATTCTGAGAACTGTCTCAAGTCTGAAAACTGGCTGAGAGATGATGCCTTTCCTTTGGGCAGCTTGTGTTTTGTGGGAGTGTGTGTGTGTGTGTGTGTGTGTGTGTGTGTGTGTGTGTGTGTGTGTACAACTGGCTATCCATGTATCTTGCCTCTGAGAACACCATGTTTTATGAGCCATCTCCATAAATTCTTGAAGGCCAGGCCCCCTGGCCGCCATTCTGACCTTACTGCCCATAACAGTAATCATACTCGTCTTGTCTCTGGTAGTTACATGCTGTTGCCTGACTTCTGCTATTCTGAGATCCATCCTTCCCGTTGTTATTAAGGAGCCCACTTCTGTAACAGTATCTTCCACTATCAACCTACAGGGGACAGCCACCATTGTGCTTGTCAGTGATTATAGAATCCCTCTCACCAGAATATTCCTTCTTGCCAAAAGAAATGTTCTTTGGCCTTTCCCAGGGAGTCAACTAGTGGATCTTCCAGTTTTACATAATAAATTTAGCAATCTCACTTCTCCAAAACTTTTGATCCCTATCAGGGGAAACTGCCCCCAATATTTCAACATAGGTTCTTTCTATTTTCCATAAGTTTTGGCCGGCTGAGAAATATAGAGAAAGAGTACAAAGAGAGGAATTTTACAGCTGGGTTGCTGGGGGTGACACCACATATCAGTAGGACTGTGATGTCCACCTGAGCCTCAAACCAGCAATTTTTTTTAAGGGTTTCAAAAGGGGAGGGAGTGTAAGAACAGAGAGTAGGTATAAAGATCACATGCTTCGAAGGGCAAAAAGCAGAACAAAGATGACATGCTTCTGAGGGAAGAGGACAAAGGGCAAAAGCAGAACTACTAATAAGGGTCCAACAAAGATCACAAGGCAAAGGACAAAAGCAGAACTACTGATAACGGTCTATGTTCAGTGGTGCACATATTGTCTTGATAAACATCTTAAACAACAGAAAACAGGGCTCGAGAGCAGAGAACTGGTCTGACCACAAATTTACCAGGGCAGAGATTTTCCCCACCTTAGTAAGCCTGAGGGTACTGCAGGAGACCAGGGCATATCTCAGCCCTTATCTCAACCGCATAAGACAGACATTCCCAGAGCGGCCATTTATAGACCTCCCCCAAGGAACGCATTCCTTTCCCAGGGTATCAATGTTAATATTCCTTGCTAGGAAAAGAATTTAGTGATATCTTCCTTACTTGCACGTTCATTTATAGGCTCTCTGCAAGAAGAAAAATACGGCTCTTTTTGCCCGATCCCACAGGCAGTCAGACCTTATGGTTGTCTTCCCTTGTTCCCTAAAAATCGCTGTTATTCTATTATTTTTCAAGGTGCACTGATTTCATATTGTTCAAACACACATGTTTTACAATCAATTTGTACAGTTAACACAATTATCACAGTGGTCCTGAGGTGACGTACATCCTCAGCTTACGAAGGTAACAGGATTAAGAGATTAAAGTAAGACAGGCATAAGAAATTATAAAAGTATTATTTGGGAACTGATAAATGTCCCCATTAAAATGAAATCTTCACAATTTATGTTCCCCTGCCACAGCTCCAGCCGGTCCCTCCATTTGGGGTCCCTGACTTCCTGCAACAGATCCCTGCTTAAACTGCCTGAGAACATTCTTTTAAAATGTATTTATTTATTTATTTCATTAGTTAATTTAAAGATTCAGGGGGTACCTGTGCAGGTGTGTTACATGGGTTTATTGTGTGATTCTGAGGTTTAGGCTTCTAATGATTCCATCACCCAAGTAGCAAACATGGTACCCAATAGGTAGTTTTTCAACTCTCTCTCTTCTTTTAGAATCACCAGTATTTATTGGCCCTATTTTTGTGTCCATGAGTACCTAGCATTTAGCCCCTACTTGTAAATGAGAACACATAATACATGGTTTTATGTTTCTGTGTTAATTTGTTTAGGATAATGGCCTCCAGCAGCCTTCATGTTGCTGCAAAACACATGATTTCATTATTTTTTTATGGCTGTGTAGTACTCCATGGTGCATATATATCACATTTTAAAAATTCAGTCTACCATTGATGGACATCTCAGTTGATTCATGTCTTTGTTATTGTGAATAGTGCAGTGGTGAATATATGAGTACATGTGTCTTTGGGGTAAAATGGTTTATTTTCCTTTGGGCATATACCCAGTAATTGAATTGCTGGGTCAAATGGTAGTTCTATTTTTAGTTCTATGAAAAATATCCAAACTGCTTTCCACAGTGGCTGAATTAGTTTACATTCCCATCAATTGTGTATAAGCTTCCTTTTTCTCCACAACTGTGCCAACATCTGTTATTTTTTAACTTTTTAATAATAGCCATTCTGACTGGTGTGAGATGGTATCTCATTGTGATTTTGATTTGCATCTCTCTCTCATTATTAGTGATGATGAGCATTTTTTCATATGCTGGTTATCCATTTGTATGTCTTCTTTTGAAAAGTGTCTGTTCTTGTCCTTTGCCTACTTCTTAATGGGGTGGTTTGTTTGTTTTATAAATTTGTTTAAGTCCCTAATAGATGCTGGATGTTAGACTTCTGTTACATGCATATTTCTCCATTCTGTATGTTGTCTGTTTACTCTGTTGATAATTTCTTTTGCTGTGCAGAAGCTCTTTAGCTTAATTAAGTCTCACTTGTCAATTTTCATTTTTGTTGTGTTTGCTTTTGAAGACTTAGTCATAAATTCTCTGCCTAGGCCTATGTCTACAAGAGTATTTCCTAGGTTTTCTTCTAGGATTTTTATAGTTTGAGGGCTTAAACCTTAATGCTTAAACCTAAGCCCTAAATATTTAGTTCATCTTGAGTTGATTTTTTATTTTTATTTTTTTTTGAGACAGGGTCTTGCTCTGTCACCCAGGCTGGAATGCAGTGGTGCCATCATGGCTCACTGCAACCTCCGTCCCTCAGGCTCAAGCGATCCTCCCACCTCGGCCTCCTGAGTAGCTAGGACCATAGGTGTGCATCACCATGCCTAGATATTTTGTTTGTTTTGTATTTTTAGTAGAGACAGGGCCTCACCATGTTGCCCAGGCTGGTCTTGGATTCCTGAGCTCGAGAGATCCACTTGCTGCAGCCTCCCAAAGTGCTGGATTACAGGTGTGAGCCACCGTGCCCAGCCTTGAGTTGATTTTTCTAGATGGTGAGAGGTAAGAGTCCAGTTTCATTTTTTTTGCACATGGTTAGCCTGTTTTCCCAGCACTATTTACCAAATACAGTATCCTTTCCCCATTGTTTATTTTTGCCAATCTTGTCAAAGATCTGTTGGTTGTAGGTGTGTGGCTTTATTTCAAGGGTCTCTATTCTGTTCCGTTGGTCTATGTGTCTATTTCTGTATCACTGTTTTGGTTACTATAACCTGGTATCGTTTGAAGTTGAGTGATGTGATCCCTCTGGCTTTATTCTTTTTTCTTAGGATTGCATTAGCTATTCAGCCTTTTTTTTTTTTTTGGTTCTGTATGAAATTTAGAATAATTTTTCTAATTCCCTCAAAGTAGTCTTACTTACTACATTATCTGACTTCCTTAAAGAGCAGGACTTCAGGCTTCACATCAGGCCCCAGTATGGCAGGGCTCTAGTGTATGGAAAGAGAGATGTAGCATCCAAGTTTCTCTGGACAGTTTATTGAATCTTGGACTCAGTACGAAAATTCAGGTGCAGTACCAGATTCAGGAAAAGTACTCTGCCCCATGCCTGTGATGGTCTATCCAGTTACCTTTACCAGGCTGTGTGCCAGTTCCCCAGCTGCTTTGGGTCTTAGCTACTGTCAGCTCAAATCTACATCCTGATGGGAACTTACTCTTCTCCCCATCTCCAAGCCCCACATGACAAATGCCTGGCTGCTGAGGCAGTATAGTGGTCTAATCTCAGTAGGACTGACTGGGGAGGGTGCACAAGTACCCCCAGAAAGAACGTGAGTGTGCCTCAGAGTAATTTGGAGGGTGCGGACTGAAGTGGGAGGTGTGAATGAAATGCAAGATGCAGGAGATTTTGTCAATATAGGGAACTCTCCCAGTCTCCTGGTTGTTATGTCCTGGCAAAGGTCTCTAGAGCTACTCCTAATACACTTGCTTCTGGGATCATGCTTGGAAGCTTGGACAAAACTGTGGCCTACATAAATCTAGCAGAGATGGCAGAAGCACTGTGGCTACAAGGTCATCTAACTAGCATCAAGCCTCTTGCAAACTGTATGATCTTGGGATTATTTAAATTTCTGAGGCTCAATTTTCTTGTGAATGAAATGGGGATAACAATAATACCTACGTTATAGTGGGAGAATGATAAATGAGTTCTGAGAAGGACATGTGATTCTAAAAGGCCCTGGCTCCATTTCAGAAATAAAAAATATCGTTTTATCACTACTGTAAGAGTTCTTTGATGGATGTTATTTGCTTGGGACTCGGAATATTGCCTCTTCCTGCATTCCCCAGGGCTTTACTGAACTCGTGTGTTGGAAACCAATGCTCTCCCACCCCAATCCTGCCTCATATTAGTCTCTTTGGATATGGCTGCCACCTCCTTCCTGGATCCCAGGTTCTGTCTGCTGGCCTCCACTCCCAGTGGGCAGATCTGGTTCTTAACTCCAGCCCCCTCTCAACTATCTCTCACTTCCTCTCAGTCTGCATTGGGTGGAAGTGGTCCCACCCCTGGAAGAAGTACAATGGAGTTTACTATGGTCTCTGTGCTTTGGAACTAATCACATTATGAAGCAAGAGCCAGCTTCAGAGTGTAAGAGTCTTCAAAACCACCATGTCATTTCATTTATTCAACTTCAATGCTTTAGAATATATTTGTACTGTATCGCTGTCTCATTTTGCAACTGAGTATTATTTTCAAGCATGATTCGTTCATGTCACATAAAACGATAAATTTGTTCATTTAGAACTGCAAATCTAGTTATTCATGCTTTATGTAAGCAAATTAAATTTTTTTCTTTGGGATTCTTGACAATATTTAATATTATGAATTCTATCAAGGTGTTAAAAAGGGAATCTGAATTTTAAGAATCATAGTAAATTGCAAAATGGGTTTATTAATTTGGGGAGGAGAGGTGTTGCAGAAGAGGTGACATGTGAGCTGGGACTTGGAGGAAGAAGTCAAGTTCCCCAAGTGCAGATATGGGGTAGGGGAGAGCAGAGAGTTGGATATACTGGAGAGAAGATGGCATGAGCAAAGGTGTGGGGAAGGGAAAGGATGGGGTTAGAGTGAGACAAATCTACTGGTGCCCAGTTTGGAACACAGTCCGAACAAATGGCTAGAAAGGTATTATGCGGACACATCTATAGAAATCCTTGAATAACGCATTTTTGATGTATCCATGCTTCAGCCTTGTTGCTTAACAGCAAATGAAATTAATTCATTTGTGATAATAAAACCATAGGTAATGTTATGGGGTGTTGATATACATACCAAATCTTTTGAGGTTAGAGTCACAGTGGATCTATTGGAGAAAAGCAGACCCAAAATGAAAATTATTCTCTTCTTATTTATGACAAGTGCTATGGTATCATAATATGACCATCTATCTTAATGTGAAATGCTTAAAAATATAAATAACTGCAATATTTCTGATTATAAAATGTATGCAGTCATTTGTTGTAATTTTTAAATACGAAAAATATTTAGAAAGAAGGTCAAAAGTCACTTGAAATACTTTCATCCAGAAAAAATGGCCATTAATGTTTTGCATTTTGGTGATCTTCCTTCCCAAAGTCTTGTGTGTGTGTGTGCATGTGTGCATGTGAAGGTAAGTATATGTGCACATGTATGTGTGTGCATAGGCATGTATGAGCGTGTGTCTGGAAGGTGGGCTCATGGGGAGAGAGGCAATCAGACTTTGCAGAGTCTTGAGAGCAACACAATGGATATTTGGACTCAGTCTCAAGGTCAGTGATGGCCAATGAACATTTATGAACAGAATAAAAAATGAGATAGTATGTTCAAGATTGTTGCTCTGACTGTGACATTAATAGGGAAAGGAAATATGAGAGGTCAGGTATTTCAGGAGGAGGCTATAACTCTGGAGTTGAGGTAGTCAGAGAGGTGAACTAGGGCAGAAATTCAGGCAGGTAGAGGGCTGTGCATTCCAGAACTATTTATGTGTTCAAATTCACAAGACCTTGCGGATGACCAGATTTGTGAGAGATGAAGGGAATCAAAGATGATTCTTACTCTTCTTTAAAAATAAAAAGATCAAAGTGTTCATCAAAGCGTGTCCTGTTCTCTTGCTCATATTCACAAGGCATTACAAAGAGATTTATAAAATTGCTTATTACATAAACTAATGATAATGAACTTTACTGAGCAATCATTTTGAGCCAGAGGTCAGACATTTCATTTAATCCTCACAACTGTCCTTAGGTCAAATGATTGACCTAAGGACACACAGTTCAGAAGTAAAAGAACCTGTGCAAGACCTAATTCTCTCCCTCTCTCAAAATTTCACATTATAATGATGACTGTTATGGACTGGATTTTTCGCCACCCCACCACCCAAATTAATTTGTTAAAATGAGGTTGCAAAGGTGGAGGTTTAATCCAATAAGGCTGGTATCCTACCAAGAAAAGGAAGAGACACAAAAGCTCTCTCTCCACACACACATATAGAAAAAGTCATGTAAAGGCATAGCAAGAAGATAACTGTTTACAAAAGAGGAAGAGGGCCCCTGCCAGGAACCAAATCAACTGACACCTTGATCTAGGACTTCCCAGCCTCCAGAATGGTGAGAAAATTAATTTCTGTTTTTTCAGCCCCCTAGTCTGTGGTATTTTGTTATGGCAGCCTGAGCCAATTAATAGAATGCCTTCTAGTAGCAACAATCAAAGAGAATCCAGTGACGTTAGGGAATCCTTTTAAACCTAAAGCAAGTTTGCCAATTGGAAGATGGGCAGTTCACTTAAAAGAATTTTAAAAGTCCAACTTCTTAGACATTAAGTATCAGTTAAGGCTAGTGGAGCAGAGCTTCATGATTACTTAGAAGTTTTTTTTATTTTTGAAATGATCAGTATTGTTAATTTTTAAAGTGTTAATGCTTTTAAGCCAAAACTTTCTCCTTTTTTTTTTTTTTAACAAAAGACAAATTTGAAGCTGTGAAGGAAATTGGAAGGAGGAAGTCACTGTTGTTGTTAAGCTCTGAGAATTTTCCCAAGTGTAATTCAGTCTGTAAATTGCTTTTGTAAAGTAGATTCTTTGGAAAACGTTTGCAAAGATGTAAATAAAATGCTGTACTTTATATAGTACCTACATAGGATTGAATCTACTCACCTCAAGGGTGAACTACGATCCACAAGGACTAATTTTGTTCTTAAAAAATGTTATAACAGGTTTATGTTGTTGGTTCTGAAATGTCTACTAGAAGAATAGCTGCATGAATAGAAGAATATAATTTCCAACTCATGGAGTGAAAAGCAGCTTAATAAATCTAGTTCAAAAATCACTTTAAAATTGTTTCAAATAACCTTGGCTCACTCACAAGCTAAGTAACGTATTTTAGCGTTCAGGGGTTCTGTTTAGAGAAATTGTTAAGTGGTCCATCTGTTTTATATGTATTTCCCTAATTAGAAGCTAATTTGCACAGTTTAAGGGAAATGTCAAATGCGTTACAGAAGCCCCTTTGCATATATAAAGGAGCAACCAAGAGCAGAAAATGGAAACCAGGGTGAAACTGGGTGCTTTTACCCTCTCGATAATTACAGGCTTATGAAGAAAGTCATGACTACCACAATGCCTGCCAAGGTGAAGAGTGGGCACATTATGGCATTCACAGTATCATGCACCTGCCTCTCTTTACATCTCTTTGAGGTTAATAAAGTTCATGATACTGTACACATAATGATGATCCTACTGTGCACGGGTTACTGATTTATTCAACTAGTATTCACTGAGAGCTGGGACACAATGAACAAAACAGACAGGGGCTGCCCATAGAGTATTCACAGCAAAATCTTCATCCATTATCATGAATCTCACAAAAGTCTTATGAAGTGGCTATTATTATCTGATCTTTAGAAATAAACTTAGGGCTTGGACAGGTTAAGTGACTTGCCCATGGCTCAGTGGCTGGCATGGCAAAGTTGGATGCGGCTCCCAAATCCTGCCCCTACTGCATTTCTTCCTAATGGTTCCCCAGGGTTTAGTAACACATCTTTAGGAATTTACTGTGAGATTCCTAAATGTCCCCATTAGTGTGAATAGGCCAAGTCTGAAATAAATTAAGCCTTTTTTTTTAGGACCTGGGCAAAACCCTCAGGGCCTCTATACAGAGTTGCCAGATCCTCTCTTCCATCTCCCTACATCTCCCTTAATTAAAAAAAAAAGTAGATGCAAAATTATAATAGCTGTTTTCTGCATTTTCTGACTGTGACATGGTAGCTTAATTCATCAAAGTTTAACCTTTCTTTTTGGGGGAGGCAGGGTTCCTGTGCTTTGTTTCCCTAAGCACATCCTTAATTTGCCACTTGGTGACCCAGCCCTCAGATCTGCCCACCTCTAGAAGCCGATGCTTATAAATCTTTCACCAGATTTTGAGGCCTCTCTGCTTTGTCTCTGTATCTTTTTAATCATCAATTCACGTAATTGGACGTTATGACAAGGAAGCAGCTAACATCATTCAATTTCTTACTCTGATGCCTATGTTCAGTATAAGATTGATTTAGCCTTTCCTTCCTTTGTTCATTCATTCCACATTCGAGTGCCTACCATGTGTGTAGCAATATACCAGGCACAAGATACAGATGAAAAATAGAGTTCCTACTCTGAAGCATCTCAGAGTTCAGACAGGCAGGCAGAGAAGATACTAAAAAATCATTTTTAAAAATATGATAAAGGACGTGAAAGGGGTACGCAGAGAGTGCTATGGAAACAAGGAGGAGAAACCAATCCAGCCCGGGGGATTGGTGGGGTTGGAGCAGGGAGGAGGCTCTTCTGCAGAGGAAAAGATGTCTGAGCTGACTCTTAAAAAGCCAACTAAGTGATGGGCCACATGATTAAGAAAGGCATGTATTCTAGGCAGATAATGCCAAGGGCAACGGCCCAGGAGCATGGGAGAGCAGTGCACATCCAGGGATCTACAAGTAATGATAAATAGACACATTTTTTTCTGTCATTATTTTTGTGCAGGCTTCTATGCTAAGTGTCTTGCATACATTATTTAACTGAATTCTCATCTAAACACTGTGCAGCAGGTACCATTCTTATTTCTATTTGAGAGTTGAGAAAAACAGAGGCTAAATAACATACCTTAGTATTAACCAAAGATAATAAGAAGTTAGGCTGGGCTTCGAGCACCAGTCTTTTGAATATCATAATTTGCCTGCTCAACCACTCCATGCCACTCCAGTAATTCTGTGTGGCTAGAATGTTGAGGCTGGGAAGGAGGCAGGGAGAGAAAGGCAAGAGATGACACAGAAAAGGTGATTTTACTTTAAAGGCTCCAGTGAGCCTCTGAAGGATTTTAAGCAGGTGTGTGCTATGCTTAGATGTGCATTTTAGAAGCCTCACTCTGTGGAAAGGATAAAGTACAGATGAGAAGAGAGCCAGATTGGAGACAGAGAAATCAGACAGGCAGCTGGGCACTGCTCCTGGTGAGAGATGACAGGTTTTTGGTCGCATATAGTGGCGATAGAGATGGAGAGGAGAGGAGTGATTCCAAAGATAACCCTTGCAACTGATTAGAGAGAGGTGAGGATGGGATAGAGGTAGGGTGAACGACAGTGAGGGAAGGAGTCCAAGTTTATTTTGGGGTTTCTCTTTTGGATGAATTGGTGAAGGTTGATGTTATTCAACAAGTGATGGAGCATAAAATAATTAGGAAAAAATGATGAATTCCTTTTTAGACATGCTCAATTCAAAATGCCTAAGAAACATTAATAAGAAGACGTGTACCAGTCAGACTGAAATATGAATCTACATAGTCATCAGCCTACACATGAAAAATCATGGGCTTGGGTAATATCAGTGTATGGAGGAAAGAAAGAGAACAAGAATGGGAAGGGAGCAGATGAAGCAAGGGTACAATTTAGAAAATGTAACATCTAGAAGGCTAGAAGAATTAGGAGACTCCATGAAGACTAAGGAGAGTAGGAGGAACATGATCAGAAAGAAAAAGCAAGAGTTTCAAGAAGGAGGGGAAAATCTGTAGCATCCAGGACAATAGACAGCAATGTCTTGGTCACAGTGACCACCACTGCTCACCAGACCCGCATGTTCCAGACACCATACCCTACCGGGTACTTATGTGAAGTCTCTCTGTTCTTAACAACATGGTTGCAAAGCAGTGGTGCTGGTGGGGAAAACAGTGACTAACTGTTGAATACCTGCTTTGTGCCTACTGTTTACTAAGCTCTTTGCACACAATACCTCATTCTTGCTTTTACAGATGAGAAATTTTGCCCGTGATAAAGATAAAGACAGGGAACACTAATTGTAACAACACATAGGGTTAAGGGAGGATACTAGGCACTGAGGATTTCTTTTCTTTTTTTGCTTCAAAATGGAAGAGCTCCAAGTTGAGTAAGCTAGTAGCACACAGTGGCATAACACAAAAATGTATCCTCAGGGTAAAATAGTTCATAGGAAGATCACCATTATTAGTTAATAATTTTGGCCCATGGCACTTACTACTCCTGAGTCCTAATTTTGCCCTCTTCAGTTAGATAAACGATCACACAGAATAGGCACTTATGGGGAGAAGTCTCTTTCTCTGTCCTGCCTCAGCCTTCACCACAAACATCTGGTGTTACTCTTGTCTCACTGCATTAAAATTATCTATTAAAATAGTGTTTCCTTAAGTTGTGTATGTTCTGCAAAGGCAAGGCCAGTCCTTTTTATCATTTCCCCAGCTTGCCTGTCAGTTGCCTGGATTGAAGCAAGCAATCAATAAATGTCTGAAGATAATTAAATGTTTTAAACAGCTATTTCCAATGACTTAACTATGGCCTTCTTTAACACTAGAAATTTAAATTGAATTTATCTGTCAGAATCCAAACATAAAAAACTAACTTTGACTAAGGTAAAACAGAAAAGAAAGTTTTGGAAGGATACTAGGTCTCTCAGGAAGTCGGCAGAAAGCCTCGAGATCAAGATTGGAGGACAGGGCTGCTGAAATCACAGAGTGCCATTATCCATTTGATTAATTCATCCTCAGGGCTCCCCTGGCACTGTGGCCACACTCAACACTACACTGTGAGTGTCTACTGCCATTAATAAACTTCCCCGCACATCCCTTGATTCAGGTTTAAACACACAAGTGAAGTGTCCTATCAGCTGAGCCTAGCTCTCAGCCTGTGCTCCAGCTACCAGAGAAGAGGGAGAGGATCTCCTTTCTTTCCTTCAGAAGGGGCGAGTTCTGCCCCCAGTCAGGAAACACACCATGGGGATAGGCACTTAAAGCGGAAGGGGATTTGGATCCTAAGCTGCCAAGGCAACAAAAATGTCCACTAACCTGACTGAAAGGATTCTGAGTCATCACTCAAAAGGGAAGGATAACCTTCCCTAGAATTTAAGATATAAATAAGATAGATTCCCAGCTGTCTGAAATGGTTTAGATAATAGTTCTTCTACAAGGCAGAGATGGATTGAAATACAATATATTCCCACACAGCTATCATCTCCTGAAATGCTAGAAATATCTTCACGTCAAAGTCTTATCATAGGAAGCCTGAGAGCTGGAATCTGGAATTACATTTCTATTTTTTTTAGGCCCTTGCTACAAAGAAGTTGCATTTCCTCCCTCAAGTCGGTTGTCTGCTGTTTGTGACTGATACTATGCACAGCAGTGAGGCATGTGTGTTTCACGAAAATGTGTGAAAACTGCTTTCAAAAATGCATGCCATCTAGATAAAAAGAAAACTATAAAAATATGTTTGGTTGCCACTTCGTAGAGCCTATTGAATTTGTCTGTGAATGTGAATCTAATTGCCATTTTTTCTACTACAGCCTCTGTGAACATTACATTTCCATTAAAAAGAGAAGTCAGTTACAGCAGAATGTATTCCTGTGTTCACATAGGAATCATAAAAATAAATAATGATCGGTTGATTGCTTAATAATTTATGTTTCTCCTTGATAGACCATTAGAGGAAATAAGCAAATCCACAGGTACAGAAAATGTCATTCATTGTCAGTAAAGTGTTACAAACAGCTTCCTGTAACTGAAGTGTTTGTAACTAAAGTGTTACAAACAGCTTCCTGGTTTTGAATGATGACTGCTGATTATTCTCCTGTTCTTCATTTATAATCAGAGAAAGTCTCCTTTATTAACTATTCTTGTTACCATGGGATTGGCATAAAAATATTATCACTTGTGTGGTTGAATTTGAGGGCTGAGGGACCCGCACAACTTGGGTTAGAGGGGTCAGACTTAAACTGCACTTGTTGCAGAAAAATCTATTCCATTCTTCATCCAATGGCAGGAATAAACAACATGTTATTTTGATAAATTCAGTAACTTGATGTTAATGGTTGACAGCCCCCCTCCTTCTCGTGGTTTTTCTCCTTCAGTGATTTGAATGACCTGTGTCTATCTGATGGGTTGACCAGTATGTTTTTTTTTTAAATGATTTTGTATCTATTTTGATGAACAGTTGTCAAAGAGAAGGGTCTATTCTCACTGTTCAGGTAAGGAAATTTGCAGTTAATTAGGAAAATGCACATAAAGATGTCAGATGAATATTCCTAAAGCACAGCTCCAATCAATATCTCACCCCTGATTAAGTTTAATGTCTCTAACTCTCTACCTAATTAAGTCCAGAGTTCTATCCCCGGGCTTCACAGATTTTCATCCTATAGCCTCTGCCTATTTTCTGAGATTTTATTCTACTTTTTTCCTGTACTGTATGTACAGCACAGTTAAGTTTGGTGATTCTTAATCCTTGCTGCACATCAGAATCACATGGAAATCTTCAAACAAACAAACATTAATCCACTGGGCCCACCGCATACTAATTGAAAGTGAATTTGAGGATGAAGCACAGGCATCAGTTTGGTTTGTGTGTGTGTGTGTTTGTGCAGGGAGGGTTAGCTCCTTATTTTGGTTATCTATTGTTACAAATCCAACCACCTCAACACTTATTTGTATGAAACGGTATACATTTTATTATGTTCCCAATTCTGTGGTCCAACTGTTCTGACACAGCACAGCACTGGTAGTGTGCCTTTACTCCATGATGCCTGGGGTTTTGGCTGGGACAACTCACATGGCTAGGGATGTCTGCAAGAGCTGGGAGCTGGAGTCATTTGCAGGCTTCCTCATTGACATTTCTGCTGCTGAGGCTGGGATAATGCAAAGGCTCTGCTTAGCTATACCTGTAAGCCAGGTGTCTACACTTGCCTTTCCATATACCTTGGGCTTCCTCAAAGCATGGTGGCTTAAGGTAGAAAAACTTCCTATACGGAAGTTCAAGAATCCAGGAGCAAATCCACTGTAAAAAGTGGAATTGCAAAGGCTTTTATGCCCCTACCCTCGGAAAGCACATAGCAACACTTCTGTTCCATTTCATTCATTGTAGCAGTCACAATCTTTCAGATTTAAGGGGAGGGGACCCACTTCTCTATAGGAAGAATGTCAATGAATTTGTGGGCACATTTTAAAGTTACCACACACCCCAGGTGATTCCAATGTACAGGCAGCGTTGAGAACAACTGGATTCATTTTTTTTTTTTGTAAGCACCCATCTACAAAGGAGCAGTGGGACTTGGGTGAAGTGAACAAGACACCTAGGGTGCAAAATTTAAGAAAATCATTCTCAGGATCATGCAAGCACAGGATAGAGATTGAGAGCAAGTGCCTCCTTACATTCTGTGCTCAAGTGGCCCCACTTGCCACACCCTAGTCCTGAGCCTACTACATAGCAACTGTGTATGAATCATTAGGGTGAGGGGGACTTGGATTTCTGGACTAGACAGTACTTTAGTATTGGGATTTGGAAAGCCCAGGTAGGATCTGGGATTCTGTATGTTTATAGGAATCCCCAGTGGACTACTTCCAGCTTCCACGTGCTTTCCTGGTGCCATGCTTTGCTTACGCTGTTCCTTCTGCCTGGAAGTGTTTTCCTTCTATTTCTATCAAGCATGGAGTATCCACTGATTTTTAAGGTCCATTTCATATACCGCTTCTTTCATCAAGCTTTTATTGGTCCCCCCAGCCAGAGTGTAACCTGTCTCTCCTGAGAAACCCCTAGCATGTTTTACATGCCTTTAAGACACTCACATGTTGATCAGCATTTTGGTTGTGTGTGGGCCTGTCTTATAGGAAGAATATGTTTACTTTTCTCCAAAGGCCACAAAATGGAGATCTGGATCCTCCTCACCCGTTCTCACTGGTAGAGGCAGAGTCTTGTTTAGACAAGGTTCCCTCTTTTTTGCCTTATCTCGCTCCCAGATAGCTCAAGTTTGTAACCAACACATACACATTTTAGATGCCCAATAAACTGGATCTCTCTCCTGATGAAAGGTGTGGTCAGTTTCCTATTTTTACAGCCTTCGCAGAAGCCGTCAAATATTGAATAATTACCCTGGTTTAAATGCTTAAACACAGATAAGGACTTCGTCTTGTGACTTTGGGAAACTTCATATTTGAACATTACCTAACAATCCTTGCCCCATAGCAAACGTTTCGAAGCCTACTCTAGGCAGAGTTCATAGCACCGCCTTTGTCAGCAGCACTGCCATAGGTAAGCCTCAGAACCCTCTGGGGTGAGACCGGTGTAACCATTTTACTGATGAGGAAAAGTGAGGCTTACAGGTTAAGTCCTTCGAGCGCAAGATAACACCGAATGGCTTAATCCCTACACCAAACCAGCTGCTCCTCGATTGCTGGTATTCGTGAACCCTGCCCCCGCCTTTGGGGAAGGTCGGGCAGACAGGCCACTGGGACCAAAAGCAGAGTAGGTAGAACCTCTCTGAGTTCCTCCCTATTTATGGCATCCACTCAGGTGAGGCTGGGGGCGTCCTTACCTTGCGCTTTGGCTGCTCAGGACAAACGCCCTGCCATTCGTCCCTTCTCTCTGTCCGGACGCCCTCCTCCATCCCTGCACTTGGGGCCGTCGTGGGGCTGGTAGGGGTCCCCAGGCTATCTCCAGCCGTGGCCGATGGCCGTGCCGGGGGCAGAGCCCGCTCCCCTCCGCGCGTTGCTACGTGCGGGGATGACATGGATCCAGACGCCGTCAACTACGGGAAGGAGGAGGCGAGAGTTGGAGCGCGTGGGAGCGCAGAGGCCGGAGGAGGGAGGGGGGGACACCGAGCGCGGAGAGCGCGGAGAGCGCGGAGGGAGGCGCGCGCGGGAGCGAACACCCTCCCGGATCCAGAGCCCGGCGGCGGCGAAGCAGCAGCTGCGGCCGCGCCCTTGCCAGAGCCGGTGCGTCCGCCTAGCCCCGCTCCGCCTGAGGCCGTCAGGGCTCCCGAGGATGGAAGATTCCCAGGAGACATCGCCGTCCTCCAACAACTCCTCGGAGGAGCTCAGCTCTGCTCTGCACCTGTCCAAGGGCATGTCGATCTTCCTCGACGTAAGTACAGATGGTGGGAGCTGGGCGGTTGCTTCCCAGCACCTTTCTTTTCCCCGAAAGGAAGGGGTTCGGCTCAGGTGCTGACCAGCCAATGCTTTGTCCCCAGAACACAGGCGAGAACTACCGATGCAAATGCAGGAGGAACGACTGTCCCTTAACTTGCAGCTAGGGCTGTCCCAGACCTGCAGCTTGTGGCTTAACACCCTTAAGAAAACTGCAAAAGTTAGATTTTCCAACAGGCTGGGTTTCGTAGAGACACTATTGCAAATACAACAGACAACATTTGAGTGCATAGGACATTTTAAAGAGGCACAAGGTGTGGGGGGTGAGGTGGGGACAGTGTCCCAACTCATCTCTCTAACGCGCCCTATTCGCAGCCTTCACACTCGTGGATGCTCTCAAGCAACCCAGCCAGGGAAGCAGCAGCGATTGAGATGCCCTCGTTATCCTCCCCCAGACCCCCTCGGAAAACAATTACTTTGAGCATATTTGTTTTTCTTTTTACAGCGGTGGGAAATATCATTTTCATAATGATTCTTTTTGTCACTGCCACCTCTTCTATTTTCCCTTTTTCTTCCCTGATATTCTCCTTCTCTCCAAGTTCTAATTACTACTGTCACCTCCATGAATTCTAGCTTTTGACTATTTTCCCTTTGGTCCAATTTCTCACTTCGGTATCGACTGCCTGCCTTCATTACTCTGATCTGATTACATCCTTTCTTTTCCTTCTGTGCTGTTTCTTTTTCCCGTATGGTGTGGTTTCTATCTTTACAGCACTTTTATTTCTTATTTATTTCTCAATTTTGTTTTCCTCTCCTGCCTGCTGTTTCTGTTTTCTCTATTTTTCCGTCTGTTGCCTATCTCTTCTCTCTGCTTTGGGGTTTCTCTCAGCTGCTTGCCGGGCTCCAGGCTCTCCCAGCCCCTCAGTTGTCACATTCATGCTGTTGCCGGAGGTCGTGTCTATCTCAGTGGGGACAATTCTGTCTGCTTCTTGTTTAGGCATGATAGAAAATGTCAAAGGACATGGAGGAGTGCTACGTGCTCTGTCCTTTACCCTTCTCTGAGTTATCTTTTCTTATTAAAGTCAAAATGAGTGGGAGATGGGCCAGAAGCCAGATACATTTGTTTGTGGAGAGATGAAAATATGAGGAAATCAATTAGTATCATAATGGTGAGGCAGAGATAAAGAGGATAGGAGGATGTGAGGCGCTCTCCCAAGTTTATTTTGAATGGATTGGCTAGAATTCTTTTTAATTCTAGGGAAAGAAACTCCTATCAATAATTCAAACTGTTGTAAGGCAAATGATAGAAGTGAGGTTCAACTGTGTGTACTGGCAGCCTTCACCCTTTATCACCTGGTGGCTCCAATTGGTGATCCAGGCATTCTGGGCTGGTCATCTCCTTCCCACCAAATCTCAGGTGTGGTCATTCCTATTCAGCCACCCAATCAGGTGGTTAAGTACCTTATCCTTCATGAGCATTTATCTCTGCCTGGCTTGGGTCAGTCAGATGGTATTATTGGTGCTCATGGCTTAACGGGCTGATCTTATTCAAGTTTTGCTGTTCAGGGCCATAAAGCACTTGAGGAGGTAAGCTGAGAAAAGAGAAGGGCACCACAACATGCCTGAAAAGTCAGGGCCCCTGGAAATCATGTCAGTTATGAGGCTGACAATTAAGGGGCCATGGAGTTGATTCAAAGGGGACAAGTGGGGCCTCCATTCATTCTGACCTGATCTTCACTCTGTCCCCCATTGAGATCAAGTGCTTCCCTGTGCTTTTTAAAAAGCACTTAACAAACCCCGGTGATAGTGTGGAGATGAATGGATTAAAACTACACAAATGGAAAGTCATCCTCCTGACTCATACACCAGCCATTGCTTAAGTGTTCAACTGCAATGTTTTCGAAGAGAAAATTAAAATTTCATTTTTTATTATGTATGCATGATTGTTTCCAAGTCTGTAAACAAATAGCATCAGGTCCCTGTACTAAAGGAACTTGTAGTCTGTGAATAGGGTGGTCTTGCCTTTTATATTTCAGAGATTTAAAAATAAAAATAGGAAACTGATTCCCTATGAGAGGTGTTGACATGCTTGTTTGTCGGTAAAATGCTAGAGTCTACAAAAAAAACCTGCCATTGGATTTTGTGTCAAATGGAAAAGATTTTGTTTACACTTTTCTTTGAGTTATTTTGTGAAAAATCTAACACTGGTGAAATATGTGATATGAAAAATGATTTGTTACTTAGGGATTTGTGAATTATTCATTTCTGGATCATACCACTTTTAGCAAAATAAAATATAAAATATACATGCATCACTTTATTTATTTGATTTAATATATTCTATGGCACTAGCAAGAAAGATTACTTTTAAAATTATCTTCATATTATAATACATAGGTGATAGATATTACCTGTTCCAAACTGGAACAGGTAATTTTCTGTGTGTCTTCTGTATCAAACAGACAATTTCCAAATTTGAGGAAAACTTTGATTTGCAGTGCTTTTTATTGCAATGTCACTGGAATAATCAATCATTTAAGAAATGATGTAAACTGCTACTGAGAACACTATTAATGACATGATACATGACCAGCTGGTTGGAAACTAGAGACAGATTTTAACAAGAAAATCAGAGATAGATTTGCCACAACTGTTGGCTTTTCCTTCAGTATCCTCTCCAAATCAGCAATAGTAATCACTATGATACTTCCTTAGGCTGTTGTGAGTATGAAATAAGGGAAAATGGAAACAAAGCAAAAAGTATTGCATAAATTTGAAGTATTATGGTTATTTCAGTGCTGCACACTGAGTGTATTAAATAACAGTAACAGTAGCTAAATCCACAAACTGATGCAGGGACTATTTCTTCATGAATCTAATTTATAGAATTGTCTTGCTAGAATATGACAGAATTAAGTATCGGTTCATCATAAATACTCTTGAATACTGATGGGAGGCTTAGAAAACCTAGCACTGGTGCCAAGGTATGCCAGTGCATTGAGGCTGGAGCAAGCATTTGCATATGGCATGCCTGCCAGCCACAGGAGAGGGACTCAACTGGGTCCTGGCAACACATAGGACCACAGGGATTACTATTGCTTTTCCTTTTACACCAATGGACTATCATTTCCCCAGTTGCTGCAATCCAGTTAACAGAAGAGGAACTCTAGTTTGGAATACTAGTCTATGTAGCATGTGTCTCCTCTTTTGAGTCATTACATTAATCAACTCCGCTACTGTGAAAAGGGAGAAAAACAAACCTTCAACTCATCCCCAAAAGCAAGAGAAATTCCCAAACGAAATTAGTAGCAACTTCATCCACCCAATGCCACTTTCCTTTCCCATCAGTTTTCCTTTGATTTTTAACTGGAAGGGAAGTGACTGTTCCCCACTTCACTGCTAAAGAGGGAAAGAGGCTGGAAAGTTGTGAGGGGGATGAATGACTTTACTGCTTGTCTTCCCTTCCTTCCTTCGTCTAAGCATGCACACTCATGTACACTCTGAATGCAAGATACAGAGCATAGATGGTCAGGAACTTGGTGAAAACAAGAAATAGTTTCTTTTCACAAGGACACTTAATTCTGAAGCCCCATATATGCTCATTTGTATGATGTGTGAGATGCACAGAGGAATGTCGAAGCCGAATGAGTCTTCCAGATGCAATGGTTCTGTGACTGAACTCTGTTATAGCCACACACCTCCCATCTCACCTCATCTCTCTCACACACACACACACACACACACACACACACACTTGCTCATTTGAGTGAGATTGTCCAGTTCAGAGGATGGCAGTTAACCCCATCATTGTCTACCCTCATTGGCAAGGCAAATGTCACTCTTGTAGTTATAGGAAACAGCAGAAATTAGGAAAAAAAAATTTAATGCATGCTGGGCTTAATACCTAGGTGATGGATTGATAGGTGCAGCAAACCACCATAGCACACGTTTACCTATGTAACAACCCTGCACATCCTGTACATGTACCCCGGAACTTAAAAAATTTTTAAAAAAGTATTTAAAAATACACTTAGTCTTACTGTTATCATACATTAAAAATTGTTTTCCCACACTGGGCCTACCCTAGGCAAAATTGAGAAGATGAAAATATGTGCACTGATTCCTTCTCTCCATCCATCTTTCAGTGCCTGCTTCCCCTTATCCAGTTTCAGGGCAACCAGTGGCCTGGTAGTAAAACTACCTGCTGGAAGTCTGGGCCCACCCACCCTGGTAATGGGAGAGACTCCCATCTGACCCCAGGCAGTCTAATGATTGCGACACCTGGGCAACACCAGGCATTCTAATGGGAGAGACTCCTGCCGACCCTGTGTGGTGGGACTCCATGTTCTGGATTAGTCCTGAGTCCCTGTCTTATATTCTAGTTTCTCAGGAATCTACCAAGGGACTATTTCACCTCATTATCAAATCTTAACCTGATTCATGGTAGGAGGCACTTAGAAATATTAGTTCAGTAAATTATGATTGTGTCCATCTTTTAATGTTTCAAAGATAACATTTACATTTTAACACCTGCCTTCAATAACTTAAAGTGATGAATAAGGAATTTTAGTTGAGGCCATCAAAGAATATTTTTGAAATAAAGGAATCTATTTGATAATCTTTGAATTGTAGCGAAAACACAGTATTGCCTGTCTTCAAATTTTAAGCCTGACCATAATATTTAAATTTATTTACCATCTATCCAGTGGTAGCAACCTTAAGATCGGCTGACACAGATTATTCTGGTACCATAACGTAATGAACTTGATTCTCATCCGGAGTACATTTTTTATTAGTCTGTGGGATCAGAGGCAAAATTTGCAGCAGAGACAGTTCTGTTCATATTTAATTATAAGAACTGTCTTAATAACAAAAGCTGCTGTTTTTATTTCATCTTTCAGAGGCTAAATGCTACTTGAGATTGTTCTTTATGAAATGAAATGAACAGAAGTCCTGGGTCCAACTCTGTGGTGTGTGATTATTCTATTCTAGTTACTTCAAAATCCTGAGGACAAAATACAGCTTGAAATAGAATCTTAGAATGAACCAAAAGTAAGAAATAGGATGCGTTTCATGTCTCCCTGACTCTCAGCTGGGGCTCCATGGTTGCAGAGGACAGGAAGAAGCTGGTTGTGATAAGGGAATGAATCCTCAAAATCCCCTCTAGCAATTAACTCTGGAGGAAAAATAATCTGGGTCTCATTTTGCTTTAAGCATAACTCTTACTATTGAAAGCAGTCCTCCTGCAGTAATTACATCAATTTAGTAAAAAAGGAGGACCATCTTCTTCTGCATGCGAGTCTAGGTGATACCTACCTGTTGCTGGAACAGTTTCATTGGTGAGATCTTTAATAGTAATACTAGTATCTTAAAACACATTGTGGCAATGATTAGATTTATCTATACCTCATTTCCGTGAAGTTGGCAGAATGAAAGGAGGATAATGTTTTTATAGTAGAAAGCAGTAAAACAGACAACTTGGGAATAAAAATGATTGCTCATGTTTCAAGCTGGCCAGCAAGAAGTGACGATCTAAATATAAGAGTAGCTCTGGTTATTTAACTATAACTACAAGTTACTTAGGGAAAAAAAGTCATCCTCAAGGGCCCCTTCCAAGCAATTAAAGTTTGTCTTTGCAATGTGCTAGTGGGGCATCCTCTTTGGTACTGTATATAACATAGCTCTGTAGTATGTTATCCAGATTATTTTCTATTAGCATATCTATCAGGGTTAACTTCATTGCAGCTAGCAGGAAAAATAATGCAAACTGTTTTAAGATTGTTTTAAAAAATAATGTATTGGCTCCTGTAATGAAAAAGCAGAGATCATCTCATCAAGATTACTTAATCAGAGACTCAAGGAGTGCTATCTGGACCCAGTTTCCCTAAGTCTCTGAAAACTACTTTCCTGGGTGTTGGTTCTTTCCAGGTTATATATTGTATTAGTTTCCTAGGGCTGCTCTAACAAACTATCACAATAGAATGTACCCTCCACAGTTCTGGAGGTGAGAAGGGCGAAATCAAGCTGCTAGCAGGATGATGCTCCCTGGGAAGGCTCCAGAGGGGGAACTGTATCATACTTCCTCTCTTGCTTCTGATGGCACCTGTCAGTACTTTGGCATCCTTGGCTTTCAGCTGCACCACGCCAATACCTGACTCTTTGATCATGTGGTCTCTATCCTCTATCTCTGCATCTCTGAATTTCTCTCCTTGTAAGATGCCCAGTCATTGGACTTAGGGACCACCCAATCCAGTTATATTTTATCTTAATGGGATTACATCAGCAAACCCTATTTCTTTTCTTTTTATAACTTAAAGTTTTATTTTAGATTCAGGAGGAATATGTGCAGGTTTGTTACGTGGGTGTATCACATGATGGCGAGATTTGGGGTACAAATGATTCCATCACCCAGGTAGTGAGCATAATACTCAACAGTTAGTGTTTCAACTCTTCTCCCCAACCTCCCTCTTCCCTCTATTAGTCCCCAGTGTATGTTGCTGCCATCTTTATGTTCATGTGTACCCAATGTTTAGCTCCCACTTATAAGTGAGAATATGCAGTGTTTGGTTTTCTGCTTCTGCATTAATTCACTCAGGATAATGGCCTCCAGTTGCATCCATGTCACTGCAAAGGACATTATCTTGTTCTTTTTTATGGCTGTGTAGTATTCCATGATGTATATGTACCACATTTTCTTTATCCAATTGACCACTGATGGGCACTTAAGTTGATTTAGTATTTTTGCTATTGTGAATAATGCTGCAATGAATATACGAGTGCCATGTGTCTTTTTGGTACAATGATTTATTTACTTTTGAATATATACTCAGTAACGGGATTGCAGAGTCAAATGGTAGTTCTGTTTTAAGTTCTCTGAGAAATCTCCAAACTGCTTTCCATAGGCTAGACTAATTTACATCCCCACCAACTGTATATAGGCATTCCCTTTTCTCTGCAGCAGCTCCAGAATGTGGTTGTGTTTTTTTTGACTTTCTGATAATAGCCATTCTGACTGGTGTGAGATGATAGCATATTGTGGTTTTGATTTGCATTTCTCTGATGATTAGTGATGTTGAGCATTTTTTCGTATGTTTGTTGGCCACTTGTATGTCTTCTTTTGAGAAGTGTCTGTTCATGTCTTTTGCCCACTTCTTAATGGGGTTCTTTTTTGTTTTTTGAAATATAATTTTTACAGATTCTGTATATTAGTAATATGTTGAATACATAGTTGGTGAATATTTTCTCCCATTCTTTAGATTCTCTGTTTACTCTGTTGATAGTTCATTTTCCTGTGCTCCAGCTCTTTAGTTTAATTAGGTCCCACTTGTCAATTTTTGTTTTTGTTGCAATTCCTTTTGAGAACTTAGTTATAACTTTTTTCTCAAGGCCAATTTTTTCTCAATGTCAAGAATGATATTTTCTAGGTTTTCTTATAGGATTTTTATAGTGTGAGGTCTTATATCGAAATTTTTAATCCATCTTGAGTTAATTTTTGTCTATAGTATTAGATAGTGCTCCAGTTTCATTCTTCTGCATATGACCTACTAGCTATCCCAGCACCATTTATTGAATAGGGAATCCTTTCCCCATTATTTATTTTTGTTGATTTTGTTGAAGATCAGCTGGCTGTAAGTGTACAGCTTTATTGCTGGGTTCTCTATTCTGTTTCATTTTTGTATCTGTTTTTTGTACCAGTACCATGCTGTTTTGTCTACTGTAGCCTTACTGTATAGTTTGAAGTCAAGTAATGTGATGCTTCCAGCTTTGTTCTTTTTGTTTAGAATTGCTTTGGCTATTCAGGCTCCATTTTGGTTCCATATGAATTTTAGAACAGTTTTTTCTAATTCTGTAAAAAATGACATTGGTAGTTTGATAGGAATAGTATTGAATGTATACATTGCTTTGGGTAGTATGGCCATTTTAACAATATTGATTCTTCCAATTCTTGAGCATGGAATGTTTCCCCATTTGTTTCTGTCATCTATGATTTCTTTCAGCAGTGTTTTGTAGTTCTCCTTGTGGAAGTCTTTCACTTCTTTGGTTAAATGTATTCCTAGGTATTTTATTTTTTGTGTAGCTATTGTAAATGGGATTGCATTCTTGATTTGTCTCTCAGATTGAATGCTATTGCTGCATAGATATGCTACTGAGTTTTGTACCTTTATTTTATATCCTGAAACTTTATTGAAGTCGTTTATCAGTCCCAGGAGGCTTTTGGTGGAGTCTTTGAGTTTTCTAGGTATAAGATTATATCGTCAGTGAAGAGAGACCATTTGGCTTCTTATTTTGCTATTTGGATGCCTTTTATTTCTTTCTCTTGCCTGATTGCTCTGGCAAGGACTTCCAGTACTATGTTGAATAGGAGTGGTGAGAGTGGGCGTCCTTGTCTTGTTCCAGTTCCAGTTCTAGTTCTAGCATTCAAGGAGATGCTTCCAGCTTTTGCCTGTTTAGTGTGATGTTGGCTGTGGGTTTGGCATAGATGGCTCTTATTATTTTGAGGTATGTTCCTTCAATGCCTAGTTTGTTCAGAGTTTTTATCATGAAGGAAGGTTGGATTTTATCAAAGTCTTTTCCTCCCAAACCCCTATTTCCAGATAAAGTTACATTCGTGGATACTGAGCATTAGGATTTCAACATTTGGTTTTGGAGGACACAATTCAACCTACAATATATCCAATAACAAAACGAATGACAGCAGTGCATTGCCTATATATTCCTAGGTTCAAAGTCAGCAGAAAGAAGAGTATGTCTCTCTCCTAACCACTCAGGCAAAACCATGACCTGTCATTCACTGGCCCTAATGTGCTCATCCCTGAGCAGTCACCGTGACCAGAGGGATATGACACCGTGTTTGTCAGACATAAGTGCCCTGCCCAACACTGGAGCACCTAGGCCAAGCATGTAGGAAATGTAGGCTTTCCAGAAGAACATTAGAAATCATTACTAAAGAGTAATGGATACCGGATGGCCAAATAGTTCTTATACATCAAGACAATTTAAAATACGTCCAAGATAATATGATTAATAAAGTATAAATAAAGTAGATATAGCATAGACATGTGGTTACTCTTTACCCATGATGTATTATTTTTCTTTTATGTTTTGTTGAATCCCAGTTTTATTGAGGTATGATTGACTTACATTAATGTGCACATATGTAAAGTGTAAACTTGATGAGTTTTAACATATATGAAACCATTACCACATTCAAGATAATAACTATCTCTATCACCTGCAAAAGTTTTCTTACATCCTCTTGTAATCCACCCTCCCCTGCCCTGCCCATTCCTAGGAAGCTTAATCTGTTTTCTGTCCCTATAGATTAGTTTGCATTTTTAAGAATTTTATATAAATGGAATTATAAGTAGGTATTATTTTGCATCTAGGTTTTCTACTCAGCCTAGTTATTTTTGGTTCTATCCAAGTTGTTGTGTGTATAAATAGCTCATTCATTTTTATTGCTCAGTAGTATTCTATTGTATGGCTATACCACAGTTGGTTTGTTCATTCACGGTTTGTTTATCCATGGACATTTGGGTCATTTTCAGGTTTTAGATATTATAAAGAAAGATCTCAATTGGGAAACGCTTACTTAAAATTAGAATGTATTTTATTTAATTATGAATAAATTATGTGTAAGTGTAACGTTCGTTGCAATATTTATCTAAAATGCTGATAAAATTTTTTCCTTTTTCCTTTCCAGATACTGAGGAGAGCAGACAAAAATGGTAAGACCAAAAATCTACAGTATCTATTTATTAATCTCTTACATTTTATATTACCTTATAAATAATAATCAGGAAAAAGGGGACAGTCCGGGAAAATTACATATAAAATACTACCTTATTGTACTAGTGATCGTTTTAGATAAGTTTTAGGCCCTAAATATTCATAAGAAGTTGGCAGAAGGATTTACATTTGAAAGGAATGTTTATGCCTTTGAAGTGAGGAGCTCTGCCATATTTGGACTCTGGCTTTTCCTTTTCATGCACCAAAAAATAATTTTGCAGCAATAGCAGCTTCTATTCATTGAGTGTCTACTGTGTGCCAGGCATTGGGCCAAGTGCTTTGTGCATATTATGTCCTAGAATTATTACAATACAAAGCTGAGACTGGACCCCAGGTCTGTATGACACGCAAGTCTGGACTCTCCACACTGAGCTTTAACATGGCTTTGGAGATTTTACTGTACTCCAAGAGGTCTGCCTGGAAACCTGCATTGCTAGCTTTATCTCTACCCCATTGTTCCTGGCCACTGCTTTCCTATTTGAAGTGTATGCCCTGGAAATGATAATCTATAGCAACAGAGAAGTAGGAGATGGCAACCTCGAAGTAAAAACTTGCTCTGTTGATTTAATGATGACTGCACAACATCTAAGTTGTCATAAGCAGTATCTTTCGACTCTATTATTCCACTAGAAACTTTGTCCCAGAGAACACCAAATAAAAGCTTGTTTTGTTTTTGTTTTGTTTTGTTTTTCTTTTTGCTGCTATATTATAAGTACCATGGTAGAGGTATATTCTTGACAAGAATTTCTTGACAAATTTAGGATACAAAGGGTTCTTTCCCTTTTTTGAAATCCCATTTATCTATGGGGAGAGATTACAGGCAGAGTCCAGATCTGACAGTTTAAAGACATATGTTGTGGTCTATTTTACCCTTATGCGGGCAGATCAAGAAAAGCTTGACTGACAAGACACACCTTTCTACACAAAAGAAGATTATTAATCCAAGGAACAATGTAATAGCATCCCAAGTCCCAATAATATTTAGTTGTGCTTGGCCATCAAAATATTTTCTCAGACTGTGTTGTGGTGATTGATATATTGTCAGTTCAAATGTGCTTTTTGTTCCCATTTGAAGCATTTCACTATTTTGTTTTTAGTTTTAGTTTTTGGGTTTTTTGTTTTGTTTTGTTTTGTTTTTGAGACAGAATCTCTCTCTGTCACCCAGACTGGAGTGCAGTGGTGGGATCTTGGCTTACTGCAACCTCCGTCTCCTGGGTTCAAGCAATTCTCCTGCCTCAGCCTCCCAAGTAACTTGGAATACAGGCACACTCCATCACACCCGGCTAATTTTTGTATTTTTAGTAGTGACAGTGTTTCACCATGTTGGCCAGGCTAGTCTCAAACTCCTGACCTCAAGTGATCCACCCTCTTCGGCCTCCCAAAGTGCCGGGATTACAAGCATGGGCCACTGCACCCGGCCCATTTGATTACTTTTAAAGACAGAAATAATGATGGCATCATTTTGTCTTCTCATCTCATCCTTTGGTCTTTTGCCTGATATCCAGCCCCAGGGATGCCTGGTGTACAATTGAATAGCCCACCTGTCTCTATGCCACCTGCCTTGTATTTTAATAGCAGTCTCCAGCTCAGAAATGCTTTTGCTCCCTCTCCACCCAAGCTCCTAGTTTTCTCAGGCTATACTTTCATTTCCTAGACCCCAAAGCTCTGATTTAGGTCCACCCTTACCTTTGTATGTATTTCTCTTCTTTCCATCAAAATTAGGATAATCCACAGTCAGAACAAAAAGCACTGAACAAAACAATGCACATGATTCAATGGCTTATGATAACCTCAAATATCGTGCTGCATGAAGTGGTCACTTGCATTGGCAGACCCGTCTCATATTTCCTCACCTGCCCCCACTCTGCCTTCCTTACCGCCTCTCCTAATGTCCATTCCAACATGCTGTCAAACTACCTGCCTTTCTGCTCTTACTTCTCAAAATCTTCCTCATGTATCCTCCTCTGCAGCTGCTGAAGCACTCAGTCCCCCTGGGCACCCTCCATCTGCCACACTGTTATGTTACCCTGCTGTGACCTCCGCCTCCTGTAACTTTCCACCCTCAGTCAGCTTGAGAACACTCACGCTTTGCTTACATTCCTGCTCAAAGACACCTTATCTGGGAAACCTCCCCCAGTTCCCTTGACAGGGCCCCACCCTCTCCCTGTGTTCTCAGCACAATTGGACAAATTAGCACAATTGAGTGTTCTCAGCACTTTGGCACATATTGATTATTGTCCTTAAGGTGGAGACTGCTTGTTGGCTGGAGATTGTATTTCTCTAAGCCAAGCGTGCCTCTCTAAGGCAAGGAACTTATGTTACAAGTAGATGGTATGCCCAGCCAGTGCTAGATGCTCAATAGACATTTGTTTAATGAATTAAGAAGAAAATACAGTATATATACTATTCAGCCTTAAAAGAAAGAAGAAATTCTGTCATTTGTGACAACATGAATGGAATTGGAGACCATTATGCTAAGTGAAATTAGCCAAACACAGAAAGACAAATACCTCTTATACATCTATATCGAGCCTAAAACAATCGAACTCATAGAAGCAGGGGGTAGAATGGTGGCTACAGAGGCGGGGGAGTGAAAGGAGTAGGGAGGTAATAGTTGAAGGGTACAAAGTTTCAGGAGGAATAAGTTTAATTTATTTTTAGATCAATTGCACAGCATAGTGAATATAGCTAATCATTGAGTTCTGTACATTTTAGTACCACCGAGAGTAAATTTCTTCTAATGTTCTCATCACCAAGAAATCGCAAATATATGAGGTGATAGAGACATTAATCTTAATCTTTCCACATTGTATTCAAAAATCATAACATCACTTTTTATCCCATAAATAAATACAACTATAATTTGTCAATTTATGATAACAATTAAAATAAAAGAGGATTGAGGATGTTCTGCTCTATTATTTCTCTCTCTTCTCTCTGTCCACTTTTCCCCCTGCCTTTCATCCCACCTTACTCTTCTCCCTCATTCTCAGTGTAAAGTTGGAGGGAAGCAGAGTCAGGCAGTTTGGGTTTAAACCACAAGTATGCCACCTAGGAACCTTATAAAGAGCATAGGTAATGACCTCTACCATGTCATGTGGTAATTATGAATAATAAATGAGGGACTATCCATAAAGTTACCAGGCAAGTGCCTGGAATGTAGTAACAACTAAACACTTGCTCATTTTGCTGCTATTATGATTAATATCATCTCTATTGCTACTGAAAGCTTGAGCTGTTTTTTCTTCTGTGATGACTTGGCTATCTGAGATACTTTTTAACATTTTAGTTATTTCTATTGCAGTGGAGTTTAGTAGAAAAGAAAAATAAAGCTATTTACCATATATGGAGTATTTGAAAGGGAAAAGGATAGTGGATAATCTAATGTAAATGAGAAGATAAAAGCATATAAAAGTAAGCATCCTTCTGTACCATGTGTTCATGGCATTCTGTATTTGCAAATAGACAGCTGCTACATGTATTTGAGCTCTTGCTAACAGACCCTCATGTGATAGAGTCCCTTGTGGACAGCATAATTGGTGACAGAATAACGAAAGGAAGAAGAGGCAATAGGCAGTATAATTGTTCGCCTGCCCAGAGGACAGATTTAGCTTTTGGAATCTATCTGACATCTGACAAAAAAGAGAAGCTGCTGGATAAATTGGGTGGGGTGGGAGGGATACACATTAACGATTAGCTATAATAATGACATCTTGGAGAGATTTTTTTGGTTGGTTTTTTTTTTTAATCATAGGCTAGGATCCTAAACATAAAGATAGCCTTCAGAGTAGGATTGCTTAGGAGAGATGCTAGTGCTTTGAGCCAAAGAAACCCAAATTCAAATTTTTAGAAATATAAAACTTCTGAGGAAGCTTATTTACAGGTTGAATGAAAATGGAAATGATACATGGGTATTTATACAATTTGCAAAAATATTTTTTAAATTTAAATATATTTTATTTTAAAATATTTAATTGGGAAATAAAGGTCAAATATATTCAAGGTATATAATATGATGATTAGATAAATGTATACATTGTGTAATTCTTACAATAATCAAATTAATTAAAACATTCATCACCACCCATCGTGTACATTAGAGCCCCAGAACTTGTTCATCTTATAACTGAAAGTTTGTACCCTTGACTATCATCTCCCATTTCCTCCACCCCCAGCCCATGGCACCCACTATTGTACTCTCTGCTTCTACGAGTTCAACTTTTTCAGATTCCACATGTAAGTGAGATTGCACAGTATTTGTTTTTGTGTGGGGTGGGGGGCAAGAATAGCTTTGAAATCTTAGTAAGAGGCAAAATGAAAAGCTTCATAGTAGTGAATAGCACCATTGGATTCCTCTTGTTGATTTGCACTTGCTAAGGTCTGCTATCATTCTTGATCAGTAAGTAGGAAGGCTATATGGGTGGCACAATTGATCCCTGTTTAATCACTGTTCCCTCTAAGAGATTGTTATAGTTCTCCTCAGGACTTTAGTCCAATCCAGCAGCCTGCACGTATTAAATTTGTGAGAGCAGAGATGGTGCCTATTTCACATACCCCCAGGTCCACCGTGGTGAGCAAAATGCCTGCTGCAACACAGACATTCATTAATATTTGTGAATTATTTGTAAGAAATGCATAACCAACAATTTCACTGAAGAAATATAATCATATATATAATTTAATCAAACAAAGCACTGTTGTTATTTATCTGTTGTTTATTAATTAATAATGTTCGATAAAATGTATGGAGGACATATTACAAGCTGAGTCCTACCCTCTGTGATTTATATACATTGTCTTCAATCATTATGACAAGCCAACAGAATAAACAGTTTAGAGCAGTGGCGAGAACATAGGCTTTGAGGTCACACAAGCCCATGCTTGGCTGTGCCTCCTTCTAGCTTTATGACCTTGAGCAAGTTGTTCAAATTCCCTGTGCCTCAGTTTCCGCATCTGCAAAGGAAGGATAATAATATTACTTCTCATAAAGTTGTTTTGAGAATTAAATGAGATTATGCCTCTGAAACACTTATCCTGATCTCACCTAGTGATAATTGCTCAATATTTTTAGCTATTTTTATTATTTTCCCTATTTTTTAAGTGAAGCAAATGAAGCTCAGAGATGTCAGATAACTTTCTCCAGGTTACATTGTATGTTAACAGTAGCACCAGATTAGTGAACCCAGGTCTATTTCACTTCATATTTGGTGATTTTTTTTCACTTTGTTGTATATGCACCTATGTCACCTATGTATGTATTTCAGACTACAAATATACAAATATAATTATAGTTAGAGCCTGAATTTGTATACATCTTGAATATGATGTTCTGATGCTTCAATATGTGGTAGTTTAATTGATTTAATGCATTTGATGTTTCCTTGGTAGTCTGAATTATGAATGAATGACTAATACACCTCCAGAAAATAATGTTGGCAATGAAAATCCTAGCCTAAGAATAGTTGATGTAGTATTTATGTATTTAGAGATACTTTAAATACTTCATTGGATTATGATCAATTAATTTGGAATTGATTATGTAAGAATTGGTAATAGTCTTTCCAAACCGGTCACCTAAAGTTTGGTTTATTCTATTAACATGTAAAAATATGACCTTGAGTAGAAGCTGGAACAAAGGTTCGGTACGTATGAGTATTTCCAATAAAGGCTGGGTCATCACCTAGCAACACTTCAGAGTCCCGCAGAGCTCTGTGATTCTGTCTTTCGCACTTGGGAATAAAGCTGCCCTTTGATGTGAGCTATTCAGTCAAGCATCACCACCCCGCACTGTGCTCTCCAGACCCTCTTATCTTCTAATCAGGGCTCCTAGCTCCAGGTAAAATGTAAAGATTAAGGGCCGGGCCCTAGAAATGAGGGACATTGACATAAGGCTCTGTATTTCATAATTCCTCATACTTTTTGCAAACATTTTTGGGAAAATAATGAAACTGAGAATCAGATAACTTATAGATTAGTAGGGTTCTCACATAGCTCTGTACTCATATGTTAACTCTCAGGTACATGCAGACACCTCAACTACACATCTACCAGCTCGAAAGTCAAAGCAAAGTCTATTAGAAGTGATTCATTTAAAAAAAGTGCCCTAGCAATGACCTTATTGCAAGAAATGTCTCCTCCACCACTGCAAAATATGTGGGAGAAACCCATGAGTGCAAGTTCTGAATGTAATGATTTTTTTAACAAAATAAAGAAAAATAAATTTTCTATTTTCATAGTATGACTTTTTTTTTCTAAAATGCAAAGCACTTTCACACCCATAAATGTGTTACTTTTCTGTTAAAAGCAGAAAACGGAAAATTCTTATCTTTACATAGCTGGGTTTATCAGCTGCCACAGAAACAAACAGAAATTTCAGATTCACTTTCCTGAGCCCTCAAAATGGCTCCCAAGGGCTGTCAAAGGCTCAAAAATCAGGTCCTGCTCCAGATCCTGGAGGGCACACAGCATAGACTTATCCCAAAACGTGGCTGCTACCTTAAGTGCTTTCTGTAATGGGCATCTGTGGTTGTCATCCCAGCCTTCCTTTCCTTTCTGTTCCTGCAATTTAATCGTCTACTCTGCTCCATCTAGATCCCAGAGATATGTAGCATAAGGGTTAAGCTTATGTATGATTTTGCAGTCAGATTACCTGGGCTCAAATCCCCATTCCACTTACTGTGCAATTTGGGTAACTTAATTTCCCCACCTGTGAAGTGGAAATAAAGGCAATGCCTCTCTCACAGACTTGTTGGAAAATTAAATAGATCATACACAGAAACTCTTGGAAAGGTGCCTGGCCCTTAGGAAGTTCTTAATAAGTGTTACCTATTTCCATTTTTTCATCCTAATCCTTTTTTTCTTTTCTTTTTTTTTTTTTTTTTTTTTTTGAGATGGAATCTCACTTTGTCGCCCAGGCTGGAGTGCAGTGGCACAACCTCGGCTCACTGCAACCTCCACCTGCCGGGTTCAAGCAGTTCTCCTGCCTCAGTCTCGCAAGTAGCTGGGACTACAGGTGCGTGCCACCATGCCCGGCTAATTTTTTGTATTTTTAGTAGAGACGGGGTTTCACCATGCTGGTCAGGCTGGTCTCGAACTCCTGACCTCATGATCTGCCCACCTCAGCCTCCCAAAGTGCTGGGATTACAGGCGTGAGCCACCGCGCCCGGCCTTTTCATCCTAATTCTTATTCTTATTTGGCGGGACTGTCAATCACAATGTCCTGGTGCTGAATTTTTCACATGGCAGTGCCCAGAGGTCTGTCCATGACCACCTTACTAAGACTCCAGAGCTGCACTAGTGTTTGTTCTGCCTTTGCCCTGGTCATTCAGCTTTTCTTATTGTTTGCAAACCAATAATCCTAGTTGAAATTCTCGTGTGTCTTGGAGTTGGTGCTTTGCGCCCAGCCACCTGACTTGCCCCTCTAGATGTGTCTCCATCTCAGGACAGGAACCACCAAGCAACCCTTGTTCCAACCAAAAGTTTCAGAGGCTTCCACAACTCTTCTCTTTCTCTAGTAATTCCACATCCAATCTATTAGCAGGGCCTGTTGGCTCCACTGTCAAAACATCTTCAAAACCTAGTCACTTCTTGCTATTTCCAAACCTTCAACCCTAATTAAAGCCTCCTTAATCTGGCACTTAGCATACAGCAAAAATTTCCATATTAGAGCTATTGAAGACTTCAGAAAATCAGTGGCAAAGATGATAGAGATAAGAAAATGCATTTGATACTTTTGGATATATAATTAGCAGATTTGGTAATTAATTGGAAGTGTTAAGTAAGAGAGATGAAGGCATTTACTGACGTGGACATGTGCAAGGTTGTGTATGTTTCAGATTTCCAGTTTCTGACTTCAGTAACTAGATGGATAATGAGGCTATTAACTTCTTTATGGTTATGAAAGTGCCTTACATGTGAAAAGCTTGATTTTGTTGTAATATTGGTTACTTTTAGTTATGAGAGTTCTCCTGTGAATATCTGTTGATCTAGTAATAAGTGATATTTCTGTGTTTTTCTTAATATTCAAAATCACACCTAAGTTGTTAAAAAATACTGAAAAATGTAATAGCCTCTATATTATCAACTCTTTATGGCCATGAGAATATTGGTTTAGACTTTACAAGAAAATATTACAGTAATAACAGTAAACAATCTTATTAAAAGATTATTATGCTGTGTGAGGCATAATTTTATTTAATCTGTATAACAATATTGCAAGGAAGATACTGTCATTGTCCCAATTTTATTTATGAGTAATCTGAGACATAGGGAACTCGTCCAAGGGCATGGAGTGAGTAAATAGGATTTGTATCCAGATTTTCTTCTAAACTAAAAGTCTTAGCACTTAACCAGGATGCTTCATTTGCTGTGGCTCATCTCTGTAGCAGAATTGTGCTGTTGAAATCTAGAAATACCAACATTTCCACATGGAGAATCCTAAATGATTCAGTGTAATTTAAAAAAAAGACAAAAGTATTTGAAATTATTTTGGCTATGTTCCTGTTTTAAGGTGGCATGGTATGATGGAGAGTTGGAACTTTAATCTGCCATTTGTTCATTCACTCATTCCTTTATTTGCTTAATATTTTGTGAGTGCTCTTTAAATGCCGGAGACTGTGCTAGATGGCGGGAATACAAAGACAAAAGAATACATTTACTTTAGTATACATTTACTTGGATGTGATCTTAGACTAATTCATTAACCTCTCTGAGTTCATTTCCTCATTTTTTGAAAATAGGAATAATAAGAATTGGCAGGACTACTGGGAAGAAAAAGCCAAGTAAATATAGTTAAAGTCCCAAGGATGTTGTTTAGAATATTGTGAGTAATCAAAACATGTCAGTTCCCCTTTGCCTTCACTAATTTCTTATAGGTTCTAAAGATATGATTTCTTCACTTGCGAACTAAGGAAGGCAGACTATAAAAAAACTGAGCCCTTACAAAATTTTACGTTACTAGGAAAAATTATATACTTATGTAATAAAGGGAACTCACCTTTGATTTTTGCACATGGATTTGAGAAAACTTAGTCAATAAACTCTAAACTCTTAGAGATTTGAGGTGGGGTAAGGGGCATGGTGTTCGGGGACAACATTGTCCTCTGGGAGCTCAGCATCTTCTTGATAGATGAGTCATGCACATGGAGAAAATTGAATATTTTTCTTTTCTTTTTTTTTTTTCTTTTTTTTGAGACAGAGTCTTGCTCTGTCTCCCAGGCTGGAGCGCAGTGGTGCAATCTCGGCTCACCGCAACCTCCACCTCCCAGGTTCAAGAGATTCTCCTGCCTCCGCCTCCCGAGTAGCTGGGACTACAGGCGCTTGCCACCATGCCCGGCTAATTTTTTGGGGTTTTGTTCAGCAGAGACAGGGTTTCACTCTGTTAGCCAGGATGGTCTCGATCTCCTGACCTCATGATCCACCTGCCTCGGCCTCCCAAAGTACTGGGATTACAGGCGTGAGCCACTGCACCTGGCGAAAATTGATTAATTTTCAACATCAACGTCAACAGCACAACTCTGCTACAGCGAAGAGCTACAGCAAATGAAGCATCAATAATTTCAATGCGTTCACAATGCAAGAGGCATCACTAAGCCAAATGAGTGAGAAAACACCCTAATGCATTAGAGTTCTGAGGAGGAAGAGGTCTCTGGGATAGGATGGCCTAGGAAGGCTTATGGACTCATTGTCCTCAAATAAATCTCCAAAGATGAATAAAAATTCAGATAGCTAGCAAAAAAGAAAGATGATTATCAATTAGGACCAATTCAGTTTAAGTGACAGAAAACTAATTCAGATTAAAGTAAAATTGGGAAATTGTTGGCTCCTATAATTGAAAAACCCCCCAAATGGTAAAGCTTTGAGTACAGCTTTATCTAGGTGTTCAGAAATTACTCTCTTTATCTATCTCCTTTCTTGTCTCTACATCTCAACTTTGGTTTGTGTCTGGTTGGTCTTCCTTTCAGGTAGGCTTTCTTATCAAGGTGGTGAGATAGTACCTAGAACCCATCCCACCAGTTCAACAGGTCAGAATAAAGAGAGAATTTCTCCTTTACATTAATTTTAGCAAAAATCTCAAGATTTTCTCTGATTTATCAACTAGTCACATGCCCATCCTTAAAGCAACAACTGAGGGTTTGGATGAAGTGGTTTTCTAGGCTTAGATTATATACACACCCCCAGAGATGATGGGTGCATAAAGCTGCACCTCAAATAGAGTTGGAGAGACAGCAGATGATCTCTCAAGCAAAAATCAGTGTTTCTACCAAAAGAAGAGAGAATAGATGTTGACCAGGCAAAATTAACAGATGTTCCTCTTTTGGAGGGTAAACTAGCTGAAAAAGCAGTGATTATCCAGTGAGAATGCAGGTATAGAGGAGGGGAAATGCAAGCGATTCGATTATGTACTGTACTCCTCTTTCTACCTCTAATGCCTGTGTTAAAATATTTAATTTTCATTTACCAGTGAAATTTGTCTACAAATGGAGTATTCTTCACGTTGCTAATTTTGAATCTACATCCGCTACAAACTAAATATTCCTCCGACACGTTTCATCTGTCATTCTACGAAAGCCTGAGTAAATAGAAGTGTTTTTTTCTTACTTTTCTCCTAGGCTCACATAAAATGTTATTGTTAATTCTCCATGGAAATGACATTAAACGGATTTTTTTCACTAAATTAGGAGCACATTCTTTCTAGCCACGAAAACTAATACACATTCATTCCCTCAGAATGAAGACAGTTTTTTTCATTTTCCCAGCACATTTCCAAGTGACAAAAATATTTTGATGTAACAAATGAGCCTTCCCCAAAAAGTACCTAAATATATGATGTCAAGTCAGTAACGAGCCAAGCATTTGACTGAATTATTTATTTTTCTACCTGATATCTGAGCATTTGGTTGATTTTAAACTGAGAGCAGCTTTAAAGACCCGCTTCCAGGAATGGGTCTCGGGAGGCGTGCTTTCCGGCCCCTCATCTGAATCATTTAACCTTGTCATATTTCAGTTTCCTTACCCTCCTGAAAAGACAAATAAGAAGATGAAACTACTTCAAGAAATTATTGTGACTATAGTCAATAAAATTTAGACTAAAAGTACCTCGCAAAATAACAGATCAAAATATACTTACTTGTGGCAGGGCGCGGTGGCTCACGCCTGTAATCCAGCACTTTGGGAGGCGAGGCAGGCGGATCACGAGGTCAGGAGTTTGAGACCATCCTGGCTAACACGGTGAAACCCCGTCTCTACTAAAAATACAAAAAATTAGCCAGGCGCGGTGGCGGGTGCCTGTAGTTCCAGCTACTCGGGAGGCTGAGGCAGGAGAATGGCGGGAACCCGGGAGGCGGAGCTTTCAGTGAGCTGAGATCGTGCCACTGCACTCCAACCTGGGCGAAAGAGCGAGACTCCGTCTCAAAATAATAAATAAATTAAATAAATAAATATATATATATGTATATATACACACACACACACACACACACACACACACACACACACTTGTATAAGCAGTGACACATGAAACGAATTTCATTTCTCCAAATAATCTGTAAAATACATGGAGCCAGGGTAGAATGTCTAGAGTTAAGAAACTGAATCTGTTGAGTCTATTACTGAGTTAAATATATGTTATATTTCAATATCTAATATGAATAAGTATAACTAATTTTGCCATGTTGATAATGTAGAGTCAGCTTTTAATATATTTTAATATGTTAAAATATTTTAATGCTACATAATTTTCATGTTTTATTATTATCATTATTATTTTAGAGACAAGATCTCACTCTGTCACCCAGGCTGGAGTGCAAGTGGCGTAATCATAGCTCACTATAACCTTGAATTCCTGGGTTCAAGTGATCCTCCTTGTCAGCCTATTGAGTAGCTAGTACTACAGGTGCACACCACCACACCCAGCTAATTTTTAAATTTTTTTTGTAGAGACAGGGTCTCACTATGTTGCCCAGGCTGGTCTCAAACTCCTGGCCTCAAGTGATCCTTCTGCCTTGGCCTCCCAAACTAATTTTTCAAAAAAGTTTTTGTTTTAAAAGTTTTAGATTTACAGAAAAATTGTGAAGCTAGTGTACAGAGTTCCCATATAACCCAAAACCAAGTTTCCCTTGTTATTAAACACATTATAATTAATTAGTATGGTACATTTGTTGTAACTGATAAATCTATGTTGATAAATTATTTGTCTACTAAAGTCCACACTTTGTTCAGATTTTTCTTAGTTTTTGCCTAATATTCTTTTTCTGTTCCAAGATCACATCAAAGATACTGAGACTGCATTCAGTCATTATGTCTCCTTAAGCTCCTCTTGGTTGAAACAGTTTCTCAGACTTTCTTTGATTTGATAATCTTGACAAGTTTCAAGGAGTACTAGGTCTGCTATTTTGTAGCATGCACTTCATTTGGGATTTGTCTGGTGTTTTTCTCTTAATTAGACTGGAATTATGTGTTTCGGAGAGAAAGACCACAGAGGTAAAATGCCATTACATCATATCAAGGATACATATGATCAATATGATTTAGGATGCTGATGTTGATATTGATCACCTGGCTGAGGTAGCATTTGTCAGCTTTCTCCACTGGAAAGTTTACTCTTTCACCTCTTTTCATACTTTACTCTGTAGGAAAGTCACTATGCCCAACCCACACCCAAGGAGAGGGGAGTTATGCTCTACCTCTTTGATGGTTGAGTATTTCCATGAATTATTTAGAACCCTTCTGCATGGGAGATTTGTCTATTTTCTTATTTATTTATTTAACATTTATTCACAACATTATGGACACATGGATATTTATTGTATACTTTGGATTATAATCCAATATTACTCAATTTGTTTTGTTCTTCAAATTTTCCCTCTTTGGCCATTGGGAGCTCTTTTAGTTGACTACTGTGTTCCTTTGACATACCCTCATAATTATGGGTGGGGAGTTTTTACATTCTGGTATTAACAGATGCTTCAGGCTCATCTTTTATAATCTCTACTCCAGTCCTAGAAAAAATTATTTCTCTGAGGAACTCAGGTCTTTTTTATCAGAGAATGTTATTAGAAACCAAGGTCTGGATAATTGTGCTCATTGTTACTGATGTGTCATCATTGCTTCTAAGCCCTTTCAGCTAAGAAGCAAGGAAATACATATGTGTATACTAACCCATGTATATGCACATATCTATAAATATTTCTGTATGTACCCATGGGTATCTATACTGAGCTAAACATGAGTTTATATTAATGTCTCAGACTCTAATCCATTACCACATGGATCGTTCTAGACTCCTGTCTTTGCTTGTCCATATCCTCTTACTCAATAGTGAGAAAACTGGCTCCTAGCCTCAGCCACCTATTTACATAATTGTTTAATCCCAGTCTACATGTGTACCAGTATCAGAATGTTTAACTCATAGCCTATGGAAAAAAACTTCATCGACTACAGCACAGTCTTATATACAGTTTCTTTTGCCTTTAGCTTATAGACTTCACTATTTTACAGTTACTTAAGTTAGCACCACTCTCCCTCAATCCCTCCAGTGAGATTGTTTTGTACATTCCTAATACAGTTAAATTGTTTTGTCACATTCTGCATTCTATCCTGAGATTCCCTGAACTCTTAAATTATTTTTTAAGATTTTGCATGCATTAAAGTTCATTCTTTGCACAGTAAATTTCTATAGGTTTTGGCAAATGCATGTTATATATCTATCATAGCATGTCATACAAAATAGTTTACCTACCTTCAAAAGTCCTCTGTTCTTGTCCTATTCACCCCTCCCTCCAACCTCCCCAAACTCCTGACAACCACTGATCTTTTTGCTATCTTTATAAATTTGCCCTTTCCAAAAGATCATAAAATTGGAATCATATATTATGTAACATTTTCAGACTAGCTTCTTTCAGTTAGCAATATGGATTTAAGATTCATTCAAGTTTTTCCATGACTTCATAGCACAACTTTTTATCATTGTATAATATTTCATTGTGTGGATGTATCAAATTATTTTATCCATGCGTCTACTTCAGTTGAGCTACTTCAGTAGAGACATGAATAAAATAATTTGTTTCCCATTTTTTGTGATTATGAACAAAGCTGTGATATACATTCACAGGCAGGTTTTTAAGTGGAAAAAATTTTCAAATGTTGGATAAACACCTAGGAATGTGATTGCTAGATAAGAATGTACCAAAATGTCTTCCAAAGTGGCTAAATTATTTTGCTTTTCTACCAGTAATGAATGTTTCCATTGCTCCACTTTCTAGCCAAAAATTGGTATTATCAGTTTTTTTCAGGTTTTGTATCTCATTACTGTTTAAATTTTCAATTCCCTAATGACCATATGGAACATCTCAAATGCTTGTTTGTCATCTGCATGTCTTCTTTGGTAAAGTGTCTGTTTAGATCTTTTGCTGATTTTTAGTTGGCTTTTGTTTTCTTACTGTTGAGTTTTAAGAGTTCTTTGTATATTATGGATATAAGTCCTTATTCAGATATGGGTTTCGCAAATATTTTCTCCCAGACTGTGGCTTGTCTTTCATTCTCTTAACAGTTTCCCCTCCTCACAGAGCAAAAGCTTTTCATTTCAATGAAGTCCAATTTATTAATTTTTCTTTTATGATGTTGTATCCAAAAGCTCATCATTCAAATCACGGTCACTTAGATTTTCTCCTAATTTTTAATTTTAAATGTAGGTCTAATATCCATTTGAAGTTAATTTTCGCTATCTCAAAGGTGTTAGGTCTGTGTCTAGATTAAATTTTCATACATGGATATCCAGTGATTTATGCACTATTTGTTGAAAAGATGATCTATCCTTTCTTCATTGAAGTGCCTTTTCTCCTTTGTCAACAATCAGTTGACTATACTAGTGTGGGTATACTTCTGGACTCTAAATTCTGATCAGTTTATTTATGCATGTATTGTTTTACAATACAACACTGGTTAAATTACTGTAGCTTTACAGTAAATCTTGCAATTGGGAAGTGTCTGTCCTCAAACTTTATTCTTCCTCTTCAGTATTGTGTTTCCTATTCTAGGTCTTTTTTGGAATCAATTTTTAAACACCACAGAGTACTTTCCTGGGATTTTGGTTGAGGTAACATTGAATCAATAGATTAAGTTGGGAAGGATTGACACCTTAATGATATTGAGTTTCCAACCCATGGACGTAGAATATCTCCTTATTTACTTACTTAGATCCTATTTAATTTCTTTCATCAGAGTTTTGTAGTTTTCTGCATTTAGAACCTTTACAATTTTGTTGGATCTACACCAAACTATTTTTCAGCTTCGATTATAAATGGTATTGTTTTAAATTTCTAATTCCAATTGCTTATTGCTGAAATAAGTAAAGCAATTGACTTTTGTATATTAACCTTGTATCGTATGACTTTGGTATATTTGCTTTTTAACTCTAGGGTTTTTGTTTTGTGTTTTGCTAATTTGGGAGATTTTCTACATTGATAATTATGTCATCGTGAAGAAATACAATTTTGTTTCTACCTTCCCAATCTATATAATATATATCCTTTATTTCTGCTTCTTGTCTTAGCAGCAGGTAGGACTTCCTATATATTATTCAATAGGATTGGTGAAAAAGGATACTTCCTAGGATTTCTTCTCAATCTTAAGGAAAAAAACATCTGCTTTCCCACCATTAAGTATGATGTCAGCTATAGATTTTTTTTGTAGTTTTTTTTATCAAGTTGGAGAAGTTTTTTTCTATTCCCAGTTTGCTGAGAGTTATTAATGGGTGTATGATTTTTCAAATGCATTTTCTTCATCAGTTGATATAATATGATTTTTTCCTATTTAGCCTGTTGATTTTGTGGATTACATTGATTGATTCTTAAATATCAATTCAGCCTTCCATACCTGAATTAAATTCCACTTGATCTTGGTGTGTAATTTTTAAGCATTGTTGGATTTGATTTGCTAATATTTTGTTGAGAATTTTTGCATTTATGTTCATTAGCTATATTGCTCTGTTGTTTTCCTTTTTGTAATGTTTTTATTTGGTTTTGGTATTAGGCTAATGCTAGCTTCATAGAATGAATTAGGGAGTGTTATTTATGCTTCAGTTTTCTGAAAAAGATTATGGAGAATTGCTATCATTTGTTGCTTACATGCTTGGTAGAATTTACCAGTGAAACCATTTGGTCTGTGCTTTATTTTTTGTAAGGTTATTAATAACTGATTATTTAATATATATCAATCTACGGAGATTAACTATTTCTCCTTGGCAGTTTTGTGTCTTTCAATGAATTGATCCATTTCAGGTAAATTATGAAATTATGGACATAGAGTTGTTCATAGTACTACTTTATTATCCTTTCAATGTTTGTGGGAACAACAATGATTAACTCTTCCTTCATTTTTGATATTGATAATGTGTGTTTTCTCTCACTTTTCTTGCTTAGGCTGATTAGAGGTTTATCAAGTCTATCAATCTTTTCAATCATATTTTAGTTCTGTTTATTTTCTCCATAGTTTTCCTATTTTGAATTTCATTGATTTCTGCCCTAATTTTTATTATTTATTTTCTTCTGCTTATTTTGAATTAAATTATTTTTCTCTCTTTAGTGTCCTAAAGTTGAAGCTCAGATATTGATTTTGGTTCTTTCTTCTTTTAACATTTCTTGCAGAGCAATTCTGCTCACAATTAATTTGTTCAGTTTTATTTGTTTGAGAAGGACTTTATTTCACCATTACCTTTGAAGAGATTATCTAGATTGTGATGTTTTCTTTCAATACTTTAAATATTTCACTGCATATTCTTACTGCTTGCATTGTTTCTGACAAGAAGTCCACTGTAACTGCAATTCTTCTCCTTAGCCCTCTATAGCAGAGATGCTTGTTGTTTTCTTCTTGTTCTGTCTACATTTCCTCTTTGTCTTTGGTATGTTGCAGTTTGAATCTGATATATTGAGGTATGAGTTTGGTTTTGGGTGAGGGGAGATTGATCCTCTTTGGTACTCTCTGAGCTTCCTGGATCAGTGGTTTGGTTTCTGTCATGAATTTTGTCTTGGCCATTATTATTTGAAATATTTCTTTTGCCCTGTACTCTCTTTCTTCTTCTGGTATTCCAATTACATGTAACACTTTTTGAAATTTCCCAGAGTTCTTGGATTTTTTTAAATTCTCTTTTTGCTATGCATTGTTGTTTCAGAAAGTCAGTGTTTTAAAAGTATAATAATTTTAAATGCTCACAAAAACTAGATTAAAATTGTCACAGGGGAGGAGAAATACCGACATTTCTATTGACCTATCCTCAAGTTCTTTCATTCTTTCTTCAGCTGTGTCAAGTCCACTGATAAGCCCAACAGAGGTATTCTTCATTTCTGTAACAGTTTTTATTTATTTCTAGTATTTTTTTCATTCTCTGTTAGAATTTTTATCCGTCTGTTTACATTACCCATCTCTCCTTCCATATTGTTTACTTTTTTCCAGTAGAGCCATATTAATCATAGTTATTTTAAATTTCTTGTTTCATAATTGTATGATTTGTGTCATATCTGAATCTGGTTTTAATGCATGTTTTGTCTCTTCAGACTGTGCTTTTCCTTGCATTTTAGCATGATTTGTGAATTTTTGTGTGTGTGAAAGCCTGGCATGATGTATCAGGTAATGGGAACTGAGATAAATAGGCCTCTAGTATGAGGATTTATGTCAATCTCACTAGGATGGGCTGTGTTTAATGTTTGCTCTAGTGGTAGGGCCAGAAGCTTCAAATTCCTTTTGTGTCTTTTTGTTTTTTCTGTTGACTCTGAGTTTCCCTAAGTATTCCCCCTCAAAAGGACTAAGTCTGGCAGCTCTTTCAGCTGTCATTCACCAATATCATACAGGAGTCCTTCTGTGGTGGTAAGGAGTGGGGAAGCAGACTTGATCTCTAAACTTATGATTAAATCTGAGTCTTTTTGTGGGCGTGTGTGCCTGGGCTGACACTTTTGCAGGTGTTTTTTAGCTGTCCATGCTCTTAGTTGAGGAAGAAAGGTTAGTATAAACTATGGTGAGAAAAATGCCCGTCCTCTCAGGTGGGACAGGGCTCTGGTAAAGTCTTTGACCTGGAGAGTAGATCTTTTTTTAGGGAGAACATTTGGGGTATATTTCTTGATAACTCTTCCCCTTCCCCTGCCAGAGCCACAAAGGAATCTTTCTTACCTCCTCACTGTGAGAAACTGGTGAAGTTTCTGGAGGTAAAACCCACCAAAGTATGGAGGTTCCCCAAAGGCTGCACCCCCAGCAGTTTCTCCCTCTCATGCTCATCCACAATCAGCCTCCAGCAATTCATCAAAACTACCATTAAAGGGTCCCTCTCAGTTTATGGCTACAGTAGCTTCTGTTCCAAATAAGCAGGTCTTAGCTGTGATTCTCTGCTTTTACCTGTCTTTCCAGATTTGGGGTAGCAGTTTACCCTGACTTCAGTTGTCCAATGAATCGAAGAAAAGTCATTGAATTTCAGGTTTTTCAGCTTTTTGTTGTTTTAAGGACAGAAATGACATCTAAGGCTTAATGTTGGAGCTAAAATCAGAAGAGGTATTTTATTTTCATTTATATATTGTTAGTAAGTTGTTTTAAAACAAATATATGACATGTAAAGGTCAGAATAGGAGTAATTAAATTCAGTAATAATTTCTATGAGTTCATTTGGTTCTAAGGATTCCATTATTATTATTGAACATGATGTTTTCATTTTGATAAACTACAATATTTAAAGTGTTCAAAAATGCTAAAGTAATACATAAGTGAAAAACCAGTGTTTTGAGAGCATAATCATTTTAAATGCTCACAAAAACAGGATTAAAATTGCTGTGGGGGAGGGGCAATACTCAGATCAGAGCTCTAGTTGTTGTCATGTTTGTGGATGCAGCTTGAAGGAGACATTAAATTACTGTTTAAATAGTCTTTTTTTTTTTTTTTAAGAAGCACTAGTTTTAAGATTTACAAACCTGATTACCTAAAAAAAAAGTCTGTCATTAAACATACCTTAAATACCCATTTTCTGTGTGTACTCAATAAATATTTTTCAAGGAATAGTAGAAAATGGAAATTAAAAACACATAAATGATCTTCACTTAGCAAGAGTGAACTAGTAAATCCATATCTACCATTGTTGAACTCTTACTATGTGCTAGGTGCTGTGTTAATTGTTTTCTATATAGCCTTTCTCTTAATCCTCTCAATAGCCAGGCATTTACGAAATCTGAAACTTAAAGGAATTAGTTGGTACTTCCAACATTCTTTCTGGACCCTTTTCTTCCTTGTTGTAGGCATTCTCCCTGGGAGAACTCACTCACTTCTAAGTCAATTACTTGGTATTGGTAACTCCCAAGCATACACCTCAAGCCCCCATCGCCCATTGACTTTTCTAGACCCCTGTGATTCTACTACTGTGCACTAGATGCCTCTACTTACTCCACAGGTACCCCCAATCTCAACATATCCAGAAGAACACTCTTGGCTCACTCCATGCTTTTGCTCAGTGTTCTTTCTAGCAATGAATGGTGATACCATCCATCTGTTGCTCAGTTTGGAAAGCAAGTCTTATCCACACTAAGGTTTCCAAAATATGACTGTGGCTCCTGAGCACTCTTGGGGTAAATTAAAATCTCTTTATCACAATTTTGATGGTTTCTCATATTTCCTCTTCATATCTAACTCTGACTCTTCCTTCTATCCTCCAAATATATACCCTTTGGCTAAGTATAGTGATTTTTCTTTTCAGTTTCCAACCCAAGTCTTTTCTTGCCTCCTAGCCTTGTCATTTGCATTCCCTCTGCCTGGAGTACTCTTTCTCTTTAAAGATCTTCCTTCACTAACCCCTATTTTTCATCTGTGTCTCATCACAAGTGCCACTTCTTCTGGGAAACCTTCCCTATCCCTTTATAGCTAGACTTTTTTTTTTCTTTTTTCAAAATGCTCTCACATCGCCCTGTGTCTCGTAGAATCCCCCTTATTATATCGTACCATTTACTGTGTCATAATTATAAGATCCATAAAAGCTTGTCTACCTATGTTCTTAATACAAAACACAGTTTTTTGGCACATACTAGGACCTTGATAAACATTTGATGAAAGAGTGGATAAAGTGCCCTACTAGCAAATGGCAAAACGTGTTAAAAACTAAAGATTTTTTTATCCCAAGACTGTGGTCTAAGCAACTGCACTCTGCTGCCTCCATCTCAAAAAATTATTGGAATTTGGAACATAAGGCCAGGATAATTTTTAAGTAAAGCAGAGGAGGGCCAACTATTTTCAGGATAAACTTGGACAAAGCATGTAATTCCAGTTGAAAAAGCTGAAAAACCTGTACCCTTTGGTGGTAAAAGTTCAAATTTATTACCATAGGAAATCAGACCTCACAAGATTTGGCTATTCTGTGAGCCAAACCAGTATAAATCAAAGGTTAACTCTGTTGTTCCATTTCAAAAGAAAATATCAACAGGAAAGTTGAAGTTTGAATAAAATGTTTCTAATACAAATTTATAATTGCTTTATAAATACAGAATCATACTACAAGGGAATATTTTTCCCTTTCCTTTAAAAAATGTAATACTTTTGTTTAACATTAAGGCTCTAGTCTACAACTCTTCAAAAGTAACTCTTTGCAATTGCTTATTTAAAAGTGTGGCCACCTAAAGTGAAGTCTTTCAGGAATACTGCATGTGGTCACAACAGGTTTTCAAAGCATACTTTCCACCCTTCAAGCCAAGACTATAAGCTAATGCTTCCTTTTTCTTTTTATATATTTTTTTCTAATAAGAGGATTTTTTTCTAAATAAAAGTCTTTTAGCCCCAGAGAATCATCAGAGCCCTTATTAATCGATGCTTTTATTTGATAGAATGCACATTATTATTTGAAATCACTTACTTATCATAATTATAAAGCAGTATTACAGGGGCCCACCCTATCCACAGGGTGCACAGGCAACCCAAGTGCAGTAATAGCCTGTTTCCACTCACCTGAGAAATATTAACCATTCACCAAGGAAAACATATTCCATCATCAATGTATTCGTATTACATTCACTACATATCATAGTGTTGGAGATGGAAATAGCAGGTCGATTTCTGTTTTTTCTTTTTTCTTTATTTTTTTTTTTAAACAGTACATGAAAAGGTCTTTCTTTTTCGCTCTTTAACCTCAGTCTGATTTGTGTCCAGTTTTTCAACCTGGCAATACATTTTTCATCAAAGCAAGGAGATACACAGTAGAAATACCACACTATGTCTTGTCTAGCATATCCATCAGGTTACATGGGGCTAAGTTTAAAATAGTCATATGAGGCATAAAACTACCTCATTCAAAAACAGAAACACAAAATTAGGAAATTGATGAGCCTGGGGATTGAACTTCATTTTGCAATGGGTTGTTATGTCACCTGAATCGCTAAGCTGGCTTGGCCCAGGAGGACCCAGAAGATCGGGTCCCTAGATCTGTGCTTGATTCAGATCTGGATTTATTCTACCTCTAAGGCTGTGTCTGCCCAGTTAAACGTTAGCAAAAATTAACTGGAAAATTAGATTATTGTGCCTTTTGTGTTAAAAAGCAAAATGAAATACAATTTAAAACCTTCCAGGACTATTTATACTTATATTTTTTGCAAATAAGGATTTTTTAAAATGTTGTAGTCTGTAAGTCCTTATCTGAAAAAAATAAGTAATTCTATGATTAGGCTTATTTTATCCTTTATAATAAAAATTCAAATTTCTTGTCTACCCACCCCTCCATGCCCTCTGTGAGATTCTAATTCGCTTGTGGGGCCTAGGAATCTGCATTTCAGCAGTGCTCCAGGCAATGTGTGGGCCATATTTTGGGGAAACAAAATGTTCTAGATGAATCTAGAGGAGCTCTTTCTATTAAATCAAACATTCTTCTACTCAAAGACAAATTCCACTTTGTTCAGTATAGAGTTGTTGGTAGAAGTACATTATAGGAGTTTCGTGACCCTGGACAAATTCCATCCTCCTTAAACCTCAGTTTTCTCATTGTAGATGGAAGGGATCTTACTATCTTTTACAGTTATTTGGCAGCTTATCTGAGATAACTGAAAAACTAGCTCCCTGCACAGAGAGAAAGATGCTTCCCTCTCTTTTCTCATCCATTCGTTTCTCTAGGTTTGCTGCTGCTGCATTTTGTACAAATCTTTTGCCTGTTATTAATGTGTTTCTTCCATCTCTGCTGATCTAGATTTTACCTGTTGTCCAAAGTCAGGGGTGAATGCTACTAAAACCCCTCAGGCCCTCAAATGGAAAGAATCTTTTGTTACCCAAAACTCCCATACAGTTAAAATACCTCTGTCTCTTATTGCATTAACCGTATTTTACTGTATAAAATACTTATAATGTCTGTATATATTATCTCTTTTATGATCTCTTTTATTATATGTTATCTCTCTGATTGGGTTTCACCTTTGTGCCCTACAGTAAGTAAAATGTCTTTGGCTTTAAAGGTACTCACTGATTTAAAGGGCATAGGAATGGACATAGTTTGTTAGACTATAATAACAACTCTGATATACATTTATTAAACACATCATATTTATCCTGCAATCTGCTAGGTCCTATATGTGTTTGGTACCATGAAGGTAAAACATCTAAATAATTGACTCTGTGTTGAGCTCTTTATTTGGTTATGTGGACATCTTTCTTGTATGGCCTGTTAAATGGTTCATTAAATGTTAAATGTTTGTCATGTGAATAAATGAACCAAAAAATACCTAGAACCTTGTAGACTTATATTTTATTAGAGTGTACACATCTGTGTTCTATGTTATATAAAGATATATTAAATTATTTTTCTTTTTAACACCTTCAGCTGTTCTTTCTTTTTGAGTACACGTGTGTACATGAACAAGCGTTTGGGTGAAGTTTTATAAAGCAAAAACAGAACAATGTACAAAATTAAAATAATTTGTGTCTCTTTGTTCTTGCCATTTCAGATGATGGAAAATTATCCTTTGAAGAATTCAAAGCATATTTTGCAGATGGTGTTCTCAGTGGAGAAGAATTACACGAGCTTTTCCATACCATTGATACACATAATACTAAGTAAGAAACTTTTTTATCACTGGATTCCACAAGTGAGGCACAGAGAGCGTGAATGCATTCATGTCCAGGAAGAAGAAAGGGAAGAACAATATAGAGGGTATATTTTGCCAAGTTTGCCTATGCTTAATTCTGAGATACCTCTTTAGTAATTAAAATTGCTCTGAAAAATTGACTTTGAATCAGAAAATAATGATCTTTTGTAGAAAGCTCCCCTGAAGTGTTTTTAGATTGTTCCCACTTTGCAGAATGTAAAACAAAGTATAAATTATAAATAAATATAGTTCTGCCATTAATTTAAAAAGTAGAATTTTACCTTGTTATTTAGGCTTAATCTCAATTTGCTTTGTTTAAAAATTATTCTTAGGCCATTCTTACATTAACACAGTGAAAAGGAAGAATTGTAGCAGTTATCTGGACAATTCAGGTGTGCTGAATTCCAAATCACTGTTACCTGAGGACATAATTATCTCTGGAGAGCCAATGTATATGGTGATCCATTCTTTTACTTATTTTGCCTATATAGATCTCTCTTTTGTATTAGCATAACATTTCTGAAGTTTCTATTTATATTCTCACTATGCTTAAAAATATAAAATAATGAGGACTTTAGGGTATAGAGCAATAGAAATATGCTGCTTGTTTTGGGCAATTGAACCAAATCAGATTATTTGTGACAGTCACAGTTACAAAACGCTTATATGAAAAACCACCATTTCAACCATGTCTTCAGACCTATCAGTGTGTCCATTGCTTGAAAAATCATTATATTTCCTTAGGCAAAGTGTTGAGATGGCTCCAGGCAGTGAGCCAAGATGCCAAGAAAATGCTCTTGGGCTACATCTATAAACAGACATTTTTTTGAAGCTAACTATTAAGAAAAATTAAAAGATTAAATTCACTTTACTCAAGCTGTTGAATATTTTTTAAACAACCAATTTAGAAGTTTCTTGACTTCATTGGGGTTTCAAATTCTTCATCAAACAGCTTAAGTATTTTGTTGACAGAAACAGTATTCATGGGTAACTATACTCAACAATAACTCTAGCATATCAAGTCCATAGTAGGTATTGGTGGTACAACATGGAACCAGCTTATGGTTTTATGGAGAAATAGACCAATCAGCTGATCGTATCAATATAATTCATAAATGCTGTAATTGAGCTATGTACAGGACACTTTTGGACCATAAGTCCCAAAAGGGAAGAAATTTTAGCCCAATTTTTTAGGCTCGGGGAATATTTACAGGATCTGAGTCATTATGAGAGATTACAAATTCCTTAGGTAAAGAAAGGGGTGGGGAGAAGAATATTCTAATCAGAGGGAGAAGCATGAGAAAAGTCCTGGAAGAAGAAGGTGAAGAGCAGCAACAAGTAGTTTCTTACTACTAAAGTATCAGCTGGAAGGCTGAGAGTGAAAGATGAATCTGGAGAGGAAAGAAAGGACCAGACAAGATGGAATTTGCATTCTGTGTTTGCAAAAGTGCTTCAACTTTATCCTGAAGGCCAGGGAAAACTATTAAGGAAATTGAGCCAGGCTGCAACGTCTTTATAGGTAATTGTGGATCTACTTAAGGACAGGCTTAAAGGGGTAATAGTTGACTCCTTAAATCGCTACTGGGGAAGAATGTTTATTCGTGAAAGAAAGAAAGCCATGTTGCACTTTACTGGGATATGATGCTTTAAAGAATAAAAGAGCAGAGGCTCCCCTTGCGGCTTAGGTGTTGGACGTTGAGATGCTAATGCTTTGTTATGTATGCTGATTATTTCTTCCTCGTTACAATTAGTATTGAAGTTTAAACAACATTTGGGTTTGGAATATTTATTGAAAGCCATAATAGTTCCAGAATTGGGTGTTATGAAGATTTTTAATATGTTACATTTAATTTATATTAATATTAATATTTATTCATACTAATGAAAAATAAAGTTTTCAATAGATCTTGTTAGCCTGTTTTGCTATTTTATTTATATAATTATTAATTTGGATTACTTGGCATAGCTTTAAGACTACTAAATGTTAAAGAAGTATATGTAATGATTTATACAGTAAGTCTAAAGGAATAATTATTACTACCAGTTTCTCTCATATGCATTAGTAACAGGTGTTTTCTGATCATAATGATGTTCAACTTTAATTTGGAGCTAAAGTGTATATTAGGTAGAGACTTCTGAATTATATTCATGAAATTCCTTTTTTTCTTAAGAAGGGATATCAGTGTCAGTCTTTGATCTTTTACTGAGATTAATTCAAATGTTGGCACAGAAATTTTGGAGCTATATTTGAAGCAACTGATAACTTTTATCTTTGCATGATCCAAGTTTTAATTATTTTAACAAATGCACTATATATGCCAATTATTTTCTCCTTCCACTCACCTTCTAAGAAGATAAGTTTTCCTCCAAATCCTGCCTCTGTTCATATCCCTGACCACTCTAATTTAATCAAGAGTACAGCCTGGCCTGAAGGAGTCAGTCATACATAACCTGGACCAAAACAGTCAGACTCACTGTCTCACACTGTTTGTGGTAGGCTGTGAGAGTCAGAGTCTATGAACATTTGCTGCTGAGGCCCCTGTGGCTACCCAGCTCCTGCCTTTCCTTATGTCTGGAGTTGTGACTTCACTTTGGAGTCCATTAAATTGGTATCTCCCTAATACACTGCATTTTCTTGAACTTGTTTAAGATTCTGTTCCTTGTGAAAGAATGTTCTAAGACAGTGTTACCCAATCACAGTCCTGCCATCTCTAAAAATTCAAGTCTTTTTGCTACAAATATTATATTTGCCATGCTTGAGGAGTGACTTATCCACTTTGAGAATATTTGGAAAGAAAGAAGGAAAATAATAAGAACATATCTGGCTACTTAATTTTTTTCCTTTTATCTCATGAAAATACTCTTAAAATATTATGCTTGATTATGAAAAGCAAATATTGTTCAGAAGCATAATTAGAGCTTGTGTCTATAGTGCAGTATAATTATTTTAAATGTCAAAATTAAGTACATTATTCCTCATAAAATTACATTAAAAAAGCATCATGTAAACTTATGGACTTTAAAAGGTCATGTTTTATAAGTTGCTTTTAAATGAACAAATGATAAATATAGAGTAGTGTAATTATTTAAAAAAAAGTCTTAAGAAAACAAAAATATATTGCCCTCTTCACACAAATTTAGATAGCAGTCATAATTCCCAAATCTAACTCTACTGGTTTTTCTCTTTTGTTTTAGTCACTTATTTCTTTAATCTTTCATTTTAAGAAATCAATATGTTCATTTGAGAAATTTCCTTAAGAGTAGTTCACTGCAGTTTTTTTTTTTTTCTTTTGTATGCCCTGGAATTACTTGGATCTTTTCAGTCAGGTTTTCTCTCAGGAATGCAAATAAATCCCAGAAAAACAAACCCCAAATACATTTAACCTCAAAATAACTATGCAAAGATTTCTGCAAAGATTTTTGTATATGAATATTACCAAGGTTGGAGATATTTCAGGTCTTAATCATAGAGAATGTTTTTAGTGCATTTCAAAACCAAACTACCTGTATCAACCACATGTCCTTATATGCTAAGGAAAGTGTCTAGCAGTTGTAATCACCTTTCAAGCCTGCCCAGGCACAAGCTTAAGCTCAGTGCTCAGTATAATCTCACTCTAATGAGAATTCCATGAATCATCCTACTTGTTTGTTGCTGTATTAGAATCCTTGTATAGTGACTGTTTGCCAGAATTCCTAATCTATATATCCTGAAGATTTCATTCAGAGCAGCAACTTTAGAAGTGAAAAGAACCCTGAGTAAAAGTAAGAGAAATTTGAAGGCATGGGAAACCCAGCTTTCCATCACCTTTTAAATTATTAAATTGATAGATATTTTTCATTATGTTCAGACATTTGGAAAGTTTTCCTGAGTTTTTCTTGCATATAGTAATTGATTGAGTGTAGAACAAAAGACCAGCTTCTTTCTGTTGATGGTACTTGGGATATTTTGCATGGCAAAGGAGAAGAAAGTCAAATATGTTTTTGTCATCAGGGCAAAGTATTGCTGAAAACTTTGATTTTTCTCAAGCTTTAAGAGAAGTGCATACAATTTAATATTCTGAAGTAACCTGAAGGATATCATGTCCACCTTATAAAACTTTCATAATTTCCCAGATTTTTGTCAAGCCTCATTTTAACTGTATTATTTCTGGGCCAAATATGCTTAATCTTCCATTTTCTTTTAAAAAATTGTTAATCTCTCAATCATTGTAGTGAGCCTTATTGCACCCTTTCCAGACTCATTAAAGATGTTTTAAACTCACGTTTTTCTCAACTTTTATAAAGTTACTCTTCAGAAAAGATACTTAGAGCCCTTAAAATTTGTTTGTAAAAGAAACTAACCTAGCAAAAACTAAATCTATAGCTTGGTAGCTTACAAATTGGAACCATCACACCAGTTAAAGAGCAAGAATAAATACAGGAAAGATCATTAAGAGGAAACTTCCATGGTTCCTCAAAAGTGTTCTTATTCATCAGAAAGTTAGTCTGTCTACATTTTGCAGTTAGCTATAGGAAACTATGATGAATTTAGCATAAATCCTTGTGATGTTAATTATAGTAGAGAAAGGGGAGAGATCCCCTGGAGACCAAAACCAATTTTCCCAGCACACTGCACTTTGGAGTTCCAGATTGTTAGGGTACATCAAATGGTAGACCAGATGGACGTTTCACTTCTGTGTCAGAGAGTGAACATACAGAAAAGCATCCCAGGGCCCTCAGATGGGAGTCTGTGGCTAGAGATAGATGACTGATATCTTCTGATCAAGTGTTCTTTATTCCAAGCTAAAACAATTTTTTGGGTGCTGAGCACTGGGATTTCAACCCAGTACTTGTTAAATCACTGAAGCACACCAGAGTGACAAAAATATCACCACCTACTAAAAGAGCATAGTCCATCTTGAGCTAGCTCTGAAAGTTTAAAAAGCTCTTTTTTAAACCAAACTGAAATCTGTCTCTCTTAACTTCTACTTGGTTCTGCTCTGTAGGGCCGTTCAGAATATGAATATTTTATGACAAGTCTTTCTAATATTTGAAGACAGTTTTCATGTGCCAATGAGATAAAGTCCCATAATAATTGGAAAGTAATGATTTCAAAGGTTTTGTTTCAGATGGCAGAATTTTGCTCCTTTGGAAACAGAAAAAGTGCTTCACCTTGTATTTGTGCAGGCAGATACATTCTAAAGCTTGATGAGTTAGGTGATGAAGCCCCTTTCTTTCTTGAGTTATCTTTTACACTGCTTAAGTGGACATACGCTGTGGGCAGTAGAAAAAGAAGGAAGGGTCAGTGCTCATGGAATAGGCAGTAAGTTGGTCCAAAGAGCATGGAGCACAATCTGCATGACATTGCAACTACAAAGCTTATTGCAATTCCAATAGTGGACAAGAGAGATCTCCTGCTTAACATAGCTTATACCATCTTCAACTAAGCTGAAGTCTTGGAAAGCAGTACCAAGACTTAAGTTCCTGGAGAATAGAGCAGGCCACAGTCCCAGGTACTCAGCTAAGCAAGTGTGGTATGACTGAGAGATACACAGGAAGGAACAAGAAAAGAGAGAGAGATGGTGTGGCTATATATCAAGAGAACAAAGTAAAGATCAAAGTCCAGAGTACATCAGACTAACATGCAATGAACAAACCGGGCTTGCCAGGCTTGGGTTTCAGCAATACAAATTTGGCCAAGGAGCCATGGCAGAACTGTGCTCCAGGTATTCAGACAAGCCCTGAACTGGCCATCAGTAAACTAGCAGAGAACACAGAGTCCAGTTAGAACTTCTTTCTATCCATGAACCGAGGCTTGGCTGTGGAAACTAGGCAGTGGGCTGATCTTTGTCCAGGCTTTAAGTAGCTTTCTTGGCATAAGCAGATACAGGCCAGCAGATGTATGCTTTTTTTGAGAGAGAGGCATGATTTTCAGAATACTTTGCATGCCAGATGAGGGATGGAGTCAGAGGAACCACAAAGCTGTGGAGAGAATAACATACTTTTGACAGATTTTTCTCAACTCCTCTTAGGCCCTACTTGAGAGAAGTCACAGCAGGGCAAATGATTTTGTAGTAGGCAAGAATTATTGGATGTGAGTGACAGAAACAAATTAAGCTGACTTAAGGAAATAATTGTCTGGCTCACATGTCTTATAGGACCAGAGATAGATTTCATGTGTGCTGGAGGTAGCTACTCAAATGGTGTTGCTGAAAAATCTGTCTCCCATCATCTCTCACCTCTTCTTTTGATGGTGTTAGCTGTTCTCTTGGGAGGGCCCTCTCGCTGAGAGGCCAAGATGGTTACTAGAAGCTCAAGGTTCATATTGCCACTGGCTTAGCAAATACTCAGAGAAACTGCTTTTATTTCCCAATAACTCTCAGCAATTCCTGGTTTTGAATTATGATAGCCTGGCTTAGATCTCATGCATATCCCTGGACAAATCAGCATTTTCAAGAAAACATAATGCAAAATAGAACCAGGATGCTGTTTCAGAATAAAGGTGAATAGATGCCAGGCAGGCAAAACTTGAGTCCCCCGCAGATCAAATAACTGCTTATTCAGCCTCAAGGACTTCTCTTTACCCTCTCATATTTTAGAGGAAGATAATCTCCTTCCCCAAGAGGGCAAGGGGCATGAAGTTTAAACTCCAGAGAGTTCTTACTAATTGTGGGATCAATCAGGAAAATCTGCAGCTATCTATAATGGGAAACACTGAAGTCAGGGAGAATTCTGTTGTCAGACTTCCTGGTCCCACTGAGCTGCCCAGGGTTCTATCCCCTGACACCCTCGCCCTTCCTGACCATCTGATTGTTTCCATTCCCAGGAGTCCTGCTTTCCCATTCTCTTCCTAGTACAGCCATGCCTCTGATGCCCTTCTTTTCTCCTAATGGTCTTGACAGCTCTTTGTATTTTCAGCAACTTCCAAAACTTAGATTTTGTAACATCTGGTTTTCTTCTCCTTAGCCTTTCTCTGTAATCACCCCCTTAGTATAGATGTTCTGGGAAATTCTCACATACTGTGCTACACTTATTTCTTGAGAATTTAAAAATTATGAAGAATTATGTACAAAGCTAAGAAACACTATTTGATTATATCCTATACAGGTGTGCTTTTTACCACATTTTTAGAGGCTGAAAATTGAAGTCTTACACTTTTACCAGGACTCACTCTAAACCATTACTGGGCCTACGATTATTGATTCCATTTGGATATTAGAACTAACCTGTAGCCATCGGATTTCCTTATCATTCACTGATTTTTAGGTCTGCTTTTCACTTCAACAATTACTGAAACCCATTTACTTGCTTTAACTGAAACCCATTTACTTGCTTTGAGAATCTTTGATAAGCTCACAAAGATATGGAGAGAGAAAAAACCCAAAGTGGTTTTAAAAACTCTTCTTTCCTAGGAAGGCATTTCACTGGCATCACTACCATCTCCTTCTAAATCAGGCCACTCCACAACCTGCAGTGTGGATTGGGGCACTGCATTCTTCCCTGGAGGAAGAGTGCAGAATCAACAAGCCAAATTCTGCCTCATAATTAAAAGATTAGCAAAGTTTGGAGAATTTATAAAGGAGAGAATGTTAAAGGGATTTTTTCAAATGACATGGAAATGGTTTATTCTTAGTTATAATTTTTTGGAAAAAGAAAAACTGGTTCTAATTTTCTCCGACAAAAATGGTAGTCAAGTCAAATTTTGTGTCAAGGCAGTTTCTATATAATTTCTAAAAATATTTAATTTCTAAAGGAAATGCTTAATTTCTAATTGAATAGGAAAATGCATTTATGAAGTGATTATGTACCAGGCAATTAACTTGTATCATCTTATTTAATCTTTAAAAAAACCAAACAAACAAAATAAGAATGTATTGTCATTCATAGCCTACAGTTAAGCAATCTGATACAAAAAGTTAAATAACTTGCCCAAAGTTACATCAATATTATGATTAAGGGTCTGGGGTTTTCTCAGGTCTGCCTGAAAACCAAACCCAAGCTCTTTCCATTGCCATATCATCTCAATAAAATTTCATGTTTTTTGCTTTATATTTCATGTATCAGAAATCAAAATATTCCAAGGCAATTTTTAAAAATCGCTTTCAGTAATTTATCCTTGATAAAAAGATGGTTAATTCTCTCTAACAGTAGAATATATTTGATGTATACTATAGAGGTAATTGCTTTAATTGCTGCCTTTTTCTCTTCTCTTTTTATATCTATTATGTAGGGTTTTTACAGTGTGGGAGTTGCTACAATGTAGAAATGTTATTCTTCTTTTCTGTGGACATTGTTTCCACTCTTTGCACATTTTCCCTCCTTCTATCCTACCTTTATACTTAGAAATCATCATCTACTTTTAGACTTAGTTCCTGCCATCCTCCATCCCATCACTTTGCATTTGCCATATTTTCTCTATTGCTCTTCAGAGTACTCACAGAGTTTTACTGTTTCCTTTAATCGTTTGTATTAAGGGCCTTTTCAAACTTTTTCATATCTTTTTTATATTTTCTTATCTAGAGAATTATTTTTCTGGTTTTCATCTATTCCTCCCAAAAAAAAGCTTAAATTCTTTTTTTTTAATTTTACTTTAAGTTCTGGGATACATGTGCAGAATGTGCAGGTTTGTTACGTAGGTATACATGTGCCACGGTGGTTTGCTACATCTAGCATACATGTGTTTAAATTCTTTTTTAAACTTAATTGAACTCTTTCTTTCCGCCAGCCATGAAAGAGTTGCCATTAGTGAAGTAAAATCAATTACTGCTCAAAATAAAAATTGTCTACTGAGGAAGCTAGATGAATGATTTATTCACATAAATGCAGTTTTTTTCTTAAGTCATCAATATCCACCAGATGGATGAAATCAATGCAGTAAAATTGTAACCCCAATCTCTCTAAAATACATGGTGCTCACTTCGTGGACAGTATTTTTCCTCCATTTCCAATGCCCCAACCAATTCTGTACATTTTTCTCAAGAATGGTCAGTTTAAGAAAACAGTTACAGTTGTTCTCCATGAATTCTTAAGATTTCAGAATTCTCAGCCAGGCGTGGTGGCTCACGCCTGTAATCCCAGTACTTTGGAAGGCTGAGGCAGGTGGATCACTTGAGATCAAGAGTTCGAGACCAGCCTGGCCAACATGGTGAAACCCCACCTCTATTAAAAATACAAAAATTAGCTAGGCATGGTGGCGCATGCCTGTAATCCCAGCTACTTGGGAGGCTAAGGTATGAGAATTGATTGAACCCAGCAGGTGGCGGTTGCAGTGAGCTGAGACTGTGCACCACTGTACTCCAGCCTAAGAGACAGAGTGAAACTGTGTCTCAAAAAAAAAAAAAAAAAAAAAAAAGATTTCAGAATTTTAGAAATAAATGTAGATTACAAATAACCAAAAAGTCACTGCTTACTTTTGAAGTGCAGGTTTTTTCAAGAGCAATTTTTTAAGGAAAATATTTCCCCCACTGCTATGGTCTGAATGTATGTGTTTCTTGGAAATTTATATGTTGAAACTTAATATCCACAGTGATAGTATTAAAAGAGAGGGCCTTTGGCAAATGACTAGGTCATAAGGATTCCACCCTCATGAATGGGATGAGTGCCCTTTTATAAAAGAGCCCTGAAGGAGCTTGTGTGTCCCTTCCACTTATGTAAGGATACATAGAAAGTGCCATCGATGAGTAACAAGCCCTCATTAAACACCAAATCTGTTGGTGTCTTAATCTTCGACTTAGCCTCCAGAACTGTGAGCAATAAATTTCTGTTGCTTATAAATTACCCAGTCTGAAGTATTTGTTAGAGAAGCCCAAAAGGACTAAGACACTCACAAACCAAATAATATAAACAGTACATAATTATTGTAAAAAGAGTTGAAAATATAGAAAATTAGAAGAAAGAGCATAAAATATCTGAAACCTCACAATCTTGAGATAATCACCAATAGCATTTGGTTACCATAGCTTTTATGTATGCATTCTATTTTAATCATGGAAAACTCTTGCTTTTAGATTTCTTTTCCTTTTCTACCCTCTATCCTTATACTATCCCCCATAACCAATCTTTATCACCTAAATTGGTCTTGTGTATTTTTTCCATGTTTATGTAATCATATACACATCTATATGTCTCATGAAAGCTTTCCCTGACTTTCTTTTTTTTTTTTTTAAAAAAGAGCCCGCATCGACTTTCTTTATTAGTTTAAAATTTCTATTCTGCATTCTCATTGTAACATGGACTGCTCTTTACAGCCCCTATATTATTTACAATTTTATATTTATTAGGGTGTTTATTTGACTGGGATTTACTGCTAGCCTAAATTCCACGAAGGCAGAGGCCATAACTATCTTGCTTTTCATTGATTCTCAGCATAGTGTTTAGCACATATTGCAAGCTCAATAAACATTTGAGATGATAAGAGATAAATTCCTGCTTCCTCAAATCTCATGCTATGCCTGACTAGCCTTGCTCTTCTTAGCATAGTAAAGTTTTCCAGGCATTAGAGGCCACTCAATGCCATAAAAAGCAGTATTGCTATGCAGAAAGAACTCAGACTTGCCAGGCTTGGGCTTATGTCCCTCCACTATCTGTCTATGAGGAGTTTGGGTGGTCATTTCCTTTCATTGGACCACAATTTCATTGGCTTTAAAAGGGAGCCAACATAAGAACCCATTTTGCGGAATTTAGGACTAATATAAAAATACTCGCCACAAAATAATAATAATAATTATTATTATTAAGATGTATTCACTAACCTTTCCTTTTCTTTTGGATCATTTGCTTTCTCCAAATTTCTGTAATTATAGTTTGCACCTTCAAGAGGTACCATTTAATTACATAATATCTTCTGTTATGTTTGCTAATTGTTTCATTAGCATGTTAATCTTGTCTCCAAATACAATTGTAAATTCCTGTGAAGCAAGGACCATTGTTCTCTACTACTTCCAGCAATTGCTGTAATACATTCAATAAGTGCTTGGTTACTTGACTGATACAGAAAAAGGATATTTTGATTTGATGTAAGAAAGGCGTGCAAAAGCACATTGCTGGTGACTTTTAGAGTCTAGACCCTGCCTGATTGATCATAGAAAGAGTAATGCCATTAACAGATCTTATCAAACACAGAAGGAGAACTGATTCCTTTTGTTTGGGAGGAGGATAAATGATAAATTTGACTTTAGACTCTCAGTTAAACTCAAGCACTTTTGAATGCTATTGCTATATTAAAATAGTTCTCTACTCCTGTGACTTAAAGGCCGTGAAATATAATTTTGGATGTAAATGTGGATTATTTTCATATTTTAACAGACACAAAATACGTTCAAATGAGGAGTTTCTTTTTCCTGATATAATTATTGGATCTTCGTTTATATGTTAAAAAAAGTTTTCATTACTTAAAAAGACGCTCCAACATTGCTTAAAAAGAAGCTCCTGCTACACCGAATATTATATTTTCTGATCTCTTAAAAGGTTTCTCACTGGGAAAAATAGACTAAATAGCAAAAGCTTTTAGCAGTTAAAATATAAGAAGAAGAAAACTGGGCATGAGAATCAGCTGAACGTTATTGTTCTTGTCTCATTCACTAATGGGTTTAATAGTTTAATTTTATTTTAAGGTTCTCCTGGGAACTTATTTTTAGTCAACTTTAGATTAAAAATGGTAGTTTAGAATAATTAGAAATCTACCTGTGGTGGGCCATAGGGTTTTATCATTTACATAACTAACTTTTCCTCAATCTTCCACCATCCTCATTGCTGTCAGATTAAAATAAATTTTGACTTCAGAGTGGCACAAAGAGTTTTTATTTTGTTTGAATTGTGAATAGTTTCCAAGTGAAAATTCAGTTTGTCAGACTTGACAACCATTATTCTAGTTGAGTTTGCAGCTTCCAAAAAATTAGTCATTTGTTCCCTAATTATTCATTTATTTATTCAACAAGCATTTATTAATCTGCAGTGATATCATGTGCCATGTATTATGCATAAATGAATGAATATTACTTTATTTTTATGGGATGCAGACATACTGATGGATAGAAAACTATTTTCCAAATATCTCATGGAGGCTGATGTTTTGCCAAAATGAAGGCAATGGCTCATATTTACTATGATTGAGGAGCATAAGAAGCACTCTTGTTCTTTAACATTTCTATCTCTATGCTTGTCTTTAACTCAGGATCTTTGCAATAGTTAATTGTTGATAAAATGCACTTTAACACATTTAAGTCATCATTTTTTACAAAAATTAAACTGTCAAAAATTATTAATGGGAAATTAACCTTTAAAAAATGGTTCCAAAAAGCCAGAGATGCCTGGGTAATGTGCTGATCGCAGGGAGGTCACCTGTGCTACTTTGGCCGAAGGCCAGCCACCTAAGGAAATAATATAGATGGGGCAGTAAAATCCCATTACAGTACATTTATCTGCCAGGGATAAGTTCCAAGACCCACAGTGGATGCTTAAAACTCCAGATAGAACAGAACCCTATGTATACTATGTTTTTTCCTATCTGATAACCAAGAGGGCTACTAAATGACTAATGGGCAGGTATTGTATACAGTGTGGTTACCTTGGACAAAGGGATGGTTTGCATCCTGGGTGCAACTGCAAAAGGCTTCTCCACACTATTTAGAACAGTGAGCAATTTAAAATTTATGAATTGTTTATTTCTAGGATTTTCCATTTAATATTTTTGGACCACAGTTGACTGCAAGTAACTGAAACTACGAAAAGTGAAACATTGGAGAAGGGAAAATTACTGTAATTGAAAAATGATTGATCAGGGTCCCTTCTGTGGATTCATCAAGAATCAAATAGGGACAATTACAATTTGACCTTTATTTTTAAAATACAAGTGGAAATAATAGAATTGTGTCTAGTGTCTCTGAGTCTCTTCCACTGGCTTCTCTCTCTCTCTGCCTCTTGTTGCTCTCTTGCTGTGATCCTTTTCCAAGCTTGAGCTTGACAAATCATTATGTCTGTACCAGACTTGTTTAAATTAGAATGGACTGTAAGAGGTTTCCAGTCATTGAGTTTTTGTTTTACTATTTAATCTAATTGTTTCTTTTCATTTCAACTTGTATGCTGAATTCCTAGCCCCAAATTTTTGCCCTTTATATTTTACATTTCAAAATCTCTTTATTGTGCGTAGAGCTAATTGTGTCTATGTCCTGGTTGGCTCATAAAAATTCATAGGGATTGTGTCTTTAAAATAGAGCATAGTCAGAGAAACATATTCCAATGAAAAAATAAGGGTGTGTTTTTTTAATTAATTTTGTTGAATGTACGAAAAATTATTATCCTTGTTGTATTTGATTGAAACTATTCACTAGAGTGAAGAAAGTACAGTAAGTCTTCACTTTACATCATTGATAGGTTCTTGGAAACTGAGACTTTAAGTGAAACAATATATAACAAAACCAATTTTACCATAGGCTAATTGATGTAAATAAGAGTTAAGTTCCCATAGCATATTTCTAGTCATAAAAGCATCATAAAACCTCTAAATAAAGACCCAAAACATTTCTAATACTAAATATTGAAATAAGTGTGAGCTATATATACATTTAAGAAACACTAATAAAAACAAATAAGACAATTATTTACCCACTTACTCCAGTTCAGGGTTGCAGGTGGCCAGAGCCTATTCTGGCAGTTCAGGCACCAAGTAGGCACCAGCCTTGGACAGTATGCTGTCCCATCACAGGGTGCATGCACACTCACACCCACAGTCACTCAGCCTGGAACCATTCAGACAGGCCAGTAAACATAAGGTGCACATCTTTGGAGGGGTAAGAGAAAATCTGAGTATCTGGAGAAAACTCACATAGACGTGGAGAGAACATACAAACTCCACACAAACAGTGGCCTCTGTGGGGAATCAATTTTTTCCCTTGTCTATGTTATAACAAAACGAAGTTGAATGAAACAACTCTATTCAAATACCTGCTATAATCTATATTTCCAAACTCATGACAGAAATCTCCCTTTCACAGTCAGCTGCTATAATCTATATTTCCAAACCCATGTCAGAAATTTCCCTTTCACAGTCAGACTACATAGAAAATTCTGTCCTTGATTTGTTACTTAAAGTTGCTTGCACAAGATTTCTTAACCTGGGTAAAATCAACCCCTGGAAACTTAATATAAAATTAAATATAAAATGTTATTGCATATTGCCTATTTTTATTTTGAGAGGAATAGGGAAGGGATGATTGATACATTTTATCAGGCTTTCAGTGTTCTGTGCCAAAACAGCAAAGAACCACTACTCATCTTCTCTCTTAACTTCTAAATCAAATAATTAATCAACTTTTAATAAATCATTTTATATTTATCTTTCTATAACAAAAACAGTTTAAATATCGGAAGAGGCTACCACAAAAGGCTAGTGAAGTTTCTTAGGAATTCCTGGGAAGAGGATCCAGGAGATTAGGGAGAGAGGACACCGTTAAATTTGAACTCTGAAGTCAACCCAAGTCTAACTCAATTTGTGAAGTCAGTTGTGTATTGCCTATACAAACTGAGCTTGAGCTTGCTATTCCCTTTCAATGAGGAGTTCCTGGTGTTCTCCATGTGCAAGTTATTGTACCAGCTACTAGGAATATAGTGGTGGTAAACAAGGGATTTATAGTTTAGCAGAGAAAGTAGACAAGCAATAACTTGATTAATTATGACAGGGAGATATAGTGCTTTGAGAGGAACAGGGTGTGCTAACCTTATCTTAATGGTTAGCCAGGACCTCTTAGAGAAGCCATACAGTTTTACTAAGAAGAGGTATGAATAAGGATGGAGATAGAGATGATGTTTTCAGCCAGAGAGAATAGCACATATGGAAGCCTGTAGACGAGAGAGAGTGTGGCATGTTAGAGAAGCTGAAGGGCATTCAGCATGCGCAGAGCACTGAATCAGGGTGGAGAGAGGCTAGAAAAGCCAAGAGGGGACCTAACTGTAAAAGGCTTGAGAATCAGTGGGGTAATCAAATTTCTATCCTGAGGTCAGTGCCAAGCCATTGAAGGGTCTTAAACCTGGGAGTGACTGGATTAGGTTTATGTTTTCAAAAGATAGATCTCCCCAAGGCAAAGAGAATTGGTGGGAGAGGACAAGTCTGGAGACAGCAAAACCAGGTAAGAGGTGCTTCAGCTGTGCTTTAAAAAATGTTAGCTGGATTTTGAAAGATCTGAATCTCTAGTCTTTCTGATTTTGCCTAAATCTTTCTGATCTGGAAAGCTTTTGAATAAGAATACCCTGATGTTGCAAAACAATAATAATAACAACAACAATAATAATGGTTAACATATATGGCTCAGTTTGCATAGGCAATACAGAATTGACTTCACGGATTGAGTTAGACGTGACTTGACTTCAGAATTCAAATTTAACAGTCAGGGAGACTCCCTAATCTCCATAATAACATTTATGGATTACTAACAATAATAACGGTTAACGTTTACCATGTGCCAGACCTAAGCACTTTCCATTCATGAACTTACTTAATCTTTACAACAGATCTATGATTGACCACATTTTGCACATAAGGAACCTGAGCCACAGTGAGATTGGGTCACTTTCTCAACATTGCCCAGAGAGTACGCACTAAGGCAAGCCACTCTGGCTCTTAAGTGTTATTCTATGCAGCTTCTTACTAAATTCAACTTTGTTCACTGCCTTTGGAATCTGTCAGAGTGGTAATCTTCATTCTGTTTCTGAAGGCCCTGGCCGAGCAAATTTTTTATTGCTTTACTATCCCTCAATATTAAGTGGAGCTAATAATATTTTCTGGCAAGAAAATTGTAAAAACGTATGAGCAAATTTTTAAAAGCAGTGTAGACTGCTAGCCAGGGGAGGTGATATGTCAATATATGAGGTTTGTTTGACTGCGGTCTTAGAGTGCAGAACCACATAACGCACAGTCATTGCTCATTGCCGGCTCTTGGGTTCACAACGGGAAAATTGCAGTACCAGCGAAGCCAGACCATTCATTTAGTTCTCTGCACATTGTCCTAACTCTTCTTTGGGGGATGTTGCTGCTATTTGTGGTGGGGGACACAGATATCTTCAATCAATAGAAATCTAATATTTCAGGAGGAAGAACAAAATGGTAGTGGTAAATCTATTCAAAAAAAAAAAAAAAAAGTGACCAAAGCCGGGCGCAGTGGCTCACGCCTGTAATCCCAGCACTTTGGGAGGCCGAGGCGGGCGGATCACGAGGTCAGGAGATCGAAAGCATCCTGGCTAACATGTGAAACCCTGCCTCTACTAAAAATACAAAAAAAAAATTAGCCGGGCATGGTGGCAGGCGCCTGTAGTCCCAGGTACTTGGGAGGCTGAGGCAGCAGAATGGTGTGAACCTGGGAGGCGGAGCTTGCAGTGAGCCGAGATCGCATCACTGCACTCCAGCCTAGGTGACAGAGCGAGACTCTGTCTCAAAAAAAATAAAAAAAAAAAAGGGACCAAGTAGTTGAGGTAGTTCATTGGAAAATAGTGCATAGAAGTGACCTATCTTGGGCAGAGAGCCCTTCAAGATTAATATCTCCCTTTCTGAAGAGGCTTAGAAATGTGCACTTCAGTTGACAGGAATTAATTTTTCCCTCACTATGTCTTCAAGATGCAATAGTACCTTGTAAAATGGGTTTTCTTTGAAAACAGAGATTAACATAGTATCGAGATGCATGAGGGTCAAAAGCAACTTCACATTTTTAATAATAGGAGAATATTGGAGGCCACTTAGGCTTGTGGGTATCACCTAAGAAAGGAAGCTAAGAACTGTCATACCTGCTGGGGACTCTGCCTGCCTCTCTCCTCCTTAGGGTTTACTTCAGCAACAGTGAAAATGACCTGGGGATTTATTTTCAGGGACAACAAGGAAAGGGGGAACTGAGCATTCTGGGTTTCAGTATTGAGAGAAAAGAATCCTCTTGATGAAAAATGGGGAGGCGACAGCTCTGAGAATTACAGAAAAGCAATCTGAATCCTTGCATGAAAATGGCATGAGGAGGCATCTCAGGCCTGAGAAATAAAATTTGGAGGCTTTAACAGTCAGGAGCCCATGCAGTTCTCTAAAAGGTGGACCCTGAATTATCCTTAGCAAACTAACACAGGAACAGAAAACCAAATACTGCATGTTCTCATTTATAAGTGGGAGCAACATGATGAGAACACATGGACACATGGTGGGGAACAGCATACACTGGGCCTGTGGGAGGGTGAGGGTGAGAGGAGAAAGAGCATGAGGAATAAAAGCTAATGGATGCTGGGCTTAATGCCTGGGTGATGGGATAATTGGTGCAGTAAACCACCATGGCACACATTTACATATATAACAAACCTGTATATCCTGCACATGTACCCTTAAACTTAAAATAAAAGGTGGAAAATAATAAAAAGGTGGAGCCTGGGGAGTATTACATCATAGACCATTGGAAGCCTCCTAAAAGGTCCATCCACCTTCAACCTCAAAGGTCAACTTTCATCTTTGGGCTTGAAGTTGTATACACTACAAATCTATATGCCTAACGAAGAGATGTGATGTTGCCTTTTTTTTGAAATTTTCCATTGTTTCTCATTCCTTAAAGATAGGTGGAGGGTAGGAGTGAGGGTTGGTTAAGCTGCATCTCACATGATAGAAGCTGTCTGCAGGGGAACATCATCAGCAGGCTTTCAAGGACCTGGCTGTGTGGGTGGGCTTATTGGTTGCTGTGAGCTGTTTGTTTCATGTGGGCTGCCTGCTAGAGCAGCTTGTCTGCAGAGATCCTTGCTCTTCAAATGAATGCTGGGCTGTCTGGCCTGCCATTGTGCACCATTAGAGTTTTGTGACCACACTCAGAGACGTTTCCAATGTAAGGCATTTTCTGTAACAACACAAACTGCCAAGAAAATGCTGTCATTTAGATGGCCAGAGATTTTTCCTTTGTTGTCTGTTTTAATGGATGTCAGAACATTATGCATGATTTTTATGGTGTGTGCCTTGAGTTTCACTAAAGTTGCTAAGGCCTTTATGGGTAGTGCTAATGGTACGTGATTATAAGTTCTAGAAAGGTTGCCTCAGAAAGTGGCAGGTAGGGATAGATGGAAACATGTAAGGTTTACCTCACTATTCTGTGTCCCTTTCACATTGTATTAGGCCATTTTCATACTGCTATGAAGAAATACCTGAGACTGGGTAATTTATAAAGAAAAATGAACTCACAGTTCCACATGGCTGGGGAGGCCTCCCAGTCATGGCAGAAGGCAAAGGAGGAGCAAAGGCACATCCTACATGGCAGCAGGCAAGAAAGTGTGTGCAGGGGAACTTCTTTATAAAACCATCAGATCTTGTGAAGAAATTATTCACTATCATGAAAACAGGAAGGGGAAAAACCCACCCCCGTGATTCGATTACCTCCCACTGGATCCCTCCCATAGCACATGGGGATTATGGGAGCTACAATTCAAGATGAGATTTGGGTGAGGACACAGCCAAACCATATCACACACCATTTCTTTGGTTGAATGAGTGTATAATTGCTGGTCTCTTTCCCCCCATCATATATAAGAGAGTTACGAGTAAACATCTCCCCTAGCAAAAGAAAGAGAAGGATCTTTTTATGCTTTCTCCTTCTGTTCTTTTTCTTTAAGTTCTGAAGCAACTATGATATGCAGGGTCATGAATAGAAGATCTTTAATATTGCTTAGCGTGTAGCAGAGAATGAATTTGTTGACTTTTCCTTGGCTGTATTGTCTATTGTTAGAGACAACTGACTATTATACGCTCATCCGCCAGAACAGTGAGACAAAGTAGGTGGCAAGATCCCAAAGATAATTCAACACTGAACTCTGAGATTTGCTTCATTTCGCTTAAACAGATATTTATTGAGCACTGGCTGTGGGCTAGAAACTGTGCAAATGCAAAATCTAGTATCATTTTTGGACAGCAGTACTTCCTTTTAAGCTGGATCTTCCTCTTGTATTTTTAGATCACTGACAATGTACATCAAGGAAAAGAAAAAATCCTTGCTTCTGGCAGAGAACTTCTAGTCTAAATTCTTCATCTTGCATTTGAGGAAACTGAGTTCAGCAGAGCTAAGGGACTTCCCAAAATTATGACTGATGAATGCTAGCTTGGAACCCATGTCTTCTGAATCCATCCCTCCATCTTTCCTCTATTCTATACTGCCTTTTTCCTTACAGGTATAACAGATCATGAAACTCAGGTGGGTAGAAAAGGAAAATGGAACTTTTTTTTTCCTGTAACTCAATTTCCATTTTAAGTCTTAATCCTACCAGATGTTAGAAATTTAATTTCAGTCAACTTGGGGTCACTTTCCTCCATGCCTTGGGGTTGTATACAAATCTGGGGTGTTACCTAGTGCAAAGTCATGAGAGAGGAGAGGCATCTCTTTCTCTCTGCTTAGTTCTCCATGATGCATCAGCAGGGGTGTCTTCATTCCCACTTGACCTTTGGTTAGTAGTTGAGGTAGGTCCCTGCACTTCCTCCTTTCTTCTTAACCTCCAGCCCTTTTCAAGTCTGCCAGCTCCCTCTGTGATGTTACCACTGCTCTCAGATCCTAAGGGTCCCTATAGTGTTTTCAAACCAGTCTCTAGTGCAAGTAATTCTTCAAAATTATCTCAGTCCTTCTGGCCAGACATATCATGCAGATATGTCTGCTGCTCCCCACCAGGCTGATGGAAGAGAGCATTCTTTCTATCTGCAGATGGGTCACAGATCCTCCCTATTGTCAGATCCTCCCTACTGTCCTTATGTCTAAACTTCTGTAGGGCTCTCCCACCCGCAACATCATTTCCACCACTGTTTTCATCTTACAGGCTTGACCTACAGGGGAAAACAGCATAGATAACACCTGCTCCGGATTCACCTGAATCTAAGCTCTCTTCACTTTCACTTTCTCCCTTGTTCTAGGGAATCTTTATCCAGTTGGGAGATGAAAAGGCTTGACTTAGTTATTACTGAGCTACGTTCTTCTAAATCTTTTCTCTTACACCTGGGTCTAGACTTTTTTAATTGAAAAGTTAAAAATTTGGCCCATTGTTTGAGTCAGAGTTCTCTAGAGAAACAGAAACAATAGGATGTGTATCTATAAGAAGAGAGATTTATTGTAAGAAATTGGTTTACACGATTATGAAGTCTGGCAAGTTTAAAATCTGCAGGGTGGGTCATCAGGGTGAAGACCAAGGAAGAACTGATGTTCCGGTTCACGTCCAAAAGCAACCTGCTGGAAAATTCCCTGTTGCTAATGGAAGGTCAGTCTTTTTTCCTAGTAATGCCTTCAACTGATTGGATAAGGCTTGCCCACATTGCAGAGGGCAATCTACTTTGTCCATATTCCTTTGATTTAAATATTTACCTCATCCAAAACACCTTCACTGAAACAACCAGAATAATGTTTGACCACATGTGTGGGCACAGTGACCAAGCCAAGCTGACACATAAAATTATCACATCCCTCTCCTGTCTGTTGCCTGCCTTGTCATTGCTTCTCTAAGATAACAGCAGCCTACTCAGTACAAGGAAATAATAGCAGGTGCTGTGGGGTAAAAGCAGATGGAGAGAATTTGGTTTATATTTTTTAAAATACCTAGCATGCATACTTATATTATGTATTTATTTATTTTCACTTGTGCTAATTAGAACTACCCAGTATGCTACTTCATGTTTTCATTTTTGCAGAGGTTTTAATCTTTGGTTTTCAAAAAAAATAAAGCCTCTTAAAAGTAGGTATTGGTTCATCTCCCATTGATTGCAGTATTTTGTATAAATAGACAGTAAGTTCCATTAATTGAAAATATTTCATTTTAAACCTCAAGGTACAACACAGTATTAAGTGAAAGCTATGCAACTTTCAAGTAATATTTGTCACCAGAAAAAAATCAAAGTGTAAATGCTTTCATTGAACTTGATTTTCAAAAAAACAATGTTTTGAGACTTGTATTTTTTGCCTTTATGCAAAATCAAAGGTCAGTAGTCAGGTAAAAATTATAGAAAAAATTTTCCAAAGTGAGGAATGGTTTTTGCTTTAAACAGCAGGGTGGTTTTTCTTCTTTGAATATCATCTGTGTTCTTAATTTTAAAAGTAGATTTTCTCTGAGTGATTTTTGAAAGCCAACAGAGTAATACTTACATCTTCCTTTAAGTTGCTGGGAGACCACAGAGTTTTCTAGCCTGAAGTGCCACCTGGTACATCTTAAATTATCTGAAGCAGAGCTCAAGCTGGGCTAAGGAACAAAAAGTGGCATATCCTTAATTACCACAAATGATACCTAATTACCTTCATGCCAGCTTTAATGTAATGCCGAACACAGCTGAGATGGTGTTTGATTTTAAAGTGAGTTACACAAGATTACCTTTCCGAACCAAACTGACTTTACCAATTTTGCCAACTTGCATTTTAATATTGCATTTCAATAGGTACCCTTTTGGTCACTGGTATTTAATACTTTCCTAGGCTTCTTATAACAAAATAGCTTTTGGTTTAACATTGAAATTGCAGAAGTAATTATTTCACTGTGAATGTGCTTAAAGCAGCTCTTGATACTTCAAGTAGAAACAGAAAATAACATTTATTGCCATCAAAATGGAAATGCAGTAATTATGTCATAATAGATTGAATCTATGAACTTTGCTTGATCTCTGTTTAGATAAAACTGCAATAGTTGTACAAGCCTCAAAAAGCTACCTTAGTAAGTGTTTTAGAGTTTTCTTATTGTAAGAGACTAGCTATGACTGGTCTGCAGTCTTTTGTAGCAAAAGATTTAAGATAGTGTATTAGTCCATTCTCATGCTGCTAATAAAGAAATACCCAAACTGGGTAATTTATAAAGAAAAAGAGGTTTAATGGATTCACAGTTCCACAAGGCTGGGGAAGCCTCACAATCATGGCAGAAGGCAAAAGAGGAGCAAGTCATGTCTTACATGGCATTACGCAAGAAAGCATGTGCAGGGGAACTCCCCTTTATAAAACCATCAGATCGCAAGACTATTCAGTATCATGAGAACAGCATGGGAAAAACCTGCCCCCAATGATTCAATTACCTCCCACCCTGGATCCCTCCCATGACATATGGGGATTATGGGAGCTACAATTCAAGATGAGATTTGGGTGGGGACACAGCCAAACCATATCATTGTGCCCTGGCCCCTCTCAAATCTAATGTTCCCACATTTTAAAACACAATGGTACCCTTCCAACAGTCCCCCAAAGTCTTAACTCATTCCAGTATTAATTCAAAAGCTCAAGTCCAAAGTCTCATCTGAGACAAGACAAGTCCCTTCCACCTATGAGCCTGTAAAATGAAAAGCAAGTTAGTTACTTCCTAGATAAAATGGGGGTACAGGCATTGGGTAAGTATACCCATTTCAAATGGGAGAAATTGGCCAAAACAAAGGGGCCACAGGCCCCATGCAAGTTCAAATCCAATATGGCAGTCATTAAATCTTAAAGTTCCAAACTGATCTCCTTTGACTCTGTGTCTCACATCCAGGTCACGCTGATCCAAGAGGGGGTTTCCCATGGTCTTGGGCAGCTCTGCCCCTGTGGCTTTGCAGGGTACAGCCCCCTCCCAGCTGCCTTCAGGGGCTGGCATTGTCTGTAGCTTTTCCAGGTGCACAGTGTAAGCTGTTGGTGGATTTACCATTCTGGGGTCTGGAGGATGGTGGCCCTCTTCTCACAGCTCCACTAGGCAGTGCCTCAGGTGGGGACTTTGTGTGGGGGCTACAACCCCACATTTCTCTTGTGCACTGCCCTAGCAGAAGTTCTCTATGAGGGCTCTGCTCCTGCAGCAAACTTCTGCCTAGACATCCAGGTGTTTTCTTACCTCTTCTGAAATCTAGGCAGAGGATCCCAAACCTCAGTTCTTGACTTCTCTGCACCCACAGGCCCAACACCACATGTAAGCCACCAAGGCTTGGGGCTTGCACCCTCAAAAGCCATGGCATGAACTGTATCTTGGCCCCTTTTAGCCACAGCTGGAGCAGCTGGGACACAGAACACCAAGTCCGTAGGCTGCACACAGCAGGGGCCTCTGGGTCCAGCCCACAGTACCATTTTTTTCGCCTTGGCCTCCAGGCCTGTGATGGGAGGGGCTGCCGCAAAATTCTCTGACATGCCCTGGAAACATTTTTCCCATTGTCTTGGTGATTAACATTTGGCTCCTTGTTACTTATGCAAATTTCTGTAGCAGGCTTGAATTTCTCCCCAGAAAATGGGTTTGTCTTTTCTATTGCATTGTCAGGCTGCAAATTTTCCAAACTTTTATGGTTTGCTTCCTCTTGAATGCTTTGCTCCTTAGAAATTTCTCCATCAGATACCCTAAATCATCTCTCTCAAGTTCAAAATTCCACATATCTCTAGGGCAGGGGCAAAATGCCAGCAGTCTATTTGCTAAAGCATAATAAGAGTCACCTTTGCTACAGTTCCCAGCAAGTTCCTCATCTCCCTCTAAGACCACCTCAGCCTGGACTTACTGTCCATATCACTATCAGCATTTTGAGAAAAGCCATTCAACAACTCTCTAGTTTGGGAAATTCCAAACTTTCCCACATTTTCCTGTCTTCCTCTGAGCCATCCAAACTCTTACAACTTCTGCCTGTTCCCCAGTTCCAAAGTCACTTCCACATTTTTGGGTATCTTTACAGCAGCACCCCACTACTGGGTACCAATTTATTGTGTTAGTTCATTTTCACACTACTAATAAAGAAATACCCAAGACTGGGTAATTTATGAAGAAAAAGAGGTTTAATGTACTCACAGTTCCACATGGTTAGGGAGGCCTCACAATCATGGCAGAAGGCAAAGGAGGAGCAAAGGCACTTCTTACATGGTAGCAGGCAAGACAGCTTGTGCAGGGAACTGCCCTTTATAAAACCATCAGATCAGTCCAAGTGCAATGGCTCATGTCTGTAATCCCAGCACTTTGGGAGGCTGAGGTGGGCGGATCACTTGAGGTAAGGAGTTTGAGACTAGCTTGGCCAACATGGTGAAACCCTGTCTCTACTAAAACAAATACAAAAATAAGCTGGGTGTGGTGGCAGGAAAATTGCTTGAACCCAGGAGGTGGAGGTTGCAGTGAGCCAAGATCACACCACTGCACTCCGGTCTGTGTGACAAGAGTGAGACTCCATCTCAATCAATCAATAAGATCATCAGATCTCATGAGACGTATTCACTACCACAAGAACAGCACACAAAAACCCACCCCCAATGATTCAATTACCTCCCACCCCATGTCCCTCCCATGACATATGGGGATTATGGAAGCTACAATTCAAGGTGAGATTTGGATGGGGACACAGCTAAACCATATCAGACAGGAAATTTAGTGCATCCAGTAAGGAGACTGCATCAATCTAATCAAGTACAGGCCTGGGTATAGTGGCTCATGCCTGTAATCCCAGTACTGTGGGAAGCCACAGAAGGGAGTCACTTGAAGCCATGAGTTCAAAACCAGACTGGGCAACATAGCAAGACCCTGTCTCTACAGAAAATTAAATAATTAGGTGAGTGCGGCAATGGGTGCCTGTAGTTCCAGCTGCTTGGGAGGCTGAGGTGGGAGGATCACTTGAGCCCAGGAGTTCAGGACAGCAATGAGCTATGATTGGGCCACTGAACTCTATCCTGGACAACAGAGCAAAACCCTATCTCAAAAAAGAAAAATGCTTTTTTTTTTTTTTTTTTCTGTTTTTGCCATGTCCTACTCATTTGTTCTATAGTTGAGTGCTTCCTATATGCCAAACTGTCCAGATAAGATTGACTTATAGGTTAATATAGCAGAATAATTTGAATTGTTATTTTTTAGATATAGTATTATTATAGCAGAAGACCTAAAAAACTAGTTTTTTTATGTTTAAAGTTTCCAGTAATTTTTTTTTTTTTTTTTTTTTTTTTGGAATGGAGTCTTGCTCTGTCTCCCAGGCAGGAGTGCAGTGGCGTGATCTCGGCTCACCGCAAGCTCTGCCTTCCAGGTTCACGCCATTCTCCTGCCTCAGCCTCCCGAGTACACTATTACATATTTTTAACAAGACTATTAACAAAACGGCCATAGTGGATCATTGTGTTTGGTTATAATTTCCATTTTTGTAATAAAATTATCTGCTTTTGCACTTGAACTCTTCAAAGCAGAAAGATAAGGGACTGTGGTCTAGCATTAATTTAATATGCCAGAATTGGTAAAAGGAAAGAATAATTCAATATACTCTGTCAAACAGAGTAGTCACCAATTAACTTCAAATCATTTAAATTACTTCTAGCTGTCAGCAAGGAAATTTCAAATCACTTAAACTTCTTCCAGTTGTCAGCAAGGAACAGAGAGAGAGATAAAAGTAGAGATGTGGAAAATAGCTAGAGGGACAAAAGGAGCATAAATAAGGTGGAGATAGGAAAAGACAATTACTTGTTTAATTTTAAGGCCCATTTTCATAAATGAAATGATTTAACACGACTGATGAAGTTGCTGTGGAAGAAGAAAAATTATCTTCTTTGATAGTAATGCCCCTTGATCATAATCTCAGTAACTTAAAGATGGTCCTGTGCATAAAGGAGCACATTTTCCCACTAGGATATTGAGTAAGGAATCAGTAAAATTAATGAACAACAGAAAGAAGATTTAGGCTTGAAAAGATCTGGTGTAATGTCAGAGAGGCCTGGGGAACCAGCAGTCTGGAACAAATAGCAAACCCTGGAGAGGGAGGGAAGATGAATCATGTAAAGTATTGTTTGTCATAAATACAGCGAGCTGATAAATGTGTAGCATGTGATACAAGAACACCATGCAAATCAGAATGTATGCGCTATTGGACAGCTGAGAGGAAAGAGTACTGGATTAGTCACTAGGAAAACTAGGGGTTTGGTGCTTTGTCTATATATCTTCTTACTGGGGTTCAAGCCTCTTTGTTTCCATTGAAATTATTACATTTCATATGATATTGTGATATAATTAAAATATATAGTTGATCTTTGTCCCTGGTTTCTGGCATAGAGCTTCTAAATGCCTTGGAATTTCCTGAGTGTTAGGGATGAGAGGAACATCTTTTGTTATTTATGGTAAGCCCCTTTCAACCATACCTGAGTTTATGCTAATAAGGTGAGTCTTGAAGGATGGGGGCTGGTTTGCCAGAGGAACCAACCAAGTGATTAGAGGATCGGAACTTTCAGCCCAAACTCTCAACCTCCAGGGAGGATAGAGGGGCTAGAGATTGACTCAGTCACCAAGGGTCAATGATTTACTCAACTGCCTATATAATGAGGCCTCCATGAAAACACTAAATGATGGGGTTAAGACAGCATCCAGGTTTGTGAACACATGCAGGTTCTGGGAAAGTGGTATACCCGAAGAGGGCATGGAAGCTCCATGCACCACTGCCCTCAATACCTTGTCTTGGGCATCTATTCCATTTGGCTGTTCCTGGGTTGTATCCTTTATAATAAACCAGTAATAGTAAGTAAAGTGTTTTCCTGAGTTCTGTGAATCATTCTAGCAAATTATCAAACCTGAGGAGGGAGTGCGGGATCCTCCGGACAGGACAGAAGTTGTGGGAAACCTGAGGACACTCTACCAGCAATTGGCATCTGCAGTGGGCTAGGGGCAGACTTGTGGACGAAGCCTATAACCTGTGGAGTTTGCCTAAACTCCCAGTATTAAGGATCATAATTGAATTGTAGGACACTCAATTGATATCCAGACTGTTGGAGAATTGCTTGATGTAAGGAAAAACCCCATACATTTGGTGTCATAAGTATTTTGTGGGTATAGAAAAAAAAGGGGGCATCTTTTATTTCCATTTTTAAATAGATTTTAGTTTTTAGAGCAGGTTTAGGTTCACAGCAAAATGGAGTGAAAGATACAGAGATTTCCCATATACCCCCTGCATCCACATATGCACATCCTGCCCCATTATTAACATCCCCATCAGAGAGTACTTTTGTCACAACTGATGAACTTACATTGACACATCATTATCTCCCCAAATCCAAAGTTTACATTAGAGCTTACTCTTCATGTTGTACACTCTATGGGTTTAGACAAATTTATAATAACATGTACCCATAATTAGAGTATCATAAAGAGTAATTTCACTGCCCTAAGTTCGTCTGTGGTCCACCTGTGCATCCCTCCCCACCCCCAACCCCATTTTGTTTTTAAGTGTTTCTTTACTTCCCCAGTACACAGGCTCCAATGTCACCTTCACTAAAATGAGTTAAAATGAATCAATATAATTTTGTTGTTGTTATTTTTAATTTTATTTAGAAAGTGGGTATTGTTTTTGAAGAGATGCATCAGTAGAAGCCTCTCCTCGATATGCTGCATGCTCACTCATTGGGATAAATACCTGATTTCACATTATATGAATGTCCATTAAGAAGGGTGCAAGCTAACATCTGCAGAATTCCTACTTTGTACAAAGTACTGTTCTAAACATTCTATACTGTCACCTCCTTTAAAATTACCACCACTCATCGAGGCCCTGAAAAGTTCAGTAACTTGCCCATTATCACATCACTTGTAAAGGATGGATCAGGGATCACACCAGGACATCATAGCTTCAAGGTTTGTATTTCTCCATCATAATATTTTGTACATACACACTGGTTGTACCAGTGATAGGGACAGGAGGCAGAGTAATTCTAGGCAGAAGAGGCAGGTCCCTGACAAAACCCCACCCTCAAGCCAAAGGCCTGAAACTGTGGCCCAAAATGAGAACCTACATCCTTGTTTTCCCATTCAAATGTTGCCTTTTCCTAAACCACCCATGGCCCACCCTGCCCTCCATCCTCTGCCTGTAAAGACCCCAGACTCAGCCAGCAGAGAGGAGAAGCGGTGGGATGTTGGGCTGGATATCAGAGAGAAGTGGCTTGACTTCAGAGGGACAGCTTGACAGTGTAACTTTGGAGAAGAATCTGGCCAAAGACAGTCAGACTTTGGGGAAAGATTATGTGTCTGCCCTGTCTCCTTTTCAACTCCCCTTCCCACTGAGAGCCACTTTCATCAGCAATAAAATCCCGTTCATTTACCATCCTTCAATTCATTCGTGCAACCTCATTTTTCCTGAACACTGGACAAGAGCTTGAGAGCCACAAGTGTGGATGCAAAAGGCTATCACACTGGCCCTTTGCCCTCGCTGATGGAGGGCAGCCACCTCATGCGAAAAGGCAGAGGACCCACTGAGCTGTTAACACTTAAGCTGTCCTTGGATGCCAGAGCTAAAAGAGCACTGTAACACACATTCTGGGGCTTCAGGGGTCAAAGGCAGCCCCCTTGAGGCTGCCATGGGGCCTGCATGGAGTTTGCTTCTGCTGGTGCGCAAAGCACTTGCCCTGGCTCCTGTAACCGCTCACCTGCATGCTGCCTCCTGTGAGGGGTGGAGTGCAGCGGGTCTGAGTGAGTGGAGGTAACTCCTGCCAGTGCAGAAGCAGCCAGCTGGTTCCAGCACTCGTGGACTCCAGTTCCTGCCTCTTTCTCTCACATGCTCTCTCCCACAAGGAGTTGAAAGCTGCGGGCTGGGTAAATGAGGCAACACTGCAGTGAGTCCCATGAATGGGACAGGAAAATGTCCTGCTTCAGCAGAAATAAGTGGAATGTTAGAAGGAGCATATTTTGAGGGTTTTACATGTTTTCCCACTCATCCTAAACTTGGTTACACCCATTTTAAATAGAAAAAAACTGAACTTGAGAATGATTGAGTAACTTGCTTAAATCTTGTTTTTTTCATTTATAGCAGCTCACTAATACTTCTTAGAGTATTTGTTTATTTATTAGTGAGCTCCATTAGCAGCTCACTAATACTTCTTAGAGTATTTGTTTGTTTATTTGGAGAGAATACAATATTAAAATCTATATTCAATTTTATCTTTTCAACTTCATCTTTATATAAAGACATTAAGAAACTAGTATTGTTGCCAAACAACAGGGGTTTGGTCAAGGTCCAGTTGCTTGCTGTGAAGAAAGCCAGTCATTGAGACGACAAATATTGCCAGGGAAGAAGGCTTTAAGATGGGTGGTATCAGCCAGGAGATGGGAGATAAGTCTCAAATCTGTCCCCCTAACCCACTAAAAATAGGGATTTATGTAGTGGGTAAGGAATGTAGCTACATAAGGGAAAACAGGAATTAGGGAGAGTAAGGAAAAGGAATTGGTTAACAGGAAGCAGATCGTTGGTTAGGCAATCATAGGGGATGAGGGGTTTAGTGTCTCACTGTCTAGATGCTATTATCTGGTGAGTTTCAGGTCCTTGATACTATCTGGGAGGCCTGAAGATTAGTTTCCTGACAAAGGAACTCAGATAAGACACATGTAAGTTTCAAGCTTTATGATGGGGAGAGTCAATTTCTATATTTATTCAAAAAATCTTGAACATTAGTTCTATTGGAAAATTGGGCTGGTTTTAGTCCCCCCTTTCTATTATTGGTTCATCAATCATGAGGAATCTTGGTGTTGATCTTTTGACTGCTTAATGCTGAGAAAGGGAGTGTTGGGATAATGAGGAATGAAAACGCTATGTCTGTAATTGAAGTACTCATGAGTACCTGGTCAGCATTGGGCTTGTTGGAGCACTGTGATCTGGGTACTCTCATTAACAGTTTTAGAACAACATTTTAAGCCACATTTAAATATAAGACTAAGCATGATGTGTAAAACCAAGATAATTAATAACGTAGATGACCCAACTTTAAAAATACCAAGGAATCCTGAAAACCTGTCCCCTAATCCAGGTCTGTTCTCCTTTACATGTTATAACTGGGAGACTTCAATATGTACTCCTACTTCAACTGATGTATTAATGTAGGTACAGCAAGATGAATTGGCAATTACATATACCCCTGCCTTGTTCAGTGAGCAAATACTCCAAAGCTATGTGGTTATCTAAAACTACTCTAGCCAAGGAGTCTAGAGACTTTTTTTGGGCAACAATAGCAGTCACTGTTTCACTTGCTATAATCCACAGGGTAATGGAGAGCTTTCTAAGTACATGTTAATGAGCTGCTACTCCCCACCATGGGAGTGTAACCAAAAAATATCTGGTTCTGTCAAGAATGCTCCCAGGCAAATACTCCTTGGGGACACCCTAATTGGGATCTCTCTCCAAGAGTCCTCTAGTTACCCTGGAGAATAATTTCAAAGAACTAGTCCAATGTCTGACCAAGCTCTCATTATCTACTGTAAAAGGGGTGACAGAGTATCCTAATAGACAGTGCCCTTTGTCTCCTTTCCTAGGCATCTATATGCCCAAGGCCTATTCTCTTGTTTGCAAACAAACATGTAGCCCTCAGGAGCACAGGTCACTGTATCTTGGGCAGAAGCAGTCATTCAGGCTATCTTTTCTAACCAGAGATCAGTTAGATTATTACCAAATCCAGACAAAGCCAAGCCTGCTCAAAAGTCTTCCTGATTCCTTATATCCTGATCAAATGGAGTTCTGTCTGGGTCACCATCAAAGAAAAAAAGTGCTTGACTTTTTATTTATTTATTTTAGGAAGAGTAAGGAATAGCCTTTCTGGGATGACAAATAGAAACAGGAGGTCTTCCTGGTCCCTAAAAGGGTCCATGTAAGGCATACTCATTACACTATTCTTTTAGGAGTCTTTGGATGTTCAAATGTGCAGATAGAGATATGCAAAAAGGCATGAACTGGTTGGATTAAGGAGTCATTATGGTCCAGAACAGATTGGAACTTTGGGTCACATATCCAACAGTGGGATAAGGTTGCTTATGAAGCAATAGCTTGTGAAATATGAATTAGTGAATTATCCTTCCATCTATAATCAGGAAGGATCTAGAGAACAATAACAGCCTGGAAAGCACATGTTCCTTTATGATTTCTTATGTAAGGTCTTTGGCTGGACTTTGAATATTAATTTAAAGTTGTAGGAGGGCTCACAATACCATGACTGTTTCCTCTGGAGGGATATTTGAGGGACTAGTTTTACCCAATTTTGGTGAATCCATGGCTTAACTTGTCTGATGAGTGGGTGGTCAGTTGTGGTCACAGTTGGTCTTCAGCCTGGTGGGATTTCCAGGTTTTCAGCAGGACTTGGTCCCTCAGTTTCAAATAGTAGAAAGGCACATTGGTAGGGACCTGGAGCCTATTGGAAGCAAACTTAGATGGACTACTTAATATATTTTCTATTTGTTTTATATATGTTTGGGGGTAGGTAAAATCTTCAAGTGATAGGGAGTCCGGGGGGTAAGAGAAATGGTTCCTGTTACTTAGGATGCACATTCTCCTGACCTTACTCCAAGCATAATAGAAACACAGTTACCACCCCTAGACTGCAGAGCTTGAGGAATCTTCTGGAATTAAATACAAAGTAAACATTTGGCAAAATCTAGACTAGTTTTGGAGACTCTGTTCAAGGTAACAGTTTCAGTCACTTGTTAACACATTTTCAAATTTTTTAAAGGGAGGAGGAATAACTGGTTTCCAATCTACTGACTTCATTGCCATAGTAACAAATGTATTGTTCATATAGGTACCAGAATGCATAGAAGAATTTTTCTTTTTTTAAAAAAAAGTGTATTTAATTTCTAAAAACTAAGTCTGAGTCTGAGAAATGATATCCCGAAGTCTAATCCAATCACCCTCAAAGCACCCCAGAGCTAGAAAGGATTTCAAAGGAGGATTAAAAACAAGATCAGCTTTAACATTAGGCAAAGATCCATGGGCAACCTTCTTTAAACAATAACAAAAAGAGCTTACTAAAGTTGATACTTAAATATCTGAAGTAATGGAATAGTTTATATAGTTCAATAGTAATGGAACAGAAATTGAATAATCTAAACATTTTAAATCCACTCATGAATTTTATTTGGAACGTGTTTTGGTCTGATCAATGCACATGAGTGTGTTATTGTGGAAATTCCTTTGAAAACAAAACTTTAAAAGAACTACAGGTCTATCCAGCATCCCTAAGTCTGCCAGTATCCTTACCTCTAGCCTATACTTTGACCCAGAGTGCTGACAAAGTGCAGCACTTGCTACCATGCACGTATCAAGGTAGCTTAGTAAAACTGCCTCCTAAAGATGATCACCTCCCTTGTAAGATGACCGATTTCCTCTGAACTAAGTAACGCGGCAACTTTTAGAATGAACAAAAGACTTAATGAAACAGAAAGTTGTCTAATCTCTAAAGGTCTTAAAAGTAGGACTTGCCATGACTAATTAAGTGCTGACAACAGAAGAAATTCCAACTCCAACAAAAGGAATGATACACTATTGTGAAAGCATTCCCTAGGGTAAGCACAAAATAAACTTTTTATCAGAAAATATTTCATAAATTTTTACTTTTTTTTCAGAGCAGGAGTGGAGGTTTATTTAAAAAGGCTTTAGAACAGGAAAGAAAGGAAGGTATACCTGGAAGAGACCCAAGCAGGTGACTTGAAGAACAAGTGCCTAAATTTCTATGTTTTTACTGTATGTTTGGGTAACATAAGGCATCTAAGAGGATTAAATAAATATTACTCCTATTTGGCACATGGATGCAAAGAATATTATGATACTATATATAATTATCTATCCCACTCCTACAGAAAACAATGTTCAGACACAGTGCGAAACAGCCAAGTTATATTTTAAGAACTAAAACAGATGCCACTTCTAATTCAAAACTAAGAAGAAAAACTGTATATTGTGGAACAAAGGATTTTCCCTTGTGAAATTAATTTTAGTGGCTAACCTCTCAAAAATTTGTAAATGTATGACTTTGTAAAATGCTTTACTCAATATACTTAACTAGTATATATATGCTTTTTCATGTGAAACACAGGAACATAATTTCTATCAGCAAAGTTAAAAATGTAATTAAAGAAAAAGAAATCAAATTTAACATAAAAGATAGGCAATAGAGAAATGTCATTTTAACCTTGGTACCAAGCTACAATTCTTCCTTGGTCAACCTCTCCTATATTATCCCAGATATTCAATTTATTTTCAATCTTTCATGAAATTGGACCTCTTAGTCATTTAAAGAGCAGGAGAATTTACAATAATTAGTGAAAATTATTCAATTCTCATACATTAGTTATTTGCATTTGTGGATATAAAGTGGTGACTCAGTACTTTATCAAAATATAGGTTTATGAAAATATTGGGAATATAAGATTGAAATTTAACAATTACATTTTTAAAACTAAACTAAGAATTTTTATTTTAAGCATGAAGCATAATTGTTATAGAAAGTCTTCTGAAACATCACTTGATTTTCAATAAAAACAGCTTCACACAATGCAGAAACTATAATGTATCATCCTGCAACAATATATTTACTTGTCAATCCTAATCTAAAATGTACTTAAACAACAATGAAAATCTCCTTTAATAAATCCATAAAGTCTTATTTTTAACCACTACTGCTCTGTAGCAATAATTGAAGTCCCAATATGAGCACTGAGAATGTGATAATAAAATATCAAAGGCTGTATCAATCTTTAAATAAAGACACTGAAGCCTGTTGCCAACTGGCATCAGGTGTAGTAAGTACATCAGAGAAATGTGAGTAATCCAAGGAAGTCCCCTGAAATCAGCAGTACCATCTGCCACAATTTAAAACATTAAGTGTAAAACTCTGTTCTAATTATTTTATAGAAGTTCTATTTCACACTTAATATTGTTAACATATTTGCAAACTTATAAAATTCTCTATATAAAGGGTTTTGAACTTCTTCAGCTAAACACTTCCTCATTGCCAGAAAAACATTTCTAATGAAAGAAAGAGAGTATATCCATGAATATCTGAGACTGAAGAATAAATTACTTCTTATGGTCATAGCCAATTACAATACAAGAAAAAAAAATTCACAATTTGAAGAAAAAAAAAAAACAGCAAATGTAATTCCTCAGAAAGACCCCTGGAAGGGCCAAACTTCTCTAGATTCCGAAGAATATTGGGGCCAAACAGCATTACAAAAGAATATCATTTTCTTTTCATTCCATTGGCTCGTAACTATATTCAGACCAGTTTTGAAGAATGCACCCAAGTGGAGGCATTCCTAGATCAAATCCTGTGTTCCCTTGATCACATTGACACACACACACATAAGCAAATAAACAATTATCAAAATACAATCTAACTGCAGCAGTGACTAACAAGCCACGAGAGTTCAAACTCAAACAGTTGGGGTGTTTTTTACTCTCATGCCAGTCAATTGGGCTTTTCCAACCTGCAAAAAAATGGAAATTCCTTTGGAATTCCCCAAATTGAGGAGTAGCTCCCACTGTCTAGTACCCATAAAAGACACTCACCTTGATGGATACAGATGTCAAATTTCAAAGCCTGTCCTTCATAAGTAATCAAGAATATGGTTGGGGCCAGCAGCAGTGAGGGAAGAGAGAGAAACAAAAACCCGCCTCTGGATGAATATAGCTGGGCAGCTGCTGGGAGGGTTTCCAGATCTCTCTAGCCTGTGGCCACTGAGCCACAAGCACTGCAATCCAAGTCACAGCACCAGAATTTTATTGCTGAATGCCTGGGTGTTGGCCAAGCTGTGGTTTCTCACTGTATCGAAAGCTATCCATTGAAACAACGAGTATTGCTAGGGAAGAAGGTTTTAATGTGGATGATGTCAGCCAGGAGATGGGAGATAAGTCTCAAATCCACCTGACTAAAATTAGAGTTTTGTAGAGTGGGGAAAGAATGTAACTATGTGTGCCAAAACAGGAATTAGGGAGGGATAAGGAAGAGGAGTAGGTCAACAAGAAGCAAGTGGTTGGTTAGTCAGTTATGATGGTTGAGGGGTCTGCTGTCTCACCATCTGGATGCAGGGATCTGGTGAATTTCAGTCCCTTGATGCTATCTGAGAGGACTGATAGTTGGTTTTCTGACAAAGGAACTCAGGTAAGACAAATGTAAGTTTCAAGCTTTATTATTGGGAGGGCCAATTTCTATATTTATCCAAAAAATCGTAAACATTAGTTGTGTGGGAAAATTGAGCTGGTTTCAGCACTACTCAGCCAATTGAAACAGAGCTCACCATTTTTTCTAATGTAATAAATATATATTTAATATATCTTTTTTTACTTTTTCAAATTTACAGTAATCCTAAAATAAAGATAGTATTATCAGAAGCTGAGAAAAACATAGTTACACATAGATTATTGCTGCACCAAAATGTTTACAGGGAAATATTCTCTCCTGAAGCCAAACTCCCACAGCAACTTTACAAGTGAGCCTCAGAGCAAGAAAATAACTTGGTTAAGACCATGCAGCTAGAGGACAAGAGTTGGGATTCAAACCTGATAAATCTGACTTTGAAAATTTCACTACCGGCCACCCACCAATTGTTCTCAACTTTTCGTGCATGTTAAAATAATCTGGGACCTTAAAAAATATCACTAGGCCAAGGCTGTACCCAGAAACAATTAAATGAGAATTCTCAGGAGGGTCATGGCCCTGGCATCAGTGTTTTTCTGTTTCTTTTTTTTCTTTTTTTTTTTTTTTTAACGTTCTAGGTGATTCTAATGGGCAGCCAGTTTTGAGGATCACTGCACAATGACTCATCGCTATTCCTGGTACACTCCTAACTCCTAGAAGGCAACTGTATTTAAGAAGTATTTATAGAGCTCTAAAAATGATGCCAATACATTTAAAAACTTATTATCCATGTCTTCAAGAACTTACTAAACTAGTATGAAGATAACAGATGTATTTATCAGCTAAATAACAATACAAGGTTGTGCTGTGTTGGTTGATTTGGAGACAAATGCTGTAGAACCTGAGGGTTTCAAGGATAGATTTAGGACATCCTCAGATCACCAAGCTAGTTTTTCTGCGTAAGTATATATTCAGTTCCAAGACTGATTGATGGATAGATGAATAAAAAGATTATTCATAGCTTTTGTCAGATTCTCAGTATCAACATTGATGCAGAAAAGGCTAAGAATTACTGCTGAGGGTTCAGAAGAGGGAAAGCTGCAAATGATGCAGTGGTCAGAGAGATAATTGCAAAGAAGATAGAACACATGCAGGGCATTGAAGGAACCCAATATGATGATATGAGAGGAAGGAAGGAAGATCCAGAGTGGAGCAGGAACAAAGCTATGAAGGCAAAAATATTCCCCCTAGTTTTAGGGTATTGTGAGGGAAGGTTAGCCTTGAGGCTCCTTGGGAAATTCGTAAGTTAAATGTCAGGGGTGATATTTTCTTCCTTCTAGATCTCTCACTAATTAATAGATTGCTTTTATAAGACTGTGAGTGAAAGGCTCAGTGCTCTAAGTAGATGCTCTAAGAAGACAGAAGACACTTTTGCAGATTGCTTTATTTTCTATTCAATATAACATTCGGTAACAGTCAAGTATCACCTCCAGTGGCTCCTCTGATTTCTGTGATGAGGCCTTTATTACAATTGTTTCCATGTCCAAGGAGAATTAAAGGCATCCTCTACAATGTCTCCCTTGTCCATCTTAGGAGGGCCAGCCAAGGAGAGGTTGACCCACAGGCAAGCTCTGTAAATAGGGACTTCTGTCTCTCAAGGTAACCTGATGTGACTGGCAGGGATGACACATAATTCCACATTTCCCTTCCTCTTTTGAGCTTCTTTCAAAGAAGCATGCATGGAAAATTTCCCTGACATAGGGCAAGATATAAATATTAAAGAGCATCTCATGCATTTATTATCTTTACCTTGTCATATATATAAATTATCACGAGAAATGGAATAGGCTAGGCTTTGCAACACCGTCCTCTCCTGATGAAAAGTAATCAATTCCATATGGTTAAGAGTAAAGGAAATGCTGTCACATGGCAAATGACCAGGAGTCTCTTACCCCTTTGGTCTGCTGAAGCATAATTATCTAAGTGTCTCTTGGAATAAGAGCTACCACTTTAGTGGATACTAATTATGTATTAAGCACTGGGCTAAAGACATTGAATATATTAGGTTATTCGATCTTCACAAACAATGTTGTGAAAAAAATATTATTAACCTTAATTTCTACTTGAGGGAATTCTGGCTTAGAAATGTAAGTAACCTGCCTAAGATCACACATCTGGTAAATGGGAGAGCCAGGGCAAACCCAGATCTCTTGATTCTCTGCCGCTACAGGATACAGCCTTCTGGTACAGATTTAAGTCCAAGTTTGAAACATGATAGTAATACCTTGAGAATAAGATGTCATCTAATAGCGATGAATGGAGGATGTATTGGAGAGGGAATTGCCTGGGCTTAGGAGGAATAGTTAGGAACACACTAATACAGTACTCTTTTCCGTATCAGATACTTTTCAATTAGTTTGGAAGTGACCTGTTTTAACAGTTATATTCATTCAATAGAGATTCTATAAATTATGGTAGAAAACAATGTAGCTATTAAAAACAATGAAGCAATACTCTATATGGATAAAGACAGATGTCTGAGATATGTTTTCAAGTAAATCAAACAAAATATAGAATATCCTGTACAGTTTTCTACTTTCTGATGAAACGGATATATGCATAAATTCGTTAGGAAATATAAAAATATTCATGGAAAGACACACATGAAACTGGAAATAATAGCTGTCCTTGTGTGGCTAGGTAATGAAGTGGGAGGGAAACAGAAGTTTCATTGGAGATACCTTTTTACCTTTTGGATGTTGGGCAGTGAGCATGTATTACCCATTTAAACACAGAGGTATTCTACCTGTATGATGACACAGATGGAGTTCTCAATGGCAAGGTTGATATTTGAAATAAACTTGCAAATTTTAGTTTTAGAAACCTTAGTAAAATGAGGTATTTTATGAAGCAAACCAATGACATAAGTTCATTTATTGGTCCTGAAGGGACATATGCAGGCTATTGAAGGAATATATTGTTCAGCATATGTACACAGACTTTTGTACTTGTTTATGTTTGAATTAATATGTTTTTTCTTTGAGACTGAATTTTTAAAATATAAGATCACTAACAAGCCATATTTTGAGGGGATAAATTAATAAGTAGATTGGAAGAAATTCTATTGAATGTTGGAAATATAAAGTATATGAAAAGTCTAAAATGTTTTTACAAAGTATTTCCCTTATTTTCCCATCTCCAACTCACATACAAAGTTCAGAATACCAGAAAACTCGCTATGAGTACATGAGAAAACTGAAATAGATCCCAAGTGTTTTGTTCCCACACAATAATCTTCCTTCTCTTTCACTTATAATTAACATTTTACATTTTTAAACTTTATATATTGCTTAATTTTTGCAAAATCTTCCCCTTCCAGTAACATCAGTATATGTAAACCCCAGAAAAATCGATTGTCCCCCTTTGTCCATCTCAAGCGCTTGAATGGATTTTGGTGAAAACCCAATACTGATTTGAAAGAAGAAGAATAATAAAAAAAAGAACGTACTTTTCACTCCCAATCTTTCTCTGCTATATTGAGCAATTTTCTGGTATGTTTCTACTTGCCTTTCTTATACTGTCTGCCTGGTGACAAAGACTGATTTCTCAAAAGCAAACCAATATTTGAAATAAGCCCACAACATTCGGTTTTAGAATACTAGTAGAAAGATCAAGCATGCATTTTATGAGGCATGCCAGGTTCAGAATTATGCAAAACAATTTTTCATTGCATAAAAATAAAAGTATAAACATGCCCTAAACCCATCATTTTTCCTATTCTCTAAAGTAACATTCTTATTTCTCTGAGTTCTTTTCAATTTTTCAAAAGATTAAGACATTCTTAGTCATACCAAGCTTTCTTAAGTTAGGACAATTTTCTGATGCTTTTGTATACTTACAAAAATATGTGCATGAGTTTTCTGAAATTTAAACCCACTTATTTGGTGGAACCCCCTTATTAGCAAAAACAATTTATATATGCCAAAACAAGCCATTTTATATAGAAATTCCACTAAGTAATAAGGAGATGAGAGAGTGTTATTATATTTAATACTTTCTTTACATTATTTCCTAAGTTTTAAAATCTAGAATTATTTCTTTTTTTTAGTTAAAATTGGGCTAAATTGGATTTTCTAAATTCCAGTTATTTTAAGAGATCAGACAATGGAAACTACTTACTAATGGCAGAACAAGAAGCAGTTCTACCAGAAATAGAAGCTAGTTTTTATTCCATATTGTGCTAATGTTTCTGACACAACCCACATTTCTTGGAAATAAATTCTGAAAATTAAAACAGAAGTATTAGAACCCATTTGAACTGTAGCAGCTATTTATATTAGTGTGACTCAAAGTGCGGGTCACAGACTGATGCTGGTCCTCAAAGTGTTACTTGTTCATATTGAGATAGGAAGAAAACTTGAGTTGTTTAGAAACGTTTATAGCAATTTGATATTGCTACAACATCCAAGCACACAATTTAGTAATTAGTTTTTATACTTTTCGAAAAAATGTCAATCTGGCAGGAATTGGAAATGTAAAAATCTTATTCTTTACCACAGAGAGTCTGAGAAGCACTGCTCTGGAGAACATTTGTGAGACTCTGGAAGAGTTTCAGGTAGAGAAGGAAATGGATAAGAAACAACTCTGGTGGAAAAAAAAAACGAGGAAGGAAGGGAGGAAGGAAGCAAAGGTGGAAGGAAGGAAACAAGGAAGAGAGGGAGGGAGGGGGAGGGAGTGGGGGGAAGGATGGAGGGAGGGAGGGACTTAAACTACTCAGCAACAAACACAAATGAACACAGTAGAAGACTGGAAATGTATGTCCCATGTGAGGGAAAGATTAATTTTCCCCTTCAAGTGTTCTCATTGATTGTGACTTCTCTGTTTAAGTCAGCCTCTTTCCAGCCTCAGGTGACAGAACCCAACTCAACACAGCGTAAACAGAATGAGATAACCCATTGACTTGCATAAGTGGAGACTCTCGGTATAAAGCTTATCACAGGGATTCTAAAGATTTGGGGTCATTATTATTATTTATTCATTTATGCTGTCCCACTCCTTCTCCTACCCCTCTCTCCCATCATTTCTCTGTCAGGATTGTCCTATACTGTTTTACTGTAGATGGGATTCTACCATGTAGTGGGGAAGAGGGGATAGCTTTTGATGGCGCATGGCTTATGTCATCTTACCTTAGCCACTTCAGAGGTAAGGGGGAGCCTAAGAGAGCAGACATAAAATACCCAAGGAGTATTCTAACGGCCCCACTTATTCAGTGTGCTCAATTTTGTACCATTTCTCACAGCCAAGGAGAGAGGAGAATACATCTATGCACATGTCTGTGGCCAGGGTGGGTTAGACTGGGGTGGGGCGCAAATGGAGAACTATGATCAACAGCCCCACTGGAAGCACATTGTTAAGGGCAAGTTCCCCAGTGATAGGGAGATGATGTTATAGAAGAATGGAAGAAGGGCGGAGCAGAACAAGCATGGAATCCAACAAATATGAGAAGTAGCAGGTGGTAGAAGACATAAGAAAAAATTCAATCAGGAAAATGAAAAGGGAAGAAGTGCTCATCCCCAGCAACTTGAGAAAAATAAGATGATATGTTTTTCCAATTCCGTTTTCTCTCTCATACATGAGGTACTGTGTTTATATATGAAAATAGTCTGACCCTAATTTGCCCCAGAATTAGAGAGGTTCAGAGTCTTGCTTATGGGACCTCCTATAGACTGGACTCCTATAGACTCCTGATAGAGGGGTGTGTGATGATCACTATACCCTCTGTAAGACAGACTTCAAGCCAACTGGGTGCCAAATGCTCTCTGATACAAGTCTTCATAGCCCTCTATATATTTAGGCTCTGACCCACTCAGGGTTCTAGGAATAATTGTGGTCTTAAGCAGAAGGGATTTGAAGAGCACTATGTTGACAGCCTTACCTTATGTATCATCTTGCTTCTGACAACTGAGTATTTATCTTGATTATAGGAACCAGTCTCCACTTCTACCCTGGTATGGCTTTCTCAGCTCACTGCACAGTTCAAGCCCCTATTTAATAACCCATACAATATCCTTGTTCCTCTAGAAGCAAGGCCTGTGTTTGTGCTAGGCCCTAGTGTTCAGATATGGGCTCAGTACTCTGGTGACTGAAACAATTGGCCCCTGCCTATTGGGCTATCAGAATAACATCTGTTCCTGATATCCCTTTGGTTGCATCTATTATGTCACCACATTCTTCTAGGTTAAATTCACCCAGTTCATAGATCTCAACTCAGTTTAGTTGGTATCTGCAGCACCTGATCTATTTCAGGAGGCACATCTATTTCTAGGTTAGTGTTTCCTACAGTCTTTACTGTCCCTTTGCTGTTAACCTGATTTTTATATGACCAATTACAAATATAATTCATGGAATTAAGAACAACTCAAAAATATTTGCAAGGTCAGATATTTGATCATTCTTCTAATCTCCCAATTCTGCATCTGTTGATTTCCATTGGTGCCATTCTGTTAGTTAGTGTGCCAGAACCAGCTCAACACATTTGCCCTGTTGATAATGGAAACATAATCTGCTCAAATTATCTTTATGAATTGAGAGATTATAATATTACTTTGTAAAATGGAAAACACAATGATGGCTGAGCATATTTGTTACTTGCTTAGTCTGCCAATAAACCAATGGGTGCATCTACTTCCATCAGAGTAGCTCAGCATATTGCTTATTGGGTCAGATTCTCCTGCCTCAAATACTGTTGCAAATGTCTTTGTAAGCCCCAATTAACACTTTTAGGCTATTAAGGGGTATAGCAGTGTTTAGCAGACTATTTTGCTGACTGAAAAATATTCTTCTGCACTGGTAATATTCAGACTGATGGGTGAAGAAGAGAAAACTCAGTAAAACATGAGTTAGGACTCAGAATTTAAAGATTCATAATTAGGTTCACAGTGTATGGAAATTTTAGTTTTGAAGCAAAGGAAGCTAAAAATAAACTTAAATATAATCAGGAAAAGCAAAGGAGGAGTTTAAAAGTCACAATCCTTTGTTCTTATTTATAAATTGAAGTGATACTGGTCATTAGAGAAATACAAATCAACGCCAGTTAGAATGGCAATCATTAAACAGTCAGGAAACAGAAGATGCTGGAGAGGATTTGGAGAAATAGGAACACTTTTACACTGTCGGTGGGAATGTAAATTAGTTCAACCATTGTGGAAGACAGTGTGCGATTCCTCAAGGATCTAGAACCAGAAATATCATTTGACCCAGCAATCTGATTACTGGGTATATACCGAAAGGATTGTAAATCATTCTACTATAAAGATACGTGCACATGTATGTTTATTGCAACACTGTTCACAATAGCAAAGACTTGGAACCAACCCAAATGCCCATCAATAATAGACTGGATAAAGAAAACGTGGCACATCTACTAGAATTCATCCATGTAAGCCTTCTGCAACAGTGTTTTGCTACCCACTACTAACAATGTAGCACAGAAACAGCTGAATAAAGGAATATGTGAAGCCACAAACACTATAGTATTTTACAAACCTTGTCTCTTATTAAGGAACAAGTAGAACTAATGTCATGCAGATTATTCTAAACTGCTATGTTGTATGATATATTCCAAGTAATTCCATTTTCAATAATGGATTAGGGCTGTTTATTCTTTTGGAAATTCAAAATAAATCTCATTATGAAGCTGCAAACCATTCTGAGGAAAACAAATATAAAAACAAGATGAACTTTTATGTCCTTTTCAAGTCTGAACTGCTATGAAAACACTACGATTAGGAAATGACATGTTTTAATGACCAAAATGTTTTCAATGATGCTATTAAAAATTTCTAAGCTATCTAATCTGAATCTAATACATTTTCAAGTTTTGTTGGTTTTTACCTCAGAATCCTTTACATCTATCTATTCATTTCTATCTATCATTCCGAGACTTCTAAACTGTTACTGATCAAACTCCCTTATTAGGTATTGCTTTTTAGCTTGCAGTCGAGATATAGGTAAATAGATTTATTTGTTTATCAATTATACAAATGCACCACTGTATTAACATTTATACATTGTAAAATTATACAATGATAAATGCAAAACGTTTAAAAGTAAATATAAATACAAATAGAAGTTCAAATATTTCTTCTTGCCCATTCAGTGGCTGGCCTTGTATGCCACTTGGGTTATATTCCCCACTCTGAGAACTGGCCTGGACTGTAACTTGCAAACTGTTCTCTTGCCCCCTTTCTCACCCTTTTTCTGTCTGATATGGTTTGGCTCTATGTCCCCACTCAAATCTCATGTTGAATTATAATCCCCAATGTTGGGAGAGAAACCTGGGGAGAGGTGATTGGATCATGGGGGTGGATTTCCCCCTTGCTGTTCTTGTGATTGTGAGTGAGTTTTCATAAGATCTGGTTGTTTGAAATTGTGTAGCACTTCCCCCTTCACTCTCTCTCTTTCTCCTGCTCCTGCCATATAAGATGTGTTTGCTTCCTGTTTCCCTTCTACCATAATTGTAAGTTTCCTGGGGCCTCTCCAGCCATGCATCCTGTATAGCCTGCAAAACCTTGAGTCAATTAAATCTGTTTTCTTTATAAATTATGCAGTCTCAGGTAGTTCTTTATAGCAATCCCAGAATGGATCAATACTGAAAATTGGTAATAGAGAAGTGGGACATTGCTATAAAGATAACTGAAAATGTGGAAGCAACTTTGGAGCTGAGTAACGGGCAGAGGTTGGAACTGTTTGGAGGGCTCAGAAGAAGACAGGAAGATGAGGGAAAGTGGGACTTGTTAAATGGTTGTTACCAAAATGTCCATAGTGATATGGGCAGTGAAGTCCAGTCTGAGGTGGTTTCAGATGGAGATGGGAACTGGATAAAGGTCATTCTCACTATACTTTAGCCAAGTTACTGACAGCATTGTGCCCCTGTTCTAAGGATCTGTGGAACTTTGAATTTGAGAGAGATGATTTGGGATATCTGGCGGAAGAAATTTCTAAGCAGCAAAGCATTCAAGATGTGGCCTGGTTGCTTCGAACAGCATATGCTCATATATGTGAACAAAGAGATTATCTGAAACTGAAACTTATATTTAAAAGGGAAGCAGAGCATAAAAGTTTAGAAAATTCTCAGCCCATCCATGTGGTAGAAAAGAAAAACCCATTTTCTGGAGAGGAATTCAACACTGCAGGAATTTGCATAAGTATAGAGGAGCTGAATGTTAATAGGTAACACAATGGGGAAAATGTCTCCAGGGTATTTCAGAGACCTTTGTGGCAGCCCCTCCCATCATAGGCCTGGAGGCCTAGGAGGGAAAAATCATTTCATGGACAAGGCCTAGGGCCCTGCTGCTCTGTGCAGCCTCAGGACATGGAGCCCTGCATCTTGGCCGCAGCTGCTCCAGCTCCAGCCACGGCTAAAAGGGACAAAGGTACAGCTCTTGTTGTTACTTCAGAGGGTGCAAGCCCTAAGCCTTTGCAACTTCCACATGGTGTTGAGCCTACAGGTGTGCAGAAGGCAAGAGCTGAGGGTTGGGAGCTTCTGCCTAGATTTCAGAGGATGAATGGAAATGCCTGGATATCCACTCAGAAGTCTGCTGCAGGGGTAGAACCCTCATGGAGAATCTCTACTAGGGCAGAGCAGAGAGGAAATGTGTGGTTGGAGCCTCCACATAGAGTCCCCACTGGGGCACTGCCTACTAGAGTTGTGAGAAGAGGGCCATCATCGTCCAGACCCCAGAATGGTAAATCCACTGACGAGTTTCACTGTGTAACTGGAAAAGCCACAAGTACTCAATGTCAGCCCATGAAAGCAGCTACAGGGGCTGGACCCTGCAGAACCACAGGGCTGAAGCTGTCCAAGGCCTTGGGAGGCCACCCCTCACATCAGTGTGGCCTGGATGTGAGATATGGATTCAAAGGAGATTATTTGGGAGCTTTAAGATTTAATAACTGCCCTGCTGAAGTTCAAACTTGCGTGGGACCTGTAGCCCTTTTTGTGTTGGCCGATTTCTCCTTTTTGGAATAGGAGTATTTAGCCAGTGCCTGTACCCCCATTGTATCTTGGAAGTAAGTAATTTGTTTTTGATTTTACAGGCTCAGAGGTGGAAGGGACTTGCCTTGTCTCAGATGAGACTTTGGACTTGGACATTTGAGTTAACACTGAAATGAGTTAAGACTTGGGGGACTGTTAGAAGGGATGATAGAATTTTGCAATGTGAGAAGGACATGAGATTTGGGAGGCATAGGGGAGGAATGATATGGTTTGGCTTTCTGTCTCCACCCAAATCTCATGTTGAATTTCTAATCCCCAGTGTTGGGGAGGTACCTGGTGGGACGTGATTGGGTCATGGGGGCTTATTTCCTTCTTGCTGTTCTTGTGATAGTGAGTAAGGTCTCACAAGATCTGGTTCTTTGAAAGTGTGTAGCACTTCCCTCTTCACTCTCTCTCTCTTCCTCCTGCTCCCACCATGTAAGAGGTGTTCACTTCCCCTTTGCCTTCTGCCACGATTGTAAGTTTCCTGAGTCCTCCCCAGCCATGCTTCCTGACAGTCTGTGGAATCATGAACCGATTAAACCTCTTGTCTTTGTAAATTACCCAGTCTCAGGTAGTTCTTTATAGCAATGTGAGAACAGACTAATACATTGTCCAACCTCAACCCATCTGTCAGGGGCCTGTTTAAAGTGCAAATATGACCATGTTATTCACCATTTAAAAAGTATTCTATAATTCCAAATTGACAGAAAGGTAAAGTAGAAACTTCTTAGGTTATCATATAAGGCCTTTTATTATCTAGTTCCATTCTCTCATTATTGATCTATGTTCTAACTAAAAAAACTACTCGGTTTTCTGAAATTGAATGCTCTTCATACTTTCAATTTTTATTACAGTGTTTCTTTTAACCAGAATGTGTTTCCTTTGGCTGCCTCCTCTACTACTATTTAGAGATTTAGCTCAACAATTTAACATTTGAGATTTAGCTTGACAATTTTATCTTCTATGATATATTTCCGGACACCTTTTGCCAATTCTCTATTTCCCTCGTAACAACTATTTTATTGCATTAAAATTGTTTATGTGCTGTGTGAGTCTACCTCTAAGTTGAGATTCTAGAGACAAGTAATCTGACAGAGTCATGTTTGTAGATGTTGCAACCTCATACATCTGTGGCAGTTGGAATAATGCCTGGCACATAGCAATAAATGTTTGTGGAATTAATGAATGAATGGGAGTGCATACCAAAATTACTGGAGAACACTTAACATATTCTACCTGGTGGCAAATATTACTTTGCAAAAATATTCATTTAGTTATGAAGATATAATTTATCTAAGATCAAGTATTTAGTGTCTAGAATGAAATACTGAGTTTAAAATAACTTTTAAAAATGAGTGACAGAGTTCATAAAAGTACCCAATGTTTGGAATGTTTATACCAATGCCTCTCCTGGTTAGCAAACCTGGCTACTAATTAAAGGACAACTGGATTAGGAAGAATATTTACATTGAGCATTGACATGTGACAACTATATAAAGTCAAGATTTTCAGTTAACTAATTTTCCATTGCTCTTTAATAGCCTTCAGCATCTTTACAAGGTTGAGTTCTATTTCTATTTCATTTAAACTTTCTAAAACTTATGAATTACTGTTAAATTTTTAGGAAATTCCCATTCAGCATTTGCTAATATGATCATTTTTCTCCTTTAAGTTATGGTGTAATAAGTTATAATGATTTATTACCTGATATTGAACCATCTGCATTCCTGTACCATACCTTTCTTGGTAAAGGACATTATTCTTCTGATAGTCATGTATTATATTTGCTAATATTTCATCTTGATGTTTGGCATTTGCCTTCATAAGAGTAATAGGTTTATATTGTTGATGAGTAATTTGATTTCTTATTTTGTTTTAGAAATCATATGAAATAAGCATTGAATCAAACTTACCTCAAAGGCTGAATTTAGGAAGGAAATTCTAGCATTTCTATCAAGTCAGGACTTATGATAGCTAACATTCATCAAGTGCTTATTTTGTGCCAATTACAGTTCAGTGCTTTATGTATTAATTCATTTAAACCCTACAGCATCCCATGAACCAGAAATTTTTATTACTATCCTCATCTTGGGTCAGACGAATTGAGACACAGAGATGTAAAGTAGCCAGAGTCATATAGAAGTTAAATTGCAGAGTCAGGATTTGAACTCAGGCATTCTGGATCCAGAGCCTACATTCTTTACCAATATGCATTCTTTTCCCCATCATGTTGCAGAGGAAAATATAAATCTCAGGAATTATTTGTCCGAAGAATCTGACATAATCATTGTTAATTGACCTAAGACTATTTAAATAATGTAGAATTTATAAGAGAAATACCTTAACTACATACCATCAATTAATAATATAGCTTGGAGACTAACTGTATTTAACTATTTAAAAACGTAGTTAAAAATATTACCAAAGTAATAACACTGTTTTTTTTTGTTTCATCTTTTCAGTAATCTTGACACAGAAGAGCTATGTGGTAAGTGTTTCTTTAAGATCAGTCAAACCTATTACTTGCTTAAGAAGGAAAAAGAGTATTGTCTGATATATATCAACCTTGGAATTAATGTTGTATATTAGGAGTTCACAAAGGAAAAATTAATCGAGATCTCAAGGGATTTATCTTTACCCGTGAATTTTGCTCAAGTATGTATTTCACTCCAGAAAGAGTTGGGCCTCATTAGTTCGTTCATAGAAGAAGAATTGTTGTTACAATCAGTACATTAGTTTCGCAAGAGCAAATTCTCCACAAGTTTGAATATATTTTTAAATTGATGTTTAATACAACTTCATTATTCTCTGCATGATATATTGTGCAGAGCCTTTTGTTACTACCTTACAAAGCTCTCTTCTTGAAATGTAAAAATAACTTTGTCTCATACCTGCCTAAACCATTCTGGAGTTGTAAATGTCACTTGCAAAACAAGTGATTCAATGGGGACAGATACATCTTTACAAATGCCTGGTTTAATAGCCTCTTCATTTATTTTCTTCATCTTTATGGTTGGAACAATAGTTAAAGATTAGAAATATGGAAAGGTAAAATTTTAAAATTTTATTATTTTATGAAAAAATAGAACATTATGAGACTATTCCATTTGAAAGAGCTATCTTTCTCTGAATACTGGAAGGTTTAATGTTTTATGTTTTAAGATAAATGTTTAAGATAATACTTTTATTTAAGTTCGATCTTATTGTCTAGGCTGCTCAAAACATTTTTGGTAGTTAGAGTTGAGTTTTGTCTGAGAACTCCTCATTGAAACTATCAGCATTTCCTGAACATCTTCTAATTCTTACAGTTTCAGAATTTACCAAAACCATAAAAAAAGGCCATTTTCTTATATTCAAGAGTGGTTATTTTCCATTTCATCAAAGTGGTAGAGCAACACCAAAAGATGTTATACGAGAACAAAATATCAGAATACAGGGTTTCAAGGCAATAACTGAACAAAATGAGCATAATCTCCAACAACGACCTTTCAGATTTTCCAATGATTGTAAAAAAACTCATGCTTCTTATCCTAGCATAGTGTCCATCTCAGGTTCAGGGAGGAAAATCCAATTGAAATTCAAGATATGTTTATGGAGGAGCAAGGTACTCCGGTACCAAAGCAGGACATGCTTTTGTTAGTTATGAAATACCAACAGGGAAAATCATGCCATTCTTTCAGACACAGTCAGATAGTAGCATTGTGCACACATGGTTAAGTACCTGAAAGTGCCCATATGGACCATTGCCGTGAGGCTTTATGATGAATAGCAGTCACCATAAAGGCCAAGTTGTGGTCCACTCTCATCTATGTGCACACAGTCCTGGTCAGTGAAGTGAAAAGATAAAATGGAGAACACAAGATTATCTTGATAATTTCATTAAGGTAGCAGACCCATTTCCCTAAAATGTCTAGCTATGTCAGGCCAAAGTAATTATTTCCACAAATCATTCATTTATATCTATTTTTTGTTTTTCACTTAACTTTGCCTGGGTAGGCCACAGCTGATGACAAAGCAAACTGTTATAAGGGCTTTTAAGATAAAAACACTAAGTGGTTCTTCTTTATTTGCTATGTTGCCTGCCTATTGTCATTAAGGAATATTGTGTTATCCTCTGTTTTTCCTTGAAAGTACTTCAAGTTCTAAAGTATGATAGCATATCTCCACTTACTCCTCTACTGAAAAAAATATTTTAAAAATATGCCTTTTTTCTATAATGGAACTAGTTAGGTCCCTATCCTGTATTTATGGAAAAAGCTTTGGCTATGATTTTCCCCCTATAGCTTTAGTTAGGGAACTGGTATGTGGGGCTTTAATTCAACAGGAATTGTTCTGTGTTTTTTAAATCCAGTGATTGTATTCAGTCATGTGTTATAATCCTCCCCCTCTCTGTTCAAGAATATGCATTTTAATCTCCAGAGTGTCATTTCATTTCTCATTATTTTGTGAATATAAAGTAAATATTTAAGTTGGATTCTAATCAAAGCCAAATGCTTCAGTGTTAGCAAGTGAAATATGTCAATTCACACCCAGCACAAATTCCCCCTTGTGCGTGGGAGGGGCAGAACTTGATTGGCATGAAAAGTAGATTTCATATGTTCTTTCCTAGAAGCCAATTAGAAGTTGCAGGTATGTAAAACTTTAATTCTGAGGCTTTTACTTAATTTGTCAGTTACTAAGTTAAGGACCTAGAATTTAAAATATTTATTTTGAAAAAAATGTGTTTGTAATTTTAATTGTGAAAGTAATACATAACTACTATTTTTAAAATTTAACAGAATTATGTAGGCGTATAAGCTAACATGTCAATCTTCTGTGCCACTCATTGTCGTCCCCAATACTGAGCTCTACTATTTACTTGGAACATATTCTTCCAGACATTATTATGTGTATATTGACATTGATATATATGTGTACGTGTTGTTGTTTTTTCCAACAGTGAGATTATACTATATGATTAGTGCAGTTGCATCCCCTTTTCCTTCATTTTATTTAAAGGCTGCATAGTGTCTCATGAACCTTAATTTTTTTCAATCAAGTTCCTTTTAATGGATTTTCAATTTGAATCCAACCTTCCATGGGAAAAACAGGATTGAAATAAATATTCTCATATACATTATTCTCACACTCACGTTCAAGTAATTCTGAATTCTGAATGGTAGATTCCCAAACATGTAATTCCTCAATCAAGGCTTCTCTAAGGTGCACACCCACCAGCAGTTTATAGAAGTGCCAAAATTATCCACTCTTCACATACAATTGTGAAGGCCTTCCTAAATGCATTTTTTTTTTGCCGTATCTTATCACGATCAGTCAATACATAACTCAGTTTTAATTAGGCAATTGTGTTTGAACTCTGGCATTAAAGCTTTGATTTTGTATTTCTACCATAATTAGCTATAATCTAAAGCTTCAGGAGTATAATTACTACCTTTCCTGGCCCTACCCTGTTTATGACTGTTTTCATAACCTTACTCATTTTTACTGAACCGTTTTGCAGATCTTGAAGTTGGTAGTTAAGAATAGATAGTTGAGGCCGGGCGCGGTGGCTCACGCCTGTAATCCCAGCACTTTGGGAGGCCGAGGCGGGTGGATCATGAGGTCAGGAGATCGAGACCATCCTGGCTAACAAGGTGAAACCCCGTCTCTACTAAAAATACAAAAAATTAGCCGGGCGCGGTGGCGGGCGCCTGTAGTCCCAGCTACTCGGGAGGCTGAGACAGGAGAATGGTGTGAACCCGGGAAGCGGAGCTTGCAGTGAGCCGAGATTGCGCCACTGCAGTCCGCAGTCCGGCCTGGGCGACAGAGCGAGACTCCGTCTCAAAAAAAAAAAAAAAAAAAAAAAAAAAAGAATAGGTAGTTGAAATATTTACAGATGAGCGAAGAATAATTGCAATGAATGTGCTTGATCTGAAAGCCTTTCTGTAAGAAAGCTTTGTGAGGAAGGTTGAATATATTTAATAGTGTAATTTCTCATCTAGTCGGGTGTTATCTACAAAATATTAAACTATTTTAAAAGTTATATGAAGTCTATAAATAAGATGGATAAAAACTGAGGGTACGGGGGCCGGGCGCGGTGGCTCACGCCTGTAATCCCAGCACTTTGGGAGGCTGAGGCGGGTGGATCACGAGATCAGGAGATCAAGACCACGGTGAAACCCCATCTCTACTAAAAATACAAAAAAAAAAAAAAAAATTACCGGGCGTGGTGGCAGGCGCCTGTAGTCCCAGCTACTCTGGAGGCTGAGGCAGGAGAATGGCGTGAACCCGGGAGGCGGAGCTTGCAGTGAGCTGAGATCAGGCCACTGCACTCCAGCCTGGGCGACAGAGCAAGACTCTGTCTCAAAAAATAATAATAATAAATAAAGTAAAGTAAAATAAAATAACTGAGCGTACGGGAAACTCCAGAATAAAAGCTTATTCCCTTCATACCCAAGGTTCCTTTCGGTAGCTGTGCACTAAGCACCCAGGCTGCAGAGATTGGCAGAGCCTGGACAGTGCTCAGAGACCTGTGCCAGCAAGTCTGAGTGCTAGGAAATCAGAAGGCTCTATGCCCTCCTCCAGACTGCTGTGTCCTCCTCCAGTGGCACATGTCACTGATGATTGAGATGTAAGAGAGTTTGCGTGTCGCTTATCTGCATCCCCTCAAAATAGCCCACATTTCTAGATCTGACTGACCTCCCTATTCAGAACATGCGGGTTTTAACACTCTCTCTCATCTCAATTACTTTCTTTTCTACCTAGTCTACTACTTGAGAAAGTCTAACTGCTTGAGAAGTTTAGATGAGAGTCATCTAAACTCATGAGAATACTTTGTAAGACCAGTTTCCACTGAGACTTTTGTGGCAGCTGTGGGTCCTTTGCTTCTGACAGAATTATTAAGCTGACCTGAAAACTCAACAACTTGAAAGACTAAGGTGCAGGATAGAAAAACAGAACAAAACTGTAGTTTGGTAATGCAACACCACTGATTAAGTACAGAAAGGCAGGTAGAAACTAATTTTTTGTTAGCATTTTAGTAGAGAAGATGGCACACTGGATATCCATGAGAATATAGCCTGCTTCCTGACAGATAACAGGCTTACTACATCTGCTTATAAACTGTGCTCTACTTTTTCATCATACCTAATATTCAGACTCTACTTTTCAATGATACTTCATTTAAACTGATGAGAATTGGTTTTCACACATTTCCATAAGTGCAATATGACTCTGTTTTGCTCAAGTTCATGAAACCCACATACAGGTTTCAACAAAATAGGTCTTTTCTTCAGGAAGTTCTTCTAGTTACCAAAGGAAAGCATTTTAAGGAATCAATATTTGTTCCAAGTCATTCTTTCTAATGCCATGACTTAAGGACAATATACATTTGCCCTACTCACACTGGTATTGTGATTCAAATGAGAAACATCAGTCACAAACATGAGAAACTTGGAATAAAACTTTAGTCCAAGCTCAGCCACTTCCAAATATGTCACTGTCCTTCCCTCCTGCCTACCACATCTTGGAGTTTGCAGATCTGCTGAAATTCTGGACTCCACCGCTCATTCCACTTCAAAGCTTTGGCATGGCTCATAGTCCTAGTTGTGTGATGAAATCCCTCCTGGCAGTTGATACCTCCCTTCTCTCTTGATGGTGTCACCAACATTCCCAAATCATCCTTAGTGCATCCCTTCCTTTTCTGATAGGAGAATTTGAGGATGTCACTCTCCTTTCCATGGCTTCCCATTGCCCATAGTGGTCTCGAATTTACTCTGCATCATAATCTCCTAGGGAACCTCGCCCTCAACCCAAAGATTGTGATTTACTAGATGAGACCTTCTCAGTTATCTTCATGTCTAACAAGTACCCTAGAGTAGTGTTTCTCAAACTTAAATAAGCCTACAAATCACCTGGGGGTCTTATTAAAATGCAGAATGTGATTCAACAGGACTGGAAGTGGGCCTGAGACACTGAGTTCTAACAAGCTCCTAGGTGAAACTAATGCTGCTGGTCCACAAAACAAACTTTGGACAGTGAAGTACTAGAGGATTCTGATGCAGGTGGTCAAAAACACTTACCTAGACTTGAGGATCAAAGAGCATCTGGCAAGGACTGTTTCCAACACATACAGCTTTATCTCCCAACACTGACTTTTAGGATTTGTTTCCTTGCTGCCTCCCATTCTCAAATATGTTCCAGCCCTGTTCTTTATGTCTTGGCAGTGCTGAACTACACATACTCCTGCAAACATGACAGGAAAACAGCTGCTTCCATGCCCTTCCTCTGAGTATCCAGCAGGTTAAGTCCTATTCATCTGTTAACTGAGCCATTGCTGGTGTTTCTCCTATGAAGCCCTCTCTGACTCACCCAGGCAGACTTGGGCATTCTTTTTCTTTTTTTTTTTTCAAAGACAGGATCTCGTTCTGTCACCCAGGCTGGAGTGCAGTGGCACAATTTCGGCTCACTGCAACCTTGGTATCCCTGGTTCAAGCAATTCTCCTGCCTTATCCTCTATTTGGATTGCACCTTGTATCTGGGCCCTTCAACCATTGTCTTTAACAATGATTATGTGTATTGCAGTTGTTACTTGGAATGTTTCTCTCTCCTCTCTGACTTTAGGGCTTCTGTCTTTTCACCTTTGTATTCCAAGCTCCTATGATAGCACCTGGCACATAAAAGGCCCTAAGTAAAGGTTTGTTAGGCCACAGAATGAGTAAGTGAACACTCGCTATGATGAAGTGGAGGGGAGTTATCTCTCTTTATCTATGTTGGATGTGTCTGGCTCTTTCATCTAACTTCCCTCTTTGAGTTTATTGGAGCCCCCTTGCCTTGACTGCCTGACCCATATCCCTCAGTGAGTAAGTTATAAAAGAGCCTTAGTGACACTGAGCTGCACCACCTCAAAATAATCCTTACACTTAGATTTCCAACTTAAGCTCCTATCCATGACTTAAGTATTGTAATTCTCTTCCTTCTCAGTCATTTTCTTTACTATCTAGTGATTGTTCTTTTTTTCTAACTTGGAGAGTTGAGATGAATAAATGGATGAATGAAGGACAGAAAGAATGAAGTCTAGATAGGTGTCAGCTCTGAAGCTTCTAGTCATTGTTTTTCTTATATGCTTTATCAGCATATGCCTGCATCTGTGTGCATAGGTCCAATTTTAAAGTGGAAAGACAACTTAAATTCTCTCCAGGAACCTTTACTAATTAAGCCAAATGTCCATGAATGAAATATTTATTTTAAAAAGAGGCTTTACCTCTCTCTCTCTATATATATATATAGTAAGTATTTTCTTATTTATCTTCTAACTAATCACTGTCTCTCTCTCTCTCTACATATATTATATATAGATATCTATATTATATATAATATATATTATATTTATTATTTATTATTTATATAATATATATCTTATATATAATATATATTATATATATTATATATATAATATAGGTATCTATATATAGATATCTATATATAATATATATATATCGAGAGAGAGAGTGTTGCTTTTTTAGCAACAATTTTTTTGTTTTCACTTTCTTTTTTTTTTTTTTTAGACAATGTCTCATCTGTAGCCCAGGCTGGAGTGCAGTGGCACTATCACGGCTCACTGCAGCCTCGACTTCCCAGGCTCAAGCAATCCTCCCACCTCAGCCTCCCAAGTAGCTGGGATCAGAGGCACATACCACCATGCTGTGTGGCCCAGGCTGGTCACGAATTCCTGGGCTCAAGTGATCCTTCTGCCTTAGCTTCCCAAAATACTGAGATTATACGCACGAGCCTCCATGCCCAACCTGTTTTCACTTTATATTTTTGTCTATTTGCATTTAAAACCCCTGTCACAATCCTCTTTGAGGCATTATATATACAAGTTTTAAAATAAAAATGAAGTAACAGCTTCACTTTTTGGCATTTTTCTTATGCTTTTTGCTTGTTTCAACATAGTATAGACTCAGTTCTGATATTCATTATTTTTCCAACTTACGAATATTCTACGGCCACATTAACTGCTCGCTGGTTGATGAAGAGTGTTCATTTGTTATAAATAATTGCACAAATAAAGTTAGACATATTTGTCAACCTTATCAAAAAGTCAACATTATAACCACAAATTAAAATGTTATTTTGAAGCAGGTATTTAAGGAGTAAATATTTTATTTATCTTCCAACTAATCACTTTCTAAAGAATCTTTATAAGAGATAGTTTACACCACATTGTTTTTAAGGAATGCATTTTACTTTTTGTCAAAAATATGTTATTTGTTTTTAACCTAAGTGTATACAGACTGTATTTTGACAACCATGATCTGGAATTGATTTAGTGTCCACCTGTGTTTATTTTCTTCTCAAAAGAAGTCTGTACACTAACTAATATATCAGTCAATGGCAATTTCCAGTTGTTATTAATATCAATATAAACAAATATTTCCTAGAGTATTAAATAAATTAATCAAGGCGGTTTCCATCAAACATGCTGAAATGTATTCCCATAATCTCGAGTGGCTTATATGTGATAATATTTATCATTTTAATTTAGTTCCACAAATACTGTGGCACATTAAAGAGAGATGGCAATAAACTACAGTTCATCCAAGGAAGGGTTCACAGGAATGGTGAGGACTATTCATGTTTTAGTGTCTGAAAACCCTAGATCTTCTCAATATATAAATTTATGTTAAGCTAGTTTGCTTTCATTATAGAAATGCATAGATTTCTATAAGTAAATATAAGATTTTGCATTTATAAATATTTCAACTTACTAGTTTAGGATCAGTTCATGTTCCATACTTTTAATTTTAATCACAAATCCACTATATTATTTATTCCTAGCAACTGAAAAGAGTGATAGACTTTACTTTTTCTCTGCCCAAATTGTTGGAAAAAAAAAAAAAAGATTGTGACAGGGACAGTTACATAGAAGGTGCCACAGAAGACCCTCTCATGTTTTGCATCACTGACTCTTAACCTTGAGAAGAGCTTAACTTCCTTAAATGTTTCCTCCAAGAAACAATAAAATGTAACTTAACTTTTTTCTAAAATTACTATCCCAGTGAGATCTATAATACTACATTGTCAAAAATAATTTTTTATTGAAACATCCTTGTCAGTAGATTCAGATTTATTTTTTCCTACTTTTGTAGGAAGGAACATTTCTTCAAGGATAATGGTAATCATTCAGATTTCCTTTTCTTTTTTCTTGATGTCTTAGTGAAATGAGCAGATTGTCACCTTATTTAGTCTTATTTGGAAACCTTCCAGTTTTCACTTATAGCTGACATTTTGTTTTACTCATTTAAGGAGTAAATAATTAGTTGATTTTTTTGTTTTATGGTTACCTAAACTCAAATATGAATTTATTTCAATATTTTCATTTTTCAGAATATTTTTCTCAGCACTTGGGCGAGTATGAGAATGTACTAGCAGCACTTGAAGACCTGAATCTTTCCATCCTGAAGGCAATGGGCAAAACAAAGAAAGTAAGAAAATGTTAATGTTTATTTTCTATAAAAATCTCTTCTTTGAAAAAGATTTTTCTTGAAAATCATACCTATTTTCAACTATAGATTCTTTATTATCACTGATAGTTTATTTTTCTTCATACTAAATGAGCTATGTTATTCATTTGTAACATAATTATAAACACTATATGCTAAAGACTGTGCTTTGTGTTGAGGATACAAAGATACAAAGAGCTGTTAGAATAGCTCTCAGCCTGGTGGTGATACAAGTGTGTTAACTAAGTAGTATGTTTTGGATCTTGTCCCTCCCCAAATCCCATGTCGAATTGTAATCCCCAGTGCTGGAGGTGGGGCCTGGTGGGAGATGATTGGATCATGGATCACCAATCCCCCAGTGCTGTTCTCCTGATGTTGAATGAGTGAGTTATCATGCAATCTGGTTGTTTAAAAGTGTATGGCGCTTCCTCCGCCCCTCTCCTTCCTCCTCTGGCCATGTGACATGCCTTGCTTCTCCTTTGCCTTCCACCATGATTGAAAGCTCCCTGAGGCCTCCCTAGAAACAGAAGCCACTATGCTTCCTGTACAGCCTGCAGAACTGTGAGCCAATTAAACCTCCTTTCTTTATAAATTACCCAGCCTCAGGTATTTCTTTATAGCAATGAGGGAACTGACTAATGTGCTAAGCATTACAGTATAGCCCAATGAGAAGCACAAGATAAGACATCTAATTCATGCTGGAGATGAGATGACACCTGAACACTGAGAGATAAAGGAAGTTGGTAGAGCTGGACAAAGGAGACAAACACAGGGAACAGCACGTGCAGAGGCTCTGAGTCAAGAGGGTCACAGGACACTCTAGGAAATGAAGCTGGACAGTAAGGATAAAGTACCAAAGAGTGGCATGATGTAAGATGAAACTGGAGTGCTAGGGAGGGCCCACATCTTTCATGATGTCAGCAAAGCTAAGGATTTAGGCCTGTATCCTAAGTGCAAATAAATCAGCAAATAATTTAAGCAGAAATAAAAACAAAAAACCTCATGCAGTCTTTCAAAAAGACCATACAAGAATTAACTTGGGATTGGGGTGGATAATATAGAGGAATAGGATCAGAAAGATGAGTGAGTAGGCTAGTTCATTAGTCTGGGTAAGAAATGTTGATATTTGGAAAACAATAAAGACTCAACTGAATTTTGAAAAATAAAGTTCAGAAAGTCCCCTAAAACTTCAAGGAAAACAGAAAATATAAGAAAATTGGAGCACCAGCCTAGTGTATCCTATATCCAAATAACAAATTCCAAAAAGAGAGAGAGAGAAAAAAAAAAAGGAAAACAGGTAAAAGGTGGAATCAGAATACATTTTCTTTAGACCTCTTCAGGAATATTTGGAAACTGTATAATAACTTCATCCCTTGGAAACTTCTCTCCAGAAATGGCCATTAAAAAATTATCTGCTTTGTGTGTCTAGCTTCTTGTTGCTCTTCAAGTCTCATCTTAAATACCATGGCCTCAGAAAGGTCTTCTCTGACCACTCTATCTAAAAAAAAAGAAAAGGTCATCTCAATTAGAGTAGATCACCTGTTCCTTGCTGGCAATTTATCATAATCAGTGAGTAACTGTGCAATGTTTTCGTTGTTGTTTATTTGTTGTCTGTAAAGAGAGAGAAGGGCAGTGTCTGGTTTTTTGTTTTTTTAGGTTTTTTTGTTTTGTTTTTGGCTTACCGTGTTTACTCTGAACCTAGCATAGGACCTGACAATTAAAATCATACTCAAAAATTTATTGATGGATTAAATTAATTGATTGGTTAAATGAACACACATATAGCTCCAAAAGCTAAATACTTTTGCTCCTGAAAGAAAAATTGCTCCTAAGTTAATTTAAGAAGCTTCCAGATTGCCTCTAATAGGAAGAAAAAAACAAGTTATATAATCTTCTTTATTTCCTCAGAAATATGCACTAAAATCATGCTGTTTTCCTTGTATTAAGACAATGAGATTTTGTGGGATTTAAATTGAGGTCAACCTGTTGTTTTGGTTTCTTAAGTTACAAAATCTTTTTCTTGGCACTGACCCTTAAAAATGCATGTGATTCATATTATACTGTTTAACCAAGAAAAACATATGTCTCTGATTTAAATTAAAAAGGAAAAAGAAAAAAAAGAAATAGTCAAAATTAAAATTAGAAAAAGCCCCTTTGTGTAATAGCTCAAAGATGAGTAAAATGCAAGAGTTTTGACGTTTCTCAAGCCACTGTTGAATAGACATCTTCACGCTGTCTAGCACATGGACCCTTCAGAATGAGAAATCTAGCATTTTTCTCTATATTTCTACCCAGATAAAAAGTCCTGTCTCAGTAGGAAGATCTGATTGTTCTAGGGTTTTATGAAAAATGAAATACAAGCCTTTTGTGATCTATCTTGACTGGCAGTACCTCTGTTTGCAGTGTCAGAGAATGGATAAAATGGGATTTAGCTGCCTACCTTAAACTCCAGGAAGTGACTGAGGACAGATACAATCCGTCATTATTTTCCCTCCTCCTCCTTCTCCCTTAACCCCAGCCTTTTGTCATATCCTCAAGGGCTACATGGATTATTTTACTTTGCTTGTTATTCTGGAACAAAACACCATAGGTCAAATTCCAAATGGCCATTTGAAAGTCCCAGAGGTAACTGAAACCAGAACCCTCTGTCTGAATTTGGAATGTCTCACATACACACAAAAAAATAGCTTTGTCAATTAGTTTTTCTTCTTTCTACAGGGTAGAGGTGATAAGCTAACTTGCAGCATTAGTATGTGAAGTGCTTGTAATCTCAAAAGCAAATGTAGAATTCTGATGCTACGGCTGAATTCATCACGTGCTATGTTATATAAACACAAATGGGATTCCCTGTTTATTAGTAGGGCTTAAAAGGAGATTATCATAAGCTAAAGTGAAGAATGGCATTCTTAAAATAATTATTTGGGGTTTGTTAGTTACTTTAATGAGTGCAGCCGTGAAATTTTCCAAAATTAAAATGTATATATATTTTTTCTTCTGACAGTTATTTTTCAAACAAACACAGCCTACAATACATTTTCAATAATTCTAAGAAAGAAATAGACTTGAATCCTAGCACTGCCGGGCCTCTGCCTCTCTCTTACTCTCCTACATCTGTCTTCAGGATCTGTGTTGATTTTAGCATCTACAGATCCCTTTATCTCAATCTTTTCATCTCTCCTCTATCTCTAGTTTTTTTATGTTGAGCATCTGGGCCTCCCAGGGCTCCATAGTCCTTTCACTAAAGATCACAATCATTTTATTTGAGTCTTACTATGAAAAAGATGAAATAGCAATAGGACACAGAATTTCTATTTGGGACAAACATCATTACTATAATTTTATGTAGGACTTATTATTAAAATTTTCCCTTGTTTTAGGCAAAATATCCAAGCTGAAATGATACCATATGTGGCATAGTAAAATACCCTTGTAGGCTTACAGAAGGCAAGCATTTTAATTATTCATGATAGTTTCATTGCAATCCTTTACGTATTCAATCCTTAAGTATTTAAAAATAAAATGAAAAAATTATCCTTGGACTTCAGAGCAACCACAAAAAATACTTTTTAAACCGTTTATTTGACATCTTCTTTTTTCCTTGAAATTATCTGTCAAAATGAGTTTGCTTAGGGGAGAGGAAGTAGAGACTAGGAGGATGGAAAATAGGAGAGAAGTGTCTTGAGGTTGCAAGTTTGGTTCAATAGGACAGAAGCCCTGAGTCAGGCCCAAGCCTTGGAATCCTCCATGCAACCCTGGCCAGACTTCTGCCCAACACCTGGCAAAGGGGAACTCAATGCCTCTGGAAAGGTTGCTCAATGAAGTAAGGAGGAACATATTCTCTCATATCAGACCCTAGTTATCCTGAAGGACTCTGCAGTACCTACTTCCTGGACAGAGAAACCTCCACCTCTAACTGGGTAAGGAGGAGATAGAACTGAGATGAGAGCCCTAACCCTTCTAATTCATGTGAGCATGACTTTGGGTATAATTTAAAGGTGATAAAATACCACTTTGAGGTTATTGATAGAGTTCACACAGTGGCGTAGATGAGTAGTTCAGGCAAAGATCATCAACAAGGTGGTGGCTAAGGTGGATATGCTAGGAGGATGGAGGACAGAGTACATAGTAATGTCTGGGCAGGCTCAAGACTTGCACTGGCACCTACCTGGCAATCATGTCACTGGTTCTTTCTAGCCATTGCTGCAGCCCCACCAGACTCTTGGTGACTGATCTGACTTCTCCAAGCCAAGTTGCCAGATGATGCCTAATGACTCTTCTTTCCTGCCAGACTAGGGCTTCCGTGGCTATGACCAAAAAGAGAATGAGGAATAGCTGTCAATGCCAACTAGCATTCATATAGCACCTTGGAGTTTTCAACATGTTTTCATATACAGTATTTCAGTTACTCTTCATCACATCTTAGTAAGGAATGTTAGTCAAAAGGTAATATACACATTTCAAAAATGAGGAAACTGAGTCACAATGTGGCTAGTTGATTTATCAATATCCTAAAGATAATGAGATTTAAACCAAGTGATTCTCGTTTAATTTTTTTTTATTTAAGGTTTATGTGGTTCCATATGCACATACTATAAATATGCAGCTGTAGGTTCTATCATGACACAAAACATTTCTGGTATTAGGTACCTTTGGTCTTTGAAACAATCAAAGTCTTTAGAGTTCAGCTGTGGCTCAGCAAAGGCATAAAGATTTTTAGCTTCTCTGTTAAAAATATTTTCAGTTTTGTTTTTGACAAATGAATAAGTAGGTGTCCAGAGCTCAGTGTAATATGTGAAGAAAATATGAAAGAAATTATAGACAGAAGCAGATGATAATTAAATGCTGAAATCATAATTAAATCCTGAAATCAAAAGATGAAGGTGCATAAGCAAAGTTCTAGGCAAGGAAGTTCATATTTTTTATCATAGTTTGTTGTCATTAGAGAAATGAAATTTAATTAGAAAATAAGAGAAGTTACATACCCATGTCAAACAATGGATATTTAGCTTTTTACTTACTAGAATGAAATATATCCAAAGGAAAGGCTACTGTAGCTGAGAGAAGTAAGCAAAAATATTGGTCTTCTGGGCTCTGGATGAATTTATAAAGGATCCGAAAGCATTCCAATAGGAGTCCTACTGATTTTTTTTTTTCAAATAGGTAACTATACTATTTCTTGATTGACACTTAAAATGCCAGGTTTACTATCTGCTAAATACTTATAATGTACTCAGTTTTGTGTCAGAGCTCACTATTCTGTTCCCGTGGTAAACTGTCTTTTCTAGTATTAAGTATTATTAACACGTTATCTTAATTCTTGTATACTTAGATATATTTGAAAATGTAAAAGTGCAGGTCTTCTCTGTTCTCTCTCTCTCTTTTGTTTTTGTTTTTTGTATGTTTGTTTTGTTTTTTTGGTGGAGATAGGGTTTCACTGTGTTGCCCAGGCTGGTTTCAAACTCCTGAGCTCAGGTGATCCATCCACTTTAGCCTTCCAAAGTGCTGGGATTACAGGCGAGAGCCACAGCACCTGTCTTGATTGTTCTTCTTTAGCAGAGATTTTTGCCCTTAGTTTGCCGTGTTTGCATAAGTTTTATAATTGTTTTTTTCAATTCTGGGAAAAACTTTTATTGGAATTTTCATTAAATTTATAAAGTAATTTTGAGAGAATTGTCATCTTGGTAATATTTTTCCTTCCCATGCAGGCACAAATATATTTTTTCATTTATTCAAGCTTATTTTTATGTCTCATTAAATATTTTTATGATACCTCATATAGGTTCAAAACATTTCTTGTTAAATCAGGTCATATATATTTTATATTTTTGTTGTTTTATAAATGGCCACCCTCTCTAACTTCCTAACATAATGTTGGTGGTATATTGGAAAATGATTAATTTTTGTATACACATTTGGTAACTAGATTAGCTACCATCTTGAGTAGCTGTTCTGTCCGTGACATGCCATTTATCATCCTTTACTGATATTACAGCTTGAACATCGAGAACCTCTGCACTGTAAGAAACAACCCACCTAATCTCTCTTTTAGGGAAGTTGACCAGTCTGTATATAGTCTTTAATGCCCTGACTATCTTCTCCCATTTTTTTTATCTGAACTTTGAAGCTATGCTTTACACCTATTGTTGTTACATAAGATTTCAAATTATACTTCATTACCACAAGGCAGTAATAAACTATGACTTACACTTTAGAACTTGTGTCTGAAGGGAACAAGATCATTTTCCACAAAACCAAACATAGTTTTAAAAAGCTTGAGTAGCAAAATTCCATAAATACAAACATGTAAAACATTAGCCTATTCTTACGTATTTTTAACAGAAAAGACACAAACAAGTAAGTAAATAATGTATTTAATTAATTGGCAGTACATTGATATAGGCCAGAAATAAACTTGATGTTCAGAAAAGGGAGAGGTCAGTGCTCACTGAGTAATCAGATAAAACATCAGCGAGAAGGTGAGACTCAAATGAGTCTCAAAGAATGGGCAATTTTAATAAAGGAAAAAGAGAAGAGAAGAACCTGCAGATAATGACCCTACTTTGACTTTTTAAGGAGGCAGCTATGAAGCCTAGTTCCATCAGAGGCCCTCTTTCATGTCCAGAAGAGGCTGTGGTTTACAGATGGAGGGGTCAGGTCATGCTGACTGCAGTTGGTATTTCACCTTATTTACAGTTTCTCGAATGAATGTATAAATAGCAAACTGTGATCTTGCAAATAATCTTGAATCAAGGGGACTTAAAAAAAATTCTTAACAGATTGCTAGAGCTGTGGTAGGTAGAAGCTCCAGGTCAACTGCTGGTGTACCCCAAATCCACAGAGGTCCCTATTAGTAATCATTTTTTTTCATGATTGTTTTCTATTTTCAGACAGTCCTACCAATCCTTCCTCCCCATCCCAACCAGAAATAAGGTATAGTGATAAATTATTTTTATTTTGTTTCACGTACCTATAATTTCAAATAGCCATTTTTTTCCTTTGTAGGGATTTTCTTTTATTTATCTTACTTAGATTGCTAGCGGGAACATTTATATTCCTAATAGAAAGTGGGAGTTAATTTTCTGCCTAATGAAAGGACGAGTACAAAGTACACTGTTCTATTTAAAAAGAAAAGCTGTTTTACTTTGCCCAAAAATATAGTTCTGAACTACAGTTGCCTGAGTGAACATACAGCCCCATTTCTGAAGAACTGAACTTTGAAATTCTAAAAGCTAGATAAGGGAGAGAAGTTAATGCAGACATTCATGGGGGATAAACAGCACAGTATGTGATTCCTTCTGTCACGAGAATTAAATTTGATATGACTCATTTCTTTTGCCTGAAGTGGAAAAGTGCAGAGGGAGAGATTAAAAATTGGTCTGTGTTGTGTTTCTCAGATCTGATAGGCATCAGTTATTATCATGTTGAAGTTGTTCTTTCCCATTTTTATTTACAAAAAGGAAATACTAAATATTGCAAACCAGAAATACTAAATGTTATTTGAGAATTAATTAGTTTTGGCAAAGTTCTTATTTTCAAAATAAGTACATCCAAAAGAATGTACTTTCAAAAAGAAAATGAATATGTGCAAAAAAAGCTATTATAGGTGCTTCCCCTTGGCTGCAGGACAAGAGAGCTCAGGGCCACATGGTATTGTGTGACATCCCTTTGGAATGATTTATCCCGTGACCTGTCAGTTGTGTAATAACACATGGAATGTAGTTCTAACAGCCGTGCAGGGTTATTGAATTGACTGAGATCTCTGGGAAACTTTCCTACAATTTCTTTGGATTTCAGTTTGAATTTCTGTTATGGATCATACTCACTTTTTAGGACTACCAATTATGCCACAAGCAGCCTAGTTTCTGACAGTATGGGAAGGAGATGTTTTCATCAGTTGTACATGCAGGTTTCAGAATACTGGCTGTGTATTATTACTCTGTAAGACTGAATGTCTATCTGGGAGACCACTTAGCTTTATTTTATGAACCAAAATAATAATAATAATAATGTAATAACATAGCTAACATCTATGGAGCCATTACCAGTTTCCAGGTACAATCCTAAGTACTTTTATTTTAGTAATGTATTTTATCCTAATCTTCTTGGGGTAGATTCAGTGATTATCACTGTAAGTGTAACAGGAAACGAAGACAAAAAATGTCAGCTAACGCCCTCAAGGTCACACAGCTGAGATGTGGATAGCGATCTTAAGTTGATCCCTGTGAATTGCTTTCTGGTCCTCCTTGGCATGAAGCTATTATAGTTTCTAGTCAATTTCTTGAGAAGATGACAAAAATTATGGCTGAGAAGACAGAAAATATATTGAAGGATTTGTTAGTTGTAATCGTTATCTACTGTGGAAGTTTCTGTGGGTCAGGAATCCAAGGGTGGCTTAAGTGGGTGATTCCTATTCAGAGATTATCATGAGATTGTAGTCATTTTAAGGTCCTTGAGGAGTTGCTTTTGAGCTCACTTACATGGCTGCTGACACATTCCAAGGAAATAGAGTCAGCTATGTGGCTTCCATTTGTCACCACATGGGCCTCTCCATAGGGCTGCTCCTATGATATAGTAGCTGGCTTTCTCTAAAGAAGTGATTGTAAAGAGAGAGATGGGCTGGGCGTGGTGGCTCACGCCTGTAATCCCAGCACTTTGGGAGGCCTAAGTGGGCAGATCACTTCTGCCATGTTCTATTACTAGAAGTAAGTCAATAAGTCCAGCCCACACTCAGTGGGAGCGGAATTAAACTCCACTTGTGTGTATGTATCTTTAAAACTACCATAGTGGTCAACTTTTAACTGTGTGTGTGTGAGTGTGTGTGTGTGTGTTTGTGTGTGGTGGAGTGGTGGAAGAAAATCTTTATCTGTTTTTTCCCTCCATTTATATCTACCCCATTAAAAGAAATCAAATTGATTTTTGAAACTCTGACATACATGCCTATCCCTTATATTAGTTGAATGCTTCTAATGTGGTTTGGCTGTGCCCTCACCCAAAATCTCACTTTGAATTGTAATCCCTACAATCCCCATAATCCCCTTGTGTCAAGGATGGGACCAGGTGGAGGTAATGGGATCATAGGGACTGTTTCCTCCATGCTGTTCTCGTGATAGTGAATGTGTCTCACGAGATCTGATGGTTTTATAAGCATCTGGCATTTCCCCTTCTTGCACTCCATCCTGCCACCCTGTGAAGAAGGTGCCTGATTGTCCTTTGCCTTCTGCCATGATTGTAAGTTTCCTGAGGCCTCCCCAGCAATGTGGAACTGTGAGTCAATTAAATGTCTTTTCTTTATAAATGACTTAATCTTGGGTATTTCTTCATAGCAATGTGAGAACAGACTAATACAGTAAAAATTCTGAAAGATAATGAGAATCAATTATGTTTTATCTTTAGAACTAAGCCACATATACAAATGTATATATAATGAATATATATCAATAGAGCCAAAACACATATAACAAGATGAAAAATACATTTTCCTGAGTTTGAGTTAATATTAAATATGGTCACCCTAAAACAAGTTTTTAAAGAAGTATTTTTAAACTATCAGCTTTCAAACAAAGAGGGTTCCAGATTTTAATGTCTGAAAATCCATGTCCCTGAAAAACAACTCAGTTTATTCACGGGTTCAGCAGAAATTCCATTCTAGGAAATGAAAGGAATCTAAGTTTTGCAACACAATGCCCTCAAGAGTCTCACCATAAAGCAAAATGGGTAATTTAGGACTATCTGCCATCCAAAACTTTAAGTAGATTTCATAAGAAAGGTTTAAACAACATGTGGTAAGACTAATAAATAGGAAAGCATCGCTTTGTCCAGTAAATCTGGAAAGTTATCATGGAGTAAACAGTATTGAAGATAAACTTCAAAGAGTGGAAGGTTTATGGCCGAAGATTGCTGGGAAATAATGAGAATGAAAGTCACTTCAAGGAAAAGAAGTAATAGAAACAAAAGTGTGAGAAACACAATGCATTTTCATAGAAATTTGGGGAATACAGAGTGTTTGAAGCATTAAGCAATTTTGGACATTGTGAGTGTCCAGGCTGACAGGCAAATTGGCTGAGAAATTTAGCATTTAATCATTAAGTAGCAGAGGTATATTGGAAGTTTTTGAATAATGGAAATAAAGTTGGTCACATGAGGGTCACTTAGGAAAGCTTTACTTCTCTCATATCTACTTATTTGTTTCCCAACTGTCACCTCTAAAATGAGGATAATGTTTAGTCATAATATTGATCTTTATTGTTTATTTGTAAGTTTCCTACTTACATAATATGTAGCTATTCTACATATTATGCCATTTTGTGTATATTTTTATATATTCTAGGTATTTCTATGAATTCTAGAGGGTTTTTCACAATTTTCAACAAATATTACCTATTCCCATATATAAAAAAATGTAATAGAACCAAGAATTTTTCTCATTTTAAAAAATGTCATTCTTGATCTGATTTTTTTTTTGGTTGTTGACAGTCACAGAAGGAATTAAGAAAGACAAAGTTTAGGTTATTAGTACTGAATGCTGTCCTAGTCAAGACTTTTTTTCTTTTTCTTTTTTTTTTTAGATAGGCTTTCACTCCTGTTGCGCAGGCTAGAGTGCAGTGGTGGGATCTCAGCTCATTGCAACCTCCACCTCCCAGGTTCAAGCGATTCTCCTGCCTCAGCCTCCCAAGTAGCTGGGACCACAGGAACACACCACTGTGCCTGGCTAATTTTTGTATTTTTAGTAGAGACAGGGTTTCACCATATTGCCCAGGCTGGTCTCGAACTTCTGGGCTCAAGCAATCCAGCTGCCTTGGCCTCCCACATTGCTAGGATTACAGGCATGAGCCACCACACCCAGCCTCAAGTATACTTTTATACTTGATAAAGTTTTATGTTTATCCAAACATAGCAGCTAAAGGCCAAGAATTTTTGGTTTATAATGACAGGCAAAATGGCAATTATGCAAAATGTTCAGAAAATATTTGTAAGGATTTTTCCTGGTTTTCTCAGGAGCATCAGAAGACATAGCTTATCACTCTCTTCCTTACATGGTCATGTAGTTTTTCTATATTACTTTGAATATCAGCATTTCAATGAAATAAAATTGAGGTGGGTGAGGGGTTAATACATAGGTTTTTTCTCTATTGTGGGAGAGAAATGTCCCTTGATTTTCTTCATCATTCAGTCAAATATGAGCATTAATAGCTATAATAGCTATCTAACTATAATAAACATTGATAGCATCATAATTTCCATTTTCATAAAAAACATTGGCTAAGTATCACATCTATCAAATTTTCTTTGTAACATACAATATTTAAAATGATGTTTTAACAGTAAATAAATATTTTAAATGAAAAAGAAATGACCTATGTGATTATTAACCCCCGCAAAAGGTGATTGTCATATTTGTACCCCCTTTAGATCTTTGTTGCCTTGTGCTCTTTGCTTTATTCTCTACGATCAAGTCAGTCACCTACTCCTAATGATTTTGTCCTTAATGTTGGTCACGTCCATCTTCTTCCCTCGCAACCCACTGTCTGGGCCACATGAGGCAGAGCCTCCTTGACTCGCACAGGGATTCCTTGTCACAGCACCGAAGTCATTATTTTTCATCCAGTGTTGTCTACAGACCATGCTCCATCCTGCTGGATGAGACATCTTTCCAAAAAATAAGACTGTCCCTCACCTCCTTAAAACCTTACATTGGCTCCTCATTGACCTCAGGACAAAGTCTAGACTCTTTGCCCAGAGCACACAGGCCCACCCAAATCTGAGCCTTCCCTGCTCATCTGGTACCCTCCCCATCTCTCTAGTTCCACCTCGTGCCAGTCCTTACCAGATGATTTTCTCTCCAGCTATGCTCAGCCATTTGCACTTCTCTGAGTTCCCCACCATCTCTGTCTCCCAACTGGATCTTGCCATATAGTGATCCTTGCTTGTGGATGACATCATTCTGCCCTCCCTAGGTCCTTCCTCAGGGCTCCTCCAGTTACCTACTTGCTCTTCATCTGGCTGGTCCTCTAATATTCCTGGTGATACTACGGGACTTAGCTTAACTGTCACTTCCCCTAGGAATCCTTTCTTGATCCTCCAAGTGGGGTGTCGGTGGGGGTAGAGGGGAGATTAGGTGTTTTCAAACCGCCTCTTGCACATCCCCATGGTAGCTCCTTTTACTTTTTACTTGTCTGTCATCCCAACTGTCTTGAAGTGTCTTCTCTCTCACTGTATCACCGACAGCTACTAGTTAAGGCACTCAGTTAATTTTTAAAAATATATATCGGCTCCCAGGGGAGCTGCGGATGTGATGAAGATCACTGATGATCATGAATCAATCACCCGGAAGGGAAGAGCGACTTGGCGACCACAATCCAATTCTGGACAGATGGACAGCCCAGATGGGTGTCCCTTCCAAGGGACTAGGGAGAACGTGAAAAGGGAGCAGATTTCTTGAATACACATCCCCAGACTGTTTCTAAAATTTGGAAGGATTGCTTGTCCAGAGCAACACAATACTCTTTCTGAACTCACCAACTCATGGGGTGAAAACTGTCTATCTCCATCCTGCCTGAATTCCAGCAGTGCAGGAGGCAATCAGGGCCCCCTGCAATGGGCCAGATGGAATTTATGGCTAGCTGGGGAGGTCTGGGGAAAAGAAAGGGATTAGCAGTTTTAATCCTAGTGCTCATACAGTTTTGCATTTTGTAAAGAATGCTATTTTTTTTTTAATTATAGTCAACATCAACTATTCTCATGGTTGGATTTTTTTCTTCAGTTCATTATGTTGAATTTGCCTTTTAAATGATTTTACCTATGACACATCTTTAGTTCATGATCTGCTCTGACATTTTGAGAGCTGTAACCAAGATTATAATGTGGCAGGACATGATAGGCATAGGTGAGTAATATTTTTAGAATTTCTTAGAAACAGAGGCTGATTTTCATGCTGATAACCTAAAAAGCAAGGAGGAGAAATAGACACATATAGCATAAATATCATATAAAGTGGACAAATAACATATTTAATTGTATATTTCTAACAGTTCCAGACACATTTTTTCTCACATAAATATTTTTAATAATGGTTATGCTAAACAGAGACCAATTCTTCCTTAATATATAAGGAAATACATGATATTAGAAGAATAAAACTATTTTCACTTCCTTGTTAATTCTGCCTTTGAGTTCTGCATAGGTCATTTATATACATTAAAATATGGAAAACTACCTCTCACTCCCCAAACTATACAAATCAGAATATGTGGGATAAATGGAGAGATGTCTCCAGAAATAACAATTTCATACTTAGGAAAAACTTGATATGATTCCTAGCTCTGCTACTTGCTAGCATATGCCCAAGTTAATCTTTTTGCCTTCATTTCTTTCATTGTCAGATGTTGGGAGGATAAAATGATATAATGCATGTAGGGGGTCTAGTACTGCAAGTGGCCCATAATAGGCACAATATAGGCATAATAGTCATGGGACTAGTTATCTTTCTACTTCCAAGGTCATTCTCAAGTTTCATACTTTGTTATTGGAAACAATTGCTAAACATGTGGCTTGGTGCTTTATATGGATATGATGGATTCTTTCTTACAACAACAACCAAAATATTTTATTTCTATAAGGTAGAGGGGAGAATTCAACAGAGCAGCTAACTAATAATCTAAGTAAAAATTTGGAATGTTGACCCTTCAGAGAAAATTTTAACCTTAAGTCAGAATTTTACATGCTGATTTTTTTAGATAAACAGATAATAAGTGTAAGTGCTTCATGAGACTTCCCTTCATTTTAAGGATATACATTTCAGCTGATCTATGACAACCAAATCAATAGTTTAATGAAGCACAGGGGCTTGTTTCTGGGAGAACTTCAGTCTGGTGAATGCATAGAGATGCATGTATTTCCCTGAGTGATTGACTAAGCTGCTGCTTATGGGAACAGACACATATGATTGCATAGAGGCACAAATGTCTGTTAAGAAAATTATCAAAAGTAAACAGAAATTAATTCATAAAAATATAAAGGAACAACTAAAAGGGAAGCACAGCACCTAGTCAGCCATCTCCTTGTTAATATGATGAAAACAGATCATCTGCAGTGACAGAACATATACTCCTACAACACTCTTGGAAGCACAAAGGAGGTATGTGAGACCTAGCTACCAAAACTATAAATAACTCCAGGAGCAGAACTCAGTGTCTCTGAATCCCAGAGAAAGAAAACAGAAAAAGTAGTCTCAACACTGAGGAAGCATAGGAATCTTTTGAAAAGCAAAAAAGAAACAAACCAAAGGCATGTATGTACAGAGCAGGTGCCACCTCAAATCCAGTTTAATAGACACAAAAAGCACCTACTGTGTTCAGAGTGTTGCCATGTGCTAGTAATCAAAAGGAATATAATAGGAAACAAAAATTAGCCTTTGCTCTCCAATCAAATAATATAATAACAGCATTTTCTACTGTCTTGATCATTTTGTTGCAGGTTTATTTTTCAGCAGATAGAAAAAGTGATTATGTATTTGATAAAGAGAAACAGATTAGGAAATTCTGTGAAGCCCCCTTCCTTGCCCCATGAAGTTAAATGAAAATTAGTCAGATTTGTGGCCTCTTCAAAGAGAGGAGTGCTGAGTGGAACTGGCCTGTGGCCATAGAGGAAGTATTCCATAGAGAAGTATTCTGTACAATAGATCTGTGGCAGTAGCTGAAAGGGACTGTTTTCCTTCCTTTAATTGTAACTTTCTACTCCCTTTTATGTTTTCTCATGTAAATCAGAGGCACAATTAAAGCTCAACGAGCTGATGTCAGTAGGAGAATAATTTTTTCAAGTTACTCATTTTAGACCAAGTTTTGTGCAAAGTCTGTATTTTATGCAGCCTAAGAGACATTCTGCAGATGAGTCTTAAGAATTTACCTCACACCCGTAATAGGTATACTTATTCTTGTCGGGTGCTGTGTCATACCATGCATCCGTAAGTCGATGCAGAGGTTCATAAAAACGGCACTTACTAAAACCTCCCTTAGCTATCCTCCACCTTATCCAGAGAAGCTTCTTCTTTTGGAAAATCAAGCAAAACAACTAAGCTAAGACATGTTTAAAAAGTTTGAAAAGAAAGCTGTAAGGAAATACAAGAGGAAGAGTTGTTAGGTATGAGTTCTAAATTTCTTTTCAAAGAATTAATATGTCGGCCGGGCGAGGTGGTTCACGCCTGTAATCCCAGCACTTTGGGAGGCCGAGGCAGGCGGATCACAAGGTCAGGAGATCGAGACCATCCTGGCTAACATGGTGAAACCCCGTCTCTACTAAAAATACAAAAAAATTAGCCGGGCGTGGTGGCGGGTGCCTGTAGTCCCAGCTACTCAGGAGGCTGAGGCAGAAGAATGGCGGGAACCCGGGAGGCGGAGCTTGCAGTGAACCGAGATCGTGCCACTGCACTCCAGCCTGGGCGACAGAGCGAGACTCCGTCTCAAAAAAAAACAAAAACAAAAACAAAAACAAAAAAAACAAACAAACTAATACGTCAGTATGTTCAATTCTCTGCCTTCTACTTTTAAACTTAACTTCCTCGTAAAGCAATCTTTTTCGATTATCTACTCCACCCTGACTCATCCTGATTACCTACTCCACCCTGACTCATTCCGATTACCTACTCCACTCTAACTCATTCGGATCACCTGCTCCACCCTAACTCATTCTGATTACCTGCTACCTGCTCTGCCCTGACTCCCGCCAAAGCACTCACCACTTCATTCTCTTTAAATTAGCCAATTAGAATTAGTTTAGCCTGTGAGGTCTAACCCTAGCCAATAGGGGAACGACACAGCAGCAGGGGTGACGTGCGTCAGGGATAAGAACCCCTTGCCCTCCCTTCTCCAAGTGTGCACTCCATTGTTCCTTCTATATAGAAGTACCTTGCTTTGCTGAGAAAAAGAAAATTTAAAAAAAATAATTAAAAAAAAGAATTTAGCAGGTAGAAAGCAGCAATAAAATTTTCTTCTTCAATTACAAGCCAAATTATTGGCAACTCTTCCTCTTCGGTTCCCACAATCCTTAAGAGGATCCTTTGAGGGGCACAGATTTACTATAGGTCCACCACTTATCTGCGATTCCAAAATCCAAAAGCTTCTGAAAATGGAATGTTTTGGTTTTGTTGTTGTTGTTTGGTAAACTTAGCACCAAAGTCCATTTGGTAGCAAAATCTATTTTAATATTAAGAATTTTGCTGCAAAACTACCAATATGGTCATTACAGGGTACTGCTCTAGACCCTGCTGTGGGTATTATATAATTACATGACATATGCTAGGTGTTACCTCTCTAGACCCTGAAAAATTCTGAACTTTGAAATGTATCTGGCTCAATGGTTTCAATAAAAAATTAAGATGGCTATGTCATTATATATGTTATGGAAATGGATGTTCTAATTATTTTTTCAGACTATCAGATTGCATGCTTCAGCAATGCTGAAATGTAATACTATCTTATGTTTAAAAAACAAAGTAAAACAAAAAACTATCAATTCTTTGAAAAGTTTATTGCATTTCAAAGAGCAGTCAAATAATATGCATAGACAAGTGAAAATTGACCCCCAGTGGTCTGGGGAAAATGTAAATGAACTTATTAACGTTTCAAAAATGACACTTTAGGAGACTCAACTGATAATGCTTGTGGCAAGTGTATTGGCGTGAAATAAATGAAGAATGCCTTCATTTGTAGGCTTAATTTACTAAAAGAAATCAGGACTTACCTCCTGTAAGTCACTGTTGGCAGATGATTTAAATGGCTGTGAGAGTAATCATTTGATTTAAAGAATAATTCCTTTTTATGTTTTACTATTGCTACAGAATAAGATTATCATCTCTTTATAAGCTTTTTATCCTCTGTCATTTTCTGTAGTAGCTTTCCTACTTATAGCCTGTATCTTCTTTGGAGGTAATATGACCTCAAATTTGTTCCTTGCCTATAGAACATCTCTGTAATCAAATTACAGTTGAGAAAAGCCCATGATTACACACCTCACTATCAGGCTGCATTTTGAGTGATAGTGGAAAAAAGAACTACCAAGCCTGGCTGCTCCCATGAGAATAAGTTTAGATAGGAAGTCAAGGCTCACCCCAATGCTCTCTCTCAAGTCTCACCTCCCCTCTTCCATCACTACCACCACTCAGTGCCCCAAATCCAAATTTAAAATATAGCCTTGTCTTTAGACTTAGAGTAGCACAACTTTTGTATTTAAATCAATATTGTCCCATTTCACTGAGATTAGACATCATATTAACTATTTGGGAATCTGTAAAACCACAGGACCCTAAAAAATTAACACATTTGATATTTGGGGCCACCTAGAACTGACAGTCTCCAGAAGGCCTAAAACTTCAACAGAAGTAGCAGCTCCAAGTGAGTTTGAAGCCTAGTTGCTGCTTGGACTGTGCTTCCTATTCCAATACCCCTGTCTTCTTCTCTTGCCTGGCTCATTGCATCTTCTATAATGCCCAGTATCTCATACCCATCTGTCCTTTTCACACTTAATTCAGTGTTTATTGAGAAAGAGACAGCTACTATTTATTGAGCATAATACATGTTGACCACAGTGCATACATTATCTCAATTAGTCTTTTAGCCCAACTGCACTGAGTCACTCTCACAGTCAGGCACCTGGTACATGGTAGGTACACAATCTACTTTCCTCAGCTCTCTCTTCACCTTCCTAATAGTTCATTTGTCTCATCCCAACTGAGATTCGTTCATGTGGCACAAGTATTTATGGAATACTGTGTCTGCTCAAATCCTCTAGAAACAGAAGCCAAGTGCAAGAGATATGTTGGGAGAAATGCCCTTGGAAGGTAAAGGGGAGAGGGAACAAGAGCAGTGGGAAGATCCTTCAGGCTGCCCTGCAGGTCTGGCACCTGTGAAAAGAGGAGGAAATGGAAGTTGGGCTGGCAGAGAGCCTCTGACAAAGTTTTGGCTATGCCAGTGGGACGCCCGAGGGCAAAGACTGCTCATAAGAGGAGTCCCCCCTGACTTACACCATCCTTAGTCCTTGGCAAGGAATACTGGAGAGGATGTGGCTTCAGCATGAACACTGCTGATCCCCAAGGTGTGGCAGCTGGAGATGGGTAGTTAAGCATACTTAAAACAGTTTCTCTCTGTGGTCCCTTGGTGACTGCCATAGTGTATACCAGGATGTGATTTGAGGAACATGGGCAAAAATTCAAGAATCTGTGAAAATTCAGCTTTAAAGATCCACTTCTCTTACTCTCAAAGGTTTTTCAGTCTTTAAGAGTCTAGTCTTTACAAGTTTTTAAAAGTAAATATCCCTGGGAATAGAAAGATCTAAAGTCCTAGTTACTGAATAACTTAGCAGAGGGTAGTTAAAAGCTCACTAAAAGTAAAGAGATGGGACCCAAAATTTATTTGAGCTGGAGCAAGTTTAGAAACTCTGGAACAGAGAGATGTGCAGAAAGAAATAGTGATGAACCAAAAACCAATTCCCTAGGTTTAGCTTTGCCATAGTTTAAAATATGTTGATGCTCAAATCTTGTCCCTCATGTGTGTGATATTGTACAGTACATTTGATTTTTGTATGTGTTTATTATACCTTTGATTCAGAAAGGTTTACAATGCTTCCTTCTTTGTCATAAGAAACTCATAATTCAGGTGGGTGCTTGTTTCTTATACCAGCATGAAGCTAAACATAATAGTTTGAAACTATTGAAAATATTGAAACAGAATAGTTCTGAAAATATTATTTTCAGAATATTCTGGGACCTTAACTGCACAGTATGTAGGAAGAAAGGAAACATTCCTTCCTCCCTACAGTCTGATACACTAGTGAGAATAATAAGCATTACTAAAACAACAATGAGCACTCAATGGGGAGCCTTGAAGAGTACCTTAGTGTTTAATACAGTGCTGTAAAGGCATGAACCTTTCCCCTGCCTTTCTCTATGAGTAAACTTAGTGTTGCTGCATTTTCCTTATTAGAATTATTTTCATTTCATTAGTAAAATAGGCAGTTGTTCGGGAGTAGAGCAACTGACCTTAGTCTTTATATACCAATATGGGATGATTCAAGGGTCATGTGAAATGTCAAGCTACACACAACAGAACAAGCATAATTCTGTGTACTCTGAATCTTCCCACATTGATCACTTTTGAGGCCAGAAAGTAACAACAGAAGGGTAGAGTAGGCATGACAGAATTGCTTCACCAATGGAACAAAGAGGAAAAATGGTTCTTTTCTTCTTCAACTCTAGATGAACCAGTGAACACAGACTTAGCCAGTTCCAGGATGGAAACTGAGCCCCATGTTCTCATTTCATATATTTGAGAAAACAAACACAAAGGGGTTAGTAGACTTGCCTAAAATCATAGTATGAGTCAATGGCAAAGCCCATAACCCAGTGTAGAATCTTATCCTCTATAAGGGTAGGAAAAGTATTATTCAGAATTGGGTAGAATTAGTTCTTTCCCTTCCAATCACTAAACTGTTAACACAATGCCTCTTGGGAGCATAATTAAGACTATCACTATAACCTTCCAGGTACAGGATTCTTTATCTGTTGCCATGGCAAAGGAGCAAAATCTAAGCCCCTGATTAAAATGAATGCTTTTGTAAGAAATAATCAAGATCCCTGTCAGGGTTTCATCACGCTCTTATACTCTTTGTCATTTTTTTATATGACCCCAAGCCTGGGGCTCAAAGTGCCTACTTGAAATTTCTTTTTGTTGTTTGTATAATAACTGAATTAGTTTTGCTCCAGCAGTTTCTTGATGATTTTTCAGTAAGATAAAGGTACTTTAATCAGTCTAAATACTTGAACATTTTTATTTCAGTGGTAAAAAATAGACTGAGGCAGAGTGAAGTTATAAATTAGAATCTAAAAATTTACCCTTCAACATTAATATTTTTTAGTGCTCTAATATAAAACACAGAAAACCTATCTCAAATATAAAAGATGAATATAAAATTATTAATTAAACAACTGGCAGCCTGGAGATATTCATTCCAGCATAGGCTTTGATAAATCTTTTCCTGAAGGCAGTTAAACCTTTTTGAGAAAAACCTTCTGAGGCTGATATGATTTAAGTCTCTCTGTTAAAAAAAAAAAAAAAATGGTGTTTATAAATTATGCTGCCTTTTTGCTACTCTCAGCTTAAATAGATGATGTTTCCTTTCCTTTTTTAATTGCTGGTTTTCAGCTTTGAAAAGCTTTCCTTCCAGCGGTGCCCTCAAGGGCACAGTTTTATAATCAAGAGCCTTTGACCCTTGTAGCCTCATGAGACTAGAACCCACTGTTTCTCTCCAGGTATGTTTAACACAGACCTGGGAACAATCGAAAAGCTTTTCGTGTTTTGTGCTTTAAACATCTTTTGATAAAATGGTGCAGGAAAATGACACCAGTATTCTAGTCTAGCCGAGGAGAGCTATGTGGTCTTCAGCAAGTCTCCTTAATTTATCTGGCCTTCCTTTTGAAAATGAGCAATTTGTATTCAGTGGTTCCTTCTAGCTCTATGTCTTTAGTGGGTTTGCTGATTGCCTGTGAAATTTGTATAGTACGACCATTTGACCCTGAATTTTGTTTTTCGCTTCAACAGACTATGTATACTCTGTTCTTGTCATTAATTGAATAGTATCGCTCTCTCACACTAACTTGAGCCTTGTAGTTACACACATTTAATGGAGGAATGAGAATGTTCCTTCATTAGCAAACCCTATCTATATTTAGTGTTTGGCTAAAACCTCGTTTGCACTCTCTGTATTTGTGTGTGTGTGTGTGTGTGTGTTAATGTTACATAAGTATTTGTTGAAGCATTTTAATCTATACTGCAAAAGGATGTTTTATTTCCTTCTTTAATGTACTTTGCACAGTTATATTTACAAAGGAATATTCTATAAATAATAGAGGTACTAATCCACATATTTTATTCTTTCTCTTAAAAATAAGAAAAGCCTATTTTTTGAAACTTCTCAGATTGTTCTGTTATGAAACATCACTACTGGCTGGGTGTGGTGGTTCACACCTGTAATCCCAGCACTTTGGGAGGCCGAGGAGGGTGGATCACTTGAGGTCAGGAGTTTGAGACCAGCCTGGACAACAGGGTGAAACCCTGCCTCTAGTAAAAATACAAAAATTAGCCAAGCACAATGGCACATGCCTGTAGTCCCAACTATTCGGGTGGCTGAGGTAGGAGAATCGCTTGAACCCAGGAGGCAGAAGTTGCAGTGAGCCAAGATCCACTGCCACTGCACTCCAGCCTGGGAGACAGAGTGAGACTCTAAAAAAACAAACGAACAAACAATTATTACTATTAAGTTACATACGTAGAAAAGGAGTCAATTGAATTACGTTGTACTTACTAATGCAAAGGGGCTCTCTGTCTCTCTTCATGTGTGTATAACACACACATAAATTATATATATAATGTACCTGTACACACATTTTACAGTTTATATTCTATAAATGTTCAAGTTTATCAATAGTTAAATAAATATAAATTAAATTGACAATAAAACATACTTCTATCAATTAAAAATGTTTAAAATAATAATGCCAATTGTTCAAAAACACAGGAAAATGAAGACTCTTAAACATGATAATGGGACTTTAAATTAGTACTACCTGTAGGAGGGCAAACTTAGTGACCTTCTACCTGTAGGAGGGCAAATGTGAGAAAATATGTCTCACATTTTCAATTTAGGTATTATTCTACCTAGTAATTTCATTTCTAGAACATTAACTCGGAAATAATTTAGTATGTATACAAGGAATATTCACCATATAAATGTTTATACTAAGAAAAATTAGACAACTATCTTTAGTTTATATTCAACAATATGAGATTGATGAATAAATTATAAATATAAAATATACTATTTGGCTATTAAAAACTATATCATATATGAATACAATTGACATGGAAAGATGTATGTATTTTTATGTGCAAATAACTGATTTAAAATGTACATGTAGTTGGTTTTGAAAAAACAATATATTATAGATATTTCAATAGCTTTATTGAGTTATAATTTATATACCATAAAATTAACCAAGTGTAAGCATACAATTAAATATTTTTATTAAATTTATAGAGTTATACAACGACCACTGCAATCCCATTTTAGAACAATTTTTTAAAAATATTTTATGTTGCCAATCTGTATTTTCTAATTTATAACATTGCTACTTCAAAAGTGAAAGTTATTTATATTTTTAATTTAAAATTTTCATACAGCTTTATCTGCAGAAAAAAACATGTCACATATCTTTTCAACCACTTTAGTCTGTAATTGTAGGTTTGTTATAATAAAAGTCAGTAGAGTTTTAAGGTAGTTACTAAAAACAGTTGCTTTTTATTTGTTAATTTTTTCTATGGATCAATGATTACTTACTCATGAACAAAAAAGTCAAAACTTACCTGTTAGCTATCTGACTTTAGGCAGATTACTTTATCTCTTATGACAAGTTTGGGAGGTCCAAATAAATGAATCCATAGAAAATACTTAGCAACTTCTGTTTATAGCAGTTTGGGGGAAGAGATTCTTTCAACAATTCTGTTGCTGAAACAAACTAAAAATAATGGATAGAATATATTTTTACATTTCTGAAATGTATCCAAGCCCTGGCAAGAAAGCAAAGACTTCTCAGAGGCCAAAATGTAAGTGAAAGAGGGAACACAAAGAAATAAGCAGTAGGAAGTGGCTTTAATTCATTGACCTTACATTTCAGTTTTGAAGACTTTCAGCACTGGGGCAAGAGAAAGCGTAGCCACCAGCACCCCGCAAGGTAAGGATTCTGATAACAACCTTCTGCAAAAACTTGGAACCCAAAAGCCTTTACTGTTCCTCGAAAGGAAAGTTACCCCTAGTGATCCAGGGCACCAAATAAACAAAGGGGGAAAGAAGTCTGCCCTGAGAATTTATAACTGCAAGTCAGCCCTCATGTAAATGTGCAGGCCAAATCACTTTCCTGGGTGGAGGGGAAAGCCTCAAGCCAAGAATTTAATTTAAAATTATTCCAAGATGATGGTGCCCCCAGATACTGGACAAAAGCAAAATCAAATTCTCTCTTAATCTAGATCTGGTAAAATTTCCACAGATTAATCCTGCAAGGAATATGTACTGAAAGCAAAAAAAAAAATCTCAAAACATACTTCAGACAGTATTAAAAGACTTTATATATTGAAATCATCAGCTAAATAATAAGTATGTTAATATATTTATATAAATATATGTGGGATTAAAAATAGGAGAAATGAGCAAGATATAAAAAAGACAAAACAAATTTGAGAAAGCACAAAAAGATTTGCTAAACATTTAAAAAATACAATAATTGAAATGAAAACATCAGGAAACCAGTTTTACGGTAGATTAAATAGAGTAGAAAAGAGAATTAGTGAACTAGAGGACACAACTGAAGATACCACAGAGAATGTGACTTAGAGAGACAAAGATTTAGAAAATAGAAAAGAAGTTAAGAGACCTAGAAGATTGAGTGGGAAGGTCCAATATACCTCTAAGCAAATTTCCAAAAGAATTAATGAGAAAATTAGCAGAGAAGACAAATAATAAAAAAAATTGTATATCTATAAACCAACAATAGTTAGAACATGTATAGAAACCTAATTTATGATGGATCTGGCAAAAATGTATAGAAATCTTACTTGTGAAAGAGCTGACATGACATATCAGTGCCAAAAAAAATACTGGACTGTTCAATAAATGGTGCTAGAAAAATGACTTATCTATATGAAAACAAAAGAGTTAAATTCTGAATCCATACACAAAAATCAATCCCAGTTTAAGACTTACATGTGTAAAAATTTAAGTTTTAGTATAGAAGAAAATAGTTTAATGACTAGAGTAAGAAGGATTTCTTAAACAAGATGCAAAATATAAACTATACCTTTAGAACATAGTATGGCATAACTTTCACTTTATTAAGTTGTATATCAAAAGACAGCACTTACAAATTGAAAAAACAAACAAACCAAGAGAATTTGCAAAACTTAACTACCAAGGGCTGGTGTTAAAAACATTTAAACAAATGCTATAAATCAATAAGGAAAAATTAGAATACATAATAGCAAATGATTTGGCAAAATACAGGAACAGGAACTTCAGAAAGAAGCCAGGGAAAGTCCAATATAGCTATGAAGAATTACTGAAACTCTTGTTTGCAGAGAGTTGTAATGTGCAGTGTTGGGCAATTGTGACTTATCTTAAGCCAAGTTAGTGCAGTGGTTCAAGAGGTCCGTGCAGATAATTTAGCACTTGTACCCTAGAGTTTAAGTGTCTGGTGGAAGACAGAAGAGCAAGCCTGCACAGTTAATAGCCACAGGTTCATAGGCAGTTGGAACAAGGATTCATACATATTGTTTTAGCTGTGGATTTCAAGAAAGGAGAGAAAGAAAAAAAATTGCAGATTAATTGTTCTATTATTTTCTAAGGTTTTACTATATTGCATCTGGGTGCTAATTTCATCTGTGCTGCTGGGCATCTGCTGTGATTTCTGACTCTGAAGAGTCATACCTTTGTTTAATACTGCAAAATTATCAGCAATTGTCTCTTTTCTGTTCTCTTTGTTCTCCTCTTAGAACTCCTTATATGTAAGTTAAATACTCTCGTTCTCTTCTCTGTCACTTCTATTTCATATTGTTCATCTCTCTGCTTCAGTTTGGATAATTACTTCAGATTAATATTCTAGTTCCTAATTATTCTTCATCTGTATCTAATCTATTTCACATATCCATTGGATGTTTATTTTTTGGAAGTTCTTACTGCCTCTTTTGAAAACTGCCCGGTTTCTTGCAATAGTCTCTCACTCCTTTCTCCTGCTTTTCATTACCCTTTTTATGTCTTTGAACATTTGAAGCATATTATCGCTGACTCTTTTTTATGATACTTTTTTTCTTTGTGTGATATGGATATGTGCGGGTAGATTGGCATTTTTCCACTATTAGTTTATACTTGGCTGATTAAATCATTGGGGATTTGATGTATTTCTTTACGGAGAATATGTTTTTGTTTATGCCAGCTGCCTCAACATACTACCAATACAGAACTGAGGTGAGTTAATCTCTCAGTTTTGGGCTTCCCTGAATATGCAGGTATAGGAGTTCGAACCTCAGACTGCTGAGTGGACTGAATCTTGATTTTAGGTTTTCAGGAGAGAGTTTTGCACCCAGAATTAAGACTGAGAAGACTTATTTGTCATCTTCCTTTGTTCACGCATAGAGTTTTTTTCCCAGCTCTCTTTTAGTAAAAATGTGGTCCTTTGAGTGTTCCAGCTTCAACCCCCTACCTTGACTCATCCTCTGTTCTTCCAAAAGTTGTTAAAATCTGGAACTTAAGAGTCTCCAGTTAAAGAAAATGCCTACAGTAGAGCAAGGCCTTCAATGCAAGATTACTGTCAGTCTCTTTGTCTCCTGTTCATTGTTGACGCTCTTGGTTTTCTCTTATGTTCTTAGAAGCTTTGTTGTACATTCAAATAATATTTGCCACACTTTACCTTTTATAGTGCATTCTATAGAAGGAGTATTTTAGGATACTTAACTAATCCTAATGCCAAAATTGGAACTTTCAGAAATTTTGTTTAATGTAAATATTACCTTCCAATTTATCAATAAGACATTCAGAACTAATTTTAAGTAGTCTGTATAGTCATCTAGAAACCTTTTTCAGAAAGGAGGATGCAGGTAGATTTGAATAATCCACCTTTTCCTTACATATGATATACACATATATATATATATATATATATATATATATATATCTTCTCACTTTATTGCTCTGGCTGGAGTGCAGTGGTGCAAACATGGCTCACTGCAGCCTCGACCTCCTGGACTCAAGCGATCATCCCATCTCAGCCTCCTGAGTAGCTGGGACCACAGGCACATGCCACCATGCCTGGCTAATTTCCCATATCATATATATTTTTAATAATGAAAATTTGAGGGTCTTTACTTCTTATAATCCACCCAATTTTGTGTGTGTGTGTGTGTGTGTGTGTGTGTGAGAGAGAGAGAGAGAGAGAGAGAGAGAGAGAGAGAGAATTAGTAGACTGCATTGTTTTAGCTAGCTAATACTATGAACTCTTGGCTTATTTTTCCAGATGACCATTAAAATTCCAGTTAGCTTCTGAGCCTGTCTAGATACTCCTAAAATGCCAGGAGACCTTGACACAAACTCAATGCTAAGAAAGGCAAGCCCAGGCTATGATTTCAGGCTATAGCCAGTCTCTTATGTTACCCAGTCATTTTCTTGAACATGTGTGAGAAATAGTGCTGTCTTTCAATCCTGATTTCTAAATGTGGGATATAGAACACAATAAAGTTACAGGTACAGACAGATCATCCACACCCCTTGCTTTCAGTCACAGGCCATATTGAAATGTAATAAAAAATACAATGTATTTCACTATTTCTAGGATACATATGTTTCCTTTTTCTGACAGCTATGAAATTGGGATATATCTATCAATTGATGGTGCATAAAAGTTAACTGGTGATATTGTTATTTCCTTGTGGTGTATAAAATACCAAAATAGTGGTGCATCTTATAATTAATGGCACTTTATATTTGATGAAGTACAGTATTTTGGTTTTTAAATCCCACTGGAAAAAAAAGTCTTACCTGTTTGTTATTCTGAGCAAGTTATCTATTCCCAAAGGTTATTTTTTCCTGAATAAAAAATTACCAGAATATTTTGGTATTCTTTCATAGTGAGCCACAAGGGAAAATTAAATCCAGAAATGTGTCAGTTTTCACATATTTATAAACTACTATTTTCCATACACTATGCTGTTTAGAAATGCTCATAATATTTTAATGTTCAATTATTCTTCTGTCACAAAATTTGTTTAGATCAAAAGCAAGGATAATTCGCCTTTGAAAGCACAGAGATCATATATGATATTTTGAAAAATGTATTTGTGTCTGACAAATTTAGTAACTTAGGCCTATTAACTCAACATATTATAGGACTGTGGTTAAAATAGAACTATCCATCTGACACATATACTGTTTAGGAACAGTAACATTACAAATGAGTGTTATCCTTTGAGTATCATTTATGTCAACTTTGTCTCATGTGTATTCCACAAGCTTAAAAATGATATTCAAAGAAAAGTGTGTGAGCAATAAGGTGGAAAGCAGTGTATTTATGGGGAAGAAATTTTGGTGATATTTTATCATCAATATCAACAAACATAAATTGAATCCAATTTATGTACGAACATAGTTCTGTGCTCTTCATACTTAAAAACGTAACATTTGGTTCTACGTTACACTCCAGAAAAATGCATGCTAGCAGTTGAGAAGATGGCATATAAGAGGTGTTAAAAATTACTAATTTGGAAGTGTTTACAGATTTTCTTGTCCTACTGCCTGCCAAAGAGTCCTGTATTTTACAGCCCCTATCTGTCTACTCCACAGCTCCTCAAACATATGAATATAGTATATTTCTACTAGACTGGTTCCTACACATACCTTAACCTTTTTATTGTAAAACAAAACAAAAAGGAAAGCCACACAAATCAAATGTAGAACTTCATGATCATAAGGCAAACACTCTTGAATCCATCACCAAGATTTTAGAAACCTGACCTACCAGTTACCCCAGAAGTCTTTCCACATGCTCTGTCCCAATTATGATTCCTCCTTCCCCTGAAAATAACTACCAATGGATCCTTCTAGTAGTCACTTCCTTGTGTTTTATTATGGTTTTATTACACAGATTTTCATTCCCAGAAACTGTAGTTAAATTGTACTCATTTTCTCTGTATTGCATTTCTTTTAATTTATAGGCTATCTTGCAATCGCTTTTATTTATATATTTTTACAGTTTATCCGTTACAGAGCCCAGAGAGGTGCTTATGCTCATGGTTTAGGCTTTACTGATTGCCAATCATGGTACAAGTAAGCACGTTCTTCTGAACTCTATCTTTGCTAGAAATTGTCAGCTAAATCCAGAGGCTAATTTGACAAAACTATAGTGGATAGTGTGTTCTCCTGTCAAGGATCACATCTTTTAGTTGTTTTTATTTTTGAGGTTGGCAGCCTTTGATACTCAGTGACTGAAATAGTGATCAGCAAACTCCAGCCATTGGCCAAATTCTGCCAGTCATATATTTTATATGGTCTATGAACATAGTCCAACTAATTCAGTTATATCTATGGCTGCTTTCATGTGATCTCTTGTTCACAAAATCTAAAATATTTACTGTCTAGGCCTCTACGAAAAAAAAAAAAATGTTGCCTGGATCTGGTCTAGATCACCAGTATTTATGTTGAAGTCTCCCTGGTTGTTTTGGTTGTCTGCAGCTCATTTTCTAAGATTCCTGAGGAAGGGCTCACAAGAACAATATTACCTGAGTTTTAGCATGTTCACAATTTTCGGGGACCGTTTATACTTAAAAGACAATTTTTCCTGATACAAAATTCTTGGCTCTATTTTAAATATCTTAAAATATGTTACTACGTTTTTTTCTGGAATAAAAGTGTTGGTTTTGGAAAACCTTGTGGTAATCTAGATTTTATTTTGTTTTGTTTTTTACTCCATAAGTCATTTGCTCTATATGTCTCCATGCATGAAGAATTCTTGCTTTGTCAGTCCAGCAATTTTATGAAAATATGTCTTGATGTGTTTGTTCTGAGTCGATATTCTCATACATATGGCATACTTTCAGTGTTTAATATCAAATCATTTTATTTTAGGAAAACATTCTTGAATAATAGTTTCTAGTGTTATTTTCCTTTGTTAGTTTCTATCCTTCCTTAGAAATTCTATTATCAGTATATTGTATATTCTTTGTATATTCAACATTTGTCACTTCCTCTCAAATCCCTTTTATTTGTTTTCTTTGTTATTTTTGATTTTAAAAGCTTTCTTTCCTTTCATTTTCTCTTATTAAGGTATTACATGTAATGTTTATTTGTTTTTATGTTCCTTCTAATTTTGACTTAATTTCGGAAATAATACTTTTCTTCCATTACTAATTCTTTTCTGAATCCTATCACTTCATTTCTGAGTTAATCTAACTCTGATTTATGTTTTTGTTCATTTCTTGAAATCTTTTTCTTAATATCTTCTAGCTTATTTTTAAATACTTGGTTGCACTTGGGTCTGTTTTGTCATCTTGTCTTTCTGGTATGCTTTCATTGTCTGCAGGGATGTTATTGTGCTTCTTATTTTTCTTTTTCTTATTATAACCTTGCATAGGATTTGACCTTAATAATTTTTTGCTGCTTTTAAGAATTCAGTTTTCCTGAATTTTTTCAAAGGAAGTTGTGTTCAAAATTGTTTTTCTAACTTCACAGGGCTTCCTCTTAAGTGGTTTGTCTTATAGTACTGAAAAAATAAGGCAGCTTTTCTTCCAAGGCTTTCTGGCTCTGTTTCTCTCCCCAACTTTTTATCTGAATCTCCCTTTTTATTTCTTGTCTCTGTGACCATCCCTCTCAATTTTGAGTCCACTCCTAGCTAATTCCTCAGTGTAGGTCCCTCCTGACATAGCCCTTGGAGTGACCGATTTTAAGAGTTCACAGGGGCTACACAGTTCCAATCCCTTTAGGACTTACTAAGATTTTTGTGCTCTCTCATTTTTGTACTCAACCACTTTTGGATAAAATGACTGCCAGTTTCAGTTGCTATTCTCAAATTAGCCATTGTTATTCTAGTGAACATTTGTTGGCTACTTTGGAGTTCTCTTGCTCTCAGGTTTGTCTCATAACCCATTGTGTTCCTTTGTTTCTGCCTACACATCCAGCAACACCATGCAATGCATCTCTTGTGGCTGTCAGTGATTTTGTCCTTACCCACCTGCAATTGTAGGTTGATGATGACACCTTGTCATCTAGTTTTGTTGCATTCATTGTCTATTGGAGCTTTTTGTTGTTGCTGTTTTCTAGTTGTTTGCTCTGTTTTTATGTGAAGATTCCAAGGGTTTTATAAACTATGCCACCAACATGGCCATCTTCCCCAAATCCTCCTGTTACTATTTTGTGGTTTCTACACAACTGTGATACAGAACAAGAACTGGGCCTAGATGAGTAAAACCAGACTCATACAAATTTGAGGAGAAAGGAAGAAATCTTAGCCAATATACATATAAAGATATAGGAGAGAAAGGAAGAAAGAGGAGTAAAATCAAAGACTAAGAAAGAATTTTGGAAAGATTCTAGAAAACAAGATGTTCTATAGGAGGATATGGCTCATAGAATTCAGAGGAGAGAGAGGGGAATGCAAGAAGTACTGTTTATAAATTGTATCTGATTGTATATATTATAAATTGTGTCTAATTTACTATATCTAATTTACTAATTTACTATACTTGAGGCGAATCAAGTCAAGAATGGAAAAATTTTTGATAAATTTTGCACTTGAACTCTACATATTAAACTTGACACTCCTCAAACACCAAATTCCATGGATCACAGCTTCAATCTGGTAACAAGTATGTATATAAAAGGTGTACATTTTTGAATAAGCAAGGTAGCAGATATGCAGTAGAAAATATGTGTCAAAAATAACTCAGGAAAATTAATATTTGTGAAGAGCCTGCTATGTGCCAAACACTAGCTACATATTTGTCCTAGCAATAATTCTGAGGTGAAGTATTATCACAGCAAACAAACCCAGGTCTTGTGAAGTTTGAGCCAATGATCTGTCCATTACACTTTATAATATCCTTTCTCCAATGGGTTAATAGCAATAATGAGCATTTATCAAAAATTATGAGCTAGATACCCTACTGTGTGTGCCACATGCTGTATTTAATTTTAATACTTGCAACAAACTTATGATAACTATTCTTATCCATAGTTAAGGAAATAGGGATTTTAAAAGGTTGAATACTTTCCAAAGTTCACACAGCTGTCAAGTGGCATAAACACAGAACGTAAGTGTGACTGTCTTCAGAGCCAGCTTCTTAACCACTACATTATGTTATTAGACACCTATGAATGTGACCTGGGTCCTCATCTAGTAGTTAATCTCAGATTTGGGCTGACTCTCTAGATGTCCCCATCCTCATACCCATGTGCATTTTTCTAAAATTCCTAATGTTTGAAGAGGATTACTTCCCAGCAGAATGGGATTGTCCTTTAGGCAAAGACATCCAAGTAGTCTTATGTTCTTGTTAGGGTCTCCTGATATGAGACAGAACAATAGGAGGAGCCAGAGGAAAGAATCCTACACAAAATAAGTTCTTGATGACTTTAAGATGAGCCCTTTAAAGTGGAGTTTGTCAACGTAAAGGTCTTAATATAATTCATCTCTAAAGTATCAACTTATTTCAAACTACAGAATATCTGGTTAAGATAGGGCTCAGAATTTATTTCAATTTATTAATTGTTTAATAATATTTAATCCAAAATTATAATTTTGTCTCCTCGTTCACTAATCTGAGAATCTATCATTTCCTTAATCCTTGGGAATCTGTAGTCTGAAATTATTTTGATATCTTGTTTTGCCATCTAAGGTTTGCAAAGACTAGCTGGAATTAACCTCTGTCCATTATTAGGACAAGTAAGAGCCAGTTCTTTATTTTTGTATTTTTATAAGGCTTAAATTTGATATAGTGGTCTCCCAGTTTGGAAAAAAAAAATGTGCCATTTAAAATAAAAGCCTGAGAATATTTAAAAGAAGTGGGACATAGATAATGTGTGTAGCCCACTTAGTATTTTAAAAAGTAATAATTGTGGATAGAGTAGAAAAGAGCAAAAGACAACCTTATCTTTGTAAAGTTATTTTTTTTTCTGTTATAGAAGCTGCTGCAGATGTCTTACACAAGAATGGCGAGAGCTGCAGGGAGTTAATCCAAAAGACAGTCAGAAGCAGTGCCCCTTGCTAAATGTGATTGTTATCTGACCTCATAAACAAGAATACACTAACCCTAGATGTCACTGACTTGATTGATTTTCAAACAGGGAAGACTGATGCTCTAATTTTCCTAATTAACTCAGATGATTCTATCAACCTGATGGGCAGAGCTTGCTTACTGAGAAATGATGTGAAAATTAAGATGCACAGACAGTTTTCTAAGAAACCTGATTCAAAGCACTATGCTTCCAATGCTAGGATTTTTACTCAAATGAATTCTAGCCCTGTTCCAGCTCCACCAAAGGAAATGTGTAGATTGAAATGTTTACATTTTGGCTTTCCGCAGACAAAAATGGAGGTATTAATACTACTTTGTTGACAATTTCCACTTAATGATTTGTGTAACTAATAATTATCATGACACGAATGAACATTATTAGGATCTGAGAAGTATAACGTTAACTTTTACTTTCCCATATTCTTTCTGATAGACATGGAGGATTAAACTGCGTTTGAAAAAAAAAAGAAGCAAAATCTGAATAATGAGTATAATCTGTACATTTTTAAACTACTTTATTTTGTCTGTAGGAGTTCTTTCTGCCAGTCTCTCAAATACAGGTTTTGCTCAAAGGAATGCATGCCTTATGCCAACATACCAGTCTTTTGGGGAATTAGGAATGCAAAAAATCTCTTTTTGTACCTTCGCTACCAACACATTTGCTGAGAATTAAAAGGGCCAGGATTTGACATTTTCCAGCTTGTTATCTATTTAATTTTCCATCTGCTTCTTTTGCCACTGCCTTCCAAAGGAACATCTGCTGCATATCTGAGAAAAGGGAAGGAAGATTGGATCTGTGCCACCCGGGTCTGCAGTCTCAAACCTTGAGATCCAGAATAAGGGAAGGGAAGGAGACTAACAAATGGTCCAGAAAATAAAATGAGGACAAACAGTCTGTTAGAACAAAGCTGTATTTTTCTTTATTGCAGAGCCCACATGACTGGGCAAGTCGGGTGGTAATGTCTACAACCAGCAAGGGCTGGATGCAGGGGGAGGCAGGTGGTGACCAGCCAGTGGCAAGAGTACTTCCCAGAGCTTGGACACTCCCTCTGGTGCCTGACTCTCCATGTGGGACCCGGTTTCTCACACATTTCTTAAGCATTTATGGGGCAGCTGCTATGAGGCAATTTTGTTCTGAGTACTCTGGAGGCAGAGATGAATAAGACATAATCCCTGTGCTTAAAGAGCTAGCCTAAAATGGGGAAGATAGACAAATGAACAACAGATCACAACATCACAATGAAAAATTCTACATCCTATGAAAAATTCTATATCCTAGGTAGGGAAGAAATGTCACAAAAATACATAGAAGTGGAAAGATGTATTCCTAATCCTATGAAGAGAAGTGGTGGTTCAAGGAAAGGAACATCTGTACAGAGACAGTGTTACAAGCTGAGTCTGGAAGGATAAGTAGGAATATTAGAAAACAAGGTTTTTTTCCTCCTTATCAATGAGGGGTAGTATAAAACAGCAAACCTTCATAATTGACTCAAAAAATTTAATCCTCCAAACCTTAAACCCACCCACCACCCCTCTCAATTTCAAGGCATCAACATTTATATCAAAGAAATGTATCAACCAACTGGGTTCTGCCACTTTTCAATGTTACCTACAGAGTCACTAGTAAGGTTATCAAACTCTCATCAGAGTGAGATAAGAGGGTTAGCCTAATCATAACTTTCTGATTTGCTATGGTGGAGCAATGATGAGTGGCCAGTTGTCTGACTTTAACTTTTCTTAATTATCTAACTTTAACATCATCAAAATATTTGTATGTAAGATCACAATAGCAAATGCAATAAATTCTTAGAGTTAGGAGTGTATCTGCAAACTATCAGGTATGAATGAACCTCTACTCCACCATAAGGGATACAGAAATAAAAGACATGACCTTTCTGTCAAAGAAGCTGAAACCTAATTGCAATGACTGGAATGTTTAAAATGACTAACTATAATTTTTTAATCTCTTTTCTATAATTCTGACATGGCAAATATTTAACATTTAAATGAGAAAAGAGTAAGGACAATGCTATGCTTTATTGCTCAGTAAATGTTTGCTTTCTTCATTTTTCAATGCAGTCTACAAATAAGTATAAAACTTTTTATCATTTGCTTTATATTAGTCATAGTATATACTGAGATGCGAAAATAGTTGGTATAATCCCTGACTTTGCAATTATATTTTATCTTCATTTTAATAAATTTTATTTTTTAAAATATCCATTGGTGATATGGAAATAACTGTGGGAAAAGACTCAAACACACCTTTTTTTCTATCATCACATTTTCTTTCAACCTCAAAGAAAAGCCTTCCTCAATTTTAAAAACTCATTCAGAGAGAATTTTTTGAAGTTTTTTTTTAACCAATAAATAGCAAGCTATGAGATCAAATTAAATATTTGGAATATTTTTAGCTTGATTTAACTCACCCAAAACTCTTAAGATTATTATAAGCATGTAATGGTTATGTTTAGTTTACGGTTAGTTTCTTAAATGGAGTTTAAAGACATTGCAATTTTTAATTTTTAAATAGGACTATTATATATGGTAGATGTATTGGTCAGGGTTCTCTAGAGGGACAGAAATAATAGGATAGATGTTTATATGAAGGGAGTTTATTAAGGATAATTGATTCACACCACATGATCACACAGTAAAGTCCCACATAGGCCCTCTGCAAGTTGAGGAGCAAGGAAGCCAGTGGTGGATCAGTCTGAGTCCCAAAACCTCAGAAGTAGGGAAGCCAACAGTCCAGCCTTCAGTCTGTGGCCAAAGGCCTGACAGCCCCTGGCAAACTACTGGTGTAAGTCCAAGAGTCCAAAAGCCAAAGAACTTGGAGTCTGATATTTGAGGGCAGAAAGCATCCAGCACAGAAGAAAGATGAAGGCCAGAAGACTCAGCAAGTCTGCTCTTCCATCTTCTCCTGCCTGCTTTATTCTAGCCATTCTGGCAGCTGTAGTAGTTGGTACCCACCCAGATTGAGGGTGGGTCTGCCCCTCCTAGTCCACTGACTCAAATGTTAATCTCCTTTGGCAACACCCTCACAGACACACCCAAGGACGATACTTTGCATCCTTCAATCCAATCAAGTTTACACTCAATATTAACCATCTCAGTAGATAAGAAAATTTCCTGTGTTGTTCACCTGTAATGAATGAGCTTAAAAAGAGGCTGATGATTGAAACTTTTTACTATTTCAAATTGAGAAAGAAATGAGATTTTCTATGCTATTACATTATTCTTCTATTAGAAAAACTTCCAAAGTAAACTATATCAGGAGGCCATAGTCCAATTCTTCCTAAATTAAAGTTGATAGAAGCACAGAATATTTTTGAGTTGGAATGTATGCCAGAGTTACTTAGTGATTTATAAGTGGGAAAACTGAGAACCAGGAAGGTTAGATACCTAAATCTTACTTGTTTGGGTTTATAACTATGCCCTAAGCTTCTTCAGCATATCAGGATCCGTGGTATTGTGTTATCACCCTCAGTCGTTTTGTGTTTTGTCTTTTCAGCCATAAAAAAATTTTGTTTAGGGACAGAGACAAATAAATCTTTTCCTTGGCTGAACTTGAATGTACCATTTCCACTCAAGATTCTAGAAAATCAGATTTCACTGGCTGGTCCCATGATCTGAAAGAGTGGCCCTGTCACCATCTTATTCCACACCAACCTGGTTTTTGTTGTTGGTTCTCCCTGAGACTTTAGGGAGACAAGCACAGCAGGTGGTACCATCCACAGCTCACCCATCTACCTTGAGTAAGCTTGGCAAGTACACTTATTCAGTCTGCAGTGACCTCTGCAGTGACCCTGGGGCTGTTTCAGTGAATGCTGCTTTTGTGGCTCAGGTGTTGTCCTAGAAGTTAATTGTCAATGAGCCTCAGGTAAAGTTACTGAAGGAAAGACATAAGCAGATTTAGTAAACCATTTAAATACTCCAATCCTAACATTTTCTGAATTTTAAATAACTACACATAATTTTCTTTGTCTTCAGCATAATACGGATCAAGCATAATAAATACATCAAGAGTGAATTAAGCCAATTGCTGAAACATGGTTGCATTTTGTTGGTAATAGTGAAAATATATGATGGCGTGGTCAACATTCAAATGAGACATAGAACAAACCCTGAGTTAGTCACATTCTGATCTTCCCCCTCCGCCACCGGATATTTATTTTTTCTTTTCTACAGATGTCTATTTTGCAACTCTGCTGGTTTTGTCCTTTTTCTTAATCTTGAGGCAGGTATATTGGGAGGCAAGATATTCCAGTCATTTCTGCAGCTTTTTTATTCATCTCCTGGTGGGTGGATGAGAGTGATGCTGTAGCCTCCAGGGCTCGACAGATCTTTTCCCTTCTCTCCACCCTCTCTCTCTAGGATCAATCTGGGATTGATGGGTACATGGTAAAAGAAAAAAAAAAAATCCTGGGTATTTTTTTCTACCATACTTCTAATTGCATTTGTTTTGTCACCCTTAGGACTACCAAGAAGCCTCCAATTTGGAACAATTCGTAACTAGATTTTTATTGAAGGAAACCCTGAATCAGCTGCAGTCTCTCCAGAATTCCCTGGAATGTGCCATGGAAACTACTGAGGAGCAAACCCGTCAAGAAAGGCAATTTACATGTTTTCATCTGATGTCTATTTAGTGACTCTATGTTCATGAAAAAACAATTGAGAGGCATTGTACTTACACTAGCAAAAACTAAAAAAGAGAATTGATATATTTAAAAAGAATGACAGTGACCTCCACTGGTTGCTTGCCTTATTATTTGCCTCTAAAAAGACCATTCTACTTTTTCTTTTACTGTCAGTCATTTAGTAAACTATATATATATATATATATATATATATATATGTGTGTGTGTGCGTGTATATATATGTCTGTGTGTATATATATACACACACACACATATATGTGTATGTGTGTATATATATACACACACACATATGTGTGTGTGTGTATATATATACATATATGTGTGTGTGTATATATATATATTTCTTTTTTTTTGAGATGGAGTCTCACTTTGTCACCCAGGCTTGAGTGCAGTGGCACGATCTTGGCTCACTGCAAACTCTGCCTCCCGGGTTCAAGCAATTCTTGTGCCTCAGCCTCCCAAATAGGTGGGATTACAGGCACACACCACCACGTCCAGCTAATTTATTGTATTTTTTAGAAGAGACGGGGTTTCACTATGTTGATCAGGCTGGTCTTGAACTCCTAACCTCAGATGATCCACCCATCTTGGCCTCCCAAAGTGCTGGGATTACAGGTGTAAGCCACTGAGCCCAGCTGAGTCAACAAATTTTAATTGAAAATTTAGTAGATGGAGAAGACTTTAAAGTATTATGAATAATATAAAGATACATTTAACATAATGTCAATCCTTAAGGAAGCCTAAGTCTATCATATAAATAAGACATGAACACAAAAACTATACTGCAAAGAACAAAGTGATAATAAATACCGTAGAGAAGAGGAAATACATTGCCAATTGTTTTCAGAATATTAAAAGATTAAATATGGATAGAGGGATGGAAGGATGAGAAAGTCAATTTCATGGAGTTTCTCTATTTGAGCTTGTCTTGCAAAATCAAGAGATCAGTGAAAAAGCCTGGTGGGAAGACAAGACTTGAACTGGACCTGTAGGATGAATTTGAATGGCAGAATGAGAGTCTCTCTAGAGGGATCCGTCTCACCCACCTCCTGTTACCCACCTCTCATGTGGCTCACTTCTCTTTGGTTGTCTGGTCACTGATTGGACAGTAATTTCTCTGGGAAGCCTTCACTGCTCATTCATACCTCCCACTTCACTACCGTGTATTCCTATAGTGCCCCCTATTTATATCTACTTATCTCAACCCCTTCCTTGTTAATTTGGTGTAATTTTGAAAATGTGGAAATGATGGGAAAGACCCTTACAGACTACATGAACCTGGATATACTTGGGAGACCTGATAATTCAGTAAGCCTAATTATTTCAGGAAATGGAGAAAAGTGAATGATGGAAATTATTTCAAAATTCAATGCCACCAATAGGTATCACTGAGAAAATAAGTAGTCATATTGCAATAGCTATATAAATAAAGGCACTAATGCTTAAGAGACACCTATACTAAAAATGTGTAGGGCACACATCAAGGTGATCCCAGCCAACAGTTGATATTTTTCTGAGTTGTCATTGCTTATACTTTGCAAGCTAGAGAAGCTTGCAAAACTCTTGCTCCTGGGGCATATTTTGGCAGATGTGTTACTTTAAACTTATAGATGTGCTTTATCTAACTTTTACATCTTAAATTAGAGAGAAGGAAACAGTAAGTTTTCTGAACAGGCTGATAATAGACTACCCTGCAGGACCAATTTTCCTGAACAAATTAACTGATACATAATTATTAGGACATCTCCAAAATAGTGGAATTTTCAACCATGTGTTTACAATGTCAAAATGAGTGAGCACCACCAACTTCTAACAAAAAATCCTGTAATTCCAGAATCTAATGAGCCCATGCAGCTGACTGTCACAGGGAAGTACTCTTTAGCAGATCTGTGAAGCATCCTCTACATCATAAACTTCCTGTTTTCACTGCGTTGGGTGATTCTATACCAAATGGCAAAGTATAACAATTCACTTTAGAAAAGCAAAACCCACCTCCTCAGCTTTGAGCAGAGGATAACTGAATGTCTTGAAGCACAGTGAAATGGATTTCATGTTCCTAATGAGAAAAATGAGGCCTCCTGTGTTGTTTCTTTTGTTTGGACTTTCTGGAAATAAAATGGGAACTCCCTTTTTAGAATCAGTCATCTGCCACCTGAGAAGAGGCTTGAAAAAGTGCTCTACTCCCCTTCTTCACCTGCGCTTTTGTTTTTTTCTACAGTCATCCCCTGAAAACCTGTGCTCTGCATTTACCACCATGCTGTGAATGTTTAATGAACAACTGTTTTCTGTGTTAGGCCACAGGCTAGCCTTGAACTCTTGTGACTGCTGCCAGCAGCTGCCTAGCAGCTGTGCTTAATGAGAAGGAGCATGACAATATAGACTTTAAGGAAAGTAGAAGGCACTAGAGGATTAACGAACCTTTTACTTCTGGATTTCTCACTCAAAAACAGCTTCAAATAATGGGAAATGTTACATGTCTGACTGCAGTTTAAGGGGTGCTGTTGTATGGCATTTGACTAAGACACCCAGGAATGACAAAATCCCACCCCAAATCTGTGATATTCCCCCTGAGAGGTTTATAAAGAAATGCATAAACAAGCAAACAGAAAATAAGGTACCACTATGGATTTATGCCCGTAATATCTGATGAACCAGACTGAAGCACGTGAATTATGCCCAAACCTAAAGGGACTGTGTCTCCTCTCCCAAGGCTATATCTTCCTATCAGCTGGCCACCAAAAGTGAGGAGAGCCCTGGGACCTTCATCAGTGAGGAAAAGATAGAGAGAGAAAAACTATACCTTTCCTATGATGTCAATCAAGAGACCAGTGAAAACGCCTGATGGGAAGACAAGACTTGAAGTGGAACTTTAGGATGAATTTTAATGGCAGAATGAGATTCTCTCTAGAGGGATCCGTCTCACCCATCTCATGTTACCCATCTCTCATCTGGCTCACTTCTCCTCGTCTGTCTTGTCACTGATTGGACAGTACTTTCTCTGGGAAGCCTTCACTGCTCATTTATACTTCCCACCTCATTACCATGTATTCCCATAGTGCCCTCTATTTATATCTACTTATCTCAGCCCCTTCCTTGTTTATCTCCCCCATTAGACATTGAGTTTTTAGATGGCAGAGACTTTGCATAAGTCCCCTCTACTTACTACAACTGCATGGTAAACATATGAAAGTGAATGAATGAAAGGAATTCTAGGTGAAAGGAGTGCTACACAGGAGCAGTTGGTGAGGACCCAGAACACTGAGGAGACCAATCTAACAGTCATCTGGGGTTCAGAAAGATCTTAAAAGCTAGAAAGATGCAAACAAAAATTCACCAGTTTTTTGTTTGTTTGTTTGTTTTGAGACAAAGTCTCACTCTGTAGCCCAGGATGGAGTGCAGTGATGCAATCTCAGCTCACTGCAACTTCCGCTTCCCGGGTTCAAGCAATTCTCCTGTCTTAGCCTCCCGAGTAACTGGGACTACAGTCATCTGCCACCATGCCCAGCTAATTTTTGTATTTTTAGTAGAGACAGGGTTTCACCATATTAGCCAGGCTGGACGCGAACTCCTGACCTCAGGTGATCTACCCACCTCAGCCTCCAACGTGTGGGATTACAGGCTTGAACCACCACTCCCAGCCAATTCATCAGTTTTTTTATGTTGTAAAGGAAGATTTTGTGATGCCCTTCACAGTCAAGAGTTGCAACCTGCAGGTCAGGCATGGTGGCTCACACCTGTGATTCCTGCACTTTGGGAGGCCAAGGCAGGTGGATCACCTGAGGTCAGGAGTTCGAGACCAGCCTGGCCAACATGATGAAATCCTGTCTCTACTCAAAATACAAAGAAATTAGCCCGGCATGGTGGTGGCAGATACCTGCAATCCCAGCTACTCTGGAGGCTGAAGCAGAAGAATCACTTGAACCCAGGAGGCGGAGGTTGCAGTAAGCAGAGATCGCGCCACTACACTCCATCCTGGGCAACAAAAGCGAAACTCCATCTCAAAAAAAAAACAAAAAAACAAGAGTTACAACCTGCAGGTATCATTAAAATCTCTAGGATTGTGATAATTTGCTTTCCCTTCAGCATCAACATTACTTTGGGATTTAATATTTGTGAAACCTAGGGATACAAAGACTCCTTGGAATATAGCAAATTTAGGGAAGTCATCTATTCCATCTATCAGCCCCGGGGAGAATCACACAGTATCATTCATCCTGCAGTAATGAGGTAGACATGCCATGTTGGGCAAAATGTCTGTGTCTATTCATGTAAAAATGGATATTTGAGAGAGAAAGGATGTGTACAGCTGGAATGCCACAGAGGTGGAATTTTCAGATGGCATGCTACAACACTCTTTGTATCTGCCCTGGCAAACTGACTAAATGTGAATTACATTAATTCCATGTGTTCAGAAAGTACGTAATAGCTAATGACAAGAATAATAAGTATGTTATATGGAAGTTTCCCCCTAGGGGTCCCCTATTCTCTTACATAAAACTCTCTTCCTCACAAACTAAATTTCTAGGAACACAGTTTTCATTATATGTGGATTTCCTTTTTATAATGGAATCCACAAGTTTGCTCTATTTCCCAAAGTTTTTCTATATCCAGGAACGTAATTAATTCCTTCTTGACTTGAAAGTTATTTTTCTCCTTTTGATAGTTGTCTATTATAGAAGTGAGGAAAAGCTTTAATTTCACAAACAGGTGGTTATAAAAGTTTAGACAGCTTAGATTTCCTTAGCTTGAACATAGAGGAGGATTGCTCTAATCACCTACTCCCCTGACCACCAAAGCTGCCAAAAACTTGGATTTTTTTTTTTTTTTTTTTTTTTTGAGATGGAGTCTCACTCTGTAGCCCACGATGGAGTGCAGGGGCACAATCTCTGCTCACTGCAACCTCCGCCTCCCGGGTTCAAGCAATTCTCCTGCGTCAGACTCCCAAGTAGCTGGGATTACAGGCGCCTGCCACCATGCCCAGCTAATTTTTGTGTTTTTAGTAGAGACGGGGTTTCACCATGTTGGCCAAGCTGGTTTTGAACTCCTGACCTCAGGTGATCCACCTGCCTGAGCCTCCCAAAGTGCTGGGATTATAGGCGTGAGCCACCACGCCTGGCCAAAAACTTGGATTTTTTTATACCATAGGAAAATTCATAGGGAGATTTAGTTAAAGATTGATGATTAAATGTATGATTTCTTTTGCTCTCTCTCTAAACCCTTCAAAACATGACATAAAAGTACCTGGATAAAAGGAGGCATTAACCTGCAAAAATAAGAATAGAAGAAGAGCCAAAGGGACAGAAACTTGGAAGGTGGAGAGAAGGTGAATCTAGTGGAAATTGATTTAGAAGCTCTGAGAAAGCTGAAACTGAAGCAGGCAATGTAAGAAGCCAAGATACAATATATTTGGTATCACAGAACCTCAGAAAAGCTCAAGACTTGGCTGTACCATGTGGAACTGAAAATGAGGGTGAAGGTAGGGCTGATATATTGTTGGAAGCTCCACCCAGTGCTATATAGTGACTGCTCCTACCCGATCCTTGAAGAACCCCAGACATAAGCTGTCTGGAGAAGGTGAGCATATGTATACCTGGCACAGCTGATAGGACACAATACTAACAAAGGAGATACTAACTGAAAGTCACCATACTGAAGAGTGAGATGTGAAATCTCCTTCATATATTTTACTCCCAGAGTACTAACAACAGGGCTCAGACTCCAGTTGGGGCGTGCTTCTTTGAGGGATCTGATTAATCCCAGAGAAAAGACTTAACAATGCCAATGGTCAAGGTTCCCTGAAGAATAGGCCCAGCCAGGCCACTGTACAGTGAAGACTGCAAGTTGGCAATCCCTGCCACAAACAAAGAGGTTCCAGTCAGACTTGTAGTTCCTCCTTCTAAAATGTATGGGGTCAACCAAAAGGACAAATCAAACACAAGAAAAGAAACTCGAAAGAAACAGATAATCCAGAGAGCAGACAAAAAATTTCAAAAGAAAGTTTTCAATACCTTCAAAAACTAAATAAAAGATATTGCATTTATGAATTAAGGATAGAATGCTTTAAAAATAATATTCAAAGCACACAAAAGAGGTCTTGGAAATTATGATTGCAAAAATTACATTCTCTGAGGAAGGTTGAAATATAAAAGTGTGAGGAAATCTCCACAAAGAGGTGAAATATAAGAGATAAGGAAACTAGAGGCTCAGTCCAAGAGGTCTACTGTTTGTAAAACAGCAATTCCAGAAAGAGAACAAAGCAGAAAAATTATCAAAGGAAGAATTTAAGAAAAATAGTCAGAATTGGAATATGTGTCCAGTTTGATAGAACAGATCAAGAGCTCATTATAATGCTAATAAAAGTCCAACACAAAATACATCATTATGAAGTTTCACAATACTGGAAACAAAGACAAGTGTCTAAAAACTCCCAGAGAGAAAAACCAGGCCATATGCAAATAATCAAGAAAACACTAGATTTTTCACTAGTGACTCTGGGATATAGAACACAATGGAGCAAATTTTTCAAAACAATTGGCAATCTAGAAATCTGTATGCCATAAAACCATCAATAAAGTAAGGAAGATGTTTATTCATGCAATGTTTCAAGAATTTTACCTTTCATTATGCACCTTTTCTTATGAAGCAATTAGGGGATATTTTCCACCAAAACAAAGGAGTCAGGTAAGAAAAAAAATGAAATCTAGTAAAAGGGGGATCAGAGGTCATCCAACACAGGAGAAAGGCTAAAGGAATCTTCCCTAGCTGATAGATAATGAAAATTTTTGGATGAGTACATTAATCTTAGATTTGTCTTAAACACAGAAGGATTATATCTTACACACAAGGGATTATATCTCCTATAAAGAAATCTTGTTGGAGGCAGCTTAAGTATTATGTCCTTACAGATTTATCATAGACACTCTTTCTTTTTCACATATTAAGTGCATATTAATATAATAAACTATTGCCAAGTTTGCCTCATAGACCAAGATGTTTGTTGGCGATCCAGCTACCATGTTCACATTCCAACCAGGAAAGAAGATTAAGGAAAGACAAAAGGGATCCCTTCTAGCTGAATCTGTACTTTTAAGCAGCCTTCCTGGAAATTCCTTACAACATTTCCATTTGTATATCATTGGCCTGAGCTTTTCATATTGTGAAGTTAATAGATAAAGCCTAAAACTAAAAATTAAAGACATAGCAATTTAAGCATGTTATATACTGATAATTTAGAAGGTGTTTACTTTCATATCAGTATATAACATATACTGTATATAGTATATAAGATATACTGTATATAATATATATTTTAACATATGCTACTTTCATATCATAACATATACTCATATGAAAGTAAACACCTGCTAAAAAGTGTTGCCTTTTTGAAAGAGGAGTGGGAATATGATATGGGGGTGAAACGAGGGAGCTCCTGTTTGTTGAAATAAGATTTATAGAATCATTTGACTCCTAAAAATATATGGATGTATAGCTTTGATCCAAAAAATTAAAAACTGAATTACAGAAAAAACTCCATAAGTGTTTTCAAATTAAACAAAATACAATAGCTGCATACACGTTTTTCCACTGAAAGTTGACCAACAAAGGAAAAAAGCCTACCTTAAATTACAATTTTTACTCAGAATTTTAAGAATAAAGAAAGCTCAGAATTCTCTTTCTTAGGTTCACATACTGTAGTACCAAATTACATTGGGTTTCTAGAGCATTTACAAGCAGTCATTCTCATAAGTTTTCATTTTGCTGCACTAGAAAACCTTTATGACTGACGCATGAAGATCTCTTCCCTGAAGGAAGAGACTGAAGCACTAACATTAAGGTTAAATGTTATCTCTGTTGATCAAGGCAAGGGCCAGCCAAGCCAGAAGTCCTGTCGATTCAATGGCCTGGAAAACGATCAAGCCGCCGAGTCCAGAGACACAACAGCTTCTCCCCAAACAGCCCTCAGTTTAATGTCAGCGGTCCAGGTAACATACCCTTCATTTGTTTTTATTTGTCAAAGTCTATTTATCTTGCGTTTTCCAATTGATTATTTTAACAAACAACAGATAAGACAATAGTAATGGAACACTTTCCTTATACCAAGTAAGTTTGAGACAGAAGCAGTGAAGAGTGTAGTATGAAGAACTGGGGTGGTGAGCCTAAAATCAGCATGGTCAGAATCCTAGCAGTTGTGCCTGGAAAGCACACAGAGAGATGGTGAATAGGGAAGGCAGTAGCTTCATCAGCTAACATCTAAAAGACTTGACGTCTATAAGGACCCCCCATGATCTTGAAATAAAGGGACTCTACCCTAATATGCTCTAGATCTCCAAGCCTCCCTAAGCCTATCCTAAGTTCATCTGGGGAAAGGATCCTTGTTTTCATAATAGGATTAGTCATAGCTGGTGTTTTTGAAGTTTGTAATGTGATATAAGATTTACTGGGCTAAACCATACCCATAATTGTTAGGTTATTAAATTTTAACTGTGTCACTTATAACCATTTTAAAATCAATTTGAAATATGCAAACTCATGTTGCTAAATATTGGAGTAATTTTTATAAAGCATGCATATATACATGCACATATGTCACTTGAACGTGTCATTTTAACACGAGTCTTTATCTAATATTCAGAAAATCAAGGTATAAGCTATATTCTATATTTTCACCAACTGTACTTGAAAGATTTCAGAGTATTTTTATGAATAAAGCCTTATTTTATCTTGACACCTGATAAAATAGATGTTAATTTCCCTATTTCTCCATTTCACAGGTAAGGAAACAAGCCTGGGAAGTTAAGTGATTTGTCCAAGGTCATATGGAATATTAGTCCATTTTTATTGTGAAGCGACCTTAAAATCTTGATGGTTACACCTGTAGATACTTGTTTTTCTCTCTCATGAGTCTATGGTTGGTGATTTGGGCAATTTCAGTTGGATGTGGTTCCAGGCTGTATGTAGGTTGAGTTTGGCCCCACTCCTCATGTAGCCTCCTTCTGGAATAAGCAACAGCTGGATCATTTTCTTCTCCTAGTGGGTGTCAGAAGCACATGCAGCCAGCCCAAAATTATACATGCATATTAAAAACCATTGTTTTATGTACTGTGTGCATCTTGTCTGGTACCTCTCCATTGGCCAAACAAATCACATGTCAAGCACAGTAACAATGGGGAGGGAAATGTGCTTCATTCATTATAATAGGAGATACTGCAAAGTTGTGGTGCAAGGGTATATACAGATACTTCTATAGCAGGAAGAAATTGAAGAATTGGGAAAAATAATATGATCTACCACATGGAACTAGAAAATGACAATGCTAAGCTCCTGAAGCAACATATAGATTGTTCTTTCCATTTTAACCATTTAGAAAATAGTCCAAAATATCTTTTCTTGGGTCTCTGATGTGACAGCCACCTTAAATTATTTTGGGAATAACCCAGATTAGAAATATTGTATTAGAATTTAAAAAAAACATAAATTTTATTAGTATATTTGTAATATTTTCTCCAATCAGCCCCTTTCTTTTCTCTCTCTTTTTTTTTTTTTTGTAGCCACTTCTTTGTGGCAGTGCCAGTGCTCATTTTTACATCATAATTTGGTGGGCCTTGAAAGGTGCTTCCTCCAAGAAGGCAGGTGGAGAAGGAAATTCTGATGACATCACTCTCCCTTTATAATTTAGGTCTTGTCTTTATTGCATTCAAAGCTAACACAAGGCTTTATAGTCTTGAATTCAATCACATTCTGATTTCAAGAAATATTAAACAATACTACTTCAGCAAATGCCTATGAAAACATTTTTATTAAGCTGCAATCAGTATATACAAATATGCCAGGATATTTGTGCACAGGCTCAGATCATAACTCTTCCCTTTGCATAACAATGTTAATAAAAACAATAATAGTAGCAGAACTTCTATAACGTTTAACTTGGTGCTAGATACACACACACACACACACACACACACACACACTACATACCTACAAATACATATGTATGTATATATTATATATATGAATATAGATCAACAGGCTCCAGTCTGCACTCTTAACCACTATGCCATGATTATAGAGTCCATGTATATATACTCAAGTTAGATCCTGGGAAAGGAGACACCAACTATCTTGCCCTTATGGTTTTTTTTTTTATCGTAGCAATTTACACCTTGCTATGGTCAGGGGTATGATTTCACTAGCTCTTGCCACTGACCTACAAGTAAGTTTAGAATTGTTGATTGATGCTTTCCTGTTTGCAAAAGAAAACCAACTACATCACGGGGTTTTGTAAATGGCTCAGCAGGATCTTTTCTTTGAATATCAAAGGCCAAATAGGCAATTACATTAAAAAACAGGCCTGTGGAAGTGAACCCCTGGGATGCATGGATCTATGGAAATCAATACCTTAGAAAGCACTCGTGAATACATTTTAAAAAAATGACCAGTCAGTGACACTGCATCTTTCCTTCAGGGTTGAAGGAAAGCTCTGATATAACCAAGCATTTCTTCTCTGTCTAAAGTTTAACATATTGCCCTCATGATTCCCCCTGGCCCCAGGCTTATTAGAAGAAGACAACCAGTGGATGACCCAGATAAATAGACTCCAGAAATTAATTGATAGACTGGAAAAGAAGGTAGGTGCTTTCTTTTCTTTATTCTCTCTTCCACTCTTCAAGATATTGTTACCTAATATTCCCCATTGCTTTATATCCATGACTGCCCCATAGATAGAATAACAGCCAGGATCCCAATGATTCTATGAATGGCTGCTTGGTAGTTATTTGAGGTTTTTGTTGTCATTGCTAAATACAGAAGCTTACATTAATTCTCCCCCTACCTCCCACTCCCAATTATATTTAAAATAGGATGTGGAGTTGAGAGTTAAATAAATCTACTGCACTGCCTGGCTCTTACATTTTCAAATGAACTAGGTGACAGTGTGCTTGAATGATGCTAATGACAGCTCTTAGGGATAATATGTTGAAGGGATAACATCCCTTTAACTTAGGGATAAGTTGAAGTCTTGGGAATCTTTCAAATTAATTCAGGAAAATGGCAGTGCTATCTACTAAAAGATGAGATTCCACACTCAACTTCTGGAAATTAGCACATTAACCGATGGTTTGCTATTAAAACTATCTAAGCAAGCAAGTTAGAATGTGATGAAGAGTTCTTTAGAACTACATTTTATGTTCTTAGTTATTGTTTTTTTATTAATTTAGTTAGTACCAAGTAGTCCTGTTATTGTAGTGATATTCTCCTTAAACATCTTTGATAGGAGAGACAACTTTTGTCAATCAGTAAGAAAAAAATGTGTTTTCTGCACATGTCAGGCACCAAGGGAGAAACATTTATGTTTGTGACAGCACTGACTTTGAAGAAAGCAATTGTCTACTTATAAAACTAAGCTATTCTCCTAAAAAGGCAGAGCAAGAGAGATAACAGACTTTTTAAAAATTATATGGTAGCACAGAATGGGATTCATAGTTCATGGTCAGTAAGTATTTGAATGACTGACCGAGACATGTTAAAGGAATGGATCAGATGTTAAAATCTATCCATGCTCACCTGATGGGTTGATCACTGTGACCTGGGGTGCTCAGGAAGGACTTTGTGTGGCAGGAAGAGTTCAAGTGGGGCCTTAAAAATGGTGACTTAATTAAAAATTTTATTGCAAACAATAGAAATCATTTCTCTAATAAAAAAGAGAGTTTTCTGGAAGAATATGGAAGTACTCACAGAATCAACAGATAGTCCAGAGGTCTGAATTTGGAAAAGTCAGAAGACAAGATAACCCTACAGATCTAAATAGCAAGAAATAGTCAACAGTCTCTGAAGTTACCTCCACTGCAATAAATGAGTTCCTACCATTTCCAGTCTGTTGGCCTTCTGTTCAAAATTCTGCTTCCCAGAAGGAAGAGTCTGGTTGGTCATGGTAGGGTTGCATTGCTGGCCTCCTGGATAGGGGAGGGGGAAAAGTCTTGATAACAATCCCAGAGCACAGTACAGAAAGAAGAAGAGATAATTCAATGAAAAGAAAATGTATTGTCATTAAAGTTGGAATAAATGCTGATAAGCTAACAAACTAACAAGGAAAGTAATATTTGCTATGGAGAAGTAAAATTTCAGTAGAGGATAGCTGGAAAGGGCATTCAGGTAAGGTGATGGCATGAGCAAGGTGATGGCATCTGCAAGGTTCAGTAGATTGGCCTGGTTAAGAGTCTTTCATGTAGGGAAGTAGTAACAAATAAGGTTGTATGGACCGAAGAGGGCCAGATTATGGATAGCCTCAAATAATAGTCTAAGGAATTTGGACTTGGAAACAACAGAAGGCATTTATTATTTTTTAACAGCTAAGTGACAAACCAAAAAAAATCCTTTAGATAGGAAATTGGGCAGCAAGATGCAAAGTGAATTAAAACAAATGCAAAATGGGTTAAAACAAGAAAAATGAGGCTCAGAGACACTAATACCAGCTCAGAAAATGGCATTGAAGAGGAGGTTTGTGAAACTGAACCCAGTGAAATCAGGTATGATATGAGATGGGCCTATATTAAGCTAATGAGTGAGAAGAAAATGGCAGATTTGAAACACTTGAAGTGCAATTAACAGCACTATTGAATGGGTTAAGAACAGGGGGAGCTCAAATAAGAATCTGAGGATTGGAGCCTGTGTTTCTGAAACAATTAATTGTACCATTAACAGAAAAGGAAGAGACACATGAGAGAGAATTTGTGAGGTAAGGTGAGAAGGTGAACTAGTGTTTTTGATGTATGAATTTCAAGGTACAATGGGACACTTAGGCAGAAATACCTAGTTAGATGTTAGAAGGAGAGAAGTCAGGCCAACAGGTTAAGGTATTTAGACATATTTCCACAAAGATGAACCCTCATGTCGTGAGGATGGGTAAGGTCTCTGAAAAGGAGATTCTGTGCAAGAGCCAAGTTAAGGGGAAACAACCCTATAGAGTTCTTGTCCCTCTGCCATGGTGCCTTTATTTGTTAAATTTATATTGAACACTTACTGGAGCAAATACTTAAACTACTAGCTTGCTGCAAATCAACTTTCCTCCTTTCTTATTTTATTGATATGTGAGCTGAAACTAAAAAGATTTGTAGGAAAAATAGTGGCTATGGAAATTAGTTTTCCAATATTGGAAGATCAAATCCAGGACCTCTATTTGCAAACTAAAGCTTGTTAAAACATAAGGATTCATTTGCTAAATAAGTCCAGATTCATTTAAAAATACAAATACCTCTTTTTAAAGTGGTTTTGAATTTTTGGACAAAACTGTCTTTATTTGGTATCTGAAATTTTTATAGTTATTTTTAAAGGAATGGCTCAAACTTATGCCTTTTTTTCTAACTTTAAATCAAAGTATGTGACATTTCTTTTTTTTCTAGACTTTTTTTCTCCCTCCCTTCCTATAAAAGGGTTTCATTTTGAGGACAGTGTATAAGAGGTTTGCTAAAAGTACAATGTGATGGTTTTCAGCATGGGGCTCCAGCTGTGTGGAGCTCAGTGTGAGCTGTCTTAATGAATGGAGAAGCAGTGCAAGTTCAGTTTTCTTCTACAACTTATTCTGTACTGTGCTGATTAGGTTTTTAGAGAAAAACTACCCAATTGCCAAACAGTGGCTGAGTACGTCATTTCACTGCTGAGTACCTTGTCTCCTGTAGTTGTTAACACTAGTTTTGATCTTCCCATTAGAAGGAAGTGTACCTGCAGTGGAACATATGTTATCTTTTCTCTGCATTAAGTATTTAAGATAAATTCTTCCTGCACTGAAACCAAGCCCTATTCTATGCATGTAGGGGAATATAACACTTAGCAATTTCTATAAATAGGTTTCTTTAGGTATTCCTTGTATCCATTTCAGCCTCCATGAGAATTTATGGGAATATACTGAGGTTATGTCTTGTGTTTTGCTTGATCCCTGTAGAAAACACCTTTAATGGCTGGGTGCAGTGGCTCACGCCTGTAATCCCGGCACTTTGGGAGGCTGAGGCAAGTGGATCACCTGAGGTCAGGAGTTCGAGACCAGCCTGGCCAACATGGCAAAACCCCATCTCTACTAAAAATACAAAAATTAACCAGGCGTGGTGGTGTGCGCCTGTAATCCCAGCTACTTGGGAGGCTGAGGCAGGAGAATCGCTTGAACCCCGGAGGGAGAGGTGGCAGTGAGCCGAGATCGTGCCACTTCACTCCAGCCTGAGCGAAAGAGTAAAACTCCATCTCAAAAAAATAAAATAAAATAAAATAAACAAAAATAAAAAACAAAAAAAAACCCCACCTTTAATGTTAAACAAAATAACAACAAGGACAACAATAAAAGCTCTTCATTCTTCATTAAGTCCTTAGTGTATCATCAGATCACAGGACATTCTCATTTGAAAGGATGTAATTCAGGATGTCACACTCATACAACTTATTTTAAGTTTTTCATACCTTAGATCAGGAAAGGTAGAACTGAAATTGTACCTTAGTTAGTGTCAGGGAAATAGTGGTCAAGGAGATTACTAGGCTACAGTTTCTATCTGTGGAGTACTTTTTAGTTTTCAATTCACATCTGTATACATTACATATAATTTTGCCCTCATAGAAAAGCTATGATTTAGACAGGGCATTCATTCAGCCATTCATTTATTCTACATTTATTGAGTACCTACTGTGTGTCAGGTACTATTCCAGCAGTGGAAATACAGCAGTGATGAAAAGAATATCCTTGGTCTTTGAAGAGACAGACCAAAAAAACAACAAATCCATGAAACAAGATAATATAAAATAATGGAAAGTGCTATAAAGAAAAAGTAGAGCAATATAATACAGATAGGGGGTTGAAAACTCCAAATGAGTGGTCTGGAAGTTCTCTCTAATAAGGTGATATTCGAGTTGAGATGTGAAAGTCAAGAAGAAGGCAGCTATGTAAAGATTTAGGGATAGAGAATTTACAGCAAAGCAGGAAAAGTGAACCCCACAGAAGTTAAATACCTTGCCGAAAGTTCCACCACAAAATAACAGCACAGCTAGAGCAACATAGCTCTATTATTAACAGGCATATGTTATTTCAGATAGTCTGGATTTCTACAGTTTTCAGTTTACTTCTTATTTATTTGAAGGAGTTATTCTACATAATCCTCATTGGAAACAATGCTAGGATAGCCATTCACAGAATGAAGTTCTCAGAGATGAAGCACTAGGTTTCACTGGGGACATTAGGACATTAGCATTATTCATTGGTCATCACAGAAGACATTAAGGTCTTAATTCTCAAAAGAAGATATATAAAGGGCCAACAAACTATGAAAAAATGCTCAACATCACCAATGATCAGGGAAATGTAAATCAAAACCACAATGTGATACTACCTTACTCCTGCAAGAAAGGCCATAATAAAAAAATTAAAAAATAATAGATGTTGGCATGGATGTGGTGAACAGGGAACACTTCTACACTGCTGGTGGGAATGTAAACAAGTACAACCACTATGGAAAATAGTGTGGAGATTCCTTAAAGAACTAGAAGTAGAACTACCATTTGATCCAGCAATTCCACTACTGGGTATCTACCCAGAGGAAAAGAAGTCATTATACAAAAAAGAACTTGCACACACATGTTTATAGCAGCACAATTTTCAGTTGCAAAAATGTGGAACCAACCCAAATGCCCGCCAATCAATGAGTGGATAAAGAAATTATGGTGTGTATGTACGATGGAATACTACTCAGCCATAAAAAGGAATGAATTAATGGCATTTGTAGCAACCTGGATGGGACTGGAGACTATTATTCCAAGTGAAGTAACTCAGGAATGGACAACCAACCATTCTATATTCTCACTCATAAGTGGGAGCTAAGCTATGAGGATGCAAAGGCATAAGAATGACACAGTAGACTTTGGGGACTCAGGAGAAAAGGGTGGTAGGGAGATGAGGGATAAAAGACTACAAATCGGGTTCAGTGTATACTGTTCAGGTGACGGGTGCACCAACATCTCACAAATCACCACTCAAGAACTTACCTGTACAAGCAAATACCACCTGTTCCCCAAAAACCTATGGAAATAAAAAAAAAAACTTTTTTTTAAGACTTCACGGTCTTTATAGGAGTTCTTCACTTTTAGCAAATGTCAATCGTATTTTCATTTACTCTTTAATTCACTTTCTATTTAATAAAGAAAAATTAACACCAGGGTATAAATGTATTGTAACAATAGACTAATGTTTATAATGATGTCCCAAGAAATGTAGAAATGTGGCAATACTCATTCATAGCAAAATAAAGCAGACTGTTAGGCTTAGTCATTCTGTTTCCTTTTCTTTCGTTTACCTTCCTACCCTTTCCCTCTCTGTTTTAATGTACCTTTCTCTTCCACTTTGCTCTCTAATGGCATTCAAGAAGTAAATTTAAAGCAATACTTTGAACACGTCTAAAACAGCTTCTTACAATTGATAAATAAGTACAAAGAGTCTTTATTGGAACAGCTGAGTTTTAAAAAAATCAGTATTATTTCATCTTTAAGATAATGAAGTTCTTTTGGTTCAATGTTAGCCATGAGAGAACTATGATTTGAATATATGGCATTGTTTTAAATGATATAATTTTTTTTCTTTTCTGCCATTTCTTCCTCTTATTGAAGGATCTCAAACTCGAACCACCAGAAGAAGAAATTATTGAAGGGAATACTAAATCTGTAAGTATTTTTATCAGGTAAAAATGTTAGAAATATATTCTTTAAAAACATAATTTAATTTCTTCAAAAATTAGTTATCTCAATGAAAAATTGAAAAACCAAGTAGTCGTATTTCATTTTATAAGATTCAGTAGTGTTGTTTCTACATTGTGATTTGTGTAAACCTAATACCTACTTCACAGTTTTTGCAAAAGTACCTGGCATGTAATAGGTGCAAAATGAAAATTTTATACATGTATAAATCAATGAGTTATTGAATAATTGAAGGAATATGACTGGCAGAGAAGGGCAACATTTAAGTTGTATCATAAACATTTTGTAAATCCTGCTATGTTGTACACTGGATATACCTGAGCGGAAACCTGGTTCTGTTCATTATTATATTTCCAGCATTTAGCCTAGGGCCAGGCACATTGAAAATGCTCAGAAATAATTTTTCAAAGAATAAATTGATGCAAAAGGGAACATTTGTATCCCTAGGGACAAGATGTCCATCCAGAGTGGCAGCAGTTTTTGGAAACAGAAGAAGAATGGACAAAGGGATCCTAAAAAGTACATTAAGATGCAACAAAAAGAAGTTAGCAAATAATTAAAAGCAGTACATACCAAGCTTTATTATTTACTTTATGTTGAGGCAAACATGCATAGTACATTTTGTTTCAGGAAGTTGGATGTTTATATTTACATTTAGTGAAAATTTGGATTTTAAAATCTTGGGTAACTAGGAGAAAAATCATTTTTTAATCCCTTAGATGTATTATATACTTTATAGATGTCAAAGGATTGGTCACACATTTATATGAAACCAAGGTAGGAAATAACCTTTCATCTCTGAATTGTGCACAAGCACTGACTACATGATAGATGAAGTTGAGACCCACCTATGTGTAAGGCTCCTGCCCATCTGTCCAAACTCATAATCCAAAGGGATTCTTCAGAGGAAGCTTTGTGGGAGTCTCAGAAAAGTTTAATCATGGCTGCTACTGTTAGAATCCTATAGTTATGAATACTTTACCCCGATAAGCTAGATTTGTCACTGCATGTCTAGTGCTTTTATCCCTCCAGAGACAGGGATGTAGTCTGTGTTAATTCCTCAAGACCCCAACATTTTAAAATGGTAGACTTTCATGGGAAAGAGAGGAGAGGGGTGTTGAGCACATATACATACTAAGAATAGCGGATTTGTGCAGTCCCGGAGGCACAGGAATTGTTAACCTTGTGATCATGCATCTGTTATCTTCTCGTAGGTTTGCATAGAGGAAAAACTATACTCCAGACAAAGGAAAAACAAATATAACTTATCTAATGTTGTGAGAGATAATTGCCTATTCTTAAATAATTTTCTAATGTGAGATTATTTTTTCTCTCTAGTTATGAAGAGGAAAAATTGTCTAAGGATTGTTTGTGAAAGGAGGCAGCTATTCCATTTGCAGGTCCCTGAGCAGCCAAAGCCAAGGCCAATTTTAAAAGATCAACACACAAAACATTACTAATTCAGTAGTGCATAGAAGTACTTTAAACAAATAAGACTGAAGAAGGTCATTCAGCTCTCAATATTGTTTAAAAGCAGAAAAGGATATTCCCTATTTCCAGCCATATATAGAGGTATAGCAATTATGCTCTTTGGGAATAGACATAAAAATTTGAATTGGTTTGTTTTTTCAGAAGTAACAATAAGATATTTGTCATTAAAAGTTGTTTTTTTAATTAATGGTAGTAAGTGCATTACTATAAATTCCTGTAAAACCTCCTATATTCAGAATGACCAAAATCATTTTTCACTGTTATTTCATAGCTAGTGCTCTAGTGCTCATAATTCCATCCTACCATGTGTTAAATGATCTATCCTGATGCCCAAAACCAGTTTTAGAATTTATTGAGTAGAGAGGTATTTTCCCTTTTCCATTAGTGAATGCTTGAGAACTTGGAAAAATAAATTCTATGACAGAAAGCAAAGAATAAATTTGTATTACACTTGGTTTTTGAAATGCTAATCTTTACTGATCCTTTGCTATGTGCCAAGTGTTGTACTAAACACATACATAACTCACTTAATCCTCACAATAGCCAGCCAAATGAGGTAGTGCTATCCTCAGACTCATTTTATCAATGAAGAAATTAAGGTTTAAAGGAGTTTACCTACCATAGCTGAACCCCTGCAGTTCAACCCCAGACCTATGCTCATCACCATGCTCTAACATTTTCAGCCTAAGTGTTTAGTGGATTTCTAGCCTGTAAAGTAGAATTGCTCTTTGCTAGCGAGGTTGTGGATGAATGGATGATTGTTTTATGAGATTCCCTACCATAAGAGCAGAGCAGATTGTCTGGCAGGCTTGTTTAAGCACACAGCAAAAGTCCTGAACCCTAGCAACTGCCATCTCTAGTTTTCTGGGCAATGAGCCGTTACATAATGATGAGTCCAGGAAATGATTTCTTTTTTTAAGTCCATTTTTTTTTTTCTCAGCCCAGAGTAAGAGATGTAACACTTATTTAGTACCTGTCATGGAAAGGATCGTTATACACACAATTCTATTTAGTCCTCCCAAAACTTTGTGATATAAGTACCACTATTCTAATTTTACGTATCAGAAGACAAACTGAGAAAGAATTAAGTAACTTGTTAAAGGCCACATAGGAAAAGTGAAGCTAATTCTTTTCAATTTATATGCCTGCTCTTGAAGAAGAAGGAAGAAAAGAAAAAGAGGACAGGATGGTGGAGACAGATGAAAGAGCACCTAACAATTATGCAGTGCTGTTGAGTTTCCAGGGCCACCTCAAATCCTCTCCTGGAATAAATAGTTTATTAAGGGAATTCTAAGATTAGTCAATGGCTAAAAGCAAAAGCATCTTTAATGTGTTTGTTCCACAAATAACTTGATCACCAACTATGTTCCAGGCCTGGAGATAGGGTCTGGAAATAAAGTGGTGAATATTATAGGCTAGAAAACAAACTAGAAGGAAATTATACAGAATCTACAATAAAATGTGATGAGGATTATTATAGGAAAGTACAGATTTGCACAGTAAGGGGACAGAACTCAATTTAGGAGACCAAGGAATACTTCCAAAATGACATAATACTTAAGATGAAATCATAATAAATAGAAGTTTTTTTAAAAAAAACTTATATATCTCTTACTACATCGAATGATTCTAACACTGCACTGAAAGAACACTCAAGTGCTAGATCAAAATATTCAAATGTTCCAAATGATTTATAACAAGCATATTATAAAGATGTGCCTGTATGGCACTTCTTACCAAAAGAGTACTGGAGTAAGATGATCATTTTCCAGATATTTTCTTCATTCAAAGGTTTTTAAAAAGTCATGATAATTTTAAACAACATTTGAGCACATTCTTGTGCTTTTCAAAAACTCAGACTTTTCTTCAGCACATTGTTGTTGTAATACACTAAAATAGCTTATCATACAATGAGTCTACAAACCTAGTTTTTTTCTGCCTCTCTACACCCATATAAAATCGACGGATAATGTCTTGAAGTCATTCCATTCTGCCATACATTCCTAAGGGTTTGGGGGCTATTCTCAAGTAATGTAACAGCGACTATCAAAATATAAGTCTTGTTTTACAATGGTTGTTAAGAGAGTCAGTGAGAGCATACAAGAAAGGCTAGGGTATCTCTGAAGACATATTTGAAACACAACTGTAAATGTACTAAATAGAACAAAGTAACATGAAAAAATAAGTTGTATTTAAAACATGCCTCTGTGTCCCAAGACTAAAAAAGATGACATTTCTTGAAATGTTCCAAGAAATCAAAGGCTGATGCAACAAAATCTCATGTCACTGGCAAATACTATCCTGTGAACTGAGACTGGCCTTTCATACTTACACAGCACTATTTAGTCCAAGACATTCCAAATATCCAGCCATACTTCTATTGCAACAAAATTTCTATAAGGTAAATGATAAATGATATACTACTACTCCTATAATAGAGAAACAAAAATGTAGCACCATGAAAGAATATTCAACCATGACAGAGTGCTCTGAGCTAACTATATCTTGGGATCCCACATTTTAGTAAGCTTCAGGCTGTGTATTTGACACAAGAGACACATAGAAATATTAACAAGATAGTAGGACTCCTGTTCCACCTCTCCCAAACCCCACATCCTACAATTTGTTTCGGCCTAGCCGGAACAGAAAATTTAAGCGTTTTTTTGGATTTCAGAAAATCTACTTTAAATTAACTATTATTTAAAAAGCTCCGCTTGTCAGAATAGTCATCAAACTTAGGCAGATTATCTGGGGCTCTTTAAATGGATTTCTTTGTGTAACTATCTTAGGAAAGGAGGGGGAAAAGATACATCTGGTTTGGGTTGCAAAGTTGGAAATTGCAACCCAATCTAGGAAGCCGAGAGCTCAATTTTTCCAACTCATACATCAATGTACATAAGTGAATGATCAGTTAGGTATTGGTAACATAATAATGCATCCCCAAATTCAGTGGCTTAACACAATAACCACAATTTTGCAGGTAGGCAATTTAGGCTGGGATCAACTGGCTGGTTCTTATGGTCTCACATGGGCTCCTTGTATCTCTAGTAAGCTGTATGTTAGCTTTGCTGATCTTGGCTGAGCTTTCTCGTATGTCTAGGAGCTCAAGTGTGCTCTATGTGGTTTTTAATCCTCTAATATAGGGGTTGGCAAACTACAGCATACCTCTTGTTTTTGTTCATAAAGTTTTATTGTAACACAGCCACACTCATTTGTTTATGTGTGGGCTGTGGCTGCTTTTACACAATAGCAGAGTTGACTAGCTGCAAAAGGAGCCATGTGGCACAGAAAGCCTAAATAAAATACTTACTACCCATCCATTTACAGAAAATGTTTGCTGGCCCCTGCTGTAGCAGGTCTTGTTCATATGGTAATCTCAGAGATCCAAGAGAAAGAGTGGAAATCCACCGGCCTCTTAGGGCCTGAATTTGAAACTGGTGCACTGTCAGTTCTGCTACGTTGATTGGCCAGAGCAGGTTAGAAAGCCAAACCAGATCCAAGGGGAGGGAAAATAGAATCCATGTCTTGAGGAGAGGAGCTAAAAAGTCAAATTAGTCAAAGGGCATGAGTTCAGGAGGGTAGTGAAGAGTTCTGGTTATTTTTACAATCCATCCCACTTGATCACGTAAGAATTGCCTTTAGACGAAAAGAATTATGATGGAATAGGTGGATGTATTTATATATCTCATTAGGAAAGCCCATGAGCTTTCCTAATTATCTGAGTTAGTAATCACAAATGTCCAACCAAGAGGTCCCTGCAGATTTTTGTGAAAAGGATATATCCATCATTATTTTGGTAGAAATTAACCCTACTTAGTTATTAATACTAAACCCATGTGCTTTGGTTAGTCCAACAAAAGTAGGAATATTTGTTGAATATACTGAATACCTAACCTCTAAAATATCATTGGTATTCAACAAATAGTAGCTATTGACATGAAATGAGAAACCCATTGGAATAGAAAACAGTAGACCAGGGGTTTAATTCTCTCATGCTACATAGCTGGTATTACTGTGGAAGTTATTTTTCTCATATTCTAGATCATCCTTACCTTGTGTTTTGTTTTTGTTTATGCACTTTTATGATTCATGCCAATCCTTACTTTGATTTGCACTTTTATACTTTCACTACCAATTCTTGAAAAGAACTAATGTTGATATCTAAAATTCCATGAGAAGCCCACAGGCGGATCTTGAGGGAAGCCTTGAAACTACAATTGCTATAATGCTAATAGGATTTGTTACAGGAAACAGTTGGCATCCAATCCAGTGTGATCCATTAAAAACAAGCACCATCTGATGCCATTACCATTTGAACAGGGCCTGTTGTAAGTAGTTAATGTGTTTGACAACCCTGTAATATTTGATATACCTTTGGAAATGCATGAGTTACTAATTTTTTTGAAATCTAGTTGTTTGTAATGATTGTCACTTATGTCTAATATCACAAAATATTCAAGAAATTGGAGCTGTGCAATGAACAATAGGACTTCTCTTTAAAAATTGGTAAGTTGTTATAGGGAAGTGATCCCAGCTCTGCCTGCACAATACAGACACTTAGGGAGGTTTTAAAAATAGCAGTGCCTGGGCCCCACTCCCAGAGATTTTGATATAAAGATAATTTTAAAACTTCTCGAGTCATTGAGAATCACTGCTTTTAAAGGGAAACACGTCATTGTAAAGAACACGTTGTTTAGCTTCTGGGACTAGAGGCAAGGAAAATATCTTGCCTAGATTACAGCCTTTATACAGTTTTATACTTGGAATAGTCATGGCCTTCCTTGGTCATATTTTTGGATGACAATCATCTGTTTTTGTGAGGAGGAATGGGATGGGCAGTAGGAGTCAGCTTAAATCGGGCTCCGTGACAGCCAACGCAGTGACCCTCGCCCCTTCCTTGGCAGCACATCATGCTTGTGCAGCGGCAGATGTCTGTGATAGAAGAGGACCTGGAAGAATTCCAGCTCGCTCTGAAACACTACGTGGAGAGTGCTTCCTCCCAAAGTGGATGCTTGCGGTAAGTGCTCCGACTCCTGCACCTTAGGCCTTTGGCAGCCTGGGAATACAGTGAAGGCATTTCTTACTTTAGACAAGGCTGGGGGTCTAGAAGACAGATATTTGAGAATCCTCACATTAAATTATACAGAGCATTCCACCTGGGTGATGTCATTTGCTGCCTTTAACTGAATGTTTTCTCTTTAATCTTTAAACCCCGTGTCGTCTAATCTTTAAACCCCGTGTCGTCTGATCATTGGGGCACCAAGTAAAATGAAATAGAACAACTTGAATGAAGAGACTGAATTTCAAATAAGTTGAAATTCCCTTTTGCATCCAGGCAGCCCACACTCTGATTTAAAATCATCTCTGGTAGATGAGGCGCCAACTCTAGGACATCTAGCTGTGATTGCTCCCTTGGCAGTACGCCCTGTGGCCTAATGACCATTTCAGCCATTAGGAAATTGCAGGCATCCCTGAAGTCATGATTTCAGGCCTTGGTCATTAAAAGAAAATGAAGCAGCAGCAGATCTTTTCTTTCCTCTTTCCATGGGTACCACCCAGCTCAGGCTTCGGATATCTCAAGCTACTAAAATATACTATTCCTCATCTTCAATTTTTTCACTCCAACTGGTTCAATAAATAGTTACTATAATAATTTTCTGGAAACAGTTATCATAGAATTCCCTTAACTGGGAACCTAAAGTAACTCTCTAATGAGTATCTTATCAAAGGCTAGACATTTGTCCTGACTCTATATTTAATCCTACTGACAGACCCAGGAATCCATATCACTACTATTATTTGTTCTCCCTCATCTAAACACTCTGCCTCGGTGATGCACAGATAGAATTTCTGATATAATCTGTTTGTTCCCCACTGTGCCTCAGACCTGGCTATTCTTCCTCTCAGAAATGTGCACCCAGCTGCAAGTCTCTGCCAGCCCATGCACTGCCTCAAGTTCAGAGCCCAGGTCCAAATTCATCTGCTTTTAGAAAACTTCCACAACCAAGTCTAACCCTACCTTATGAGCTTGCTTAAACTATATTTCATAATGCTCTTCAAATGTTGCTTTGGGAAGGTTTTTAGAAAATGTGTGTGTGTTTGTGTATGTGTGTGTACATGTGTGCATAAACAGATACTTCATGTCTCTGGGTGTTTTGCTTTTCCTCTCAGTGTTCAATTAATTATATTTTATTCATACCCCAGCAGAATATTTCTCTAGCTAAGAAGTCTGGCTCTGGAAATAAACATGGAATTTTACTAGCTTTGTGGTTTTGAGAAAGACCCTCACTGGCTCTAAGCCTTAGTTTCCTCCTCAAGAGGCTCATGAGATGGTTGGGAGGATTCAGTGAGACAGTCCATATGCAGTGCTCAGCACAATGCTTCCCATCCACTGAAGACGTGAGCTGAAGTCACTATTGCGTTTACTACTGTTTCCTGGTTGTCTGGGTGGCTGACCTCCTCTCTAGAGTATGAGTACAGTACTTCCTCAGTGCCACTAACAGCTCATCATCTTCCAGTAGTGCCTTTGAAACAAGAACACAGGAAATGCTGTGTTTCCATGATTATTTTTATTATTCTATTTCACGCCAGACTCAGAGGGCACAAATCAAAACCCCATTTTAGTCCTTTTTACTTCAGTGACTCAAGACTTGCAAAGGTGGGAATATGTGTAGTTTTTAAGAGCCCACTCATTTGAAAATAAAATTGAATATTTAAAAATTCAGGGTGCAGTGGCTCACGCCTATAATCCCAGCACTTTGGGAGGCCGAGGCAGGCAGATCACGAAGTCAGGAGTTCGAGACCAGACTGACCAACGTGATGAGACCCCGTCTCTACTAAAAATACAAAAATTAGCTGGGCATGGTAGCATGTGCCTGTAATCCCAGCTACTCAGGAGGCTGAGGCAGGAGAATCGCTTGAACCCCGGAGGCGGAGGTTGCAGTGAGCCGAGATCGCGCTACTGCACCCCAGCCTGGATGACAGAACGAGACTCTGTTTCAAAAAAAAAGAAAAATGCAAACAGTACCTATATATACACCGTTCACAGTGTAAACTTCCCAAAATAGAGCTCAGTAAACTCTTTTTAATGAGGATACAGAGAAGATAAAGTCTATTTCAGTGTATTACAATCTCCAGGGATTGAGTGCATGTTTTATATTTATAAAAAAGGCGCACAAGTTTATTTTTTAGGTTCAGAAACACTACTTTAATGGGTGTTGGGAAAATGACCTCGAGCTACTAGAACAGCCCCAGGGAAAGGGAAACAGGCTGTGGGGGAGTGAGAGAGTGGATAGATTTGTGCCGCCTGCTGCAAATTCCATTCTCTCAATAACCACAATAAATTGCTCCATCAGCTCCTGCTGTGAAGTAGAGGAAAGGAGAGCATCTTTTTCCTGTAAGATAGATTTTCAGCCTCTCTGTTTACTTTGCAAGATTGGTTTGTTTCATACAATTCTTCGTTCACTTCTTATTGCTGATTTTTCAGGTAATTTCTTTTACTGGAATTATCAAAATGTAGACTATATCAGATGGAATGAGCCTCAGGGAATCACTACACCCATATGGAATATATATGGTATAGATGTTATGCCAGTGTGTCTGTCTACATTCAATTTTTCAGTTGTACCAGTTAATCAAATTCAATTTTCTACCTGTATCAATTGATAATCAAATGCCACTGATGCCATCAGTCATGCTCCAATGCACCCAGCACAATTGCCTAGTGCTTGGCTGAGAAAATAAATCTCTGTGAATGTCAGAGGTTCTGTTCTCCCATGATGTTTAGCTTAGTCTCATCATGATTAGGCACAAAATACCTCCATAAAATAAAACAGATATTATTAAGGACTAACAAGATTAGGCATTTTGCACCTATTTTCTTATTTTTGAGACAGGATCTTGCTCTGTTGCCCAGGCTGTAGTGCAGTGGCACAATCATGGCTCACTGCAGCCTCAACTTCTTGGGCTCAAGCAACCCTCCCACCTCAGCCACCAGAGTAGCTGGGGCCACAGGCACATGCCACCATATCTGGCTACTTTTTAAAAATTTTTTACAGACGGGGTTATGCCATGTTGCCCTGGCTGGTCTTGAACCCCCAGGCTCAAGCGATCCTCTTGCCTTGGCCTCCAAAAGTGCTGGGATTACAGGCTTGAGCCACTGTGCCTATCCTCTTGTCTTCACAGCAATAATCAAGAGGCACATATTACATCCAGCTTAGAAGGAACTGGCTCAGATGGGTTAAAAAAAACTTATTAAAGTTTGTCTGACTCTAAAACTAGCGTTTAATCCTTCTTGTCAATATTTGGTCATCCTTAGAGTTTCCTGGATTTTCTGTGATTAACCAGGGGTAGAACACACAAGTCCACTCCTGTTCCAATTACAACAAGGTCTTGCTTTCTTAAATTCAGGCCACTGAATTAGAGGTTTTGCCCTATAAGTTTTTGATTAGGAGACTCTGAAGTATGGGGAGTTACAGAGGTTTTGTTTTAGTAGTTAGATGAATTTTTAAAAAGTTAAGTTAGTGAAAAACTCAAGCAGATTATGTGGACTCATGTTTATAACATATACACACACATTGTTTGATACAACACATACACACACTATTCTTCACTTATTTTGTAATCATGAAGGCTCATTAATCCCCGTTTTTGTCATAGGGAGGTACCAATTGAATATAAGTGGTGTACACGGTATGTTCTCAGAACCATTCTTGACACCAGAGAACAAGAGAATAGTTTTGCTTTCAAGGATCTTAGACTCCAGTTGGGAAAATAGGATGCTCATTTATGAAGGTAGAGCACAATTAAAATCATGTTCATGGCCTAAAATTTCATAGTCGTTAAATAGAACAAAATGATTTCTAAAGTCACTCAGCTACGAAATTCGAGAATTTGAATATATTCAAAACTCCATGTCAAGGGCCTAAGGAATATGAATGTAGGATTACATTGTAAGAATCAACTCTGAGACATCCTTAAGAAATAATGGTGGCACACTGAATCATTAATCATTTATCAGTATTTATTTATTTTTGAGACAGTGTCTCACACTGTTGCCCAGGCTGAAGTGCAGTGGTGCAATCTCGGCTCACTGCAGCCTCAACCTCCCAGGCTCAAGTGATCCTCTCACCTCAGCCTCCCAAGTAGCTGGGAGTACAGGTGCATGCCACCATGCCTGGCTAATTTATTTATTTTTTTTTGAGATGGAGTCTCGCTCTGTCGCCCAGGCTGGAGTGCCCAGGCTTGCGTGATCTTGGCTCACTGCAACCTCCACCTCCCAGGTTCAAGCAATTCTCCTGCCTCGGCCTCCCAAGTAGCTGGGACTATAGGTGCGTGCTGCCACACCCGGCTAATTTTTTGTATTTTAGTAGAGACAGGGTTTCACCCTGTTGCCCAGGCTGGTCGCGAACCTCCGACTTCGTGATCCGCCCGCCTCAGTCTCCCAAAGTGCTGGAATTACAGGCATGAGCTACCGTGCCGGGCCATTTTTGTATTGCTTATAGAGACAGGGTTTCATCATGTTGCCCTGGATGGTCTTGAACTCCTGGACTCAAGTGATCCGCCCACCTCGGCCTCCCAAAGTATTGGGATAACAGGAGTGAGCCACCGTGCCCAGCCTCATTAATCAGTAATTATATAGACGAAATAAATTAGTGACCCACAGCTTGGTATGGAGAAATGTGAGGACTGGCCCTCTTGCCATGTCTTTTCTTCACTGGTTAGGCCTTGCTTGTGATTTAAGGTAGGACATGCACATGGGGAAGGAAGAAGCCAAGAGGGAAAGTCCCGTCCATTATGGGCAGTTTCCTCATTTAAAATCTTTAATCCCACCTGTTCCTGAGCCACATCCATTTCCCCCAGAAGCCATTTCACTGACACATTTTCCAGCATCCAGGAATATTCAAGGTCTCCCAAAGCTCGAGGTTGAAGCTTTTGGGGCCTGCATCCAAAGACAGCTTAGCCAAAGAACTCTTGCTTTAGCCAATGAGTGTTAAGTGTCACAGGAAGTATGAAGATTTCAAGGAGAAAGACACAGGCTGTTTCGGGTGAGTAGAATCACATAAGAAACAAATCACAGGTGTGTTGTTGTGCAGTTTTACATTTACAAATAATCGAAAGCTAATCATTCAAGCCCTAAGCCTTTAACAACTGCTGACAAATCTTTCTAAAAATTATTTCACAATTGGACTTTTCTTGCTGTCTCAGTGTGATCATTGTGTGTCATTATCTATATGGTATAGTCTCAAATATCAATGTCCTTAAATGTCATTGCCCCATATTGGTCTTTTTGGCCCTTAACTGAAAGTACCCATTCTGTAAAGCAATTCTGGTTAGCACTTTCACCCATGTGCCTTTGAGACAGAATCTGCACTTTCATCACTGCATCTGCTTCTTGTCAGTCACCTTTATTAGGTTTCCTAACTCTTTGTCAGAGTGCAGCTTTTGGAGGCAAAGATGCCTAAGTTCAAAGTCTGGTTTACTCACTAGCAGCTGTGATGACCATGGACAAGACATTTCGTCTCTCCATTCCTCAGTTTCCTTATCTGTAAACAATGGAGAAATAAATACACAAAGATGACAACAGCACCTTCCGGTATCAAATAGGAATGCTTGCAACTGCAATCTAGAGTAAGCACAGTAACAGTCATTTATATTATAAGTACATTTATTATTCTCAAAAAGAAGTCAGAGGCAACAATCTCAAGGTTCTTCTACAGCTTAATGCTGTCATCAAAGATCCCAGGTCTGTCTTTCAGATGTGCCTTCTGGCTCTTCACCAGATGGCCCACAGTCAGGAAGAAAAAGGGAGAACCAACAAGCTCTCCTCTCATGTCTGATCCTGAAGATGCAAATGTTTTCCCAGAGTCCCTGCTTCCCAGCATACTTCCCCTTGCATCTCACTGGCCAGAATTCAAGTCACATGGTCATTGCTGGCCACTGGGAAGGCTAGGAAACAAGTGTCCAGCAGAGAGGAGTAAGGTTATCAGGGTATTCTCAGTCCAACACTGAGTGGTACATTGGGTGTATTGCAAACTGAACAGTGGCAGAGTCATGTTAGTAAGAGGAGAGTACTATTTGGGGAGGCAATGGACAGTGTAGCCACATGACCCCCAAAGTACCTGTGAAGGTAAAATGGCTTATCTATGGAAAATGCTTAAATTAGACCCTGGAACAGAGCAATACATGTAGAAATCATCACCACCACCACCATTAATACTTATATTATTAGCTTGCTGCTTCTCATTGCTTTAATAGATATGTGCATTTTCCCTCCATTTCTTTTCTGGTTTTCCTCCCACCCCATTCCTTTTGTTTCTGTTAGCTTTGCTTCTTAGCTTAGACACCATTAAGGCTTAGCTTTCATAGCTACTCGCCCAATAAAAGTGATACTTTCCTTTTAGCTATTGGGCTAACAACACATACACACACACACACACACACACACACACACACACACACACACACACACAATAAGCCAAGTACTGAGTTAAGAATTCTACATGTAACTTCTTTTTTTTTTTTTCTTTTTTTTTTTTCAGAAAGAATCTCGCTCTGTTGCCCAGGCTGGAGTGCAGTGGCTTGATCTTGGCTCACTGCAACCTTCACCTCCTGGGTTCAAGCGATTCTCCTGCCTCAGCCTCCTGAGTAGCTGAGATTACAGGCACATGCCACTGTGCCCAGCTAATTTTTGTATTTTTAGTAGAGACAGGGTTTCACCATGTTGGCCAGGCTGGCCTTGAACTCCTGACCTCAAGTGATCCGCCCACCTTGGCCTCCCAAAGTGCTGGGATTACAGGTGTGAGTCACTGTGCCCGGCCTTACATGTAACACTTTAATTCTCAAAGTATTGTTATCATTATTGGACAGATAAGGAAACCGAGGTTGAGTATTGGAATCAAGGTGGCACAGCTAATAAATGGTGGATGGTGGAAGGTCTGCTGGGCTATACTTTAAATCACTGCCATTTCATACTGTGTTGTCCTCCTTTTTACTCCTTCAAAAGCTTTAGCATTATGCTAAAATTTTATGAATTTCTTATCTTATGGTCTTATGGCTAGCCTGGAAAATGAAAGGTTCAAATAGCAGGATAAGTAGGATTTTAATGTAATAAGTAAACAAATGAATTAGTTTTCAGGAAGCAGTTGATGAAGAGCTTGAAATACAAGGCTGAGTATTTTAAACTTTATCCTTAAGAAAATTGATATGGATTGTAATTTGTCCAGTATACTGTTGAAGGTTATGTTTGGGGATTACATCCCTTTGAAACTATGATGAAAGCTATAGATTCTCTTCCTAGGAAAACATATATATGCACATTCATTTGCAGATCATTTCTGGGAATTTAGTGAACCCCCAAAGAGCACATTCATGAACTCCTGGGATTAGAAAATCACAAATTCCACCTTCCATTTAATTCTTATGATTCCATAGTAAACCTTTCTCCAGAAAATCTGAAGTTGAGCTAAAAACAATATTTGCTGCATCATACCTTAATGAACCAAACTAGATAAACAACTGAAAAGAACACAAGCAGAACTAAAGAAAAAAAAAATTAAAATCTCTGTGTGTAGTTACTGCCACCTGCTGGTCACACTTAGGTAAATCCTAAATCTACATTAATCAACTATTTTACTGCTAAGTTATGTGTTCTCTTACTGTTAAGTTTACTGGTAAGTTCTTTGTTAACCCAAAAGCCTTATTGTTTTTCTAACCCCTCGTTTTGCTTTCTAATATGAATATATTATGAACCATTAGGCTGAACAATCTGTATTTTTGTAATTCAGTTTTTAAAGGCATCTTTATTTTTGTCTCCCACTCTTAAGTTTATGAATCTGTCTCTATTGTTTCAAAATTAATTTGGGTCTTCATCATTTCTCACCTATGCTATTTCACTATCTTTCCAGCTGTTCTTTCTACTTTATAATACCCTCCATACAAAACCCACTGTGCCATCGGAAGGATCTTTTAAAATATAGCTCTAGCCACGTCACTCTCCCTGCTTTAAATCCTTCAGTGACTTCTCATTGCTATAGGATTAAATTCGCAGTCACCTCAACCTATGTTTTCAGCCAGCCTGCTTTCTTCACTCCTTCAAAACATATTATGTAGACTTTTTCCTCCTTCGGGCTAGTCAAAGGACTGGAAGGAACAAATTTGTCTCACCCAAATTGGAAAAGAAATTTAAAAGTAAAACAAACAAAAAACCCTTGCAATTATGGCCAGAATATGGACTCTCAAACTTCATCCAGAGACAACAGGCACTTTGTGTGTGTGTGTGTGTGTGTGTGTGTGTGTGTGTGTGTGTGTGTGTGTGTCAGAGGGAGAGAGAGTTTGAAAGAGAGGGAGAAAGAGAAAAAAGAGAAAGAGGGAGAGAGCCACTAGGTATTGGCAAACTAGGAGTCAGTTGTATAGCAGTAGTGTGGTCCAAGTGACTCAAATGGCATAGAGCAGGACCCACACAAAATCTGTCAATACAGGAATGTTGTATGGCTAAGAATTTGGCAGAGGTATGGTGGTTGATAGGGCCAATCCTAACAGCTACATTTGAGGGCAAAGGCAGGTAGCATGCACTCACATTTTTCTGGTCCTAGCACAACAGATGCTCAATAAACCTTTTTGAATGAATGAACACAATTTTGCAAAAGTTACATTTGTGATGTCTGCAATATACTGAGACTGTTTTCATGATGCAAAACCAGAAAACTAAAAAAACAAACAAATAAACAAACAAAAACACTTATGCCTAACAGACATATTTAGAATAAATAAATTCTTGACAAATCTGTTTGATTTTCATGCAGGCACCTTAGATTGTTTCCTCTATTAATGGATAAGATTGTTTCATACTACATATGGATATTAGAAAAGTTAGCTTGCATCTTTAATTTCCAGTAGCTAATTATGCCTTTTATTTTCCATTTCAGTATTTCTATACAGAAGCTTTCAAATGAATCTCGCTACATGATCTATGAGTTCTGGGAGAATAGTAGTGTATGGAATAGGTAAGTTGTGAGCAAGCCTGATTTTATGTGAAGCCAGGAAGGTGGCAATATGCATGATGTAATTTTAGGATTTGTAGGAAAGTTCCATTCTCTTTTACCTTACCTTAAAACCTGTCCCATTTGCCCATTACCATGAATTCTACACACTTTAAAAAATGTATTTAATAGCTTAGAAACCACTTCTCTCTTGAAGTACAAATACTTTTGGTAATGATCCCACTTTGAGTCTTACCATTTTACTGATGTTTTCAGATAAGAAGATATAGATAGGGGGTATGAGTGTCTAAAGCTGGTGAGGGTAGTGGTGGGGGTGGAGAAAAAGGATGGACAAAAGTGAGGTGGGAAAAAAAGCTTTACCTCCTAATTTTTCATAGGATAGTCTGTGCAGTTATTTTATTTTACAATAAAACTACATATAATTTTTAGAGTCATTGCAGCCCAATACCTTCTAAATGTCTTTAAACACTAAAAATAAAGTGGAAATTCAAGACGTTGTCAAAAATTAAAATAAATCAGCTTCTTTAAAAATTAAAATAATTACTAATAGCAAACAAACATATAATTTTAAAATGGAATGAAAGAAATGTTTGCTCTTCTGAGAGTATATAACAATTCCTGACAGTTTAAAATGGTACAGAGAATACAGCTCTCTAAATAAGTCCATGTTTAGGGTGTTAAATATGGTGATGGAAGTAATAGAATACCTGGAAATTCAGTTGATCCATGTTTCACCTAAAAGTTTTATTTTTGTGGCAATTTTGAAGGCACTTTGTGCTATAAGGAAGGCAAAATGACACCAACAGTATTTCAGCCATAGAAGGAAACGAGGTAACTTATTCGACTCTGCTTCCAGGCCAACACTTTCACATAGCTTTTTAGATTTATTTTTATTATCTAGAAATGTAAAATATACAGTCTGTCTTATTATCTATCTTGTTTTTAAACAAGATATATTTAAATTTGGTGCAATAAAATCTACTTTTTATCCTCTAAAAAAGTAATGTTCTCCTGGTTTAAAACCTTTTTAAAAAAGTTTCTGATGACAATTATTAAATTACTCCTGAGTCATTTTTGAAAGCTGAACAACCATTAAAAGAAGCTTGTATCCAGGAGCTTATTTAATCCAAATCATCCCAAACTTTGCCATCTTGATCAAATTTGATCTCTGCTGTACTTGGGAAGATTGTAAATAAAAATGCACAGCCTTAACCTATAATTATTTATACAGCCACCTTCAGACAAATTATAGCAAGACATTCCAAAGAAGTAATGTGGATTTCTTGGAAACTCCAGAACTCACATCTACAATGCTAGTTCCTGGTAATTATCCTGGGTTTACAATGCTTCTGTGTCCTTTTGTATTTTTGTTTGTTTGTTTCGTAAAAGATAGTATGCTCTTTCCTTCTATATTTTATCAATGGTACTCTCTTATTTATTTCTTTATATATTTTATGATTTGAGATTGGGGGGAAGAAATAAAAGATCTATATATTTGTTCTATTTTGTCCTTAGTTGACCCTATTTGTATTCCCAGCTATACTGAACCATTAGTCATTTGCTAATCATATTAACAAACTTGAAGTACCACCAAATCATATTTCAAAAAATTATTCAAATATTTTATCATATTGTAATTTAGTGTACTGGATACAATTTGTTCATCTACCCATCCAATTACTGATTAAATATATATTTACTGAGTATTAATATGTGCTAGGCATCAGGGTGTTTAGCCTAATTTACTGGTACTGATTGAGCTCCATTTCTGAACAAGCACTGTGTTGGGAGCTACAAAGGGTACAAACTAAAGGCAAAATCCCTACCCATAAAGTGCTTTCTGTCCAGCTTCACAGAAACGTTTGCAAAGACAAATTTTAGCAGAAAAAAAAAACCCAGCTAAGGGAATAAAATAGCTGTCACCATTAGAGATAATATGTGTTTTGTGGACTTGGAGAAGTGATTACTTCTTTAATAGTTTTTAAGAAAATGACTTGAGCTAGTCCTTAAAAGATGAGATGTGGAAAAGTAAAGATGGAGAGGAAGGGTCCTTTGGTAAATTTGGACATGAACAAATGCAAGAAGTGTGAATGTGCTTTATAGGTGCAAAGGTGTCACTAAGGCATAAAACTTACAGTACAAGTGGAGACAGACGAGAGAGTAAGAAGTGAGGTTGAGAATGTCATAATGAGGCTTTTGAACAGCAACCTGGAGTAATTTAAAGTTTTGAAAGGGATGGTGACATGTTCTAATCAGTAATAACTGACAGGAGGGAGAAAGGTGGATGTCATGGAGAGGAGAGAGATTAACCAATTAGGGCAATAATCTAGGCCAGGGAAGAAAAAAAAAAAAACCTGCACCAGGAAATAGCCAGAGTTTGGGACTCCAGTTGCAGATGTAATTTTCAGGAGTTAACCACAGCAAGATGATTGTTGAAGCCTGGGATTGGTAAGAAAGTATGTAGGTAAGAACAAAATATCTAAGAGAAGCTTGGGGAGATGCCTTTCTTTAAGCAGTGGAGTATCAAGGAAACCAAAAGAGTAAAATGCAAAGATACAGTGCTCCTGGGGATGAGTGGGGGATGTATAGTGTTATGATGTTATAAATGGGAGGAAGGCTGGGCGCGGTGGCTCACGCCTGTAATCCCAGCACTTTGGGAGGCTGAGGTGGGCGGATCACAAGGCCAGGAGCTCGAAACCAGCCTGACCAACATGGTGAAACCCCACCTCTACTAAAAATACAAAAAGTAGCTGGGCATGGTGGGGCATGCCTGTAATCCTAGCTGCTCAGGAGGCTGAGGCAGGAGAATTGCTTGAACCCAGGAGGCGGAGGGTTGCAGTGAGCCAAGATCGCACCACTGCACTCCAGACTGGGCGACAGAGCGAGACTCCATGTCAAAAAACAATAATAATAAAATTAAAATAAAATAAAATAAAATAGGGAGAAAAATCTTAGAATACAACTTCTGTAAATATGACTGCTGCAAGCTTTGTACATAGAATGCAGGAAAGTGAGATCCACATTTTATTTATCTTCACATTCCCTACCCTATTACAGTATTACTATAGTACAGTATATGGCAAGAAGAAATTATTTCCTAAATGAAGGAATGAATAGGACTTTGGCATCATCATAAATATATTGGTCTTCGGTCAAAATTTCCACGAAGTCCTGACACTTGTAATTTTTGTGTCTGTCATCACACCCATTTCCATCTCTCCCAAACCAATGTGGAAAGAAAGGAACAAAGCTTGTTCTTATTAGTGTCTTGAGTCTTTCCAGGACAGAAACAACCTGATCAAAAATAGAGTAGGAAAAGAGGATAGAACAGGAGGCTACTGAATTATCAGTGAGGGGGAAAATGCTATAGCAAGAATTGAAAATGTGGACTAATCTGATAGTTTTCTGACCCAACTTTATCATTATCTGGAATTATTTTCTAGACACTACTAGTGTCATTGGCACATATATTACTCTTTCTCTCTCAGAGCATTTCCTAATTTAGAAAGAAAAACTGACTACAGATAAAACTGGATCAATTCTTGTTCTGTGAATCCAGGCTCAATACAATTTAATGTCTTTTAATTGCTGCCCTATTTTGTATTAATTTCATGTTACATTTAATTTCAACAATGATTACTGGAATTTCGTAGAACAAGAGGAAAAGTTAGGCTTGATTTTTGACACAATTTTAAAACCTACAACATTTTGACATTTATTGGGACATCCCACCTTATTTTAAAGTTTTATCACTGTGACAGCAGGCCTATTCCAGTAAGCAGAAGCTAGCATATAAATATTATTTATGGGTTTTAATGGCCATATAACTTCTAACACTATTTTTAAAAACCAGTTTTGTACATTTTGTGTTATAATGGTTATGAAGATTAAAAATAAAAATAATTAGCTGGGCGCTATGGCTCACGCCTGTAATCCCAGCACTTTGGGAGGCGAAGGTGGGCAGATGACCTGAGGACAGGAGATCGAGACCAGTGGCCAATATGGTGAAATCCTCTCTTTACTAAAAAATACAAAAAATTAGCCAGGCATGGTGGTGCATACCTGTAATCCCAGCTACTTGGTAGGCTGATGCAGGAGACTCACTTGAACCTGGGAGGCAGAGGTTGCAGTGAACTGAGTTCGTGCCAGTGCACTCCAGCCTGGGTGACAGAACGAGACTGTCTCAAAATAAATAAATAAATAAATAAATAAATAAATAAATAAATAAATAAATAGCTGCACATATTTATACCTAAAATTAAAATCTGAAAGAAAAAAAGCAGATATTACATTTAAAAATGCAGTATGAATAAGTTTGTATTTCTAATTTTACTCACAAATTATGATTTCTGGTAAGATTGCTTTTTATGGTTAAGACTACTAAGTGGTTTACCTAAGATACATCTAAAGTAATTAAGCAACTAAGCCAGATTGCATCCAGATATGAAAATATACACTATAATATATTCCAATGACCTCTCAAGTATAAAATCATTCAAATGAAGCATACTGGAATATGGCAGCCCAAACCACCCAGACAAAAGGAGTATATAAACTTGGTCTGTGGAGCAGAATGTCCATTGGTAATAACAGAAAAACCTACGGTTATGGGAAAACAGGATACAAAAAAAAAGATCCTATTGCCAGCAAATTACTTGAACAGTTTTGAAAGCAAATTTCAATCCTTTCCATTTATCTGTTTCTTACAGCATTCCACCAATCATACATCTTTGCCATTGGTTTGTTTTCAGGATATCTATATTCACTGGGATAAACATTTATAATTTTAACATACAGATATACTAAAATATTATTTATAACCTACTTGCTTATACCCAATATTTATGAGATCCTATGTGTATAAATATATGGTATTTATAAATATCATATAGGTATAAATATATGTATAATAAATCACACATGTATTTATATGTATATTATATATTATACATAAGCTGCATATATTTATAAATATATGTATACATATGCATATATGTATATTATGTGTATGCATATGCATATATGTATGTGTATACAAATGCATATGTATTATATGTATACATACATGTATACATATTATATGTATATATTATGTGTGTACATATATGTATGTATATGTACACATATGCATATATGTATATACATATATAAATGCAGGTGCATGTATGTACATATGTATAAATATATGGTATTTCTACATATAGGATTTCATAAATATTGGGTATATAAATTATATATATATATATATATATATATATATATATATATGGCCTAACTACTGCCAGTGTTGGGTAGATTCTAATAAGAACAATAGCATGATTCTGTCTTCAGTGCATTTATAAACTTGTTGCCAAAACAAGTTCTATTCACATAGAACAGAAAATTTTAGACTGCAACAAAGTGCCAAAAGGTATGGTACAAATAACAAGTGCATAGGAAGAGTTCAATCTTGCCTCAAATAGTCAGGAAATGGTGACTAGAAAGATAAGTTATTATGCAGACTAAAGGTAAGGGGAATGGTCTCTTTAGAAATAATTTGCACCTTGAATGTTCTTTGCCCTATAAGTTATTTTCATTATTTTAGAAAACATTTTTCTCTTTTCAGCTTCGTGGTGGATCCTGAACAACTAGATGTTCCTAGACATTTTCTTTATGGTTCCAAGTGCAAAACAGGTGTTCTTATCTAAAACGTCAATTAGAAAATTATCTGCGGTTGTTAATCTACTGTATATTTTTGTTTGGTATATTTACTAAGTGCACTCTTTCAAAACTTATTCTATAACTTTATCAATTCATGTGAATTTTAGCTCAATTTTCAAAGTTCACTAATATTCTCAATATTTAATGCTAAATGCTTTGCTACATTGTAACTCACCTAAAACCTTTTAGTGACAAAATCCTAATATGTGGAAAAAAGCATATGCATAAAGGAATAATATTGTGAAAATGAATCTGTTATGATAAAGAAAAAATAAAGTGGAAACTTTTAGAGTATTACTTCATAGGGCAGATTTTGTAAACTGTCGTATACTGTAAAGGGTTAAATCAGCGTTTTGTGATTTTTAAGTAACTGTGAGTGAAGTTTATTCTTCAACAATGTCTACTCCATCCCCAACCCAACTCACAGCCCTATGACTACTATCTTTGCATTAGTTAAAAAGTTAGTATATAGGCATCAAACAACCTTGGCTGTAACCTATAGAATCTCTATCCACGTATCAGGTTATAGACTGGTTTTTCAAAAGTGAACAATCCTGTGATAAGTTGGAGTACCATTTAGTAATACAGCAACATTGTGTCATTTATTAGCATCATAATTCTTTGTTATGTAAGTTAAATATATCAAGAAAGAAGAGACTGTTTGGAAAAATGTGGTTCAAGTTTTATGCTATATAGTTTTGGTATGCGATACAGACAGCTAACTTTTCTTATGAAAAATACATATTTGCATGTAAACAATGATTTCAAAATACTTGAAAAATAAAATTTTAACCCAAATGAATAACTAAGAAATATAAAACAAGCACAAAATCTTAGGGAAGTCATAAAATAGTAGTGAAAGTATTAGACAGAAGACATCTGTTTTCGAATTTCAACACTAGAATGACTAAAACTATCTACCTATAGAACTATCTGTAGATAGTATACTATCTACACTCTGCTCAACAAGCTCAGAAATTAAATATTTTTAATAATAAAAATCTGTTCTGGTTATAAACCTTGCTAATGAAAATACAATACATATAAAAATGTATAGCCATGTTATTTTCTAGTATAAATTCCTTTGAAACTATAAGTCTTTGAGGAAAATTATAAGGTAAAATTTTCCTGTTTTTCCCCCTTTGAAAAACTCAGGAAAAAAGGAAGATTGAACTAATAAAATTTTATTTCTTAAATATAAATTTGACCTAAAATATTTTCTCAAACTAATTCATGAAACAGCAACTTTTACCAATACCTTTGTATACTCTCAGTTCTCATTCAGTATAAATAAAATTTTAAAATCCTTTCATAGTTCTATTAGAAATAAGTAGTAAATTTTGATATATTGTACATACACACGTGTGTGTGTGTGTGTGTGTGTGTGTGTGTGTGTGTGTGTGTATTTGTGTGCCTCTGGTCAACTCTAAGGATGACAGACACTGTGTAACAACACCTGGGTCAACTCTTTTAATTTATATACAAAGCAAAGAACAACATTAATGGAGATGCACAATGATTATTCAAACAAGCTATATATATGTACAAAGGCAAACAGACACATAACAGTCTCTGCAGACTGATTGTATATAGTAAGAAAAGATCAAAAGACTTTAAAACCTAAATGACTTTTGACATACAAACTCTTCTTGAGAATGTTTGTTGTAAATGGTTTCAAAAATACAAATTATAGCCAATCAAAACATTGCTTTGGTTGGTGCATTTAAGTATCCAACTCAAAAAGCATATCAAATATTTTGGGTACTAGGCAGTTTCCAAAGTAGCATGGTAGTATTACTTGTTAAAAGGGTTCTGTTTTCATTAACAGTACTAAGTGGAAGGGATCTGCAGATTCCAAACTGGAATAAGCTCTATCATATTCTGAAACAAGAATTAGAATGACTTGAGAACGGGCAAATAACAAAGCAAACCAATATAATTATATGGTCATTCTGACCCCAGCTCTTATACAAATTATACATGTATTTTTGTGTATGTTTGTGAGAGTTGTATGTATGTGAATGTGTGTGAGTGTGTATTCACATACACATATATACTGGAACCTATAGTAGAAAAGGAAACTAGTAGGGCCAAAAAAAAAAAGAAAAAGAAAAAGAAAAAAGAAAAAAAAAGAAAAAACTGGGACCTAAGTATAAATATCTCATCCTAAAGTAAACAATAAGTTTATAGTTAACGAAGATTTTTTTCTATTTAAAACCCCATTTTCCTAAAGAACAAAGTAGTAAAATAAAAAAAAATTTAAAAAATTAAAAAATAAAAAAAAGAGGTCACTAAAAGACCAAGATGGGAAACGTAACATGGAATACAAGCTTGAATCTGGGAAACAAGCTCAAAAAACAGTGAAAAAAAAAGTACTGGTTTAGGAGTTCAAAATTCAGTGAAACAAACTTTTTGCCAATAGACCTAGGGATCTAAGAAATAGAATTAGGGAGAGTTTACACTTACTTACCTATATATCAGCAGATTTTTCTGGAAGAAACCCTTTTTTTTTTTTTTTTTAAACAGTAACATCCAGAGTGACAAATTGCAGGAGATTTAATGTATAAAATTTCTAGGAATTAAAAGCTTAAACCCAAAAATTGTTCATCCATATATAAGAAATTATCGAATTAAAACTTAATGTATGTCAATTATTTTCAAATGTCTAAATTCCTTTGGAAATAAAAATATCAGTTTTACTTTGAAATTGCTCAACTTCTGCTATTCATATGGTCTGATTAGTGACATAAGTAGCAGCCGTTTTTCAACTTCAGTTTCATTCACTACCATTGTTTCCAAATTATCAATCTCTGCTAGTAATTATGAATTTAAGACCATATTATTATCAAAAACCTAGAGACCAATCATATATCTGAAAAGAAATACCCATTAAAAATTCTGCCTCCTGTTTATTGAGAACTATGCATTGAACATTCTGAATCATTCTAAGCCTCTGGAGAGACTGTAATGATCCATTCATGAGCTGGTATGAAATCAGTGGGAAGCAGAACAACAGAAGGAACTTTAAAAGCAACAAGCAATTATGTACCATATATACACTGTAGCAAATATTTTATATTTGAGAGTCTTTACAGCTTACATTTCCATTCCATTATTACAAGTGATGAAAAACAAAAAATTGCAAGTAGTATGCAAATTATAAATATACAGTCTTCCCACTTCACTAACCAAATTCCTACTTTCCAGTGTTACTTCCCAATTTATGCAGGAAACCTCCTGCAAAGCTGAAACTGATTAGAAAATTCTTTATATTTTAAAATAGCTCTTTCTCATTTTTAGAGAAGTCAAATAGCCAACCATCAAAATTAAGAATAAATTGAATTGTCACAGTCCATTACAGTTATTGTTGCTAGATCCACCTCATTTGCAGATGTCCAAACTTAAATTCATCTGTTCTTAAAATGCTACTTAAAACTTTGGTTGTTTTCCTGTAATATAAAAGAAAAAGTTAATTTATCAATTGATTGAATACAGTTTTTACTAATTAGTTTATCAAACCAAATACTGTGAACGTACCAGGTGTTTACAGATTTAAATGCATGTTACCATAGAAACTATTAAAGTAACTAGAACTGTCAAATAACAAAACGGCTCATGTTTTTAAAATATATGTAACTCATTTTAAAATATATTAAATTGTATTCCAAACCTGTTCTTCTGTTTCTGTGGCACCTAGGTTTAAAATATGTATTAATGTGTAAATCACAAGTAAAATGAATTCTAATGTACAAGTTTGTTTTAAAAAGTGTATGTCAAGCTTTTATTTACACAATAAAATGTTATTAAAGATGGAAAGTCTACAAATGAAAAAGTGACTATAGTTTATATAGCACTGAAGTTTACATTTATTCTTACAGACCATGGATTACATATCCCAAAGATCTTTGAACCGGTGGGAAAGTTGAAACATCAAGTACATTTTTTCTTATTTAATATTTATGCATGAGAAGTATTATAAAAAATTTTAATTCCTGCTTTAATTAACTTTAAAAAGAATTGGCTAGAGATCTAAAGTTAGGGAGTTTAAGAAATATTAATATAAACTATGAACAACATAATGTTTTTTAAAAATTATAATTTGAGGAAAAAAATACTATGAATTCCAAAGAATTAGAATACCAAAAATGGAGATAGAAGGTAGTAGTGTTTATCTCCCATTCGAACTGTTCTCAGTATACCTATATTCTGAATCTCATTTCAGAAGAGTCCTAGCTGCCTTTACCTATATAAAGGTATTTACGAAAACTCTAATAGGAAGTTAAATTCCAGTCAAATGTAAGTAGAGACCACAAAGAATGGGAATCATTTACTAAAAGCATAATGAGAGAAAGGTATCATACTCAGTAATCTCATGCATTATTTTATTAATCCTAACAGCCAGAGATTATCATCCTTATCAGCAATTGCAAAACTTATCATCCTTATCAGCAATTCAATGAGGTTAAGTGACTTGTCCAAGTTCGAACTACCGGTACACAGAATGGAGCTACAATTTGAAGCCATGTCTGATGACAAAATCCATGTCCTTTCCAATGAATATCCTAAGAGATGCATGTATGTATTTATTATGTGTATTTATTTAGATGGAATTTGATAAGGTAACACAGAAATATAAAGGGCTAAGAATAGCAAAGACATGTTAAAGAAAAATACATGAGATGATTTGTTATAATGTATAAAAAGACTAATTGAACAGAATGGATAGCCCATTAACAGACCATGCATACATTGCCACAAAGATGTCAGAGAAGTACCCTTTCAATAAATATTTTTAAAATGACTGGATATCTATGTAGAAAAAGGTAAAACTTGATGCCCACCTCACATCATAGAGTAAAATTAATTCCAGGTGGACAATATAATTTAATTGAAAAAATAAAACTTTTAGAGTATGGGATAATATTTTCATGACCTTTCCATTAAAAATATTTCTTAAACAAAATACAGCTATTCCATTCTATTTTTTGAACAGAGTTACTTTATAATAATTGGTTATATCTTTAGATTTTTGTAGTTTTCTGAATTACTTATATCTTATAATAAGGAAGGTTAAAAATCTAGAGGTAGAGTCTGATGAAAATGTTAAAGAAAAATATTTTGTAATATAATATTACAATACAAACTTAGAAAACTACTTACTGGTTTTTGCAGTACAATGGGATGATCAGGCAGAAAGTCTGGTTTTTTTCTGCAGATGGAAACACTTGAGAGCTTCAACAGGAAATCTCTGCTGTATTTAATTCTCTCTGTAGATATTAAACATCAAATATAATGTTAGGAAATGTAGGGCTGTCTAGATCACTTTTTGGTTCATTTCTTTCTGGATGTCCTCTATTCATTATATAAAATGATGAGTCGTGTGTCTATGCAAAAGAGAAGGAGAAAAAAGGCTTTGACAAGCATCTACTGCCTCCAATTCTCCTTTTACATAGAAAGAAAACCAAGTAACCAAGGAAACAATGAAAGAAATATAATTAAGAAAATGGGAAATGCATGGCTTTTTTCATCTGGTTATTCAGGTCTAGTAAAATGATCTTGTGTAAAATATAACCACAGTAATAACTATTGGGCAATTCAGATCTGCCAAAATGTTACTTTAATGAGTCTATCAAGTCTCAATCAATACTAAAAACTTAACACAATAAAAATAAATTCAAGAAACATTTATTGTACATCTTACTATGTATCAGGAACTGTGCTAGGTAATAATGAATAGGACCCAAGATAGGGCCCCTATCTTCAAGGAGAACAATGTTTCAAATATCTGCAGATTTCAAATCAGAAATGATTACCAGAAACAATCACCAAGACAGATTATATGCTGTCCCAGAAGACAATGGAATAATATTTTTAATGTGCTAAAAGAAAAGAACGGTAACCCAGAATTTCATGTCCAGTGGGGGGGAAAAAACCCTCAGAAATACATGTGAAGGAAAGACATTTTCAGATAAAGTAAAACTGAAAGAATCCATCACTAGCAGATGTGACCTTCAAGAAATGCTAAAGGAATTTCTACAGGCTGAAGGGAATTATACTAGATGGAAACTTTACTGTTCAGAAATGAAGAGCAAAAGAGATGGTAAATAGGTGGGTAAGTATAACAGATTCCTTTTTTTCTCTAAGTTTTATTTTAAGAAATATGTATTACTGTTAAAAGCAAAAGCCACCACAGATAATATATAGATGAAGGGTGTGGCTATGTTTCAATACATTTTTATTTATAAAAACAGGAATTGGTCTGTAAACCATAATTTACTGACCCCCTAAACATTACATTAAAGACTACAAATTGACAGAGTGGATTTAAAAAATAAGAAGACCCTATTATATGCTGTCTGCAAGAGACACATATTAAATATAAAGGCATATAAGTTGAAAGTAAATGGATATAAAAAGATACACATGAAAAGACTAGGAATAAGAAGGGTTGAATTACTATCCTTACATCCTATCAACTAACAGGTAACAATTATTAATGTGTTGTTCCTAATACACAGTTCTGAAATACATCGAGGAAAAATTAACTTACCAAAAATTTTGGGTCTGGCTTCTTTCATTTAACATTTTTGAGGTTCATCCTTAATCTGGAACATTCTACGTAGCCAAACCATCAATCAAGTGTGAGAACAGAATAAAGATATTTTCAAATATGCAAACTCAAAGAATTCACCAACCCAATACCCTTTTTTCACGAAACTCCTGGAGAATGTACTTGAGCAAAATGAGGACATAAATCAATAAAGAAGAAAACATAAAATTCAAGAAATGGAGGTAAGTGAAGTCAGGGAAAATAGCCAAGTAGAGAACTCTAAAAGTCTTTCACTCCACAAAAACAACAAGTAAGCTCATAAAAACTGTCAGAATCAACTTTCTCAGAACCCTGGACTCTAACCCAAAGCCTGTAAAAACCAGGGGAATACTTAGTGAAGAAAAAAAAATAGCTAAATTTGGGAAAAATTTTGTGGCATTTAACTTACCTGGGACCATCCCCCAGATAGGCCATGGCCTTGAAGACAACAGCCCTCATTACTTTTATAGGTTCCCAGAACTGGAGGGAGTAGTACAGACTTTATTCTCAAAAAATTATGATTATTTGTTTTGACCTTTCTTATAGTTCCCTGAGGAACCATCTTGAGAAGCTTGCCTGTACTTCACACCTAACTAAGAATTCTCCTAGCATTAAAGCTGCTGCCCAAAGTCCATTTGTCCAAACATTTACAGGAAAATGTATCAGTTGCTTCCACCTGAGACAAGGGATAACAATTGGAGCAAACATTAGGCATACCAAAAAGTTTCGGAGGAAAAACTGAAAAAACAGGATGCTTTGAGGTAGAAGGGCAGTGAAAGAATCCCAAATATTCTTTCTAGAAGCCCACATGCATGTCAAAGCTAGGCTCATGTTCACAGAAAAACTTGAGAAGATCCTAAGCACTCACTCCTGGCTGACTTTCAGATTCCTACCAAGCAGGAAATGAAGGTGAAGGCAGAATTGAGGTAATACCTCAAAATACATAGAGGCCTTATGCAAAGGCTGAAAGAGGGGCTTCTTTGTTTTTCAGTTTGGTATGGTTCTAGCCATTGAAGGCAATTATGTCAAATCACCAGCTGACCACTAAGATAACAGAACAGAGACTTCCATGGTCATGCATGACAAAGAATATAGATTTTACAATATTAGTTTGGAAAAGTCACTAAGCTAACAACAACTACTACAACAAAGAGCAACAACAAACCCAAGGGAAGGAAGAAAATCTGACTTCCAGAGCAGCCACATTTATAACATTCAAAATGTCCAGTTCTCAACCACCACAACAAAAATTATAAAGCATGCAAAGAATGAAGAAAGGATGGGCTCATTCACTGGAAAAAAAGAAATAGAAATTTTCAGTAAGGAAGCCAAGACATTGAATTTACTTGTGAAAGGCTTTCAATATACTATTTTAAATATGCTCAAAGAGCTAAAGAAAATTATGAGAAGAGTGTCTCATTAAATAGAGAACATCAATAAAGAGATGGAACTTATAAGAAGAAGCCAGATAGAAATTATTGAGAAGTACAATAACGGAAATGACAAATTCATGAGAGGGTTTCAACAGCAGATTTGAGCAGGTGGAAGAAAGAATCAGCAAATTTAAAAGGAATTCAATTAACATTATTCAGTCTGAGGAGTAGAAAGAAAAAAGAATAAAGAAAATGAACAGAGCCTAAGACACTTATGGATTACCATCAAGCATACCAACAAATAAATAATGGGAGTCCCAGGAGAAGAGAGAGAAAAAGGAGAAGAAATGATATTTGAAGAAATCGTGGAATAAAATTTCCAAAATTTAACAACAAAAAAAGAATCTATACATCTAAGAAGTTCAACAAACTACAAATAGAATGCAGACAACCCCCAACTTATGATGGTTTGACTTACAATTGTTTGACTTTATGATGATGTGAAAGCAATTCAAGATTTCCAACTTTAAGCACTGGTGATTCTGTGACCAAAGACTCTCTGGGCCAAAGACTCTCATAACCAACATATTATATTTTCAACTTATGATGGGTTTATTGGGAAGTAATCCCACCATAAATTAAGGAGCATCTATCTGTATAATAAAAGAGATTCTTCACACATAGATACATCATAATCAATCTGTCAATGAAAATCTTGAGGTCAGAAAGACAGTAGCAATTCATCACTTACAAGAGATTATCTATCAGATAAACAGCTGATTTCTCATCAGAAACTATGGATGTCAGAAGTCATGTGATGACATATTTAAAGTGCTGAAATCAAAAACATGTCAATCAAGAAATCTATATCTGACAAAAGCTCCTTCAAAAATGAAGCAGAAATGGAGACATTCACAGATAACCAAATACTGACAGTTTACTGCTTGTAAACTTGTCTTACAAGAAATGCTAAAGGGAATCCTTCAGACTTAAAGGATAGTACACAACTAAAATCCACATGAGGAAATAAAGAACACCAGTAAATGTAACTACACAGGTAAATATAAAAGCATCAATAAATTTTCAGTATGAAATTCATCCTTTTCTCCCATATGATTTAAAAGACAAGTGCATACAAATGCATAATTATAAATCTAGGTTGATATATTACAGAATGTGTAAAGATGTAATTTATGACAACAACAACATAAAGGTGACTTTAGAAATATATATAGGAGCAATGTTTTATATAACATTGGAACTAAGTTGATATTAATTCAAACTAGTTTGTTATATATTAAATTAATACCCAACACAGCAACTAGGAACATAAAAAATATAGTAAAGCAAACTAAAAGGATATAAAAATAGTATACTAGAAAATATCTATTAAACACAAAAATATAATGGAGGAATTAAGTAACAAAAAAAGACGTATAGAAGACAAATAGCAAAATGGGAAGATTAAGTCCTTTTTTATCAGTTAATTACATTAAATGTAAATGTACTAAACTTTTCAATTATTATAAAAGGCAGAGATTGGTAGAATGAATTTTTAAAAATCATCTAATTATATTCTGTCTACAAGAGACTCATTTTGGATCCAATGACAAAAATAAGTTGAAACTGAAAGACTGTAAAAGATATTCAATTCAAGCAGTAACCAAAAGAGAGCTGAAGTGAGTATACTAACATTAGACAAAAATAGACATTAAGACAAAAATTGTTATAAGAGACAATGGACATTTATGCCATGATAAAAGCATCAATTCATCAAGAAGATATAAGAATTGTAAGCACATATATACCCAACAACAGAAAGAAAAACACAGAATTAAGCACAGAAATGGACATTTTAACATTAATAACTGGAGACTACAATATCCCATTCTCAATATTGGATAGGAAAACTTAACAGAAGATCAACAAGAAAACAGAATATGAACACCACAACCCAACTAACCTAATTACATATATACAACACTTTACCCAACAACAGCAGAATATACATTCTTCTGAAGCACACATGGAACCACAGCACACATGTTCCACACACATGGAACATTCTCCAGGATGAACTCATATGTTAGGCCACAAAAGAGTCTCAATAAATTTAAAAAAGATTCAAATCATACAAAGTATGCCCTATGACCACACTGAAATAAAACTAGAAATCAAAACCAGAAGTAAACTGGAAAATTCACAAATATGTGTAAATTAAAACACACTCTTATACAGCCAATGCATCAAAGAATAAACAACAGGGGACTTAGAAAATATGTGACAAATGAAAGCAAAGTCACAACATATCAAAATTTATGAGATGCAGCAAAAACAGTGTTCAGATCATAGTTTATAGCTATAAATGTCTATATTAAAAAAGAAGAAATAACTCCATATCTAACATTACACATTAAGGAACTAGGAGAAAAGAGCAAACTAAATCAAATACTAGAAAAAAATGAACTAAATAATAAAGATCAGAGTGAAGAGAAATGAAATAGAGACTATAAAAACAACAGAGAAAATCAGCAAAATCAAAAGTTGGTTTTTTCAACCCAAATGTCCAACAATGATAGACTGGATTAAGAAAATGTGGCACATATACACCATGGAATACTATGCAGCCATAAAAAATGATGAGTTCATGTCCTTTGTAGGGACATGGATGAAATTGGAAATCGTCGTTCTCAGTAAACTATCGCAAGAATAAAAAACCAAACACTGCATATTCTCACTCATGGGTGGGAACTGAACAATGAGAACACATGGACACAGGAAGGGGAACATCACACTTTGGGGACTGTTGTGGGGTGGGGGGAGGGGGGAGGGATAGCATTGGGAGATATACCTAATGCTAGATGATGAGTTAGTGGGTGCAGTGCACCAGCATGGCACATGTATACATATGTAACTAACCTGAACATTGTGCACATGTACCCTAAAACTTAAAGTATAATAATAATAATAATAATAATAAAGAATTCACCAACCAAGTCTCTGCTGTCTTTAGGCGACTCACCAAAAAAAAAAAAAAGTTGGTTTTTTGAAAAGATAAAAACTAAAAAACCTTTACCAAGACTGATTAGGAAAAAAATGACTCAAATTACTAAAATAATAAACAACAATGGTCTTGCATCCTGCAACTTTGTTGAATTTATTTTTATTAGCTCTAATAGTTTATGTGAATTCTCTAGGATCTTCTATATACACAGATGCTTCTCAACTTACAATGGAGTTATATCCTAATAAACCCATTATAAGTTAAAAATAGCAAAAGATGAAAATGCATGGCTGACTAGAAGTGGCATCTTGCTGATGCTGCCCAGCATCATGAGAAAAGTACAGTTTCTACTGAACAGATATTGTTTTTGAACTATCGTAAAATCAAAAACTCATAGGTCAAACCATCCTAATTGGGGAACATCTGTATAGGACTGTGTTCTCTGTGAATAGAGATGCTTTTACTTCATCTTTCCCAACTTAAATACCATTTATCATTTTTCTTGCCTAACTGCTATGGCTAGAACTTTCAACATAACATTGAAAAAAGAAACAGTGAAAGTGGGCACCCTTATCTTGTTCTTGATGGCGTGTTGTGTTTTGTCAAATGCTTTTTCTTCAATTGAGTTGATCATGTGTTTTCCCCTGAATCCTGTTAATGTGGTGTATTATTACTGATTTTGATATGTTGACTCACCCTTGCATTCTTGAGATTAATCCCACTTGGACATGGTATATAATCTTTTTACTATGTTGATAATAAAAAGTTGTTAGTATTTTATTGAGAATTTTTGTATCTATATTTGAAGGGATATTGGCTACAGTTTTCTTTTCTTCTGATGTCTTTGCCTTTGGGTATCAGAATAATACTGGCCTCACTGGAAGTGTTACCCCTCTTCATGTTTTTGGGAATAGTTTGAGGATTAGTGTTAATTGTTCTTCAAGTGTTTAGTAGACAAGTGTTTAGTAGAATTTACTGGTGAGAAGCAATCTAGTCCTGAACTTTTCTTTGTTGGGAGGTTTTTAATTACTAATTCAATCTTCTTACTTGCTATAGGTTTGTTCAGATTTTATATTTCTTCTTGAGTTAGTTTTGGTAAATTCTGTGTTCCTAATAATTTTTCTATTTTATGTAGGTTATCTAGTTTTTGGCATACAACTAACTGTTCATAATATTCTCATAATGTTTTTCATTTTCATAAATTCATAGTAATGTCCCCCATGAAATAAATTTATTTTATATATGATCAATGAATAATAAAAAGATTCCATTTACAATAGCATCAAAAAGAATACAGTACTTAGGAATAAATTTAACCAAGGAGGTACATGACTTGTACACTGAAAACTGTAAAATATTGCTAAAAGAAGTTAAAGAATACCTAAATGGGAAGATTTCTTATATTTATGGATTGTCAGATTTAATATTGTTAAGTTGGCAATATTCCTCTCAAAGTGATCTATAAATTCAACGCTATCCCTATCAAATTTCTAATGGCCTCTTTTGCAGAAATGGAAACGTTGATCTCAAAATATCAAATGGAATTGCAAAGACCCCTAAACAGCCAGAACAATTTGGAAAAAGAACAAAGTTAGAAGACTTACACTTCCCAATTTTAACAGTTACTACAAAGCTATAGTAATCAAAAAAATGTGGTACTGACATAAGGGCAGGCATATAAAACAAGAGAACAGAATTAAGAGTCCAGGAATAAACACATTAAACACATACACCTATAGTCAACTGATTTTCAACAAAGGTGCCAAGTCCATTCAATGAAAAAAGAATAGCCTGTTTTACAAATTACAATGGGACAAGTGGATACCCACATGACAAACAATGAAGTTGGACTTTTATTTCCCATCATATATAAAAATTAACTCAAAATAGATAAAAGACCTAAATGCCAGAGCTAAAACTATAAAACTCTTAGAAGGAAACGGGTAAATCTTAATGACCTTAGATTTGGCAATGATTTGTTAGATATGACACCAAAAACACGAGCAACAAAAGGAAAAATAGTTAAAATTCATCGAAGCTAAAAAATTTGTGCATTAAGACACCCTATCAAGAGAATAACACAATCTCCAGTAGAGAATGAAAAGACAACATATATATATATATATATATATATATATGCACACACTGGAAGGAGAATGGTGGCAGGAAGGAGAATAATAGATAATAGATAAGAGTCTAATATCCAGAAGTCTTGCAACTCAATAACAAAACAACTCAATAACAAACAACCCAGTTAAAATATTGTTAAACAACTTGAATAAAGCATTTATCCAAAAAAGAAATAGAAATAGCCAACAAGCACACGAAAAAACAGTATCATAATCATAAGAAAATGCAAATCAAAACCACAATGAGATACCACTTGTCACCCACTAGGATTGCTTATAATAAACAGAGATAATAATAGCAAGAATATTGAGAGGTTGGAAACCCTAGTACCTTGCAACTAAGAATGTAAAATGGTAGAACTGCTGTGAAAAACAATTTGGCAGTTCCTTAAAATGTTAAACACACAACTACCAATGATCCAGCAAGTCGGCTCCTAGGTATATGCCTGAGAGAAATGAAAACAAGTGTTGAAACAAAAACTTGTACGCAAATGTCCACAGCAATATTATTCACAATAGCCAAGAAGTGAAAACAACTCAAATGTGTGTCAGTTGAGAAATGGATAACAAAATGTGGCATAATCCACACAATGGAATATTATTTAGTCATAAAAAGGAATAAACTACTAATAGTGCTAAAACATGATGAACCTTGAAAACCTTATGGAAAGTGATAGAAGCCAGACACAAAAGGTCACATATTGTTCACAAGAGAAAGGTAAATGTGATGGATATCTCAATTACCCTTATTTGATCATTACACATTGTACATAGTTATGAAAATATCACGTGCCCTCAATTATTTTAATTGATATAAAATATGTACAGCTATTATATATCAATTTAAAAAATAAATTGAAAAAAGGTGACATATTGTATAATTCCATTTATATGATATGACCAAATAGCTAAATCCAAAGAGACAGAAATAGCTTAGTGTCTACTACATGGCCTAAGCAGAGAGAAGAGAAAGTAGTAACAGCTTAATGAGTATGAGGTTTCTTTCTAGGGTGATAAAAATGTTCTGAAATTGGTAGTATTGTTGCACAACAATTGTGAATGTACTAAAAGCCATTTAATTGTACATTTTTAAATGGTTAAAATGGTGACTGGGTGAATTCCACTTCAATTTTTTAAAAAAGAAACCAAAGGATTATAAAGGGATATCCCAAGATAATAACAAAAGTCCACTCCGGAAAAAAAGCTGCACATTAGTACTAAAGAACAACTAGTCCATATTGGAATAGGATAATGGAGTATTCTGAAAGGAATGTCCCATGTAAGGAAAAAAAGAACTGATATACTTGAGCATAAATAGTATAAAACAAGTGTGACAGAGTTGTTGGAGCATTTTAGTAAAAGAGTTAACAATAGATAACATAGAAAAATAAGGCAAACATTCGCTTTAGAAAAAACAATAAACTGTATGAAAAGGGAGATGTGCACCTCTTGGCTAAGCAGTTATATTTTACACAGTCATAGTAGTATAAAGAGTGAGTAACACTTTAATTGAAACTTGTGAAATAACTATGTGGTGGGGAGATGAAAAGGTGAAGAAGTGAAGAAACTGATGTGAAAGATGTAAGTTCTCATTTACCAAGATAAAATGTCAATATAAAGTTTTCAAAAATTAAGAAATTTGGAAATAATTGTATTTAGAAATATGAGGATAAATATTAGAAGAAAAAAATTAATGGTCTTTTCATACTTCAAACTTTTAAACTACATACATTAATTGACAAAAATTTGGAAACTAAAATCATTTTATTTTATTTTTAAAATAGCTAGTGTGGGAGAGACTATTGGTTCTCCCCTAGAGCAGTTTTTTCTTTTTGCTTCAGTAATAGAATTAACTGTATTGCTAAAGACTATGTTTCCCAGTCTACCCTGCCAGTAGGCAAAGTATGACCAAGTTCTGGCAATGTGATGTAAGTGGAAGTACTATGTGCAACTTCCGGGTCATACTCTTAAGGGAAACTTCCTTTCCCCTTTCCTCCTTCCTAATGGCTACACAGGAACATGATGGCAGGAGCAGAGGCAGTTATCTTGGGACCATGAGATGGAAGCCATGTGTTGAGGATGGCATAGCAATAAGATAACAGAACAGTGGGAAAATAGAAACTTCACAGGGCAAGATCATTACAACAGTTCAGAATTTTATGTGATATAGAAAACCTAGTAATAAACTCCTATCTTGTTTAAGCCATTGTATTCTGGTCTCTCCTTGAAAGCAGTCAAAGTGGTAGCCTGACTCATATAGATAGAAATCAATCAAAAAATATATAATAAAATTTCATATAAGTTTGCATCTAAGTGATAAAGTAATATTAACTTTATATGAATGCTAAGACATTCAATGATAAAATTGGGAATTATGATAAAATTTTACCTTTCTTAACTGGAGACTGCTGTTGCTGTTGCTCATTAAGACCTTGAGAAAAGGCTTGCATTCCATTCGTCTTACACTGTTAAACATGAAGAAAATAAACTTTTTAACTCAGGTTTTAAAATTTTATATAATTAGTTTAACTACCCAAAAATATTTTCCTAATAATAAATGCATTTAGTAGGAGCTAAGTAATAAGCAATCATTATAAGTCTGCTTATTTAAAATGAGCGACAAAAACATCTTTCAAAATATATTCACATATATCTACAGTTTTTTTGGCATTATTATAATTATTGTTGAAAAGGAATATAAAACTAAAGATGAATTTTATTGTCCTAAACATAAATAATTCCATAGCCATTAAAAGTATTTTTTCTTGACAAAAATGCCATTCAGAAAATTTAATTGATGAAAACAACACATTTTTATTCACAAAAATTCTGCAATAATACTAGAGTATTTACTTTTTTAATTTCTGAAGTAGAGACTGATGTCGCTTTATAAGCCCATGGACTGTTTCACCTAATGCCTTGGAAATAAGAGAAATAAGAAAAATTGATGTATCCAATGAGAGGAAGAAAATCAGAAACATTGGTAGAGCTCTATGTCTTGAAGAGAGACGCCTTAGTGCAGAGTTTTTCCAGTCTCACTTGCAAGACCATCTTTATGATAAGATTGGCTAAGCTAATCTGATGATATTTTAAAAATCCATTTTTACCTAAATCTTTTTCTTCTGATCCCATGCTCACCAAGACATACTCAGATTCAATTTAGCTTTCCATAAATCTCCCTAGAAGTAAACAATATACCAGCTGTACCAATAAGAGGAACCCAGAACGCAAGACATCAAGATTTCTCATTATAAAATAATTGGTGTTCTGATTTTATAAACCAGTTTTACAAACTTGGTTAATACTATCTACCCCTGAGAGATTATCTCCTCTTGTGCTGACAAAAATCAGTTTGTAAACCATCCCTGAATTAAGGTAAATCATGAAGGTAGGTTTCTTTGGAGACATCTATCCTTAAAAATAAATATCTCTGCTCCATCAATCATTGTATTGACAAGTTGTAAGCCATTCCTTAAATTTCTGTGAATGCTAACTACTCCACCTAAAGGCAGTAGGACTAATTATCTAATGCTATGACACAATAAAGTCTATGGAGATAATTCTACACTATTGAAACAAGAATGTAGAAAATTCTTGAAACAAGAATGTAAAAAGAAATCAAGTTTTAGTAGAGCTTTTTAAGTAGAGGAGAAAAAAATGGAAAATGCCTAAGATTTGGGTTCTCCAAAGTTCTTCTAGACTGTTGTATTTAATTAACTATAAAATGGTATTCTAAAAATTAAAAAAAAAAACAATTTCTTGCCTCCGGAAATTTTAGCAGATGCACATTTCACTAAGTGTGTAACATCTACTTAAATGCAAGATCTAAAATCAAACTTGAAGGTAAAATTGTACCTTGTCATGTCTGTACATATTAAAAACTTAAAATACTGATTATTTCAAATAATAGCATGTAAAAAGTACACCTACAAAAAGTTTTATACAGTGATTATCTATATGTTATCTCATTTAATTATAATCCTATAAGGAATAAGGCAAGTGCTATGATCACTATGTTATAGGTAAGGAAAATCAGACCAGAAGAGTTTGGTGACCAAGCCAAAAGTACACAGATAAGAAACAGCTGAGCTAGGTTTTGAAACTCAAGGCTACTATGTAAATTTGTGAAGGGTATGCATCTAAAGGGTTACCATTCACCACAGAAATGCTGTATATTTTCTAGCAGAGAGCAGCAAAGTATCTTACTCAAAAAAAAGAAAACTTGTATTTTTCTATAATTTTTCAATCCTCTTCTAATTCTTGCAAAGGTGCCAAATGTGTAGTAGTGGACCCGTTGAACTCATTCATTTAACAAACACAGAATGCCTATGACATGACAAGCACTGTGCTTTGTGTCAGGAAATACAAAGATGAACATGACATTCCAGTATCTGTTCTCAGAGACTCACAAACTAAAAGGCAGAAAAATAAAAGAGCAAATCATAATAAAATTTGAGAAGCTCTGTAATAAAGATATGCAGAAAGTACAATAAAAGGACTGAGTCAGGGTATCGAACTTGGCTTAGAAATGCCAGGAAAGGCTTTACATAGGAGATGATGCTTATACTGACTCTTGAAGGATCAGTAGGAGTTAGCCTGGCAAACTGATGAAAAATTAATGTTTATGGAATAAAGGAATAGCCTTGTACTGAAGAGCATGGGAAAATATGGCTAGTTCAGGAAATGTAAAAGGTTAAACAGAGGAGTAAAGCAGGATAAGCATCAAGTTTCTTATAATTTTATTCAAATCAAGTGCTCTTTGCAATGGCACAATTCCCCAATATGCATGCCCAGATTTTCTATTTAGACTTTTTGTATTTTTTTGAGACAGCGTCTTGCTCTGTCACCCAGGCTGGAGTGCAGTGCCGTGATCATAGGTCACTGTAACCTTGAACTCCTGAACTCAAGTCATCCTCCCAACTCAGCCTCCTGAGGAGCTAGGACTGCAGGCATATACCACCATACCCAGCTACTTTTCAAAAGTTTTTGTAGAGACAAGATCTTGCTACATTGCCCAGGCTGGTCTCAAACTCCTGGGCTCAAGTGATCCTCCCACCTCAGCCTTCCAAAGTGCTAGGACTACAAGTGTGAGCACCCCATCTGGCCCTTTTATATTCTATAGCAAGAATGTTCCCAGCCTCTTGTCACTCATCTTAAACAAATGTATACCACTCAGATCAGGAAAGAGAATAAAAGAGACAAATGCGTATCACTCTCCATTCCTAGAATGAAAAGTTAAAGTGTGAGATTTCTAGGCAATATCAAAAGACAAAAGGTAAACAGGAAAAAAAATTACAATTCGTATCTTAAATGGTTTCACCTAAAAGAGCTCCCAGGAAAACAATTTTTTAAAAAATAAAAAAGCCTATAGAAGAGAATGGGCAAAGGACAAGAAATGGTAACACAGAGGAGAGGAAATCCAAATGACTCTGAAACAGATCAAAATTAGCCACATATTCTTGATACTCTTCTCATCACGAGGTACACTCTGTATCTCCTTCACTTAAATCTTGGCAAAATCTATGACTGCTCCTACCAATATACATTTCAGAAGTGACACAGTGCTAGTTTCCAGTCCCAGATATTAAGAGACTGGCAACTTCTATCTCCTGTCCCTTTGAACATTAGTCTTGGAACCCAGATATAGTGTTATAAGAAGCCCAAGCCACTTGGAAAGGCCATTTGTAGGTGCTCATTCCAGTTCATAGTACCAGCTGAGCTCCAAGCCAATGGCCAGTATTAACTGACAGCCATGTGAGTGAGCCATTTTCATCATCCAGTCCAGTCAAGCCTTTAAGTGCTTCCTGTCCTCGATGCTATCTGACTGCAACTACATGACTACACTAAAGTGAGATAGGGCCAGCTCAGTCCAGTCATCCCAGGAGACCATGAAAGATAAAAATAAGCTATTGTTTTAAGCCAAAATTTTCAAATACTTTGTTATGAAGAAATAATGAAAAACAGGTTAAAGGAAGTTGTTCATAAAGAAAGATAATACCAGACAGAGCCATGGATTTACACAAAGAAATAAAAAGTTCTGGAAAGGCAATAAATGAAAGTAAAATAAAATTCTTTCTTTTAGTTTTTAAAGTTAAAAGACAACACAGAAAGAAAAAAAACATTAGTAATGATTGTGTGTTTACAGTCCAAACAAAAGTAAAATTATCATCATAATAAGCACAAGAATGTAAGGGTGGTCTCTACAAAAAAAGTTGCTAGATCTAATAATTGAGTTTAACAAAATCACTATAAAAAATCAATTATTTTTCTAAACTCTAGCAACCAACCAGTAAAATTTAAAATTTACAAAAAATACCATTTACAACAGTATCGAAATATCTGAAACACTTATAAATTTTATAAATGATGTTCAAAAGCCCTATGCTGGAAAATACAAAGAATCAAGGGATATGTCATGTTAATAGATCATAAGATGTCAATTCTTCCCATATTAATCTATAAATTCAATCAAAATGCCAATAGACTTTTTGTAGAAAATGACAAGCTCACTTAAAATTTATATGCAAATGCAAAAGACCTAGAATTGTAAAGATAAATTTTAGAAACGAAGTTAGTGACCTTTCACAACCTGGTTTCAAGACATCATAAAGCTACAGTAGACTATAAAGTGCAATATTGACATAAAGATAGACATAAATCAACAGATCATAATAGTTTTGAAATAAATTAATGCATGTATGATATACTGATTTTTCAATGAACTTTTGCAGTTCAATAATAAAAGGACAAACAACCCAAATAATAGAAATAGTCAAAAAGATATGAACAGACACGCCATCAAAAAAAATTTTTTTAAAGAAAGAAAAACGGAAAGAAAAACAGATGTCAAAGAAGTTCATGGTAAGATGCCAAATCTCACTAAACATTAGGAAAATGTTAATTTAAATACAATGAGATACCACTACTTACACACTAAAATGGCTAAAAATAAAAAGATTGACCATTCTAATGTTGGCAAGGCTGTGAAGCATCTGGAGCTCCCTCATATTACTGATGAGAAGGTAAAATGGCCACTTTGGAAAACATTTTATGATATCTTATAACGCTAAACAAACTTACTATATGATCTATCAATTCCACTCCTGGGTAGTATGTGTATTTCCACACAAAGATTTGTACATGATAGTCTATAGTAGCATTATTTATAATATCTAAAAACTAGATACAATCCAATGTTGTCAACTGATGAATAAACAAACTGTTGTATATTTAAAGTAGGACACTATTCCACATTAAAAAAAAAAAACAACTACTGATATATACAACATGAAAGGATCTCATAAACATAACGCTGAGCAAAAGAACCCAGCACCAAGGAATATACATGATATTTTTCATTTATATGAAACTCTAGAACAGTAAAAACTAACTTATCTATCATTAAAAGAAGCGGATCAGTGGATGTGTGGGGCAAGAAGGAGGGCAAGGGGTTAGTGTTAAGTGTAAGTGGTAAATTATTGCAAGGGGATATAAGGACATTTTGGAGGAAGATGGAAGATTTTCATTGTGGGGTTCATTACATAGCATAAATATTTCTCAAAAGTCATTGAACAAATGAGTTCACCTTACTATATGTAAATTATACCTCAATAAAGGTAGGTTTGAAAATATATCAAGTATCTCTAACATAGGTTCTAATAGCCTTTGCATTATAATTGAAGCAGCAGACAAAACTGTACGTTTAGAAGTAATTTAATTCATAATTTGATTTTTCTCTATAAAACTGCAATGTTAACATATTAATTTTTTACATATAAAGTGAAAGAAGGTCAATGGTTCCAAAAAGTAATGAATATTACTGTTGTATTTAATTAAGGAAATGTTAGCTGCTAGAACAAATACAACATTTCTATGACTTATAGAAAACTCATAATAAAGCCAGAGTAATTAAGACATCATGATATTGATTATACAGAGATACAAAAATGATCACTAGAACAGAATAAAGAGCCCAGAACAGATATATCTATATGAAAAATTATTATATAATTAAGATTCCACTATAAATCAGTGTGGAAAGGATGAATTATTCAATAAATTATGCTTTACAATCAGTTGCTTATAGGAGAAAAACTAGATTTCTATCTTACACCATCCAAAAAATCACCTTGAGGTAGACTACACACCTAAATATGAAAGCAAATCTTCAAAGCTTTTGGAAGAATATATAGAAAACATCTTTTAATTTTGGAAATGGGAAGACTTTTTAAAAGTGAAATCCTAAAGAAAAACATTGACAATATCACTACATTAATATTTAAAACTTTTAAACAAAAAATGCCACATAAAAAATGACTCTCTAGCAGACCATATTCCTGGAAAAGAAAATATTTTTATGCACATAAGAAAAATAATTAGAATCCAGAACATATTTTAAAGGCATATAAATCAAAAAGAATAAAATCCTGGAAAAATGGGATAATAATTTGCATTGGCAATTCACAAAAGAGGAGATCCAAATGGTCAAACTAGACATATGAAAAGATGCTCTACTTCACAAGTAATAGAGAATTAAAAATTAAAACCAACCAAAATATATAATTTCTCATCCTCTGTCTCACCCAATGTTCAAGTCTGACAATAGTAAGGTGAGGACATAGACAAATCAGAGCCCCTGTTCATACAAATCGCTTTGAAGAGTAATTTGGCAGTATCAAAAAGTTGAAATTAAGAATACTTAGTAATTCTACTCTAACTTTATGCCACAGAAAACTTCTCAAACATGTAAAAATGAAACATATAGATGGCAGTCACAATAGCATTTATTATAATATAGAAACAAGCGCCCATCAACAGAAAATGGAAAAAAAAATGTGGTATAGTCACATATATTAAAAGATTGTTCTATATCAGTTCATATTTAACTGCTTTATTCATTGTAAAGTTGCCTAGTATTCCATTTACAAATATACTTATGGTTGTGCATGCATAGTCTATTCCTGGATAAGAAATAGTATCTAGAGGCCAGGCACAGTGGCTCACGCCTGTAATCCCAACATTTTGGGAGGCCGAGGCAGGCAGATCACCTGAGGTTGGAAGTTCAAGACCAGCCTGGCCAATATGGTGAAACCCCATCTGTACTAAAAATACAAAAAAAAAATTAGCTAGGTGTCGTGGCGGGTGCCTATAATCCCAGCTACTCGGGAGGCTGAAGCAGGAGAATCGCTTGACCCCTGGAGGTGGAGGTTGCAGTGAGTCGAGATGGTGCCATTGCACTCCAGCTTGGGCAACAAGAGTGAAACTCCATCTCAAAAACAAAACAAAACAAAACAAAAGACAGAGAGAGAAAGAAATAGTATCTAGGTAAGAAACTGGTACAATGCATCTGGCTAAGAAACTGGTGCAATGCTTACTTCTGATCAGAGGAAATAGGAGACTGGGACAGAGACTGGAGGGAAACTTTTCAATAAATGTCATTTTGTATATTTTGAATTTTAAACTTTGTGACTAATTTACTTAGTCAAAAAATTAAAATTTGTAATAAAATGTTAAAGCAAAGATGACAAAATCCTATTTACATAAAACAAATAAAACAATTATATTTATCATAGCAAAAGTACAAATATATTCATGGAAAAAATAAATTGAGGATAGTTATCCATGGGCAGGACGGGAAGGAAATACGATGGTAGAAGCATATATATAGAGTTTGTAACTATATGTGAAGTTGTTTTTCTTTAAACTTTTTTAAAGCAAATATAGCAAAATGTTTAGACTTAAAAATGCTGGGTGACAGATAAATGGGTGTTACATTATCTTTAACATATGTACATAAATTTTTATAAAGTATATAAGCATAGTATCTGGCACACAATAGCCATCTAACACATGTTACTTTCCAATCTATAATATTTCCTTCTGTTATAATTTCTAAGACTTACTCTGCTAACTCCACTTTGTATGCACTGAGTGTTGCATGGATATTCGTTTTGAAAGTTGAAAGGGAACACTGCTCCTGTTAGGAGAGGAAGAAAACAATTTCATAGATCTATTATTTCAATAAATAATATAATCAACTAAAAAGCTTAAGTATCCAAGATATTCTTGGCACTGTTTTGAAATGTGTTCTGATAGTTCATTTATTCAACATTCATCCAACCTTATGAAATGTCAGATGCTGTGTTAAAAGGATGGACACACAAACATGAAAAGAGTTCAGAGATAAGAGTTCACAGTGTATTTTAAAAGACAAGTTCATACATAATGATTATAATACAATTTGATAAGCAGTATGCTTATTGAGAGATTTAGAGAAAGTACTAGGGCAAACGGAATAGGTTTGGGGTATCACATAGGTTTCACAACATGAAGTAATTAAATCTGAAACTGAATCTAAAAGAAAACGTAGTGATTCCTTTAGAGATCTGAGATGGCCAGGGAGTATGTAAGCGTGTTAAGAAACACCAAAATTAATTTCTGATTTACTAGACTTTTCTGCCTAATAATTCCCTACTCTGCGTCTGGATCTTAAGAAGGTACAACTAAATAAGATACCAGGGCTACCTGCCCACCTTGCATCCCCTCTCATTCTCATTCTTCCATGTAACAACCTTGGAGAGAAATCAGTGAAAAATTGGATCTGCAGAGATGAAGGGGGGTGGGAGTTGCTGGAGAAAGTCTGGTCACAGAAAAGAGCTGCTGCAATTGTTTTACATTCTTTCCTTTAGGATAAAATTTGAGACTTGACCCTACACAACCGCTTCCACTGCACCAGAAGTATACAGAATCAGCATTATTCAGCTATGGTCCCAGAAGATCCATTAATTTCATTTAGCTGACATAAGTCACAGGCATATTGAGAGCAAACATAACCAAAGTGGAGATTATCATCTTCCTTGAAGGATCCAATGATGGGAAAATGAACACAGGACAGAAACTGGTGCCACTTCTACCTTTTTTGCTTCATTTGTAAACTCAACAAAGTATCTATATTTTCCCATTTATAAGTAGTAATTCAGCTGAATACACAGACTAAGAAAAAGTTTAAAAAGTTATATGTGTATCACCTAAAGTAGACACAGAAGCCATTCTAGCAACAAGTAATGAACAGAATTAAAAGACTGATATTCCAATTTAGAAGTTAAATACCAGGTATTTCAGGAATTTCTCCAAAAGAATAGCTTCATGGGCAAAAGAAAAACATTTTAGAATGTTTAAAATAGATATTTTGAAATTAGACCTGTTCTAGTTCAAACACAGCCATAACCTCTATCAGAGCACAAGTATGACACAACTACTACAGAACCTTTAAGATTTGTGCTAATATTTTTTTTTTGGCATTTAGTTACGTACTTATTCTTTTAAAAGGTTAAATTCTCTCTCCAGCATGATTGCCCTGCAGTTATCATAATCACAGGGCACAGTTTGTACTGGGAGTATCACTCTGACCAGAAGCCAGAAGCCTACAAAAATGAGACATGAGAAAAAACACACACACAGAAAGTTACTTTCAGTCAAGGGTTATTCTTCCTACTTTTGTTGGTCTGGTAGATTATAGATTGGTAGGTAATTAAGAATCTTTCTCCTTCAGTAATACAAACTCTTAGTTTTCATTATTTCTTTAAATATCCACCTGAAACAATACTTTATATATTATTTAGCTTTTCAAATACTAATTAGTCATTAACACATTAATATTTAAAGAACTGTACAATCTATTACTCACCTGGGGGAGAAGTCAGATGACGAACAGGTCTTGCTGGTTGAAGCGGTTTACCAATTAATTTTTTGGTTTCCATTGTCACAAAGACTTTGAGGTTCCATACTAGAAGACAAAAAAATACATTTTTATCTTTTGGACAAAATAATCAAGATGCTTTACATGTATACAAATAACTACATCTTTTTTTAAGATGCCTATTTTACAAGTTAAAGTGGAAAACACAAACACAAAAAAGCATTTAATATGCAATACTCAGACTCCTTTTATAGCATTTGTCACAGTTAAACATTCCCTCTTTGAAACATTTTCTTTAACTTTACTGACTCTATATTTCTGTTTTTCTTTTCTTTTGAGGCAGAGTCTCACTCTGTCACCCAGGCTGGACTGCAGTGGCACAATCATAGCTCACTTCAACTTAAAGCTCCTGGGCTCAAGAGATCCTCCTGCCTTAGCCTTCCAAATAGCTGGGATTACAGGCATGAACCACCATGCCCAGCTAATATATTTTTTTTAAAGATGGGGTCTCACTATGTTGCCCCAGCTATGTTCTTTTGGTTTGTTTCCTATTTCTTCGATTGTCTCTTCTAACTTCCTTAGCTGATTCCTCTTCTTCTGTCTTTCTTCCGAATTTGGCTTTGGTCTTCTTAGCTAAAACTCATCTATGCTCACGGCTGCAACCTCCTATCTACATGATAAATATGCCCTAATTTATACTTCCAGAATCTACTTCTCTTTTAAACTCCAGTTCTATTTTTCTAATTGTCTAATAATATTTCAATTTATATATTATCACAGGTACCTCAAATTCAACATATCTAAAATCTAATTAATAACTTTAACTCCTGTATTCCTTTAAAGTCATCACCAACTCCCTTGGACCACACTTGGTAAAACTGCCTTCAATTTGATGGGCTAAATTAGAGCCTCTGATTCCAAAATCAGTCTTTAATTTCTGTTCACGCTACTTCCAAAATATTAATGTTATTTTGTTTCACCATATATTTGGACATTCAAGTGTTTTGTCTATAGTTCCCTTACTATCTCTGCTGCTCTTCTTCCAAACAGCTATTTATCTGTCAAGACCAAGATCAAGCTCTTGCCACTTCCTTGGAAAATATCCCCCTGTCTCAACAGGTAAGGTTAAATAAAATAGTCTACATGAAGTTCTCTAATAATAAAATAATAATAACAATAATAATAATTCCTCCTTCCTTACATTCCTCCTTCACTGGTCCCTACTGTATTTTATCACTTTTTCTAAAATATATCACAGTAAATATATTACATGTCTACTTATTGGACTATCAGTTAGTTGAGGCCACAAAAACCAGACCTTATTTATTTTTGTATTCTAGTATCTGCAACATAGATTTATTAAATAAACTCTATAAACGCTAAGTACCTCGTCATTGCAACTAAAATCTGACACCTGTATGGGACACAAGATTTCCAAATTTTGATGCCCATCAAGACAAAGTCAAAAATAAAACTCCACTTGATTTTGCACCTGCTTATCCAGAAATAATTGTAACCATATGATATTAAGCAAATCATAAGTCTAAGTGCCTATTTCACCAAGTATAAGATAGAGTTAGTAACCCTTTAAGTTCCCAGAAATGCTTTATCCTATTTTTTAAATATCTTTGGACATGTATAATTCAAATGTTAAAATTATAAACTTATAAACAACCTCTCAAAATTAGGAATGATAAGTAAGCACCCAAAAGTTACTATTTGGAGATAACCCAGCAAGTACTTCAAGTTAATACCAACCCAGCTTTGTAATGTGTCTGTTAGCTAGTATTTCAACGTGGCAAAACTAATGCTCTCTGTACTTTTTGTGCAATACAATTGGATATAACAAGATGAAAAAAAAGTTATAAGCACAAATAGAAAAAATACTTCAAATAAAGTTATTAATATTTTCTATGTAGAAGAGTATATTTAAAATAAGGACCAAAAAGCAACCTAATATACATTGCTTTATTTGATGTTTATCCTAGCTATTTTAGTTAAGACCCTAATACTAGTATGTAGTAACTTTCCATCCTGTTCCCCATATGAAACTAGTGAATCAGAATACAATAGGATAGAGTACTTTGGCACACACTTCGTTGTTTTTCATTGCTCAGCTGAAATTTAGTTGTAGGTTGTTAAGTCTTTTCCAATCGCTGAGCAAGGCAAATCCACAGTATTCAAACTAGGGATTTTCAAGAGTTGGGGATTACAGAACTCCATTATATGACTTTGCAACACAAGTAAATAAACAAAAAATCAAAGCTCTTTTGGTGCCACCTACCCTTCAATTTACAGTAGGAAAGATACAGCAATGGCTCCCTGTATATAAATCCACATCAGTTAAGGAAATTAGAAAAGATGGTGTCATTCAGTACTCTGTTTAATATTTTTTTTTAAAGTAAACGATGCCTGCAGGGAAACACTGACATTATAGGGGACAAGTTTGGGATTACAATGCATAGTACATTCCACCATCATGTTATTAATGAAAAAGGTTAAGTATTTATAAAAAGTAATTATTATTGTAAAACTGAGTCACGAGATTATAATTAAGGCAGAACTCCATAAACCAAAACCTAATTCTCAGTTTAGTTAAAAATAATAAAGACTTAACTGCACTACAAAGTCATTATACAAAACAAATTCAGTCTTAAACTCTAATGCCTGCTTCATCCATGGAATGTAGAGATCAAAAAGTTTCCCTTGAAGCTACTGGTGCTACCTAGAGTAGCCATGTATCATATCAACGATTCAAAGCACAGTTACAAAATAAACAGAATTCTGCCTACAACATTGGGTAGCAAGTAGTGGGCCTATCATAAGGTTGTAAAATGTAAATTTAAAAATGTAAATGTATAGTTTTGTGGTATAAATGTTTTTTAAAGGATATTTTGATCCAATGTCTCCAAAAAAACTTTCTATTAATACATACTGAGAAATGGTTGCTGAATAGTTTTTTTCAAGATCACACACACTTAACAAATCATCTTTAAAGACCAAGTTGTATGAATAGAATATTGGTAAATCAGTTAGTTATTTACAGTTGCTATTCTACACCTGGCAATACTAACTATATCTTAGGTTCCTTTTCTTTTTAAAAAATTTACCTAAGTATGAATCTTCAGGCCTTATCAGTCCTGATATTACCAGTAAACCTAGAATTGTCTAAAATACAATGGGATAATAAGCAGATACATTGACCACTTTGGCCAAAATCTTATTAATCTTATTTTTTAATTAAGATGCCTTTTTAAGGTCCTACTACATACTAAATATAATTTCATTTAATTTTGAGCCATATATGAACGGTGGAAGAAAATTATTATTAGTCCCACTTCACAGATAAGAAACCTGAGGCTCAGAAAAATAAGAGACATGCCCAAGTCCACATAGCTACTAAGTGCTAGATATTAGGATTTGACTACAAAGTTCACACCTTTATATCAAAACTTGCCTATTTGTTACATAAAAGAAAGATATCTGACTGTCCATTTATTACATGTGGACACTGCGTGTATAGATTTAAAAATTAATGTGAAAAGTAACATTTATTTATAAGGCCATGCAGAATAAATTGGTATATGCTAATAATATCCATTTCTTCAATTTACCATTTTTCTTAGAATACTAAATAAATTAGGGAGTACTGTGCTTTCCTCACGCTACAGACATGGTATACTGCCATACTAACCATAGATCACAGCATATGAAATATACTATGCACTGTTTTTAGAAGCTGAGTACTATACTTAAACTCCAATATAAATTCTAGTCTTCTTTGGAAAGTACTGATGCTACCGCTGCCGTTGAGAAATAAGATCATATAAAGTGAAATAATGAAATGAAAAGACCATATTTGAATTTACCTTGTGTATAATTCCCATATGATAACCAGATAAAATTTCATCTCAATTTCCAACTTCAAAACATTACAAAGTTAGGATTCCTTGAAACCCAATACTGCTTGTAAGTAAACTGCTCACACTGACAAAATGATAGATGAAGAGAAACATACAGGAAACATCGGGGAGTAAGAAATAAACCACCTATGACTCAAGTGGTGAAAGACATTTCACGTTCCATATATCTGGTTGCACTATTAAGGAAAAATTAAAACGAAAATATCAAAAAACTAGAAGCTTGGAGAGTTCCAACATATCTTCCATTTCATGCCTTCTCTTTATAACTAATTTAATTTTTTTTTTGGTCTATTTGAGGGATTTCTCAAAACAAAACACAATTTAACATTCGGATGGGCTAAAGCTGTCCAGGTAATAGGTGTCTGTGATTACTTTAGTCATGTAACTGTCCTTTCCGTAGCTTTGACTAAAACACCAGCAATGAAAACCTTGTGCCACCGGGTGGAGGGGGCAAATCGTCTTGAAAGCCTCCCACCGCCTGGCACCAGGTGCTGGGGCAGAGCCAAGGGGAGCTGTGTACTTAGCTCCTTTTTTGGCGATGGCTTTGGTCTCGGCCACTTGCCCCTCCGTCGGGCTCCCCTGGCCCCCTACACTTTCTTTCCCCTCATCCGACGCTCTCGCTCCCATCCCACTCCCATTCAGGGTCCACAGGGTACTGAAGGGGCCCTGAGAGATTTCCCGACCCACCTCAGAGCTTCTCTTCCTCGCCTCAACTTTCCCGGGGTCGGGCCTGGGAGACGGCGCCCACCCGCCTCCTCCACACCACGGGGCCCGACTTCCGTCCCCCAGTGTCGCTCATCCTCCCTAGCCACTTACCGACTCAAAATCCACGGGGATTTCGGGGCAGCAGCGTCGCCGCGCTCAGCCCACACGCGGAGGCCGAGCGCCCTGCTGCCCGTCGGGGAACGGCTCCTGCCGCTGGTCCGCTGGCTGACCGCGGTGGCGGCGGCGGGGGGCGAGGGGCGGGGGGCGAGGGGCGGGGGGCGGGGCGGGAGGCGGCTCCGAGGGGCACGAGGCGGGCCCAGGGCGGGCGCGGGGCGTGGCCTCGGGCGCTGAGCCTCGAGAGCAGCCGCACCCCTGCCGGGGTAGAACCGTTAAAAGGGTGGCGCGCGCTTTCCCGGGCGAGCTGGGCGCGTGGGGTTGGAGCGGCGCCACCCAGAGCCGGTCGTCTAGGGTAGGAGGCCGCGAGTGAGGCGCTGACAGGCTAGCCCTCGACGGGGCGCGCCCGCGTGAACGGCCTTGGGGGCCCCAGACCGTGGCCCTGCTTGTGCGAAGACTGGGAGGCGCCAGGCGGGCCGCCTGCTGGGGGCTTGGCGGCGGGTTCCAGGCAGCGTCTGTGAGGGAGGCCGCCTCTGTGAGGGAGGCCGCCGTCGTGCTGACGACTGAGTCCACCCTACTCCTGTCCCCCGTCAGAGCTGCTGGCAGGCGCTGCTTTCCCCTTGGTGCATTTAGTGGGTGTCGGGATTCGGGTTGGCAGGGAGGAAGATGTTTGAGACCTGGTTTACCTCAGACCAGGGATACAGCGTTTCACACAGACTGCCATCCTGAAAGGAACAAAATGAATTAAGGCAACTCCATCCGAATCATTTCTTTTTAATCTTCACCTTCAATCCTTTTGCTAATTTTTCATTATCTTTGAGTGTCCCCAGAGGGGGACTGTCTGCTTGTACTGAGGGACGTGGAGGTGGCAGTCCCTCACGTCCCCAAGCACCAAAAGGACAGTTGAAAATGCACTGGCAAACACTGAACGGTTTTAAGTGGGGCACTATCAGGATTTACCATTTTGGAAGGTATGAAGTTTCACAAGCACTTCCATGTATAGTCAAGTTATTGGAGCTGTCTCCGTTTAGAAATGGCTTCCAGAAACACTCCTACTATCCACTGAGACAACTCGCCTGGCATCAGAGACCTAGGGTCCAGGGTCAGAGATGGGTCATGATAAAAGGGCATCCCTTGGGGTGAGGCACCAGAAGTCTGCACAGTGGAATCAATATATTCCAACCACCAGATGTAGAAAATCTTAAGTGCAGGATGTGGTTCTCATCCATCTAGTCACAACAGAAGTTTTCTTCTTCAGGAATATACTTAACAATGAAGCATGTATAATTTTATATACATCTTACAATAAAATTATTTTGTGCATATCACTGTATGAAGTCAGTAGAAACTATTGTGACAAAAATGTAAATTGGAAGAATTCCAATTCAGATCAGTATTAGTAATTTATTGAGAGGAAGAGAGAAATTAGACTAGACAGACTCCTTGATTTTTTGATAATTGAGGAAGAAAAATGAACCATATAAACATATCGAAACTTTTCAAAATCTTATTGATAATGACATAAAATTTTGGCATCTACAAGGATAATCTAGAATTCATACCTTTACAACAAGAACTTGACAACAAACAGGTTAATGACTTTTAGCAACTTAAAGGTTAGTCACTGCCTGAGAAAACTTGAAGTGCCCTGAAATCACAGAGTTCACCTAAGAACCTTAAGATGAGTTTCCCCAAATTTAGCAATACTAAAAATTGGCATTATTACCAATAACAAATTGTGAAACTGCAATAACTTTTTTAAGCTTTCAATAACAAAAAATACATGTTGACTAACTTTGCTTTGAAAAGACTACCACATTATTCATTATCACCAGGGAAAGTGCATTACAAAATTACTGTCAAATGATGAGGCAATAAAAAAATGAAAACTAAAAATATAGGAAAAACATAGCAATGGTTCAGGTAGTTAATTTAAAATATCATTTTACTGAATTTCTAAAATATTTGTGGTATTTATCATCTTTTTAAAAATCTGTAATTTGTTGTCACTGATTTTCTTATTCTAAGTAAATATTTACTTTGGTCACCGCCCCCCATCCCTGCTTCCTGCCCTGCTCTGGCCACTCAAAGAATTGGAGAATGGATTGAGAAAAAGCAACAGTGGAAATAGATATCCCAGTTAGAAGGATAATAATTTATAATGTGTCTTACTACTTATAAGTAGAGGTTTTATTTAAACTTATATTTTCATATTTTATTTAACTCCACTTTCACAGTACCTAGAACTACACACACACACATACAAACTGGTTACTTGATCTCATGGTATGTGCTGTTTAGTGAGGGTGCAGATATGCAAACAGACAATTTCAACTCAGTAAATTAATTGTTAAATCTGGGTGGTGCCACTGAAAGCCTGGCAACTCAGAAAGCTGAAGAGGTAGCATTATCTCATGTTTACCAAATGATTTCCTTGCCAACCTCCTGCCAATAGTCGCCTTTTATTCATTTATTCCTCAAACATTTACGAAGCATTTTATGAAGGATACACTAACAAACACACAACACAGATGCTCATAATTATTATAGGAATGTGTTAAAACAGTGGTCCCCAACATTGTTAGCACCAGGGGCTGGTTTCGTGGATGACTGGAAGGGCGGGGTATGGTTTTGGGATGAAACTGTTTCACCTCAGATCATCAGGCATTAGATTCTTATAAGGAGCACACGACCTAGATCCCTCGCATGTGCAGTTTACAATAGGGTTCACACTCCTATGGGCCACTGTTGATCTGACAGGCAGCAGAGCTCAGGCAGTAATGCCAGCAATGGGGAGGGGCTGTAAATGCAGATGAAGCTTCAGTCACTCACCTGCCACTCACCTCCTGCTGTGTGGCTTGTTTCCTAACAGGCCAATGACCAGTACCAGTCTGGGGTCTGGGGGAGGGCAGTGGTTAGAAACCCCTGTGTTAAAAGCTATAATAATGACTTAGTTTCATTCAGCTCAGTTCAGCTCAGCAAAGGTTTTGAAGACCTATGTTTATGTGCTAGAAACTGAGGATACAAAGACAAACTGAAATACGACGAGAAAGGCTGATACACACTGAGGTTACAAAGAAAAACTGAAATATGATGAGAAAGGCTGATGCAAAATTAGCAAGAAGAGAACGCTAGCTTAATAATAGTGCCTATATATGAAATAGAAGATAGTATATGTAGTAGAAATGTTTACGTGGAATAAAAGAAGGACTACATGGAAAGGCATACTTCTGTTGAACGGTAGGAGGATGGAGAAGAGACATCACGAAAGGGTTCACAGGGGAGGTAATGCCTGAGCAGGATTTTTAAGGATAAAACATTTACCCACTTAGAAAAGGGTATTCCTTGCAGGTGAAAGAACAAGCCCAGAGATATACAGGAATAGAGCAGCAGCCAATAAAATAAAACATCAGTAATTCAGTACTGCAGAAACACAAAATACAAGAGACTGCCTGGTAGTGGCTTGATATTAGGCTAATAAAAGATGAAGTGTCTTTTATCTCCTTTATAAGGATATGGAGAGACACTGAAGGATTTTAGTTTGGGTTTAATAGTATTCTATGACCATTTGGGAAAAAATTACTTAAATGACAACATGAAAAATGGATTGGGAAGCAGAGTAGGCATCAGGCAAGACAAGAAGAGAGGCAGAGGAATCGGTTCAGAGGTTTACAGTAATCCAGGCAATGTTTATTGAGAGCCATAAGTAAAGGTAGATAGTGACCATAAGGAAAGAAAAGTACACATAGCTGAGAGAATAAGGAAAACTGCTAACAGTGTAGAGTGTGAGAGTGGAAAGTGGAAAATAGTGATGCCAGTTATTGACTTGCGCACCCAGAGCGATACAGGAAAAAAATAAAAAGATACTGTGATTTGCCTGAGGAGGCACAAGAGAATGGGATCTAGATTGTAGGTGAAGGGAAGGGACAAAAGCAAGAATAGGTGAAGTAGAGATTATCCAGTATAAGTGGAAGGGGTCTACTGTGGAAAGCAGTAGGACTTTCAAATTTTGAGATAGCATTTCTGGGGAATGTTCACCTGAAAACAGGTGAACACTGTTGAGGAGTCAGCTGAAGGTGAAGATCAGAAATTTATAAAGGCATTTACCTGCGTGGTTGTGAGATTCATTGGCAAATAAAGGAAGGGATGATAAATTGAAAGAATAATAAACCTGAAGTCCTCACAGTGTGAGACTTCCGGACAGAAGAGGTATATTTTCAAAGAGGTGTATTTTCAGACAGTGGGATAACTGAGTGTGAGAGTTGAGATGGAGTGGTTCTGAGTATAACCACCCAGCATGCCGCTGTAGAGGTGAATACCAGAAGTGAAAGGAAAATAAAGGTCATTAGACTTGACGAAGAACTGTGAGTCCAGACTGCAGTATTAGATAAGCCATTCACATTGACATTTAAATCAGTGGCATGTGATAAGAATAAAAACCAGGTACTGAAGTCTGCATTGGTGAGGAGGGAGTTAAAGGAGATCTGTGGATGGCGGATGGTAGGTAGAAGGGAAAGTTTATAAAGGAGTTAGGCAGGTACATAGGAAGAAACCAGAAAAAAAAAACACATGGCCTTACATAAGCTAGGGAATTCTCCACGTTTCCTAAACTCTTTCTTGAGGCTTAATAACTAATAAAAACTTAATGCATTTTGGCCAGGTGCAGTGGCTCACGCCTGTAATCCCAGCACTTTGGGAGGCCGAGATGGACGGATCACGTGGTCAGGAGGGCAGGACCATCCTGGCTAACACAGTGAAACCCCGTCTCTACTAAAAATACAAAAAAATTAGCTGGCCATGGTGGCGAGCGCCTGTAGTCCCAGCTACTCAGGAGGCTGAGGCAGGAGAATGGCATGAACCTGGGAGGCGGAGCTTGCAGTGAGCCGAGATTGCGCCACTGCACTGCAGCCTGGGCAACAGAGTGAGACTCCTTCTTAAAAATGTAAATAAATAAAATAAAATAATTAAAAAAATAAAAAATGTAATGCATTTTCAAGATTATTTAAATGTCCACTATCTTAAGCCAAAGGTATATCTCATGTGGAAATATGAGATACTGAGGCAAGGTTTTTCAGAAAAATTTATTGGAACACTGGGAACTTTTCCATAACTCTGTATATCCTACCATTATTACCTACACCTATCAACAGGCCACCCAGGGCATTCAAAATTTCATAAGAGCAATGTGTGCGATCACTTCCTATTTAATAAGTTACCTTAAATAACTCTTAGTTACAAAATTGAAAAGACTGTTAGATCAAAGACTCTCATTTACTGTATTACAAACTAGACCTACTTCTTAAATCTTTGGCCTGATCTGATCCTTACTCTGTGAGGCCGTCCCCAAAAGAAAACAAATAGGCTCTTTATTTCTCTGTTTTTAATCTAATATTCCACTTCAAGTCAAACATATGCATGTTTAGCAAAATATAAAGAACATAGTATTTATTTAAATGTGTAACTGCATATGTAAAACAAATTTTAAAATTAAAAGCCTGTACAAATTTTTATTAGCATTTTGTGCTAACAAATCATTTTCATAAATATTGCAATTACAAGAAAAAGAAAATACAATTGTTATTTAAAACTCATCGCATGTCAATTTCCTCATATTTAATAGAAAATACTTCTGACTGGGTGCATATGCCTTTAATCCCAGCAGCACTTTGGGAGGCCGAGGCAGGCGGATCGCTTAAGCTCAGGAGTTCCATTCCAGCCTGGGCAACATGGCGAAGCCACTTGTCTACAAATACAGAAAAGAAAAAAAAAAACTATCCGGGCATGGCGGTGCACCTGTAGTCCCGGTTATTCAGGGGGTCAAAGTGGAAGGACTTCTTGAGTCCCAGAGACCGAGACTGTAGTGATCGAGAGGTTGAGTCTGCAGTCAGCCCTGAGATTCTGCTTCTGCACTCCAGCCTGGCTGACAGAGTGAGACCTTTTTTCAAAAAAAAAAAAAGAAAAAAAAAATATTTTTACTTAGCCTTCCTATAATTTTATGCTAATTATAAAAAAGAAAATACATGTAATAATATTTTGCTACATAAATCAAAATGCTCTAAAATTAATGTAGTTGGATATAATATCAAATTCATTAAAAATTTTAAATTATTCTATGCTTTTGAAATGACTATTTTGGGCAAATATTTTCTAATAATTCTCTTTCTACAGATGACCTACAGACAATGAACAGCAGAGGGCACAAAAATCAAAAGTTTTTCACTACAAAGTGAAATAATAAAACCTTATGTAGTGGAAAGCAGACACATTTCAGAAGCAGACAGACTGATTCCATCTGGCTTCCTCACATATAAGCTAAGTGACCTTTAATTATTGAATCTGTCTTAGCCTCTTCAATGGTAGAATAATAACTGTGACAGACTAAATGTTAACATACGTAAGGTGGCTACATAAACACTAGGGCTTTTGTCTTCATTGCTTATTACATATGTATGTATGAGCATACCAGAAACATACATTGAATAAATGAAAACTTAGATTTTATAGCAATTTATGCAGATCATAAACAGGGAAATGGCTGTAGAGGTTTATCATAGCATATGAGTGCAGGTATAGCCATATCAAAACTAAACAAAAGCTAAACAAAAGGTGCACCAATATCTCATAAATCACCACTAAAGAACTTACTCATGTAACCAAATACCACCTGTACCCCAATAACTTATGGGAAAAAAATAAAATAAAATAAATCACAGCATTTTTCTGTATGTGAAAATATGAATGCCAAAGTGGATATAAACACGTAATAATATTTTCTACATGGTGTAGTAGTGTTTCTTCTTCTCCAGGTGTGATCCAGGAAAAATCTCCAATAGAATCATGAGGGAGTGATTGTTTTGAATGCAGATTCCTGTCCTACTCAGCATCTACTTTTTCAGATCTGTGGGAGCAGCAGTTCAATTTCCTCTGGTAAAATAGAAACAAGAATGCTGTACTTGCTTCCTAGGTTCTTGTGAATATTTAAACAGCATGTATTGTGAGGTTAGCACTCTACTTGGCACATATCAAGTTTCCTTTTTTCTTCTAAAATAACATATATGTACTCACAAATGACTTGTTCAAGAATACCTGGTCATGGTGCCATTTTTCTCTTTTCTAAGAAGAACTAAGGCAATTTTTGCTACTTTGAACAGCAAGGGACAAACACATCATTCCTTTTCTGATTCATGGCTATGGTGTATTCTTTCAAATAACCTCTTCCCAGTTATTTTCTATGCTCCCTAGGCACTGGAAGACATGCTCTACTTAAAAAAGCAAAACAAAACAAAATAACAAAAGACAACACTGAGTATAAAGTTTCATAAATTTGAATTTAATTAATTAAAAATTTTAGGTAACTCACATAGGGCTAAGCTTAAATATATATTCTCTGACTTTAAAGCTTAAGGTTTTATCAATGACCGTCATTGGTTTGGATTTTAATAAACTCATTTTAAAACTTTTCAAGAATCAAAATGAAAATTAACAAATATTGATGTAATCATCATATACTACTATTATCTATTCATCAAGAGTAAAACCTACTTTCCAACAATCTAGTTCAAAAATAAAGTAAAAATAATTTCTCTCTCTTCACCCAGAGATAACCACTCCTAATATTTTTGGTTTATTTTCCTTAGTTTTTTTCAGTATGTACACATAAAATACATTTTCTAAAATGTGGATCATATTCTATGTATCACACAATTTGCGAGCCATTTCCAATTCAATAGATGAAATTTTTTGTCATATTCTTGATTGTCTGCTATTTCATTGTATAGGTGTGCCATAATTTATTTCATCAATCTCATGTTATTGGATTATTGGACTATATTTTTACTCTTTATTAGAAAATTGACAATACCTTTAGGATAAATTCTTAGAGAATTACTAGATCAAAGAATATGTGGTGTGTGTGTGTGCGTGTGTGTGTGTGTGTTTCCAATGTCCTCAGCATTACAGGGGTATTATTGTAATTTCTACTTCTTTGTTAATATGGTAAGTGAAAAATAGTATCTCTTTGTTTTAACTTACATTCTTCAAATATTAGAAAATTGGGATCTGGGTGCGGTGACTCACACCTGTAATCCCAGCACTTTCGGGGGGCGAGCTGGGCATATCGCTTGAGCTTAGGAGTTCCAGACCAGCCTAGGCAACATAGCGAAACCCCATCTCTACAAAAAATCCAAAAAAAAAAAAAAAAAAAAAAGCCCAGCATAGTGGCGCATGCTGTGATCCCAGCTACTTGGAAGGCTGAGGTGGGAGGATGGCTTGAGCCAGGGGAGTGGAAGCTGCAGTGAGCCGAGATCACACCACTGCACTCCAGACTAAGTGACAGAGTGAGACCCTGTCTAAAAAAAAAGAAAAATCGAAAAACAGTTTATGACCTATTGTAGTCATTTTGTGAATTGCTTTTTCATACCGTTAGTCCCTTCTGATATTACAGTCTTTCTCCTATTTTGAAAATAGCTTCACCAGTTTGTCTTTTGGCTTTGCTTAAGGGTTTTTATCATACAGAAGTATTTTGGGGATTTTGTTGTTGTTGTTTCATTGTATCAATCCTTTCCTATATAATTTCTTCTTTTAAGTTCTACTTAGAACGTTTTTTTCTTAACCCAAGGTTATACAAATACTTACCTATACATTCTGGTACAAAATATAAAGTACATATTCAAGTGTATATAAGAATTTAAAATAGCAATTCATTCAACCATTTATTCATTCATGCATATTCATTCACGTAAATTGAGCACATGTACACTAAGAACTGTTCTAAGTGGGGATAAAGCTGTGAACAAGACTACCAGGGTTCTTGCTCTCATAAAGTTATTATTCCAGAAGGAATATGACATAGCATATAATTTAATGTGAGCTTTCCAATCAATGAGGGAAAGAATGGATTATTCAGTATACAATGCTGTTACAACTAGTTAACCATTAGGAAAAGAAGTAAGATTATTTTATACCTAACATCAAGTGTATTACAAATGGATTTAAAAACTATATTTTAAAAATAAAACCATTTGAAAATAGTACAAAAAACATAAATGAATATTATATAAAGAAACAGGTACATTCCTAAACATGAAAACTTTACAGCAAGATTTCAAGGCAACTCTGGAAGTGACATTATTTTTAATGGAATAAAACAAGGTAATTTTTGAACAATAATCTTTATTAGTGTATTTTTAAAGGTACATATAATCCTGAGCTACAGCATTTATACATTTGTCATTTACTCTTTGAAGTGTACATGTATTTTGCTTCAAATTCTGTGATGAGTACGTTTTTATACTAATCAGTATCATAAATAATTTAAAATATTAGTCTTATCTCTGGAATCACCAATCAATTTACTCAGATGATCTCACTGTCTAATTCTACTACATTTAAAGACTGTAGAACATTTGTGATTAAGCAATTTCTTTTTCAAAACTGCAAAGATGGGCAGTGCGAGAGCTGATTCCATAAATTTCAATGAATTCTTAGAAAATTATGTTGTTCTTTATTTCTGATCTATTTTCTTGAATAATTTGGGTAATTATCTGATCAGTTACCTTTGAGAAGAATAGTAAAAGTACCTCTAATCTCAACATTTTAGCTACTGTAAAATGTCATAAGCTTCCTTCAAATATAAGTAGTACATAATTACCTCAATAAGAAAAATTTACCATGATCTAAGGGAAAGGGGCACAACCCAATGTAAATATATCTTTGGATAAATGGTTAAGTATTATAAAACATGTTATGTGAAATACTTCCTCAAGCCTCTATAAAGGAATACATAGAGCTGATAAACATTAAATTCCATAATCCAGACCAGATCTTTTATAAATGGTAAATAAAAAGGCAAAAATGAAAGACAAAAGTCCTGTGATCTTTGAGAAAAGACATTTATCCAACATCTCCAACTGTGGACAAATAAATATTCGTTCTTGTATTTTAAATTACTACCAAAATATTTTATCTTTCTACAAACAACAAAAAACAAGCAAACAGTATCTAGAAATTTTTTTTCCTCTGACAAGAATGTCAAGTCTTTGAAGTTACACTAAATTTTTTTTTTTTTCCTGAATAAGGTCACTATAATCTTAGGTTAAAGTTACAGTAAGCAGTTCAAGCAAAATGCATATTGCTTAGGTTTTAAGCAAGCAATTTTGATACTGTTTAATTAAAATGTAAATATAAATGTGAAACTATTATAGAAATATTTATAAACACTTAGGAATACTCATGTATCAGCAAGTAATGAAATAACTTATTTAAAAATAATAAAAGGGTGAGAGTAAATGTAATGTTTGGTAACAAATCCAAAAATATCTATAAGAGATGTAAAAGAACATGAAAAGGCTTTATTATTCAAATTTTGAAAACCTAGCAGCAAAACAATTTGCATATAATATAGTGCAATGAGCATTTGTTCATAAAAGACTCCCAAAGTCTTGAAACGATTATACATAAACCAGAATGGAATCCATTAGGATAAATAATTTAAAGATGTCCAGAGTAGCTTACCAAGAACTGCTAGACACTCTCACCTGCATTACTGAATCATAAACAAGCTTATGCAAAACTGTGTTCTGGATAACTGACTCTTATGGCTCCCCAATAACAAGCTCGGATAAGGCAGATCAATCCTAGGAGATAAGCAATTGCCCAAGAAACATAGGTTGCTCGAAATCGCCTTGCAAAATCTGGGGTGCCAACCTAAAATAAAAAGCAATATAAAAACAAAATATTAGAAACTTTAAAAAATATCTGCTTAGGGAACTTGTATCAGCTTACATGTGATTGTTATGAAATATACCCCCAGACCGAATACACAAAGTCCTTATAAGAGTAGGTGTATCTGTTGACTGCAACTGATAGACCATACTGCTACTTGTAGTAACTATAAATGTTATGAAGTAAACAAAAAAGCACACTAAACTATATTATCTCTACAAGGAATTTAATCCATGTAACTTCTTACTATCATGGGACACAATAGGACATTGCTAATAATAAGGGACTAGTTGTACTGACAAACAAAGGAGCATGGAAATGGCAGCCAAAGAGATTATCTTCCTCTTCTGGCATAATCCCCATGCTAACTGCTTAGCTCCAGTCTTCTCTAAAAACAAGCCATCCTCATATTGGTAATAAATCTCTGCTTGATTTGGATAAAGAGAAGAGTGGTTTTTTTAGATCTCTGTAGCTGAATGAATATTGCTTTGAATAATAAGAGACCCCATAGCCATAAAAATTAGTTCTGGCACTGATTTTTTTTTAAATGGGCTTTTGCTAAATAGATGATAAAATCCCCAACAGTAAGGACTTTTGGAGGTAAAAAGACACCGTTTCACTTGGATGGGCGAGTTCAATCAAAAAGAGGTCCATGGATTGGGTTTCTGATTGCTCATAATCATTCAGAAGCTTCTAGTGCTGGCATGCCAAGGAGGCAGCCTCTTCAGGAATCCCTGAAGGTTGTCCCAGGCCTCATGATTGACTACTGATAAAGTTGAGAGGACAGAATTCTAACATCAAAGTGTAACACTCACAGTTAACCCAACTCCAATGAAAATACATATCATTCCAATGGTAATATATGCACAGCAGCGTCTTCGTGGAAGTGCACTACCCACTGAGGAGCTGCAAATTCATGAAAGCAAAAGAGAACATTAAGTATTTACATAAAAATTCTCTATTTCATTTTTGTGAGTTCTTATCTATGGCTTTAGTAATATTATATACTTTTTATTCATTGCTTCAACTTTACAGACAAGAACATGCATTAAACATGTCATTTTTAATGGGTGACAAAATCGTTCAGGGTGAATTTGTGATATTATTGTGGCTTTAAACAAAGTTCAAGCCTTGGTCATTGATAATATCCACAGAAATCCATTGTAGTACCTACTAATCTCCCAAGATAAAAGTTTATTTCCAAAAAAATCTATTTCAGAATGGAAAAACAGCTATCTTACAAATAGCATTTGATTTTTTTACAGTTAAAAGAGTATGTGTTTATGTAAAAAATTTAGAAAGTAGAATAAAAAGGAAAGAAACAATGAAGAAAAAGGAAAGAAAAAATTACCTATAATCCCAATATCATAAAATAGTCACTCAGTATTTTTGCATACTTTCCTGTAGCCAATTTTGTACCTTACCAATATATAGCATGAACTTTTTCCCATAATATTCTCAAACTAAAATTCTGATGGATGAATATAACATAATTAAAAAATTTTCTACTATTGTACATTAAAGTATCTTCATTATTATACATAATGCCAACAAAGTATCATTTAAAAGCATTGTGCTTATTTTTAATCATTCTTAAGATTTTTAAATTTAGAATTAGGATTACAAATTAAAGGGATTAAACTTTTTGAATTGTTTTTAATACATACTGCTAAAAGCCCTCTACTGTGCTACTCAATTGAAATTCCAAATCTAATAGTATTCACCCTCTCTGTATCTAATTGTGGTAATTTTCAAAATGATATAAGTTATAGCAGAGATTAGTAGCCAAATTAGCACTTTCTTCTCTGTCTTAACGTACATATATTTATTACTATATACCATATGCAAGGCATCGTGTTAGTGAATGACACAGAAGTATCTGATTCACCTTTGTGTGGCCAGTGTCAAGATTATGCCTAACACATAATAACCTCTCAAAGAATGTCTGATGAATAAGTAAAATACAGAAATTCATCACTTACTAGGCATGATTTAGAAACATGTGATTCCAAATAGGTTAATTTTGCATACAAAATTATTTCCTTTAATTTCCAAATCTTTTTGAAAAACTGATGAAGTTTTTTGCAAATATACATCGTAAATTTTCCTGGGTACTTGAGCCCAAACACAAACATCTGGATGACCTGGGGACCACCATTAATTACTATATTGTACAGCTTGCTATCTAGAGTTACTAGGGCATGCAGGATTCATTGCTTTTATGTAACATTTAGCCCTAGTCTATTTTTGGTTTTAATTTCTATGCATCCACTGGTGGTTTTTCTTGCCTTATACATCACATCTGGTTGTTGTTTCTTATCACTGCCTGTGCATCTGCATTTGGCAGTTTGTAATATACCATTTATTAGAAGCCAACTAAGCTTATTAAAATTATGTACTGAATAAGTCAAAAGTTTCTAAGTGAATATTAGAGCGGCTTTTCTGTGAGCCAAGAGAATACACTTTAGTACATTAATTTCAGTGCATGAATTCTGCTTAGAAAACCTGTGCTCTCTTTTCATCACTCAAATTAAATAGTCACTACATCTGAGAAATCTTCTCTGAAAAAAATAACCTACTGCTACTCCACAACTCAAGTGCCATCTCCTCACAGGATAAGGCAATGACCAACAAGCACTTATTAATCATAAAATCTCTTACATATTTAGTACATATGTGGTATCTACATGCAATATATATTACTGGTACAAAAACAGACACACAGATCAATTGAACGGAATAGAGAACCCAGAAATAAGGCCACACACTTACAAACGTACAACTATCTGATCTTCAACAAACCTGACAAAAACAAGCAATGGGGAAAGGATTCCCTATTCAATAAATGGTGCTGGAATAACTGGCTAGCCATATGCAGAACATTGAAACTGGACTCCTTCCTCATACCAAATTTAAAAATTAACTCAAGATGGATTAAAGACTTAAATGTAAACTATAACATTTATAGTTATATAGGTTGCCTGGAGGACAACCTAGGCAATGCCATTCTGGATATAGGAACAGGCAAAGATTTCATGATGATGACACCAAAAGAAACTGCAACAAAAGCAAAAATGAACAAATGATATCTAATTAAACTAAAGAGCTTTTGCACATCAAAGGAAACTATCAACAGGGTGAACAGACAACCTACAGAATGGGAGAAAAATTTTGCAAACTATGCATCTGACAAAGGTCTAACATCCAGCATCTATAAGAACTTAAACAAGAAAAAAAAACCAGCCCATTAAAAAGTGGGCAAAGGACATGAACAGACACTTTTCAAAAGAAGATATACATGCAGCCAACAATTCTATGAAAAGAAGCTCAACATCACTGATCATTAGAGAAATGCAAATAAAAACCACAATGAGATACCATCTCCCACCAGTCAGAATTAATACTACTAAAAAGTCAAAAAATAACAGATGCTGGTGAGGTTGTAGAGAGAAAGGAACGTAACATTCAGAAATTCAGAATACAGAAGTTTAAAAATAAGTTTATTTTTCTAGCAGATAAAACTTAAAGGTAAATGTACAGCCTAGGGTTGGTAGTCAGCTGTACTCCCTGATTGGTATTGCCAAACTCTACACAGGTAACAACATTCCTGCCAGTTGGCTTTTCCACTCAATTCAAAGAGGAGAGAAAAAACGAAGACAGGCAATTTTGTCTTTAAGGAGAGTATCAGAAAACTGTACTCATCACTTTTGTTCACATTCCATTGGTCCTAACTTAAAGATGGCCACACTATCTGCAAGACAGGCTAGGAAATCCATCTCTAGCTGAGTGGCTAGTCAAATTCAGAGGTCTACTAATAAAAGGAAGGAGAAAACAGCAGTCTCTGTTATTTTAATTGATATTAACATTACATTTTAATGTTGGCTAGTGTTTGCCTGGTATGTCTTTTCCTTTGGTTAGTGATTTATGGTTGTATCTTTTTCTATCCTTATACATTCATTCTATGTTCTAATATTCATGTGTTCCTTCCTCAAATTGTATATAGCTGTTCTTACATCTAGTCTTACCATTACTGTTAAGTTTTACTAGCAAGATTAGTCTAATGATATACATGGACTATTTCTGACACCTTATTTTGGCTTTCTACTATTCCTGTATTTTCTGCTTTTCTACCTTTATTTCCAGACTTCTTTTATATTGACCATGACTCTTTCATTTCATTTTCCTCTTATTATTCTGAAAGTTTTACAATTTATTTCATTCATTTGGCAGTTGCACTTAAAATTTTAACTTTCATATGTTTTAAAAACTAAAGTCAATTATTAAATCCATCTTCCTGATAAATATAAAGATTTTAGAAAGTTTTAACACCAAACATTCCACTAGCATCTTAATGCTACTGTTTTCCAATATTTCAGTTTTATTGTATTTTTGTTTCTCAAAACTTATTAGCATTAATATAATTGGTACTGTCGTTTTGGCTATTTTATACAGTCAGTGTTTCTGGTGAATTGTTACAATTTCTTGGTTTACCTTTCCTTCCTGCACTGCAGAAATTTCTTCTGGAATATTTGTTCATATTCCCTAGTTCATCATTTAGCAGTTTTTTTTTTTTTTAGTAAGGGTACCAGGATGGTAGATACCCTGGGTTTTGTTTGTAAGTTTGTTGGTTTTGCTTTTGAAAATATACTTATTTTACCTTCATTATTCTTTGATGGTTTAGATAGGTGTATAATACCAGTTTGACAGTTAATTTCTCTTAGTATTTTTGATGTATTTTAAAACTTGTTTTCTGGCTTCTATTTTTGCTGTTGAGACATTTGCTGACAGAACTGTTATCTTTTTCTTATTGAAAATATGCCTTTTGTCTCTCTGCTTTTAATTACCTTCTATTTCTCTTAGGTTTTCTACAATTTCACTGTAACACATTTACTTATCCTGCTTGGATTTCATTGTTCTTTTTGAATATAAAAATTCATATCTTTCATAGATCTGAAAATTATTTGAGATTATCTCCTAAAATGCCATATCCCATTCTTTATTTGTTCCTTCCAGATCAGATATATAATTGGCATCTTAATAATATATTTTCTCTTAATCTTACATTCATCTTTGTCTCTCTATGCTAGATTCTGGGTAATTCACTTACCTCTATCTTCCAATTCACAACTTTAGTCTTCACCTTTAGCTGATCTGTTCTTTAAACCGTACGTGCATTTTAATTTCTGTAATAATTTCTAGAAGTTCTATTGTTTCTTTCTATATCTATCTGGTTATTTTTTGCAAATTTCTATTTGAGACAATTATAGATTCACAAGCAGTTGTAATAAATAACACATAAAAATACCATGTACGTTTTGCCCTATTTCCCCCATAGTAAATCTTGCAAATTATAATACAATATTATAAACAGGATATTAACATTCATATAATCCACCAATATTCAGATTTCTCAGGTATATGAGTATGGATTTTTCTTTAATTTTATGCAATTTTATCACGTTTAGGTTCATGTATCTATTGCCACAGCTAAAATAGAGAACAGTCTATCACTGTAAGGATCCTTTTATAACCACACCCTCCTTTCTGCCCATCCCGCACCCTGTGCCTGCCACACCATCATTAATCTGTTCCCTATTTCTACAATTTTGTCATTTGAAAAATGTTACATAAATGAAATCTTACTGCAGGTAACCTTGTATGGCTAAGTTTTTTTTTTTACTCAGCATAAATTCAATTCATCCAAGCTGTTGCATGTGTCAAATTTGCTACAAACACTCACATATACATTTCTGTGAGTACCTGGTAATTTTTAAATAGTCTTACATGTTTTCTCTTATTTTTATTTTAAAACATCTTAGGCATAGTTTTAACATACTCCATATTTAATAATTATAAATCTGAAGTTTTTAGAGGTCTAATTATGCTGTTTGTTGTCAATGTTGATTATGCTTCTGGAATCTTGTTTTCTCCTATGACTAGTAACTTTTGTTGAAAACTTATTTTGGCAGATCTCAATATAAAAAAATTTTGGCATGCATAGTTTGGGGGTGCTTTCCTACATACAGAACTTTCATTTGCTTTTCGCAGGCTCCCTAGACTGATACTAACCCTAAACTTTAAGTCAGTTTCTGGAACTAGGTTTTCCTAGATCGCATAAGTGATATAAAAATATAAACCTAAATTCACTGTTCTTATAAATTTTTTCCTCTGCAATCTTCCTTTTCTGGTTGATTTCTTTTTCCTAACTCACTCTTTTCCAGGGGAAGAGTACTTTAAGTACTTTATTGGGAGGAGGCAGTATTCTAACCCCGCTACCTTGTGTGAGGCCAATGCCTTCTCTCTCATTCTTCCAAGGCTGTAGATCCCTAGTGTTGGCATATACCTTCAGGATAGTCCTGGTTGTCACTTAATCTTCATTTTTGGTCCCCAACTGTCATATGAGCTGAGCTATGCATTTAAAAGGATGATTTTTACAGCTAATTGGTTTTTTATATTACTGCATGTGAAAGTCAAGGGCATATACAAAAATGTGGACAGTGAATCTCCAAGCTGAAAAGACCATTCAATGCTCTCAAACATCTAACTATTCACTCTTCAAATTATTAATCTTTCGCTTCACAAAAACACCTTATGAAACACTAGGATTATGAAGAACACCTGGAAAATGGTAGTGTAGCTAGTGCTACAGGAATTTATAAGGGGAAAAGGCGGCAAACAATGTTCTTTACATTACAATTTTCAGACAAGGCAGCCAGGGATGGCTTTATTACACAAGACTTAAGGATAGCTTAAAATGTGAATAGATGGGGGAGTAAGTCATTTCAGCTGATTACATTAGAATTGTTCAGGTGTGAAAAGAAAATTTGTTCAAGGAATAAGCAGCAGAATAACCTTTGTGCCACAGAATGTTTCTACAGATGAAGAGTAGAAGCAAGGGATGTTTCAGCTAATTTTTTAGGTTAAATAGGTGTTTTCTAGGTAGACAAGGGCAAGGAAAGGAGTAGCCAGGCCATTCTAGGTCTAGCAGGATAAGACTCAGGAACAGAAGAAAGAAACTGCATAATATGTTTGTGGAAGTAGAAGTGCAATTTGTTGGGGCTAGGAAATAACTAGGTTGTGTGTGTAGAGACAGAAGAAAACAAAGATATCCCTAGAAAAGTTAGGCAAAGACTAAAAGAAGTTTGGAGTTTGATTTTGGATTTTAGGCAATGGGCTGATAGTAAACCATATGGTACATTTATGCCAATAAGTAAAAGAAGTCCTCAGAATAATTTATATGAAACTAAATATACAAACCTAAAATAACAATGGAAATTGTACCTCTTCGGGTTGTGCAGCATACAACTTGCACAACTGTATGCCATGGCTAAGAAATTGGGAGCCACTAAAAGATTTGATGCCAGAGAATCTAAAATGACGTATGCATTTAGGAACTACCACTCTAGTAAATGAATAGATAATTGCAGTATTGGAGGTCAAGAGATAAATTAGAAAACCAATGCAATAGTCCTGGTGAGAGATGCTGAATACATGAACTGAAGTAGAAATCATGAGAATAAGAGGACAGAATTAAAATGTCAAGGGACATAATTGATAGGATATTACCATTTAAATATGGAGAATGATAAAAAATACACTAATATTTCTTGGTTGGTCAGTTGGACAGACAGGATAACATTCATTAAAATAATATATTCTTTTTCTAGAAATAATGTAGGGGGTGAAAAAGAAAAACATAATATATTTATCAATACACATGGGAGATTGGTTTGCAGAGTAAGGTGGGAATGCTGGGTCAGGTTGTGCTTGAAATGACCATGAGATATCAAGTTGAAATAATTCTAGGCTAGATAGTGAATAGAGATAGTATATTTAAATCTGAAGCTCCAAAGAAATATCTGGGGTCATTTAATGGCATCTAAATGACATAGGAACATAAGAGAAAACCCGGATAAAGTGCGGTCAAGTTCCAACTTTGGAAAATAGCAAAATTTAACAACTTGGAAGAGAAAGTAAAGCCAACAAAGAAGAGTTGTGAGAAGTAGGAGAAACCCAGGAGAAAGCAGTATCTGGAAACCAAGAAAACAAACTTTAAGGAAAAGAAACCATTGTATTAGTCAGGGTTCTCCAGAAAGCCAGAACCAACAGGAGATAGATAGATAGATAGATAGATAGATAGATAGATAGATAGATAGATAGATAGATAGATAGATGAAATAGATAAGAGGCAATTTATCAAGGAAATTGGCTACTGTGATTATAGAGGCTGAGAAGTCTTGCAACAGGGGATCTGTAAGAGTCCCTGGACTGTTGGCAGTGTGGCTCAGTCTAAGTCCAAAAGCCTCAGAATCAGGGAAGCCAATGGCGTAATTCTCAGTCTGAGGAGGAAGGTCTGCGGAGCTGAGGGACCACTGGTGTACGTCCCAGAGTCCAAAGGTCAGAGGGCCTGGAGTTCTGATGTTCAAGGGCAGGAAAAGAGTGTCCAAGTTCCAGAAGAGTGAAAATTGCCTTTCCACTGCTTTTTTTTTTTCTATTGGGCCCCCAGCGAATTGGATGGTGTCCACTCACATTGAGGGCAGATCTTCTCCATTCAGTCCACTGTCTCCTCTAGAAACACCCTCTCACACATATCCAGAAGTAATGCTTTACCATTTCTTTAGACATTCCTTAATCCAGTCAAGTTGACACCTAAAATTAATCAGCACACCCAGGATGATCAATAGTATCAAATGCTACAGAGAAAACAAGCAGGATGAGAATCAAAATATGGAATTTATTATTGGGATGTGAATTTCATTAGAGCAAATTCAGTGGCCCACTGGGGATGGATAGCTAATTGTGCCTTATTCCAAAGAGAATGGGGTGCAATAATCAAATGAAGGTATAAGCCTTGGAAAGAAGAGACATGCATCCCTCTGAGAAGAGGAAATGAAGTGAGCATGGATAAAGACAGGTTTACGAGTATGAAATACAAAAATGAGAGAATTCACAGATAGCCTCAATTATTTCAGAGATAGGAGGCAATTCATTGGATGAGACCTGGAGAGTTGGGGGTACTGAGGTGGGGGTTTAGGAGGAATAGTAGATATCTGGAGATAGCTGTTTTGGGAAATGGGAAGTCAATCAAGGACACTTAGGAATATAGATCAATTTAGATAAATTACAAATCTATACATTTGTAAAGAACTGAATACAGAATTTTTTCAACTCTCAGTTATCTTGGTGAAGGAAGGGAGAAGCCATGGCTATATTGATCCAAGATTGCTGCTTTGAAAAGCAGATAGATGGAATGATGATTAACCAATCTAGCAAACCTACTATTCTATATCTAATATGTTGAAAATGAATTTATCATCTTCTGCCAGACACATTTCTTCTAGATCCTGCATGTCCTGTCTCAGTGAATGGTTCTACAGCCTCTCAGAAATAGGGTCATTCTTGATCCCAATCTCTCTCTCTCTCATTCTTTCACATTCAGTCCTATCCATTCCATTTCCTTACTAGTACATCTATACTCTGACTCCTTTGTACCTTTGCACAGGTAGCTCCTTCTACAGTGCACCCTCTTTTTCACACAATTCTCACTCATCTTTTATAACTTAGTTCATATATCACTCCCTCCTGAAAACCTTCACTCAAGATCCCTTTCCCTCTAATCTGGATTAGGGACTCTTCAAAGCAGAGCATTCTGGTCATACCTCTTTCAAAGCACTTAAAACTTTATAGTAATTAACTATTCTCCCCACTATGCCCACAAGACTAAATTCCTTGAAGGCAAGATTATATCTTTTATTTCAAGCAATCAGTACTTAGCACAGAATTGTTTGTTGAATTAATGAATAATTATAAAATATAACACTAGATGGCAAAATAAATGGATAACACTTGAGAATAAGCCCACTATTGTTTAAAATGGCAGGAGGTGATTCACAAAAGTACATCAGTGATGTAAAAGAAATGATATTCAATGATAATTGTCATGGATTAAATCAATGTCTCTACTAGTCATAGGTCCATTATAACATTTGCATGGAAACATAGTCCAAACTGTATTTCAGAATGCTACAAGTACACCTTCAGTCTGGCAGTGGCCACAAGCCACCTAATTAAAAGAACAACATCACCTTTAGCTACCATAGTACCAGCTACCATTCGAGTAAGAAACAGCAATATGAGAAAATGCCCCTCAGTCTTTGGAGCTCTAGGGGAAGCTTTCCCCATACATTTTGTGAGATAAAAGCACATAACACACTTGTTTCACAGTAATAAATTTACCAACTTCTGTAACTTAAAACTAATTTTAGGATATTTGTGTTTAAAGAAAAAAAATTCTGTCTCAGAATCTTACTCCAACAGATGACCCATCATTTTGCTCTGAAGGAAAACATTCAAAAAGAAAATAAATCTAGATACCAGCTAGGAGTGTTCATGTGGTCACAGTATTTGCACTCAAATAAGTAATGAATGCTCTGAGTCCTCCCATGTTTAGCATGTGACTCTGATTCTACAAACCTTCCTCTTAGAATAATGTTTAAGCTGATTTATTCCATGTGAATTTCTATGTAAGTTGTTCCCTAAGTAGTTGATACAAATTCTTCTTCATATTAATACACTGTCTTGTGATATTTTAACAAATCACGGAGTATTCAGACATTCAATACTTCCTTATTAGTAGTAAAAATATTGCCATTGTACGAAAATAATTAACCAAGCAAGTCCCTTGAGCAAAATCCTTAACCTCTCTTAACAGTTGCTGATTTGTAAAATTACAAAAATCATCCCTGTATTACAGGATTGCTGTAAAGATTACAGCTAGTATATATGTATATATAAAGCAACTATCACTCTGCTTAGCACACAGTCTGCTAACCACAGAGGTCTCTGTCAGGCCAGGTGCAGTGGCTCATGCCTGTATTCTCAGCACTTTGGGAGGCTGAGACGGGTGAATCACCCGAGGTCAGGAGTTCGAGACCAGCCTGGCCAAAATGGTGAAACCCCGCCTCTACTAAAAATACAAAAATTAGCCAGGCGTGGTGGCGTGTGCCTATAGTCCCAGCTACTTGGGAGGCTGAGGCAGGAGAATTGCTTGAACCCCGGAGGTGGAGGTTGCAGTAAGCTGAGATCGTGCCAGTGCATTCCAGCCTGGGCAACAGAGTGAGACTCTGTCTCAAAAAAAAAGAAGTCTCTGCCTTTTCTTTTCTATAAGATCTTTATTTCCATTTTAATGTTCTTGGTGAATATATTTGCAATTTAATTTTGTACATTTTCGTGAAAATACACATAATACCCAGAAATATGTATCATCCATATGCATATTCACATACTTTGGAGGGGGGAGTATAGGTGTGTTCCTCAAGTACGTATATATTATTTTGTGCACGTATTAAGGGTTTATCCACTTTGCTTCTCCATGTACAGACTTCTATTGGATTCAGTAAGGAATCAGAATGATTAATTTCACAAATAAAAAAGAAACTATTTTTTATAAGCTAAGATATGCTGTAAAGTTATTCTTACAGAGCTATATTTAGTTGAAATCAGATCTAGCAGAGATGGAGATATTTTGCTACACATATTCTACTTCCAAATACTTTTTAATTACTTTCTCCTATAAACCATTCTTGGGATTTCTCAACTCTCAATGTAGATAAGGTATTTATATCATACTAAGGATCACACAAATTAAAATATGAATATTATTTCAAACCTCTTATTTTCAATAATAAAAATTGGATTGTCTAAGCATTCCAGTTTAATTTACTTTGCTTCAGTTATAATTCACATACATAAGAGGATAACAATAATTTTTTAAATTATAATTTTATTATCAAAATAGATGCAGTGCAGAAAAGAGTTAACACAGTAGGCCTGAGACTGCTATCCTTAGAAAGCCCTGCTTGTAAGGTTGGCCCTTAGCTGGCATCTAGAAATTTAGATTTGGGGAGAATTCCCATCATTCCCTAACTGGTAAGAGTGGCTTATTATGTATAAATTGTTTGTGTAAACAGTATGGTTTATGCTAAACATAAATTCCATTCAAACAGGAATTTGGAATTTTGGTGTGTGCTAGGTAGGATGTGCCTGTGTAACCAGCTCCAGTAGAAACCTTGGGTACTAAGTCTCTAATGAGCCTCCTGGTAGACAACATGGTACATGCATGGTAATAATTCACTGCTGGGGTACTTCACTGGGAGGGGCCCCTTGGAATCTTGTCCCTAGTTTCCTCCAGACTTTGCTCCATCTGCCTTTTCCTTTTGCTGATTCTGCTTTGCATACTTTTGCTATAATAAATCATACCTGTGAGTACAACTATATATTAATTTCTATGAGTCCCTGTAGAAAACCAAGGAACCCTGGTGTAGTCTTGGGACCCCCAACACAGATGCTATAAAATGTCTTTAATCAAAATATCTTCTATTATTTTTCATTTTATATTGTCATTATTTTCATTAGGTGCATCATTTAGGAATAGAGAGAAATAGGCTAAATAATTAAGATAAACAAATAATTATATAAATGCTGCTATCAGTAATAATCTTATTAGGCAGGAGATGAAAAAGGCCAACAATCACCTAATTATGAAGTCCAGAACAATTTGAGTTTTCTCCTAGATTACAGCCCATTTTATAAATGTAAATTTTAGATTATTTGTAACAGATTATAATATCCTAACCAGGTTACTGATAATTTTTAGCAATTTCACTTTCTTATAATAGAAATTGATTTCCCTTTAGATGATGATAATCAAGCCTAATCATTTTAATTTCAAAATGGGATATATTTGTTTTAGGATATCTTTTTAGTCTTAAAAAGCATAAATACATTGGCATGGATTCACTCCACAGCATGTTTTAAAATCAAAATCTACTTAAGTGAAAATTCTGAACTCTTCAAATTTGTCTCAAGTATTTCTCAATAATATTTCCAATGGTAGGGAACTTACATTTTTTTGCAGTGTGGGCATTTTGCCAGAGTGTTGAACCTCAGTTCCATCCACTGTAAAATAAACAAAGAGAGGAATTGAAAAGAAAACAACTGAAAACTATCCAATCTGATAAGACATTTCTTTTACTTTAAATGTCATCAGGGATCACAACAGAAGCAATCACCTTCTCACGGTTACATGAGTTTTTCCCTCCAATACTTCTCTCCCTCTCTTAAAATACAATATGAGATCCTCCTCTGAAATAGTTCCCATGACTTTTCCAATGCTCTGACGCAATCTAGGTTTGCTTTACATGAATACTGAATGTAATACCATAATTGGGGTCATCTTGTTCAGTAAGTCTCAGTTCACTTCCAACGAATACAATCATATTTCATATACCATCAAAGTTATTTTTCTTTTAAGTCTTGAGGGCTGGCCTTTTAAATACTTGAATATTTAGATTCATTACTAAAATTAAACTATTTATTCTACTTATGTGAGAAAGTCACCAAGTACATAAACTAAAAAGTCGGGAACTGTTTCCTGTTCTGTCATTGCTTATACAATATAACAAAAACACACTGCTTAGTACAATTTTCTTCCCTGTAAATCTAAGTAATAAATGTGCTACCTTCCTCACATGAATGTTATTCAGATACTTGAAATGACTTACTGGTTGTAGATAGTCTTTGAAGGAATATGCAATATAAATTTAAAGTAAATCTTTATCCCATGAAATATATTTTGTTAAATGACTTTCTAACAATCTTCTTCTATCTTGTTTGCTTTTCTATATACTTCCTTATAAAGGGTATATTTCCTTGATAGTTTTGGGAAAATTTCTTTAAGTACTTTGGCAGTTTATCATCAAAACAACATATTTTTATTAAAATTGTTTCATTTGGAAATCTAGGCCAACAATTTTTCTTTTCAGAAGGCTCAAATTCTAGATACGGGGGTTTCAATAACTTATGGATATTCAAACGTTTTCCACACAATAGAAGATACCTTTTAGAAAATATCTGATGCATACTTTTTTCTTTTATGATTAGAGTTAAGAAAAGAAAATATAAATTTGGGTTTCCTAAACTCCTTTCTCTTCATTTTTATTTCAAATCTCATGAAATTTAGTTAACCTTGTTATGATCTCGCTTAGTCACAACAGGAACATATAGTCCCAAGATAAATAAAAGAGAAATAAAACTTTACATGAATGTTCACTCTCTTTACAAAATGATTATTTTTAAACATCTGCAAATGTCAAACCAAGGGCACTTATTTTTCAAGCTAGAGTGAATATTTCTCTCATTAATTATGAGAGAATTACTTATAATATCAATTTGCAACAAGTTAATTTATTTTAAAACTGCTCTTAAAGTAAAAATTCTTGAGTTAATGTGCTAAACAGATATTAATATAGATTTCTACAGAAATTGGTATAGAACATTAAGCAGTGGAAGAATATAGAACTATTATTAAGTGCTTTTTTATGTTTCTGTTACAGGCTTAGGATAGTTACTGAACTTGTAATGTCATTTCAAATGTTATTTATAAATAAAAAATTTAAGTTTTTCATAGTTAAAAGAAGCAAACTGGTTTGAGAAGGTAATTATGAAACCTTTGAGTCAAGAGTAACTCAAAATCCAAGACTTAAGGCTAACAGACTGACATAGGAATTTCAGTATTTTAGATGATGCCTAAGGAGATTGTTTAGTCCAATGTTATCATTTTATAGTGTTCTTCATTTTAGCACAAATTATGCATGATAAAATCAATGATAACTGACAAACAGTAGGGACTTTATTCTGTAATTAATGTATTACATTGCCAGCAACCTACCACATCTGGTTTTGTTGTTATCTGCAAGTACTCACTTAAACGGAGCAAACTAATAACAAAAAGCATCTATTATTAGAATAATTTTCTTATAATTTATTCAAATGAATCCCAAACCTATGCTTTGGAAAAGAAGTTGACTTAGTACTGTTCTCTCATCTAAAATCTGGCCTCTGGATTCTTAAAATTTTATTGCCAGACCTTGAAGTCTCATTATACCAAAAAGAAAAAAATCTTAATTATATCAGCAAGATTAAAAGCAACTTCTCTAAAACCCAATCATTTTTAGTAGAGATCTTCTAAAATTTGACTTATTTCTAACTATTCTATAACATGTAATGGATAAATTGAGTTTCCCCAAGATATATTTTGCAACTAATCTTAGAAGATTTGTAAAAAAAAAAAAAAAAGCTATATTGCTTAAAACTAATAATTTAATTTTATAGTATCTTACTGAGATAGATAGATAGATAGATAGATAGATAGATAGATAGATAGATAGACAGATAGATACAATAGGCAACTGGTAACACTTTGAAATATGTTCAAGTTAAAACTATTATCCCTCTCTGCTATGGCACCCATTTGTCCCTAGATACAAATGAAAAAAATCTGGCCCTGCCTGAAGGTACTAAATTGGCCCACTTCAGGGCAAAGTTAGAACTAAGTTGTGTTCACTTTTATTAAAGAACAACAACCCTCAGTCAATGTTGATTAACAAAGTATCTGGATATGCCTTTTACCAGCAACAGAGACCATGGGCCCTACAGAAATGTAATAGTAAACTCTGCTGTTCAGTTGTGTTAAGAAACTTCTTTGCATTTATGGAGAACTAGCTAAAGGCTTTATAAGTCAATTCATTCTTCTGGGAAATTATTTTTCAAACAATGCCCTTCAAATCACCACTCAGGCTAGATGATCTCAAAATGGTTTGGAGGGTAAAAAATGTTTGGACATACAACATAAAAACTCCCTCTTAAATATATACAATGGTATATGCTAAAACTGCTAAAGAATATCCTATTTTAAATTCTGTTTAATTTTTTAATCCTAGCAATTCCCAACGAACATGGAACTCTTTACTCACAAACACCTGTTATTAACCTATAAAATAAATGTGCCATTGAATACACTTTGGAAAACGCAAATCTGGCTTTTCTACATTTATCCATGGTCCCAGCTAGGCTGTGGTATGAATAGTGTAAATATTGTGAATTCCTAGAAAATTTAACCTTACCATTATAGCACTGGTATATTAAACAATGTTATTATAAACAGAAGGATGCTGTGAGAATATGGAGAAGCTAGTCTCTAGCTTGCATATTACTTTAGCAATTGTGTTTTTTTCTGGGGGTAAAATATCAAAATTAAATTATTTTTAAGTATAAATTTTTTAAATAATAAAAGCCTTGTCACATATAATAGTTCTTTTATCTTAATCCTTGAGAGAATTCTCTCTCAGGAGAGAGAGCTCATTATTTCAGGAAAAGCATTTCCTATGTGATCTTTCCAATAAAATATCTTGAGTATTTTGTCACAGGTCATATTTTCTTTTCTTTGACTCTAGAAAACTCAGAGCTAAGATTCAGCCTGATTTTATCAACTGTATTAGACTAAATATTAGCATACTCATATTATGCATGACTTCAGGTTGTTTTTTTCTGCCCTAATTATTATTTTTCCTGATTTTTTTTCACATTTGATTTTCAATCATATTGAACTTAGTGTATCTTTGTAACTTATCTCAATTGCTTTTAGCCTTGCAAGCTAAGTCTAAAACAAAGTAGGAAATGAGTAAATGAATTAACCTAATAATTAACAGTGTGAAGGGCAAATAACATATTATGAAGAATATAAGATTAGTCAAGATCAGCATAATAATAAGGATAAGGCTGTAAGAACTTTGTAGTCAGTGTATTCTTCATAATACTGAGCATCTCTCATTAATCCAAAACTCTCAAAAGTAACCAATACCTCTCCTATAGGTGTATACAGTGTTCCCCTAATCAACAAAAACTTCCTATAAAATTTTGAAATCATCTTTAAATACTGTATTTTAATCCAAAACATCTTTTCTTGCTAAAGAATTAAAGTTTTAAATAATAGTTACTCTGCTAATATGATAATATGATTCACTTGCCTGCACTGAATGTTAAGTAAGGAAGAGCCAGCTTTAGAAGTTAGTCTCTGAAAGAGCCAGCTTTAGAAGTAAGTCTCTGGCTTGCACATTACTTTAGTAATTTTCTTCTTGGGGAAAAATATCTAAATGTACAAATTACTTTTTAATATAATAGAAACCATGGCACATACATATCTACCTAAACTCTCAATTTAGATCATTCTCTAGAATTCATTGCCAGATGATTCTAAAAATTAAATATAAACCTTTATAACAACTGTCTTTTTGATTGTTCTTTTCTCCTCATTCCCTTTTCTACCCTATTAGTACAGTCAATTCTCTCTCAAATTCTTTATGCTATTCTTGACTATCATCATCACTTTGCTGAAAAATAAAAGCCAAAATTCTAGCCTTGTGCTTTTTCAGGCTTGTCTCTTTGCTATCCATTCCTCTCCTATTAGGTTAGAAAATTTCATGAAAGCAGAGACTGTGCTTCCTGTTCACCACTGTTTCCCTAGCACCTAGCTCAGTGCCTGGTACACACACTCAATATATATAATTGAAAAAATAAAATCATTCCTTTTGTAATGTGGCTACAAGGATTATCCATGGCAAATATTTGGAAGATAAAACGTAACAAGAAAGAATGCAAGGTAGCTGTAGAAGGGAGATCTCCAGAAGTAGGTTGAAACAAATCTATATTGAAGATTTTAAAATTGTGTTACTGTCAAAAGTTTGTTCACATATGAAAAAGAAAATAACAAATATGCTTTATATATTTAATTTAGTTAATTCATTTAATATCTATTGGTAACTATAGAGTACGTTAGTTTATATTAAATCAGTATATACTGATTTTTATTTATTTTAAAGATAGGGTCTCATTCTATCACCCAGGCTGGAATGCAGTGGTATGAACATAGCTCGCTGCAACCTCCAACTCCTGGGCTCAGGTAATCCTCCCACCTCAATCTCCTGAGTAGCTAGGACTATAGGTGCATGCCACTACCCCTGGCTAATTTTTAAATGTTTTTGTAGAGGTGAGGTCTCTATGTTGCCCAGGCTAGTCTCAAACTCCTGGCCTCAAGTGAGCCTCCCATGTTGGTCTCTCAAAGCACTGGAATATCAGGGCATGAGCCACCATGCCCAGCCTATAGTGACTTTTTAAAAAGAAAGTTGTTACCTATCCCCACCAAGTATATTTTCTAATTTACGTACTTAGTCACTGATTTAATCAATAAAATATAAATGTAACAAAGGAGACATATCCTACTAAATCAGAAAAATCCTAGCAATTCTGGTTAAATACAGTAAATTGAATAAATGCATGCATTTCCATTTTTTTCCAAACCTGACTAAAATAATAGTAATTGAATTTTGAAATGTATAATACCATAAGGATAAAAAAAGAGGGACTATGACTTCAAATTTTTGGACAATGGAAAGCAGATGGACTTTGCAACTCACTTAGCGAAAGGGATGTTGAAACTTAACTACCTACAGAGAGATAAGCCAATAATGGCAGGCTGCTTCACACTGAAAGACCCAGAATAGACCCTATACTTTTAAAGGTGGAGGCTGGGGTAAGGATAAAGCAGGAGTATCACAATCCCAAGCTCATTGCAGCATTATTCATAAAAACCAAGATATGGAAACAACCCAAATCTCCATCGACAGATGAACGGATAAAGAAATTGTGGTATATGCATACAATGAAATATTATTTAGCCTTAAAAAGAAGGGAATTTTGCCATTTGTAACAACATGTATTAACCTGGAAGATATTATGTTAAGTGAAATAAGCCTGACACAGGAAGACAAACACTGCACGATCACGCCTGTATGTGGAATGTAAAATAGTTTAATTCATAGAAGCAGAGAGTAGAATGGTGGTTGCCAGGCATTGAGGTGGGTGAGGAAAGGGGAGATTTTAGTCAAAGAGTACAAAGTCTCAGTTAGGCAGGCTGAATAATTTCTGAAGATCTAATGTACAGTATAGTGACTATAGTTACCAATATTGTATTATATACTTGAAATTTATTAAGAAGGTAGATCTTTAGTATTCTTACCACAAAGACACACACACACACACACACACACACACACACACACACGATAACTATATGAGGTAATCAAAATGTTAATTAACTTGATTGTGGTAATCATTTCACAGTATAGACGTATATCAAAACATTAGGCTGTACACCTCAAATATACAATTTCTGTTGGTCAAATATAACCCAATAAAGCTGGGAAAAAAACAGAAGTATTGATTGCAAATTCTCACAAAACCAGAAAACCACCCTTCCCCAATATATTAAGAGAAGAATGATTTATTCTGTAGAGAAATTGGACTATAGAGCTTGTGGACCAGGAACACCAGGCACAGAAGACGGCACGAATAAAAAGTCACTCTAAAAACAAAGGATTTAAATTAATGTCTATTGTTTGAAAAGCGTGTAAGAGCTTCACCCCTATTACCTCTCTTAGCTCCTAAAAGGCTGTCTCTCGGGCATATCTCCTACAAGAGATTAGAGGATCTTTCCCCAGAGAAATCTGCCCTAAAGAAAAAAAGACCAATTGATACTAATAGCTGACAGCTTTACAAAGAAAGAAGAGGAGGAGGAGCAGGAAGAGGATAAGGAAGAGTGGAAGGAGGGGGAGAAGGAGGGAGAGGACGAGGAGGAGACAGTTTTCACCTATCCCCTGCCTGCATACATAGAGACTCCAATCAGTGACTTGCTCTCAAATATAAACTTCTGCATAAAACTTCTATCAAAAGAAATACCAATAGAAAAAGTAGTGAGAAAACAGAGATAAGGCATAAAGAAGAAGAATACCTCAGAAAAAATGTAATTAATGGCTTCAGAAAGATGTTTGAAATGCTTGTTCTTTGGTGCCATAAAGAAATAGCACTTGGACATAAATTTAATTTTCTCAGCAAGGCCATTTTTATACTTTCTGCAGAAAGGGTACACTCGCCAGCAGTTTTGCCACAAGAGTACACTGAACAAAAGAGACAGGGTCATTTATAACCTGATGCATCGACCTTACTGCTGTGTCTGGTTTCTATTGGCTGGAACAGGACTTCGCATTCTGTATTTGTCTTGATTGGCTAACACCTTAGAACTTTCTAAAAGAGGCAAAGGCAGAGGAGAACAAAGGAAGGAGGAAGTAACTTGTGGAATGCTGAGAAAGGTAAAAACACCTTCAAATAAGAAGAGGAACAGGCTATGACCAAATGCTTGCTTGGACCAGTATAAACATGCCAGGGCAAATATTTAGGCTAAATTGTGGGAGCTAAGAACATAAAGTACATTGATTTCTTTATTACAGCTAGCAGATATTTAATAATGTTAGCACAGGTCTTTGAATAAATTTTGCTTCTAAGAAAAGTTACTATTTACTCCTAATTAGACGGAGACGAAAGTCTTTGAAGAGGAACCTCTACTTTACTTTTTACAAAGATGTCATGAAAAAGGAATGCTATTAAAAAATCGGAGACAAACAAAGGCTCCTAGAAATTAAAAATTAAGTTAGATCATCTGAAATTAAAATTTTAAATTAAGATGAGGAGATATAATGAAGTTTCCCACTAAATAATATGAAAAAACAAAATTAAAAACCAAAAAAATGGAATGGACAATAACAGGGCCCACTGAATATCCAAATGATGAGTTCAAAAAGACCCTCACGAAGACATAGACTCATGAAATTTCAGAACACTGAAGAAAATGAAAGAGGAAAAAGAAAAAGAAGAAAAAATATGTCATATCAAAAGGATCAGGTATCACAATAGCTGTTGATCTTCTCATCAACAATGGAACAAAGACTTTAAATTTCTGAAAGGTGACAACTGGCAACCTAGAATTGCACATCTAGACAAATTATAAAGTGAATGTAAGATCAGATTAAAAACCACTTAAGAGAAAAAGAGCTCAAATATAATATTTCCCTGCATCTTTTCTCAGAAAGCAAAGAGTAGATGTGCTCCACCAAAATGAAGGAATAAACTAAGAACTCTGAGGATGGCATGGGATCCAACACAGGAAAGAGGTAAAAGGAATTTTCATGATGATGGTGAAGGGAAGGATGACAACTATGTAGCAGGAAGCCTAAATAAGAGATTCCTTGATGCAATTAATTATAGTAATAGGTATTTTATAGTTCTACACAAGAATATGAGAAGAATGAATGATTTACACATAGAAAATTAAATCCAAAGGAGGGGGCAATTATTTGTAAGTCCAAGAAAATGTTAAAATGCATGCACAAGAAAAATGTACCACATTGCTTGGTTCAGCTGTGAACAAAATTTACCTAATCATAAAAATTGTAAACACTAAGTATTAATTAAACAAAATGTTGCAATTTGACTGGGAGTATGAAAGCAAGGAAAGGAATATGAGTGGGAGGGCAGTATAAGTGCTAAGTTCTCATTTTGCAGTTTACTATTTAGTGGGTAATGTCTAAAATTGCTTAATCAAATAGAAAAAGGATAAGCAATTTAAACACATAGAAGTCTGGCCAACATTATGTAACCCCATCTGTACTAAAAATACAAAAATTAGCCAGGTGTGGTGGTGTGCACCTATAATCCCAGCTACTTGGGAGGCTGTGGCAGGAGAATTGCTTGAACCCGGGAGGCAGGGGTTGCAGTGAGCTGAGATCACGCCACTGTACTCCAGCCTGGGCGACGGAGTGAGACTTCATCTCAAAAAATAAATGAATAAATAAATAAAAATTTAAAAATTATAAAAAATAAACACATAGAAGTGACTATCAATAAAGTAGCTGAAAGAGTTGAAAGCATTTTGGGAACAGTAACTAGGGGTCAGCTAGATGAGAAGATTGCAGTCCCATTTGACATTTAGAACTATATACATAAAGTTCTTTAATAAAAGTAAAATTACAAATAAAAAAAAGCAAACCACTTATATTTTCTTAAGCTCATTCATGTCTTAGTGACAGCAGGTTTTGTTTAGACTCCCATGTGTATACTCTGATAAATATTTTTCATATTCAAGTTCTAAAGAAAATGTTTGTCTCCTATATGGGCTGAACAATAAAAGAAAACCTGTCCTTATCCTTCCTGACAGGGTAAGTTAATTATGAATTTAACTTTAAAAAAAATCAAACTAAGTTTAAGTTAGAAGTAGTAAAACAAAAACTTTTATAACTTTTGCTCATATCAAATTACTTATACTTTCTTATTCTTTATCTAATGGTTTTATCTAATTATGGGTAACAGTGTTAATTCCCTTTGCTCCAAGAATAATTTATAAAAGTCAGAAAATTTTTGATAAATTATTATTCAAATTTTTCCTCAATCTAGAAGCCATGAAGCAAATCTACTGCATGAGATTGTGCACTTTGACCTCTGCTGAGCAGGTGAGAGCAGGGCTAAGACTCAGCTGCTCCCCAAGCCAAGATACTCATGGAACTAAGCCTGGGCACGATTTCTCATTGGCCTACATAGAGAGGATCCTTTTTGCAACTGGACTTATCAGAGGACGTACCTTTTATCTAGTTCACAGAAGATGCTCTATATCCTAGTTGCACTTCTGATTGTCTGCCTAAATAAGTCTCTATTTTAATATTTTGATTAATTTGCATTTGGACAAAACTATAAGACTATGAGCAGTGCTCTAATCTGTAAGATCATGACCTATATTTACAGATTAATGACAAATGTCCAGTGACTTACCAGGAATGTGTTTCCACAGTGCCCACACACGACCCTTGTACCTTCTGGTTGGATTGGCAATGCAGGCTGAGCTGGTTGTTCTTCAGAAATAAGCATTACTGGGCCAAGGTTAATTATCCGTCTACTGTGAAAAGAGAAAGGAAACAACTTCACTATCCCACAAATGGACTGAGAGCAAAACCTGCAACATATGGCCAAAAATATGAAATGTGCTATACTTGTTTCATAAATTAAGTGAATTAAATGTCAAGCTGGAGGCAAAACTACAAAGAGTAGCAACAGTCAGTTTTTCAAAAGCAAAATATGAGTCTGTACTTGGGATAGAAACAATATATTATAGCATTGGTCCTAATCAATGGCAACCATTTAACTGTCATTTCCAAGTTTTTGTAAGTTCAAATCAGAAAACAGTTGTTACCCTTCCTTATCTAGGAAGCCAACTTGAGTTTGGTAGAAGACTAAGTTAAAAATATTCTATACCAACAAAAATCTCTGTGCCATGAAGGCACCGAAGGGCTGGGTTACAACCAAATTTCTCTGAGCAGTGTGATATTCCTTGATGCGTATTTAATCAGAGATGAAAAGAAAGCAAACAGGATCCTGCTTTCATTTCTATTCTCTAGTCTATCATTGGATAGGGCTGTACATGATTCATGTAATGGTCAAAAAGCTAGAGAGATCACAGAAAAAAAACACAAGTAAGGCCTTTATATACTTGTATCTGGGGACATCCATAATGGTACTGGGCATGAGCGAATAATTCCAGAATTTATTGCACATATACATTCAGCAGAGATTAGTATAATATACAGTGAGATACACAAAAATAACTAAAACACTTGCAGGTGAAGATTAATTATATCAAAAGTAAACTAAGTGATTACTTTTTTTTTTTTAAGAGATGGGCCAGGCATGGTGGCTCATGCCTGTAATCCCAGCACTTTGGGATCACTTGAACCCAGGAGTTCAAGACAGCCCGGGCAATATGGTGAAACCCTGTCTCTACAAAAAAAAAAAAAAAAAAAAAAAAAAAAATATATTACCTGGGAGTGGTGGTGTGTGCTTGTAGTCCCAGCTACTCAGGAGGAGGCTATAGTGGGAAGGCTTTCAGGGCAGAAGGTAGAGGTCACAGTGAGCCAACTCTTTTGAGACTCTTCCCGTTGAGACTCTGTCTCAAAAAAAAAAAAAAAGAGAGAGACTAACAGATGGGGTCTCACTCTGTTGCCCAGGCTGGAGTGCAGAGGCACAGTCATAGCTCATTGAAGGCTTTAATCCCTAGGCCCAAATGATACTCCTGCCTCAGTCTCCCAAGTAACTGGGAATATAGGTGCATGCTGTCACACCTGGCTAATTTTTTGTAGAGATGGGGTCTCACTATGTTGCTCAGTTTGGTCTCAAACTACCAGCTTCAGGCAATCCTCCCACCTCAGCCTCCCAAATTGCTAGGAATACAGGCATGAACCACTGGCCTGACCTCATTATTTTTAAATACGTTCAATGTGTCATTGATTTATTACAGTGCATTAAGTACTTACATAACACAAAGAAAACATTCATTGCTCATTTAAGAATATTATATCCTACAAATATCTATGACTAAGTTCAAACTAAGCTTATCATTCCTTTAACAAAAAAATAATCTAGATTCTGGAATGACTTTGAAAACAAAAACTCTTTCTAGAACAAAGCCTGGCACTGAAGAACCTTTAGTAAATACTTGTTGAATGAACAAATGAATGAATCAATGAATTAATCTTTATCTCTTACCAGTTGGGTCTTGGGCATCCTATTCGCCGAGATGTGTCCTTACAAATGAGAAGACAATTACAAGGGCATCTAACATATTTCTTGCCTGTTGGGGGGTTTTTGATTGGCTGGATAAGGGAAGAAAATGCAAACACAGCAATTAACCAAAGTACAGATTGTCAAAGTTTGTTTGTGTTTAAAAAGGAAAGGATTCCATTAAAACTAATGAAATATATTGCTTTTGTAACTTAAGGTTTTATTTTATGATTTTTCTATAAAACATATGAAGTCAAGTATTCATGTTTTGTGGTCCTTCAAGACACAATAATCACTGGCTGACTTTTTTTAGTCTTTTCTAAAGAGAAAAAAATAAAACATCAAAGATAAAATTAATATTTAATTGCAGATTTTGAGAGATCAAAATGTAATATATAAAGCCTAACTATGAAAGAAATATATTTCATCTAAACCAGTGTATGCTTTACCAGTTTATTACTTGAAGCTATAAAAATACTGCTGAAAATTTAGTTGCTCCCCAAAGCTCAATTTTTAAAAAAGGAAAGGTGTTATTCAATATTTTAAACATTCCTAAATTACTATCAACTAAATTGAATAAAATGTCAAACTATTTGTAAACACTTTGGCACAGATGCTAATAATAAATGCATAATCACAAAAGCCCAGAAAAACAATAGTGACATCCTACAGACATAAAATAACTTCAAATAATTTTCCACATAAATAGGGCAAAGTTTACATCTGTAATGAAGTTTAGTACACAATATTTTCATTTTAATGAAAACAAGAATGAATGTAGTTGTGATGTGGATAGATATTGAAAGTATTTATACGTAACTGCCATGCTCAGTCTAGTTTTTGAAAGTAAAAAGCCAAAAGGCATTATATTTAAATTCACCATGAAATTCTCTTAATGGGGTTAGCTTTAAACACAGTGAGGTATCCTATGATGAAAGAGAGACAGAAGAAAAGACAGGAAAAAAGATTACCATATTTGTATCCAGCCCACATATACTTTTAAGTAACATTATTGAAGTACTTCCTTTAGGAATAAAATGTCAAATAACAATTTATATTTTTTCTAATGGAAATCTCCACTTACCGTAGCTTCATTGCAAACTGTGCACTTAACCACATGCTGGTGAAGCTTGCCATCCAAATTGATTAGTGATTGGCACACACGGCAGTTTATTACTGGAATACCACTGGCGTCTGGACTGGCAATGGCTGTATATGGAGGTGGGAGCTCCGCTGAAAAGATATTAGTCACTGAATCAGAGTCTTGGAGAAATTACTATGGCTGGTTTGAGTATAGAGGCAATATAAGTAAAGAAGAAACAATCAAGATTTTCCCACGTTCTTTTATTTATTTTTCAAAGCTAGCCAATTTATCTTACTTTTAGAGCACAAACATCCATGAGACTCTTATCAAGTAAAATAATTCTTAACTCTGATAAAATCTAAATCATGTTTGCCTAGGTCTATCCCAATAACCCAGTTTCCTTTTACTAATCTATACTCAAAATGTCACTCCATTCCTATTAGTAAATTCATACAGTCTCTAACAGGAGAGTGGTAATTTATGCCTACAATAAAAATTTTACACAAGTGATCTGATTCCCAGGAAATAAAAATGGTCGATGAAAGCAAAGTTTTAAAATTGCTTATCCATACATATAAATTATGTAGCTGTCATGCTCTGTCTTTATATTGGAACCAGTATAATGACTGCTGGCTATGACAAGAATAAAACAAGGTGTTGGAGGAAGTCAAGAAGAAACAAAAATGAACCTAAGAAAACTAAACTTCTCAGCATGGAACAAAAATGGGAACCATGCTAATTTCAGACACAAAACAAAAATAAAGTAAATATAACAATTTTTAGTCTCAAAATTTACCTACCATTAAAAATGTAAGAAATGCACCAAAGTGTTTATGAGTAAAAAAATGTAGTATGTGGGATTAAAAACTTCAAAAACCATAACAACAACCACCACAAAAAGAATGGGGAACCAGATGAAACAAGTAGCAAAATGTTGATAACTGATGAATATAATGACATGGAAGGTCATAGTTTCACACTACTTTTGTGTATGTTTGAAAATTCCCATAATACAAAGACACACACACAGTGTTTTTTTTGAGAGTCCTAAGGTTGACTCAGTGAGTGAGTGAAGGGTGGAGGCCCACTTTCAAAATCAAGTATCTACCAGAAGTGTATATTTGTTACAAAAGTCTGAGAAAAGGAATCCTGATATACTACTCTGGAATGGGATTTCTAAAGGAGACTGCCTAACCCCTTTCTGTAACTATCTCAACTACAGGAATAGAAGACTTTTCCAAGGTAAAGTTTTGTCTTGGGACATTTAGAAAGGGCCACACTCTAACATATGATTGAAGCACGAAAGAGAACTGGTATCTCAAGAGGCTTCTGTAACACTATAAAATATAATCACAATAGCTAAGCATAATAAGAGCTATTTTTGAAATAAAGGTTTTCTATCCACTGTATTAGGTCCTAAACTTTGTGATATTTTAAAAAGAATTAGAGCATAAAACATTTTGGTATGTTTAAAATACACATATTTCTACCTGATCCTTGGGTTATAATATAGGATTTTTTTCAGACTGCTAAGGATTAGCAACAAGTGGTATTCGTTCAAATGATTCATAAGACAAATTTCTGCAGCAGCCAAGGCTCTGAAAGAGGCCACTTTGAAATGACGATATGCTTATGTTTCTGGGAGGCTTATAACAGAACACTGCCAAACACTGAAATTCAAAAGAAGCTGTACATGTCTTAAATTATAAAAATAATTTTAAATCCATGAAAAGAATTTGAGCGTGATCCAGAGTGACCTGTAATGTATTAATCAAGAAGAAAAAAACATGTTAAAGAAACAATGAGTCAACAATATACTTAAGGTCTTGCAATTTGCAGATTACTTTGTCAGATCTCAATAAAGACATTATTCTTGGGGAAAGAATATGTACCTCACTAGAAATTCAAGACACACTGCCTGGTATATGATAATGAATATTATTTTAATAATTATTTGCAGTAGCATTATTAACAAAAGTTGCTTCCTCTCTGGCCTTTTCCTTGAGTTGTACAGTAACATTACATAGTTCTCTCGTAATCCCAGGTCTCTATCTTACACAGTATGATAGAAAGGAAACTTAAATGCAAGACAGTTTTATAAAGAAAACAAGGGCATTAGGGGGAGAGGAGGAAGTGACATATTGCTACACTACATAAAAGGACACCAACCCATACACTCCTCAGCTTTGCTCAAAGAAATCTCCTAAGAAAATTTCAGAGGGTGATCTTAACAATCATTAAAAGGGCATTAGAGCCAGTAAAACCCTGTGAATTTTTCTTCTAAGATTTGTACTATATAATTTTTAATCTGCCAAAAAAAAAACGCCTTCAATGACAGAAATATGCTCAAATCTACTCTTTTGGAGGCTTGGGAAGTGGAGGGACATGGACAGAACAAGCAGTGAAGATTATAAATCTAATATAAGAGAGACCATAAGCTCCACGAGGCCAGGGGCACATCTGGTTTGTCCACAGCTACTTCACCAGCGCTTGTCATAATGCCTGGTCTATGATGATGCTTACTAAATGTTTATTCAATGGTTGAATTAATTAATAAATCAGCGAGTCACTAAAATTTATTAGACATATCTATTTGTCTTGGAAAAATAACACCAAGTATTAGGTTGCTGCAAAAGTAACTGCGGTTTTTGCTACGACTTTCAAATAGCAAAAACCGCAATTACTTTTGCACCAACCTAATACATTAACCCTACTCTCCTTGCAGAGGAGCTAAGGTTCTAGCAGGGGAGTGCAGCTTGATGGAAAACAAGGGCTTCTTTTATATAGAAGACAACTCTCTCCAAATAATGCACTGAGAGAGGTGAAGTAGTCAGGGGACACTGGCCTGGCCCACCAGATAAATGGAATCAATCCAAGAGATCAATAGAATGACAGATGCTGCAGCCTAATTGCCACAATAAACAGTGCTTCCTGGCCTTTCATTTCAATGTTCTATCCATTACTTCAGCCTTAAACTGATTTAGACAGATTATTTCTTGTACTTTTGGCCTTTCCCTTTCTCTCAGATTTTACCTCAAGGAAACATTTACTTGTAGCTCCATCTCCTCTTATATGGGACTTGTAATTCTGGAGATTCCACAGTTAGTAAACCTACAATAATTAGAATAAGATTATTAATTTAAATGATTAATAATTGGATTATTATAGATTAAACCTATAATAATTAAATTAACTTAGATTTATTCATTTTGTCTCTTTTCACTTTGGCATAATCATAGCTCAATACAGTCTTGAACTCCTGGGCTTAAGTGATCTTCTCACCTCAGCTTCCTCGGTAGCTGGGAATACAGGCATGCACCACCATGCCTATATTTTCACTTTAAAACAACCGATCACCAGTATCCTACCTATTTTAAATTTCTGCACTACATTTAAAAAGTCCACTGTAATCTCAGAACTTAGGATCATTAGATGTTGAAAGTCACAAAAATTCCTCATTTTGGAAAAGTCTTACTTGTTATCTAAACAATGGTCATTTTTCTCCATGGGGTTTTTCTAAATTAAAAAGCTTTTTTCCTCCATGTGAGCAGTATTTGTTAGGCCAGTAGTCCTTAATCCTAAAAAAAAACTCCCTCAAAGCTCCAGAATAGAACAATGTTAGAAATTCAAACAATCTTTGGAATTATGAAGTCTAATTTCTTTATTTTACAAAGGAGAAAACAAACCCAGAAATTCTGACTTTTTAAGGGTTATACACAACTTCAGCAAAGCCAAGAGCTGACTCCTGTTCTGGAGATCGCTCCACAATAACAGCTGTCTCCTTTAATAAATAATGACTTAATACAGGGAAAATATTTAAGGACCAATGGGGGGATTTTTCTAGGAACAAGCAAACATCTGATAATGTAGATTTCTGGAGAATGAAATCTTGGTTAAAGAGAATTAAGAGGAAGAGGAGAAGGAAGAATCGGGGTGGGGGGGAATTAGAATATATTTTAAAAAGAAGAATCATTTCACAGTAAAAACTTCAGAGAAAAACGGACTCATAAAAGGGAGAGAATGATAGTTTATGGATCACAAGGCATACATAATGATCTTTCTAAAACACTCAAAAGGAAGCATTATATCCTGTAAACCCACAAGTGATCAGATTACATTTCTCATCACATTTACCTAATTTATCTATTTTATGCCAAACAGCCCCTCTGTCTTGCTAATTCATCCTGGTGTATTAATCCATATTTCATCTTTTCTCAGATATATCCTCCAGTATTTTAAAGATTTAAATTGTTTTGTTGGATTGCTCTGACCTTTATTATCTCAATTATTCCTTTATACGTCTCCTCAATGACAATATTTGGCAGTTTAATTCACTTACTACATTAGCATCCTCTATATGCAGCCCTTCAGGCTCTTGACAAAGATGTTATATCAAAACTGAAAATGACGTCAGCTTAAAATGAGAGATATTTTACGATTATAAGAGGAGCAAGAAAAGTATAAAAGAGCAGCCTTTGAGGAAAGCCTGGCTTTTTTCTCCTCTAATTTTCATTGCAAGTATTCATTTTCCCTAGTATCTTTGTGCAGAATGTAGGTTAGGGACAGACTTAGCTTGGCCACTATGGGTTAGCTGCTTTTAGTGTCACACTTCTCCAGTTCAGTTCAATACAGAGCAAACGAAGACCACTTTCTGCTCCTCCCCACCTTTGAAACCAAAGAAAACTATTTTAGGAGACTCAAGTTCTCCCAGAACAATGACATTCTTGGAAAAATTCATCTGGCTGAAGACAGGTTGAAAAGGAAATATGCTAGTTATCAGGTTACTGACCCTCAGTTCCAAATCCACCTTTACTCTCTTTCGTGATGCTGGAGCAGGAACTCTGCAAACCACATTTTGGTTTTGTCAGCCGGCTCCAGGATATGTTCTTAATAGGAGGTGATATTGGGAGGCTGCAAGGCTGGAGGAGAAATAAGGGACTTATTCCTTCTATTTGTTACCTGTTTGCTCCCAATCTGCTTGCTGTTTCTCTGAACATCACCCTAGGAGTATTACTTCACCCTGGCAGTGGTAGTTCTTTCCCCTGGGAACACTGAAGTCAGTTTATAGTTTTCAACATTCGCCAGAACCAGCTTCCTTGTGTAGACCCCCACACCAAATAGCCAGTGCTCCTTCCCAAGGAAGGAGTTCAGAGAGTTTCTCTAGAGTTCAGAGACACCAGCACAAGCTAGCCAGTGCTTCTTCAGAAGTCATATTTCAGTTCTGCAGGACCCCTCCTCTAAGTTACTAGGTTTTAGTAAGTCCAATCTCTTCCCTTTTTTCCCGTAGCCCTAGTGGTGGCAGTTGCTTCTTGCTACCTCCTTGATACCTTAGAGTAATATGTTTACCTTACAGTTACCTAGTTAGTAACTTTATACTTGGTTAATGATTCTTTATATTAAACTCCATTTTGTGGTTTCTATCTTCTGACCAATCCTGACTGATATAGAAATTCATATCAGAAGTGATCTCAGGAAACAATTCCTCAAAGATGGAATTGGAGAAGTGGTTTGGTGAACTTGAGCTTAAATGCTATGCCAAACTCCTTACCAATGGGAAATGGGATGGTAGTAATCTGTGACACATGGTGCCATCCTGATGAATCAGATTATCCCCAGTAGTTGATTGTGATGTTTGTGGCTCCTTCACTTGAGCATTATGGTAGTAATAATTATTATATGGACTATGATGTGGATGGATCCTTATGAATGCATTGGGCCTCTACAGACAGAAAATGAGAAGCTCCGGTCTTTAAATTCTCAGCTCAAGTCATGGTTAGAGAACCAGGGAATGTCTATCTTAACCTTAAAAGTATCACTTATTTCTAATAAACAAAGAATTTATTGCTGGAAATCAAACAGAAATATTAATTGTGCAAATTGCAAAATTATAACATCAAGTAATTCCACAGCCTTACTAGGTAAATCCACAGCCTTATCAAGTTTCTCATTGAAAGTTGGGGCATTGATTGCAAATAAGTGGAACTCTAAAACTTGGAATGAGACCAACTGATTGTACCCAAACAGAGCTGAAAATGTTAAACTCCTGAGTCACTCTGAACCTCCACTGCAAGTGGAAAATATCTTTCCTTCTTGTACCTAAGCCTTCCCTTGCTGGAAAACTCTGTAATGCCCTTGCCTGAGGCAGTTGCCTTACAAGGGGATGACCATTCTTCTTAAAATCCACCATCAAGCCCTTTGTCTCAAGATCCATAACTAAGGTCAAATCTCAACATGTTTCAGAAGGGCAAATACAAAGTCTAATTCAGTAAGAGGCAGCTTCTACATAAAATAATTGCAACATTTTGATAATATGTATTTCCAGAAACCTGGAGAGTACTTGTGAAGTGGATCCTAAGGGTGTTAAACCAAAGAGAATAAAACACAATAATGAATTTAGCGAGATTTTCTGGATTCAATCTTTGTTTTAAAGCTAGAAGTAGCTTTAAACATTTAGTTAATTGGTTGATGAAGACTTGGTCTTACATTTAGTGAGGCTGAGATGCTAGAATATCCCTAGAATAATGCAGAAAACGCAATCAAAGGTATACAGAGTTAGGAATGTTGAAGTGGATTTATCATATGAAACCTGCATATTCATACCTCACTACCTCCCCTGGGAAGGGCCAGAGCATACTCCCTTCACTAAGGCATCAATAAATACATTATTTAGAGGAGCACATGCATCCTGCTGTGGTTTCCCTCCAATGCAGACCAGACATTACAGTATGAGATGACTCCATTGAGATGTGCTGCCTGATTTCAATGAGGATGATGAAATCCTGGAGTAACAGGCCAAATAGCAGCAATTAAACACTGAATACAGGTGGGTGCATTTATTGCAAGAAGAAGTAGTGGATATTACAATATTTTGAGCCACAGGACTTTTGGCAGTGGCTAATTGAAATTAGCCTAGGATTGAAATGGATGGGTTACCTGCAAAGATGTTGCTTGGTTGTATATCTTAGAAAAAACTCTAAGTATTTTAACCAGCAACCCAACTTTGGTAGCCACAAGAAAGAGAGAGTCACAATCTTTCAACCAGTTTCCAACAAAAGTAGGTTCAACGTGTACTGTAAATCTTCCTTCAAACTTTCTGCAAAGAGACCTGAGGCTATTTACAAGGCTATTTACAAGACTGTGTACTGGGGAAAAGAGAATACCCAGATGGTTCAGGAATTACTAGAAACTGGTGGTTAAACAGTGCTAATTCCAGAGGGACTCAAAGCGGCTATCAAGTGATAGATGATGTCTTAGCCCAGATCCAACTCACAGTGGTCCCAGTAGATATGGGGATCCACTCTGAGGTTATTTTATTAGTTATGAATATACAATTGGAACAAATATTCTTGGCAACCAGTAAAATTGCCAACTTTGTTCCCTGGCCCATAGGTTAATATAGGAATGGCCAAGTGGCAGTCCCCGGAACTGATACCAAAAGCAACACCACATCCCTGGGGAAATTTCAGAGATTGGTGCCACTAGGAAAGACCTGTTAAGATGCAAGGATGGTGATACCCATCACATCTTCATTCCACTTGCTTATTATCTAAATTTGACGGCTGCTTCATAACTGAAGTGATGTGATAAGGCCGCTGTATGAGCTCTAGTGCCAGAGAAAGTCAAGAGTCTTTAGAATCAATATTTATTTTTTTAGGTAGGTGTTGAGAGAATATCCAGTGAATAAATCCCTTAAATTCTACTGTTTATCTGTAGCCCATGGATTAATCGAATTTTATTTTAAAATACAGAAATTATGGCTGGGCACAGTGGCTCATGCCTATAATCCCAGCACTTTGGGAGACCAAGGTGGACAGATCAAGAGGTCAGCAGTTAGAGACCAGCTTGGCCAACATCATGAAACCCCGTCTCTATTAAAAATACAAAAATTAGCCAGGAGTGATGGTGCACACCTGCAATCCTAGCGACTCGGGAGGCTGAGGCAGGAGAATCACTTGAACCCCGGAGGCGGAAGTTGCAGTGAGCCAAGATCGTGCTATTGCACTCCAGCCTGGGCTACAGAGTGAGACTCTGTCTCAAAAAAAGAAAAAAAAAAAGAAATTACTAAAGAAATCTAGGAATTAAACCATTAAAATGGCACCCCCACTGTAGCAAGCAGGGGTTACAGCCATGGAGTTCTTCCCTTTGTCATGTGGATGTTTCTAATGAGGACAAAGATCTGACCACATGCTCTGCTGGATCACTTCTGTCTTTTGTTCCCACATTCCTCCAGCAACCTGTAAAACTTTCAGTTCCTAAGTGACTTCATCATCACCATCATGACATCCTTCCTTATTTTCTCAGGCTATCATTCATTCATACAATCAATATTTGTTAAGTGCCTAAATGTAGAAGTTCATAGGCAAGGGACTATAGTAGAGCTCCCTGATGAGACAGGAATCCTGTCTCCCTCCTTGTCTCTCCTTATGGGATCATATGCATAGATAAGTATTAAGATATGTAGTGCAAATGCTTTGGGAGACCGAGGCAGGCAGATCACGAGGTCAGGAGATCGAGACCATCCTGGCTAACACGGTGAAATCCCATCTCTAAAAATACAAAGAATTAGCCGGGCGTGGTGGCGGGCGCCTGTAGTTCCAGCTACTCGGGAGGCTGAGGTAGGAGAATGGCGTGAACCTGGGAGGCAGAGCTTGCAGTGAGCCGAGATCGTGCCACTGAACTCCAGCCTGGGCGACAGAGCGAGACTCCGTCTCAAAAAAACAAAAACAAAAACAAAAAGATATATAGTACAAATATGAGGTATTGTTTTGGGAACATATATATTCCAGCAACAGAAATTAGAAAAGACTGCATGAAAGAAAGGAGCCTCAGCAAATGTGTAGAATTTAAATGTTACAATTTTAAGAATCCCTTTCCTACTCATCTACCTATAGGAAGAAAAAGTAGATCTCATTTGTGCCATTGCACAACAGACTGGGCGACAGAGCAAGACTCCATCTCAAAAAAAAAAAAAAAAAAGTAGATCTCATTTGGAAAAGACTATAAATGGCTAATAAGTGTATGAGGCAATGAGTATGGTCTTAGGGAAAAGTGTATAGATAGTAATAGATCTTCCATCTCAAAACAGGATTCTTCCTATTAATATCTTTATAGGCTGGAGTAATCAAGCAGGATGAAATAACATATGCAACTGCAAGGACCTATACAGAGATGTGGGGACACAGCCTAAAAAAATGGCTTTGTTAACATGTTTGAGGTACTAATCCAAGACAAACTTCACAAATACCAATAATATAATGTAGCCAAAGTTTAATGTATTTATTACATATTAAATTTTTATTAGTAATATATTGGCATGGCTCAAAAATGAAAATCATGTAAAAAGGCATATGCTCAGAATTGTTACTCCAACCCTTATGCCCATTCGCCAAGTCTTACTTCAGAGATTTCCACTTATGTTATTATTATGTATCCTTTAAGTATTCCTTGAGTGTAGCACAGGTAATATACACATATACATATTCTCATTTATTCCATCATTCTTACAAAAGAGAGTATGACTTATAAACTATTCTTCATCTCATTGTTTTTTCATTTTACAGTGTATCTTTCCATAACTGTATATAGAGTTTAATAATTTCTTTTCCAGCATCATGTTGTTTCATTCTATGGATATGACATGGCTTATTATGGTGGTTTTACAAAAAAGCCACAACTTCTTTGGCACTGCTCCCATTGAGAGGTAAGGTCTTGAATCTGGGTATTTGTAACTGCTTTGACAAATAGAGGATGGCAGAAATGACATTATATTTGACTTTTGAAGCTGGGTCATAAAAGACCACATGGCTTCCACTTAGGTCATCTTGTATTCAGGCATGTCTGATAGTTTTAATAATGACCTATGTCCTCATTAAGGGATGGTAGCAAATCCAAATACGACTTTTGCTGAGCCTGGCAAGGTATTTTATATAGAGAACTAGAACATGACAACCAAATTCTATAAACTTGGAAAATGCTTTTGTTACAAAACTTTAAAATAACTTTATATTAGTTTGTAAAATCCATACAGCTAATAGAAATCAATGTTTATTTGGATATGTCCAATGGTCTAAAAGGTGTCTGAAAATCTCACTTTAAGTCTACTCACTATCATTTCTCTATATTGTTTCTCCTCTGGATTGTCAGTCTTAGCACTTAATCTCTCAAACAATAAAATGTCATATTGTAACATGCCGTCTTCCAAATTCTCCCCCTGTGGAAATCACATGTTAAAAATGTCAAAAAATTCGGGGCTTTCTTGTACACTGTTTTAAAATCCTTACTACAGATTGACCAAGCCTAAATATCTCAATATGAGAGGAAGAAAAATTTTGCCATTGCCTTTAGAAGTAAATGCTTAGAATAAAATGCCCTAATCAATCATGCAGCACACACATGCAAATATATTCTACAGAGAAATAAAACAGTGCATGCTAGTTGGGCTTCTAATTTTTACAAGAGTCATGTAACATCCTTAATCTTCAATATATTATCTTTCTCATTTCTAAAAGCATACTGGAAGGAATAGCTATTTAGGTGAAAGAGGGACATTGGAAGTAAAAGAGTGAGATAAGAAAGGATAACAAGCATCTACATTTTAAATTTATAGATATATTTTCCTAAGTGTGTCCAGCTTCCTAAGAACAACTGTGTCATAAAATATAAAAGCCAAAGGTAAATTTATAGATATATTTTCCTAAGTGTGTCCAGCTTCCTAAGAACAACTGTGTCATAAAATATAAAAGCCAAAGGAAACATAATGCACCACTCCTTGGATAAATGTGGGAAACTGAGGCCCTGAGATGTAAAGTAACGATTCCAAGGCCAAACAGGTAGTAACTGGCGGAGATAAAAAGCCTCAGGTCTCCCAAGCCAAACACTACCTGGTGGCAGACCTTCTCTGGACTCTAAAGGGAGTTAGTTACACAATACTTGCACAATGCACCTGAAGTCCAGAAAAAGGAACCATGCTTTTTGCTTTTTTCACATTTGGTTGTTGTGGTTTTTACAGAAGAAAAGGAACTCACTTTACAACAGCAACTGGAAAAGAAAAAATCTAGAAAAGTTCAAAAGCAACATAAACTCCTTTGCACACCCCCATTACCACCAAAAATTTTTCTAAAAAAGCATAGAAACCCTCATAAAATAACAGAAACAGCAGGAAGAATGTATTCCTTTTCAGGAGCTACTATGGAATGCCATTCCCAATTTATTGAATACCTCTTACTCATTAAAAATGAAGCACAGGCCAGGCGCGGTGGCTCATGCCTGTAATCCAAGCACTTTGGGAGGCCAAGGTGGGTGGATCATTTGAGGTCAGGAGCTCGAGACCAGCCTGGCCAACATGGTGAAACCCCACCTCTCCTAAAAATACAAAAATTAGTCAAGTGTGGTGGCAGGCACCTGCAGTCTCATCTACTTGGGAGGCTGAGGAAGGAGAATTGCTTGAACCTAGGAGGTAGGGGTTGCAGTGAGCCGAGATCATGCCACTGCACTCCAGCCTGGGCAACAGAGTGAGAGTCTGTCTCAAAAAAAAAAAAAAAAAAAAAGAAAGAAACACAAAACACCTGAGCACAAGGTGTATTCAGGGTTACCTGCTTTTCCCAAATGGAAGTATTACAGTTTCCATTTAGATCACTTCCCAGATAGCTGTTTATTGCCCTCAAAGATAGTTATGAACATCCCTCCTGTTAACTTTCTTCTCCAATATCTATATCCATCTAGCTAACATTTGTATGCATTTGGCAAACCTTCCAAAATTTTAACAGAATGCTCTACCCTACAAGTTTTACATTCTTGAAGAGTCTGCATAGTCCTTGGAAACAAACAGGAAATTGAGAGCATCGTCTCCCTCTCCAGGAAAATGCTACTGTACATTTAATAAATAATTGTTGAATGAAATTTGCTCTCCAACCCCAAGTTTTCTCAGACCTCAGATTTGTACAACAAACTGCCTAATTCACATTTCTAATTGAATAACTAAAGGTATTGCAAACTCCACATGACTGAAACAGAATAGTGACTTCCACTGTTCTTCTCCCACCTCCCAAACACATGGCCAACTCTTCCTCCTGTTTGCCTATCTCAGATATAACCTTGTACCTACTTAGTTGGGTCATTTTTGGAGATTTGTGATTCCTTTCTTTTCACTGACTCAACCCATCAGCAAGTCCTGTTTAAAATACATCCTGACACCAACCACACCTCAGTGCTTCTGTCACCTGTACCCTGGTCCCCTGTTGCCTCTTCTGCTCTAACAGCATCCTGATTAGTGTCATGTCTCATTAGTCTGTTCTCCTCCACATGCCAACCAAGGGTGATTTTTTTAAAAAGTAAAGTGTTTTCATGTCTCTCCTTTGCTCCAACCTCTCCATAGCTTCTCATTATCCTCAGGACATAATCCCTTCTTCAGCAGGTGGAATAGAAATCTCCCCTGGGCTTCCCTCATTTACACCTCGCACCTCCTCTACCTCTTCTGCTGTCCTCTAAGTCACCATGCTCTAACCCACTGTCCCTTGTTTTTGTTTATTTATTTATTTATTTTTGAGACAGAGTCTCACTCTGTTGCGCAGGCTGGAGTACAATGGCACAATCGCAGCTCACTGCAGCCTCAAGCTCCTGGGCTCAAGAGATCCTCCAGCATCAGGCTCATGAGTAGCTGGGACTACAGGCATGAGCCGCAGTGCCCAGCCTCCTCCTTGTTTTTAAAATAGCAAGTGTTATACTTGCTGTTCCCGTTGCCTGGAGCACTCTTTCAGTAAATCTTCCAAAGGCTGATCCAACTCATGTTTCAGGTCTCTCGGTGATTGCTATCTCTGAGTTGTCTTTCCTGGACGCTCATCTCAAACATTTGCCATCCAAACAGTTACTCTCCACCCTCACAGGTTGCTTTATTTTCTTCACCCTCTGAAATTATAACGCTTACTGTATGTATCTCTCACAGGAATGTAAGCTCTCCAGCATCTGGAATACTGTAATAGGCATTCAAATATTTGAAAGGATGACTGAATGAAACATTTCTTAATATTTTAAAGATGCTCAGTATAGACAGAAGGAAATGTGGGCATTATAAAACAGAATATAAGAATCCTGGAGCCTGATGCCTACAGAATAATGACAAAAAGACTACAACAGCAAATGAGCTCACCACCATACTGGAAAGCTAGAAGCCGATCTATTTCACCAATGTGTGGGCTCTATTTTTCCTTGAAGAGGATGTGGCCTCAGTGAAGCAAATTTTGATTCAAGAACCATTTTGAAAAAAATTCCCTTAAATGGAGCATTAGCATTAGCATAGCACAATAGGCTTCTCATATTTGCCAAGGCCCTGCTTGCTCAGTATCACAGCAGGTGAACACTCTACTGGGGCTTGGGGGAGCTTCAGGAAGCTGCTCTCAAATATCCTGCATCCTTTTCTCCTCATTGTGACAATCTGGCTTCCAGTGGGTTTCCGAATCCTTGGCAAGTAAAGTGAGAATTTAATCTAGTCTTACAATGGGTTGTGCATGTGGTAAGAGTCCCTGGATCTGTGTCATCTCTTCCTGCCAATCCACAGACAACCTTATACTCTGCAAGTACGCAGGGAGACTCAGCAATTTAAAAGACTGCCAAAATGTATTCAATCTCTTTAATTCAGTAAAAGTCTAGCCTAGTGTAGAACATAGTTAAAAATGAACTAAGACCTTACCTAACTTTAAACTAAGACACTATCTCTAACCTTAGATTTCTCCAGGTATAGGACATGAGAGTCACTAAAAATAAACCTATTTACTGTAGGATTTCTAAGAAAGCATAAGAGTACATATTAAATGATATGTCTCAAAACCAGGAGTCAATTTATTTTATTTTTCTACTCACTGAAAACATTTTCTCAAGCAATTTCAAGATTACATGTTTTTTAAAGGTGAAAAGGATATGGCAATGTCTTCTAAAACACAATTATGACAATTACGCTTCATAGAAAACCTAAATGAGCTTCAGAGTAAAGGAATATTAACCTTTTCATTTATGTTAAGCTGCTTTGAGGTCAGTTTACAATTAAAATAAAGGTACATTGGAATATTACATTAGATGGAAATAGATAATTCTTCAATTCTTTAAAAAGAGCTTGAATATAAACAAATATAAACAACTGTCACTAAAGTCCCTAATGATCTCCATGACACTAACTTCAAAAGACATTTTTGGTCCTTACCATCTTTGCTCTTTCTTAAACTTTTGCATGAAGACTCCTTTCTTGAAGTATTTTCTTGCTCTTGACTCTGTGATATTATCATCTCCTGGTTTTTGTCACCTTGCCGGCAGCTACATTCACCTTCCTCTCCCTAGTCATTAAATGTGAAGGTTTTTCAAAGCTTTGTCCAGGCTTTCTCCTTTTCTTAGATTACTCTTTCTCCCTAGGTTATCTCATATGGAGCGCCTCAAAGTTTTTCACACTGTGGTACACAGAGAAAATGACAATATGTGTATGACATCTTAGAACTGGAGGTCGCTGGGCCTGGTGTGGTGGCTCATGCCTGTAATCCTGGCACTTTGGGAGGCCAAGGCAGGCAAATTGCTTGAGCCCAGGAGTTTGACACCAGCCTGGGCAAGCTGGTGAAACCTCATCTCTATAAAAAATACAACAAAATTAGACGAGTGTGGTGGCTACTCAGGAGACTGAGGTGGGAGGATTAGTTGGGCCTGAGAGGTCAAGACTGCAGTGAGCTATGAGTATACCACTGCACTCCGGCCTGAGCAACAGAGTAAGAACCTGTCTCAAGAAAAAAAAAACAAAACCAAAAAAACTGGAGGCCTCTGGCCTGAAGGCTTTAATCACTACCTTAGCACATGTATGTTCCATCACAGCACATCTTATGGTAGGGCCCTGGGAAGTTCTGAATCAACATCCATGTATTTAGCTATCACCAATATGCAAATAACACACAATTTTATATATTCAGCCCAGGCCCCGTTTCTTAGTCCTAAGAAACGAGGACTAAGAAGAGATATGACAACCGGATCTACACTACAGGTCCCATTTTGCCAGAAATGGGATCTGTAGATCCAATTGTCACATCTCTTCTTGGATATTTGAAAGCATCTGAAATACATCATGTCTAAAACTAAGTTCATTATCCGTGTTCCCCAAAACTCGGTCCTCTTCTGGTGTTCTCCGTCTTCTGGTGTTCTGGTAATCACACCATGACGTTGCATAGCCAGAATTCTAGGAGATACCCTTGACACTTCTCCCTCACTTCCATGTGCAATCCATCATCAAGCCCTGTTCAATCCACCTCCTTAACATCATCCTTCATCTCTCCATCTCTACCACCACCTGAGTCCAAGCTACTGAAATAGTTCAGTTAAATTGCCCGAATTATTACAATAATCAAGGAAGTCATCTATTCTTGTCTACTCTAGCCAATCCTCTAATTCATTCTCTAATCTATAGAGTGGTTTAAAAACTAATAATAAAGATTTAATCCAGTCATCCCTTTGCTTATGGCAATATTCCTTAACATGACCAACAATATCCTGGATGGGCTGATTCATATTCATTATTCTGGTCATCTGTTGCTGCAGAACAAGTTGGCCACATGTGGTTGTAGTAAGAATTTGGCTAAGGCTGGAGTCATGTGAAGGCTCAATTGAGCTTGGCATCCAAGATGGCATCTCCCTTCACATGTCTGAGGGCTGGTCAGGCATCTTTCTCTCTACCAGGCTAGTTTCAGGTTCCATAAAGCATGGCAGTCTCAGAGTGTTCCACTTCTTACATGACAAGTTACTTTCCCCAGAGTGTACTTTACAAAAGACCAAGATAAAAGCTGTAAAACCTCTTCTGACCTACCCTCCAAAGTCATTCAGCATATTTTCTACCTTATTCTAGAGGTCAAAATCAAGTCATGGCATCAGCCCAGATTCAAGGGGAGGAAACTGAATATCAGAAGACATAGTTCTTTGAAGGGGAAAGAGAGTCTTCGGAGAATATCCACCATACCTATCTCTCCAGTCCCATTTTGCAGTGCATTTCCTACTGCTGTTTCCATTTTAGCCACGTTGGCCTTCCTTAAGTTCCTTGTATTTGTCATACTCCACCCTGCTGATCACTTTGCCAATACTGCTTTCTTTGCCTATAATGGTCTTCCAGTCCACCTTTTGCCAAGTTAACTCTTGCTCAACTTTCAGATCTCATTCAAGCATCAAGAAAGCCTTCCCCGACTCCCTCAACAAAATTAAATCTTAATTTATACTCTCAAGGTATTGCATATATTTCCAGCACTGTCTTCATCACCATTGCATTTTGCATCTGTTTGTGTGATTACATAATTTATTTCTCAATACCCCCACTACACTGGAAGAGGAGCCATGACTATTTTTCTTCTCCTACCACAGATTTGGCTGGTACTCAAATATTTATTTGCTGAATAATAAACTAAGTAAATCAAACTGTCTGCCTCTGTATAACAAATTATTATTTTCCCTTTATGAATTATAGTGAAGTATATAATCCCATTTCCATATTGAATACATAATGAGACAACCCCAGATATAAACAATTTTCACAGAAAAAATCTTATAAATTCAAAGGTCATATTCTTTTGTTATATCCTAACTACAAAATTAGCAGATGTATAAAGGAATCAATTAATACATCAAAACTGTGTAAATTTTGTGGTATTTCTTCCAATCTCCTTTCAGATGAGCCTAAAACTCTCTTTAATTTTAATTTCTATACCTAAACAAAAACTGGCAAGTATATTAAACGAAGCACTGCAAGCAGGAGAGAAGCAATTTCCTATGCATGAATCCAATACTGACAGTAGAGAACACTAGACATGCTCCACTTAGAAACCAACATGGATTGTTACACAGACCACACATGATTTTTCTTGTGCTAAAACCAAACACACAATACTAACTGCTCCCTGCTACATTATTAATAATCTGTCTAGAAATAAACACTCCACCGACTTTCAACCTGAAATGGACTATTTCATCTTGGAGGTGGGAACTAACATTCCTGTACTTTAGAAGGTAAAAGAAAGAGAAAGGGGTCAGATTGGAGAAAATATTCACTAGTTATAGCTTTTAACTTCTTTTTTTAAAAAAATAAAAGTCTGAATAATTGTAAATGGGATCATTAACTAAAATTCATTATCAGAAAGTGCATTCTGTTTCTGATTGAATTCCAACTGTCAACCCTAACGGTTTTCAACTACCAAAAACATCTGATCTAGTGATAGAATTTTTTTTACAATCTGAAATAATTCAGCCATGTATTTATTTATTCTTTCTCCCTAATACAATATAGTCTTCATGAGGGTATGGGATTGATCACTCTTGTTCCCCTAGAGCAGTGTATGGCACATTGTGCTTCCCAATAAATTAATAAATGAATGAATAGTGGTGGTCTTCCAGATCTTGTGTATTACTCATAATATTTATTACAATGTTTGTTACTTATGAAGAAAAATATTCTGTCAAAATGCAAATAAAATGCTTTTACCTCTCATTTATGCTTCTTCCTTAGTAGGTGTTATGTCATATGAAATTAAGAGTTTCTCTAATCATCTAACCTGTCTCATTCACCAATTAAGAAAAAATGTATTCTACCATAAGGCAGAAGCAGCTTTTTGCTAAGTCATTGAATTTCTCTGGTTGTTAAAAGTTTTCTACAATGACACTACTTTTTCTCAGTGGCTGAACTGGAACTTATACTTGTGTAGTTTGAGGAATCTTATTAGGTTAAACAAATATATGGAAAATAATAAAGATGTCTATAAGCTGATCCCTGAGTGTAGCCATTTTTAAAAAATAACTTATCCACTAGTTGAGGGCATGAAAATAGGTTATAGGACAAATACTTAAATTGAAACTTTGTCTCCTAATAAACCGCCAAACATTTTGCCATAAAAGGCTGACTTGATGAAGTTGAAACATTCATTAGTGAGTGTTTAAGTCTATTCTACATAATACGATTTAGATAACAGTAAAATATTCATATCAAATTGGCCCATTAGAGGAAATTCTCTTGCCTGGTGTCCTCTGATACAAGTTTAATGCTGACCAACAAAAATGACCTGTAGGTTTTCTGTGGGCAAGTCTCTCTCTGTGCCTTATTTCTCAAGCCATGGCTCACACTGAATTATTTACAGCTAAGCATCTTTTTCCTTTGTTTTTCTTCTTGTTAAGTATGGATTAAGATCTAGATAGTTTATTTTGAAGTTACAAAATGTTAAATAGAAATTTTAAATACTAAGCAAGTTCAACCTGCTCTACATCAGCTCTAATTCCAGACTTGAACTTAAAAACTTGTATTACAAGAAACATTACCTACTTATATTTTCAAAATCATTAACTTTTGCTTCCTTGGGTTTTTAAACTTTGCTCATATTTAGCCAAAAAAAGAGAGAGATGCACTTAAGGAACATTTGCAAGTGCCATTTTGACCAATCTTTTCACTAACCTAAGTGGGTTTTTTTAAGTCTTGCCTTCCATTTTCTTGTAACGCCTGACTCCACCTTATTTATTTACTATAGTAATCAACTAAAAGGCTTAGAACAACGATCGATTTTTAAATAAATCGAATAGTATGGTAAATAGATTCCATATTTCTCCAGATCCCATTGCATTTAATCTTTTTTTATTCTTCTTGAGAAAAAAATAGAAATATATGTATTATTAATTTGGGTTACTTTTTACAAGTTAATTTCAATCTCACCCAGATATGTGTTAAAAATATCCCATCTTCCCTTCTATGAGAAGTAAGGTCCTTCCTTCTCATTCACAATTAAATCTAACACATACTCCTTGAAAGTAGGAGTAAAAAGGAGGGGCAGGAATTTCAGACATATTAGGAATATTGATTAACTGTATTCATTTTGGATATGGCAATTCACTGAGTGAACAGAGCACTGTTGGGTGAATGGTAGCAGAAGCATATTGTTCAAGCTAAAGCCCTTTCAAGGACAGATGCCAAGGTGAGCAATACTCCTGGTTTCTCAGCAACGGAAAAAGATTTGTGAATGATTGTGAAAGATTTGCACCACCTCCTAGCTGCGCTTAGGGGCTGTTCTGAAAACAGCTAAGCAGAGCTTGGGAAATTCATGTCACATACTGTAGCCCTGGGTAAGAAGTGGTGAAATACACACACACACCATCACCACCACCACCACCACCACCATCACCACCACCACCACCACCACCATCACCACCACCACCAGAAAAACCCTGCGGAGAAGCTATCAGGCAGGCGGGCTTGCCTGGGAAGGCACAGTCAGCATCCTTCCTCAGCCCAAGCGAGAGGCTCACCTCCACCTCCAAGCTAGAGCTCCCAGGTCTTTATCCTTCTGGGCGTTTCCTTGCAAATCTACTTCCTTGCAAAGTAGAGGGATCTACGCTGGCCTTACCTCTGGGGCTGCTTTCTTGCAAGTACGGTGGGGCGGTGGGAGTGACATTTCCGGAGTGGGATGCTGACAGCAGAGGCGAGCGTTCGTCCACCCCATCAGCAGCCATGACTGCGGCAGCGGCGGGGCCTGGGGAGGCCGAGCCGGGGTTGCGGCCTCGGCGGAGTGGTGGCTACTGCTGCTGCCTCTGCTGCCGCTGCTGCCGCTGCAGCTGCTGCTGCTGCCGCCTCCGGGAGGGCCCGGGATGTGTCACAAGGCAGGAAGCGGGGGGAGGGGAGGGGAGGGTGCAGGACCAGGAGGCGGGGGAAGGGAAGCGCGCTGGGAGGCATGGCTGGGGGAGGGGAGGGGAGGGAGAAAGAAAGAACCCGCAGAGTGGGAGGAGCAGCAGTGGAGGAGCGGGAGCCCAGCCAGCCAGAGAAAAGGGGAACAAATTAGGACCAACTGGGAAACGCGAGGAAAAGAAGATGCCAAGTAACTGAAAGGGGGTCGAGAGTAAATGGGATGGAGGGGGACAAGTCCTTTGCTCTAGGAAAGACGGATAAAAAGCAGCCTGAAAGGGGCTAGCGAAGAGGAAAGGCCTGTGACTTGATTACAAGAAAACTGGAGCAAAAGCAGATTATCAAGTTTATCTCCCCTAAGGAGGAGGAGGGACTGACTCTTTGCTGTCAAACTTTGCAGCAGTTATATAAAGAAAACATCTTCCTGGGGTTATCAATTCCTCTAGGGTTTTTTTGTGGGAAATCAGTTTTCAACATCTGTTATCTAAGAGAAAGTAGATCTTTGCGGAAGTGTCAGCATTCCCTACTTTTCCTGATTGATTTTTTTTAACAACAGGAATGTTGGCCTGACCGGTTTGGAACTCTGGTAACAGTACCTTTTTGGAACTATGCAGTGTGTTGCCTTTTACAAGTTTCATTTTACAAAATAGGTTGTCATCTTAGTTTTGGTTTTGTAGCCTATTGTCCCTGACACATATACAGTAAGTAGGTTTATGAATAACGTCAAACAACGAAAAACAAGTTTCTTGAGACAAAAGTTTTAAAATAATCGTTTACTTGTAAAACAGAGTTAAAACACAAAAAACCCTAAGCACTGACAAAGATTCTTTGCTTGGTCAAACAAGTAAGGTTTCTGAATCTTATGCTGGGCCCATCTGCACTTCCTTATAAAATCCAGTTTTAGCAAAGAACCCTACTAACTTAATTTAGCAAGAAGCCCCATTCTCAATATTGATATTTGATCAGGTTCCTCATCCTCCAGCATCCCCCATGTGAGGCCTGAACTCCTGTTCTGTCTTCAGCAAGAATCCCGTTTGCTTGGTTTAGTCAGAATCCCCCTTATCCCTGATATTTCCTTGGTAATTTTCCATCTACTGCCCCTGTCCTGCATGCTCCTAGGCTATAAATTCCCACTTGTCCATGCTGCATTCAGAATTGAGCCTAATCTCTTCTTCAACATGGCAAGACCCTGCTGCCATGGTCCCTATACCTATCACTATAGCCCTAAATACAGTCTTCCTTACCATGCTTTGACAAGAATCACTGAATAACTTTTTTCTTTAAAAACACAGTTCTTGCCATGTTTTATATGTTTTTCTTTTCTTTTTTATTTGGTGGTTTGTCATATTATCCAAAAGTAGTTTACATGAATATGAAAACAAATTAAAGTTTTGAGGCCAGGCGTGGTGGCTCACGCCTGTAATCCCAGCACTTTGGGAGTCCAAGGCAGGCAGATCACCTGAGGTCAGGAGTTCGAGATCAGCCTAACCAACATGGAGAAACCCCATCTCTACTAAAAATACAAAATTAGCGAGGCGTGCTGGCGCATGCCTGTAATCCCAGCTACTCGGGAGGCCGAGGCAGGAGAATCACTTGAATCCGGGAGGCAGAGGTAGAGGTGAGCTGAGATCGTGCCGTTGCACTCCAGCCTGGGCAACAAGAGTGAAACTCCGTCTCAAAAAAAAAAAAATAAATAAAGTTTTGAACATGTCTAAATAAAAATGCAATAGAAAAATAGTAATGATCTAGGATGATAATTTTTCTGCAATAATTTTTGAGTCACTCAAAAGAAACATTTATTACTCATTTACTAAGTCTAAAAGATAACTACGACATGATCTCAATCCTCAAGATGCCTGAGAGAGTCAAAAACAAGTGGAAAATGAGGCTAGCTGTAGATTTCAGTGAGCATGAGGCAAAGCAGAAGTTAGACATACGAAACTATGTTTCAAATTACATTAGGAAGGATCCTCACTCTGCTTTCTAAAGATACATTCTTTCTTCCAGAAAAATCCACTTAGGCATCAGCTGGAAATCCTAAGGGGAAATCAAATAATGATGTTTGCACTCACGCAGCATCTTTTGTGGATCAGTAGCATCAGGATACAATACAATATAAGGATCCCTATATGATATAAGGGCATTTCTAGGTCTCCAGGAACCTGGAAAGTACAGAATCAAGATGTAGCACTTCCTGCAAAAGTGCCTGTAATTTACAAAAATGAACAGCAGTGTTTTTATAACTGCAGCCTGGAGACTATTGAGTTAAAGAAAATTATGAGAAAAATCAACAAAATCTTACTACTATAGTATTCTGTCGTGTTACCTGTCACACTCCATTGTGACAACTCCAGCCCCAACCAAATTTCTGAGGTCAGAAACCTATCTATCTTATTTATAACTAGATCTCCAGTATCTAGCACAATGCTTGGCACATTAGTAAACACTCGATATTTGTCAAATAAACAATTGAGTGAATGAACAAATATACACAGTCCCAGAATCTTACTAAAACAAAATGTTTGGCACAAAAAGATTAAGAACATTTCTTGGCATTTTGATGAAGATGACAGTTTTGCCATCTGACTGATCAATTTTTTTATTCCATCATACCTCTACAACTGTCTTCTTTTTTGCCCATGTAGTGATCAGTATAAAGGTTTTTTTTTTGTTGTTGTTTGTTTTTTTCTTTACTTCATTATATGGTTTCTCTACTGCAGAACTCATTTGAGGCTCATGACAGTTACTCTTCTTACACTACAAAAGGTAGTAGATATACTGAGATTATATTTGCAGCAATCTCAACTTCCACAAAAAGCAAAAGGCTTTTATGAGATGAGTACTACTTCATTCTAGGTTAAAGATCATACTATGGTTTATGGTTTCTCAATAGTTGTTAAATAATACTCATCAATCCAAGGTATTTTTATGATTATGATTATGATACTTTGCCATCTCTATTCATGAGATGAGCTAATGTGTCTATTGGAATAAAAATACTCTATAAACAGATAATATGTGAGATCTAATGTACTTAAGCTGTTGTTTCAGCGATCTACTGCTAACAAACCATACCAATACTCAGTGGCTTAAAACAACATGAGTTGTTATTTTCTATGATTCTGTAGTTGACTGGGTGGCCATTCTGTCAGACTTGCCTGAACATTCAGGCAGCAGCATTCAGCTGGCAGGTTTGCTGGGGGCTAGGCTCAGCTGGGAAATTTGGGCTCACTGGGCAATTCTCTTCATGTAGTCTTTATTCCAGACTTCCTCATATACCTCGTATTCTCAGAACACTATTCTAAGAGGATGATGGTGGAAGGTAAGGGATCCCTAAGATCTAGGCTCTGGTTCTCAAACATCGCTTCTTATCACATTCTCCCACCATCAATGGCTTTCTCAGCCTGCCTCCTGCTTGGAAAAAAACAAGCACCTAGAGGCCTCGTCATGATCAAAGGAAGTCACAAGGCTGGTGGAGGAACAGATTCCATCACTTCAAGTGAAGAGTAGCAATGTCACAATGCAAAGGGGTGTGGAACACAACAAGGCATGATCCACTGGATGCTATTATATAACAGTCTACCATAGTCTGCCCACTGGTCACTGTGGTTCACATCCCCCTCACAGGCAAACTACACTTATCCACTCCCAACACCCCAAAGTCTAGTTTAATCACTAAAGTCAACTTTATGTATCTTTCACCTAAATCCAATCCAGGTGCAGTCAAAATTCCTGGGGGATAATTCCACAGGTCCAGCTCCTTGGGTACAGCATCTGTTGATCCAGAGACCTGTGAACTAAAAGGACGAAGCATGTGCCCTTCTTCTCTCCCAGCCGTCTCAACCCCCAACATTTAACAGTGGAACAAGAACAGGATAACAACTGACAGAAGAAGGGGGAGGGGGCATTCTGAATAGAAGGTACATAGAACACACGGGACCACAGAATTCTGAAATCCACTTGGGCCCATGTCACCAGCTCTTTTGACCCCAGAGGCATGTAATGCTTCCTTATTAGGGCACAGTCTGCCTCTGTTGCTACTCCTTTTCCTCATCTGTTCCTATATTTGGCTCTTGGCCCTTCCCACTAAGTCTGGTCTTTTTCATAAGAAATGGCTCCTGTTTGCAGCTGCATACCTTTCTCAGCCTGCCTCCCCGCAAAGAAAGTTGGGAACCCAGAGGGCTCTTTCCATTTTGAACTGCCTCTGTCCCTTTTAATCCAAATTGATACAACTTCCTTAGAAATGTGTAGGCCTTTCCAATGAATCTGAATGGGGTTTACCTCATGCCCACAAAGCCACAAACATAATATTTTTTTTGAGACAGGTATTTCTCTATGTTTGGGTCACATTTGAGGCCCTTCAAATTCTTAGATGCTCCCTTGTCTATTTAAGGAAGTCTCCAAGTCACTGCTTGAGTCTTTCAGAGGTCTTCAGGGAGGGTTTTACAGCCATATCCCTGATTTGAACTTTATTCTGAGGCCATTTCTTACATCAAGAATCTGTTGCTGGATGAAAGACTGTCTTAAGCCCCCTATATTTCCTCTAAATTCAGTTGCAAACTGGAAGTTCCTACTTTAGTTCATTTCTGTGGTTGGCAAAATAATGCCTCTCCAAAGATGTCCATGCTCTTATTCCCGGAACCAGTGAATATTTTACCTTACTTAGCAAAACGGATGTTGCAGATATGATTACAGGGTGCAGACCTTCAGATGGGAAGATTATCCTGGATGATCCTTGTGAGCCAAACCTAATTATGAGTCTTTAAAAGCTGAGAACCTTTCTCAGCTGTAGTCAGAGATATTCACAGGAGAGATTTAAAGTGAGAAAAGGACTCAGCCTACCATTGCTGGCCTGAGGATGGAGGAAGAGATCAAGGAGTATGGGTGTGCTCAAGAAGGTGGGAAAGACTTTCAGCTAACAGCAGCAAGGACGTACAAATGTTAGTCCTAGACCACAAGGAAATGGATTCTGCAAACAACCCAAAAGAGCAAAGATATAGATCTTCCCCTAGAACTTCTAGAAAGGGACATAGCCCTGCTGACACCTCGATTTTAGCACTATAAGAGCCATGATAAACTTCTGACTTGCAGAACTATAAAATATAAAATTTGTATTAAGCTGCAAAATTTGTGGTAATTTTTATGGCATCAACAGAAAATGAAAACTTTCTCTTAAAATACCTTATTTAACACAGCTAAAAGAAGCTAGTTGTCGCTTTTAATTTTCTACATGGAAATTAGTGAAATCAACAAGTTCATTAGGAACATTTTCTATTTTCTAAGTTACTACAGGCAACAGTTAATTGGTGCACCTCTGTTTTTCTAGTCTCCAATAGCAATTTCCTCCCTACTCTTCTAGTTTCACATACTCCTCCTTAGTATTGTTCTGTGCCTGGCCCTTAAGACAATGCCATATACTTGGGGTTTTGTTACAGCAATATCAATTTGCTACATTTATCTATTGCTTTGTACTTTCAGTGCCAACTTCTAGTGGATTTATCTGTTGCTTTCTATTTTTAGTACAATATTCTGTTTTATTTATCTATTGCTTTATAAGAATCCACCATCCTAAAACTTAGTGGATCAATTGTCAATGTACTGTATTTTTTTTTTAATAATCATTAGGGTTAATCAGGTAGTTTTCTGCCAAGTCTCACCTGCACCCACTTAGGCCAATGCATTCAGCTGGTGGATCAGCTGGGGACTGATCTCAGCCAAGAAATCTGGTTGGCTGAAACTCTCTTTCCAAATGCAGTTTCATTGTGAGTTTCTTCATTGCATGACAGTCTCGGGGTAGGGTCCTTGGAGGCCAAAGGCAGTTGCTGCAAGCCCTCATAAGTCCAAGGTTTTGGAACACACATGGCTGCATCTGCCACATTCTATTGGTCAGAGAAAGTGACATGGACAGAGTATATTGAAGCAGTCAGGGGGATAAATTCAGTCTCTTGATGGAAGATGTGGCTATGTCACATGCAAAAGGGCACGGATGCAGAAAGGTGTGATTCCTTGGGGGCCTTATATAGTGATCTAGTCCAGCTACAAACATGTCATTTAAGAAAAACATAGAGAATGACAGAGGAGAGATCTGTACGGAACACTATGCTTTTGGAAGGAAGTTTAATATGAAATTCTAAAGTCAATATGAGAAGTATATTTTCCAGCAGACAGAGTAATAATCCTGAGAGAATAAGGCCATATTCAGGAATTTAAAAGGGCACAACATTTTGCAGGAATAATAGAGGAAGGTTGAAGGCTTAACTGTAGTCACAGAAGAGTCCAGGGAGGAAGACAAAGGGCTAGAGCCAGTCAACAGCCCAGAGCAGCAGTAGAGAAGCCTAGTGAAAGTTAAGGTATAGGTGTGGAATAGAACTAGAAGAGATCCTGTTTCCCTGTATTATTTCCAAACACTTCGAGGAAAAGGCAAGACCACATGGTTTCCTCCCAGGTGAGCAGTTCTTCAGTAAGAGGCATCATGGGAGTTCTGTTAGTGTTGATGTTGCAAGAAAACTTAAGAGGTCAAACCTACGGACTTTGTGGTCCTGAGTTCCAACCGTTTGTGTTCTTGCCAATCCTTTAAATACCCATTCAAATGCCAGAGTTGAAATTATGTTCTCCCCTACTATAGTTGCATGACTTTTTTTTTTACCATGATAACAGCATTTTAAAATAGCTTTATTCTATTTGACACATATACATGAGCAGAGACTACTTGTTTCTTTGTAGCATCTAGCACAGCACCACACACATATGTGGTGCTCAGTAAAGGTTTTTTTTTTTTTCAAGTAATTAGTCCTAGGTTGCCTCTTATTGTCTCAGTTTCATCAGCAAAATTGAAGTAGCTGTCCTGCATCTCACAGGATGCTAATAAGAGTAAAATAAAATAAAAGCTCTGCAAACAATTCCAAAAAAGAAAAGAATGGAATACAAAAGAGTGAAATGCAAAGTTCAATAGAGGACATGTAACTTGAAGTTGTATGAAACTTTCCCTGTTATACAAAACATAGCTAGGATCCAAAAATGAGGATGGAACCCCATATACTAAATCAGCAGAACTAGCCCCTCAATAACCACAATTACCTCAGTCCATATAAACAGGAGAATAGGAAGGAGGTAAACGGGAATTATTGGAGTCATGACTTTTGGCTTGGGAGGCACTGCTATGGCTTGCTCCTGCCCCTCCCCAAAAAGCCAAGTGAGACAGACTCTAAGGGAGTCACTGGCAAAGTCTGGGGGTGTCTGAAAAAAAGGAAAATCAGCACCTAATTTTCTAGTTATACATTAGGTTAGGACATAGGCTAGTCAATCTTCTGAAAGTCTATGTGAATAGAAAAAAAAACAACTCGAGAATGATGGCAGGGCACACAGAGGCCGGTGGTTCAGCTCAGCTATCACTTCTGCTTTGATGAGAGCATATAAGTTTCCGGTAGGCAAAGTGAGCACCACAAAAAATAGCTGCACTTATGCCATCATGCTGACACCAACAAAAAAAGCTAACTCTTGGGTGAAATAACCAGCAACAAGAGCCCATGGAGTATACCAGTAAATGCAAGGGCCTTGGAGGGTTAGATGAGGTGAAGCAGGACGCTGTGGATTGGGAAGGCTTTGAAATAACTCACCTTTGTGTCTCCTCTATAAATCCAGTATTTGAGTGCCTGCCATTGAGAGGGCATTGCCAATGGACAGTCATTATTGGCCCAGCAATTAATGTCAAACACAGGAAAGAAGACTTCACTAATGGCCCAATGAATCTTTCTGATTCATCCTTGTGTCCGCTCACTGGAGAAGCTAGAATATCCAAGAGGGAAGAAGAAGCTGAGAACCAGAGGCAAAATATATTGTCCCCAATGTAGGTAATAGGAAAGAAATAAAAAGAAAATCATATCCTCCTTCCCTGTGTTAGGTCCCTCAAGCCACAATGCTAGAAGTTAGCCACAAAGAGAAAATCTTCCATTTGCACAGGAAATTTGATTTTTAGACAAAGTGTTTGTTTTGTTTTGCTTTTGTTTTCAGCAGGGTCTCACTCTGTCACACAGGTTGCAGTGCAGTGGCATGATCTCAGCTCACTGCAACCTCCCCCACCCTACCCCTGGGTTCAAGTGATCTACCCACCTCAGCTCCTGAATAGCTGGGACTACAGCCTGTGTGACACCACACCTGGCTAACTATTTTTGTATTTTTAGTAGAGATGGGGGTCTCACCACGTTGCCCAGGCTGGTCTGGAACTCCTAAGCAATCCACCTGCCTTAGCCTCCCAAAGGGCTGGGATTACAGGTGTGAGCCACTTCACCTGGCCAACAAAGTGGGTTTTTAATCACTGAAATGCACTGGGAAATTATAGAATTTTTCCAAGATGTGATAATGTGATAAGATATCTGCTACAGGAGGTAAGGGGAATTTAAAATGGTCTTGTTAGTGGCAGTATTTGGAGAAAACTATAAACATTTCTGATTTATACTTCTACAAGTTCGGCTTATTTAATAACCTGCAGAGAGAGGGAAAAAGAGAGAGAGAGAGATGACTGTTACCTTAAATTCATGTTCCCCTTGATTTAAACATTTTTAACTAACATAAGTATTTGGTGCTAAATGCTGGGGTTACAAGTTGGGACAATATTGAGACAAACCATTCCTTCCTACCATGGAGATAAACACAAGTGTAAGAAGAAGTTGGGAAGATTACCAACATACATTGAAAATGTGACCACTTATCACCATTGTAACAAATTATTTTGGTCAAAAATACTTTTTGATGTTTCCAGACCCTACACAGCTAGCTTGGTGTGTAATTAAGCATTATCATTGCTGCCTTGAAGGAGCACTGTCAGGTACATTTCACTGTCTCAAACAAGTTTCTCTGAAAAATGTGTGTGTGTGTGTGTGTGTATGTGTGTGTCTTAGGGTTAAAACAGTTTTTTGTTTTGTTTTGTTTTGTTTGAGACAGAGTTTCGCTCTGTCACCCAGACTGGAGTGCAATGGCGAGATCTCGGCTCACTGCAAACTCTGCCTCCAGGGCTGGGCGCGGTGGCTCACGCCTGTAATCCCAGCACTTTGGGAGGCTGAGGCGGGTGGATCACAAGGTCAAGAGATCGAGACCATCCTGGCTAACACGGTGAAACCCTGTCTCCACTAAAAATACAAAAAATTAGCCGGGCGTGCTGACAGGCGCCTGTAGTCCCAGCTACTTGAGAGGCTGAGGCAGGAGAATGGAGTGAACCTGGGAAGCGGAGCTTGCAGTTAGCCAAGATCATGCCACTGCACTCCAGCCTGGGCTACAAAGCGAGACTCCGTCTCAAAAGAAAAAACAAAAAACTCTTCCTTAACTCCTGAGTAGCTGGGACTACAGACTCATGCCACTACGCCCGGCTAATTTTTTTTATTTTTAGTAGAGAAGGGGTTTCACCATGTTAGCCAGGGTGGTCTCGATCTCCTGACTTCGTGATCTGCCTGCCTCGGCCTCCCAAAGTGCTGGGATTACAGGCGTGAGCCACCGTGCCCAACAAAACAGTTTTTAAAAAGTGAGTTCTTTTTCTTCATTAAAACATTTATTTAACCTTTGAACAGTGTATTTTTCCTACTAACAAAATTTGGTTTTGATGTATTATTCTTATCACTTAATCGCTTTGCTAGTGTTTCCAAATTAATGATCTCAACTAGAATAGTATTCCAAAAGGTTATTAGTTTAACTCAGTATATTCTCAGGATCTTTGGATAAATCTTAAAAAGAAAGCCTAGGAAAAAGCAATATTAGTTGAGGTGATGCAAAATAGGTTTAGTGACTGTTTGCTTTTTTAATAAACAGGGTAAATATACCTGAGACTGAATTGTGTGCCCCTCCCCTTGCCATTCACACGTTAAAGCCTAATCTGCAATGTGACTATATTTGGAGACAGGACATTTAGGAGGTAATTAAGGTTAATGAGGTTATAAGAATAGGGCCCTAATCTGGTAGAATGAATGTTCTTAGAAGAAGAGACACAAAAAGCTTGTTCACTCGCTCGCTGTCTGCACAAGCATGCATCATGGAAAGGCCACCAGCAACTTGGGAAGAAAACTGTCACCAAAAACCAAACCCTGCTGGACATAGATCTTGGGCTTGGAGCCTCCAGAACTGTGGGAAAATTAATTTCTGATCTTTAAACTATGCAGTCTGTGGTATTATTTTGTAGCAGCCCTAGCTGACCAATGACCAATGTAATCTGCAAATAATAAGATTACTTTAAAAAAAATCCATTTAGCCCTTGGACACACACACACACACACACACACACACACACACACTTACTTCACAGAGAAATCTATTTGAGACCATAGAATTAGTTGATACATGTAAAAGTAACTTTAGGATGAGAAACTTCCCTTTCCGATGGTTTCAGAAACCAATTGGGTAAGAAACGTAACTATTATCTGTTTGGAAATTGGTATTTCCAGCACTTCCTCCAGTGAGATACAGAATCACATTCTCATTTATTTTATGCTTTTGATTCCATCTTGTCTGACTGTATGGCCTTTAAGTCAACCATCCCAGTTTATTTAACCAGTCTCCTATTTTTCAATGTTTCAGAATTTTTATAATATTTTACTATTCATTCATTTGGCAAATGTTTACTGAGCACCTTCTAGGTGCCTGGCACTATTTTAAGGGACACAAAATTCCTGACATCACAACACAGGAAGATAAGCAAAATTCAATTTACCAAGGATGTATATCAGATGGAGATAAATATTATTGAAGGAAATAGGAAAGGTGGGTGGAGGGAGCACATTGCTTTTTACATGGAGGGAATAGGATCAGCTTCACAGACAGTGAAGCAGAAATGTGGACGGTCAACAGCAAAGCCCTGAAGAGGAAGCATGCTTGGTTCGTGTAGGAACAGCAATGAAGTCTGTGTAGCCCGATGAAAGGGAGCAAGGAGAGAAGGGGTAGAAAGTAGATATTAGACCAGAGAAGTTTGTCATGGACTGCGATGGGGTAGATCACATGGGGCCAGTTGGGCTTTTCCTCTGAGATGAGAAAACTATAGAGCTCTTAAAGGCTTTTGAAGAGTGACCTTATTTGACATAAGTTTTAAAAGGATTACAATGACTACTATGTGAAAATCGGATTATAGGTAACAAAGGAGTGGAGGTTGAAAGAGGGATCAGATTCTGGACATATTATGAAGCTAGATCTAACATGATTTGCTCATCGATGTGATGTAGAATATGAAAGACAGAAATCTTTGAATACTTTTCTGATTATTTATTCTTGATAATTTTTTTGAATTGGAAGCCTAGATCAAAGACTATACCCATTTAAAAGTCTTTCAGATATATACTGTCAAATTGTCCTCTGAAACCTGAAAAAACATTTTTACACATTTTTTTTTGAAACAGCGTCTGAGACTATTTCTCAGCAGCATAGGAAAATAACATGGTATTATCATTATTTTTAATATTGACAGTTTAATAGGGAAATATGTTTTTGTATCTTAGTTTTATCCTTAATGATTCTGAATATTTAATATTTTTATTGGTCAATGGTATTGGCCATTTTTTTTCCACTAGGGAGTTCATCTATTTATCATTTAATATTTTTAATTATAATTCTTATTTAAAATTTTACTTACTTATTTATAAAATCCATTCTCTTTTCCTCCTGGAAACCCAGATAAGCTACATTTCTCAGCCATTCTTGCACTTAGGGGTAGTCATATGTCCAAATTCTGGGTAGTGGAACATCAGTGGAAGTGATGTAGACTACTTGTAGACCATGTAGGCCATGAAAACCTTCCTTGTATGATCCTCCACACTCTTTTCTACTCAAAGCTAAGTGGAAAGAAAGAACCCCAAAGGAGCCCACAGGAGTCACATGGTGAAAATGGCACAAGAAGGGAGGATCTTGGCAAACTAAATCACTACTTATAGGAGAGTTGCCCACTAAGAACACCGGTTTTGAAGTGTTGTAAGAAATATACTTTATTGTGTTAAGTCACTGAGATTTCAGGGTTTATCAATTACAGCAGCAGGTGTATTTCCTAACTATTAAAGAAATATATAGAAAGAATTGTAAGAATTTCTTTACCTTCATTAATTAAATATGTGGACCTTTTGCTCCATGGAGAAATGTAAAACTTTCTTCTTTGACTGGACACTGATCTATGTTTCCTGGTACTGAGAGACTGACCCACTCCTTTTACTTCCTTCTTTAAGCGAACAGTTCCAAGAACAGAAGGTAATGGAGTCAAACAGGTCAAATCACTCTGACTCTCACTCTCATGTTCTCTCTCACAGATACCTCTTGTCTAAAGGATTGCAATACCTTCTGACCAAAGCAGACAAACTGGCAACATTGTTAATTTGTCATAGAAAGCCTCTTTGTTTCCTGTTTTCCAGAAAATACTCTCTTTGGATATTCTCCCTGCTGCAACACCCTGTATGAAGTGCCCAACACCTGCAGTCTCAGACAACTTTTGAAAGTTATAAACCTGTAATAAATAAGGCGAATATTTTTTCCTAGTTTGTAGTTTCTCTTTCAATGTTTGCTGTGTTTAAAACATTCTTACTGTCTATGTGGTGTCTCTGTATATAATCTTTCTTTAGATTCTCTGTGATTTACAGCCCATGAAATGTCAAACTGTCTTCTTTTCTGATAGAATTCCTGTCCTCATTCTTTCTTGCTTCATGTTAAGCCCAGAGTACATGATACTCTTAAATTAAATGGCATTCAGATGTGTGCCATTCTACTCATTGTTCTTTCACCTTTAGTGAAAGTGTGGGTAGAGTGTTGTTTCCCACTTGGTTCCTCTCACACCTATTGAACATTCACGCTGAAGGCCGCTCTCCCTCTTTGGTCATCTGACACTTGATATGCCTCATGTCACTCAGTCTTTCTGAGGGATACCGCCTTGTTTGCCTGGACAGTTTGTTACCAGCCTCACTTGTCACATATTCTCACTGATCTCACCGATCACCCTAGCCACATTAGTCAACACTAACTAGTCAGACTAGCTAAACTGATCCTACTCAGCTGTCTCTAACAGTGGCCTGCATAATGGGTGGGGATTTTAATTTACCAATTACATATATATATATATATATATATGTATTATATACATTAGGAAGATGTAGTAGTTGCCGATGGCTGCCATAACGACTTACCCACAAACTTAGTGTCTTAAAACAATGCAAATTTGTCTTATAATTCTGAAGGTCAGAAGTCCAAAATGGTTAACCTTGGTCACTGGGTTAAAATCAAGCAGTCAGGAATTCTGCATTCCTTTGTGGGATATCTAGTGGGGAATCCATTTTCTTACTTTTTCTGGCCTCAAGAGACCATTAGCATTCCTTACCTCCTGGCTGACTCCCTCCTCCATCTTCAAAGCCAACAATGAAGCATCTTCAAATCTCTGACTCTGACTCTCTTGCTTTCTCATTTCACTTATAAGGACCCTTGTGATTATTTACATGGATAATCCAAGAAAACCTTTTCATCTCAGTATCTTTAACTTAATCTCATCTGCAAAGTCCCTTTTGCCACATGCTGTGGTTTGAATGTGTCCCCCAAAATTCATATGCTAAAATTTAATCACCAATGTGATGGTATTTCAGAGGTGACTCAGTCATGGGGGCAGAGTCCTCATGAATGGGATTAGGGCCCTTATAAAAGGGTTAGAGAGAGTGGGTTCATCCCTTTTTTGCCCTTTGGTTCCATCTGCCACATAAGGACATAGCATCCATTCCCTTCAGAGGATGCTGTAACAGGGCGCTATCTTGCAAGCAGAGAATGACCCTCACTGGGCACCGATTTGGCTGGCACCTTGATCTTGGACTTTACAGCATCCAAAACTGTGAGAAATAAATTTGTTTGTAAATAACACGGTCACAAATATTTTGTTATAGCAGCACAAATGAACTAAGACACTATGTAAGGTAGCATATTCACAGGTTCTGGGGTTTAGAATGTGGACATCTTTGGTAGGCCTTTATTCTACTTACCACAGAAGGATATATCGACACAATAACACAAAGGCAAGCCCCTTCCATGGTTTTTCTATGACTCTTAAATTTAGTCTAGTCATGAACTATTCAGTGCATATATTTTCTCAGAGAAAAATCTCAACTCTTCTTAATTTTTTGCTTAGTTAATATGAGTTGGTTAATATAAAGCTTTAAAATTTTAGAAGAAAGTAAAATATAGGCCAGGCATGAGGGCTCATGCCTGTAATCCCAGTACTTTGGGAGGCCAAGGTGGGAGGACCACTTGAGGCCAGAGGTTTGAGACCAGCCCAGACAACATAGAAGACAAAAAACTTAAAAGATTAAGCCAAGCGCAATGGCTCACGCCAGTAATCCCAGCACCTTGGAAGGCCGGGGTGGGCGGCACACATGTGTCCATGTGTTCTTATTGTTCAATTCCCACCTATGAGTGAGAACATGCGTACACCTACTAGGTCTTAAGCCTTGATTGTTCAGTCCTATCATGTGCACCAGGGAGAGGAAGAGAGCTAGTGTAAAAGCTGGACTCAGAGAAGAGCTGACCTTTCATATAGAAATGGGAACCTATTGGATGACAAAAGTAAAATGTAAGGGACATAGGGGATGGGGGGTAGAAGATAAGAAAGAAGAGAAATAAGAAAGTGAGGGAGAACAATATAATTAGATATTCATACCAGGGAAACAAAGGCATGACTAGAAAGGCAGAGGAAGGGTGAGCCAGAAATGAAATGTCGTATGTATGTGCATACAATTTATAATGCAAAAGATGCTTTGTATATAGATTCTCACTTCAGAGTAAACCTGTGTAATAAATAAGTGGGACAGATAATACTATTGAGCCATATATATCCAACCCTCAATTTCTTATCTCATGAAACATCTCCACAGGTTTATACCCAATTATACCACAATTGAGACTGGTTTTGCTAGAGGTATCCTAGGAAATAATAATTGGTTTGAAAGGGAAAGGTGGGGTATCAAAAGTAAGCAGAATACGTAGAATTTATTTAAGTATAGGGCAGGCTGTTACAGGGGTTGGTTAGCACTGTCCAAATGGTCAGGAAAAACTGTAGTGTGTTCCAGATCAAATCCGTACCCAAGGGCACCTAATCTAGCTGTGGAGGTACAGTGGCAAGGTTATCTAGGAAGAACTGAAATTCAAATCAGAAGAGCACTGAACCAGCTGATGAAGAATTAGAAGCCAATAATTAGAGGCCCAGGTCTAACCTGTGGAGAAAGGGTTAGCTTGGGCTCCACAGGTTGTTGGGTATTAGTGAAGTAGGTTTAAATTCAAGGAAGAGCATAAGAGTTAGCAGCAGAAATCAGAGCTGGGGGTGGGTGTGGCAGACACCCAGGCACATGTAGACTGGGAAAATATGGGGGAAAGCTGTGGCTTGGAGGACACAAGTTGATAAGCTCAGAATTCCTAAGCAGAGGCCAGATGATATCCTGACCATGGCCCTGGTGGATACGTTTTTTGTTTTGTTTTGTTTTGTTTTTTTAAAAAATGTATTTTGTCTTACTTATTTTTTTACACAGGTTTACAGGTTAGCCCTGGTCAAAAATGGGAGAGATGCAAAGCTGAGCCAATTGGGGAAGCCAAGGATTTTCATACTTTATTTATATCTCAAGTGAAAAAGTTTCTGACAATAAATTGGGTTATCTTTGATATTAACACTAGCTAACACATTTTAATGAGGGCTTACTACATTTTGTGAATCATCCCAATTTATCCTCAAAGCAATCCTTGAAACAGACACTACTAGTATATACATTTTACTGAGATAGACACTGAAACACTCATTATGTTACTAGCCTTAAGTATTGAAATTGGAAACCCAATCCAAAACATCTGGTCCCAAATCCTTTCTTTTAAAACATGTCTGCCTCTCATATAGAGATTGCTTATGTTGAGAAGTATGAAGCCATACACAGATGGTGGTAGCTATGATAATCCTTTAATAATTAGTTTTTAGTCAGAGTCTGCAAAAATGTATCTTGTTCAATTCTATTAGGATGCTCTCCTCTTGAATTTGAAAATTAGGCTGTTCACTTTTATCATTTCCTCAATTCTACACTATTCCTCTTCCTCCTTATCTTTCCACCAAGGCTATTTGCAGCTGGTCATTTATCTTAGCTGCCTTCCATGTCTTTGTTCTATTCTCCCAAAGGTTTTTACCTATTATTTGAATTATTTATTCCAATCCCTTCATATGAGCCATTAACATAATGAGATTCTTATCTTCACTGAAGACACAACTTTAAAAAAACCTCATAATTAAATTGGAGTAGATATAATACAATTAATATTTTTTTCCTTTCTAGGGTAAATTATACATATGTTGTATTTTGGTAGTCTGCATTATAATCTCTATTTTTATACAATAAAGAATTTTACTTTTGGTTTTAAAATTTGAAAAGGAAAATAGTCACTGTTCTAATAATTTCATGCACTACTATAATAGTTGTCAAGAGTAAACATAAAAATTTTAGTTACTGTTGCCTTACAATAACCTTTTAACTTGATAGTAATGTTTCACATTTTCCTTTGCTATGGTCTCTGATCAAATACTTGTAAATTTTCTGATGCAGTTTTTCTAGTCAAAACTATCTCTTTTTTTTTGTCAAAACTATCTTTTAAAGATTTTTTAGGAATATAGAATTTCTGTCAGAAATCGATGTTTGGGGAATCACTTTGATTAGCCCACTAATGATGGGCTGATAACCTTGCCACTGTACCTCCACAGCTAGATTAGGTGCCCTTGGGTACGGATTTGATCTAGAACACAGTACAGTTTTTCCTGACCATTTGGACAGTGCTAACTAACCCCTGTAACAGCCTGCCCTATACTTTCTGGGCACTGATATTAGAAGGTGGGGAAACAGAAGTCAGAAAATTATTCATCATGAGTAAAGGAAAAATACATTTTTTTTCCTCTGACAAGGAGATAAGACTGAGAAAGAAAGAAACAAGAATTGAAGAGAGAGCAACCAAAAAGAAAGAAAAAAAGCAGCTAGAAAGACCAGTAATTTGTGTGAAGCAGCAGTAACAAGATAGAAAATAGAATAGAAAAACATCCCTTTCATTATCCACAAAGCAAAAACTACACAAAAATTAACATAATAAAACAGTGTACTAGCTAAGACTCTCCTAACAAAATATTCAAACTATAAAAGAACATTTAAAAGGGCCAGAACAACTGCATAGATGAGGAAGTAAGTTTAAGGATGATAAGAAGGTTGGAAGAAGTTGGAGTTCTGATGAGGGTATGACCATAAAGAGGCAGTACAAGGGAGTTTCTTCAAGGTGATGGAACATTTTTGTGCCCTGATTTTGGGGTGGTTACACAAATCTATACATGCAGTAAAATTGTACAGAACACACAAAAAGAATGCTTGTAAAACTGGTGAAATCCAAATAGTCTATGGCTAATAGTATTGCATCAGGGGCAGTTTCCTCTGTGTGCGTGTGTGTGCGCATGCGCGCATGCACACGTGTTTTAATTTTCAATTCAGGGGGTACATGTGCAGGTTTGTTAGATGAGTATATTGTGTAATGCTGAGGTTTGGGTTTCTAGTGAACCCATCACTCAAATAGTGAACATAGTACTCAATAGACAGTCTCTTATCCCTTGCTCCCTTCTTCTCCCCTTTTTGGAGTCCCCAAAAAGGGTCAATTGTTTCCATCTTTATATCCAAGCATACCTATTGTTAAGCTCACATTTGTAAGTGAGAACATGGGTATTTAATTTTCTGTTTCTATATTAATTCACTCAGGATAATGGCTTTCAGCTGCATCCATGTTGTTGCAAAGGACATAATTTTATTTTATTTTTTTTTACGGCAGCATAGCTGGTTGAAGAGTATAAAGGAACTCTATTTTTTTGGCAACTTCTAAGTGAGCCTAAAATAAATCAAAACATAAAGTTTTCCAAAAAAGGCACATGCTAAATGACTCATGTATCAACGAAGAAATCAAAAGAGAAATTAGTACTTTGAATTGGAAAAAAAAACACAACAAACCAAAATTTGTGGAATGCTCTAAAGCAATCCTCAAATAAAAAATTATCCCATGAAACTGTCTGTATTAGAAAGAAAAAAAATTTCAAGTCAACAGCCTCAGCTTCCACTTTAAAAAACTAGGCACAAAGGAGCAAATAAAACCTAAATTTAGCAAAGGAAAGGAAATAATAAATCTGAGAGAACTGATGTGTTCAGAGGGAGCATGGCTTTGACATCTTAACTTCAAACTTTAGCCTTCAGAATTATAAAATAATACATTTCTATTGTTTTAAGCCACCCATATTTTGATACTTTGTTACTGCAGGCCAAGGAAACTAACACAGCTTGTAAGGATCACGCAGCTGCTGTTTGTATTATGATATTTATATTAAGTGGATTTATTAACAGTGGTCACATTTGAGGACTGGAGTTAGAGAAAGGAATTCTTAAATTCACATACATATTTTATTTAAAAGTAATGTTATTTTAAGAATATTTAAGTAAATTATATATGGTAAAATAGCTTCATGTTGTATTTTAAGGATAACTTAAATACTAAAAAATTAAAGTAACTTCTATACAAGGATAAAAGAGTGTACCTGTCTGTAGAATAAGTAAATAAGAGCTGTACTAACTAGTCAAATGAGTATAACTAAGATTTTAACACTGTTAAAAATGACATATCTTTTCCCAATTTCTATTCGATAATTTATAACTTTTGCTGAAAAAGTAAATCAAATATTTTAATTTGTAGCTTGTGATTAGATAATACATTTAATTTTTCTTTAAAAAAACTAAGGAAGTAAAGGTGGAAATCTTTGATGTGTTTTTGTTTTCCCTTTCCCAGTGCTTTCCATTCTTAATTCTACTCACCATGTTACTCAAAACAGGCACCACTAATTACCCAATTTCAGTATAATCAAAATGCTAGAAGGAAATAAAGTACCTTAATGACATGTCTTAAGCCTTCCAAACCTTGATAGCGTAAACCAAAAAGCATCCGAGACAGGACTCAATCAATTTAGAATTTTATTTTGCCAAGCTTAAGGATATGCCCGGAAGAAAGAAACACAAATCCACAGGAACAATCTATGGTTCATACCTTTTTAGAAAGATGATTTTGAGGGCTTCAGTATTTAAAGGGGGAAAGCAGGCTGGAGGGGAAAGAGAGAGGATATGGTCCCATTGCTGACTCCATGTGTTGCAAGAGAAAAGGAGCAGGCTGGGGAATAGTCAATTAGGTAATCCTCTTACGCTCAATAAATTGGCACTTTACATAAGGTGAACATAGAGTACCTACCTATGGAGATATCTGACCTTTTATCTGTAGCTATTAGCTTAGGAACAAAAGCGAGCAGTTTCTTGCATGACTCAGCGTTCAGCTTACTTTCTTCCTTTTGGCTTTGTGAATTGGGGTACCGAGATTTTGTTTTTTTTTCCACAATGGGAGAATCATAATGACAAATTTATAAATATAATATATAATTTTTCTTACCCTTTGTGAAATTCTTCATTTAAATTCCTAAAATTTTATGAGATTAAAATACATTTAGTAACAATCAACTTTTTTAATACAAAGATTCTAGAAAAGCTTAAGGTACATTATTAGCTATGGTCATTCATTCTGTCTTGAAGTTTAATAGAAATGCTTTTTTCAGCACCGAACTGTGATCTTCAGGACCATCCTTCCCTCCTTTCCTCTCTCCCTCTCTTCCTTCCTTTTCTCTTGTTCATTCTTTCATTCTTCCTCTTTTTTTGAGGGGTTGGAGTAGAAGGGTAGGCATATACAATTGTGAGGTCTGGAATCTACTTCATATAAGGACAAGGAGCAACTCTGGATAAAAAGAGAGTAATATACATGCTTTATTTGCCTGCAACTTGTGGGAAAGAGCATCAGAAGGCAGGAGAGGCACTTGGAAGGGGAAGTGAGAGAACATTGAAGATAAATCCCACTTCTTCTGTGGTTTTTTACTAGGGTGGATACTCATGTACTGACAAGCAAGTATCATCTTTAGCAGACTCTACCTGAGATAATGATCTGCTTTTATTTGTCACTGATTTTACTTTCCACAGGGTATCAGGATGAGGAACCTTCAAATCATGCATCACATTGAATCTCTTGGTGGCAAAGGTAGCATGGAGGTGGCACATAGCATCTGTGGTACAGGTAGGAGATTGCTAACCCTTGTTCAAGATGACATTGATAGGCAAATAGCCAGGAATATGCTTTTCTCTTGGAAGTGCCTACTCCACTTACTCTGAAAGGCTGACTCCTCACGATTCAGATCTCTGCCTACATGTTACCTTCTCAGGTAGATCATCTCTGAACAGATTCCCACCCCCATCCCATATACCTTATTATTCTGTTACAGTACTCTATTGGTTTCCTACATAGTACTTAATATAATTTGTGCTTGTCCATTTTTTTGTTTACTTACATATTGACTAATACATTTATTTACTTGTTTGTTACAAGTAAATAATGTCTTTATAAGAGGAATATGCCTTTTTAGCTCTCCAACATTTGCCCAGTGTTTATCGCAGTACCTGGAGCATAGCAGTTTCTCAATAAATATCAGTGGAAAGGAGTAATTTAAAATTTAAATTTAAAAAATCCAAACATGAGGCTGTAATTCTTATTGTGATTCTCAAAGATCCTGATTACTTGGTCGGGATTTTGATGGAGAAGCAGGAAGAGAGACAACATGTATTTCTGCCTCCAGATTAAGTAAATATTGTAGAAGAAGGAAAATAATTATTTCATTTATTAATCCTAGCGTGCATATTTGATATCTCTTAATATTAAAATAGTTCCTGCTATCTCTTGTATTTGTAATACTCCTCATGTTTATCTATTGCAAGTATATATTAGCACTTATGGTATTTCAAGAAATAGGTAGTACCGGAGATCCAATGAGATGCAAGACAACCTGCCTCCTTCCTAAAACTGAAAAGATGTTAGTAAACACTGACTTGGAGTTTTTTCATAATGGCATCTTAAATTGTATTTTTTTATACATGCTTTTTTTGGCATACTTAGATAAAAAGACTATTCTTCACTTCCATAAAGAATTATGCTTTCTCTTATTTTTTTTGAAATCTGTGTCTTTTTGGCTTGTGTTTTCTTACCTTTGGTAGAAACATGGATATCAAAACAGTTTACCTTTAATTTCACTATAAAAAATAACAACTGTTCAAATGCATGTAAGCAGCAACTGACATTTGGCCTCAGTGATGAGGCAACAACAGAGAACAGCAGAACTTGGGAACCTGCAGAAGACATGCACCAAATAAAGGGCACACTACCCCTGCTACTCTATAATTTCAATGTTTGTCAGAGCTCACATTTGCAAGAGAACTAGAAGTCTAGATTTCTTTTAACATGAAATGATCTGATTTTTAAAATGTTTGGGGGCTAAATTAAAAAACCAACAAAGCATATGTGGCAACACTGTAGTAACAGGTCAACAAATATTATGTTAGACCAGATTTAGCCCTCAAGATGGCTGTTTCCTCCATCCTACGGGGTACTTTTCATTTTCAGCAGAGAGAAACTTTGACCACTAACACTTGGGAATATTTAAGGGGAATAATGACTGTCTTGCCAGTTCCTTTCATAGACCATAACAGGTACTTAATAAATAGTAGTTGAGTGGACACACTGAATGCATAAGTCATTCACACGTTGTTACTGTGGTTCAAGAATTAGAACAATTTAGTGTATATGAAGAGAGAAAATTGGACAATAAAAATTATTTACATATTTTGTAACCATAACAGTTAACAACTTCAAGCACTTTCTCTGTGCTAGGTACCATGCAAACACTTTATAAGGATCACTCCACCAATTCCTTATAATGATTCTATGTAGTAAGACTATAGCTGTCCTTTAACTTATCCAGAGCTGGTAAGCTGCAGAGTTAATAAGAAAGATATAAAATAATTCTGACACCAAGGCCCATGTCTTAATTGTTATTATTTTATGTAAATTTGTATTGAGGAATAACAAGCCCACAATAAAGACCTAAGAAACAGGCAGTGTTTTGTTTTGAAAGATGACTGTGGTTTTCAAGTAGGTAATATAAAAGGACAGAAAATGGAAAATGAGAAATTTTGAAAACCATGGGACCTATGGAGAAATTGTAGGTTCAGAAAGAAAACACAAGGACCCAGAATAAGATGAAGGACTTGCCCTAGGGAAAATCAATGAAAAGCTGAGTGCTCAGAATCAGGAAAAATGCTGTGTAGGGTAGTTATTTTCAATCCTGGCTGCATATTAGAGTCATTTTCGGGAGCTTTTTAAAAAGCATCTATGTGCTTGGTCCCAGCAGCAGAGTTTTTTTGAGGGGAGAGAGACCAGGACATCAGTATTAAAAATAAGACTAACCAATACAAACACTTCAGATGATTCTTAAGTGCAGTCAGATTAAAATTTCTGCTTTAAATTACCCAGTAACATACAAACTGAACTCCTAAGGCTCTACAAAGTTGCCTCAAATTCTCCGAAGAGTGGGCAGGATTACATGCTACTCATTCCCTTCAATCTCATTGGTTCATTTTTATCTGTTTCATATACCAGACTTCTGTATAAGATTTCACTTGAAAAAATAGTTCTGCATTAAAAATAATTCAAAACAGGTTTTTAATTTTCCCATTTCTCTCGGTTTATAATAGGTAATTGACATAAAGGGGCAAATACAGTGACTTCCACAAAACATGTTGACCTCAAGAACACATTACGGTAGCTTCGATCAGAGACCAGGTAGATACGTATGAGGTTGATGGCACTGGAAACTAGAATGCTGCTTCAGTGCTACCCACGTTCTCCATAAGTGTCCTAATCAGTAGTGGCCCTGAGATAACAGAAAAGAGAATATGAAAAATGTATTATTTATCTTTCCAATCTTTGAAACTTCTTTCAACTCTGTAAAGTTGCAGTGGATACTGAGTACCAACTTGCCATTAAGTTTCACACATAGGATTCTTTCCTGATGCCATGTAAGTTTTCAGAGAAAAGTAAAAGAAAAAAATATATCATGAAAGAAGAAGAAAAATAACTTAGCAAAAAGAATTTGGAAATGGGAAAATAGAAAACAAAACAGAGATTTTAAAATATTGCAACTGAAAATATTTGAAGAAAGTGTAATACAATATAAATTAAGAGACAGGCTAGAAAATTGAAAGGCCAAAAGATAAAGTTCTATAAAATAGTTCCTTTCATTTACTGATATCCAGTTAGTGCAGAGGTTGCCATTGGGTAAAACATCATCACAGAGACAAGATTTGTCTTCTAATTACCATGAGCTGGTTTGATGCTACAGTTGAAAAATATTGAGCATAAATTATAGGACAATACTTCCATAATTGTATAATTTTAAGGCTGAAGGTGACTTTAAGTGTTCTTTTATCTGCCTTTATTATCCCTAAGTAGTCATCTAGTTCATGCTTGATTAAAATGTTTATTAAATGGCTTCTATGGGCTAAGCATAATACTAAGTAATGAGGACCCAAAGGCAAACGAGACAGACCTAGTTATTCTATGTTTCATTATATTCAAGTTCATGAAACAGATAGAAGGCAAGTAAAAGTATTAAAAGGGGGAATAAATAGGGTGCTTTCAATAGAGAACGAATGGTTAAGAACTGTGAATAATTCTAGACAGGGCGGTCAAGGGGTGACGGTGGATAAATATTTCCAGTGGTAAGAAAGCTCTATTTCCAGAAGCACTGCATTCCTCGAGGAAAAGAAAGTATGGAAGTTCAAGGCACTGAAGTCCAGAAAGGCTCAAATAGATTATATCAGGTGTGGTGTGCGATGAGACTGGAATGGGCCTTGAGAAGCATATTAAGAAGTATACATTTTATTGAGAACCCACTTAAGTTGAAACTCCTAAGTTGACTTGAATTTTATAAAGTTCTTATTGTGTTATAAAGAATAAACTGGAGAGAAGCACGTTTTCATAATACAGGTGAGAAATGATTCGGGCTTGGACTTAGAGTGGTGCTAGTGGAACTAAAGGTGAGTGGATTGATTTGAAACATATTTAGAAACTAAGACTTAATTATTTGTTGATATTAAAGGGTAAGGGAAAAAAAGTAGTCAAGAATTACACTAAGGTTCCCAACATGAGCAAGCAAAAGGTCAGTAGTGCCACTTATTGGCTGATTGGTTGTAGTTTATTACATGTTAATTATATCTCAGTAAAACTGTTTTTAGAAAGCCAAAAGGAGATTCTGTCAGACAGTAATAAGTGACAGTGATAGAGCAGGCAAAGTGATTGACAGTTCCTTGCAATAGATGATATGAATGTGGTGGATACCATTATGTAGGTTGTTACTACATAAGGCATCTCTGATGAAGTGAAACATAAATTTTGACCTTAATAACAAAAAGTCAGTTTTACAAAATTTCAGGAATGTTTTTCCCAAGTCAAGGAAGCACCTAGGCAAAACTTTGGTGACAGGAGGAAATCTGATTTTTGTAAACACAGAAAAAAATAAATATGGCTAAAGCTCTAGGACTCGGAGTAAATGGGATCAGAGATGAATCCAGAATATACGGGGCTGTCTGGGGTGTAGAGTGGTGTCATGTACTAAGATTTCAAAAAGAATCCTGGAAACACATAAATTTTAGTTTAAAAGAACAAAAGACTAAACAAACCAAAAACCCAGAGAACCAACTTAATTGTGTGAGCCAATTCCCATAATAAATATCCTCTTACATATCTATTATATTCCTTTAGTTCTGTTTATCCGGAGAATCTTAATACACACTAGAACTTGAGAGAAAGGTCCAGTTGGCACATAGATGTGGTAATTGAAGAATGGGATGAAGTTGGCAGAAAGTATGTAGAGTGAAAATGAGCCTGGGCCAGAGCCCTAGGGAACTCAGCAAATTTCAGGAAGAGATAGAAGAGTCAATAAGGAGCATCCAGAACCAAAGGAGATAAAAAGGAAGAGGGTGTATCATAGAAGCCAAGAGAGGAGACAGGCAACACCCAATTTAACAAGGACATCTCAGATGGCGTTGACTGCTATGGAGAGAAATCAAGCAGGTTAAACAGGAAACTAAGACAGCTGGGTGGGAAGAGCACATTGGGTTTTTGTAGAAGTGTGGACAGAAGGGAGAGTCAATCATGCCAATATTGCAGTAAATAGTGTCAAATATTGCTGAGAAGTTAAGCAAGATAAGGGCTAAAAAGTGACAGCTATTTTGTGTGATGGGAAAATATGCAGCGGTTAAAAATGTTTTTGAAAAATAATTGACTTGGCAAAATGTCTATAACTGCAAGTGAATGAAGCAGAAATTTATATATAGTATTATTCTAAATTTGAATAGTAATTTAATTGACCAGAAGGAAATATACTGTTTTCAGGGTCTCTCTACATGGTGGGATCATAGGTGAAACAGTCTGGCTCTTTCTCCCCACCCAAATCTCATCTTCATTGTAATTCAAATTGTAATGCCCACGTGTTGGGGGAAGAACCTCGTGGGAGGTGATTAGACCATGGGGGTAGTTCCCCCATGCTGTTCTCATGATAGTGAGTGAGTTTTCATGAGATCTGATGGTTTTATAAGGGGCTTTTCCCCTCTTTGCTTTGCACTCTCTCTCCTGTCACCTTGTGACATAATTTTAAGTTTCCTGAGGCCTTCCCAGCCATGCAGAACTGTGTCAATTAAACCTCTTTTCCTTATAAATTACCCAGTCTTGGGTATTTCTTTATAGCAGCATGAGAATGTACTAATACAACAGGTAACATTTATCATCATCTATATACTTTTCAAAATTTCTGCGGAAATGTTTAATTTATAAAAGCAAAATAGCTTTTTAATATATGTTAAAAAACATAAAGAAGTAAATAACTATCCAAAAAGCTGCCACACAGATATAAGTACTATTAATGTTTTGGCAACATCCAAATATTTTTTTCTACATATATTCTGGATAGCATTTACTGAGCATTCACAATGTATAATGCACTGTGCTGAGAAGTCTTGTAAATATGTAAGATTTTATAATCTAATACTATGCTGCTATTGACCTGAGATACTGCATTTCTAACAAGTTTCCAGGTAATGCCAATGCTGTTTTTCTGAAGGCCATACTTTTCAATAAAAGTGTTGTACATTAAAATATTGTTATATGGAGGTCTGTGAAGGGGAAACAGTGCAGGGAGGGGAAAGAAAAAAGGAGACTTGGGCTTTCCTTTCCTTGAGAATCAATTGTCAGATGCTCAGAATTCATTATGCTACATTAAAGCTCAATTGGGAGAAATAAGTAAATTGTGGTCTCATAACATATTGGGGATAAATCCACTATGAAGGCAGACTACTTCCTCATTTGAAAGGTAGCAAAATTGAAGAACTTTAGTTACTGAGTCCTTCCCATGCATATTCCATTCTTCACTTAGTGTTTTAATTCCTGTTTCTTGCCTTTTCTACATCCATCCCATAGCATGTAAAGTATAATTATCTTCATTGTTGTATTTCCTAAATCATCAGTATTTGTTATAATTTCCTCTTTGACCGAAAGATTATTTAAGAACATTAAAAAAATTCCAAGTGTGTGATTTTTCAGGGTTGAAAATTATTATTTTCTAGGGTTTTTTTTTTTTTGTAATGTGGTCACGAGTGCTTTCTAGAAATATGTTAAAGTTTTCTCTACATTTGAGTATAAAATCATTTAGAAATGCTTCAGGATAATTTGAAGAGAATGCAAAAATAAGGTAGAAAAGTAATATATATATTACACACATATTTTAACTATTTAACTACCTTTTATCTCTTAACTTCCCATTTACTTGATTTATCAAAAGCTGTAACTGCGCTGGGTTGGTGGCTCACATTTGTAATCTTAGTGCTTTGGGAGGCCGAGGCAGGAGGATTACTTGAGCCTAGGAGTTGGGAGACTGCAGTGAGCTATGATGTTGCCACTGCATTCCACCCTAGGCTACAAAGCAAGACCCTCTTGTCTCTAAAAAAAGAAATCATAAATGTTGAAGTCATAGTCCAACATATTTTTTTGCTATATTCTCTTTAATAATACATACAGAAGGATTACTCAATAAATTTTAAATACATAAAATGCAACAATTTAAATGTACATGTTTTTAAATAGATGTATATCGATGTACATAAGTAAAACTATCACCCACATCAAGATCTGGAACATATATTTTATATATTAATGTCATATTATTTACCATATAGTTTGTTAAATGTTACATCCTATATTGTATGTTTTACATAAAATGTCTTATGTTTAGATTTTAAGAAAAATGTTGCCATTTCTATGATTTATAGTTTCCATTATCTTTAAACTCTTTGATCATTTGTTTTATACAAATGTATCTCAGGTTAGAGATTGATTTTTGACCCAATTTCAATTGTAATAGGGCTATTTAACCAGTTTATAGGTCATCTGTACTGTCAATCTACTTTTTGCTAATTTTAGTGTCTTTTTGCTATTTTTCTTTTTACCACTTCTTTTCCAAACATTGGAATGTATATATTCTATTTTTGTAGTTAACACTTATTTCCATGTCAAATTTACTTGGAACTATATGATTTACTTGGAACTATATGATGCAGTAACTACTGTTTTTCCCCATGCATCATGTACAGAAAATGAGGATGTATCCACCCCCTCCCAAACCAGTGATTTGGAAGTTTCTTTACAGTATCAGTAGTAACATGGACAAACTTGTTATTTTTTTCCTGCTATACTTAAAAATAAGGGAAATAAAACTGTACTGTTTTCCAATTGTCAGATTTGACATTTAGAATGTTATTTGTCAAATCTACAGTGACAAAGCCCTTTTACTTAGGTTTAGCTTAAGAACATGCGTATTTGTATCTACAATACTACATGCTAAAAATAAAACAGTATTTGTCCAATATATTGAACATGTGGTATGCCCTTCCAGTTTAAACGTAAACTGAAATTTTACACCCAGCTTATGTTTCTATTTTTGTATTTAGTTTTAATGCCCTATACATAACAATTTAAACTTAATGCTCCTTAACTAGTTTTAATGCATACCATCAGTTCTTTCATACAATTGCCTCCCTATTCTTATTTTAATTCAGGTTCTCTGTTAGCTGCAGTAAATCCTTCAGCAAAATTTTCAGGGAAAGTTCTTGGTTGATATACTTTCCTAACCCCTGTATATCTAAGAATGTCTTCCAGTTTCCTTTGTAAAGAAATGATAACTTGGCAGAGTATATAATTCTTGGCTCAAAATTATTTTCCCTTAACACTCTAGATATTGTTCCACTGTCTTCTGGCATTTAGAATTGCAGGAGAAAAATCTGAGGTCAGCCTGACTTTTGCCCCTTTGTAAGTAACCTGCTTTCTCTGACTGGATGCTTGTAAAATGTTTCGTCTTTGAAATTCAAAAACGTCACCCGGATATGTCTAGATGCTGCTTTCTTTTCATTAAACTTTAAAGGTATCCTATGAGCCTTTTCCATTTGTAGATCTAGTTCGTTCTTCAATTCTGGAAAATTTTTTCAAGTAGATCCTTTATTGTTTCAGCTCCACTTGCTCTGTCCTCAGTTTCAGGTATTCCTATTATGCATAGATTGTATCTCCTGGACCGGCCCTCTAGATCTCTCTTTTTCTCCTCTTAATTTCTTTTCCCCTTTTCTCTGTATTCTGTGACAATTTGTCGTTTTGCACTTACTTCAGTAATTCGATTTTGTGGCCAATCCAGCGTGCGCCCTTCTGTTAACTCTCTCAACTTCCTGGTATTTTCCAAGCGCTCTAATAGTACCCTCTTTATCATCGCGCATAGGTGTTTAAGCTCCTGTATTATATGATTCTCAATCCTTCTTATATCTTGTTTCCATCTCTATATCCGTTTCAAGAGGAGGCATTTTCTCGATTATTTAGCGCTGCTCCTTTTTTCTCAGGGGCGGTATTACGACCTTGGAGACAATAAACATAATTTAATTCCACACAGCCCCAAACAGCCCAAAGATTCCCATTGATAATTATCGACGGCTTTATTAAAATGCGTTATTTTTCTTTCTTACCTTTTCAGTTGCTTTTCTTAGAAACAGGGACCAAAATCAAAGATTAAAGAGGTCCTCTGAAGCAGGGAATGAAATAGACGTTGAAAACTATTCCCGTTACGCCATCTCTGCGCGCCTCACGTCAGGGCCAAGAGCCTAGCGCGTAGCTTTATGGCTGACTCGGCTCTGGCGCTCTAGCCAATTCCGAGGCTGCAAACTCCGCTTCTCCGCTCGCAGTCTGGTTCCTCCCCTGCCGCCCCGCCCATCACGGCAGGGTCACGGTAGCGCGCACGCGCAGCACCCCATTTAAGTTTCTCGTCTTTGCAGTGGCTTTGCTTAGATCCGGTGCCGCCTTGAAGGCGGGGCTGGGTCCCAGCCGTAGCCAATGGAGCCCCGGGTGAGGGTTGAGGGGTGGAAGGTGCCTACTAGCCGGTGCAGGTTTCTTCTAGCGCGTGTGCTGGGGTACCTGGTCGTCATGGAGGCGGTATTGACCGAAGAGCTTGATGAGGAAGAGCAGCTGCTGAGAAGGCATCGCAAAGAGAAGAAGGAGTTGCAAGGTGAGGCGGAAGGAAGTGGGAATCTGGAAGCCGCCGCGACTGGGGGAAGGGCGCGTGGCGGGTCGATTCTGGGGAATCTCAAGGCGTGACTTATCTGGATCACCCTAGACTTCCCCTAGTAGCAAGTGGCCTCTTCTCTCTTCACCTACCCCGGCGGCCCTTTAATTCCCCAACCTTCAGAGGCTTCCCCTTCTGAGGCCTGCGGCGTGCCCCCTACCCCGCGCCGCCGCCGGGGTGCAGGTGTCTGAAAATACCTAGAAGCCGCCGTCTTGGTCCGCTCCCAAACCCACGATGCCTCCCTTTTCTATACCTGCCCCAGTTACCGATACTTGTCCCTAATGGGTGTATTTTGAATGGACCCGCCTCAGTTTAGGAGGTTCAGAAAGGATACCGGAAAGATTTAAAACTGGCTACAGTCAGGTTTTTTTCCTTCTCTTATCTCGCCAAACAACCGAAACATATTCAAGATTTTGTTAATGAAGTTTTTTTTTTTTTTGGTCTCAGCTTTATCTGGGATCTTCTCTCTCTGTAGCTGCCTGTTACGTGATGACTCTTTCTTCCATAATTACTTTTTCTGTACCCTTCGCCCGTTACCATCCCCTTATTGGTTCCTGTTTCTCATCTCCTTTTACTCCTGCGTGTCTGACTTAATGATTTTAATGGCTTTTCAGCCAAAATTCAGGGCATGAAGAATGCTGTTCCCAAGAATGACAAGAAGAGGAGGAAGCAACTCACCGAAGATGTGGCCAAGTTGGAAAAAGAAATGGAACAGAAACATAGAGAGGAACTGGAGCAATTGAAGCTGACTACTAAGGAGAATAAGGTATGTGAAATAAATGTTTGTCGTTGCCTACACCATTTGAAAACAGCTGTCCACTTCTGTTAAATGTTAAACTGCTTTTTTTTTTTTTTTTGAGACGGTGTCTCGCTTTGCAAAACACGCTCAATCTTGGCTCACTGCAAGCTCCGCCTCCCGGGTTCAGGCCATTCTCCTGCCTCAGCCTCCCGAGTAGCTGGTACTACGGGCGCCCGCCACTACGCCCGGCTAATTTTTTGTATTTTTAGTAGAGACAGGGTTTCACCATGTTAGCCAAGACGGTGTCGATCTCCTGACCTTGTGATCCACCCGCCTCGGCCTCCCAAAGTGCTGGGATTACAGGCGTGAGCCACCGTGCCCGGCCCTGTTAAACTGTTTATTATCTAAAATCATAAAATTGGTAGGGAAATGAAATCACTTAGTTATGCTCATGCATCACTTCTCATTAATGTTTTTGTGACCAAGTTTACAGGGCAGTGTGTTTCTATAAGGGAGATCGGCAAAGAAAGTGCTATACTTCTTTACCTATTTACTTGCCCAAAAGATGAAGCTTCACCAAATCAAAGTTGGAAGACCAGGCATCTGATCCCAGAATTGCGACTGAATGGGATTGTAACCTGAGCAAGGTTACTTAATCTTTCTGAGCTCAAATTTTCCCACATATATAATACGATACAAATATTTCTACACTCTAAGCACAGGTTTTTGTAAGAATCAAGAAAGTGAACGTGAAGTCATTTTTGTTATAAAAGTGCTTTATTAACAAGTTGTAATGAATGAAATTTTACTGATGTTTCTTGGGTAAGTTGGAGCATCCTAACTTTCATAATTTTAACTAATATTTATTTTATCGTTGGATCTAATATATATGTGTCAAATACTTTGGTTTATATGTATTATCTCATTTAACCTCAGTAACACACTGTGAGGTATTACCTATGAAGTAAGTATACATAATCCCATTTTTCAAGTGGGAAACAGGGTTAGAGAGATTAAGAACTTTGTCCAGGAGTCGTAACAGCTGTTGATTGCCAAAGCCAGAATTCCAAATGAGAACTATCTTACTCCAGGAAGTGAATACTGAATTCTGTTACAGCTTTGTATAGTGTGGTATTTATTGTATGGGTTTTGGATATGAAGGGTCATATAGACCCCACAACCTCACTCCATCTTTGATAGAAAGTTCTTATGTCTATGTAAAATCTTAATCTGCCATACTTAAATTTTGGTTGATTTTTGGTTTGCTGTTGACAAGTACAGCTTGTCTGTGCTTTTTATAATGGTCCTTACATTAAATATAGTCTAAATTTCTTTAACTTTGTTAGTTATCAAGTTCCCAACTTTCCTTGCCTTTAATGTACTTCATCTCCAGGTAACAAGGCATATATGATACTCCAGGCGTTAAATTGTGTTGTGACAATTGTGTTCCTAATTGTCTCCCCATCTTTTCTATTAATGAGATAGTTTTGTTTGCTCCCTCAGACCTTTCCATTTTGAGGTTTCTTTCCCAGGTTTCCAAGGACAAAAATGTTTGATTCATAAGCTACATGGAGTCCTACTGTTAAAACACAAACTCCCATTTTAGTTTGAACTATTTATCTGTTTCATTAATTTAAATTGGTTTTCTTTTCTGAATACTACCAAAAACTAATGCCATTGCTTTTTTGTTTTTCAGATGCATCTCTTTTATCTTGCCTATTGTCAATATAGATGTTTGTAAATTTTAACAGCTTCCTCTGAAGAATCACAGGACTCCTAATTTCACTATAGTTGATAGCCACTCTTTGAAGTCTCTATCTGATTTTGATATTTTGATCATTTGGGACACAGCCTTTGCAGACTTCTGTCTCTGTGTATTAAAGGCCTTGAGTTGTTCTATGCATGTGTTATACTAAAAACTGGCTTACCTTAGAGTTGCAGTAATAATGGCTACTCATCCTTATAGTTAAAAGTCTAGCATCTTTTTTTTTACTCTAGCAAACACACACTAGCCATTTAGGATTGATTATAATATCAAATGATATTACAAATTAAATATATTTTCTGCCTGCAGTTATCAGTTTGTAGATGGAAAAGGGTAGGGTAGGAAAAGCTCAACTTGCTACTAGGGTCAAGGATTAGTACTCATCAGGTTCTGGCTAATTAAGATGGAAAAAGGCCTCTGCTGCCAGTAGAGGTTATGCAGGTAATAATGAACTGAGCCAGCACAGGACCTTTATCTTATATGTACTGGCAGTAGTCAGAGAAAAGAAGAGTGGAGTGCTAAATGAGTTGGCGCTTACAGGAAGTACAGTACTGCATTTAGATTAATGGAGTAGGCATTCTAAGAAGGAAGGAAAGCATGCAGGGATGAGCATGATCTTTGAAAGAAACTTCTTGGGAACTTGTCAAATTCTTCCATAAAAATAGAAACAGGAGACAAAACCATATTATCTAATACAGTGTCTATTGCTGTTACTCAAATTTGAAATGTGGGATTAGATATATTTATGATTTTCAGTAATTTAATAAGTACATTGACTTGTTAATGCTTTTTGTTTCCTTCAGATAGATTCTGTTGCTGTTAACATTTCAAACTTGGTGCTTGAGAATCAGCCACCTCGGATATCAAAAGCACAAAAGAGACGGGTATGAAAGTCATGTCACCAAGTATATAAGTTAGTGCTGTGTGTTCAATACTATCTTAGGTACTATCTTAGGTCTTGTTATAGGAAGAGAATGAAAAAAAAATGATGCAGTTCCTTGTCTAGGCACTTGAACTAACATTTATTAAGCACCTGCTGTGTGTCACATACTATGCTAAGCTGCTTATATGACATCTCATTTAGTCCTGACAATAATCCTGTGAAGTAGGATTTCTTATCCCCATTTTATGGAGAAGAAAATGATCCTAAGATAATATAAAATAACGTATTCAGGTTGCAGCTCTCATAGGAGAGCGAAGCTGGGAGTGGGAGTGCAAAGTAGTTTTTTTTACAAATATATTATCCCAGACTTAAAAATTCAGAATGTGGGCCCAGGGGATTCTGATGCACAACCCTAGCCAAGAACTATACCATTGGGTGAGAAATAAGGATTTGAACCTAGAAGTTAACATGTGTAGGTATACAAAATTCTTAGAGAATTATGTAGGTATCTATATAATGGTTAATTATGAAAATTTAGAGAAGGGAAAGTTCATTATGCTAATAATGGGTTGGAATTTGAAAGAAATATTATTTAGATAGGATATTCCAAATAGGAGGAGCAGCATGCACAAAAACAAATGTGGGGGTGATATATTGCATTATTGAAGAGCTATAAGGAAACTGATTTATTGGAAGTAGCTAGTTCATATCAGCATTATGGAAATGAGATTAGATAGGTAAGTCCCTTTGAATTTGAAAAAGAAAAATGATTAAATTCAGTCTTTTTAGTTGCGAGTATTATTTTATTAACACTTGATGTTTTCTATGGTTTAAATGCATATTTTTAAATTCATTTTGCATCTTATGACATAGTATGTAATTTAGTAGAGCATGGAGTTTAGTGTCAAACAGATGAGGTTTTAATTTCATTTACTGTTATACTTTGGGTACGGTTCTTCTTTAAGCCTCAGTTTCACATCTATAAAACGGGGGCAAATTATAGCTACTTCATAAGCTAATTCATTGTGAATATTAAATACTGTACTATTTCCAAAGCCTTTAACACAAGGCCTGGAGAACTAATGGGTCAACAAATGATAGTATTGTTTCTATATTAAGTAGTGTATAGTATGCCTCTTAAAAATGTAACCTAAAAGCAATGTCTTTTTCTGTGTTAAGTAGTGCATACTATGCCTCTTAAAAAATTAAACCTAAAAGCAATGTCTTTTTTTGTTTGCAAGCTGATGAAATGCACATAGTCCAACATTTCTCATTCTTGTGTAGAATTTTATTTTTGAGTAAATATAATTGTGAATTTTGTAGATTCATAAAATTTAGATCTCATGGAATCTTGGAGATTGTCTGCTTAGGATATGCATTCTTTTGTGATGATCTCACAATTGTCTAGCTTCTATAGATCAAAAAGGAAGGGCAGAATTTTTGCATGCCAGTAGCATAACAAAACATTGGAATTACGTCTACTTAGTAATTGAAACATCTTATAATAGCCTATTTAATTCTGGAAAACCTAAGGGCACAAGTTCTTCCTATCTTTATCAAAACTTGTTCCTCCCCAGCTGGACCTCTAACAACAAAACAAACAAAACGAAAACTCCCTTACCTTTCTCAAAAATTTTGTTACTTTTTCCCTAAGATACTGCACAACTGGAATTAATACTTTTGTCAGTTATACTCTCAAACCATTTAGTATCTTTTATAGTCAGCTGCTTTAACACTTGGTAGAAAAAATGCCCAAGTAATGTTTTTACAGGGTTATATTAATGGGATTTTAGAACAGAAAACATTAAACGTTTATAATGCTTAAGAAAATGGAACCTGAAGTCAGGATGCACAATCGGGTGTTAGATTATTTGGAACCTCCTTTTTGCTAGAAGCACCAAGGAATGCAAAGTCATTTAATTAATGATGTTTATCTTTGGGAAGGATACAACTCTGGAAGAAAAACGTGATAAAACTTTGTCAAGATTTATTTTAAGAATATCGTGGAATATTGTAGAGCATATCTCTTATTTTTAGTCTAGAAAAACAGTATTTTATTCAAAGAACTTACAAACTTTTTGATATGAGAGAAAGAGTCTAAAATAGAACTTAGAAGAGCTGGGTTTCAAAAATATGGAATTTGAGGGCTGGAATGAGATTGAATTCAATTTCTGTATTTTCCAATGAGAAAGCAGAGACCCAAGTTATCTCAATTGTACACTAAAAGTTTGATACAAACCCAGGACTGGTGTCCAGCTCTTAATATTCCCTTTGAATCTTCTTTGTTATATTACTATATCAACATGACTGTAGTTTTATTGACAATATATTTATGATTTACATGCTATTTTCATCTTTTATACGTTTTTATTAGAACTTATTAGTGCCATTCTATCTCCACTACTATAGCTGTAGAAACCAAAGTGCCTAGTGCTCTTGGGAAACTATATATTGCTGGAAAAAGAATTCAGTGGATTTCTTACCTAGTGCCCTGAAAAGGAAACTCAATTGCTTTGTTCTAATGAAGCAAAGCATGAAGGGAAAAAAATGAAATGATTAGAATTAGTATTTTAGAGGCTTAAACAGTTTTGCAGATAAGATAAAGTGCCACTCTTTCAGTAAATAGTACATGACATCATTAACTCCAGCTCCCATCTGCTCCAACTTTTATTCTGATTCAGGTGCCTGGATAGAAGGAGCTCTCTGTGTTGTCCTTGGTCCCTGCTCTGCTCTTACCAGCTGTATGGCCTTTGGAAATCTTTCTGCGTGCTGTTTCCTCAGAAGAGGAAAATGAGGGGTTTTGGATTAGATGATATCTAAGGTGCTTATTCTTCCTTTCCCCTCTGAAACTTTTTTAGTCTTTTATAAAGTAATAGTGCCATCTTGTGTTTTAAGATATTATGCCTCTGTGATCCACAGTTCTAGGTACACAGTGAAATAAATTTGTTCCTATTACTTATACAAACCTTAAATAGGCTATGTTTTATTAGGGAGATATTACTGCTTTTGATTCAGGTAACTTAGAAATCACTTTAGGTTCATCTAGCATGGCACATAACAGGCAAGTAGTACAGGTACATGACAATAAGTTTAATTGAAACTTGCCTTCCCATTCACTTTTGTTCCAAGGAGAAATCAGAGCTAGTGTTATGGAAGTCTTTACCTTTTCCTATTCTTGGCTTACCAAATCCTTCACTGTAACTTATTAATGTCAAAATTTATATAACTTAGTTTTTATTCTTAAATTATAAAGCAGTTTCCGCTTGAGTGTACAAACAAAATATATGATAGAGAATTAGAAAGATGCAGAAAAACATACAGACATACACACACATACACATACACACACCCCAAAATAAAACTTATTTTGGAATCCCGTCATCCAGAAAAAAGCACTATAAATACTTTGTGTATATTGTAGTTTCTTTTTAGTCCTATGTTAAGTATAGACCTACTGTATATTAATTATATGCCTATGCTTTTTGCCTCCAATTTCATCTCTTGACAGTTTTCTCTGGCACTGTAGCTCTAGGAACTGTTTTTAGCTATGAAACATATAGTGCTTTCTGGCTTTTGATCATTACTAGTCCATCTGTTAGGAATTTTTTTTCCTTTCTTCTTCCCCAACCTTCCCTATACACCTCCTGTCTATTCTTCATGTCACAAATCTCTCATTTCCGTCACCCCACTCCATCCTTGCATATGTTTCCATGGGAGGAGCTTATCAGACATTTGCATAAGGAAAGCAAATTGTAGAATGTAACATATGATACCATTTTTATTAAGAATTTATACATATTTTCAAGAGTATACCATATTTATTAAAATGAATGGAAAAACAATCTAGAAGGATGCATACCAAACCTCTAGAGCAAGCACTGGGATGGCAGTGGTGTTATGGGGAGCTTGAGTCTCTCTCTTATATTTTAATTTTTTTTTTACAAAATATTTGTTAATTAAATGTATGTGTATACAGACATTTTAAAAAGCTTGATAAAAAGGGTGTCTGCCTGTACCCTTTTAAAGGCTGTGTCATATTAACACGTTACTGGTGGACTGATAAGAAGCCTGGATTAGCCTGGGCTTTAATATAATAATAATGTGCTTTAAGGCCTAGGATAACTCAGTCTTAAGAGAATACTTTGAAATCAGTAAGTAAGGTTTTTAGAAACTTGGCATGTAGCCTTTAAGTAGACTTTAAAGAAAAATTAGAGGGCTTTCTTAATGTCCAGTATAGAGCAAGGTGCTGGAAACACACAGATGAGTAAGAGAGTAAGGAGCTCACCTTGTAGAAAATTCTTGAGATGATCAATGTGATAGTGTTTGTGCGAGAAGGGAGAATAAACACCGGAAAGTTTTGAGACCTTTACATTTCCCTTCCCTTAATAAATGAGAATTAGTCCAAATTATTATGAATTAACTTTCATGCATTCTGCTTTTCTTAGGAAAAGAAAGCTGCATTGGAAAAGGAGCGAGAAGAACGGATAGCTGAAGCTGAAATTGAAAACTTAACAGGAGCCAGACATATGGAAAGTGAGAAACTTGCTCAAATATTGGCAGCTAGACAGTTAGAAATTAAACAGATTCCATCTGATGGCCACTGTATGTATAAAGCCATTGAAGATCAACTGAAAGAAAAGGATTGTGCTCTGACTGTGGTTGCCTTGAGAAGTCAGACCGCTGAGTATATGCAAAGCCATGTGGAAGACTTTCTGCCATTTTTAACAAACCCTAATACAGGAGATATGTATACTCCAGGTAATTTATTTTTCTTTACTATGTTTTATTGTTGCTTTGTTGTAGTTGTTTTTAAATAAGGTGCTTCCCAGCACTGAGCGTAAGAAGAACCCAGATGATCCTTATGAGGAAAAAACATCACAAGATTTAGGCAGAATTATTTTCTGTAATTTTAATAGATGTTGGTGTATTTTTCTCTATTAAGATTTCTTAATTACTTAGTTATTTTGTAATTATAATATGCTAATCATTTTATGTAAGATAGAAGTAGGAATAAGAGTCATTTTTGAAAAAAATGTAAGTTCTTATTTGACAAAGTGAAGTATTGAGGAAGGTAAGCTTCAGGAAGTATATATAGGGTCTGAAGACCATAAGGAGAGAATGACTAGGAAAACCATTTCCTGCTTTTATCTTATAATTTGGGAACTTTACTTTTATTTACAATAAGCTATAATTAGGAAGATTAGTGTTCAAGTAAAACAAATGGGTTAATAACCTGCTTTATTCTATACAATACTATCACAGTTAAGATAAAATATTTATGAGGAAGTAAAAAAGTACACAACTAGCAGATGAGGAAGAGAGCAAGTAAAAATCTGAATAGGTTTTGGGGTAGTAATGAATGGAATAGAGGACTATTAGTCCTTGAGAGAATATGGCAGGTTTGGCAGTATCCATTGTTCCCACAAGTCATATGGCCAGAATGGGTTGCAGAGAGAAAGGTTAAAATTGACTTTCCTTTAGTGGAGTCTGTCCTCCATGGAGGAAAGGTAGAGAGTGATGCAGAATTGATAAGAATGAGCATTGGCAGTCAAGTGTGTCTCCTTTAGTGTGCATGGCTTAAGGTATCTGTTGATAGATTTCAAGAATGACTTAAGCATAATCTAATTCTGTAGTGAATTAATTTCCCATAGATGTCATATTGGAAATGTTAACTTATCTCTTGCTGTTTTAGGTCATTGCTGTTTTCTACATAAACAGAATTTGCTATGGGACATAAAACACATTTTTCCATATATTTTGATATATGCATAGGCAATGTGATAAATGACTCTTCTGTCATTTATCTCCCAAATGATTACTGAATCATTGAAACTCCCCAATTGCGCTAGTTGTAGGGCATAGAGGAGGTGGCAGTTCAGTATGCTGAGTCAGAGAAAAACACAAAAGACTTAATTAATTATCTCCATTTATTCAACCAATATTAATTGAAGGCCGCTGTGTGCCAAGCACTACTCTAGGCACTGTTCTGAACGCTGAGGATTTAACAGGGTATGAGACAAACACATGAGACATATTTTTCTTCTAGATGTCCATAATTTCTTTCCTTCCATCTCTGTAGTAAGGATAATTGTTTTCCATTTTAACATACTGTGTAAAAAGGTGTATGCACAAAATATACCCATTGTAAATTTAGTGATTAGGTCTTTTATTTCTCAGGGCTGATGTGAAAAGCCTTTTCCTTGGTTAGAACTGATACTTATGCAAGTAATGTAAGTGCTTCCAAAATAACAAGTGGAGGCACTGTTTGACGCTATCTCTGGGGAAGGAATTTCAATTCATCTGTACTTTTACTCGAATTCTCTTCGTATATTTCCCAGAGTCTTACAGTAAACCTGATTATACAGGAACTACATTTTTTTTGTCTTTCATGGTATTCCTTTGGATGCAGGTTTGGGCTTCAAAACACATGTCAAGATAGTGAATATGGTGGCAATTTTTGGGGTCAACGCTTGGGGTAGAGTGAGGTAGGTTTGTTATATAGGGAGGGTATCTGGGCCTCCAACAGAAGAAGAAAAGCAGAAATGGACTGCTTTGTTCTTGGATGGAAATGTGGTAGAAAGTTGGGGTGAATTAAGTTTGGACCTGGGAGTTAGATTAGATTCTGGAGGATAATGGTAGAGAAGGAGAATGTTCATAACTTGGGCATTTTTGTCAGGAATTGTGGGAACTATAAAAGGGATTTTGTAACATGAGTTACAAAAATTATTAAGTGCTGTATTCTGACCTAATCTCTACAGAAGAATTTCAGAAGTACTGTGAAGATATTGTAAACACAGCTGCATGGGGAGGTCAGCTTGAGGTAAGTTTGTAGTTATTCATAGTGATTGTGGGTTGTTAAATTATTTCTAAATCCCTTCTGTAGTTTTTAGATGTTTCTCAGCTGATCCCAATTTCTCTTTGAAGATTCCTTTTCTTTATATATTTGCTCTTCTCAACTGACAAAGAAATAGGGAGTTAACATGATTAGGTCTGTGATTAAAGTATGTATGTTGAGGGATTGAAACACTATTACATTTTAAATAGCTCAGTGTTAGATCTGTGTGTTAGAAATACATATGTGTAAGTCTTTTCATCGTGATAGTAGTATTGGCAATACATTTGATTTTCTGGACTTAGGAAAATGAAAATTTTACTGAAGTAAAGTAAAATTTAGCCTAGTAGCTCAGCTGATCAAAGTCACTATTGGAAAAATATCTTTTTTACATCAGAAATGGAAAAAAAAAATTATGTGAAATTATAGGCCAAATCCTACCACAACATATATATTAAAATCGTATTTTGAATTCCTAATTGATAGTGACTGACTTACTTGAAAGCAGTAGTTGGTGCATTAAATTCATATGTAAGAAAACAGTATGTTCAGTCACTTACAGGAAGTTATCAAGATTACTTTTTAGCTCTAATTTTAAAAAAATCTTACTGTTAACTTTGTTTTGTTAAAAACAAACAAACAAACAAAAAAAACAGGTAGGTAGGCCAGATGGTGATGAAGCAGCCTGGGTATTAAATAGGATAAGAAAGAAAGTTCTGGGTTCAGGTCCTGGCATTTTCTTCCACCCCTCTGTTTTGTGGCCACAGGGGAGTCAGCCATCCTCCCAAGCTTGAGTTTCTTGATTACTATATGGCCATAATAAACCCTCTCTGTGTATTCAGTTGAGCATTTTTGAGCATTAAGTAAGGCAGAGAGTACCTGCATAAAAGTTTGTAAGCTGAAGTGCCAGATGGATGAACCTAGGCAGTACGATTAGTAATATATAATGATGATTAATCATCATGAATAGTCTGTGGCTCTAAATAATTCACTTTAAGAACTGCTTCATTTGAAGATGCAACATGAATGTTGCCCCAAAATCTTTTTCTTAGTACTGCTGTGTATGTGCATTTCCACCAGAGGGAACTGTATCCATTAGTTTTGTATGCCTCGGAAACTCAGGAAATGTTCATAGTAGCTTTGTTACTACTACATTAGGAATAATTAAAAATGCTTGAACTTTCTTAAAAGGATCATTCATATGAGTATTAGAGATTAAATCAAGAAATTAAGAAAAACCTTTTAAAACATCTTTTGAGGGACACTTATACATTTTTTTCATCTGTGAATTCATTTGAAGTAAGAGTTGCAGTTTTCACAATAGAGTAAATTTAAGTTATTAAAGAAAATCATTCTATGATCTCTGAAGTTAGAAGGCATAGTAGGATTCCCAGAGTTTGGTTCGCATCCTCTATTCTATGCTAGTTTCTTAAAAATGATATTTTAGGTATAAGAAAAATGTACCTCAAAGGAACGTTTTTGATTTACCACCATGCAGCAGAGTGCTTTCCATATTTTTGAAGTAATTTCTTAAATTCTTTCAAAACCTCAGGAAGGAGTATGTTCATCAATGGAATGTTCTTGTAATGGGGCAAGTACATATCCCATAGTGCCCCCATAGATCGGGGCATTATGATTTTTACTTTCTTTTTGAGACAGAGTCTCACTCTGTCACCCAGGCTGGAGTGCAGTGGTGCCACCCATCATTGTTCACTACAGTCTCAATCTTCTAGGCTTAAGCTTTCCTCCCACTCCTGAGTAGCTGCACCACCATGCCTGGCTAATTTTTGTATTTTTTGTAGAAACGGGGTCTCCCTGTGTTGCCCAGGCTGGTCTCGAACGCCTGAGTTCAAGTGACTTTGACAAGTCTTGTAACCCTTTTTTTGCCTCAGATTCTAGGTCTTTAAAATAACGACAGTACCCATCCCATAAAGTTATTGAGAGGATTAAAGGAATTAATACACATAAAGTACTTAAAATGCTTGAGTGTTTGGTCATATGTCTTTTTTTTTTTTTTTTTTTTTTTTGAAACAGGGTCTCACTCTGTCACCCCAGTTGGAGTACAGTGGCGTGATCTTGGCTCACTGCAACCTCTGCCTCCCGGGCTCAAGTGATCCATCATGCCTGGTTAATTTTTGTATTTTTTTGTAGAGACATGGTTTTACCATGTTGCCCAGTCTGGTCTCGAATGCCTGGACTCAAGGTATCTGCCTACCTTGGCCTCCCAAAGTGCTGGAATTATGGGTGTGAGCCACTGTGCCTGGCCCGTAATCATAATAAGTCTTTAAAAATGTTAGCATTAATGTTCAATATTCACCATTATTCATCTGGCTTTAGGCTCTAATTTTATATTGTATGGTATGAAATTACTTAAAATTGTATATTTTAATCAAATAGAAATTCATTGATAGGGCAGTACAATTCATATACATATTCTACTCTTTGAAAATTATAGAACAGTGGTTGTCAACAGTATTTGTAGATTAGAATCATCTGAAAAACTTTAAAAAAATAAATATTTTGTTCTTCCCCCTGCCCATTTTCTCACATTGTAATTTATTTGGTCCGGTGCTTGAGCAATGGTATTTAAAAATTTTTTTTGTTATGAACATTTTCAAGCGTATTCAAAAGTAGACTAGTATAATATACCTAGTCTACCCATTGCCCCTCTTCATTAACTGTGGCATTGATATTTTTTACAAAGCTTTTGTGCAGGCAGGGCTTGAGCAGTCTCTGCATTTGATTTAATAAATACAAGTTGAGCATCCCTAATCTGAAAATTTGAAATTCGAAATGCTCCCAAATCAAATTTTTTGAGGGCTGACATCACAAGTGGAAAATTCTACACTTGACTTTATGTGACAGGTCACAGTTCAAACTTAGTTTCATGCACAAAGTTATTTAAAATGTATAAAATTACCTTCATGGTGTGTGTGTAAGATATGTATGAAACATGAATGAATTTTGTGTTTAGATTTGAGTCCCATCCTCAAGATATCTCATGTAGTATATGCAAATACTCCCAAATCTGAAAAATTCAAAAACTAAAACAATTCTGGTTCCAGGCATTTAGGATAAGGGATATTCAACCTGTATTATATTTATTTATTCAACAGATATTTATTAAGTGCCCAGTATATACCAGGCTCTCTGTGTACAGTGGTGAACACAGCGTATCCCTGCTCTGACTGGTTGCCCGTTCACACATATTTGAATGTGATTTACATTTTTATTTTCCTTACTGATACTTTTTTTCTTCCTATAGCTAAGAGCTCTGTCTCACATTTTACAAACACCAATAGAGATAATACAGGCAGATTCTCCTCCCATTATAGTTGGTGAAGAATATTCAAAAAAACCACTAATACTTGTGTAAGTACCTAGACATTTTTACTGTTTTATTTTTCACAATTAATACAAAAAGGAATATTAAAAAATTTAGATTATATGTGTTAAAATATGTGACTTAGATAATTTTTTAAACCTCTAGCGATTTATTTTTGTGTGTGAGTTTAGAATAAAGTCATTTCTAAAGGTTATAACATTTTAGGACTAGTTTGTATACTGTCCTGGTTTGACATTAGTAATGCTAAAAGTTTCAACAAGTGTTAAAAGTTGAAATACATTCATGTTGCCTGTTTATTCCTTAGATTTATTTTTCTTCATTTTATGAAAATATCTTACATGATTTAGAAATCTCTTCTGAAATACAGCATGCAGGGTTTGCTATTGGCTTTAGTATTTTTTAGCTAAACCTATTAAGATAGTCATCAATGGCTAGATGACAATTTAAGCTGATTGAACCTTCAGCATCTCAGCCTTTTCGTTTTACCCCAGTGATTGAACCAGATCTTGCTGACTGCTGCCACTTTTCAAATGGTGTTGAACTCTTAATTAATATGTCCACATAGTCTATTGAGTGAAACCCATGTGGACTGAGTCATTCAGAATCATTGGTTTATATATATATATAATAAGCATATATATATAGAAAAATTGCTTTCATCAAAACTACTCATTTCTTTTTTTTTTTAATTTCAGATATATGAGACATGCATATGGCTTAGGAGAACATTATAATTCGGTTACACGGTTGGTAAACATAGTTACTGAAAATTGCAGCTAATTTATACAATGTTGTACAATTATGTTTTAATACAGTGTGCTGAACTGAGTATTTCTACCAAGTGTTGGGTTGTTCTAAATGCTACTGAAAAACACAACTACCTTATATCAGTTTTATGGCAAAGCTACTAACAGGTGTTTTTAGAAATATGTCAGAGATAAACTTTAACCAGTGTCTTCTTAGTGGAATTTTAAAAATTTGTTAAGTTCATTGTAGAGAACACCATTCATAGACCAAGATGGTCCCCTATTAGCTGATATTTTCATTTATGTAAGATCCTGGACATTCTGTTTTGTGTTGGAACAAATTTTCAATGTTTTTAATTCTCCCTTTTCTGCCTGTTCCTAAAAACTTTCAAAATAACCATTTCAATGTAATTTGTCTTGAAGAAGTTTACCCAATATCTTTGTCATTGCAATAATGTAGTATGGTGATGGTCAATTTAATTATTGCTTATAAAATGAACTTGATTGCAGTAACCATGGTATCGATGAGACTAATGCAGTGAAGCTTTATTACTAATATATATAGCCTTATCAAAGCAAGCTAAGAAGCTTGCTTTAATAATTAATAATTTAAAAATATTTATTTAGATGGGATTCAGTTGTTTAAAGAAGTGAGATAAATTCAAAGGTAAATAGGTATTCTCTGTCAAATTTAAATCTCTAAAGAATTAGAGATTAGTTTTTTATTTGTGTATAATTTAAAAAAGACCTAATAGGTTACTGTCTTTTTAATGCATTTGTTATTCTTTCGTATTTTTTAAGCATCGGACTGGAGTTAGTACCATCATCTCTTGAGTCTTTCATAACTACACATTTTTATATTTCCTTTTGTGTTTTCTACTTTGCTTTCCTTGAAGGAACAAGCATTTTGTGGCCTTTACCTTGTGCAATTTTAGGGAGTAGCAGTGTAAAAGGTCCAAGACCACATTTACTTGAAATTCTTCCTCTTTTCTGATTTGTCTTACCAGATATTTCCCTTCTTGCCTCATTCTCTAGGATTTGAATAAAACCTTTGCCACTTATTTTATTAGCCTTATTAATGTCACCTTTCCTTCAACTCAAATATTTGAGAAATTTTATGTTACATATATGAATGAAGTTGAAAGCTACTGTTTGGAAGCTAAGACTTGTATAGAGTAGTTTTGTATATGAATGGTTGTTCTAGCTCAGATTTCAGGTTACTCACAACAGTATTCTTTCTAAGAGGATATATACAAATGTCTCTCATAATTTATGTAAGGAAATATTATGAAAATGAGACTTTTTTAGTTTGATGTGTGTTTCCCAAACTAGAGATAAAACTAGTAAGATTTAGTATCGTTTATAACATTTGAATTTTTGCTCCATGAGTACAACTAATTTTTATAAGTAAATATTGGGTTTATATGAAAAATGGGGTGTCAGTCTTTTCACACGCCCAGCAGGTAACAATGTGGGAAGCTGGCAGGGTCATTGATAGCAAGTAAGTACTTCCTGAAGGCTTTCCAGTTCAAAAGATTACAAGCCATTCTGCCTGCCAAACAAATTATATTCTGAAGATGCCTGTTTTGTAACCCTTGATGTGAATTTTTTGGTGTCTGAAATTTACAAAAGAATGAAATTGAAATTGTAAAACACTAAATGCTTTGGGTTTATTTTGAAGTAATCTGTTACTTTAAAATGTCAACATTAGGAAGCCATAAAACAAGATATTATGAAACCCAGTATTATAAATGTTATCTACATCTAAAGTATTTTAAAATAACTTATTGGCAGCTTTATTCTTTTTTTCCTTACAAGATTTAGAATCTTTTTGGTTATATGTCTATTTTTCAATTTTGTTATATTTTTAATTTAAGTGGCCAATGTGGTTATGAACAAGATTTGTATGGTCAGCTTCTGTTCTTTCCTAAAACTTCAGATAAATATCATTTTAGCTATAACCTAAAAAAGTGTTTAAATAAAATGACAGATGTTAATTTAAAAGCAGCATATGCTAATTTACTTTTTCATATGATGATGGTCTAATGGAAGTTACATATGCTTTCTTTTGTCCTAACTCTGAAAAGTATATGTCAGAGTTCTGGAATATGTCTTTAGCCAAGAATTTTATTCACTTAAATTTGTTTACAACTTGTATAAAGCAAAAAAGAATGTGTGTAACTATAGTGAACGCATAGTTTTGCTTATATTATGTGATGTTTGCCAAAAAAAGAATAAAAAATGAATGAATTAAATCAACATTTATTTGCTTGAATTGTCATTCTTTAACAATTCAAGAATTTAGAAGTGGAGAAAACTCCTTTTGCTTTGTATCCAGCCTTTACTTTGTCTTCACACACAGATTCTTACATTTTAAGGGATTTTGAATAAATATATGAGCATAGCTTATGCCCCAGAAGTAGAGGGAAATAAAGTAATAGCCATTTAAGCTATAGCTCTTAGAAATCAGGTACAATCTTAGAACCTTTTAGAATAATGAATGTTTATTTAGGGTAAGTGAATTTGAAAAATATTTTAAGACCCATAGATGTTAAAATAAAGAATAAACATTTGTGTGCAAGAATGTGGAGCAGTAAGAAGGAAGTTTGTACAAATTAATGTTTTCACACAATTGTTAATATAGTGCCTTCTTGGTACAGGTTCTTATGAAGTAGCTGAAGGACTAGATCAGTTGATCTTCTGAGAATTTATTTGGTGATTTCATGCTTTTTTTTTTTAAACTTTTATCGAACAGATGAAATTTTTCTCTGCCTGTTCTGTTACCTCATACATTGATTGTTTCCTCCTGTCTTAAGTCTTTATCTTAGAGCTCATGAGGTTTTAATTCTTAACACATGGGTCTTTTAACCCACCATTGTTCTCTCCCACTTGAGGTCTTGGAACTACCATTCAGAATTGAATGTTTCACCCAACCTGCTTTATCCAGCTTCCTTGTCTTTCTAGTCTCAGTTTACATATTGATAGTACCTTCTGAGACAACCCTCCTCAGACTCCTCCCAATCTTGTTTCTTTCTAATACGTACACACTTGTAATCACTTACTTGAATTTAGTTGTTTTTCATCTATTTTTTTCCATACTGTGTTAAGAGCTTAGAAACAAGAATTTCTTGTTCACTGCTCTTAAAATACTTAGCACATTGCCTGGCCTGTCTGCATTGCGTGCTTAAAAAATGTTTGTTGACAGACTATCAGTTGAGAGGATAGGATATGAGTAAGAAGTTGCATTAGGTTAACAGACTGCTGGGAATAGAGAGATGGATATGATTTAGAATTGTGCTTGCTCGCAAAAGGCCTGCTTTTTAATTTACCTTGCCCTTGGATGAATTCTTCAAGTCTTTTGGTCAGTTGAAGGGAGAAAGGGAACCCAACAGAGCTTTCATTTTTCTTAACTTCCAAAAGTAATGTTTCAGCTAATTTACCTTCATATACCAATTAGGGTAATGTCTGATTTTAATAAATCTACACAAATATAAGAATCCTATAAAATAAGTGTACAGTTAGAAAAAAATTAAAACCTTTTTTAATATACTGACCATGAAGAAGTTTTATAGTTGTCTTATTTCAGTATAATCAGGATGACTAGTATGACATACTGGAACAAATTGCTGCCTTTCTATAAGGCTGCTGAATTTTTATTTCCGTGAATAGGGATGATATATAATCTAGCTCTTGTTTGTCACTCTTGTATTGACAAAAAGTCTTATTTATTGTTTATAATTTTAACCAAATATAGGATTAACATGGGGATCAATAACTTCAGTGCATGAGTTGATGAACAAAAATAATGACCTCACTTTAAAAAGTAAATTACATGAGTTTTTAAAATTTTTCATTTCATTTTATTTCTTAATTTTCTATTTTAGATTTAAAGGGTACATGTGCAGGTTTGTTACATGGGTATATTTTATAATGCTGGAATGTGTGTTTTTATAGAATCTGTCACCTAAATAGTGAACATTGTACCCAATAGGTAGTTTATCAACCTCCCCTACCCTTTTGGAGTCCCCACTGTCTGTTATTTCCATCTTTATGTCCATGTGTATCCATTGTTTAGCTCTCATTTTATAAGCGAGAACATGTGGTATTTGATTTTCTGTTTCTGTGTTAATTCACTTAGATAATGGCTTCTAGCTACGTCCATGTTGCTGCAAAGGACATGATTTCATTCTTTTTTATAGCTGCATAGTATTCCATGGTGTCTATGTACCACATTTTCTTTAATCTACCAGTGATAGGCACTTAGGTTGATTCCATGACTTTGCTATTGTGAATAGTGCTTTGATAAACATGAGTGTAGATGTTTTTTTGATAGAATGATTTCTTTTCCTTTGGGTAGATAACCAGTAGTGGGATTGCTGGATTGAATGGTAGTTACATCTTTAATTCTTTGGGAAATCTCCATACTGTTTTCCACAGGGGTTGAACTAATTTACATTCTCACCAACAATGTATAAGTGTTCCCTTTTCTCCATATCCTTGGCAATTTCTGTTAATTTTTGGCTTTTTAATAATACCCATTCTGACTGGTGTGAGATGGTACCTCATTGTGGTTTTAATTTGCAGTAAGTAAGGGTTTTTTTCACTTTGCCAAATCCTGATGGAAAAATTGCTGTTTTTGAATCAGGCATTTCCCCCACCCCCCACCCACCCCTACTCTTGTGACTGACATTGGAAAGGCCTGATATACCTAGATCAGAGATTTTCATCAGTGGCACTATTAACATTTTGAGTTGGATAATTCTTTGTTGTGGCATTGTAAGATGTTTAGCAGCAGCATCTCCTTTCTAAGTACCTGTATCATCCCCCTCCAAAGTTGTAAGAACAAAAAATGTCTCCCTGGGAACAAAATTGCCCCCAGTTGAGAACCACTTACTAAATCATAAGTTTTATTGCTAATGAGGTTGGAAAGTTCTAAAGAAAACCATTTAGATCACAAATTGGACACATTAGGCAGTTAGTCATCTACTTTACATGACTTTAGCAACTGCCTAATGCCAGACTTACATGAATCCCCTTTGAAAAAGCTGAATGGACCTTAACTTTTTTTCCTTTCTCTTCATATTCTTAACCACTAAAATGTGTTTATTTGGCTTTTGGGATTACTGGTGGTAGCATTCAGGATAGACTAAGTTGTGCTATGGTAACAACTCAAAAATCTTGGAGTCACATAACAACATGGGAGTGTTTCTTGTATTGTTACATTTTGCAAGTTGGGTGAGGGCCCTGCTCCATGATTTTGTACTGTAGGACCCAAACTATTCAAGCTGTCACCATCTTAAACTTTATTAGAAGAGAGCATTCTGGAGGATCTCCCTCCAGCAAGTAAATTCTGTGGCTTAGCAGAAACACATCTCATTTCCATTCATTGTCGGAATTAGTCACATGGCTTCACCTAAGTAGGAAAGTGCCCAGAAGTGCAGTCCTACCCTGTGTTCTGAAGGCAGGGAGCTGGAATATTTGGTGAACATTACTAAGCATTATTACATGTACTGGAAATCGTGGTCTTTGGGTTCAGACTTATCATTTCAGTCTTGACCCTGGCGCTTATTGACTAACCTTTCAGAGCTCCTGTTTACTTATATAAAATAGGAATAATAATGTTTTCCTAGTAGGAGAACTATAAAGATAAGTAGGAATGTTTAGATAATATATATAGCATATTCTATATAATTTATGGTATTTATGAGTATAATAGTTATTATTTTACAGGTTGGTTTTTGGTGTATTATATGTCACCTAAATGGGAGGCAGAAATGTGATAGGCTACTAATATCTTTTGGAAAAGTGGGATTGTCAAGGTGGTTTATAAAGCAGAGCCTTGGAATGCTAGAATGAGGGGCCGTTTCACTGTTACTCTTAGAATTAAGCATGTAGGAATTTAGTATGTAGTAACTTGTAGGACATAATGAGACCACTATGAGATCAAGAAAGTATCTGATATAATAAGGTAAACATTCTAATAGTATTTCTGTTTTGCTTTCTACTGAATATCTCAAACTTTGATATTTATATTCTGTTTAGGATTTAGCTGTCAAGATTCTTGATTGACATAGAGGTTGTCAGGTTTGGTTTTGATATTCTTAAACTCTTTTGGTATTGTGGGTGAATTAATGTGAATTAAGAAAACACCTTTCCTAAGCTCCACAAAGAATATTCAGGTGCTTTAAAGAAATATTTTGTGTATGTTGTAATATATTTACAAAGCTTGTTTTAATTATTGCTAATGAATGACACCCTTTGCACATGGACCTATTTATTTAAACTTGTAATTTTGAATATATATATTTTTTGTTTGTTTGTTTTGTTTTGTTTTGTTTTGTTTTCTTTCTTCCTCCCCTCCTCCTGACTCAAAACAGTCTGGATTTGGTCTCTACCATGTCACTGAAACTGCTTCTAAGAGTAGTACCAGGAACTGCTAACTTATCCTTAACTTACTGGAAATCTCTGCTGCCTTTAGCACTGTAGACTACACCCTCCTTGAAATTATCTTTTTCCATAATACTACTTGTGATGTTTAAAACTGAGTGTCAACTTGATTGGATTGAAGGATGCAAAGTATTGTTCTTAGGTGTGTCTCTGAGGGTGTTGCCGAAGAAGGTTAACATTTGAGTCAGTGGACTGGGAGAGACAGACCCACCCTCAATCTGGGTGGGCACCATCTAATCAGCTGCCAGCATGGCTAGAATAAAGCAGGCAGAAGAAAGTGGAATGAGCAGACTTGCTGAGTCTTCTGGCCTTCATCTTTCTCCTGTGCTGGATGCTTCCTGCCCTCGAACATCAGACTTCATTCAGCGTTGGGACTCTTGGACTTACCCTAGTGATTTGCCAGGGGCTCTTGGGCCTTCAGCTAAAAACTGAAGGCTGCACTGTTGGCTTCCCTACTTTTGAGGTTTTGGGACTCGGACTGGCTTCCTTGCTCCTCATCTTGCAGATGGCCTATTGTGGGACTTCACCTTATGATCGTGTGAGTCAATACTCCTTAATAAACTCCCCTTCATATATATATCTATCCTATTAGTTCTGCCCCTCTAGGGAACCCTGACTAATACACTACTCTTTGCTAAACGGTTCCTCCTCCTTAGGTGCTGTTCTGGTCTGAGCCTCTTCCCCTGACTGTCCTTTAGGATGTTATCCTTGACCCTCTTTTTCACACTTACGTCAGAGCTTCCAAACTGCTGGACTGAATGTGGCTCAGAGACATACTTTGTTAGACCTGTGTAGTGATTTAAAATAAAAAAAAAAAGATGTGACGTAGTTGGTAGCTTTTAAGGGGAGATTTCACCAAAAATTCATATTTCCAGCTTCTTAAAAAAAGCTAGAAGGGCTGTCTACACTGAGCCAGGATTTCCTTGTGGCAGCACTCAACAAGAAGTGAGCAGTGGCTGGAGGTTTCAAACAGGGTTTCACCCACCACCATCTCCACCTGGTCTGCTAACTTAAATTTCTTATCTCAGTCAAAAGTGCCTAGTTCCAGCCGGGCATGGTGGCTCACGCCTGTAATCCTAGCACTTTGGGAGGCAAAGCCAGTGGATCACCTGAGGTCAGTAGTTCGAGACCAGCCTGGCCAACATGGAGAAATCCTGTCTCTACTAAAAATACAAAATTATCTGGGCCTGGTGGTGCATGCCTGTAATCCCAGCTACTTGGGAGGCTGAGGCAGGAAAATCGCTTGAATTCGGGAGGCAGAGGTTGCGTGCAGTAAGCAGAGATTATACCGCTATACTGCAGCCTGGGGGACAGAGCAAGACTCTGTCTTAAAAAAAAAAAAAGGCAAGCCTAGTTTCCAAGCCAAAATCTTGGCATTATCTTATCCCCGTTTTTGGTTTATTCCCTGCTTTATTAGACTTTGTAGATGTTTGGCTATCTTACTGGTCTTAGTTTATCTCAGTGTTCTATTTTGTAATCTATTCATTGCTACTTTTTGTTTTGATTGGCTACTTCTGTTTTCTGTGTTTAATACTTGGTAAAGCTTCCCAAAAATATAAAAATATATATGTGTATTTGTGTATGTGATTTTAAGTAGAGTATTGAGAGATTCCTCTAGCCTAGTGGTAATTAAATGCTGGTCTGTAAACTGATCCCATTGGCAACATAACAACATTTAGTGTAAGATAGTGAGATTTTCATAAAGCAAATTTAATCAATTTAAGAAACTTATGTATATGTCATCCTCTTTCAACAGAAGGGTTTAAAGTGTCCTTACTTTTATGAATTTATGGTGGCAGTAGTTGAGAGTGAATAAAAAAAAATGTCCTCACTTGACAAAATTAAGAGTTGGTAACTGTATTTCTTACAAATCTCTTTCTGTTTTAAAGTCTGTGAACCAGTAATCTATTTCCAGCCATGTAGCCAGTTTAAGGATCTCTTGTATAACATCTCCAACGATCTTTATTTAGCCTCTCATTTGAACTTCTTTAACAATATATCTAAGCAATAAGTTGAAGTAGTGATGGATAAAGAAGAGTATAGTGGCAAGAAAGTGGCATCAGGGAGACATCTTTGGCACAGTGGGCACATGTTAGCACCTTAGATCAGCCTCAGGGGTAGTGCTTGCACACTTGAGATTTGTTAACAGAAAGTGGAACTCCTAACTTAAATGTGTATATGAGATTGTACAAAAGCAAACCACTACCCTTTACTGAGCTCTTACTGTGTGCCAGGCAGTGTGCTAAATGCTTTAAATATGTGGCTTACTTATGCCTCAAGGAAAGCAGGGGTTGCTATTTTCATCCCTATTTTTTAGAGAATGAAAATGAGACTTGAAGAGGTCGAGAATGAATAACTTGCTTAAGCTACATAGCCAGTAAGTGACTCTAGAAGGCAGGTTAGACAATCCAAAGGCTAGTCACATAGCTAGTAAGTGATTCTAGAAGGTAGGCTTTGAGAATCCCAAGCCCTTTAAATCAAACCTTCCATTTCCATATTTAAAAAGAAAACTAACCAAGAGAAACCCAGTACCCTTCTTTATTACAGGACAGAATTTCCATAGCAGTTTTCAAGTACATGAAGCATCTGATCATGTTTGAAACTTTTACCCCAAGTCTCAGACCACATTTTAAATCACAAAATAAGCTTGCCAAAACAAATCAAGTAAGTGCATTGGTTTCTGCCATAACCTGTGTTTATGAACTCCTGTTTTTTATGCATTTTTCCAACTTCCAAAATTTTTAATTTGTCATGGGCCCTTGTCATATTAAGAATTAGCCAGATTATTTTGTATTATAAAGTGTTAATAAATGAAACAACCCTTCTCTGTTAATAAAATTAATGATTGTTTCAACTTTAGGGTCCTTGAGTTCCTAGGATGCTATATATTTTAGCATTCTTACAGCACTTTATACTTCCAGAATAGTTTGTAATCATTAGTTAGCTGTTTCCCACACAATCTCTGTGGAATAGATTGGCATTCTTTCTTGTTGTTTTACTGATGAGAAGAGAGATAGATACAGGCAATTTGACTGACTTTCTAAATTTACACAATAAGTCAGTAACCGTCTGGATTAACATTCAACTTTAGATTCCTAGTTTTTTGCTGAGTTCACAGGCTGATGCTGTCTCAAAAAGCTGGTGATTTTTTCGATTTGCCTGCCAAATGGATTGATTTCAGGTTGCTGGGAAAGCTCTAGATTCTGACATTCCATGAGGCTAGCCTATACGGCACAGAGATCAGCAACCCTTTCATTTTCAGCTGGTGTCCATAAGGAGTGTGTTTAAGATGCAGGTGAAAACTGAAAAGTTTGAAAGAGCAAACTCCATCTCTTTTTCTGAATCTGTCTTTCCTAGATTCTCAGTGTCTTAATAAACCTAGACCTGTGTCACAGCTGTACCCTGCTAAATATTACACAACTCTCCTCTCTCCACATCCTAAATTGTGGCTTATCTAATGTTCCTACAAAGAGACCAGATTCTAGTCACAGTCTTCCCCAGGTTATACCTATCACTTTATCTCCATCACCTGGAATAGTACAGAAGCCATCCCTGCCTCCAGTCTTATTCCCTTAAACCGTTCTTTTATGCTACTAAAGTGAACTGCCACAAATGCAAATCTGACTACCACTTTCCTGTATCGTTTATGTTTTTGATTTTTATTTTTTGTATATTCTGATGTTTTGACATCTTAAAAAACCTTTCTGGCTGAGGAGGGGGTGCTCCTACTGGGGTTAGTTGGTTCTTAGAGATAGCAAAGGGCAGGTGCAGCCAGGAGCATGGGTTTGATATGCAAACTAACCAGTCCTAAGCCAGACCTCCTCTGTCTGACCCATACACCCCAGGAGACAATATTCCTTTGCTTTAATCATCCTAGGGCCAGGTACTCTGGAACCACCTCTAAATCCCAAAACCCACCAGAATTATTCACACTAGCCAGTCCTAAACTGTTTACCCTTTCCTGCTTTGTATTTTCCACAAGAACTCCAATAAAGGCTCTGGCCTAGACTTTCTTTTTTTTTTTTTTTTTTTTGAGACAGAGTCTTGCTCTGTCGCCTAGGCTGGAGTGCAGTGGTGCAATCTCGGCTCACTGCAAGCTCCCGGGTTCACGCCATTCTCCTGCCTCAGCCTCCTGAGTAGCTGGGACTATGGGCGTCTGCCATCATGTCCAGCTAATTTTTTTGTATTTTTAGTAGAGGCGGGGTTTCACCGTGCTAGCCAAGATGGTCTCGATCTCCTGACCTCGTGATCTGCCCGCCTTGGCCTCCCAAAGTGCCGGGATTACAGGTGTGAGCCACCGCGCCTAGCCCTCTGGCCTAGACTTTCTACCCTTGCTACTCTCTTCTACCTCCTGACAGTCCCCAGTCCTTTCCCACGTGGCCCTGCCTTCTGTTTCTAGGGATTCGAGTATAAATTTCCTTCATAACAATCACTTCTTAATCACTTGATTAAAACAAATTCTGGGTATATTTTAATATACTTTCTAACCTAATCCTTATGATGGCTTCCTATTCCCATAGGATGAAGTCTCCTTATTACGGCATTTAAAAGAGGTCTTTCTTGACAGGTCCTATTTACTCCGCCAGTGTCACCTCCCATCACTCCTTTCTTTAGATATATGCACTAGAATCAATTATTTATACTCCCCATGGTCCTGTGTATTTCATGTCCCTGAACCTTTTCTTCATGCTTTTATTTAAATGCTTTTCCACTTCACATTTATTTCATCATCTGGTTAGCTCTTTTTAATCCGTTATGACTGGACCCAGCAGTCAACAGCAGGAAATTTTCCTTGAACCAACAGATCAGACTCTTTGCCACTTTGTGTACTGTCACTTCTGCTAGATCTTCTCCTTTGGCTTCTCTGGATTTTAGGGAAGGCATAACACTGGGCACAAAAGTAACAACCATATATAGAGGGCTTAACCAGCTCCCATAGTTATATAAGGTCAAATTCCTGTAATAAAACCCATGTTCTATACAATTCCTAATGGTTTGTATTGTTATTATTTTTTATTAAATCTTGATATACAATTTGCTGCTACTAAGCCATGTAGTAGGAGCTTTGGGACTGAGCTTGAGTGTAAGTTAGAAGGGCCTTGAAGAGACTGTTAACAGGAGCCTAATGTCACTTCAGGAAGCTATTGGTGAAGGTTTAAACAAGGTGAGAGATATTATTGGAAGCTGGAAGAAAGGTGACTCTTGTGACATAGTAGCAGAAATTTTAGCAATGCTGGAAATTTATTTTCCATGAAACAGTGGAAAATAAGTATAGCTCAACTGGATGATCTCACTAAAGAGATTTCTAGGCAATGTCAAAGGTGCTATCTGGATTCTTCTAGCCCCTATAGCAAAAGACAAAAGGAGAAAGGCAAGCAAGATAAAAAATTGTTCGATATAAAGGAGCCACAACTTTTTGGGTTTGAAAAATACTTTTTTTCATTCCTAACCTCTCCAGACAGTGAATGATGCCAAAATTAAGCAATCTGTTCCAGACAGAGCCAATCCAGGGAACTCTCAGCAAAATGATGAAGATGAAAAGGCATGGCTATAAAAGGCTTTGTTAAGAACAGGAAGGTTAAATACACTGTGTTACCAACAAACAATAGGGCCCCTAAAAATCTTAATGTCTCACGGCAGTTTCACATGGGAACCCAAGATAGAGGTGGGCCATCTGAAAGAGATTTGTGGGTGTGGTTTGTGTCTGATGGAGTGAATTATAAACTGTTTTAAAAGAAACCCATGAAATTTTTAAAGGATTTGCATCAGGTTGGATTGAGAAGGACGATAAAACGAAAAGATAAACCTTCATGCACTGTTAGTAGGAGTATAAAATGGTGCAGCCACTATGGAAAAGTCTGACAGTGCCTCAAAAGACTAAACATAAAGGTACCGTATGACCCAACAATTCCACCCCTAAGTATATACCCAAGAGAATGAAAACATGTCCACATAAAAAATTGTACACAGATGGTGTTTGTAGCAGCATTATTTGTAATAACCAAAAAGTAGAAACAATGCAAATGCCCATCAGCTGATGAGTGGAAATGTAAACTCTGATGTATTCATACAATGGAATATTATTTGACAATAAAAATAAGTGGAGTGCCAGTACATGCTATAACATGGATAAGCCTTTGTATTAGTCTGTTTTGGCAGTTCTTTAAAGAAATACCTGAGACTGGGTAATTTATAAATAAAAGAGGTTTAATTGGCTCAGAGTTCTGCAGGTTGTAAAGTAAGTGTAGCAGCTTCTGGTTCTGCGGAGGCCTCAGAAAGCTTCCAGTCATGGTGCAAGGCAAAAGAGGAGCAAGGCACATTTCACATGGCTGGAGCAGGAGGGAGTGGGGGGAGGTGCCACCACTTTTAAACAAACAGATTTCACAATAACTCACTATCATGAGGACAGTACCACGAGGGAAATCTGCCCCCATGATCCAATCACCTCTCAACAGGTCCCACCTCCAACACTGGGGATTACAATTTGATATGAGATTTGGGTGGGGACACATATCCAAAGCATCTCAGCCTTGAAAACATGCTAAGTAAAGTAAGCCAGTCACAGAAGTCCACATGTTATATAAATTCATCTATATAAAATCCCCAGAATAGGCAACTCTATACAGATAAAAAGTAGATTTGTAGTGGCCTAGGGTTGGGGTGGATGGGAGGAAAGGAAAGTGATTGTTAAAGGCTTCAGGCTTTCTTTTGGGGATGATGAAAATATTCGAAAATGGATTATGGTGGTAGTTACACAAGTTGGTGAATATCCTAAGGACCATCGACTTGTATACTTTAAATGATTGAATTAATGGTATGTGAATTCTATCTCAATAAAGCTGTTATCAAAAAAGAATTAAAATGAGAGGCCCTTGGCACCTTGAACTTCTATGGACAGGAAGCAGACTGAGGAAACTACTTGGCAAACATGGGCTACATTTTATGGAAAAGGAAAGAAATTCAAGAGGATGGAATCAAGAGCCCAAACGGGAACCAAAAGCTAATCCCAGGCAGTACATGTGGGCTGGGTGCAGTGGCTCACTCCTGTAATCCCAGCACTTTGGGAGGCTGAGGCGGGTGGATCACCTGAGGTCAGGAGTTCAAGACCAGCCTGGCCAACATGGCGAAAGCTTGTCTCTACTAAAAATACAAAAATTAGCCAGGCATGGCGGCACGTTTCTGTAATCTCAGCTACTCGGGAGGCTGAGGCAGGAGAATTGCTTGAACCAGGAGGCGGAGGTTGCAGTGAGCGGAGATTGTGCCACTGCCCTCCAGTCTGGGTGAAAGAGCGAGACTCCATCTCAAAAACAACAAACAAGAAACAAAAATAATGACAACCTTGTGCCTCATTTGATTTCAGAATTGCTATGAACCGGTGGCTACTTTGTTCCTCTGATTTTTCCCTTTTTTTTTTTTTTTTTTTTGAATGGGACTAACTATTGCCTGCCCTTTGTTTTACCTATGTTGTATTCTAGGTATGTGTGGACAGATAACTTGTCTCTTTAGTTGATAGGTCTTCAGGTCAGGATGAACTGCACTCAAGCTGAACTCAAGGAACTGCCTCAGAGGAGCTTCATCTACCTTTGTACCTAACTTTGATGATAAGATCTTTGAACCTGAGGTTCTAAATAGATGAAACTTTTGGGGAAAGGGGCTTTCCAGGAAGAGTGCCTCTGTTTTGCATATGGGAGGAATGTAAACAGCTCATGGCTACAGGGTGGATTGTGGTGGGTTTTAAAACATGTCCACAAATTTTTGGTCACTTGCCTTCAAGAGGCAGAGTCTAATTTGTCTTCCTTTGAATATGAGCTCGTTTCTGTCACTTGGTTCTAATGAATAAAATGTGGTAGAGGTGATTCTGTATGACTTCTGAAGCAAGGTCATGAAAGTAATACAGCTTCCACTCCACTTTCTCTCTTGGGATGCTCAACCTTCAAACCAAGCCACCATGTTGGGAGGGAGTCCAAGCTACATTGGAGAGGCTACATGTAGAGGCTGACCACCCTGAGGCCCTAGCCAACAAGAAGTATCTACCACCAGATGTGGATTAGTGAACCTTTAGATGGTTTCTGCTGCAGACTTTGAGCTGCTATAGCTGTCACTAAGAGAACTATAGGCAAGCCCTGCCCAGATTAAGATTTGTCAATAAAGGCCAGGTGTGGTGGCTCACACCTGTAATCCCAGCACTTTGAGAGGCCGAGGCAGGCGGATCACGAGGTCAGGAGATCAAGACCATCCTGGCTAGCACAGTGAAACCCTGTCTCCTAAAAATACAAAAAATTAGCTGGGTGTGGTGGTGGGTGCCTGTAGTCCCAGCTACTTGGGAGGCTGAGGCAGGAGAATGGCATGAACCTGGGAGGCAGAGTTTGCAGTGAGCTGAGATCACACCACTGCACTCCAGCCTGGGCGACAGAGTGAGACTCTGTCTCAAAAAAAAAAAAAAGATTTGTCAATAAAATAAATGTTTTAGGCCATTAAGATGTGTGGTGGTTTGTTTCCCAGTGATAGATAACTGGAATAGACAGTATGAATAGGATTGATTATATATTGGAAGTAAGGGAGAAGAAAGACTCAAGAATGTTAACCAGGTTTTCTAGGTTCAGCAGATTAACAGAAAGCAGTGTCAGATTGTATTGGTTTGTTTACCTACTTAAAGCAGTAACAAATTTCCAGGGTTTGGACAGTGTCATCTGGGATGCTAGCCACCCGATATTTACTTAAGAGGTGGTGATTGTCATGGATTTTTTTTTTTTAAACAAAGCCTTGTGATCAGTTTGTTTTGATAGTAACAGCTTTATTATTCTTAGGAAACAAATAATATCAAAGTAAAGAAGACGAAGCATAGGTTTGGAAGAGGGAAGGCAAACAGCAGTGATTAAGAAGCTGAAAAATTATCTTTCTAGCAACTGAAAGTCACTATTAGCATCTCTTGATTTACTGTTATGATATTGATATTCATTATAATCCCTTTAAAAATTTAATGATCCTTTTTTAGAATTCTGGCACTTGATTTTACTCTCTTACTGGAAGAGGTCTTGTCTCTAATAGCATTCTCTCAGTGAGGCCTTTCCTGGTCATCCTATTTAAAATTGTAAACTTCTCATTTCCCACACTCCCTATTTCTCTTTTCTGCTTAGATTTTCCCCCTTGGCATCAAATCACCATCTAACATAATAGATTTACTTATCTGATTGCTTTTCTTCCCCTACTAGAATGGAATTTCCTTGAGAACAGAAATTTTTATCTTTTTCATTCACTCCTGCAACAGTGTTGACTATGTAGTAGGTGGTCAGTAAATATTTGTTGAATAAATAAATAAAGTGATTTCTGAATGCCAAAGGAAGGATTGATTTCTGTTCAGATCACTTTCAGTGCAGAATGTATTTTATAATGTTCAAGTTTTTGGAAACCCACATCTAAGTGTGTCACATACATGTGTAATCCTAATGCCTCTAAGACTCATCCTATCTGGGTGCTAGTGGGCTTGTGATAATAATCAAATGTTACTGGCCACAACTCCCCTCCCTCTCCTTTTTGTCACCGTTTAAATCTTTTATTTGGAAATTTTTAAACATATGCAAAAATAACAAGACTAATATAATGAATGCTGATATGGTTTGGATTTGTGTTCCCTCCAAAATCTCATGTTCAATTATAATCCCCAGTGTTGGAGACTGGGCCTGGTGGGAGGTGATTAGATCCTGGGGGTGGAGTTCTCATGAATGCATTAGCATCCTCTCAGTGCTGTTTTCCTGCTAGTGAGTGAGTGAGTTATCCTGAGATCTAGTTGTTTATGTGTGTAGCACCTCCTTCCTATCTTCCTCCAGCTCTGGCCATGTGAAGTGCTGGCTCTCCCTTTGCCTTCCACCATTATTGTAGGCTTCCTTAGGGCTCCCCAGAAGCTGAGCAGATGCCAGCACCATGCTTCCTGTATAGCCTGCAGAACTGTGAGCCAATTAACCCTCTTTTCTTTATAAATTACCTAGTCTCAGGTATTTATAGCAGTGCGAGAATGGACAAATACAAACCCCTATGTGTCTATTACTCAGCATTAATAATTATCAACATTTTGTCAATCTTGTTTGATCAGTTTCTTCCACCCACTTTCCCCCCTAGATTATTTTTAAAAAAACTCAAGATATCATTTTATTTCACTTGAAAATTTCAGTATGCATTTCTGAATGTTAAGCACATTTAAAATAAATACTACCACCATACCATTTTCACATGTAACAGAATTAATTTCTCTCATCTAATAGCCGATGAACAAATTTCCCTGAGATGTTTGTATTCAACTGAGGATTCAAATACAGTCCAGACATTGCATTTAGCTGTTATTTGCCCTAAGTTTCACTTACATCGTAACAGTTTTCCCTCCTTTTTATTAATGTCTTTCATTTGTTGGTGAAACCTTGTGACATTGGACCAGGGACCAGTCCTGTAGAATCTTCCATGTTATAGATTTGACTGTTTCCCTATAATGAACTTAACTTATTCTCTAGTTCTGTTTTTTTGTAAATGGTAGTTAGATCTTGAAGCCATGATTAGATTCAGATTTAATTTTTGGACAGGAACATTTCATAGGTGGTGCTGCTGTGTACTTTTTAATTCATTACTTCATAAGGCTTATAATGTGATTGTCTCAATTTTATTGATGCTAAAATGATTAGTGGGTTATTAACCTGATCACTTGATTATAAAGTTCCTCATCAACCTTTCATCTAATACTTTCAGTCTCCAATTATGATTTTTGCATAGCTCCATTATTTTATTAGAATTTGCAAAAATTGTGATTATTCTAGTTATTTTGTCTTTCTCATTTATTAGTTTCAATTCTTGTGAATAAGAACTTTATTAACTATTAAGTTATATTTAAGTGCAGTTTGTACTGGAAAAGCAGAATAAATGCTTATATTTTTTCCTTTATCAATTTTCAGACTGAGTTGGTGCGCTAGTAATTCCCAGGGTGAGTAATGTTTCTTTTTAAAAAATGCCATTATGAACTCAGATTTTAATGTGTTTTGATATGTTTCAGTCTATTCTAGATTATTTCTTTCTGATCCTTAATATTTTCCATCTTAGACTAGTGGGAGCTCCTAGAAGTTCACTTCTGTGTCCTCATTAATCTCTGATAGCTTTAATATCGCAGGCATAAGCTATTTTAGGCTTACATTATACATTTCCTGCCCCAAACCTGGACCATCTACTTTCCTTTCGTATCTTTCACATAGGAAAATAATCTAATGCTTCCCCCCTTCAACATGGTGGATCTCAGAATGTTCTTGTTTCTATGACACACCAATTCTGTAATTAGAGGTTCTAAAGCTGTATAATAAAGAACTCTAATGGTTACCTTGTTTTCTACTTCTTTTCCAAGATCATGACTGAGAGATTGTTAATAAAAGCATTGAGTGGTGGTAAAAATACGAAGATCATTACTTTGAATGGGAAGAAGATGACAAAGATGCCCTCAGCATTAGGAAAACTGCCTGGCCTGAAGACTCTAGTCCTTCAGAATAACCTAATCCCCAAAGTGTGTCCAGAGTTATGCAACTTGACCCAGGTGAGGAACAGTGTTTTGCTGTTGTGGTTTGGTATTGAAGATGGAAAACAGGAAGAGAGAAAAAAGGGGTAAGAGACAGAACAATAACACTTCGATCTATGGAGACTTAGGTATCTGGAGACTTAATGTGGAGTGTTGCTGGAGAGGCATCAGAAGGCTTTCTCCCTTAGGGAATTCCATGTGGTAGGGAGAGATGTTTCAATTTATTCATGTGCTCTTTGGCCCACATCTGGAGTCAGGGGACTAGGTCTCTGCCACACTCATCTTTTTAGAGGCTGTCATCTGGAAAGGGGTTGGAAACCTGGATCTGGTCGTCTATCTTGGGGGCTTACATCTGGAAGTAGTTTTGAGGATCCAGGAGATGCTGTTCACCCTGGGGACTGTCCTGAAGCTTTTGCATTTAGAATGAAGAGACATTTAGGATGCAGCAAGGGAGTTCCTTTTCAATTTCCTAGGGCAGGCTGAAACTTTGAAATGGAGTGTTGGCAGGGAATAGGAAGGAGGGGACATTTATTTCTCCTGAAATAGTCTTTAAAGGAAGTTTAATATTTTAAATAAAAAATATTCTTTTTTAAAGAGGAATAGTTGACATGAATGAATCCCATATGCTTGTGTTAAACCTTTCTGCCTAACAATGTGAAACTCTAGCTGCCAAAAATCTTGAGGTTGAGAGAAGGCAAGGGATATTAACTTTGTAATTTTCTTTTTGTTCACTGCTGAATTGTCATCAGCACAGGAAGAACCTAGAAGCAGCTAAGGCGTTATAGCTCATTAATTTTGAATTTACAGTTCCAAAAAATAAATCTGTATTTTCTTACTTTCACCCTACCTCATTTCCTTTTACGTTTAAGAAATTGAGTTTGTAATCTGTAGTTGTATCTTTATAAGAAATAGGGTAACTTTTACAAAGTCCCCCTTCATTAGTAATTGCAGAAGGTATACTTGTAGTTACAAGACAACAAGGACTTGGAATTTTTTAATAGGAAAGAGGAGTTTCTTTGCAAAAGAATTTGGGACTTGACTGAGTCATGAACCTATTCTCTCCCTCTATTTGAATTTATTTCCATTAAAGTAGTACTAACCATTGGTTACCGAGAATTAAATATTACAAAAAGCTTATAGCAAGAAGCTATCTTCTATCCCACTTCCCCTCATCCTCAATCCCGATCTCCATATATAACCACTTTTAACTCATCTATTTTATTGATTTGTCTATTTTTGGCATCATTTTTCTTCATCTTCTAGATACAGTTATATTAATGTATCTATTGTGTATTGATCCACATCTGGAATCAGGGGATTAGGTCTACAGGTATCTTTTACATGTAATGTTACTACACCTTTATTTCTTCCTTCATCAACTGCAGTCTCTTTTGACTCCCCACTTCGTAAGATGACAGTGTCAGCCTTTGTAATCCACCTTCAGCTGTCCTTTCCTCTCCCCCCTCACAAACTCTGAAGTTTTTACTTTTATAACACTTACAGCTTTTATATCCTATTCAGTTATAACCATAATTAAATATTTGTTTTGTGTCTTGGGTAACTCTAAACTTCTAAAAATATATATTACTAATAAATAAATATTCACATGGAGTCAATTAATCTATGATTATATTTTCTTTCTTATATGCCATTTTTGTTCCCTTGGAGTTTCTAATAACCTTTCCTTTGTTCTTGTGCCTTAGTTTTATGGTAGCCTCATTTTATTTCAAACTGTATAATTTTTTTCTGTCAAATGTACTTTTCCTTGAGAGACTTCCCTCTAAGACCCTCCATCCTCTGCCCCACTCTATGTTGACTGCTATCTAGGTTTGCTAGATACTGTCAGCCAAGGACATTCCCTTTGTTGCTCTCTTAAATTGGACCCACTGTTTCCTGTATCCTGTATTTTCCTTTCTTGGCTTGCTCTCTTAGTTTTTCAGGAGTCTCGAGAAATCATCCTAGTCTGGGTATGTGGTAGTTAAATTGTTTGATCCCTTGCATATCTGAAAATTTCTGTATTCTTGTCTCACACTTGGTTAATAGTTGTTTAGTAAAAAGTTACACATTCCAAGATATATTTCCATAGGAAAAAGCCCCAAGAGTCTGATTATCATTACATTGTCTTCTTCTTGTGGCTCCCTTTGTTACTTGCCCTCTCATTCTTCTATTTAGGGGTAACCTACGTGTTGACTTCTGTTTGTTCACTCTTAGTTCCTTCACCAGGGAGCTGTCTCAGCCCAGTGCTTACTTTTAAAGAAGAAATTACACCACTAAGAATTCAACTGATTTGCAACTAGGCTGCTTATAGTCTATTCTGTCTTTAAAGTACTTTAAAAGTCAGATTCAGGCCAATGGTATTATGTTTAGCTGTTCATGAACTAGTAGTTTTTCTTATATAGGGTCTTGGAGAAATTGTGGAATTTTGGAAAAAAAAACACAATTTTCCCTATGTAATGGGAGTTCTAGAAGCATGCTAGATAAAATGTGCTAGAAACCCTCAAAGAATGGTTGTAGATTATCATAGAGTTCAGATATACAGCTCCATCCGTCTCACAGTTGGTAGTAAAGGGCAGATGGCCCGGTGCAGTGGCTCACACCTGTAATCCCAGCAGTATGGGAGGCCAAGGTGGGCAGATTGATTGGGCTCAGTAGTTTGAAACTGGCCTGGGCAACATAGTGAGACCTCATCTCTACAAAAAAATAAAAATTAGCCAGGCACAGTGGCACGTGCCTCTGGTCCCAGAGGATTGCCTGAGCCCGGAATGTGGGAGGTTGCAGTGAGCTGAGATTGCACCACTGCACTCCAGCCTGGGCTGCAGAGTGATTCTGTCTCAAAAAAAAAAAAAAAAAAGGAAAGGCAGATGAAGGTTTCAAAGAAAGAGACAGCTTAGAGAATTGAAAAGGAGAGTTTAGAAGTGCTGGCACAACTTAACTGGTTCAGCAGTTACCAGCTATATACAAGGCACTTAGTTTCTTTGGGCCTCAATTTCTGCCTTCATTTATTTAATCCACAAATAAGCAATGAGGACCATCTGTGTCTCAGGCACTCAGAACTGGTGATTCAGTGATGAGCAAAACAGGTGGAAATCTCTGCCCTCATAGAGTTTATGTTTTAGTCAGGAATGATGTAAGAAACAAATAAGCAAAATAGGGCGTGAGGCGGTGATTAGTGTTAAGGGGAAAAATAAAGCAGAGAGAAGGGGCAGGGTGTATTGTGACATTCAGCTGACCTGACTGATGCCACAGAGTGTCTCTTGTGGGCTTTATAACTTGGTGATGTGTATGTCAAAATTCAGTGATTATAATTCTTATTCTAACAGTTTTCTCTAAAATTCCCGTGTACTTTTAAAGTTAATTTGAACTCTTTCTTATGTGGCTATAGTCATACCGTTTATCAGTAATGTTTAAAGCTACCCATCTACCTATGACTTTTGTTTCATTTTGTTTTATGTCTACAGTGTTTATCTTTTGAAGTAGCCTTTTATCATCATATGAAGTCCAGTTTGCCCCAATATACTGATTTTTTGGTCATATTTCCCACAGAATGCAAAGTATTAACATAGTCTTGATTTGTTTTTAAGTTCCTAAAACAAAAACACTACTTTTAAATTTCTGTACTCATAAAATGCTAATAGAATAACAACATCAACCATTCACTGGGAGCCAAGCATAGTATCAGGAGCTCATCATTTTCTACAACTTGCAAGGAAGTTATTACCCTCATACTGTTAATAAAATTTATGGTTCAGGAAGAGGTTAAATCATTTGTCAAAGGTCACTCAACCAGTAAATATAAAATGAGGTCTCCTTGGAGGTTGCTTTCGGCTCTATTGTATTATTATTCTATATATTTAGTGTGAAATTTATCAGGGTATGGTGTTCAATTTATAGTTCTTAAAAACTGAGTTGCCTAAAGACGGCTGCTCTGAACACTACATGCATTGTCCTCTCCTCCCATTTGTTTGCATATTTTTTTTTCTTTTAAGAGACAGGTCCTGCTCTGTCACCCAAGCTGGAGTGTACTGGTGTGATCATAGCTCACTGCAGGCTCGAACTCCTGTGCTCAAGTGATCCTCCTACTTCAGCTTCCCAAGTAGTTGGGGCTACAGGCGTGTGCCACTACCCCTGGCTAATTAAAAAAATTTTTTTTTTTTGTTTGGAGACCGGGTCTCACTTTGTCACCCAGGCTGGTCTTGAACTCCTGGCTTCAAGCAATCCTCCCACCTCAGCCTCCCAAAGTGCTGGGATTACATGTGTAAGCCACCCCACCTAGCCCATAGTGATTCTTGTATTATTATTATTATTATTGTTATTATTATTATTTTTGAGACAGAGTCTTGCTCTGTCACCCAGGCTGGAGTGCAGTGGCGTGATCTCGGCTCACTGCAACCTCCGCCTCCCAGGTTCAAGTGATTTTCCTTCCTCAGCCTCCCGAGTGGCTGGGATTACAGGCACCTGCCACCATGCCTGGCTAATTTTTTTTGTATTTTTAGTAGAGACGGGGTTTCGCCATGTTAGCCAGGCTGGTCTTGAACTCCTGACCTCAGATGATCTGCCCACTTGGCCTCCCAAAGTGCTGGGATTACAGGCATGAGCCACCACGCCCGGCCCATAGTGATTCTTTTAACAAATATTTACCATTCATTTTCTTGCATCTATGCTGTTCCCAAGGATATAGATGTGTACAAAGTGTGGTCCCTGCCTTCATGTTTGGTGATTAAATTAAATGTTTATATATTTAAAGCTCCATGGCTGGCATGTAGAAGCTTTAAATACAGTTTAGCTATTATGATTAGTGTTACCATTATGATATGACTAGCAACAATGATAAAATGAGGGGGTAGGGGTTCTTTAGTAAAGAACCTACTTTAGATCCTACTTCCATTTTTCTTTGCTAATTTAACTAGTGAAGCTCTGGAAAATTTCAGTCACTTCTAATGACAATGAACAAAATGGGTTAATGTCCTATAATTTATGGTGAATGCATTTGGACTGTGGCTCTTGAAATATGGGGATGTCAACAATTTTCAGAGAAGCACTTTATGAATTTTAAGGGCAAAGATCTTGTCTCATCCCTATTGCTTTTTACTTACTAACTCATATAATGTCAACATGAGTGAAATGGAAGTAATTTTCAAAGTCCTGCCTAACCAAACACACGTAGGAACAAAGGTTCCTCACAGGTAAAACAAATAGCCATCATCTCTAATTGTGTGCAGCATTGTTGACATGTATCATAAAGTCCAACGGCAGTGTGGCAAAGTTCCCCTTAAGCTGCTCACATGTGCAGCTGACCAGGACAAAGATATGGTCTGCCATAGCTTTTTATTTGGCCATAAACAATTGACAGTAAATAAGACCAACTCTAACCAGATTTGAGTAGTTTATAAACTTACTAATTGTGTCCTTAATCTCTCCTTTTCATACTTTTGCTGTCCTTAATGACCCTTTAACCCAATCAACTTCATTCATTCATACATTAAACAACTAGTTATGTGTGTCTGCAGTGGAGTAGGCACTCTCCTAGGTGGCAGCAGTACAAAAAGGAACAAAATCATTCATATGTCCCTAATAGGTTTAGTGGGGAAAGTTAATGAAACATACAAATAAGTGTATTATTACAATTGTGAAATATTACACTCGTGATGTAGGAGAATTGTGAAAAGTGCTGTAAAGGAGAATTGTGTTGTACTATGAGTCTCTAGTCAGACAAGTCTTGTGCTATGAGAGTCTCTAGTCAGAGAAGTCAGAGAAGGTGATTGTGAAAACGTGCAACTGAGTTAAGATCTAAAGCAAGCTTGTCTAACCCGTGGCCCGCGGGCCACATGCGGCCCAGGACGGCTTTGAATGTGGCCCAACTCAAATTCATAAATGTTTCTAAAATATTATGAGATGTTTTTGTTATTTATTTATTTATTTTTAAGCTCATCAGCTATCATTAGTATTAGTGTATTTCATGTGTGGCCCAAGATAATTCTTCTTCCAATGTGGCCCAGGGAAGCCAAAGAATTGGACATCCCTGATAAAGAAAAAATTATGCAGAGGAAGAGGAAAGGAATGACCATGAGCAGAGACTTCCCGTAACTCTTCCTCCTTGGGCATTCTGGTCTCACTTTCTAACCCAAGCAGAACAGAGAAGATCCATGTCATTTATACTGTTTGTCAGCATCAAGCCTTTCTCTTCTCCTGTTCCATCCACTGAAAATCTCTTCTTTCTCCATCAATTAGGTAATGCCTCCTATTTCCTAAGCCTGGCTATCAAAACAGGGATTCATTATCCTGTTTTGTTGTGTCCTGTCCTGGTACAAGGGCACATAGTACCTTCTCTCCAGGAACCGTTCATGTCTCCTTTGCCTCTGCTTTCATGCCAAGGCATATATTAAGGTCTCTTGAACCCCTGCTGGAAATGCAGCTTCTCTCTCTGCTGGCAGGTGTCTAGAAAAGACACAGCCCTCTTCTTTCCTTCACTAGTGATGTGGAAAAACTGATATACTCTATCTGTAGACCTGCCTTGACTCATCTGAAAAGTGGGCCTCGTCATTCTTAGCTCCTAAAGTTGCCATCACTGTTATCTACCTAATATAGGATGCCTTATCCATATTGTTTACATAGAAAATTTTAGCCGAACCTTCAAACTTCCAAACACTTAAGATTTTACATTTTAATTGAATGTCATTTTAATTGAATGTTAAAATTTTACATTTTAATTGAATTCTAATAATTTGAAACTCTTGTCCTTCCTTCTTATTCTTTCCTTATGAAGCTTTTGATGGCATATTAAAAGGCAATGGCTTGATAATCTTTTTATGTTAATGCCAGTAGAGAATCCTTCTTATATTTCTTGACATTGAGCTTAACTTTGGGATTTAAGGGGCCAGCAGTAAGAGGTTGTGGGATCTCCATGAAATATCTAGAGATGAGATAACATGCTGGCCATGGAAACTTCCCCTCAATTTCTAGTGAAATTATAATTGTTTTGAGAAATATGACTTTGTTAGGAAGTTACTGCAAAATTAAATAGTAGCTTTGAAATTGGCAGTTATTCATATAAATAAATTCCTTCAGGAAGAGCTGGATTCAGAAGCAGTTTGGCAGTTGTATTAAACAGCGGTTTTAAGGATGCCACAGATTTCTTTAAAAAAAGGCATTGATAAGAATTAGCAGATTGAACCATAAATTGAACCTCCTTCCATACGTTGGCCATACATATGCTAATTCAAAAATGTAAAATCGTTATTATTCCCTCATTAATTTGATTCGATTACCTTTACAAAATAGTTTACAGAACCTGACATGTATATTATATACTATTTGATTATAATAAATGTGAATATTTACTCTTCTTAAGGAAGTTAAAGATTCACTCTTCTTAAGGAAGTTAAGTAGTTCAAACATATTTATACATCTTATAGGCAAATAATCAAATAGTTTATTCCAAAATGGTATAACCATGATTTAGTTTAGGAAGACAGTCTTCCAGATAAAGATGGACATTTGAGAATTTTTTTAATACTTAAAAAGGTTTTATCTGGCCAGGTGCAGTGGCTCACGCCTGTAATCCAAGCACTTTGGGAGGCTGAGGTGGTGGGGATCACCTGAGGTCAGAAGTTTGAGACCAGCCTTACCAACATGGTGAAACCCCATCTCTACTAAAAATACAAAATTAGCTGGGTGTGGTGATGCATAACTGTAATCCCAGCTACTTGGGAGGCTGAGGCAAGAGAATCACTTGAACCTGGGAGGTGGAGGTTGCAGTGAGCCGAGATCATGCCATTGCACACCAGCCTGGGTAATAAGAGCAAAACTCTGTCTCAAATAAAAGGCCAGGGAGTGGGGGAGTTTATCTAAGTTAGTCAAAACCAAGTAATTAAAATATATAATAAGTAGCATAGAGTTTTCTAGTGATAATTAATAGCTACAAGCATGGAATAATTAAATATTAAGAGAGGCTGTCTGGTCCAAGTTCTAGGCCTACATATGATATGCACTACATTGAACTGAATATAGGGGCTAGTGAGAATGAGCAGGCTAGAATAAAGAAAGCATGCAGCTCATTAGAAGGAAATAAATAAAGCTGGGCAAATTAGAACAGATTAAGCTCAAAAGATACTTGATTTTGAAAATAAAAACTGATGTGGAGCCATAATGACTATTCCATAGTTTGAGTCTTTACAGAGATGATCTAAGCAGGCATCATTCAACTAATATTTATTGAGCAACTATTATATTCCAGATATTGTTCTTTGAATGCTAGATGATTCACACACAGACCCTGTCATTGGAAAGTTTCCTATTTAATAGTAGAGGTAAAATATACATGTGAATCATAGAATCAACATAAATGCCCATCAGTGATATGCTGGATAAAGAAAATGTGGTACATATATACCATGGAATACTATGCAGTCATAAAAAATGAGATTATGGGCCAGGCACAGTGGCTCATGCCTGTAATCCCAGCACTTTGGGAGTCCAAGGTGGGTGGATCACGAGGTCAGAAGTTCAAGACCAGCCTGGCCAAGATGGTGAAACCCCGTCTCTATTAAAAATACAAAAAATTAGTTGGGCACAGTGGCAGGCGCATGTAATCCCAGCTACTCGGGAGGCTGAGGCGGGAGAATCGCTTGAACTCAGAGGGTGGAGGTTGTAGTGAGCTGAGATCGTGCCACTGCACTCCAGCCTGGGTGACAAAGTGAGACTCCATCTCAAAAAAAATAAATAGAAAAATAAAAATGAGATTATGTCCTTTCCAGGGACATGGATGGAGCTGAAGGCCATTATTCTTAGCAAACTAATGCAGGAATGGAAAACCAAATACCACATGTTGTCACTTATAAGTGGCAGCTAAATGATAAGAACGCATGGACACATAGAGGGGAATAACACACACTGGGGCCTATCAGAGAGTGGAAGCTGGGAGGAGAGAGAGGAGCAGGAAAAATACCTAATGGCTACTAGGTTTGGTACCTGGGTGACGAAATAGTCTGTGCAACAAACCCCCATGACACAAGTTTACCTATGTAACAAACCTGAACATGTATGTACCCCTGAACTTAAAAGTGAAAAAAATAAAAAATATATATACACAAGTCATTATAATATAAATAATAATAATTGATAATAGAAAGTACACCGTGCTATGCAAATGCAAAAGGAGGATGCCTTCATGGGGAAGATGGTAAATCTCAAGGGGAAGCATTAAGCACGAAAATCTGTTATAATTATTGGAGAACCAAGATATTGTTAGTATTTAATGAAAACAGAATCCTGAAACACATCATTACTGCAGAAACAATAAAGAATTTTTATCCAGCAAAATTAACAGTCCTTCTGTGGCCATTTTTCTCATTCCATGAAAATGTCATTCAGAAGTGGCTGTGACCTGGGACCTCAAAGCCGTGATCACTCTGCATGTACCTGTGCTCCAGACCCAGCTCTGCGGCTGCTCTGCATGCACTTGCACTTCTGACAGTGGCATCTCTGTGGCCCAAACATGCCCATGTGCTGGACCTACCACCAAGGGGCATCCCCTTGGCCACAACTACCCCTGATAGAAGGAAAAGAGATCAGCAGCACTGCAGCACCTTTTACTGCCAAGGACCCCAATATATGCAAATCAATCAATGTGATATAACACATTAACAAAACGAAAGAAAAAAACCCAGATCATCACAATAGATGCAGAGAAAGCATTTGACAAAGTTCAGCATCCATTCATGATTAAAGCTCTCAACAAAATAGGTATAGAAGCAATTTACCTTAACACAATATAGGCTATATATGAGACTCCCACAACTAACATCATCATCAGTGGGGAAAAGCTGCAAGCTTTTTCTGTAATATCTGGTACAAGGAAAGAATACTTACTTTCTCTACTTTTCAACATAGTACTGGAAGTCCTAGTCAACAATTAAATAAGGAAAAAGAAAGGCAACCAAATCAGAAAATAAATAATGTTATCTCTGTTTGCAAATGACATGATCATGTACATAGAAAAGTCTAAAGACTCAATAAAAAACCGTTAGAACTAATAAATGAATTCAGTCAAGTTGCAGGTTATAAAATCAACATACTAAAAATCAATCATATTTCTATATACAAGGAATAAAGTATCTGAAAAGGGAATTAAAAAATCAATCCATTTACAATAGCAATAAAAATAATAAAGTACTCACAAACAACCAAACAGGTCAAAGATTTATACATGAAAAATTATAAGACATTAATAAAGGAAGTTGAAAAAGATACATGTAAATGGAAAGACATCCCTTCATAGATAGGAAGAATTAATATTATTAAAATGTCCATATTACTGGAAGTGATCTACATATTCAATGCAATTCCTATCAAAATCCTAATGGTATTCTTCACAAAAATAGAAAAAACAATTTTAAAATGCATATGGAACTACAAAGCAACCTGAATAGCCAAAACAATATTGAGCAAAGACATGAAAGCTAGAGGCATTATACCTCCTGATTTCAAAATATATTACAAAGCCACAGTAATCAAAACAGTGTGTCTTAGGCATAAAAACAGACACATAGACCAATGGGACAGAATAGAGAGCCCAGAAATAAATCCACGTATGTATGATCAACTAATGTTTGAAAGGGTGCGAAGAGCACACATTGGGGAAAGGATAGTGTCTTCAATAAATGTTGGGAAAATTAGATATCCATATGGAAAATAATTAAATTGGACCCTTATCTCATATGGTATACAAAAATCAACTTAAAATGGATTAAAGACTTTAATGTAACACTTGAAACTGTGAAACTACTAAAAGGAAACATAGGGAAAAACTTCTTGACATTGGTCTGGACAATGATTTTTTGGATATGGTGCCAAAAACAAAAGCAACAATAGCAAAAATGGACAAATGGATAATTTAAAACTAAAAACCTGCACAGCAAAGGAAACAATCATCAGAATAAAAAGGCATTCTACAGAATGGGAGAAAATATTTGCAAAGCATATATATGATGTGGTTAAAATACAAAATATATAAGGAACTCGTGCAACTCAATAGCAAGAAACAAACAAACAAATAACCTGATTTAAAAATGGGTAAAGGGGCCAATAGGAGGATCATTTGAGACCAGGAGTTCAAGACCAACCTCCACAACATTGCGAGACTTGTCTCAAAAAAAAAAAAAAAAAAAAAAGGTAAAGGACCTGAATAGCCATTTTTCAAAAGAAGACATGTAAATAGCCAATAGGTATATGAAAAGGTACTCAACTTCACTAATCATCAATGAAACACAAAGCAAAACAAAAGTGAAGTATTATTTTACACATGTTAGAATGGCTGTTATCAGAAAGACAAAAAGTAAGTATTCACAAGGATGTGGAGAAAAGGAAATGTTCGTACATTGTTGGTAGGAATGTAAGTTGGTACAGTCATTATGGAAAGAGTATGAAGATTCCTCAAAAAATTAATAGTAGTATGATCCAGCAATCCTACTCTGGGTATATATCCAAAGCAAATGAAATCAGTATGTTGAAGAGGTATCCGCACTCACATGTTCATTGCAGCGTTATTCACAATAGCCAAGATATGGGAACAACCAAAATGTCCATCAATGGACAAATGAATAAAGAAAATGTTTGTGTATGTGTGTGTGTGTATATATATATGTATGTATGCACATATGTCATGTGATGCCTAACAGCATTTCAGTTAACAGTGAACCACATATATGACAGTGGTCCCATAAGATTATACGGTATTCTTACTGTACCTTTTCTATGTTTAGATACTTTTTGATACACAAATACTTACCATTATGCTACAATTGCCTTTAGTATTCAGTACAGTAACATGCTGTATTGCATAGGTTTTTAGCCTAAGAGCAATAGACTATACCACATAGCATAGTAGGCTTATAGCAGGTGCATAGTAGGCTTATACCATCTAGGTTAGTGTAAGTACTATGATGTTCACACAATGACAAAATTGCCTAACGATGCATTTCTTAGAATGTGTCCCCATAGTAAAGTGACACATGACTGTATATGCATTGGAATATTACTTAGATTTAGAAAAGAAAATTCTATCATTTGCAGCAACATGGATGAGCCTGGCAGACATTATACTAAGTGAAATAAACCAGATGCAGAAAGACAAATACTACATGATTTCATTTATACATGGAATATAAAAATGTCAGACTCAGAATCAGAGAGTAGAATGGTGGCTACAAGGGTCTAGGGAGAGGGAGATAAGGGGAGATGTAGGTCAAAGGGCACAAAGTTTCAGTTATGTAAGATAAATAAGTTTTGGAGAGCTAATGCACAATGATGTGACTATAGTTAATATTGTATAGTATACTTGAAATTTGCTCAAGGGGTAGATCTGAAGTGTTCTGATCATACATACGCACACAGAGAAGAAGTTACAAGAAACAGTTTGAGATAAATGGGTGGAGAAAGCTGTTAAATAATAGGATGAGATTTTCTTTTGCAGGCCATCTATTTTATTCAGAGGTTGAAAACACATGCCTCCAGGCAGGTAACATATGAGAAAAAGGGACTAGGAAGGAACTGTGGCTAACTGGTAGCTCATACATGCATAGTCAGTAGTGACAGTCCAGCCAGTCCCCAGCACTGGTGGATTTTTGTCACAGCAGGATTGTGTATTTAAAGGTTCTGTGGAAAGAAATACTATTTTTTAAAATACTGTGTCTATTAGTCATACCAGTTTCTGAGCTAAGAGTTTAGGCTTAATTCAGCAAATGGGATGCATTGTTCTCTATGTACTAAAGTATGCAGGAATATTTCTTTAAACTTTTCCAGTCTAAATGTTTCTTAAATTTTTGCCCAAACATCTGGGAAGATCTCTTAGTTTCTATCAGATATCTCCCTTTTTGCAATTTGTAAATCAAAGCGATTTTCTAAATTCAGTCAAGTAGGAGAGGAAAATAGAATTGCTGTTGGTGACTGTGGCTCCTAACTATGGTTAGTGAGTTCTGAGGGTGAAACAAAGCTGACCCTGGAGTTGTTCCTTGGCACTTCCAGCAAGGCTGCTTCAGGTTCCTTGCCTGTGGTTGACCCTGCACATGGAGATCCTGCCAATCCCACTCATATTTACAGGTATCACTCCTGCAGGTAAGCCTAACATACATGTCTCTTCACCGTGAGCCAGGTAATGAATATATATGTGTAATTTAATCATGGTTTATAACCTATGCCTAATAAAAGAGTGCTTGTGAATTTAGAAATGTTTGAAAAAATGAGTTAGAAATTAAGAAAATAAGCAGGTTTTAAATTTGAAAACTAGTAAAGTGTCAATATGTATGTATGTGTGTATGTGTGTGTGTATCAGGTGTTTACTGCATTTCTAGCACCAGGTATGGCTAACATTTTACCCCACAGTATTTTCCTGGGCCTAAAAGATTACCATTTAATAATATCTGCTATTTGCCTGGCACTTTATTAAACTGTCTCTAATCCTTAAGACAACCCTAAGAAGTAAATGCTAGTATCCCCATTTTTATAAAGAAATAGAGGCTTAGGAATTTGAGTGACTTGCCCAAGATCACATATTCAGTACATTGCATAGCAAACAGCCTGTGCTTTGCCTACTGCACAATACAGACTCAAGAATGTGCACATGATAGGACAAGGATATTTAAAATGAGAATTTCATGTATTGTATTCCATTTCATTTTGTGAGCATGTGTATGTGTGTGAGCATATGTGTCTGTATACATATATATATATATTTGTATCATGTGCATATGTATGATCATTCTGAGCAATAGTAAATTCCTTTTAAAGATGCGCAGTGTATTACTGAAGACAGTGGAGGGTAGGAGTTAGGAATATAGGCCGTAGAATGAACCTAGGTCATTTCACCATAAATCATAGCCTGGACTTCAGATCCCTTTTCTGTAAGATCAGGGTTATTGCGAGGTCCACATTAGACAAAATTCAGCTTGGCACAGTGTTTCATATATTTGGCACTTAATTTAAATTTAATTTAAGTATTGGTCAGTATTGTCATTAATAATCTGTATGTTTTCTCCTTAAATTTCTTGTCTTCTCTCTTACTTATTAAAAATATCACTATACATTGAACCTAGATTCTATAATCCAAAGGCATCAATGGACATTGAGATGCTTGCCTCATATCCAAGATGTAAGAGAAAGTGCACATGCCTATTTTAAGGCAGGCCACAGATAGGCTATAACTTTCAGGTATGAGTGGGTCAATACAATCAAACAAATCAGATAAAATTTAGTAAGAGCATAGACAGACAGTATTTGGAGCAAGTATACAAAGACATAGAAAAGACTATCTACAGGGAGGTTGGAAACATTTAGGATATACTGGGTAGAGAAATTATAGGTTCATCTTTTGGGCAGCTGTTTAGATACAATCTAGTAGGATTGAATAAAGGGAATTTAAGTCACAATACATCCATTCTTTACATCTTTTGCTATGTAATGCTACAGGCAGGCAGTAATGAGTACTAGGTTCATTGCAATGAGATAGAACTGAAAAAGGTACATCTAAAAGGATTTTTAAGACTAAAACTTGGTGGCAGATTGAATTTAGGTGGAGGGAGAGAAAGATGTTCTAGGTAGCTCCAATGTTTGGCCGCCATAGGTTTATGAGAAGTGGGAGAAGCAGATCTAGTTTGTCCAGGGGGCATTGTCCAGTTTTATACTTTGAATTTAGAGTGATCCACTGGAGTTATCTTAGAAGCCGAAACTAACAAGATCCACTTTTTTTTTTTTTTTTTTTTTTTTACAGGGATAACTGTAAATTCCTACATTTAGGTTAAGAAATGAATTCAATTGCACAAGTCCAGGATGTGGGATATCTGCTTGACAGTTAGCTTAGGGGTTTTTATTGGCCACAGACAAAACTAATTATGCACCAACAATGTGCCTTGTTGCTGAAAGAGTACATGCCATGTTAGGCTGCATAATAGAAGTGTTGTCATCCGCCAGAGGGAGACCCGTGGTCCCACTAACATATGTGCTATGAGAGCTGATTTCCTGTCTCACCATAGGCTCCATCTTTTCAGAGAGGGGTGCTCACAAAAATTAGAGAGTGGTCAGTATGGTCAGGGGTCTGGAAATTATGTCCTGAGGGAAATAGTTAAGGGAAAATGGAAAAAATTTAGAGGGAATATGATAGCAATCTTCAAAAATTTGAAAGATTATGTGAGAGAGAAGGAGTGCAAATATTTATTATGATTGCTGTGAGAAGAATTGGGTAGAAATTTCAGAGAGCCTAAATACTAAAAAATTAAATATAGATAGCTAGATCTTCCTAACAAGATAAAAGTGCTACCCATTACTGGGTGTGCTCATGGGGAAGGTATATAATTGCCCACCTGCATTCTGTATGTTGGTCTAGGTGACTTGTAAAATTTCCTTCTAGGCCGGGTGCGGTGGCTCATGCCTGTAATCCCAGCACTTTGGGAGGCTGAGGCAGGCGGATCACTTGAAACCAGGAGTTCGAGACCAGCCTGGCCAACATGGCAAAAATCCCATCTCTACTAAAAATGCAAAAAAAAAAAAAAAAAAAAAAAAAAAAAAAAAAAAAAAAAAAGCCAGGCGTGGTGGCACATACCTACTACTTGGGAAGCTGAATGAGAATCACTTCAACCCAGGAGGCAGAGGTTGCAGTGAGCCGAGATCATGCCAATGCACGCCAGCCTGGGTGACAGAGTGAGACTGTCTCAAAAGGAAAAAAAAATTCTTCTAATTGTAAGTTGCTATAATTCCGTGGCTCATGGGTCTATGAGTAGCAATGGTGTCTTTCAATCTATAGCAATCAGTAGCAATGGTGTCTTTCCATCTATAACCATATCAATTTCCAAGGGAGAGAGAATACCAATAGAACTTCATTCTACATTTAATTACTGAAGAGATGCAAGCTTTAAAGCTTATCAAATAGTTGTCTGTCATATGACTAAAGCCTTCCTTCAGGAACTACACATAACCGTAGAGAATGTTACTAATGAAACACTGCCTACATTCTTTCTGTATATCTGCTATTTCTGCAGTTCTTTGTTAGTAAAACACCATTTGAAACAATGTTGTCAAAGCATTCCAAATATCTTACATCAAGTGTCATCTTCTCAGAGAGTACTTCTCTAATGACTCAATCTAGTCCTGAGTTACTTTCCATTGCATTATCTTGTTGTCTTTTTTTCATATTTAAGACTAACTACTAACACACTATTCATTTGTTTACTTATTTGTTGTCTGACTCACTTCCCAACATAGAAGCATTGTAGAGAGGGATCTTGTGTGTCTTGTTCACTCTTCCTCTAGCATTCAGAAATAGTACCATCATAGACATATCTTAAACATAATTGAATTAATGAAACATCTAGGTTGGGGCTTGAGGTATTTCTCAAAGGTAACTCTATCCTTGCTACAGTGTTTCTGGACCTTTCTGTATAATTTAAGTAATCTACACTGAAGCTCTGATGTATTTGCCATGGTGACAGAGTATAAATGCTACTACCTAGTCTTTAAGAGACATTTATGAATTTAAAGGCAATCAGTGAATCTTCCTTTGGTTATCCTATGCTATGAAGAATATTCCCAGTCGCACTCACTTCATCTTAGTTTTGACTTTGAAATCCTTTACAAGTTGAGGTTTTTATGTGAACTCTCTTCCTCTTCTCCAAGCTACATTCTTGGTTGCAGAGCTCAGAATTTCACATGGTAGCTTCTTCCAGTCAAAGGACCATGTGGTTATCCAGATAAAATGTCTTTTCCTAGGTCATCTATCCATTTTATAATATCTTGGGAGCTAACTTGGATGAGATAATCAACTGTGGTTGTCGTTCACCCTACTACATTCCCCTAGATTGCCTTTCAAAGTGACTTTTTCCTTTTCCTCAAACCTCCTAATCTCCTCCTCTCAGCAGATGACTTTGTTTCATATTTCCGTGAGAAAACAGACATCATCCTTCAGGAACTCTCTCATCTTTTCATCACGAATTCATCTACTTATCTGATCCTCACTCACCCTTTCCTACCTTCCTTCCTACTACCCTTGATGAAGAGCCCTTTCACTTATCTAAGGCCAGCACCCACTTGTACTTTGTACCTGTCTCATCTTCTAAAGGATTTTGATTCTGTGAGTGTCCCCATATTTAAGGCATGAGTTTCTAATCCCTACAGGGTTATTTCCATCAGCACATAAATAAGCTATACTATCATTTATCTTGGGGGTGGGGGGGAACTCCAGCTTCTTCTTCATTTTCTAGTTTCCCTTCATAGCAAAAGTTCTTACAAGAATTGTCTATTAGTTGTTGTCTTTGCTTTCTCACATTTTCTGCACAGCCCACTTCAATTAGACTTTCTTCCCCAACACTTCACCCCTATTTTCAAGGTCACTAATCACTTTCCAATTGCTAAATCCAGTGGTTATTTTGATGCTTTAATTTTGTTTAGCCTTCCCCTGGGATATGTCCCAAATTTTCCTTTTTAAAATACTTTTTGTTTCTTTTGCTTTTGCCTTGGATTCTGTTACACTATATATCTGGGAAATCCTGAAACATAGATTTTTGTAATATTGAGGCATTTCTCTCAGAAGAAACCTTCCCAGGAGTGAGGGAATCTGGACAGGGCAGGGAAAGAACCTGGATAAAGAGGTGGTTCCAGGAGAAATGTAGTCTCAGCCCAATCCCTTCAGAGCTTTGGGGCATGCCCTGCAGCACAGAGGCAAAGGGGTTGGGCTGTTATGTCCTGGCATCTGCCATGGTGTAGCAGCTGTCTGGAAGGATGGAGCAGAGGCACAACCTTCCAGGTAAAGCCCTTCCTTGCAGTTAAGGGAAATTCTTCCAAGAAGGGCGCAGGAGAAAGTCCTCACGGGATAAATTCATGGTAGCTGCGGATGGAGCACGACTCAGCTGTGGGATGTGGTGTACCAGATGCTTTAAGTGGCCTATCTTTGCCTTCTACTTCAGCCACTCCTCAGTCAGTTCCTCTGCTGGGCTTGCATTCTCATCTCTTAAAATTCCACATGATGCCTTTTACTTACTGAAAGCTCACAAATTTATTCTGTGCTCTTGATTACTCCGGAGAACCCTAGAATTACATTTACAGCTCCTACTTGACATTTTCATTTAAAGATCTAAAAGGCTTCTTAATTTTAACAGGGATAAAACTAAACTCTTGATTCCTTGTCCCTCCTCCAAACCTGCCCTTGTCCCAGTTTCCCCATCTCAGGTGCTCAAGTTCCAAAGTTAGGTGCTACTCATGATTCTTCTATTTATCTTACATCATACAACATTCTGGCTCTTCATCCAAAGCATATCCCAAACCCATCCACGTCTCTCCAGGTCCACCATCCACTACCTAGCTAAAGCCATTGCCTCTTGCCTGCACCACTGCAGTATTGCCTCTGTGTTCTCTTTGTGTTTCACTTCTTGCTACCCCTGCAGATTCTGCTGTACAGATGCCAGGATGATCCTGTTAAAACACATGTCAAATAATGTTACACATATGCTTAAAACCCTACAGTCATTTCTCACTGAACTTAGAGTAAAATCCCAACCCCTTACCCTAGTTTATGAAACCATATGTAATCTGGCCCAAGTATACCTTTCCAACCTCTTTTTCGCTGAGTGTTCCTCTACCTGCAGTGCTCAGCCACATTAGCTGCATCTCCTGGGGCTCCTCAACCACACCAAGAATGTGCCTCCATTGGGGTCTTTATTTTGACAATTTCTTCTTCCTTATTGTCACTCAGATCTCAGTCTATATATCAACTTCTAAGACAGGTTCTCCTGATCAACAAATCACTTTCTCCTCACTCTTTAAATTGTCTCTAGAACACTTAATACTGTCTGTTATTTTTGTATTAATTTGTTTAGCCATTTAGTCATTGGATGGTTGCTTTCTTACTGTGTAAGTGCCTTGAGGGCAAAGATGTTACATGTCTTATGCATGCAATGAATATTTTTTAATGAGTGAATAAATGAATGGTGACCCACCTGCTTTAAGAGATATGTATTCACTTAGAATATGTGCAGTTTAGACTGCATTTTTAAGCTGTTTGTTTATGGATATATTTCTAAGCATCAAAAAACCCACAAAAAAACAAAAACTAAACCAAAACTGAAACCCACCCTGCTTTACAGTCAAGATTGATTATAATCTGTGATTTCCCTTTGACATATGATGAAATCTAGTTACTATGTATCTTCATATATCTGGGCCAGACCCTTATATTCTGTAAAACACAATGACAAAAATATATCTAACTCTTATGTAAGAACTTACCACATAACATACAAAATGAGCACTGTACAGTATATGCCCTCAGAAATACACAGAAGAGCATTGATAGTGTGGGACATTACAAGCTGTTTCTTGTTTACTTTAAAAATACATGTTACCATCCCTTTTTTTAGGTGATAATTCACCATGAGTCTCACACTTCTGCACATTCTGTTAACAGAGGCACTGGCTGGCTTTGTTTTGGACCAATTTTTCCAGTATAATTACATAGCAGACAAGCTTGGAAATTAGAAATAGTGTCTCCCTCTGGACCGAAGGGCAGGCATGGTTACTGCCCATCATAAAAGATTCATCATAAAAGATTTGCCCATCAAAAAAAACTCATTGTTCCTGTTCAGTAACACAGCCTACTTCACATCTAGGTATCTCTTTGTGTTCTTTGCATTTTCAGTGCAAAAATAGTAATATTCTGGACACTTCTATTGCTCTAAGTAGTAAACGGTCCCTTGTATCTTTCCCAGGGGTCTCATGTTTTCTACCAGCATTCATGAAACTGTGGCAGGTTCACTTGTTAGCTTGTAAACTGGGTAAAATCTTGGACCTTTCACAATGCCTGACACATTCTTGCGTATCTCGCCAGTCCTCAGGGAGATTTTCTTGGGCTGTCAGTACTGCTAGACTGCTGTGCATGTTTCACTAAATTTAGGCAAAAGAATGAAATCTACCTTGTTTTGGAAGAGACTGCAAATAGTCACTTTGATAGGCAAATAATGGACCCCCAAAGATGCCCACACCTAATCCCCCAATCCTCTGAATGTGTTAGGTTATATGACAAAGGGAAATTAAGGGTGCAGCCAGAAGTAAGGTGGATAGTCAGCTAACCTGGAGAATGGGAGGTTACCCTAGATTATCCAGGTGGACCCAGTGTAATTATGAGGTTTTTAAATGTGGAAGAGTCAGCATTAGTGTGATATGATTTGAAAAAGACTTAACCAGCCATTGCTGGCTTTAAAGGGGAAAGTGGGGCATATAAGCCAAGGAATGGAGGCTGACTCTGAAAGTTAGGAAAGGCAGGCAAACAGATCATCCCCTGGAGTTTCCGGAAAGGAACACCAGCTTGATTTTAGTCAGTGAGACTGTTTCTGATTTCTGATCTCCAGAAATATAAGATAAATTTGTGTCGTTCTAAGCCACAAAGTTTGTGGTAATTTTTTATAGCAGTTATAGGAAACCAATACAATTACAGACTCTGGATAAAATAGCTACATGAATGTATTTTAACTTCACATTTACAATAGAAGAAGGCCTCAAACATGGTAGTAGATGTATTATACTGTTATAAATTAGGATAATGGTAATTCTTAGACAAAAGCACATATGCAAGTAAAACCTTTACCATGAATTCTTAGGATGAGAAATTTCATTTTAATATCAATGTATATTTCTTTGTGTTAATTTAAATCATTGTCTTACATCCATAACAAGTACTAAGTGACATTTAAATATAAATTGTGAATGGCTTCAGTTTTCTTCTTAATTTTTTTGGTTTTATGTAAATTCATTAGTTTGTTAAAACTTCCAAGATTCCTTTTATTTGGCCCTTACTATTAAAATTCTAAAGTATGCAATTGGTAATTAAACCTGAATAGTAAATTATGTTTAGGAGTAAAGTAAAAGACTCTTTGTATTTTGGAAAGTATAATTAGATTTTACAACAAAGAATATTACTATATTTTTGGGAACAATCTGTATCACTTATTTATTGGATTACAACATCAAGGAGGAACTTTTTAACTCCCGTTATGTGCAGTTCTTCCTAGGCCTGACCAATCTGTTCTCTGTAGGACAGATAACTGTAGGGTAGATCTTTTCTACGCTCATTATACCATTTCAATAGTTTGTTTTCTAAATTTTGTGATCCCACAGAGTGACATCACCCACAGAGCCCACACAGCCTGCAGTACCAGGCTGTGTACATGTAATAGAGTGGTCTTATGGCCTAGCTCATTTGGGAGTAGTATGTCAGGAGGACCTCAGATCTTTGGCTATGTTTCTGTTTTCAGTAACTTAGCTCCTTTGCTGAGTGTTTAATAGTTTGATTCTATAGGTCACAAGGTTCAGATACTCTTAAATTGTTCAAATGATTTATAAATGGATCATCGGTTGTGGTTTTACATATCCTTGGGATGGTTAGTAATATAATTTTAATGAACTTAAGTGCTCTAATTAAAAATTAAATTGTGCTTTAATTAACATAAAGTGAGCATGAAGCTCAAATGAACTTTGTTTGTAAAGATAACTTTAGGTATAACTGAAATAATTGTTTAAAAATATTTTGAAGTTTTCTTAGGTTACATAGATGTGAGCAAGGGAGCTTAAATTATTTCTTTTTTTCATTTGAAGTTGGATGATATATGAGTCCATTAAACCTCTATATGTTTGCAGTTGACAACACTAAATCTGGGAAACAACCTTTTAGAAGAAGTTCCGGAAGAGATGAAATATCTTACATCTCTGAAGAATCTCCATTTATCTGGAAATAGGATCTGTAGATTTGCACCTGGAGCCTGTGGTAATTTAATCAACAAGGAACAACATTATAGCATCAAATTTAATCTCTCATATTTAATAATATGAGACTGAAATGAAAAAGAATTTTGCATGTTTAATCTTTTTTTGTTGGAGATATTTACATACTACTCTTGAAATATAGGAGGAGACAACACTTTTAAAAAAGTATTGTATCATATGTTTATTTACATGTAGACCTAAGAAAATAAGTAAGCATCAGTGTTAATGAATTTTCCTCTTTGTAGAATCAGTATAAAGTCAGATTGTGAATCTGGGGACCCTTTTCCTAAGCCAGAGATAATTCTATTGGGAAATCAAATCAAGTAAAGCTATACTGTAGCTTTGTTCTTTTCACTTTTTATTCTGTCTTAGATATTAAGTCACACTTTTTGATCAAGATGCTAAACTTAAATCAATTTGGGGAGAATTTTAAAGAAAAGATATGAGATCCAATAAGCATTTTTTTCTTTCTTTTTCCCATTAACTAATAATTTCTCCATTCAAGATGATGCTATTCTTATTTAATATTCCTAGAGTGGGCTTAAGGACAAATGTATGACAAAGAGATCTACATGGCTTTTATAGCTTTATCAACTAATGTAAGGTACTTCACCACTTTCTGTGTTGGTCCTTAGTAGTAAAATGAGAGAAATATTATAAAATTTATAAATTTCTATGAACTTTTGAGGCATGGGTGCTATATATAATCATTGTCATCTTCACACAGAGTTTATTAATGGCATTACTGCATGCAGCAATAAATTAGGGGTTATATTTGGCAAATAGCACAAGTAGACTCTAGTACTGTCTTTTTAAAGGTACTTTAAAATCTTAGGTCATGTATCTTGGAACAATATTCTTTTCCAAAATAATAGATGTAACAAACAATTATTGAACTTGAACACCTTATATATGCAAAGCCACAGACCAGAGTTCAGTTACAATTTACCTTGGAAGAAAACAGTTTACACTAAAAAAGTTAAGGTCATGCAAATCAATAGATAATAATATTTTATGACCTATACTGAGGGGACAAATTTAAGTGCAACCTGATATACATAAACAATATTGAACATACTAATTTATACTAATTAAGGCTCTATAAGGAATTTTGTATCATGTTGCCTTTAAATTTGAGGTAAGTTAGGTATATATATATCTGTATCTATATCTGTTTAGATATATTTTATATATGTATATAAAATTTGTTTGGAGTGCTCTTGAATGTCTTTAGTTTCTATATTTCTTTTTAAAAATAATTATTTTTTTAATTGACAGATAACAATTGTACATACTCATGGAGTACATAGTGATATTTTGATACCTATAATATATAGTGATCAGATCAGGGTAATTGGCATAGCCATCATCTCAAACACTTATCATTTCTTCGAGTTGGGAACATTCTTGACTTGGGGTTATTGAACTTTGAAAATCCCATGTGATTGACCTAAGTTATGTTCTATGTCAGGTCCTGATGATTCAAGGTCAGAAGTAGTTTGATGTCAGGGAGTTTAATGCTGCCCAGCATGGGTAGAATAACCTTGTTGCATTACATGACCCTATTTCCCTGACCAGAGCAGATTGATCAGGGCTGGAGTTGGGTCCCAAGCTAAGCTTGTCATATTTTCTCTTTCTTGGGAATTGTGATAGAGTCTAAAACAGTTTAATTGGTTTGAGATAATTACATGACCTGAGGCAGAGATTGCAAACTGGTGGCCCATGGGCTGAAGCTGGTTCATAAATAAGTTGATTCTATTTTTTTTGCCTTTAAAAATCTTTGAATTAGGTGCCCATGTTTTCAAATCAGGAGAGTTCACAAAGAAGTCTGGATCTCTGGCTCTTTTTAAAAATCTGTTTTAAAAAAGAAAGATTTAGCAACACTGCAGTTGCGTTCCCATATGACAATTGCCAGAGCTGGCTGAATGGTGGTGGCCCTGTCTGACATGGCATGGGATTATCATTTTGATTCCTGTGGACATGTGAGTTTGAAAGCTCTGTCTTCCCTGTCAATGAACATTCAAATTCAGAAGTTGTGATATGGTTATGAGTACATAGAAAAATAGAGCAAACATGTTCAAAAGAGAGAATGGAGGGAGGAAAGAGAGAGCGGGTAAGATATTATAAATACGAAAATGAGAGAAGCTGTAATGAAGAACTAAATTATATTTTCTGCAGAGATATTCAGACAGTACATTCTCAGGTTCTGGGTGCTTTTAGCTTCTGATTCCAGTTTTTGATGAGCCTGGTTGCATCCTCATTCCACAGGCACAGTGACTTAGATTTGTAACTTTGTGATAAATTACTCCTTTTTGCTTGAGCTAGTTTAAGAGGGTTTCTGTTACCACCACCAAAAGAGCCTTGGCCAAGGCAAGAACCAGAAGGAAAACAAAGGTATGTAGAAAAGTAGAAAAGTGACTAAAAATTATCTAACAGATGGCTAAAGTGACTAAAATTATTTTCTAACAGATGGCTTACAAAATTTAATCCTGCTTAATCTGAACAACAATCATCTTACGCAGCTTCCTCAAGAAGTCAGCAGGTAATTTTGTTTATAGCAAGACTTGGTTAACAATCGTGCCCCTCCTCTATCCCCACCCTGGTCATTTGAAAGCATTATGCCTAGCATAAGTCCCTGTGAGATTTATACATAGCAAAGAGGGATCTGAAGGACTGAGGCAAGCCACTAATTTTAAGCAGATGATTCCTTAAACACTTTGGAGAAATGAGAAACAGCATGATAATCTTAGTGTAAACATTGGGCTTTGAAACATAAAGTTCTAAAACTGATGGTCTCATTGATTTCCCAACTCTGAGGTTCTTGGAGCTTGGTTAGCCACAGAATTGGGCACATTAAATGTTATTTCGCATGTGTATTGTAAACCATTTTGAGCTTGATGGAAAAGGTAATGTAAAAACTAAGGATTTAAAACTGCAATGTCATTTTCGTTTTTAAAAACCCCACATTTTATTGTCATTAACCAAAAAAAAAAAAAAAAAAAAAAAAAAAAAGGCTGTTTTTCCTTATCCTGCATATCTGCACAGGCAGAATGCCTTTCTGGAGCCAGCTGAGAGCCTTGTCCTTCTGTAGGCAAAACACGCTCTTGGGCTTTTCCTCTGACAGATGGAGAGAGAACTCTGTTCAGGTTTACTTTGGAGACTCCCTTTATTGCCTGTTGAGCAGAAACAGATGTGTCACAGAGCAAGAGCAGCATCCAGGGTTTTAAAAGAGAATACAAAACTTTGAACAGTCCTCAACACAGTGCTTTCTGCAGCACCTAACATCTATTCCAATTTACTTGTCTATACCTCTGGCCAATGTATTATTTTTTCCAAATATATTTTTATAAGGAAAGCAATATTTTAAGTCAGAGCAACTAGAAAAGAATTGAATCAATCTAATTTCTATAAAAGATAAATATTTGCAGCAATGAAAATGCCATGCTAATAGTTGTCTGCTTGCTTTTTTACAAATTCAGCTTATCAATCGATGTATATATTGATGATGATATAATTTTAAAAATCCCTTGGGAGATCTCATGAATGAGGTTCAGGGCATATCTCTGTGCAACTAGATTTATGCCTTTGGACCAGTAATTTAACTACTTTGAACTGCTGCCTTCTCATCTCTAAAGAAAGAATTTTGAATAGATGAACCTCAAAGTTTTTGCAGCTATAACACGTTATGATTTCACAATTTCATACACTTATCTCTGTTTGGAATACAAATTACAGTATTCAAGGAATCGTAAATCTAAGGGAATATGTTAGAAAGATGAAAGAATGCTTTCACTGAAGAAAGTAGGATTGCAGAGTGTATAGGTCTATTCTGTCTTATAGTTAACTCTGGATTGTCTATATTCTGGCCATATCCTACTAGATATCAATTAATTGGTCATCTCTCTAAGTAGAATTCCATTTCTGAGCCTGGGAAAGTTTCTTCACTTTCCTATATCTTAACATCTTCACCTGCAAAATGAGGATGATGATAGTATTTTCAGAAAATAAATCGGATTGTTTTGACAGTTAAGCAAATTCATACAATATATTTAGGGTTGAGCCTTGGACATAAAAGGTATTAGGGTTGAGTAAGTGCTCAATGGATGTTAGCTTTTATTATTATTGGTTGTTATTTTTATTCTAGCTTCTTTCTGTTCCCTTTGTTCACTGATTTCCAGAGACAAAGGAATGACTTCTCAGTGGATTTGGGCAAAGCATTGAGCATATGTAGTTTGGCATTCTCCTCTTGCCCTGCCATGAAGTAAGCAGCAGCCTCAGCAGGAAAGGCTGTGAATGGGGTGGTATATTTAATGCAGAGGAGGGCTAGCAGGGACTCAGAGTGATCATGTCAGCTCTGTGCTGATGTTTGATTTCCTTCTCTCTAAATTCCATATCTTATTTCTCAATTTATTTAGAACTTAGGAGAGGGAAAAGGAGTTTTGTTTTTGGCTCATTTAAACTACAGAATATCAGTTCATGGACTTGGAGTCAAATTTGGGCAGGTAAGAGTTTTACACCTAAACAGCTCTGTCATGGACAGCGCTGCACAGGCACAGGAAGAGGACAGCATGGGCATCCTGGTGACAGAATGAGTCTGGAAGACAGAGAGAGAGAGCAAGGGACTAAGTCAGCAGGCTCAGTTCTTTCTCCAAATTCGTCAGTCAGTGAAGTTGTTCTTCAATCTCCTGGGGAAGACAGATGTCAGGGAGAATCTACAAGTGTATCTCCTATAGATTTTCTTTGGAAAAGTAGGACATCTCCCTGCTTTGTGGAATCGGGAACAATGGCAGATATTTGTTTCTCTCCCTGCTCTTTACTCACACAAATGAATGATGGACAAATGAACAATAGGATCTGAGCTCATTTTATTGCCTTGAAAGAACAAAAAAGTTAAAACCAACTCCCATGATATAGTAAATCAGAGTAGAATCAATAAAAATGATAATAAAAATGATTATAAAAATGATTAATGAAGAAAATTCCCCATCCCTTTCCCCACAGGACCTGCTCCACACATTTTTACTCCATTTCAGTGCTGAGTTGTCCTTCTTTGACCCTTTATACTGCAAAGAACTTCACTTCCTATTATCCTGAGAAATTTGAGCTCCCTCAATTTCCTTCTTTTCAGCATCTTTCTCTCCATTGTTCTATTTCTTTCCTTCCTCTCGCTCTTGCTTCCTTGTCATCTCTCTCTGAAGTCCCGTGTCTTTTGCTTTTGCTTCCTGTGTAACACATTGTAAATTCTCTTCTGTCTTCTCCATTCTACCTTAGATCATTTTCAAAAGTCGTTACTGTCCTTTACATAGTCAAATATAATGGCCTTTTTTTTCTGCTGAATAAAAATTACATAAAACTATTCAATGCATTTTGTACTATTCAATGCATTTTGACAAATGTACGCACACCAATAAGATGTAGAACATTTTCTTCAGCCCAGAAATTTCCTCATACACCCTTCCAGTGAATTCTTACCTCTCATAAGCAATCAATATTCTGATTTCTGTGTTCTTTACAAATTAGTTTTACCAATCCTAGAACTAAATAAATGGAATATGGTATATACATTTTTGTGTCTGTCTTCTTTTGCTTAGCATATTTTTTGAGACTCATATAACTGTTGCATTTATTAGTAGTTCATTGGTTTGTTTTTTGTTTTTGTTTTTGTTTTTTATTGAGACAGAGTCTGGCCCTACTCACCCAGGCTGGAGTGCAATGGCATGATCTCGGCTCACTGCAACCTCCGCCTTCCAGGTTCAAATGATTCTCCTGCCTCAGCCTCCCGAGTAGCTGGTATTACAGGTGCCTGCCACCACACCCAGTTAATTTTCATATTTTTAGTAGAGATGGGGTTTCGCCATGTCTGCCAGGCTGGTCTCGAACTCCTGACCTCAAGTGATCTGCCTGCCTCGGCCTCCCAAAATGTTGGGATTGTAGGCGTGAGCCACCATGCCTGGCAGTTTTTGTTTATTCTGAGTAGCATTTCATTGCGTGAATATGCCCTAAATCATTTGTCTTTTCTCCTATTGATGTACATTTGGGTTATTTCCAGTTTAGGGCTATTATGAATTAAGCTACAATAAACATTATTGTACAAATCTTTTTGTAAACATGTTTAATTTCATTTTCATTTAAATTTCTAGGAGTAAAACAGAAATTTATTTCTCATAGTTCTGGAAGTTGGGAAGTGAAGACCAAGGTGCTGGCAGATGTGATGTCTGGTGAGGGTCTACTTCCTGGTTCTTAGAGTGGCACCTTTCTCACTGTGTCCTCACATGGTAGAAGGGGCAAGGAGCTCTCTGGGGCCTTTTGTAAGGACATTAATTACATTTATGAGGTTTACCCCATCATCATGACCTAATCATCTCCCAAAGGCCCCATCTCATAATACCATCACATTGGAGATTAGATTTTAACATATGAATTTTGAAGAGACACAAATATTCAGACCATAGCACTGTCATTTCTCCAATACCATATGATCTTGATTATCTTGATTGCTGTAGCTGCATTGTAAGTTTTGAAATCAGGTAAAGTGAGTCTTTTGATTTTATTCTTTATAATAGTTTGGCTATTCTAGGTCCTTTCAATTTCCATATAAATTTTAAAATTGATTTGTCTTTTTTTTTTTTTGTTTTGTTTAAGATGGGGTCTCACTATGTTTTCCAGGCTGGTCTTACACTCCTGGGCTCAAGCAATCCTTCCACCTTGGCCTCCCAAAGTTATGGGTTTACAGCCATGAGCCACAGCACCCAGCCCAAGTCAAGTCTTATACAAAAAAAGCTGTCAAAATTTGTATTTGAATCTATTATTGAATCTATAGATCAATATTAAAAAGTTGATATCTTAGCAATATTTTGCTTTTCTATACCTGAATATAATATATCTCTACTTTTATTTAAAGCCCCTTTACATTCTCTCATTCATAATTTATAGTTTTCAGTGTAGAGGTCCCTCATGTCTTTTGTTATATGTACTCTTAACTATTTCATGAAGGTTTTTTTATACATTACTATAAATGGAAATCTTAAACTTTTTATTTTCCAATTGTTTGTGGCTACAATATGGAGATACAATAGATTTTTTAAATATTGACTTTGTAGTTTGTGACTCGGCATTATTTCTACTAGTTTTGTTTGTTAGTTTGGATTATCTCTCTTTAACATTTAAACTTTTGACCATCTCTTTAATTTTGAAATTTTCTTTTCTCACACCTTCAGAGATTCCTTGCTAATCTGGTTCTTCTTCTACTTCTGTGTTCATAACTTTGCTGGGTGCCTTTAATTTTTAATGGTCAGTTGTTTATATTTCTCAAGAATCTTTCTGTTGGCTTCCTCTCTCTTCTCTCTGCCCATTTTCTTTTGTTGTTTTTCCTATCAATCCCAGGTATTCATATGGCTTCTACTATGTACGGAGAGATCTGTAGAATCCTCAAAATTCCCTTTGCTAGCACTGATGACTTCCTAACCTCCAGTCTCCCATTTTCAACTGCCTAAAAATTTAGTTCCCTCATTCTTACATTACTTCAATCTTAACACACTTCAACCTTGAGATCATTACATGTTTTCACTCTTAGCTTTGCAAACAGACACACCTGCATTAGAATTTTGACATTGTTACCTACTAGATAGGTAACTTGGGGAATTTATTTACTGCCTCTAATGCTTTATTTTCCTCACTTTTAAAATAAGAGTAGTAATTCCAACCTCAGAGTCATGTTGATGATTATTAAATTTAATGCACAGGCATGTAGTTGTGCTTAGTAATGTTAATTCCCTTCTGCTTCCTTATTCATAATATTTTTCTTAGCTTACTATTCCCTCTTATTGCCCTATTTTATAAGTTCTTTTATTCAGGGCCAAATTCAAAATGTCAGTTCTTTAGAAAAACTTGCAATATGCTTCAGGAACCATATCTGCAATTACAGACTCAAATTTCCTTAACCTTTTTCTCCTTAGCCAATGGCATTTGCTGTTCTCAGTTTGTGGCTCTATTTAATATCTCCTAAACCAGGGCATCCAAAAGGGCAGAATTTGTGGCTGATTCATCTTTGAACTTCCACAGCAATTGAGCAGTACTCATATCTATTTGGTACTAGGTATATTTATGTCTATGTATGCTTATGCCTGTTCCTGTATTGATCTATATACATAGGTATGTCCGTGTTCTCCTTGTCCTCTAGCTTTCTCTTGGGTATGGCCAATGTATATGTATAAAGAAAGGAAATATAATTTTCTTTTTCTGAAATCTAGGTTTTGATTACCTAACATACTTTTAACATAAGCCATCTGATTACAAAAGATCTTTAAAAATTAAATTTCAGCAAAAACTTTTTATACTCATGATCACAATAGTTGTAAACACTTGACTGAAGTAAGCTCAGAAGAGCTACAAAAAATAAATTGACACATGGCTTCTGCTAAGTTGGGCCTATATAGTGGACTCTTATTCTTGTGAGTTTCATTCATATACTTTGGTGTTTTTTTTTTTTTAGATTAAAAAGTCTTACTTATATGAGTATAAATTATAACCAACTAGCCAGCATTCCTAGAGAACTTTGTTTTCTTGAGAATCTTGTTGAACTTCAACTTAACTACAATCAGCTGATATGCATACCTGAAGAGATTAAATTCTTGAAGAAGCTTCAGAAGCTTTTGCTAGCCAGAAACAACATTGGAGTTTTGCCGGAGGTAAGCAAAACATGGAACCACAGTAGTTTGCTGTTGGAGAAGAACTCAACATGATGGGAGGTGGTTATAGATTAGATTTGGGTATCTGAGTATAAGCCACCACTTGCTTTCTCTCAGATTAAATGTAGTCAGTTCCCAAATCCCTATGACAGAAGAAGGCTATAATTTGAATTATCCCACATAGCTAGGGCTGCCAGATTTAGTAAATACAAATATAGAATGCTCACTGAAATTTGAATTCCAGATAAGCAATGATTAAATTTTTTACTATAAGTATGTTGCAAATATTGCATGGAATAGACTAAAAAACCTATTTATTGTTTGGTATTTCTTTCTTTCTTCTTTTTGAGACAGAGTCTTGCTCTGTTGCCTAGGCTGGAGTGCAGTGGCACAATCTTGGCTCACTGCAACCTCCACATCCCGGGTTCAGGTGATTCTCCTGCCTCAGCCTCCTGAGTAGCTGGGATTACAGGCAGACACCACCATGCCCGGCTGATTTTTATAATTTAGTAGAGACGGGGCTTCACCATGCTGGTCAGGCTGGTCTCAAACTCCTGATCTCGTGATCCGCCCACCTCGGCCTCCCAAAGTGCTGGGATTATAGGCGTGAGCCACCGCACCCAGCCTTGATATTTCAATTTAAGTGAGCATTATATATTTTATCTGGTAACGATGTATACAGAACAAAATACAAGTTCATTTTGGCTTTGGAATATGTACTGGCTCTCCTTTTTTCCTTCATATTCACTTTCTGTCCTGCCTTCTGCTTGGGAGACTGACCTGTGTGGGCAGCAGTGAACTTCTTTGTCCTCTGGTTTCCTCTTGGATATGGCAGATGAGAGGCACTAGCAGGAAGTGACAGGGCAGGAGGATAGCAAGTAGTTGATGGTATTCATAATTATGGAGACTGAGAAGTCCTACAGCAGGCTATCTGCAAGCTGAAGACCCTGGAGTGCTGGTAATGTGGCTGAGTCCAACTCTGAAAGCCTCAGAACCAGGGAAGCAAACGGTGTAATTCTCAGTTGGAGGTCAAAGGCCTGATTACTGGGAGGTTGTGGTGGTGGCTGGAGGGGAGGGGTACTGGTGTAAATCTTAGAGTCTAAAGGCTGGAGAGCCCAGCGTTCTGAGGTCCAAGGGCAGAAGAAGAAGTGTCCTAGCTCCAGGAGAGAGAGGAAATTACATTTTTTTTTTCATCAAGTCACTAACTGATAGGATGGTGCCCAGCAACAGTGAACATGTATCTTTCCCACCCCTTCTACTGACTCACACACCCATCTCCTCTAGAAACAACCTCACACAGACACACCCAAAATAAAGCTTTACCAGCATTGTAGGTATTCCTTAATCCAGTCAAGTTGACACCTAAAATTAACCATCACACTAGACTTCTTATAGTTCTATCCCAAACAACTGTTTGCTCTTAATGGAACATCATTTGTTCCAAATAACTCAGAGAATCTCAGCTTAAACTTCACTTTTTCCAGGAAGCCTTTCCTGACCTCCTAATACCAAATTTTCCATATATCACTGTTTCCTTAACCCTTCGTAACACTTCTCATTCTCATAGCACAACTTTGTCCTTGCCTATTTGTGAGTTTTTAAACCTTCATTGAATACTTGTGAGGGGTATACACATGCAAAGATTTGAAAAAGACAGCAACAAATATCAACAGCAATAATAGTGGCAGTCATGGCAGCAAAAACAAACAAATGAAAATGCAAGAGTCGACAGCAACGGAAGTAATGCTATGAAGTGTTTTCAAGTAGGGTGGAAGCCCTTATATCATAACATGAGATACTGAAGGAACACATTGGAGTCTGAAAATCTCTGCAGCTAAAACAATACAAAGGAGAGTATCATGGCAATGGAAGACTATGTAGGACTTAAGAAGAGGACTCCCTTCAAGGATTTGCTGCCTAGCTGTAGGGAATGGGGATTGCAGACAGCCTCTAGCTGTTAGCTCTTTCAGTAACTTAAGTAATCCATTCAACAACCGTATGACTTAAGGGCTTCTATTAGCATTTTCATTTTACAAATAAAGAAATTGAAGTACAAAGCAATTAAGAAATTTGCCCATAGTTATAGTACCTGCCAGAGGTGAGATTTCAACCTAGATGTAGTGTAACTCACAGTGGCCATGTTATGTTGCCCTGGAGTGGTCAGAGGAAATGAAGAATTCAAAGAGCTGGCAGTCCAGGATATGGGGGTCTGCTCGGGAAGATGTGCTGAAGAATTGGTCAGTACAGTGATTAGAAAAGATGGCCACCTTCATCATGTTGGAGCTTTAAAAAAATTTATGATTTTCCTTATGATTTTAAATATTAGATTTAAAAAATCTCTCTCTTCTGTTTTCTGACACAGGAACTTTGTGATCTTAAAAAACTAAGAATCCTAGACATAGCTGGAAATATTATTCAGATATTTCCATCAGGAGTAAGTAGAGTCAACTTCCATTATAATTGAAAAATAATTTTGTTTATGCTATTGGGAATAGAAAAAATATGGGCAGACAGTAAAACCTGTAGTAATTGAAACCTTAAATTATACAAATGACTCAAAGATTTGCTTTTAGAATTTCAAAACCTGTTCTCTCCTGTTTTTTTCTTTGTGTTCTGTGCCTGCTGAACTTGTTTGAACTAAGTTAACTCTGATTGCTATCACAAATATTTTAATATATCAGCTATGATTAAATTTTTTGGTTATTACACACTGCTTTTGGTCACCTCTGGCTTTTTGAAAATATTACTTTCTGGAGCATAAATTTTTATCCCTTGTAATTAATCCAAAGGTGACACTTTTGTTAGTCATTTTTAGGCCATAAACAATGAAAAATGCACTTTTTTCTCATTTGAAAATGAATTTTGACCTCATTTTATTTCAAATATGGAGAAACCGTTTGTCTTGGCAACTCCTAACTTTTGAGAAAGAAATGTCAGTTTTTCCTATTGCATTTTTATATCCAATTGAACATGCTTAAACATTCATGGTAATAATGAGAAGTCCATCTATCCAGAAGGTATTCAATGAATAGTTGTTGACCCATTAATTATTTTTCCTGATTTATCCCCTCTAAATTGAGGTTTCAGTCTTTTTTTACCTCCTAGAGCAATATTTTATACTGAAGGTAATTCAAATATAAAAAAATGAGTGTAAAGTCTATGTTTTAGAAAAAAGTATAGTTTTTAAATTGTGGCAAAATATACACAACATAAAATTTACCATTTTAATCATTTCTACTTGTATAGTCCACGGTACTAAGTACTTTCACATTGTTGCACAACCATCAGCATTATCCATCTCTAGAACCTGTTCATCTTCTCCAGCTGAAACTCTGTATCCATTCAACTCCAACTCCCCATTCCCTTTGTACACCTATTTTAGAAGTTCCTATAAATACTTTGAAATAAGATCTTTCCCCCCTTCATGGCAACCACATATCTACTATATATCTCTGAATTTGACTACTCTAGGTACTCTAGGTACCAGATAAGTGGAACCAGATATTTGTCCTTTTACCACTGACTTATTTCACTTAGTAAAATATGACTAACATTAATTTATCTTATACCATGTGTCAGAGTTTCTTTCCTTTTTAAGGCTGAATAATATTCAGTTGTATGTATATACCACATTTTGTCTATCCACAGGTATCTGCCCACCTGTGGGACCTTGGGCTGTTTTCTCATTTTGGCTATTACTGCAATGAGCATGGGTATACAAATATTTGTTCTTTATCTGCTTTCAGTTCCTCTGGGAATATCCTTAGATGAAATTGTTGAATCATATGGTAATTCTATGTTTAATTTTTTAAGGAATCACCACAGTGTTTCCAAAAATGTGTAGATTTGAATGTTTAGTAAAAATTGGATATTGTTAATATTGACCTTGAAAATGTGACATGGTTTTATTTACCCTCTGTGTCTTAATTTAACTCTCTATGTCCTGCGATGCCTTCTGGTGCCACTTCTTCTATGGTACCCCTGGTGCCACTGCTACTTCTATGGTATCTTCTGGTGCCACGTTTTCTACGGTATTTCTATGGTATGCTTGAGCAACATAATGGAGTAATTCATTTCAAGTCTTTCTTGCTTTTGGATGGTAAACTTCCAGAGAAAGAATACTCTTTTTTTCCTCTATACCTGCAGTGTCTTGAATTTTAACTCAATAAGTGTTTGTTAAATGAATAAATCTAACTGATGTTCTTAAACTTCATTTATTATTCACCTTTCACCTTCGTAGTCTGTTAATTGACCGTTTCTTCTATGAAGTGATTCTGTACTTAACAATTTTGATAAAACATAATTACTTAGGTCCCAATAATTTGGAGTAATTTTGACAGGTCTGAGTTGGTTTCATCTGTGTAGTACCTATTTCAGGAATTTCTATAAACACTCTCACATAAGATGATCTGCAAACTCATCTGAGCTTTGGTCCAACCATTTCAAATTATTTTGGTTCAACTGATTCAAAATCAAAGTTTCCCACATTAAAAATATGGCACAACTGGTGGACCTAGAGGAGAAATGACCGACTCTAGGTCACACAATGATTATCAGTGAAAGAGAGTAAGTTTCAAAATAATGGTAGAGAACATTCAAAACAAGCCATGCTTTTTGTGAAACACAGTAGTGTAGACATGAATAACATAGACTTTGGAGTCATATACACATGGATTTAAAGCATTAATTTCCTATTTTCTAAATTCGTAATCTCAAACAAGTTGCTTCATTTCTCAGAGTTGCTATTTCTTCATCTATATAACGACAATATTAAAACCACTAACCTCATAAGGTTGTTATGTCAAATAGTGATTATGAAGCATTTTGTGCATAGTTGGTTTCCAGGAATAGAAACTATTATATGTTGTGTATAAAATATATACCAATAATGAAATACTAATAAGTAATATATAATTATAGCAATCATCTACTCTCTACTGGTGATGATAGGAAGCATTAACCTTGTGAAGTACATTTTTAAAAACCTTTTTTAACTATGAGAATATTCAAACATATATAAAAACAGACAGAAAAGCAAAATAAAGCTCTGTGTACCCATTACTTTTAAGTGTACTCTTAACTCAAAGATTTGAAACTGCATTGTGCATAAGTGCCTTTGAATAGTTTATTTTACTGCCTTATAACTACTTTTTAAAATAGGTATTTATTTAAGAGTGTTTTGCTATTTTATGATTTAAATAAATTTGGTGTGCAATTTAGAAAATGCAATTTTTTTCAGAGCAGTATTTTTTTTTTTTTGAAATTCACATGGCATTTGAACATTTGAAACTGTATTTGCACTAGGACTTTTGTATACGAATATACATTAAATGTAAATTTACAGTAAAAAATTGGACTATTATAAATATTTGTTCATATGTGTTGGATCAAAAGAGTTTCTGTGTTATTTAGTTCCTAAGAAAAAATCTGGCATGACCACATAGTGAATTAATTGTTTCAGAAATGGCCAGATATGGTGGCTCACGGCTGCAATCCCAGCATTTCGGGAGGCTGTGGCGGGAGGATTGCTTTTGATTCCATGAGTTCAAGATCAGCCTGGACAACATGGTGAAACCCCTATCTCTACAAAACAAACAAACCACCAAAAAAATTAGCTGGGTTTAGTGGTACACCCTGTGGTCCCAGTTACTTGAGGTGAAAGTATCACTCAAGCCTGGGAGGTAGAGGTTGCAGTAAGCTGAGATCATACTCCAGCCTGGGCAACACAGTGAGACCCTGTCTTGAAAAAAAAAAAAAGAAATATCTTGGTTCTTTTATGAACATGTAGTCAGATCTGCTACAGAGAGACTTTAGTTTCTTTCCTTACCTCTTTTTTCCTTTCTTTTATTTTAACTTAAAAAAATAAAACTTAAAAATTTTGTAAGTTGTACAACTTCTGCATGTTTCTTAAAATGTGAAGCAAAACAAAAGTATGGAATAAAAATAAAAGTTTCGGCCGGGTGCAGTGGCTCACGCCTGTAATCCCAGCACTTTGGGAGGCCGAGGCGGGTGGATCACGAGGTCAGGAGATCGAGACCATCCTGGCTAACACAGTTAAACCCCATCTCTACTAAAAATACAAAAAAATTAGCAGGGCGTGGTGGCGGGTGCCTGCAGTCCCAGCTACTCCCAGCTAATTTTGTATTTTTAGTAGAGACGGAGTTTCTCCATGTTGGTCAGGCTGGTTGCGAACTCCTGACCTGAGGTGATCCGCCCACTTCGGCCCTCTCAAAGTGCTAGGATTACAGGCGTATGTACAGGAGAATGGTGTGAACCCGGGAGGCGGAGCTTGCAGTGAGCCGAGATTGCACCACTGCACTCCAGCCTGGGCGACAGAGTAAGACTCCGTCTCAAAAAAAGAAAGTTTCCGTTCCAGGACCTCTTCATGTGTGTTTTTAGAAAAGCCTGTTAAAACATTTTTTTCACACGATACTATGTCTGGATTGGTTTCATTATATTTAATTTCCCAGTATGATTTTTCTTTCTAAAAAAGTACCATCTGGCCAGGCGCGGTGGCTTACGCCTGTAATCCTAGCACTTTGAGAGGCCGAAGTGGGCGGATCACCTCAGGTCAGGAGTTCGCAACCAGCCTGACCAACATGGAGAAACTCCGTCTCTACTAAAAATACAAAATTAGCTGGGCGTGGTGGCTCATGCCTGTAATCTCAGTTACTCGGGAGGCTGAGGCCAGAGAATTGCTTGAACCCAGAAGGCAGAGGTTGCGGTGAGCCAACATCATTGCACCATTGCACTCCAGCTTCGGCAGCAAAAGCGAAACTCCGTCTCAAAAAAAAAAAAAAAAAAAAAGTACTATCCAAGTATTCTCCATAAGGCATTATCAATGTATCAATAGCAGAAAGATCAGCGAGAGAAAGCAAAACTCTGGGGGCTATTTTGATCTGATCTATCTATCATTGCACAATTTTAGAACATTCTCAGTTTTCTCACATACAATTTTTTGATACCTAATTCCTGTCTGAGACATACCAAATTATTTATTGTATTAGTTTGCAAGTGTCCTCTGCTTCTTGAATGAATGGGTATTAAGATTTAAGATGTTGTCTTCATTTATCCTTTTGTAAGTAGCATTTTTCTGGTAATTCATTCATTGTAGAAAATAAGTAAATAAGTATAGAAAGAGTAAAATGTAAGGTGTCTTTAAGTTTACCTTCCAGAGACTACACTTTATTGTTTTCTTCAAGAATCTCATTTTTATATTCTCATTAAAAAAATTCAATGTATACTGCATAAAGAAATACGTGTCTTGCTTTGTCATTTTCATTTAACATTATATATTAAGCACTTTCCTTAAATGAATATTCTTCAATATGTGATTTTTTTTTTTTTTTTTTTTTTTTTTTTTTTTGAGACGGAGTCTCGCTCTGTCGCCCAGGCTGGAGTGCAGTGGCGCGATCTCGGCTCACTGCAAGCTCCGCCTCCCGGGTTCACGCCATTCTCCTGCCTCAGCCTCCCAAGTAGCTGGGACTACAGGCGCCCGCCACTACGCCCGGCTAATTTTTTGTATTTTTAGTAGAGACGGGGTTTCACCGTTTTAGCCGGGATGGTCTCGATCTCCTGACCTCGTGATCCGCCCGCCTCGGCCTCCCAAAGTGCTGGGATTACAGGCGTGAGCCACCGCGCCCGGCCTCAATATGTGATTTTTAATCATTGGGTGTTCTTCTACCTTTTCTTTATCGTGTGTTCACTTTTTCTGACATTTTTATTTATTGCTGGAATTAGAATTGGATTTTGAATGAACAAGCCTTTGAGAACAAGGATGATCTGAAATAAAATGTCTTTTATTTGTATCTGTCTTTCAGAGAATAACATATCTGAAGTATGGCCTTTAGTGGACACTGGACAATTTATGGCAACACTGTCGGTTGTTCAGTTAGTGCAGGAAACAGTGATGCTTGTTTTATTAGTTTCCTGAGGCTGCTATAGCAAAATATCACAAACTGGGGCTTAAAGGACATGTCTTTGTTTTCTCTTCTTAGAAGGATACCAGTCCTTGGATTGTGGCCCACTCTAATCCATATGACCTCATTTTAACTAGTTACATCTGCAAAGACTCTGTTTCCAAATAAAGTCACATTCTGAGGTTCAGGGTGGATATGAATCTTGGAGGACACTATTTAACCCATTATACTTGATAGAACATTGAGTTTATTACTCTATTTGGCATCTGCAAGGGCAATTGATATAAACCTCCTTGATGAGGTTTATATGACTTTCCAATTCCATAAACAATTACTGAGTACCTTCTCTGTTGCCAAGCTCTCTTCTAATCTGGGGAAGTAAATGAAGAAATATGGATGTTGCTGTATAGAAACTTTGGAATTTGTGTTTGAAGAAATCTCTAAACATTGAAGTGGAACCTGGAGATATCATAAGAACAAGATAAATATGTGATTTTTAATGATGTACAGAAATTTAAAATGAGAAAAATCAAAGAAACTGGCATGAATTAGCTTGAACAAAGATGCAAGTCAGCTAGGTGGTAATTTCATTGTTGAGTTCAAAATAATAAGGGGAAAGTGACCTGTTGCCTTCATAACTTTTGATGATGGGGAAAGAAAAAACATTATTATTTGCTGCTGAAGGGTTTTGGATAGGCTATCATCGTGGGATTTCTGGGAAGAAAGGATTACTAATATCTTTCTTTAGGTCAGAAAACTCAGTCTATGAAGTAGTTGTGATTCAGTCTTTTCAACAGAAAAAAAAGTAAATTATTGAAATTTTATATTTCCTTTGAAACAGTTTTTATTTTAATCTTTTAGTCACAGGTCTTCTTTCTCTAGCTCCTCTTTCCCTCAGGAGCCCCGTTATTTTTCAAACTGCAATCATTTGAAGAAAAAGATGACCTGACAAAAGCAAGAAAAAGTTTTAATGATCATCACCAGGGAGCATCATGAGTTTTGTGTTTGATGTGAAGTTCATAACAAAATATCATATATAAAATATTGCAGACCAAATAGAAAACTTCACATTTAAATAAGCTCTTAGAATCCTCCGTTAGCAATCTATCTAACAACCTGTACTATTATGACTACTTTTCAAATTCACAAAAAGTTATCTTTCTGGATGAATACTTTGCTGTTATCTAAAAATTTGCAAGTTATCAAATCTATTTGTTATTGAATAATTCCTTGAAGAAGACAGATTTGGTATCATTATTCCTGTTTGGAGCTGAGGATATTGAGGCTCCAGAGTAGTTTGTCCGCAGCAGTGACCCTCAAACTTGAATGTGCATCAGAATCCCCTGGATGCCTTCTTAAAACCCAGAAGGCTAGGCCCTCCTTCTAGGATTTCTGAGTCAGTAGGCTGGGGATCCCACAGGTTTGCATTTCTGTTATGTTCTTTGGTAATGCTGATGCTGTAAGTCCAGGAACTACACTTGGAAAACCATTGGCCTAAATGATGGAACAGTGGCAGAGGTTGAACTTGCACTCAAGACTTTTGGCTACACTGTCAGGACTCCTTCTGCCTCTGAGGAATCCATTCTTTGTCCCAGGTTGGGGCAGTCTCTGTCATGCTATACAAATAAGGCATTTCTTTGAGCTCACTGGGAGTTTGGGTTCTGAGAATTTCACTGTGTCCTTGACTAAAATGATACTCAAGGAACATTCTTTGGACAATAGAATTCTTGTATACTCTGAAAAATATTTCACATAGAAACTAGGATTTTGGTATGTGAACACAAGGAATGCCTATATAGTTGGAGGCTGAGTTTTATATGTTGTTTAATTCGGTTAGCCTTACTTCTTTTTAGCCACACTGTGGATGTACTCGGTGCATATATGCCACGGACAAAACTTCTTAAACATTTATTCATCAGCCAATCTAAAATTGGAGAGATTTTTTAGCATGTGAATTTAACACTAAATTTTATTTTGGAGAAATTTGGGGAAGGCCAAATCTTTACCATGTTACTTTCGTTTCTGAGTTTTGTCTTTTTAAAGTTCACCCTTTGCCTTGGGTGGTTATAGTTTGGGAGTGAAACTCAAGTGTAGCTAAAACATTTACAAGGATACAAATAAATGTGACAACTTATGAGAAAGTGCTTTGCTAAGAGTAGACACTTAAGAAATGTGCTTAAAAAGATGTAAATTATACCCAATGCTACATTTTCCACAGTCACTGCTTTCTTTCAGTTTCAAATTCATGATTTAACATTCATGTGAATCTGTAGCTTCCATAAACACATTCTGTGTCAGAGTTAAGAATCTTAAGTATTTGTATATCCCTAAGGTTTGTAGGCACATACTGTTTTTATAAGAAAAAAAACATAAAGCGGGAAAGCCTCATACAATGTTGTCATGAGAAAAAGTATGCTTGGACTATTTATGGGAAATCATAGTTATAGCACCTATTCCGTTTCATCAATGCCCCTTTTTTCCTTCAAGAATTCTTTAGAGTTATCATAAATAAAATTTGAGAATACTGAAAGCAGTTTCCTCTTTTACAGTATGAGAAACACAGGAGGAAAAAAAAATGGAAGCAACTTTCCCAGAAATACAAATCATTTGAATAGTGAGGAGAAGGTTTGAATCCATTTTTCCCAAACAAAAATTAAATTTGCCTAGCTTAACAATGTACCCATTGTGTGACCTTGGAGAGGTAACTCCATTACTCTATGTCTCACTTTTTTCCTCTTTAAGTTGGGGATATTAATAACACTTGTATACATCACATTGTTAGGAAAGTGTCTCACATAACATTTGGTGGTCAGTAATGATAGAATGAATGAATAATTAAATGAGATAATGTATATGAATTCTTATTAGTGTTTGGCACATGACAGATATTGAATGTTATTTTCTTGTCATTTTAAGGTTTGGTCTGAGATACCTGCCCCTCAATCCACCCCAAATTTTGGGGTGTCTCTGAAGGCTTTCAAAGCCATGAGATCACCTGAATGGTTCTAATTCGTAACTGTTACTGTAACCAACTGATCTGTACCCAAGGGTGTACAAGGGTGGCTGGTTTCAGCAGTGCACTCTGCTTTCTATTCCCCATGTTGTCTTTGCCCCTGTTCCAGGTTATTTTCCTCTGCAGATTCCTTTACATTCTTTAGGCTTACCTTCCTTGGGCAACAAAACAGAACCAATAAACTATCTCCCTGAAGGGGGTCTCCTTTCCCTGGCTCCTTGCCTTTGGTTTTCTGTTTATTTCTGTCTTACCCTTTCCCTCTCCCTTGTGGCTCATTTGGTTTGTTTGCCAGACCAGATTCCTCTGGAAATAGGACCTCTCATTACTGAATTCCCTTTTTCTTAGACACTTCACTTAACTCGTTGCCTACTACTTATCCTGACGTCTCTTCTTTTCTTGGATATTTTTAATTTAAAAGGATTTCTCTTTTTATACCCAATGATGAATGATTTTGATCCACACCAGTCTAAGCATATCTTGCTATGGTGTCCTTGGTTCCAGACACATGCCTGATATCTAGCATGGTACATACCCTGGTTTACTGTCACTCTCTGTCTGTTACTTGTCTAATTCAAATACTACCGGTATCTTTTGTTAGTACATAAATATTTTTTGTGCTTAATACAAAATCAAGTGAAGAAAACCATTTTATTTTTGGATGATTCTCATTTCCAAATGAATTCATCTGCCTTCAATAGAATGATTTCCATATATGAGCAGTAACACAAATATGTGCACATACAGACAAGCATTCCTAGGGAGACCATTTAGTTTTGCATTAACAGAAATATTTCTGTGAAATTGATTGAACACTTGGAGAATGTCTATTTCAAATTTAAACATGTCCATGATCAAAAATGTCCTTAAGTGGTCCAGAAAGTGCAATACAATTGTGGGAAAGAAACTCCTTGGGAAAGTGAAATTGTGGTTTGCCTTGTATCAAAACTCCTATCAAAACTTTTGAAACTCTTTTGCAAGATGGTAGAAAATAGCCTAAAAGTTTAAAAGTGATACACAGGGAAAGGTCCATAAAGCTGTGGTCAAGAACATCCCTGAATATCTCCACAATATAGTGATTTCCTTGGAACTATCCACTTTGCTCAAATAGCCATGAGAAATTCCAGTTGGCTGCCTCATCCCCATTGTTGTTCTGCCTCTTTTGATTAGCAGCATTAGAGATCCACTTTATTCTTGTTCCCATATGAATAGTTTATTTTCTCTGTTTAATGTTAAGGAAAAGTATACCCTATTCTTGAAGCTCTTTAAATGCCTCTCTAAAATTTGACCTTGATTTTAAAATAGTATAATTTTCTTTGGTTGTCAGTGCTGCTTTCAGTGGCTCAGTTTATTAGGAGCCATACATTTAAAACAACATTCACTGACCTTTTAAAAAATGGGAAACAAGCCAATGCTATTCTAATGGAAACCCCTTGTGGGTTCTGTGGTTTTATGTAAGTGATGTAAGCTTAGCTAATATAGAATTAGTGAGTTCCAAAACTTGACTAAATGCTTTCCCTGTCACTACTTTTATGAGAATGAGATCATATTTTCTGCTGTTTCTTATATGGGGGTGGGTGAAGAAGAGGGTGTTGAATTATATGTTATTGCTTCTTTCACCATTGTAATTCTAAAATTTCATGGGGTAGACTTTTTGAAATGAAAAGCAGAGAGAAAAAATTATGAAATATTATCCTTGATGCAATGGTGATTTTGTTCAAATTCTTGTTTTAAAAATTGAGGGCCCAATTAAGTTAGGGAATACAACTATCTTTCTCTTTTTAGTTAACTTACATAATTTGAGTTCTGACTTTCTACTTCTATATGTGATTTTATTAGAATTAAAGATAGGCTGGTCCTGAATGCCTATAAAATGTAAGTGCTGCAGAGGACCCTGTTTCACATGGTATAGTGGTTGGTGAACAGCATTTCACCAACCACTATCGCTAGCTACCCTTGGAAATTTTATTCTTCTAACCAAGTACCTAATGAAAGTAATTCAGGAGATAAAGGGGATGCCTTGCTTACCTTCAAAATGGAGATCCTCAAATTTCAGCAACATTCACCTCTCATCTCTCTTGTTGAGAGGCCAGAAGGACAGGATCATAAAGTCAGAGAGCTGGAACTTCTGTGTTTTTAGTCTTGCAGTAAAAGTGGAGTTAAAATGATTTCAAAATCAGGGCCAATATTTTTGAGAAAGTAAACTTTAAAAAATTAAAAATATTATAAAGAGAGTCTGATTGAAATCAAATGTGGCTCTTGTACAGACTGTTTAAGCATTGATTTTCATTTAGATGATTTCTCTCTCCCTTACATCTCCAAGTAATCTCTATGGAGTTCGGGGTTTTTGTCCCTTTCACTGATGTATTCCAAGCTTATAACAGTGCTTGGCACAGAGTAGGCACCCAATAAATAATTACAGAAAGGATGGGTAGATGGATAGATTGATGGGTGGGTAGATATGGATTTTACATAACAAACATGATTGCTTTGCTCCTCTGAAAAATCAAAACTAATTTGTCACAATTAATAATAAAGTTGTTTTAAGGCAGTGGATTTCAACCAGGGAAGATTTAGCCCTCCCTCCATGTCCCAGGGATATTTGACAATGTCTGGAGATATTTTTGGTTGTGAAAACTGAGGAGTGATACTGCTGGCATCTAGTGAGTAGAAGCCAGAAATCCTGCTAAATGTTCTGTAATGCATAGGACAGTCCCCCCATAACAAAGTATTACCTGGCCCAAAATGTCCATGTTGAGATTGAGAAACTAGTTTACATTCCTACCAAGTTGATTTAAGGGATTGACTATTTCTTTGTGTTCTCCAGGCTTTAATCCTAATAAAATATATCTTTATCAAGTAGATTTTAGAGTCTATAAGAATCAGCAATATGCCTGTTAAAATGTTGATCCCTGGGCCCCATGCTCATATATTGTAAATTATTGCTAATAATGCTTTGGCTTTAAAGTTTATTTTTTTCTCATATGAATATAGCTATATTATATATAAACATATAATATATATTATATATAAACATATATTATATATAAACATATTATATATTATATATATTTTGATTCACGTTTACATGATATATCTATTTTCACTGCCTACTTTCAACCTTTTTATATCCTTATATTTTAGATGTATCTTTTATAAGTACCATATAATACTTCATTTAAAAAAATCCATCTGACTATTCTTTTTTTCTCTTTGTTTGAGACGAGGTCTCACTATTTTGCCCAGGCTGGTCTTGAACTCCTGAGCTTAAGCTATCTTCCCACTTCAGCCTCCTGAGTAGTTGGGACTGCAGGCATGTGCCACTTTGCCCAGCCTGCTGTGTATATTTAATTTGTTCTACTTGTTCTGTACTCCTTTTCTGTTTTTTCTTTTGAAATAATTGGATACTTCTTAATGACACATTTTAAAAAATCTTACGAAGTTTTATATCATTTTACTATTCCTATTTTAAAATTTATTTTATTTTAGGTTCTGGGGTACATGTGCAGAATGTGCAGGTTTGTTACATAGGTAAACCTGTGCCATGGTGGTTTGCTGTACCTATCAACCCATCACCTAGGTATTAAAACCTGCCTGCATTAGCTATTTGTTCTGATTTTCTCCCCACCTGGCCCCCCCAACAGGCCTTGGTGTGTATTGTTCCCTTCCCTGTGTCCATGTATTCTCATTGTTCAGCTCCCACATATGAGTGAGAACATGCGGTGTTTGGTTTTCTGTTCCTGGGTTAATTTGCTGAGTATGATGGCTTCCAGCTTCATCCATGTCCCTGCAAAGGACATGATCTCATGCCTTTTTATGGCTGCATACTATTCCATGGTGTATGTGTACCAATTTTTTTTATTATACTTTAAGTTTTAGGGTACATGTACACAACGTGCAGGTTAGTTACATATGTATACATGTGCCATGTTGGTGTGCTGCACCCATTAACTTGTCATTTAACATTAGGTATATCTCCTAATGCTATACCTCCCCGCTCCCCCCACCCCACATCAGGCCCCAGTGTGTGATGTTCCCCTTCCTGTGTCCATGTGTTCTCATTGTTCAATTCCCACCTATGAGTAAGAACATGCAGTGTTTGGTTTTTTGTCCTTGTGATAGTCTGCTGAGAATGATGGTTTCCAGCTTCATCCATGTCCCTACAAAGGACATGAACTCATCATTTTTTATGGCTGCATAGTATTCCATGGTGTATATGTGCCACATTTTCTTAATCCAGTCTATCATTGTTGGACATTTGGCTTGGTTCCAAGTCTTTGCTATCGTGAATAGTGCCGCAATAAACATACATGTGCATGTGTCTTTATAGCAGCATGATTTATAATCCTTTGGGTATATAACCAGTAATGGGATGGCTGGGTCAAATGGTATTTCTAGTTCTAGATCCCTGACGAATCACCACACTGACTTCCACAAGGGTTGAACTAGTTTACAGTCCCACCAACAGTGTAAAAGCGTTCCTATTTCTCCACATCCTCTCCAGCACCTGTTGTTTCCTGACTTTTTAATGATTGCCATTCTAACTGGTGTGAGATGTTATCTCATTGTGGTTTTGATTTGCATTTCTCTGATGGTCAGTGATGATGAGCATTTTTTCATGTGTCTTTTGGCGGCATAAATGTCTTCTTTTGAGAAATGTCTGTTCATATCGTTCACCCACTTTTTGATGGGGTTGTTTGTTTTTTTCTTGTAAATTTGTTTGAGTTCTTTGTAGATTCTGGATATTAGCCCTTTGTCAAATGAGTAGATTGCAAAAATTTTCTCCCATTTTGTAGGTTGCCTGTTCACTCTGATGGTACTTTGTTTTGCTGTGCAGAAGCTCTTTAGTTTAATTAGATCCCATTTGTCAATTTTGGCTTTTGTTGCCATTGCTTTTGGTGTTTTAGACATGGAGTCCTTGCCCATGCCCATGTCCTGAATGGTATTGCCTAGGTTTTCTTCTAGGGTTTTTATGGTTTTAGGTCTAACATTTAAGTCTTTAATCCATTCTTGAATTAATTTTTGTATAAGGTGTAAGGAAGGGATCCAGTTTCAGCTTTCTACATATGGCTAGCCAGTTTTCCCAGCACCATTTATTAAATAGGGAATCCTTTCTCCATTTCTTGTTTTTGTCAGGTTTGTCAAAGATCAGGTGGTTGTACATATGCGGCATTATTTCTGAGGGCTCTGTTCTGTTCCATTGGTCTATATCTCTGTTTTGGTACCAGTACCATGCTGTTTTGGTTACTGTAGCCTTGTAGTATAGTTTGAAGTCAGGTAGCGTGATGCCTCCAGCTTTGTTCTTTTGGTTTTGGATCGACTTGGCACTGTGGGCTCTTTTTTGGTTCCATATGAACTTTAAAGTAGTTTTTTCCAATTCTGTGAAGAAAGTCATTGTTAGCTTGATGGGGATGGCATTGAATCTATAAATTACCTTGGGCAGTATGGCCATTTTCATGATATTGATTCTTCCTACCCATGAGCATGGAATGTTCTTCCATTTGTTTGTATCCTCTTTTACTTCATTGAGCAGTGGTTTGTAGTTCTCCTTGAAGAGGTCCTTCACGTCCCTTGTAAGTTGGATTCCTAGGTATTTTATTCTCTTTGAAGCAGTTGTCAATGGGAGTTCACTCATGATTTGGCTCTCTGTTTGTCTATTATTGGTGTATAAGAATGCTGTGATGTTTGCACATTGATTTTGTATCCTGAGACTTTGCTGAAGTTGCCTATCAGCTTAAGGAGATTTTGGGCTGAGACAATGGGGTTTTCTAGATATATAATCATGTCATCTGCAAACAGGGACAATTTGACTTCCTCTTTTCCTAATTGAATACCCTTTATTTCCTTCTCCTGCCTGATTGCCCTGGCCAGAACTTCCAACACTATGTTGAATAGGAGTGGTGAGAGAGGGCATCCCTGTCTTGTGCCAATTTTCAAATGGAATGCTTCCAGTTTTTGCCCATTCAGTATGATATTGGCTGTGGGTTTGTCATAGATAGCTCTTATTATTTTGAGATACATCCCATCAATACCTAATTTATTGAGAGTTTTTAGCATGAAGCGTTGTTGAATTTTGTCAAAGGCCTTTTCTGCATCTATTGAGATAATCATGTGGTTTTTGTCATTGGTTCTGTTTATGTGCTGGATTACGTTTATTGATTTGCGTATATTGAACCAGCCTTGCATCCCAGAGATGAAGCCCATTTGATCATGGTGGATAAGCTTTTTGATGTGCTGCTGGATTCAGTTTGCCAGTATTTTATTGAGGATTTTTGCGTCAATGTTCATCAGGGATATTGGTCTAAAATTCTCTTTTTTTGTTGTGTCTCTGCCAGGCTTTGGTATCAGGATAATGCTGGCCTCATAAAATGAGTTAGGGAGGATTCTCTCTTTTTCTACTGATTGGAATAGTTTCAGAAGGAATGGTACCAGCTCCTCTTTGTACCTCTGGTAGAATTCGGCTGTGAATCCATCTGGTCCTGGATTTTTTTTGGTTGGTAAGCTATTAATTATTGCCTCAATTTCAGAGCCTGTTATTGGTCTATTCAGAGATTCAACTTCTTCCTGGTTTAGTCTTGGGAGAGTGTATGTGTCGAGGAATTTATCCATTTCTTCTAGACTTTCTAGTTTGTTTGCATAGAGGTGTTTATAGTATTCTCTGATGGTAGTTTGTATTTCTGTGGGATCGTTGGTGATATCCTCTTTATCATTTTTTATTGTGTCTGTTTCATTCTTCTCTCTTTTTTTCTTTATTAGTCTTGCTAGTGGTCTATCAATTTTGTTGATCTTTTCAAAAAACCAGCTCCTGGATTCATTGATTTTTTGAAGGGTTTTTTGTGTCTCTATTTCCTTCAGTTCTGCTCTGATCTTAGTTATTTCTTGCCTTCTGCTAGCTTTTGAATGTGTTTGCTCTTGCTTCTCTAGTTCTTTTAATTGTGATGTGAGGGTGTCAATTTTGGATCTTTCCTGCTTTGTCTTGTGGGCATTTAGTGCTATAAATTTCCCTCTACACAGTGCTTTGCATGTGTCCCAGAGATTCTGGTATGTTGTGTCTTTGTTCTCGGTGGTTTCAAAGAACATCTTTATTTCTGCCTTCGTTTCATTATGTACCCAGTAGTCATTCAGGAGCAGGTTGTTCCGTTTCCATGTAGTTGAGTGGTTTTGAGTGAGTTTCTTAATCCTGAGTTCTAGTTTGATTGCACTGTGGTCTGAGGGACAGTTTGTTATAATTTCTGTTCTTTTACATTTGCTGAGGAGTGCTTTACTTCCAACTATGTATGTACCACATTTTTTTAATCCAGTCTGTCATTGATGGGCATTTGGGTTTGTTCCAAGTCTTTGCTATTGTGAATAGTGCTGCAGTAAGCATATGTGTACATGTATCTTTATAATAGAATGATTTATATCCCTTTGGGTATTATACCCAGTAATGGGATTGCTGGGTCAAATGGTATTTCTGGTTCTAGATCATTGAGGAATCACCACACTGTCTTCCACAGTGGTTGAACTAATTTACATTCCCACCAACAGTGTAAAAGTGTTCTTATTTCTCTGCAGCCTTGCCAGGATCTGTTGTTTCTTGACTTTTTAATAATTGCCATTCTGACTTTTGTGGGATGGTATCTCATTGTGGTTTTAATTTGCATTTCTCTAATGATCAGTGATGTTGAGCTTTTTTTTTCATATGTTTCTTGGCCGCATAAATGTCTTCTTTTGAGAAGTGTGTTCGTGTCCTTTGCCCACTTTTTGATGTTTATTTTTCTTGCAAATTTGTTTAAGTTCCTTGTAAATTCTGAATATTAGACCTTTGTCAGATGGGTAGTTTGCAAAAATTTTCTCCTATTCTGTAGGTTGCCTGTTCGCTCTGGTGATAGTTTCTTTTGCTGTGCATACACTCTTTAATTAGATCCCATTTGTCTATTTTTGCTTTTGTTGCCATTGCTTTTGGTGATTTCATCATAATATCTTTGCGCATGCCTATTTTCTGAGTAGTATTGCCTGCGTTTTCTTCTAGGGTTTTTATGGTTTTTGGTTTTATATTTAAGTCTTCAATCTTGAGTTAATTTTTGCATAAGGTGTAAGGAAGGGGTGCAGTTTCAGTTTTCCACATATGGCTAGCCAGTTTTCCTAGCACCATTTATTAAATAGGGAATACTTTCCCCATTGCTTGTTTTGTCAGGTTTGTTGAAGATCAGATGGTTGTAGATTTGAGGTCTTATTTCTGAGATGTCTATTCTGTTCCCTTGGTCTAAGTGTCTGTTTTGTTACCAGTACCATGCTGTTTTGGTTACTGTAGCCTTGTAGTATAGTTTGAAGTCAGGTAGCATGATGCCTACAGTTTTGTTCTTTTTGCTTAGGATTGTCTTGGCTGTTAGAGTTCTTTTTTGTTTCCATACAAATTTTAAAGTAGTTTTCTCTAATTCTGTGAAGAATGTCAATGGTAATTTGATGGGTATAGCATTGAATCTATAAATTACTTTGGACATTATGGCCATTTTCACAATATTGATTCTTCCTATCCACAAGAATGTAGTGTTTTTCCATTTGTTTGTTTTCTCTCTTATTTCCTTGAGCAGTGGTTTGTGAGTGTACACAATAACCAGCTAGCATCATGATGACATTATCAAATTCACACATAACAATATTTACCTTAAAAGTAAATGGGCTAAATACCCCAATTAAAAGACACAGACTGACAAATTGGATAAAGTGTCAAGACCCATCAGTGTGCTGTATTCAAGAGACCCATCTCATGTGCCAAGATACACATAGGCTCAAAATAAAGGGATGGAAGAAAATTTACCAAGCAAATGGCAAGCAGATAAAAGCAGAGGTTGCAATTGTAGTTTCTAACAAACAGACTTTAAACCAACAAAAATCAAAAAAGAAAAGGGCAGTATATAATGGTAAAGGGATCAACAAGAAGAGCTAACTATCCTAAATATATATGCACCCAATACAGGAGGACCCAGATTTGTAACGCAAGTTCTTAGAGAACTACAAGGAGACTTAGACTCCCACACAATAATAGTAGGAGACTTTAACGCCCCACTGTCAATATTAGATCATTGAGACAGAAAATTAACAAGGATATTCAGGACTTGAACTCAACTCTGGATCAAGTGGACCTGATAGATATCTACAAAACTTTCCACCCCCAAACAACAGAATATACAGTCTTCTCAGTGCCACGTGGTACTTACTCTAAAATTGATGAAATAATTGGAAGTAAAGCACTCCTCAGCAAATTGCAAAACAACTGAAATAATAACAAACAGTCTCTCAGACCGCTGTGCAATCAAATTAGAACTCAAGATTAAGAAACTTACTCAAAACCACACAACTACATGGAAATTGAACAACCTGCTCCTGAATGACTCCTGAGTAAATAATGAAATTAAGGCAGAAATCAAAATGTTCTTTGGAAACAGTGAGAACAAAGAGACAATGTACCAGAATCTCTGGGATGCAGCTAAAGCAGTGATAAGAGGGAAATTATAGTACTAAATGCCCACATAAGAAAGCTAGAAAGATCTCAAATTGACACCCTAACATCACAACTAAAAGAACTAGAGAAGCAAGAGCAAACAAATCCAAAAGCTAGGAGAAGACAGGAAATAACTAAGATCAGAGCAGAACTGAAGGAGATAGAGACATGAAAAATCCTTCAAAAAAAATCAATGAATCCAGGAGCTGGTTTTTTGAAAAAATTAATAAAATAGATAGACTGCTAGCTACACTAATAAAGAAGAAAAGGGAGAAGAATCAAATAGGCTCAATGAAAACTACAAAGGGCATATCACCACTGACCCCAAAGAAATAGAAACAACCATCAGAGAATACTATAAATACCTCTTTGCAAATAAACTAGAAAATCTAGAAGAAATGGATCAATTCCTGGACACATACACCCTCCCAAGACTAAACCAGGAAGAAGTCAAATTCTTGAATAGACCAATAACAAGTTCTGAAATTGAGGCAGGAATAAATAACCTACCAACCAAAGAAAAAAAAAAGCCCAGGATCAGATGGATTCACAGCTGAATGCTACCAGAAGTACAAAGAGGAGTTGGTACCATTCCCCATTCCTTCTGAAACTATTCCAAATAATTCAAAAGGAGACACTCCTCCCTAACTCATTTTGTGAGGCCAGCATCATTCTGATACCAAAGCCTGGCAGACACACAACAAAAAAAACTTCAGGCCAATATCTCTGATGAGTATTGATGCAAAAATCCCCAATAAAATACTGGCAAACTGAATTCAACAGCACATCACAAAGTTTATCCACCATGGTCAAGTGGTCTTCATTCATGGGATGCAAGGCTGGTTCAACATATGCAAATCAATAAATATAATTCATCATATAAATAGAACCAAGGACAAAAACCCCATGATTATCTCAATAGATGCAGACAGTCTTCGATAAAATTCAACATCCCTTCATGTTAAAAACTCTCAATAAACTAGGTATTAATGGAACATATCTCAAAATAATAAGAACTATTTATGACAAACCCACAGCCAATATCACATGGAATGGGGAAAAGCTGGAAGCATTTCCTTTGGAAACTGGCACAAGACAATCATGCATTCTCTCACCACTCGTATTCAATGTAGTATTGGAAATTCTGGCCAGGTCAATCAGGTAAGAGAAAGAAATAAAGGGTTTTCAAATATGAAAAAGGAAATCAAATTGTCTCTGTTTGCAGATGACACGATCCTATATCCAGAAAACCCCGTCGTCTCAACCCAAGAGATCCTTAAGCTGATAAGCAACTTCAGCAAAGTCTCAGGATAGAAAATCAATGTGCAAAAAGTTACAAGCATTCCTATACACCAACAGGAGACAAGCAGAGAGCCAAATCATGAATGAACTTCCATTCACAATTGCTACAAAGAGATTAAAATATGTAGGAATACAGCTAACAAAGGATGTGAAGGACCTCTTCAAGGAGAACCATTTGTCTATTATTTTAACTGACTACCCTAAAAATTAAAAAAAATTATTGTGTGCTTTATGAAAAGTATTTATTTGATACTTATTCTCTCCTCTTAGACAATTTAAAACTTTCTATTACATACCTCCATCTTTTTAAAAAATTTTTAAGCAACACATAATAATTGTACATATTTGTGGGGGTGCAGAGTGAGATTTTTATACATATATACAATGAGTAATGATTGAATCAGAGTAATTAGCATATCCATTACCTCAAATATTCATCATTTCTTTGTGCTGGAAACATTCAACAACCTATCTATTTGAAATTCATCTATTTGAAAACATACAATAAATTACTAACTATAGTCACCCTACAGTGCTATAGAATACTAGAACACTAGAACTTATTTCTCCTCTCTAGCTGTAATTTTGTATTTGTTAACTAACGTTTTCCTCACCTCTTCCCTACTCTTCCCAGCCTCTAATAACCACTATTCTACTCTCTACTTCTATGAACTCAACATTTTTATCTCACACATGAGTGATAACATGCGGTATTTATCTTTCTGTGCCTGACTTATTTTACTTAATATAATGTCCTCCAGGTTCATCCATATTGCCTCGAATGACAGGATTTCATTCTTTTTATGACTAAATAATATTCTTTTTGTGAATATGTATGTGTGTGTATATATATATATACACAACATATATATATACAACATATATATATACAACATATATATATACACACACCATATATATATATGAAACATTTTCCTTATTCCTTAATCTTTTGCTGGATACTTAGGTTGACTACATATTGTACTACTGTAAACATGGGGGTGCAGATGTTTCTTTGATATACTGATTTCCTTTGGAAATAGTAGTGGTAGTGCTAGATCATATGGTAGTTCTATTCATAGATTTTTGAGGAAACTTCATACTGTTTTTCATAATGGATGTACTAATTTATGTTCCCATTTACAGTGTATGAGTTTTCTTTGTGTTCTCACCAGCATTTATTTATTTTTATTTGTTTCTATTTGTTACAACAAATTCAAACTTTTGGACAAGAGCCATTCCAACTGGGATGAGATATGTCTTACTGTGGTTTAGATTTGCATTTTCCTGGATGATTAGTGATGTTGGACCTGTTTTTCAGATACTTGTTGGCCATTTGTGTGTCTTCATTTGAGAAATGTCTATTCAGATCCTTCACCAATTTTTAAATCAAATTATTTGGGGTTTCCTTTTGCTCTTGAGTTGGGTTCTTTTTTATTCTGTATATTAATCACTTGTAGGATGAATGGCTTGGAAATGTTTTCTGCCTTTCTACAAGTTATCTCTTCACTCAGTTGATTGTTTCCTTTAATATGCAGAAACTTTTAAGTTTGATATAATCATGTCTATTTTTGCTTTTGTTGTCCGTGGTTTGGAGTATTTTTTAATTCTCTTTTTAAAAAAAATATTCTTTCTATTTTGATTTTGAGTCTTACCCACAAAATCTTTGCCCACACTAATTCCTGAAGTGTTTCCCTTATGTTTTCTTGTAGCAATTCTATAGTTTCAGGTCTTACATTTAAGTCTTTAATTCATCTTGAGTTGATTTTTGTTTATGGTGGGAGATATGAGTCTAGTTTCAATCTTCTGTGTATGGATATTCAATTTTCCCAGCACCGTTTTTTGAAGAGGCTCTCCTTTCAGTGTATGTTCCTGGCACCTTTGTCAAAAATCAGTTGACTGTAAATATATGGATTTATTTCTGGGTTCTCTATTCTGTTCCATTGGTCTAAGTGTCTTTTTTAAACCAGTTCTATGCTGTTTTGGTTACTATAGCTTTGTGGTATATTTTGAAGTCAGGTAGTTTGATGACTCTAGGTTTGTTCTTTTTGCTCAGAATTGCTTTGGTTCTTGGGGGTCTTCTGTGGTTCCATATAAATTTTAGAATTGCTTTCTCTGTTTCTGTGAAGAGTGTCATTGGTATTTTGATAGGGATTGCTTCGAATCTGTAGATTGCTTTGTGTAATATAATCACTTTAACATTATGAATTCTGACATTAGAAAGCACACTTCACCTCTCTAATGTGACCTTTCTCACAGGTGTGCCTCCTTCAGCTTCCCATGTGGCACCCACAGAAACATTCACCTATGAATGGACTGTCCCCAAAGAAGTAGGACCCACTAATGCAGATCCTGTATGTCTAGCTAAGATGTATTATTCTGCTGTGGATCCCACTAAAGATATATTCACTGGGCTTATTGGGCCAATGAAAATATGCAAGAAAGGAAGTTTACATGCAAATTGGAGACAGAAAGATGTAGACAAGGAGTTCTATTTGTTTCCTATAGTATTTAATGAGAATGAGGGTTTACTCCTGGAAGATAATATCAGAATGTTTACAACTGCACCTGATCAGGTGGATAAGGCAGATGAAGACTTTCAGGAATCTAATAAAATGCACTGGACTTTTAATGTTGAATGCCTTACAGCTAGCTGATCATTACACAGGCGGCATGAAGCAAAAATATACTGTGAACCAATGCAGGTGGCAGTCTGAGGATTCCACCTTCTACCTGGGAGAGAGGACATACTATATCGCAGCAGTGGAAGTGGAATGGGATTATTCCCCACAAAGGGAGTGGGAAAAGGAGCTGCATCATTTACAAGAGCAGAATGTTTCAAATGCATTTTTAGATAAGGGAGAGTTTTACATAGGCTCAAAGTACAAGAAAGTTGTGTATCGGCAGTATACTGATTGCACGTTCCGTATTCCAGTGGAGAGAAAAGCTGAAGAAGAACATCTGGGAATTCTAGGTCTACAACTTCATGCAGATGTTGGAGACAAAGTCAAAATTATCTTTAAAAACATGACCACAAGGCCCTACTCAATACATGCCCATGGGGTACAAACGGAGAGTTCTACATTTATTCCAGCATTACCAGGTGAAACTCTCACTTACCTATGGAAAATCCCAGAAAGATCTGGAGCTGGAACAGAGGATTCTGCTTGTATTCCATGGGCTTACTATTCAACTGTGGATCAAGTTAAGGATCTCTACAGTGGATTAATTGGCCCCCTGATTGTTTGTCGAAGACATTACTTGAAAGTATTCAATCCCAGAAAGAAACTGGAATTTACCCTTCTGTTTCTAGTTTTTGATGAGAATGAATCTTGGTATTTAGATGACAACATCAAAACAAACTCTGATCACCCCAAGAAAGTAAACAAAGATGATGAGGAATTCATAGAAAGCAATAAAATGCATGCTGTTAATGGAAGAATGTTTGGAAACCCACAAGGCCTCACAATGCACATGGGAGATGAAGCCAATGGGCGATGAAATAGACTTACACACTGTACATTTTCACGGCCATAGCTTCTAATACAAGCACAGGGGTGTTTATAGTTCTGATGTCTTTGACATTTTCCCTGGAACATACCAAACCCTAGAAATGTTTCCAAGAACACCTGGAATTTGGTTACTCCACTGCCATGTGACTGACCACATTCATGCTGGAATGGAAACCACTTACATTGTTCTACAAAATGAAGACACCAAGTCTGGCTGAATGAAATACATTGGTGATAAGTGGAAAAAAGAGAAAAACCAATGATTCATAACAATGTATGTGAAAGTGTAAAATAGAATGTTACTTTGGAATGACTATAAACATTGAAAGAAGACTGGAAACATACAACTTTGTGCATTTGTGGGGGAAAACTATTAATTTTTTGCAAATGGAAACATCAACAGACTATATAATGATACATGACTGACACTTGTACACTAGGTAATAAAATTGATTCCTACAGTCTAATCATATCACCACTATTAGGGTTTTATAAAACTGCATTTAAAAAAAGATCTATGACCAGATATTCTCCTGTGTGCTCCTCAAAGGAACACTATTAAGGTTCATTGAAATGTTTTCAATCATTGCCTTCCCATTGATCCTTCTAACATGCTGTTGACATCACACCTAATATTCAGAGGGAATGGGCAAGGTATGAGGGAAGGAAATAAAACATAAAATAAATAAAATAGAATGACACAAATCTGAGTTTTGTGAACCCCTGAAGGGATGGTCTAAAGGACGTTATCTGGAACTGGAGAAAAGCAGAGTTGAGATACAATTCTATAGATTAAATCCTGGTAAGGATAAACATTGCCATTAGAAGAAAAGCTTCAAAATAGACCTGTGGCAGATGTCACATAAGTAGAATTTCTGCCAAGCCTTAACTGCATTCAGAGGATAATATCAATGAACTAAACTTGAACTAAAAATTTTTTAAACAAAAAGTTATAAATGAAGACACATGGTTGTGAATACAATGACATATTTCTTTATTTTCACATACACTCTAGCTGAAAGAGCAAGAGTACACATCAACAAAAAAATGGGAACAAGGCTTTGGCTGAAAAAAACATGCATTTGACAAATCATGTTAATAGCTAGACAAGAAGAAAGTTAGCTTTGTAAACTACTTCATTTGATTCAGAGAAATAGAGCATGAGTTTTCTTAAAGTAAAAAGAAAAGGAACAAAGAAAATGAGGTTTGAAATTTTTTACCATGGCAAAATATTAACATCTTTCTCAAAAACATAGAGAAATCTGGAAAAATCAAGAAGATAAAATTCTGGACCAGTTAGTGACATTCTTTCAAGCATACTTGTAAAATGTTTCCTTAGAGTGTTCTTGGGATGAAAATGATTGTCATGTCTCCAACAACAGTGAACTGATGTTGTTCCTTGGAATAAAAGTCAATCCCCACCTTAAAAAAAACAAAACAACAACAACAACAACAAAAATATGAATTCTTCCAATCCATGAACATGAGATGTCTTTCCATTTTTGTGTTTGCCCTCTTTAATTTCTTTTAGCAGTATTTTGTAGGTATCATTGTGGAAATCTTTCACCTTTTTGGATAAATTTATTTTTAGCTTTAAAAATCTTTTGTAGCTACTGTAAATGGGATAATTTTTTCTTGATGAATTATTTATTACTGGTTTATAGAATCACTACTGATTTTTGTTTGGTTGATTTTGTATCCTGCAACTTTATTGAATTTGTTAATTAGTTCAAACAGGTTTTTTGGCGGAATCTTTAGTTTTTTGTTTTTTTTTTTAAATATATAAGATAATGTCATCTGCAAATAGGGACAATTTGACTTCTTGTTTCTTAATTTCATTCCTTACTATTTCTTTGTCTTGCCTAATTACTCTCTTAGGAACTCCAGTACTGACATGGTTTGGCTCTGTGTCCCCACCCAAATCTCATGTTGAATTGTAATCTCCAATGTTGGGGGAGGGACCTGGTGGGAGGTGATTGGATTATGGGTGCAGATTTACCCCCTACTGTTCTTGTGATAGTGAGTTCTTATGAGATCTGGTTGTTTAAAAATGCACAGCACTTCCCCCTTCTCTCTCCTGCTGACCATGTGAAGATGTGCCTTGCTTCCCCTTTATCTTCTTCCATGATTGTAAGTTTACTGAGGCCTCTCCAGCCATGCCTCATGTACAGCCTGTGGAACCATGAGTCAATTAAACCTCTTTTCTTCATAAACTACCCAGTCTCAGGCAGTTCTTTATAGCAGTGTGAGAATGGAGTAATACAAGTATTATACTATGTTGAATAAGAGTGGTAAAAAATAGGCATCCTTGTCTTGCTCCAGATTTCAGAGGAAAAGCATTTTTCTTTTCCCTGCTGAAAGCTTTTCCATACTCACTATGATTTTACTGTGGGTTTATCACATACGGCCTTTACTTTGTTTAGTCATATTCCTTTAATACCTAATTTGTTGAGAGTTTTTATCATGACAAGGTGTAGAATTTTATCAAATCCGTTTTCTGCCTCTATTGGGATGATCATATGATTTCTACCCTTCATTCTGTTGATATGATGTATTATATATTTACTTATTAGCATATATTGAACCATCCTTGAATCCATGGCCTAAATCCACTTGATCATGGTGTGTAATCATTTTGATATACTGTTGGATTCCATTTGCTACTATTTTTTTAAGGTTTTTGCATCTGTGTTCATCAAGGTTATTCATTTGTAGTTTTTCTTGTTGTTGTTGTGTCCTTTTGTGGTTTTGGTATAAGGGAAATGCTGGCCTTGAAGAATGAGTTAGGAAGAATTTCCTTCTTTCTTTTCGGAATGGTTTGAGAAAAGTGGATGTTAGTTTCTTAAAAGTTTGATAGAATTTAGCAGTGAAGTTATGCAGTCCTGGGCTTTTTTGTTTGTTTATTTTGGGAGACTTATTACTGTTTCAATCTCATTACTCATTACTGATCTGTTTAGGTTTTCTATTTCTTCCTGGTTCAACCTTGTTAAATTATATGTGTGCAGAAATTTATCTGTTTTCTCTAGGTTTTCCAATTTTTTGGCATATAGTTGTTCATAATAATCTCTAATGATCCTTTGCGTTCTGTGATATTAATGTGTCTCCTTTTTCATTTCTAATTTTATGTATTGGAATCTTCTGTCTCTTTTTAGTCTAATGCCATGTTGATTTTGTTTATCTTTTCAAACAACTTTTTAAATTTGCTTTTTATTCTCTATTTTGTTTATTTCTGCGCTAATTTTCTTTCTTTCTTTCTACTAATTTTGGGTTTAATTTGTTCTTGCTTTTCTAGATCCTTGAGGTGCATTGTCAGATTGTTTATTTAAAATCTTTCTAATTTTTGTTGTAGGTGTTCATTGCTATAAACTTCCCTCTTAGTAATGCTTTTACTATATTTAATAGGTTTTGGTATGCAGTGTTTCTGTTTTCATTTGTTTCAAGAAACTTAAAAGTTTTCTTCTTAATTTCTTTATTCACCTTTGGTGACTCAGGAGCACATTGTTACACTTTTATGTGTTTGTACAGTTTCCACAGTTCCTCTTGTTATTGATTCATAGTTTTATTCCATTGTGATCTGAAAGATACTTATGATTTTGATTTTTAAAAATTTGTTGAGACTTGTTTTATGTCCTAACATATGGTTTATCCTGGAGAATGTTCCATGTGCTGGAAAGAAGAATGTGTATTCTGCAGCTGTTGGATGACATGTTTTATAAATGTCTGTTAGGTCCATTTGATTTTGTAGTGCAGTTTAAGTCTGATGTTTCTTCATTGATTTTCTGTCTGGATACTCTGTCCAGTGCTGAGAGTGGAGCGTTGAGTCCCCAACTATTATTGTACTAGGGTCTATCTCTCCCTTTAGTTCTACTGATACTTGCTTTATATATCTGGCTGTTCCAGTGTTGGGTGCATATACATTTACATATGTTATATCCTCTTACTGAATTAATCCCTTTATCATTATATAATGACCTTCTTTGTTCCTTTTTATATTTTTTGACTTGAAGTCTGTTTCATCTAATGTAAGTATAGTTACTCCTGCTCACTTTTGTTTTCCATTTGTATGGAACATCTTTTCCCATCCCTTAACTTTCAGTCTATGTGTGTTGTTGCAGGTAAGTGAGTTTTTTGTAGGCAGAATATAGTTGGGTCTTATGTTTTTATCCATTCAGCCTGTTTAAATCTTATAGTTGGGAAAATTTAAACTGTTTATATTCAATATTGTTATTGATGGTGAGTACTTACTTATCTTTTTGCCTCCCTCCACCTCTGCTTTCCATTCTTTTGTCTCCCTGTGTTTAGTTCTAGATATGTTCTCCTGATATATTTTACAAATTAATACTTTTTTTTTCAGCTTTGTCTACATGTTGTCAAACCTACCCATTAGATTATGTATTTCAGTTTTATTTATTGTTACAATTTCTTGTTGGTTCTTTTTCAAATCTACTATGTTACTTTTTACACTTTTCATTTATCTCCTGAAAATCTTAAACTTGGCTTTTATTTTCCAGATCATGTTAAGTGTAGTTATTTCTATCTTATATTCCCATGGTTGTCTTTTTTGTATTATATAGATCTCAGCTCAGATATCAACTCCTCAGGAGAGCTTTTCCTCACAACTCAGTCAAAGTAGCCTCTACTCTATGACATCAAATTTTAAATTTTTCTTTATGGCACTTACCACTGTAATAAATACATGTTTAGATTTGTTTACTTGCTTATTGTTTTTATGTACCCACCCTCCATTTTTTTAGCCTCCATAGAATGCAAATTTCCATGAAAACAGCATCTTTGCCTGTTTATTCATTGCTGTATTTTATTGCCAAGAGCAGTCCTTGGCAAATAATAAGCATACATAATAAGCAACAATACACATTGTTGAATGAATGAATGACTGAATAGCTTTATCATAGCCTTTGTCTGATTTCCCTACACTTCATCTAATGTTCACAAGTCACAAACTTTGGGAGGGTCTCAAAAATCTTCTCTGACCTTGATGTCAGAACTTGTCTCCATCTTGATCCTACTTCTCTCAACTTCCACTTTATTTGCTTGCTTTTATATTGCTTTCCTGTTCCACTTATTTTTCAGAAGACTTTGTGTTCTTTCTTCTAAGACCACTTTAAGGTAAATCTCTTTAATAGCTGCATTACATTTCTATTATAGTTATATTTCCTTTTAAATTTTATCAGGTAGTTAAAATTATATAAACCCCTAAAAATTCTTACTGCTATGGCTGCCAAGTTTAGAAAAAAATTAAAAGATTATAGTTTTAAAATCAATATTTTTTTCTATATTTTGAGCTCTAATTTTATTGGCCACACTTTTCATATCTTCTATTATAAATTACAAAGTTCTTAGAGGATAATGGAATATATATTAAAATACAAGCCAAATCAAAAATAAAAATTCAGCTCTTGACTGAGAAGGTATCTCAAGAGACTTCCAAAGCTCCCTATATAAAATTTCAGGGAATTTCAGAATATTTTATTTGTTGTCAGGAGTGAGAGTATGAGGCAAGGCAATCAATTTTTTCATTATTCTTAAGATTTTTATGAAGTGGGATCAAATAAATTTATAGAAAAGTTCCTACAACTTTATAAATGTTAGCTTTCTCTTGTTTTTTCTCCAAGTGCCCATATACAGAAAATCACATTGTAAATTGGGATTGTGGAGAAGGTATTGTGAGATAGGTATAGTGATTAGAGGCAGTAAATATGGAAGGTTCTAGAATATAATGAGGGTTAAAAACTAACTTCTCTGTCAAGAAGACAACTACCCAAAGGTGTCAGGAAACTAGGCTCAGAAAATAGCTCATTCTTTTGTTAGAGCCAGGACTGCTTTCCTTTAGGAAAAGCTGGCAAGGAAATTCCATGGCCTAGAAGTCTGAAGATTAAGGTCAGAACCTTCAAAGATGGCCAAAGTCCATCGTAGAAGGCTACTCTTCAGTCTGGGGTATACTCAGAATGGTTAGCTATGGTTTCATCTATCTAGGTCACAGATGCTTTCTGGAAACAGTAATATGCCAAGAAAGGATATGTAAAGTTGCTATATAAAAACAAACAATGGTTAATAATATTTTTTGAAAACTATGCTGGTTTTGTGCTAAACACTTTAAATAGTATCCTTTTATTTAATTTTCATTATAGTTTCATGAGCTAGGAACTATTACCATTTCCATTTTACAGATGATAAAACTGAGGCTTTCAGAAAAGATTAAGGTACTTTTCTCAATTTCAGAGCTGAAACTCAAACCTAGGTTGCTTCAAAACCAAAAATACTCTTAATTACTAGTAGTGATTTATATAAACATATTATGCCTGATTATCATGTATTGTTCTTGACTGTTCGTTAATATTGCATGTTCTTTTAATTGTTGAGGAAGACTTGACTGAGTTGAACTAGCCAGAGAAGGGACTGATCTGTGAATTCCTTCCTTGCTGCTACATACCTCCCTAACTCCTATAGGCTCACTTTAGAAAATAGAAGTCAAGACTCCTACGAAGGTTCATTTGAGATGGGAAGGTTGGTGAATAGACATTTTGTGCCTGGTAATTAGGAGGAACAATTGGCAACATCTGTAGTTCCCCCACAAAAGGAAAATTTTGCCTAATTTTTGAGAGGAAGAAAGGATATTCTCTGGCACCATATCTTAGAGTCTTTGCTGGCATTCCTGTAGTCCAGGATAAAATGGGAATGTCAAAGAAATTTCAGGTGCGGTTTTATAGGAGGGTACATTAAAGAAAAAGCAGAGCTGAAAGTCAAGGAAATAATTCCAAACAGAAGGCACTGGGTTAGTAAAAGACTTAGGCAACTTAGCTGTGCAGGGGATGCCATGCAACTGAATCACAAAGGGTGACACACTAGGTGACCCTCAGAAAAGCTGATCGTGTCACTGTGGGGAGACCATGAGGTTTTTGTTACTGTAGTTGCTTGTTTCAGAATGCAAAAGTTTTGCTTCCTTTCTCTTTCTTATACTTGTAAGAAGGGAGTTAGTGCTAATATATTAAAATAATCTGGTGGCAAGATTTCTCAGGTGGTTTGGTGCGTATTTGGACCTCAGATTTTTTTCTATGTGCATCTCTGTCATGAGAATTATAGCTGATTCAAGTCACATGTACAACTCTAATAAAGACATGCAGTTAATGGGTTTTCTGTTTTTGTGTAGTAGATATATTTTAATTTTTTTCATTAATGGAAGAAGTATGATGGGTGAAAACATCAGACAGAGTCTGGAATCAGACAAACTTGGGTTTTAATTCTGACAATACTTATGGTTGACGTTTTATGATTCCTGCAGATAACAGCTATTGCAAGAGATCCCTGAGTTGGCTGTAGAAGAATGCAGGTTTTTCTTGGTATATTTCTTTACAAATTAGCTTTCCCAGGGAAATCTAGTGAGCAAGATTTTGGTAGTAACCTCTTTTTTAGGTCATAATAGAGTGAAGGGCAGCCAGAGTGCTGACTTGGTTGGGGCAGCATTGTGTAGTAGAAAACACATGAACTTTCATGCACTGCATATGAATTCCAGTTTTGCAACTTTCTAACTGTGTGACTTCGGGAAAATTTTAATTGAACTTGAACTTTAATTCCTTTATCTAAAAAATGGGATAATAATACAAATGATACTGTCTACCATGAGGATTGACTGAGCTAACAAATATAAATCACCAGGAACATAGCAAGTACTTTGAATATTACATTAGTTCTAATTCCTGTCTTCCCTTGTCACCATCAAAGCTCCAGCATGTTCCTCCACCTCATACACACTATTACAGTAGTGTAGGACTGCCACCATAATGTCAGAACCTTAGACAAATTGTGCTAGAAGGTGGTATTATTGCTTTCTTGCCACTCATTTTTCCTTAGGCTACCCTACATATATGGGAGTCCTCTGGGGCAATCTAACCTGGACAATGAGAGAACAGATGGGAAGAGGGGGTTGTAAAATAAACTGAAAAAAAAAAAAAAAAAAAAAAAACCTATGAATACCTGAAAATCCTAATATTAGCAATTTTGAAAAACTTTATGGCAGGAAGAGGAATTATAATTTATATTCCTTGATCAAAGATATGCTCTGTAAAGCAAGAAGAAAACAAAATCAAACATATAGCTTGTGTTAAATATTAGCGTGGAAAAGGGCACTTTACGAAATTGTTTTATGGGATACATATACAATTGTTACTCAATTATTCACTATTTTAGAGTGCAAGTTCCACTGAAAGTGCCCTGGGGAATGGCAAGTAGAGTCAGTCCAGTACTACCCGTCCTCATATAAAAAGAACAAGATTTATGCCTCCACAGAGGAAGCTCAAGACTGCCAACCAAACGCTGTTATTTAACAAAGGTTCTGCCCCTGGTCGTTTTCAGACACAGAGCTGGTTATAGATTCTGTTGTTCTTTTCCCCACCTACACTCCGGTGCCTTTGCCCACTTTGCTGGATAGTCACAGTTTTTAGTTACAGTTTTTGCCCCACTCCCTGTTGGGCTGTGATACTTCTTCAAAGATTCAGAGATTTGGAGGGTAAAGAAAGCAAGAGGAGGGCACCATGCTGAAAACTCAGTGAGTACTACAGGAGCAGCAAAATAAGGACTGCTTCTAGGGAAGGCTGTAGTAGTCTGTTGTTATGCTGTTAATAAAGACATACCCGAGACTGGGTAATTATAAAGGAAAGAAGTTTAATTGCTTCACAGTTCCATATGGTTGGGGAGGCCTCACAATCATGGCGGAAGGAAGTAGGAACAAGTCATATTTTATATGGCTGCAGGGAAGGGAGAACTTGTGCAGGGGTACTCCTTTTTATAAAACCATCAGATCTAGTGAGACTTATTCACTATCACGAGAACAGCCCGGGAAAGACCCGCCCCTATGATTCAATATCCTTCCACTGGCTCCCTCCGACAACACATGGAAATTGTGGGAGCTACAATTCAAGATTGGATTTGTATGGAGACACAGCCAAACCATATCAAGGGGAGAAACTGGAAAGCTCAACGGAATGCTTTCAGCACTAATATATACAAGGAAGTGAGATGTGAAACATCCAGTGTTTTGCTAGTAAATGTTTAACACAATCAGCTCCCTGGGGCGCCAGAGCGGAACCCTCGTTTGTAGCATCTGCTAATTCCCATAATGTAAATACTCCCACCATGGCCTGTTTCAAGCTACCAATATAATGTCACTAAAAGCCATGTTGGACATTGATGCTCAGAACTGGCTCTTCTGTGTTGGTGCCAGTCAGCACACCAGTGATAGTAGCCTTAGCACCACTGACTGAGACAGGGAGGATATGGTAGAGAATTTTAAGAGACGATGTTCCCTTTTTGGTGATAGAAATTCTTAAAATATTAGCTTTACTGCTTTATTAACTGTATGACTTTCTGTAGAGATCCTTAAATTCCCCAAGTCTCAATTTCCTTATTTATTAATATATGTATTCGATATACATTTTCTGAGTGTCTTTTGTATGCCAGGAACTTTTGTAGACATCTGGATACAGAGGTGAATAATACAAATTCCCTGCCCTCTTGGAGCTTATAATCTAGTAGGGAAGACTGATAATACACAGGTAAACAAATTTAAGGTAGTGTCATGAAGAAAACGCTTAGGGCATTGTAAGCCCAGGAGGGGAAATTTTGTCTGTTTTGGGCACTGCTGTGTCCTCAGTGCTTACGACATTGTAAGAATGATTCAGAGTATAAATGAAGGCTCTGGTACTCTAATTAGGGCTTTTGGAAAAGACTGAGGGGCCGAAAGATGACCAGAAATATGTGATTGATATACAAGAACAAATGTGGCAGGTGCTGTTGGGTAGCTGCTGACACCCCCATCTCCAGCCCTCCTCTCCTGAACTACTTCCAGTGGGAGTGGTCATGTGTCACAGTTCTGGCTAGGGAAAAATAAATGGAAATCTTTTGGGTGGGATTTCCAGGAAAGCTTTTGTTTTTCCTATAAATTGGACAGACTTTATCTCTTGCCCCTTGGTCTTTTCTTGTTTGTGTTGCCTGAATTTGATTGAGAATTAGCAGCCATTTGGGACTGTAAAGTGCAAGCACGAAGACAACAACCTACCTGCTAAGCAGGATGGACCTCTGGCAGCAGCATTGCACAGCCTTACTACTCCTGGCCTGCTCAACTTGTGACACTTGTTACATGAGATAAATGACACTCTATGTGTTGTCTGTTTTTTTGTGTTTTGTGTTTTTTTTTGCAATTAATATAGCAAGCCAGGCCATAAAAATATAGAAAGAATAATGAATACTAAATAAGTCATATAAAACAGTAGAATTTAAGAAACATTGCTCAAAAAATGTTGCTCTTAATATCATAATGACTCAAGTAATAAAGAATCATTACATACTTTTGAGCCCTTATTCTGTGCTTTATAATAGGAATCATAATAATGTGAGTGATTCCAGAGTCAAATACAAAAAACAAACTGAATTTAAAATCTTGGGACTAACGTTAATAGCTGTCAGTTGACACTTCATCAACAATTCAGACACTTATATTTCAAAACAGGAAGCAACAAAATGCTTGGAAAAAGATCCAGGACTTTATAAAATATTGTCCTTTTTAGAGCTGGAGGCCATAATCCTAAGCAAACTAACCCAGGAACAGAAAACTAAATACTGCATGTTCTTACTTATAAGTAGGAGCTAAACACTGAATACACATGGACCAAAATAGGGAACAACAGACACAGCGGCCTATTTGAGGGTAGAAAGTGGGAGGAGGGAGAGGATTAAAAAACTCTCTATCAAGTACTATGATTATTACCTGGGTGATGAAATAATCTGTATACCAACCTCCATGAAATACAATTTACCTATATAACAAACCTGCACATGTACCCTTGAACCTAAAATAAAAGTTAAATTTAGAAAATATTATCTTTTTGGTATAGAAATTTCAATATAGAAGCAAATTACTGAAGAGTTTCCTGACACAAAGGAGCATGAGTACATGTACATATGTGTGTATATAATTTTTTTTTTATTATACCTTAAGTTTTAGGGTACATGTGCACATTGTGCAGCTTAGTTACATATGTATACATGTGCCATGCTGGTGCGCTGCACCCACTAACTCATCATCTAGCATTAGGTATATCTCCCAATGCTATCCCCTCCCCCCCTACCCCCACCCCACAACAGTCCCCAGAGTGTGATATTCCCCTTCCTGTGTCCATGTGATCTCATTGTTCAATTCCCACCTATGAGTGAGAACATGCAGTGTTTGGTTTTTTGTTCTTGCGATAGTTTACTGAAAATGATGATTTCCAATTTCATCCATGTCCCTACAAAGGACATGAACTCATCCTTTTTTATGGCTGCATAGTATTCCATGGTGTATATGTGCCACATTTTCTTAATCCAGTCTATCATTGTTGGACATTTGGGTTGGTTCCAAGTCTTTGCTATTGTGAATAATGCCACAATAAACATACGTGTGCATGTGTCTTTACAGCAGCATGATTTATAGTCCTTTGGGTATATACCCAGTAATGGGATGGCTGGGTCAAATGGTATTTCCAGTTCTAGATCCCTGAGGAATCGCCACACTGACTTCCACAATGGTTGAACTAGTTTACAGTCCCACCAACAGTGTAAAAGTGTTCCTATTTCTCCACATCCTCTCCAGCACCTGTTGTTTCCTGACTTTTTAATGATCGCCATTCTAACTGGTGTGAGATGGTATCTCATTGTGGTTTTGATTTGCATTTCTCTGATGGCCAGTGATGATGAGCATTTTTTCATGTGTTTTTTGCTGCATAAATGGCCATACTGCCCAAGGTAATTTACAGATTCAATGCCATCCCCATCAAGCTACCAATGCCTTTCTTCACAGAATTGGAAAAAACTACTTTAAAGTTCATATGGAACCAAAAAAGAGCCCACATCGCCAAGCCAATCCTAAGCCAAAAGAACAAAGCTGGAGGCATCACACTACCTGACTTCAAACTATACTACAAGGCTACAGTAACCAAACAGCATGGTACTGGTACCAAAACAGAGATATAGTCAATGGAACAGAACAGAGCCCTCAGAAATAACGCCGCGTATCTACAACTATCTGATCTTTGACAAACCTGAGAAAAACAAGCAATGGGGAAAGGATTCCCTATTTAATAAATGGTGCTGGGAAAACTGGCTAGCCATATGTAGAAAGCTGAAACTGGATCCCTTCCTTACACCTTATACAAAAATCAATTCAAGATGGATTAAAGACTTAAACGTTAGACCTAAAACCATAAAAACCCTAGAAGAAAACCTAGGCATTACCATTCAGGACATAGGCGTGGGCAAGGACTTCATGTCTAAAACACCAAAAGCAATGGCAACAAAAGCCAAAATTGACAAATGGGATCTAATTAAACTAAAGAGCTTCTGCACAGCAAAAGAAACTACCATCAGAGTGAACAGGCAACCTACAAAATGGGAGAAAATTTTCGCAACCTACTCATCTGACAAAGGGCTAATATCCAGAATCTACAATGAACTCAAACAAATTTACAAGAAAAAAACAAACAACCCCATCAAAAAGTGGGTGTATATAATTTTTTTAAAATAGTCAATTCTGAGGCTCTAAGGAATGTAACAAAAACAGAATGTATGAAAAAAAGAATTTGGGTTTTATGTTCCTAAGGCTGAATCGTGTTTCTCAACCATTTTTACATTATTGTTTCCCTTCACCCAGGACAATTGTTTGACTTTATTCCTCTAATAACCTCCTCTTACCCCCCATGAAATTTTAGTATTAGTTATTCCATGTATACATTTATATTGTCAGAGTTGAGCTTCGGAGGATCATAAACAATTATAATATCTAAGATTTTTTCACCTCCCCCATAAACCGATTTTTACGTCCTTGGGGATGATATCACCCCCTCCTGCTCCCTGATTAAAATGCGTAAGCTGAACCAGCACTGAACTTGAAAAAATATTTCTTACTTTTTTACCTCATGGGCCAGATATGTGGGAGAGTTTTCAAACTTCTGAGAAAATCTTAGAATCAGCACAGATGTTGATACAGCTTTCTTGAAAGTCTTGAAATATTTTTAGCCCTGGGAAGATCATATCCACGTTGGGAAGCTGTGTTTTCAGTCTTTTGAGCAAGTATAGGAGGAATCTATCTCCTAGTATTCTCATTCCCAAATGTGTCTTTGGAAAATTTACACATTGGTAATCAGAATCAGAGTGATGTAAATTTAATGATTCCTGGAAAAACTTTTAAAAATGTCTTTTCACTGTAGATTATTTGGAAAATATAGATAAGCAAACAATAAAAGCCAAATTACCCATGGTCTGACCAAGGAGGTGTGAACAACATATTGGCTTATTTCTTTACTATTTTTCCATTTTAAAAATGTGTATGTGAGTGTGAGGGCATGTATCCACATGCACATGGAGGTTTTTTTTTTAAAAAATGGAATATTCAGACATGTTAATGTGTTTGTATTATTAGTATTATCATACATATTAATGTATTATTCATACATGCTTTGTAATGTATCTTTTACATTTTATTGTAAACATTTCCCCATGGTTTAGAGTATTTTCCTACATCACTATTTCTACTGGCTATTTAGCCTTGATATATGTATATAATTAAACAGTCCCCTATTTTTTGACAGGTAGGATTCTTCACACTTCTTACCACAATAAAAATGCTTCTATAAAGTTCAGTGTGGCTACTCTTTGTACATACCATTAGTTATTCCCTTAGGAAATATATCTAGAAGTGTAAATGCTATCTCAAAAATTATGCACACTTCTACTGATTTGATAAATATTGTTAAATTATGCTTCAGGAAACTTCTATGAGTCAACATTTCCAAGTTTTCTAATTGGTTATTATCACTTCTTTTTCTTGCTTTATGTAAGCAATTCTTTACATATTTCTTTGAAGATAGTAATTATACTAATTATTTTATAGTCCTGTTTTATCAGCTCTATTTCCTCTGGTATAAACTCTTTATTTATTTTTATTTTTTGAGACTGAGTTTCACTCTTGTTGCCCAGGCTAGAGTGCAATGGCAAGATCTCAGCTCACCGCAACCTCCACCTCCTGGGTTCAAGCAATTATCCTGCCTCAGCCTCCCGAGTAGCTGGGACTACAGTCATGCACCACCACACTCGGCTAATTTTGTATTTTTAGTAGAGACAGCGTTTCTCCATGTTGCTCAGGCTGGTCTCGAATTCCTGACCTCGTGATCAGCCCGCCTCAGCCTCCCAAAGTGCTGGAATTACAGGCATGAGCCACTGTTCCTGGCCATAAACTCTTTCATCTATTAGCCTGAATGGTGTTGGCATTCAGTGATTATCAGCTCCTTGAATAATTTTTTAAATTTCAGCTTATTTTTGAATTCTGGGCACAGGAGATTCCCTGAAAGACTTATGACTGTTTTTTCAGTTCACTTTACAGAGAGGAAAAATGTCTGACAGGAGATTGCTTTGGTCAGTGAGTGTGTGGAAGCAAGTATAATGCATTCTGATTCTTCTCTGGTGTTGCCAGCTACTCACGGCTCCATTTTATTTCTCTCTGTTCAAAGCACATCTCCTAACTAGGCTATAGTTGCGTAGGATGTAGGGGAAGAGGGTGAGGGATAGGAGGAATAGTGTGGCTATGGGGTAGAGTAGGTAGTCTAGTCCACAGAGCTGCTTGGTCCTGAGAGAGTATAGTAATCCCTCTGTCTATTGTTCCCTGATCCCATTATTCTCTGAAGGACTCTACTACCTCTGTGTTTTGAATTGCCTTAATTATTTTTGGTAAAAGCTCTTCCTTGGGCTTCCATATTCATCCTGGGTCAATGCTTCCTTCCTCATTTGATACTATCTACATGTGGTTTCTGTTCCTGTAAGAATTTATCTTCCTGTATTTAAGTGGCTATTTATGTATTATTTTAAAAGTTATCCTCTTATCATTTCTAAGTTTTGGCATGGGAAGGAGGGACACTATGTATGCCTATTTTTACCGTCTTAAAACTGAAAGTACTTGTATCAATTTACTAATACACTTGCAGTATATTGTCAGGTAGAGATTAATGGAAGCAAAGTAATTGTCTTAATCCATCTGGGCTGCTATAACAAAATACCTTAGACTGAGTAATTTATAAACAACAGGAATTGTTTATAAATTTGGGATGTTCAAGATCAAGATGCCAGCAGATTTGGTGTCTGTTCGGGGCTTGCACTCTGCTTCAAAGATAGTACCTTCTAGCTATGTCCTTATGTGGTAGAAGGGTAGACAAGATTCCTTGGGAATCTTTTATAAGGGCTCAACCCTCACAAACTAATGATCTCCCGAAGGCCCTACCTCGATACTATCATACTGGGGATTGTTTCAACATAACGAATTTTTGGGGGACACAAACATTCAGACCATAGCAATAATGAAAAAAAAAGAAGAAAAAACAAAAGCTGATCCTAACAAGGACTTTTTATTGAAAGAGAGCAAGAAACATGACTTGCCTACTTTAGACAATGAACTACATGTTAGTGTAGTACCTTATTTTTCTACAATGCCTTGAAGTTATTTAAACATCCCTCATTTGATCTTCACAATTCAATGAGATGGATATTATTACTTCTATTTATAAGATGAGAAACAGGCTGAGGTACTCTAAATAATATGTTCATAGAGGCTGTGTGGAAGAAATGAATTAAATCCTTTCCCCAGCCTGTAAGTCCAGTGCTTTGTCTAGTCTACTATTAAGTACAGATAAAGTTATATGAAAAGCTAAAAAACAGTATTCTTTTGGTTAAAATAGTGACTTAAAGGAAGGTGAAGAAAAGCATTCAAGAACCCCTTAAAACATATAGTCTAATACAGAAGAACAAAAATATACTAAGTGAAATTAAAGGCGCTATGCCTTTGAGAGGCTTTATTTAAAACCACACTGGGCCTTGTATGGAAACCAAGCCATAAGCTTCAACTGACATTCTTTCTGCAGTCTCCATCATGAATCTGACCACTCAAGTTTTAATTTCCTGTCAGATAAGATAAATGGAAGACAAGATCTCACAATTAGGTTTCAAACTATAAACAGCCTTCATGAAATCTTTGAATATATTTCGTCTAGTTCACTGCTATGAGTTGTTGCTTGGTCTGAATACATTTTAAAATGGAATTCCTTAGTTTAAATTGTAGACTATTCCAGGGCAGAAGTTGGGAGCTTTCACATCTGTGGTATTCCCTAAGGAAAGTGCCTTTTGTAGAGTCTGGTTACTGCTCATTCCAGCTTTTCTTTGTAACTAGTGCTGCAAGGTTTACAAGTATGGTTGAAAGAACATCACTAGGTATACGGCTCTCCTATCCAGTGGAGAGGTGCTAACTGTATAACTGGCTTTTAAAACCTGAAAAGACTGTTTTTAAGGAATAAATGACTAAGGATTGGGAGTCTTAGATTGAGAGAAGAGAGAAGTAGAGTTTGACATTTTGCAAAGGATAATTCACTAAAAATACCCATGAAGGTTATTTGGAGCAATTTAGAAATATTGGAGGGACTTATCTATCTGCCAAAGGTAGAGCAGGAGAATTCTATGACATGTTGAAATTGCTGTGCATGTTTTCTTTTGGTTCTTTGGTTGGAACATAAATGGAGTTTAATTAAAGTTACACAGGGAGGAGTAGGGAAAATCTCATGGGGACTCAAACAGGAGATACGGTAAGGCTGGGCAGAGCTCAGAGGTACTGGAGTTAGCATGTGATTCTCAGTTCAAGGAGGAGCTGGAATCCTCAGCTGCATGAACATTTAAGTCATCATACCTGTTACACTTAAATGCAGCATATCTTAGCCATGTTCCAAATGCTTCTTCTGCTTATACCTTTTTTCTACTCCTTTATAACTTCAACGTGCACATAGCCCACTGTAAACTCTCCAGTCCCTGACATAATACCTGTTCTATTTCAGCTTCCAGAACTAAATGTCAAATTATTTCCATATTTCTTGGTTTGAATTCCTGAAGAGTGTATGATTAGGCCAACCCTTTTGCGGCTAGGTGATTGAATCAGAGTTTGTGGCCAGGCTATATTGGCTTTCTTTGGCTCAAGAGTCAAGCTCTTGTTCAGTTAGTTCAGTTCCCAAGCAGTAGAATTATATGGTGTAAAATCTGCATATGACAGGGTCTCTGGGTGGGTGGTTGCACTTCGAAAGGGGGGCATCAACAGAGTAGGAAACGTTTGGTGGTCCTATTGTATGTTGAATGGTATTCTTGACTAATTTTTAACTATCTTGAAAAGGACTAAGTTCTGAGTAAGACGTGACACCACCGGAGTTTTTTTTTTTTGAGCAGGGGAGTGATATAATTGGACATGCTTTAAAGGACTACTTTAGATGCTCTCTGGAGATGATCACTATTCACATTTTGGCGTATTTCCTTCTTCTCCAGTGTAACAATATTTCTTTTACTGAATCTTTTCTTTTCTTTCATGTATGATTACTTAACATTTTGTAGGTATCTCTATTACAGAATTTATTTCATGGCATCCTCTATTTCAGCTGCAATTGCTGTCACATTTCCATTGCCTCTTTCCTTAGTAGTTTCTTTGGCTTATGGTTTCAGGCACCATCCCTCATATATATATATATATATATTTTTTTTTTTTCTTTTTTTTGAGACAGTCTCACTCTGTCACCAGGCTGGAGTGCAGTGGTGCAATCTCAGTTCACTACAACCTCCGCCTCCTGGGTTCAAGCGATTCCCCTGCCTCAGCCTCCTGAGTAGCTGGGACTACAGGCATGTGCCACCATGCCCATTTAGTTTTTTATTTTATTTTTTGTATTTTAGTAGAGATGGGGTTTCACCATGTTGGCCAGGATGTTCTCAATCTCCTGACCTTGTGATCTGCCTGCCTAGGCCTCCCAAAGTGCTGGAATTACAGGCATGAGCCACTGTGCCCGGCCTCTAGGATATATTTTAAATAGATGTATTAGGGTCTGCCAGAGAAACAGAACCAACAGGATATCTCTCTCTCTTTCTCAACATATTTATTATAATAAATTGGCTTACATGATTATGGGTTTGAGCAGTCTCACTTCACTAACTGCTGTATACAAGCTGAAGGCCCAGGAAAGCCAGTGGTATCCTTCCAGTTCAATCATGAAGGCCTCAGAAGCAGGAGAGCTGATGGCATAAGCCTCAGTCCCAGTACAGGAGAAAACTGATGTCCTAGTTCAGTCAGACAGAGTGAATTCTCCCTCCCTCCACCTTTTTGTTCTAGTCATGCCCTCAACAGATTGGATAATGCCCAGTCACAATGGGGAGGGCAATCTGCTTCATTCAGTTCATCAATTGCTTAATTTCATCTAGAAACACCCTCAAGGCACACCAAGAAATAATGTTAAGCCAAATATCTGGATACGCCATGGCCCAGTGAAGTTGACACATAAAATTAATCATTACAGTAAATAAGTTTAAATATATTTGAAATATTATTATATGTTCTGTTTAATTTATTTACTAATGTTTAGTTAACTGTGTGGTCATTTTATTAAAAATAGGTAATTATAGTCTTTTTTGGGGGGAGGAATCAGATCTGAATTACTTTATTTGTAATTACAATATCCTTTAATCAAGGACTGATTGATTAGCACATAAAGAATGTACAGTTTAGAACCATAGATGGCAATTTTAAATGGATCATCTCAAAATTATGCTGCACATGTTTATGTGTATTTGAACATCAAGTCATTCAGGAATAGTATTAATTCTAAAAAGGGTAAATGTTATCAGAGTTTTAAGAGAAATTTTGGTATTCTCTATTAATTTATTTGTGAAGATATTCTAGGAAAGATCTGACAATCAATTACTGTACTTTTTCATCTCATCTGATTCTTAGATATGATCTCAGGCAAATATTCAATAGACTATTCATTCTATTTTACTTTATTTGTATCAAATATGATAAGCATCAACTATATATATATTGAAATATGTTTAAGAAGAATTATAGTTCTACATAATTATATACATTCACTTTAATATAATAAGCAAAAATGACTCTTGCTGCCAATAGTATTAGGCTCCTATATAGGTATGAATGAACACTGTTCTGAAACACTGCTGCACATGGTACTCAACAAATGATAACAAATCTATTTGGAATGTGGAAAATTTTCTTTTCAAAAGCAGAAAGTGAACAAGGGGAAATGGAAATGAATAGTATCAGCTATTCTGGAGAAATAAAAGTCTGTAGGTTCTAGCAGTAGAATTGTAGGGTTAAAAACCTGTATTTCTTTCTCTTTTTATCTCAGTCTCTTTCCAGACCTCCTAGGTTTTATTCTCTAATACTAAATGTTTTCTGCTTTTCTTTTTTTTTTTTTTTTGAGACAGAGTCTTGCTGTGTTGCCCAGGCTGGAGTACAGTGGCATGATCTCGGCTCACGGTACGCTCCGCCTCCCGGGTTCATGCCATTCCCCTGCCTCAGCCTCCCTAGTAGCTGGGACTACTGGGGCCCGCCACCACACCCGGCTAATTTTTTGTGTTTTTAGTAGAGACGGGGTTTCACCGTGTTAGCCAGGATGGTCTCGATCTCCTGACCTTGTGATCCGCCTGCCTTGGCCTCCCAAAGTGCTGGGATTACAGGCGTGAGCCACTGCGCCCGGCCTGTTTTCTGCTTTTCAACTCCAATTCTTGTGCTTTATGTTTATCGGATTTCTGCGATGGATAAAATATGATGATATATGATAGATGACAGAGTAGTAGTTGGAAAGAGTCCAGGCCTAGAGGCCTATTTCATTTCTGTTTGCAACAGCTGAAAACTTGTGTGCTACAATTGATATGGCCCCTCCTCTTTCTGGGCCACTTAAAACAACAGCTTTGATAACTTGTTCTGAGTTACCTTTTATTCTATGTAATTAACTTAGATGACTTTCTTCCTAATAGAAGGAAGAGCTTCAGGGGCAATCCAATAAAAAGGAAAATTTTCCTAAATTTTCAGACAGTACAATTACTATGTAAAATTGAGGCAAATATTTTGTTAGCTTTTTGCTTTTATCTTCTGTTTCCCTTTGTCATGTACTAGACAACATTAGGCTGGTGCTCACAAGTTTTCAGACTCCTGGTAAAGATGATGAAAGTCCCTGAAAAATGTTTGCAAAATGGTATCCTCTGATGTAAGTCTTTACATTTCAAGGAACATTCAGAAATTTCAGGGTGTATGTGATTCAAGACATGAGAGGTTTGGCAGCTCAGTCCTTTCACATTATTTGAAGGGACCTTAGGAACTGGCTTCTAGCAACAAATCTTTCCTTAACTGGTGTCCCTAGGAAGCAGGACTACCTGAGAGGTGACCCTGGGACAAGATTGGCAGGGGGCCATGGCAGTTTCATTCCTGGATGTTTATGTGTACACAATTTTCACTACCCTGAATGCTTTTTCTTCTCCTGTATGATTTCGCCTTGACTTTTAAGGTTCAGATGAAATATTTTCCCCATGTAAACTTGGCAGAGTTCTTGTAATTCACCTAGGTTTTATATTCTGCATCTGTAAATAGAAGCTAATAATATCCTTTTCACTGAGGATTAAATGAGACATGGGATTGAACCCAGGTCTAGCTAACTCCAAAGTCATTGCACTTAAACAGTGTATTAGGCCATTCTTGCATTGCTATAAATAAATACCTGAACCTGGGTAATTTATAAAGAAAAGCGGTTTTATTGACTTGCAGTTCAGCAGGTTGTACAGGAAGCATAGTGGCTTCTGCTTCTGGAGAGGCCTCAGAAAGCTTTCAATTGTGGTGGAAAGCAAAGGGGGAGCGGGTTGTCTCACATGGCAGGAGCAGAAGCAAGAGAGAGAGAGCAAGAGGGAAAGTGCAACATACTTTTAAAGAACCAGTGTCATGAGAACTCACCATCATGAGAACAGCACCAAGGGAGATGGTGCTAAACTGTTCATGAGAAACATCTCCATGATCCAGTCACCTCCCACCAAGTCCCACCTCCAACATTGGAGATTACAATTCTACATGAGATTGGGGCAGAGACACAGATTCATAACATATAAAATATAATGCTCAAGATATTTTAAGCAACTACCCACTTTATTTTTTCCTAGTCTACCATTTATATAGCAAACATTCTTTCTAAAGATACCTTTATTATCTGCATTGGTCTTTTGACCCTAGGCATTCACTACCTTTTATTGATAAATATTATTTTTTGGTATGGATAATCAAGCATTTATTGAAAAATATTTATTGAACCACATTTATGTATTAAACGTATGCTAGATCAGGAGATACAAAGAATAAGAAATCGTTCTTATGAAGGGACTGAAAGACAATGTGACATGGTCTTGTAAAAAGTTACATTGAATTGTAAATTGGGATATTACAATGAAACGTCGTATGTGTAGGTCTACAGCTTGAAACTAGGGTTTTCTGTTTCCAACAGAATGTTAAGCTTTTGAAAGCAGGAACCAGTCTTCTATTTCATTCAACTTTTCATTATTTTTAGCCTAGTGTCCTGTTCTTAGTAGGTGTTGGGATTTATCCATATATTTATTGATTTGCTTTAGTAAAATAGAAGCTCTCTATTACATATTAGTTACTTGTAGCTGTATAACACATTACCCCAAAATTTAGCTGCTTAAAGCATCAGAGATTTGTTATTTCACACAGGTTCTGAGGATTAGGAATCTGAGAGTATCTGAACTGGTTGGTTCTAGCTCAGGGTCTCTCATGAGTTGTAATCAAGTTGTCAGCTGGAATTGCAGTCATCTGAAGGCTTGACTGGAGCTGGAGGATCTGCTTCCAAGATGGCTTACTCACATGGCTTTTGGCAGAAAACCCCAGATGCTTAGCATGTGGGCTTCTCAACAGAGCTACCTGAATATTCTTACATCATGGCAGCTGGCTTCCCCCAGAGTAAGTGACTCACAAAGAAGAGAGAATAAGCAGGAATTGCAATACCTTTTATGGTCTAATCTCTGAAGTTGTGCACATCACTTCTGCTTTATTCTATTCATTAGAAGTGAGTCACTAAGTCCAGTACGCACTCAAGGGGAGGAGAATTAGGCTCTACCTCTTAAAGGAGCAGTAACAAATAATTTGTGGATATATCTTAAAGTTACCACAGTACACTAACAGCACAAAATGTACTCTATCATTATTTTCTTTTTGAGCTCTGTAGGCTGAGGGCAAAACTTCAGAAAATAGGAAGATGAAGGCAGGGAAAATAAAGAGGGACTGGGAGAATGCACAGGGTAGTTTAGAGGGAATGAGGGTCTGGCATAGGGCAAAGAATCTACACAACCTGGGAATGTTATGTTCTGATGTCTTAGGTATTCATAAGAAGGGGGCTAAAGAGAATGACAGTGAGAGATGGAAGTGGGGAAAGAATGAAGAAGAACAAAATAACTGAGAGAAAACAAGGATAATTGTGTAGAAAGTGAAAGGGCAAGAGAAGAAAATAAAATAAAATACCTCTAGGAAAAAATCTCTGGAATCAGTCAAAAGCTGTTGCCCAGTTGTGAAGCAAATAAGCCCATTGGAACTGTCCAAAGGGGCTATTTTCTAAAATCTTTATTGTATAGTATCTGAGTATAACTGTTTGAGACATTTTTATGGTGATTTAGGTGCCAATGCTGAAAAGAATGAATTAAGATTCAAGAGTAGAACAATTTATAATTATTTTAAAGAAAATATATGGAGAAAAAAAGATAAGAATTGGTAGAAGTTTTTTTGTATAAAAGATTTAGAAATAAAGTTGTTATCAGAGACAATAATTATATAACTGAAGAGTCATTGCTGGGCACATTATGAACACATTTAGGCTATGAAAAGTGAAATATAAATGTGTGATGAAACCAAGGCAAGGTGGAATTAAAATTCCATCCTTCCTCATTCCCCTCCTAATTACTTAGTGGGGAGAGAGAAAGTATTGAAGTCATTTCATCTTTTTCACATACAGATATAGAGAAATTTCATTATAATCTTGTGGCATGTTTAGATATCAGAGATACAACATGTGGAACTGACATAACATACATGCAAACTAAGTGGTCAGATAGATTTACTGCTTTAGTTGTGTAGGTCAATTACACAAAGACAATTTATATGACCAGGATATTATTTAGAAGGAAAAGAGATAAGACCCATGCAAATAAACTGGCAAGACCTAGTTAAGTATCAAGAGAGACATTGTAGAGTTTAGACAATGCAGAGTTAATAGGAAGAGGAGTATCTTAGAAACATCAATAGGAGAAAGAAGCAATTGATGAATGGAATTAGGCATATGATTTAACTTGGCAGCAATGGTCCCCATGAGAAGGGAGTGTCCAAAATAAGTAAAGTTCAAGGGATGTAACTAGACTGTTAAAAAGCAGAGTACAGACTTTAAAGATAGTCAGTGGAGGCCCAAAATGGGGATTTTTGTCTTACTCTTAAGCATTAACTCACCTAAGAGGGAACAATGATGATGATCTTTTACATAAAATATGGAAAAATAAAAGACTATCAGCTTTGATATTGACAGGCACATTTTTCTTCACATCAGGGGGCCTATTTTTGGTCTATTTTCCAACATTTAAATGAAGAAAGGGTTTTCTAGTATTTCTTTTGGTTATAAACATAGTTTTCTGAATTGGAAAATTTAGGAAAATATAAAAGTGCATAAAAATAAATTACAACTATACAACCCATTGACAACTGTTAATATTTTAGCACATTTCTATGTTTTGTTTTAATATTTATGATTTAAAAGATTTTTTTAAAAACAGTTTTGCATACTGCTTACTTTACTCAGTATCATATCAGGACAATTTTGTCATTAAAAATCTCTTGTAAACATCATTAAATTTATTACCTTTTAATTTTTGAATAAATTTTAAGGGGCATAAGATAGTTAATCCTAATATTTACTAAAACATTATAATACAAAATAGAAAATAAATGATACATGTTTAAATTATTAATGGTTGAAACTGTTGACTACGTACTGTGATAATAACAGGTAATACTAATTATTTACTCTGCCACAGGAACTGTTCTAAGTACTTTGTATGGATTACATCATTTAACAATCATATTAGCCACTATGAGGAACCTATAATTATTATTCCCGTTTTACTTAAAGAGGTTTAGTAATGTGGCTCAAGTTCTCACAGCTAGTAAGTATGGAGCTGAAATCCAAACAAGGCAATTTGACTCCCAAGTCCATCTTTCTAAATCTATACATTTTGCATTATATGTTTAAGCCTTGCATTAGGAACTGGAGATAGAATGATAAGGAAACCATAGAGGGTCTGCTCTTGCTGAGCTGTAGCGTGTAGAGAAACAGTTATTACCAAATAATTAACATTTTAAATGTATAATTACAAACTGAAATCAGCACACTAAATGAAAGGAACATAGATCGACAATAGACAACAGGAGCCTGACTAAGTGAGTAAACTAGGGAAGGCTTCCTGGAGGAGGTGACACAAGCTGACAGCTGAAGAACGAACAACAATCAGTGAGGTAAAGGGGAAAGATACATTCCAGACAGAAGGAATAGCATGCAGAAAGGCCCTAGAGTGAGAGGGAACATGAATGTTCAGAAAACTGGAAGAAATTCAGTGTGACTGGGGCTCACAGATTGTATGGGAGCAGGCTGTGGCCCAGGAATGTAGGGCATGCTGAGGATTTTGAACTTTAAGGACAATGGAAATCTCAGAGTTTTATGTAGGTGGTGACATAATCAGATTTATTTTGAAAGGATCTTTCCATCTGAAGAATGACAGACATACTGGAGGGAGGCTAGAGGGAATGTGGGGTGGATTTCTGGTAGACTTTTGCTGAAGTCGAATAAGAAATGAAGATAACTCGGTCTAAGGTAGTGGCAGGAAAGGTGGAAAGACCTGAACATATTTAAGAGATATTTAACAGGTAAATTTGAAAATGGTGATGGAGTTAGTATGTTTTCTATGGGCTGAGATAGACAATACTAGAAGACCAAAATTTAGGAGGGCAGATCATGAGTTCAATCTTGGAAACAGTGAGTTTGACATGTGAATATTTTGAGTATGCAGTTGCGTACTGAGTGTGGAACCAGAGTCTTTGCCATAGAGATTTAATCAATTTGATGAATATGGGTAAAAAAAAAAAGAAGAAGATAAAGTGCAAAGAGAATGTAGTGGGCTCTGGGGAGCACTATTTCATGACTGGGCAAAGAATTATGAGTTATCAAGGAAAATTTAGTTAGAAGAGCATGTTAACTAGGTTGGAATTGTTGGCAACAACTGAGGGTATACTGGAAGTTGGTGATGATGAATTTATGGTGATTCTTGTCTCCCCTGAGGTGTGACTCTGCAAACAGCACCACAGAGGCAAGGAAGCCTGGTGGCAAGAATGACCCAGAAAGGTTTTGTAAGATATGTGAAACGAGAAGGTTGAGTGTCAGAGGATTCAGGCATGAGATAGCATAATTTACCATTCATTTTTTTTAAACATAGAAAAGGGTTTCTTAAAAAAAAATTGAGGCTTGGCACGTGTCTCACATACCTGCAACCTCAGCACTTTCGGAGGTCGAATTGGGTGAATCGCTTGAGCTCAGGAGTTCGAGACCTGGGCAATATGGTGAAACCCCATCTCTGCCAAAAATACAAAAAATTAGCTGGGCATGGTGGCACATGCCTGTAGTCCCAGCTACTTGGGAGGCTGAGGTGGGAGGATAGCTTGAGCCCAGGAGGTGGAGGCTACAGTGAGCTGAGATCGTACCACTGCACTCCAGCCTGGGTGACAGAGTAAAACCCCACCCACTCATCCCCCCACCCCGAATTTAAATAATTCTGAGAAATACCTTTTATGCATAAACATTTGTCTCTTTTAAATATTTCTTTTGGAGAAATTCCTATAAGAATTACTCAAAGAGTAAGAATAACTTTCAGCCTTTTAAATGACATTGCCAATTTGTTTCCAGATTCCTCTAATCTTGTTTGCATGGGGGCAGTGGCTGTTCTAATTTTTATTCTTTGTGTTTTGACAGGCTAAAAGAATGTATCCTTCAAATTCTTCTTTCTTACTCTCTTTCAGCTGCTGTGTCATGAGTAATTTTCTTTGGTTAAGGTGCATATCTCATGCACATGTGAGAAGGTCTTCATGTTGCTTTGGAACAACAAAGAAAACCTTCTGGTTATTGAATCTTTGGGTCATAAGCACTTTCCCTCTCAACCACTAAAGATCTTACTCCATTTTGTTGTGATGTTTTATGATATGGACAAAACTGAGGCCAAATTGTTCCAAGAAGAGGGAAATGCAAAGGCCCCAAGGTGGAGAATGCTTGGGAAGAAAGCCAGTGTTACCACAGTGGAGAGAGACAAGAGAGAAGTGGAGAAAGAGTGAGAGAGCAGGTACTGGGAGATGAGGCCAAAGAGATAGTGCAGAATCCAAATCATAACCAAGTCCTGAAGGCAGGGTGAGGAGTGTGCATTTCATTTTGAGTGAGATGAGAAACCACTGGGTGGTTGTAAGAGGGGGAGTGAAGTGGTATGATTTGCATTGTAAAGCAATTGCATGGTTAGGGTTGGCACACACAGGCAGGGTGGAAGTAGAGGCCTCTTCGGGCTACTGGTTCTCAGGTAGTTCAAGGGCAGAAATGGGGTCTAAAGCAGGTATGGGGTGGGGACTGTGCGGTGACACAAATAAGCCCTCCCAGATCAGTTATTTCTATGCTGATGTCTAAATGGAAAAGCCTGAAGAGGACTCTCCCTTCGGCTTTAAGGCCTAGGGTACAAAAGGCAGGGCAGGGCCTGGGCTTGGGGGCCTTCATCTGCTTCTCCCTGACTAGAATGAGGAAGGTCTCAGTGTCTGTCTGTCTGTCTGTCTGTCTCTCTCTCTCTCTATCTGTGTGTGTGTGTGTGTGTTTATAGCCTGGGAGTTTAGTTATCTATTTCTTTCCAGGCTTGGCTCTTAGCCTCTTTTCTTCACCTCCCTCTAAGGATCTTCTCTTGGGAGAAGTATTCAGCAGATACTGAAGGATTATGACTCTAGGTCACTTTCTGACTATTTTCCCTCCCTTTCATGCAGGGTGTGTGAGACATGGGTTCCCAGCACAGATATTTTTTCTTTCTTATGTTCAAATGATATCATCAGCCTAATTTCTCCACAATTCTGATTAGATATCAAATTTATCATACAGTTTCTTGAATTTCCCATTGGTCACAAATAGTATTAATATCCTTTAGAGTTACTAATTAAATCTAATTTTTGGATGCCTTAGCCCCCACACTTGAATCTTTTCCCCCCTCCTTGAAACTTGACCTTAAGCCTATTTAGAAATCCCAGTTCTCACTAAAGAGTAACGCTATGAATTTTGAGATGCTTTGAAGAATGCACAGGGATTTGTCATACCCTACTTATTGGTTCTATTTTTGAGTCCATGTGAAATCTCAGCTTCCTCCCTCACCCCCAGTTTACTTTATAAATGCTCCTGCTAATCTAGCCCCCTTCTGATCTCCCTCATTGCTTTGGGCTAGTCTGAAGCAACAGAAGGACTTGCTAAATTTGTATATTCTTCCTGAGTCCTGGGGCTTTGTGGGAACAATTATAAAAATTTACCAAGTCTGGAGAAGAAGGCCTTCGCAAATCTTGAGTGCGCAGGGAGAAGCGAATGTGTCTGGCGTTTCTGAGAAGATATTTGTTTATTCATAAATCATTTATTGAACATCAGCTCTGTACTAGGCATTGAATTTTGAGCTTGCATTAGTCACGTAAGTCATAGTGTTTAAAGAGACCAAAGCCTGATAGATGAAGATAGACTTTTCAACAATGATTGTCTCAGAGTATTTATAGGTAATATGATTAATTTATATACCAGGCCCAATGAGGAGACAAGGAAACATTCGATAGAGGCTGGAGAAGCTTAGAGGGGTGACATTTTAGTTTTGAAGAGATGACCCAGTTGTAGGATGAGTTAAAAGGGTATGGCATGAGTCATAACTGTGAGATAAGATACAGGCCTGTCATGAGATCTCTAAGTATCTCTGAAAGCTTAAAAGGGTAAAGATGGGGCTTACTAGGATATATGGTTGGAGAGTCAGCCAAGGAGAGCCAAGTATGACATATGAGGGCTTTGGATTTATCCTATGGACAAAAGAGAGCTTTGAAAGGTTCTAAGCAAGGTTGTTATATGACCAAATTTTCCTTTCAGAAAACCATTTCTTCAGCAAAATTTTGCGCTGAGATGAATTCAAGTACCATTGCAACAACTCACATAAGACAAAGGCCTCCAATGAAGGTGGGGTGGGTAGTGGGTGTGGCCAGGAGTAGGAGAAGATTGTGTGGGGGTGGTGAGGAGGTGGATGGGATGGAGGATGGAAAGAGAGGTTTCCAAAAGTTTTAAGAAGGTAGAATTGACAGGACATGGTGAGAGACTTGAAGTGGGTGATGAGAAAAAGGAAAAAGCATAATTTAGGGGAAATATGAATTTAGGCTTAGAATTTAGAACTTTAGGTGCCAATGGAACTTCCAGTTGGAGTGGTTCATTGGACAGCCAAATATTTGAGACCATTACTCAAGAAGGCAGTTGACACAGACATCTTAGCCTCAAAGTTCCTTGAATCCTTCACTTTAAGGAGCTTCCTCAGTCTTCACTTCAGCAAACCATATCTACAGTCAAGTCTAGATCCTGACATCACCTTCACATGCTCTAAATTTGAAGAATTAAGGTCTGGTATGGCAATGTGACCACTGGTTCCTTGTATGTTCAAGCTATCTTATTGCTTTATATCCATATCTTTTCACTTAATGACTCAATGACATGAAGTCACTCAATGAGTCATTAAGTCAAAGTCATTGAGACTTCATGTCTTGCCACATCTTCTTTTCTCCTAGTCCATCAGAGTTGGTCTTGTTATTCCTTCCTGTAACCAGTCTAGACTGAAAAGGAGCAGTCCTGCCCTTTAATATTTAGTACACACAACATGCTCATTCTTTTACTTTCTGACATACTTATGTTGCAGACTCTTTATGTTGGATCTGGGAAGCTGAATGCTAAAGGGAAGCACATTATTGTACAGACAGGGGCCACCACTAATATGTAGATTACAGTGGTTCCCTCAGCACTTCTGTATAATATATTTCTGTCCAGGTTCCTTTACTGAAAACTGTGGGACATTTCAAACCTTCACTGCTTTCTTCCTGTCTTCATTCATACTGATACCCTGCCTCCAAACTCAACTGACATACGGTCTTATTCTCTGCTTCAAACAGTTGAAGGGACTATGTCTGACTCCTTCAACCATCCAGTGTCTTCAGACTTATTCAGGGGTTCACTTAAATGCCTTTTCCTCTGGTCACAAAGGAGAAGATAATTAAAAGATGTTAATATTCTAAGATCATTCTGTGTCCTTCACTTGCTTATTTCTGTTTTACTTATTCCTTCTTTCTCCTTTACATTGATCTCTCTGTATTGGTTTTTTCTTAGAGGACTGTGAGTTTAGTATAAATTATGGAATGATATCCTTTAGGACAAAAAAGGAAAGAATGGTGGTTACATAGAATGAAGCACAAGGAATAACCCTTCTCATTTCAGCACACTGAGTACTGACTTAGAGCTGCCATTGGGTTCAACTCTAGGTTGTACCCATGAGATTGTTAACATAGGAACTGAATTAAGAAAGTTAGAATGTCTGTTTTGAGACCAGGACTCAAGGTGATACCAACATAGACTTGAGCTTTGTATTTTATTTAAACATCTGCCTATGTTGTGTAAGATTTCCTGTACTTTTGAAACCTAATGACATGATATCCCAGATGTTTAAAATCAATTATTTTTAATTCATTGCATGCTTGCTACGTTTCAAATTCTGGTCTCAAATTATGGAAATATCTCTAATTTTCCTATAAATGTTGTGAGATGCAGTGGTGTGGAGCCACTTCACCCAGGCTCACAAGAGCTAATTTTGCACATCCCTTCCCAAACTCTGTGTTCAGTGACTTGAATCAGCTATAGCAGGAGGATTTACACTGTGGAATCAACACTCACTGCAAATTGAGGCTTTTTATTTCTTCATTTCAAGGACCTGGTTTACCAGCATACTACTTAAGATAGGTCATATGTCCCCATTTTACAGCTGAAATTTAGGTTCAGAGAAATAACTCCCTAAATTAGGTTAACTGTGAAAGCTACATGGGTTTTTGGGAGGCAAGGCAAGATATTCTGTAAGAGAGTAAGACATTGTCTTTTCTCTTCTTTTCTCTTCTTATTCTCTTCTTAATCTTTTCTTTTTCTACTGAAGTTGTAGACTGCAATTGGATTTAGACTTTCTCCATAGAAGTTTATATATCCTTGTGAACTGTATATCTTCCGTCTTCTGTTTTTTTTTTTTTTTCCCCTCACTCTGTTGCCCAGGCTGGAGTGCAGTGGCACAATCTCGGCTCAGTGCAACCTCCACCTCTGGGTTCAAAGGATTCTCTTGCCTCAGCCTCCCGAGTAGCTGGGATTATGGGCATGTACCACCACACCTGGCTAATTTTTGTATTTTTAGTAATATTTTCTTGGTCCCTAATAAGTTATAATGTGAACATTTTGATGTTCTTTTATTTCTTTTACTTTCCTCATTAAACATAAATGGATCATAAGACAGTCTTTGAGATCTAGAGGTTGGTGTATGTTAGGATGTTATTTTTTGTTATGCTTGGTTTTCTAATAAATATATTTGCAAAATGTTCCCAACACTCAATTTATTAATGCTTATTCTATTACTAACCAGTTCTATAACCCTAAACAAGTTTTCTTAGTTGTTCAGGATGGGGATATGACCAGTGACCCCTAAGGTCATGGCCATTCATGCCACCATTAAAATTCTTATGCTTCTGATAAGTAGAGTATGCCCCAGTGTGCCCCTAAATTACTTTATTTAGGACTTAAATCCACATTAGTATTTACTGTGGATTTTTAGTCCTAAATAAAGTAATTTCAGTTTAATTTTATTAAAAATGTAGCTTTAGAGGTAGTTTCATTATTTTGTTGTGCAATAAGGTTTTTATTTTGTTTGAAAAGTTTCAGGATCTGAAGCTGAGGGAATTCTACTGTGAGGGAAACCCACTGTTCCTGCAGCAGCCAGTGATTTCTACACAGCAGGAGAACGTCTGGAGTCTACAGGTGAAGACTTACCTCATTAACTTAAGTCTTCAAACTAAAGCCACAATTTAAATTTTAAAGCGTTTTCTTTTAAAACATTCTTGCCAAGCCAGCAAATGATTAATGTAATCCTAGTCCATTGGCAATGTGGATCCTATACATAATCTTTTTGACTTGCTTATAGAATCCAGTGAAATCCTAAGTCACTCTGATTCCCAGAGTGACTTAATTCAGAGAAATGGAAATATTTTGTAGGATGAATAAAAGAGAGAAATTTATTTTCACTTTAGCCTTTTCAGTGTTATTTAAAGATGTATTGATTTGTTCTTAGTGTAGTCTTTACCTCTTTCACTCCCTTTTTACTCGTCTCTATCCCTAGTGGATGAATGAATATGATCCAGAAACTGTGTTCACTTCAGCAAAACAAGTTAATGGTATTAAAAGAAGGAACAGGAAAGCATATTACAGAACTCTTTGGTAATAGACAAGTCAGAGATCACAGGTCCTCCCACATTTGGCTATGATTCTCCATCAAGAATTTAGATTTCTGAGATCCATTTGGGTCTGTAGCTAATGTGCAGGATTGTCATAAGACTTTTAGGATTTGTATGGGATCAACTTTCCTGGCTGCAGGAAACATCCAGTCTTGTCCAGTGGCTTACTTTGTTTTTTTTTTTTTAATTAAATTATTGTATGAATAATACCTGTTTATTGCAGAAAACAATAACATACAGATGAGCAATGGAGAAAATCAAAATTTCTTATACTGACTTTTAAAAAGTTTCTTACTACAAAAGTAATACAAGCTCCCGTAGAGAAATTAGGGCAAAAAAAAGCCAATAGAAGTTAATAAAAATACTAAGAAATCAAATTAATGCTCTATGACATTTATTCTTTTAGAACTTTTTATGCATTCAAAATATTTTTGTAATTAAAGATGAGTTCAAACTCTATACACTATATAGAGTTGTTTTTCCACTCAATTATTGTGAATAGCTTTCCAATCAGTAAAACAAAACAAAATAAAACCAGACCATGACATCTTTTTTGATGAATACATGGTATTCTGTATATGATGATATCATAATATTTTTAACTACTTCCCCACTGTTGGATGTTTAAATTATTAATAATTTTCTGGCTTTTTAGCCTTTATAAACAAAGATACAAGGCTGGGCACAGTGTCTCATGCCTGAGGCCCCAGCAATTTGAGAGGTCATGGCAGGATGATTGCTTGAGCCCAGGAGTTTGAGACCAGCCTGGCCAACAGAGTGAGACCCCATCTCTACAAAATTTTAAAAACCTTAGCCAGGCATGGCAGTGTGTGCCTGTGGTCTCAGCTACTCAGGAGGCTTGAGCCCAGTAGGTTGAGTCTGCAATGAGTTGGGTTCATGCTACTGCACTCCAGCCTGGGTGACAGAGCAGGATCCTGTCTCAAACCCCCCCCCCCCCAAGTCAAAAAGCAACAACAACAAAAAGCAAAGGGACAGTGACCATTCTCATAGTACATTTTTAGTTCCTGTGCATATTATCCCTAAAAATGTAACTGCTGGGCCAAAGAACTGACATCTTGTAAAGTTTGATTTATTTTTTTCAGATTCCCTTTCACAGAATATTTTCACAAACAGCATTATTTCTTACTCTTCTGTAACAGAAAAACATCTCATTTGAAATTTAATAGTAAATAATTTGAGTAACAGTTGTATTTAATTTTTTATTCCCTTATAACTTATTTTTTCTCCTTTCATCAATCATTTCAGTATAATAATAGCAGCTAACACTTATTTTATGCCTATTATGGACAAGGTACTGTTCTAAGCACTTAACAGGAATAAACTAATTTAGTCCTCTACTAACCCTAAAAAGATAGGTATCATTATTGACCACTTTTTATAGATATAGAAATGGAGATTCAGGGAGGTCAAATAACTTATCTGAGGTCACAGAGCTACTAAGTGTTGGGACAATGACGCCAACTTAAGCAGTTGGGTTCCAGACTCCCAGCTGCAATATTGGTTCAGAAAGGGGATATAGGGAGCTGAGGGAAATGGAGACAGGGTCATCCTGGGTTGGAGGAGGTTCTGGTTTGTGGAGGAGGCTGAATTAGCAGTTAACCCAATCTGGTAGCTGTCTTACAGAGAGCCTTCAAGGACAAGAACCTTGTCTGTGAGGGTGGTGAATGAGAGAGAAATTGTTCTAATTTTCAGAACTGTTGGGTCCAGGAGCACAAAAGTTAATTTTTTTTTTCTTTTATTATTATACTTAAAGTTTTAGGGTACATGTGCACATTGTGCAGGTTAGTTACATATGCACACATGTGCCATGCTGGTGCGCTGCACCCACTAACTCGTCATCTAGCATTAGGTATATCTCCCAATGCTATCCCTCCCCCCTCCCCCCACCCCACAACAGTCCCCAGAGTGTGATATTCCCCTTCCTGTGTCCATGTGATCTCATTGTTCAATTCCCACCTATGAGTGAGAATATGCGGTGTTTGGTTTTTTGTTCTTGCGATAGTTTACTGAAAATGATGATTTCCAATTTCATCCATGTCCCTACAAAGGACATGAACTCATCCTTTTTTATGAATGCATAGTATTCCATGGTGTATATGTGCCACATTTTCTTTATCCAGTCTATCATTGTTGGACATTTGGGTTGGTTCCAAGTCTTTGCTATTGTGAATAGTGCTGCAATAAACATACGTGTGCATGTGTCTTTACAGCAGCATGATTTATAGTCCTTTGGGTACATACTCAGTAATGGGATGGCTGGGTCAAATGGTATTTCTAGTTCTAGATCCCTGAGGAATCGCCACACTGACTTCCACAATGGTTGAACTAGTTTACAGTCCCACCAACAGTGTAAAAGTGTTCCTATTTCTCCACATCCTCTCCAGCACCTGTTGTTTCCTGACTTTTTAATGATTGCCATTCTAACTGGTGTGAGATGGTATCTCATTGTGGTTTTGATTTGCATTTCTCTGATGGCCAGTGATGATGAGCATTTTTTCATGTGTTTTTTGGCTGCATAAATGTCTTCTTTTGAGAAGTGTCTATTCATGTCCTTTGCCGAATTTTTGATGGGGTTGTTTGTTTTTTTCTTGTAAATTTGTTTGAGTTCTTTGTAGATTCTGGATATTAGCCCTTTGTTAGATGAGTAGGTTGCAAAAATTTTCTCCCATTTTCTAGGTTGCCTGTTCACTCTGATAGTAGTTTCTTTTGCTGTGCAGAAGCTCTTTAGTTTAATTAGATCCCATTTGTCAATTTTGGCTTTTGTTGCCATTGCTTTTGGTGTTTTAGACATGAAGTCCTTGCCCAAGCCTATGTCCTGAATGGTATTGCCTAGGTTTTCTTCTAGGGTTTTTTACGGTTTTAGATCTAACGTTTAAGTCTTTAATCCATCTTGAATTGATTTTTGTATAAGGTGTAAGGAAGGGATCCAGTTTCAGCTTTCTACATATGGCTAGCCAGTTTTCCCAGCACCATTTATTAAATAGGGAATCCTTTCCCCATTGCTTGTTTTTCTCAGGTTTGTCAAAGATCAGATAGTTGTAGATATGCGGCGTTATTTCTGAGGGCTCTGTTCTGTTCCATTGATCTATATCTCTGTTTTGGTACCAGTACCATGCTGTTTTGGTTACTGTAGCCTTGTAGTATAGTTTGAAGTCAGGTAGTGTGATGCCTCCAGCTTTGTTCTTTTGGCTTAGGATTGACTTGGCCATGCGGGCTCTTTTTTGGTTCCATATGAACTTTAAAGTAGTTTTTTCCAATTCTGTGAAGAAAGGCATTGGTAGCTTGATGGGGATGGCATTGAATCTGTAAATTACCTTGGGTAGTATGGCCATTTTCACGATATTGATTCTTCCTACCCATGAGCATGGAATGTTCTTCCATTTGTTTGTATCCTCTTTTATTTCCTTGAGCAGTGGTTTGTAGTTCTCCTTGAAGAGGTCCTTCACATCCCTTGTAAGTTGGATTCCTAGGTATTTTATTCTCTTTGAAGCAATTGTGAATGGGAGTTCACTCATGATTTGGCTCTCTGTTTGTCTGTTGTTGGTGTATAAGAATGCTTGTGATTTTTGTACATTGATTTTGTATCCTGAGACTTTGCTGAAGTTGCTTATCAGCTTAAGGAGATTTTGGGCTGAGACAATGGGGTTTTCTAGTTATACAATCATGTCGTCTGCAAACAGGGACAATTTGACTTCCTCTTTTCCTAATTGAATACCCTTTATTTCCTTCTCCTGCCTAATTGCCCTGGCCAGAACTTCCAACACTATGTTGAATAGGAGTGGTGAGAGAGGGCACCCCTGTCTTGTGCCAGTTTTCAAAGGGAATGCTTCCAGTTTTTGCCCATTCAGTATGATATTGGCTGTGGGTTTGTCATAGATAGCTCTTATTATTTTGAAATACGTCCCATCAATACCTAATTTATTGAGAGTTTTTAGCATGAAAGGTTGTTGAATTTTGTCAAAGGCCTTTTCTGCATCTATTGAGATAATCGTGGTTTTTGTCTTTGGCTCTGTTTATATGCTGGATTACATTTATTGATTTGCGTATATTGAACCAGCCTTGCATCCCAGGGATGAAGCCCACTTGATCATGGGGGATAAGCTTTTTGATGTGCTGCTGGATTCGGTTTGCCAGTATTTTATTGAGGATTTTTGCATCAATGTTCATCAAGGATATTGGTCTAAAATTCTCTTTTTTGGTTGTGTCTCTGCCAGGCTTTGGTATCAGAATGATGCTGGCCTCATAAAATGAGTTAGGGAGGATTCTCTATTGTTTTATTGATTGGAATAGTTTCAGAAGGAATGGTACCAGTTCCTCCTTGTACCTCTGGTAGAATTCGGCTGTGAATCCATCTGGTCCTGGACTCTTTTTGGTTAGTAAGCTATTGATTATTGCCACAATTTCAGATCCTGTTATTGGTCTATTCAGAGATTCAACTTCTTCCTGGTTTAGTCTTGGGAGAGTGTATGTGTCGAGGAATTTATCCATTTCTTCTAGATTTTCTAGTTTATTTGCGTAGAGGTGTTTGTAGTATTCTCTGATGGTAGTTTGTATTTCTGTGGGATCGGTGATGATATCCCCTTTATCATTTTTTATTGCGTCTATTTGATTCTTCTTTTTTTCTTTATTAGTCTTGCTAGTGGTCTATCTATTTTGTTGATCCTTTCAAAAAACCAGCTCCTGGATTCATTAATTTTTTGAAGGGTTTTTTGTGTCTGTATTTCCTTCAGTTCTGCTCTGATTTTAGTTATTTCTTGCCTTCTGCTAGCTTTTGAATGTGTTTGCTCTTGCTTTTCTAGTTCTTTTAATTGTGATGTTAGGGTGTCAATTTTGGATCTTTCCTGCTTTGTCTTGTGGGCATTTATTGCTATAAATTTCCCTCTACACAGTGCTTTGCATGTGTCCCAGAGATTCTGGTATGTTGTGTCTTTGTTCTCATTGGTTTCAAAGAACATCTTTATTTCTGCCTTCATTTTGTTATGTACCCAGTAGTCATTCAAGAGCAGGTTGTTCAGTTTCCATGTAGTTGAGCGGTTTTGAGTGAGATTCTTAATCCTGAGTTCTAGTTTGATTGCACTGTGGTCTGAGAGATAGTTTGTTATAATTTCTGTTCTTTTACATTTGCTGAGGAGAGCTTTACTTCCAAGTGTGTGGTCAATTTTGGAATAGGTGTGGTGTGGTGCTGAAAAAAATGTATATTCTGTTGATTTGGGGTGGAGAGTTCTGTAGATGTCTATTAGGTCCGCTTGGTGCAGAGCTGAGTTCAATTCCTGGGTATCCTTGTTGACTTTCTGTCTTGTTGATCTGTCTAATGTTGACAGTGGGGTGTTAAAGTCTCCCATTATTAATGTGTAGGAGTCTAAGTCTCTTTGTAGGTCACTCAGGACTTGCTTTATGAATCTGGGTGCTCCTGTATTGGGTGCATATATATTTAGGATAGTTAGCTCTTCTTGTTGAATTGATCCCTTTACCATTATGTAATGGCCTTCTTTGTCTCTTTTGATCTTTATTGGTTTAAAGTCTGTTTTATCAGAGACTAGGATTGCAACCCCTGCCTTTTTCTGTTTTCCATTTGCTTGGAAGATCTTCCTGCATCCTTTTATTTTGAGCCTATGTGTGTCTCTGCACGTGAGATGGGTTTCCTGAATACAGCACACTGATGGGTCTTGACTCTTTATCCAATTTGCCAGTCTGTGTCTTTTAATTGGAGCATTTAGTCCATTTACATTTAAAGTTAATATTGTTATGTGTGAATTTGATCCTGTCATGATGATGTTAGCTGGTTATTTTGCTCATTAGTTGATGCAGTTTCTTCCTAGTCCTGATGGTCTTTACATTTTGGCATGATTTTGCAGCGGCTGGTACCAGTTGTTCCTTTCCATGTTTAGCGCTTCCTTCAGGAGCTCTTTTAGGGCAGGCCTTGTAGTGACAAAATCTCTCAGCATTTGCTTGTCTGTAAAGTATTTTATTTCTCCTTCACTTATGAAGCTTAGTTTGGCTGGATATGAAATTCTGGGTTGAAAATTCTTTTCTTTAAGAATGTTGAATATTGGCCCCCACTCTCTTCTGGCTTGTAGGGTTTCTCCCGAGAGATCTGCTGTTAGTCTGATGGGCTTCCCTTTGAGGGTAACCCGACCTTTCTCTCTGGCTGCCCTTAACATTTTTTCCTTCATTTCAAGTTTGGTGAATCTGACAATTATGTGTCTTGGAGTTGCTCTTCTCGAGGAGTATCTTTGTTGTGTTCTCTGTATTTCCTGAATCTGAACGTTGGCCTGCCTTGCTAGATTGGGGAAGTTCTCCTGGATAATATCCTGCAGAGTGTTTTCCAACTTGGTTCCATTCTCCCCATCACTTTCAGGTACACCAAGCAGACGTAGATTTGGTCTTTTCACATAGTCCCATATTTCTTGGAGGGTTTGCTCATTTCTTTTTATTCTTTTTTCTCTAAACTTCCCTTCTTGCTTCATTTCATTCATTTCATCTTCCATCGCTGATACCCTTTCTTCCAGTTGATCGCATCAGCTCCTGAGGCTTCTGCATTCTTCCCGTAGTTCTCGAGCCTTGGTTTTCAGCTCCATCAGCTCCTTTAAGCACTTCTCTGTATTGGTTATTCTAGTTATACATTCTTCTAAATTTTTTTCAAAGTTTTCAACTTCTTTGCCTTTGGTTTGAATGTCCTCCCGTAGCTCAGAGTAATTTGATCGTCTGAAGCCTTCTCTCAGCTTGTCAAAGTTGTTCTCCGTCCAGCTTTGTTCCATTGCTGGTGAGGCACTGCGTTCCTTTGGAGGAGGAGAGGCGCTCTGCGTTTTAGAGTTTCCAGTTTTTCTGTTCTGTTTTTTCCCCATCTTTGTGGTTTTATCTACTTTTGGTCTTTGATGATGGTGATGTACAGATGGGTTTTTGGTGTGGATGTCCTTTCTGTTTGTTAGTTTTCCTTCTAACAGACAGGACCCTCAGCTGCAGGTCTGTTGGAGTACCCTGCGGTGTGAGGTGTCAGTGTGCCCCTGCTGGGGGGTGCCTCCCAGTTAGGCTACTCGGGGGTCAGGGGTCAGGGACCCACTTGAGGAGGCAGTCCGCCCATTCTCAGATCTCCAGCCGCGTGCTGGGAGAACCACTGCTCTCTTCAAAGCTGTCAGACAGGGACATTTAAGTCTGCAGAGGTTACTGCTGTCTTTTTGTTTGTCTGTGCCCTGCCCCCAGAGGTGGAGCCTACAGAGGCAGGCAGGCCTCCTGGAGCTGTGGTGGGCTCCACCCAGTTCGAGCTTCCCCGGCTGCTTTGTTTACCTAATCAAGCCTGGCCAATGGCGGGCGCCCCTCCCCCAGCCTCGCTGCCGCCTCGCAGTTTGATCTCAGACTGCTGTGCTAGCAATCAGCGAGACTCCGTGGGCGTAGGACCCTCCGAGCCAGGTGCGGGATATTATCTCGTGGTGCGCCGTTTTTTAAGCCCGTCGGAAAAGCGCAGTATTAGGGTGGGAGTGACCCGATTTTCCAGATGCCGTCCGACACCCCTTTCTTTGACTAGGAAAGGGAACTCCCTGACCCCTTGCGCTTCCCGAGTGAGGCAATGCCTCACCCTGCTTCGGCTCGCGCACGGTGCGCGCACCCACTGACCGGCGCCCACTGTCTGGCACTCCCTAGTGAGATGAACCCGGTACCTCAGATGGAAATGCAGAAATCACCCGTCTTCTGTGTCGCTCACGGTGGGAGCTGTAGACTGGAGCTGTTCCTATTCGGCCATCTTGGCTCCTCCCGTCTCCAAAAGTTAATTTTTACAATGTGTTTAGTGGAAGTAGCTATCTATGCCTGTAATATGTAAATGATGTGTGTAGTTTTAAGAGTATCCCTAAGAATTCTTCTCAGAAAAGTGACTTAAATTGATTTGTACTTAAAGTAAGAGTTATTTCTACTGGGCATTTAGTCAATGTTACTGATTAAAGTACTTGCTGTGTCAAAGAATTCTAGGAACTATGATATGGGTTATGCCTTGGTAAAGATTTTAGAAACTTTACCTCACCTCAGAGATTTATGAAGTAAAATTTATTGCTAATAACTATATTATAGAAAAATATTAGCGGGAATATACTGCATTAGTAGATGCCAGGCTAAATGGTTTACCGTTTTTATGTAATTTAATTCTCCAAACTCTTTGTGATAGTATTGGAAAAAAATCCCAACTTTACAGATGAGGTGTTCAAGACCAGGGAAGTTAAGGGTTCATCCAAATATGACCACACAGCAAATAAGTCATAGAGCCAGAATTTACACCTATGCATGTATTTGTCTCAGACTTTGAATTTTTGCTCTTGATGCTACGTTTTAGTGCTTATCATACACATAGTAACACCTGAGTATACAATAGTTCCAAAATGTATCACTCCTAAGGATTCATATTTGTTTTTACATTTTATGTTTTTCATATTATATAATTTTTATGTGTATAATTTAATAACTCAAAAATTATAAGGAAAATGTAGGACATATAAAATCAATTTCATTTATGATGAATTATAATTAACTTACAAATATTCTAAGAAAATAGCATATAAGCTATCTAAAAGGAGCAATTTGAGTATTTTGAAATATTTTTATAGACCACTTTGGTCTATAAAAGATTTCTTGACTTTTAAATAACACTGGAATTAGACCATCATTAAATTGTATACTCTCAAAAATTGCACTGAATGCATCTCTAAGAGATGTCCTAAAAGATACTATTGGTCATGCCAATAGTATTTTATTTTATATATACTCACATTTCCAAGTAAGAACTTTATATTTTAATGGTGTATGCTATCCTTCCAAAATAACACATTGGCAATAAGTAAAAGAAAAATATAAATAATAGTTGATGTAAGAGCTGTCAGATATACTGAGTGCAACAAACATGTTTGGGTCCAGAAATCATAAATGGAAAAAGTGATCTATATGAACCTATTTTTAGGTCCCTGGTATTTCAGCAAATGCTTCTGTCATCTGCTATTTTGGGTAGTGAATCCTTATCCATGAGTTTTCTACAGCTTTATAATAAGACTTGGCCATTGAATTCGTGTAGCTAAAAGCCCACCTATAAAATCAGTATTTATTTAAGAATCACAAGCTATGATCTGCTTAAGTAGTTGGAGAAAGGGTGAAAATAAACATCTGATTTAGGCACCCTTGTAATATTAGTGTGAAAGCATGACCTCAGTCATGCAACCACCCAGGAGAATGAGCTTAAGTGGGTAGGAGGTTGTGCTGTTGAACGATCAGACAAATAAAGAATCCATGCTCAGGGCTGTTTACTGTATAAAGGCAGCTTTCTCGGGTGCTTGTTTATTGGGAGGGATAGGATAATAGGAAATGGACACAGCAATTTATAAGATTTTGCTGTTATTTTTTAAGTTTTTAAATAATTTAATTTCTTTAAAATTAAATTAATTTCATGCATGGGGAGAATGCATGAAAGATTATGTGTGTATATATGTATTTTCAAAAATTCCTATCCAAGCTTTATGTGGACTATTTCAATACTACTGGGAAATCTTTCACTTTTGTTGGGAAAAAAAAGTACCAAATAAATCATCCCCAAACACTGTTAAAATTTCAAGCAGTGTTTGTGTAACATTTATACAGGACTTCCATGCTACTGACAAAAACAATGGAGAAAATTTAATGGATTCAGGCAAATGTTTATTTATTTTCTTTGCTTGGTCAGTGAAGATTTAATTTTATGCATTATGTAATATATTTTTATTAAGATGATAGCCCTAATGAAAGGCAACTTCCATTTTCTTACTTCCTCCCTTTATTATTTAGTATTTTATTATTATTATTGCAAGTCAATTTTCTGAACATATCTAGGTAGATAGGTTTAACTGAGATTAAATTCACATATTTGGTTCCTAGAAATCATTGCTTTTTTGATGGCACTATTCAGGTTCTCAGTGCAGCAAGGAATTTAGACCAGTGCTTCTCAAATTTCAATATGCGTATAGATTACCTGAGGAACTAGTTAAATTGCAGATTTTGATTCAGTAGGTCTGGAGTGTGTCTGACATTCTGCATATCTAATAAGCTCCCATGTGATGCAGTCTGTGAACCACAGTTCAAGTAGTTAGGATTTAGACCTTAGTGAACATGACAAAATTCATTTTTGAATCCAGTCTGAATGTTTGTACAGTTTTTGCTTATTGTAATGAGAGGTGCCAGATTTAAACCTAAACTGTATCTAACTTTATAAAATGTGTAATGCAAATGTATTACGACTTGGATTCCTATATGTAAGAGATGTAGAAATACGACAATGTAAGAAACTTATTGTTCTTATATTGATGAAAACCAAACTTATTTGCAATGCCAGTCATTTACAACACAATTCATTAGATACACTGCAGAATCTTAATTTAACAGAATCTAGATAATAAGCCATACACTTTATCTAATGAAATGGAAATCAATGTAATGTAAAATAGTTTTGAAAACAATCTGAGGAACTGTATTTTTTTTTTCAATTTAGGAAATAACATCAAGATTTGTAATGAATCAGCTAGCAGAAAATAACCCTTTCCTAATGGATGACATAGAACGGTACCCACAAGTCAGGAGCATGATCTCTCAGGGAAAAACATGTGCAATATGTGGACAGTACTTTATAACCGTATGGCTGGAATGTGTTCGATTTGTTCCTCCACCAAAGGTAAATGATGCTTTTTATGCGAATATGAGCATAATACTGATTCCTATCCTTTGTTCTTATCTAAATCAGTTAATACTAACTAGATTTGTACCTATGATTGGCTTATAGGATAGTATACTGTAAATTTTGGATAGACAAATTTGGATAAGTGTCGGTAATAATCATCATCACCCATTCTATTTACATTCATAGACTCCCAAATTTATCAAAATACATGGATTCTAGCAAAATTTCATGAAAGTTGAAAGTTTTTAATCAGTAAATCCCTTTTGTTCATGAATATTAATAATAAAACCAGAACTAAATTCTTCTCAGAAGAAGAATTGGTCAGTAGTCTGTCATGGAATTCTTGGTGTAGAAAAGGTGAATGTGCTGGCTAGTTTATATCATGATGGTGTTCTAGAACACTAAATACGCATGAATGTGCACCTGCAACATTATGTTACCCAGGAGTTGTGAATCCCAGGGCAGTTCACATAGCCCATAAGGCGTGTTCTAGACCAGAGCTCAGCAAACTCCTTTTTCTCTAAGCGGCCAGATAGTAAATATTTTAGGCCTTATAGACAGTGTGATCTGTGTGACTACTACTTGACTCTCCTTTGTAGCATGAATGCAGCTCTAGATAATATGTACATGAGTGTAGCTGTGTTCTAATAAAACTTTACTTGTGAATTTAAATTTCATATAATGTTAACATATCATGAAATATTATTTTATTTTGATTTTTTTTTCAACCATTTAAAAATGTGAAAACCTTTCTTAGCTTACAAGTCTTATGAAAACAGGAGGTGGGTCAAATTTGGCCTGGGGACCATAGTTTTCCCACACTTGTTCTAGACTGTCTAATGTTTGCTTTTAATACCAGAATTCCTTTCTGCTCTTGGTGAGCCCTTGGCCTTCCTTGGGCTAGCATAGTATAATATTGGGGGATAATTTTAAATAAATTAATAAAAACAGCTGCAGTTTCTGCCATTCTGAAAATTGTCATCTAGTGAAGGAGACAAACAAATAAGTAAACACAAATGTAACATAAATTGTGACTAACATGACATAAAAGAATGGTATATTAGTTTGCTAGGGCTGACCTAACGAAGTACTACAAACTAGGTGGCTTAAAACAAGAGAAATTTAGGCTGGGTGCGGTGGCTCACACCTGTAATCCCAGCACTTTGTGAAGTCGAGGTGGGTGGATCACCTGAGGTCAGGAGTTTGAGACCAGTCTGGCCAATATGATAAAATCACATCTCTACTAAAAATACAAAAATTACCTGGGTGTGGTGATGGGCGCCTGTAATCCCAGCTTCTTGGGAGACTGAGACAGGAGAATCACTTGAATCTGGGAGGCAGAGGTTGTAGTTAACCGAGATTGCACCACTGCACTCCAGCCTAGGCAACAGAGCGAGACTCTGTCTAAAACAAAAACAAAAACAAAAACAAAAACACAACAAACAAACAAACAAAAGAAAACAAGAGAAATGTATTGTCTCACAGTTGTAGAGGCTAGAAGTTTAAAATCAGGTGTCATTTAATTTGATCATCTTGGTAAAGGCCCTATTTCCAAACAAGGTGACTTTTGGGGGCACTGGATGTTAGGACTTCAACATATGAATTTTGGCAGAAACACAATTCAGCCCATAACCAATGGGTTTCACAAGGAAGAGTATCAGGGAAGCCCTTCTTTAAATCTGGGATAAGGGAAGTCTTCACAGAGGAAATGATATTTTAAATGACACCTCAAAGGTAAAGAAGGTCAGGTAGAATTGTGGAAGAGTGTTTCCAGGAAACTGTTCCAGTAGGAACAGTGTGTATTAATGGGAAATCACTTTTTGATTCGAGGAACTGAAAAATGGTTCAGTGTGATTAGAAAGTATTAATTGACTAGGAGAGTTGAGATAGGCAGGAGTGAGATCACAAAATACCACGTAGTTTACATTAGGAATTTGGCTTCTATTTAATATGTGATGAGACACATTTGAGGAATTTTAAGTAAAAGAGTGGTATATCCTAATTTACATTTTAACAATATAACATCTGCATAGAGAATGAATTAGAGGGCAAGGAAGTGAGATTAGGCAGTAGGCTATTTGCACTAGACCAGCTGAGAGATGATGATCGCAGTGGCAATGGAGGGAAATTATGGATTGAAGATGCATCTTGGAGAAAGAAGTGATAAGACTTAGATTTCCAGGTTTTTTTGGCCTACAGAACTGTGTAAAGCAGATTTTTTTTTTATTACTAAAATAGGGAAGACTAAGGGAGAAGTAGGCTTGTTGGGGAGAGATAGAAGTTCTGTTTTTGCACATGGTTAAGTATGAGACTCCTGCAAAATCTGGGAGCCTGAGCAACCTGGAAGCTATAGACTCCTATCTAGTCTGTTAGGCATGCTGGGAAGTCTAGGACTCATTGTTAGCTGTGAGTGTGTGTGTGGGTGGGTGGGAAGATTTTGGTAGGGAACTAGATATGTGACCTCTAACATCATCTCTATCTCTAAAGAGTTTGATTCTAAATCCTGTTGTTCAAGTGATTTAGGGTATCATTATGCTCCAGTAGTCTTTGTGCCAATAAAGGATCTGAGTTGTGAATATGCTTATACCTATCTTTTTTTTTTTTTCTTTCCGAGACAAAGTCTGGCTCTGTCACCCAGCCTAAAGTGCAGTGGTGGTGATCTTGGTTCACTGCAACCTCCATCTCCTGTGTTCAAGCAATTCTCCTGCCTCGGCCTCTCAAGTAGCTGGGATTACAGGTGGCCACCACCACACCTGGCTTTTTTTTGTGTGTGTATTTTTAGTAGAGATGGGGTTTTACCATGTTGGCCAGGCTTGTCTCGAACTCCTGATCTCAGGTGATCTGCCTGCCTTGGCCTCCCAAAGTGCTGGGATTACAAGCGTAAGCCACTGCGCCCAGCCTCAGTGTATCTTATCACTAGCCACTCACCAAATTTACCAAAGAATCTTTTAAAAAATACAGATTATCCTACCCTAGAACTACTAAATCAGAGTCTGTAGCAGTAGGATCCTGAGCATCCACATTTTTATGAAGATTTCTAGCCGGGCACGGTGGCTCACGCCTGTAATCCCAGCACTTTCGGAGGCTGAGGCGGGCAGATCACGAGGTCAGGAGATCGAGACCATCCTGGCTAACACAGTGAAACCCCGTCTCTACTAAAAAAAATACAAAAAATTAGCCGGGTGTGGTGGCGGGCACCTATAGTCCCAGCTACTTGGGATGCTGAGGCAGGAAAATGGTGTGAACCCAGGAGGAGCAGCTTGCAGTGAGCCGAGATCGTGCCACTGCACTCCAGCCTGGGCAACAGAGAAAGACTCCATCTCAAAAAAAAAAAAAAAAAAAAGATTTCTAGTTGATTTTCATGTGCAGTCAGGGCTGAGAATCTCTGCTCTCCCTGTTTAGGGCTGTCCCAGTACCACAGGGAAATGGTTGTGTCTTACACACCTTACTAAGCAAGGCCTATGTGGTTTCTCACACATAACAAAAAGTTGAATATAAAAAAAGTTGAATGAATATTCATTGGTTGAATATATGAATTAATGAATTGTTAGTGACAAAGGTGTAGTACAGCTAATAGTGAAAAAAGAAAAGGAGGTGTTGGTGAAGGAGTAAATCCACTGTGGAGCACTGGAAGATGACAAACACCTTAATATGGCCTCTATGCTGGGGAGAATTCTTACTATGGCTGCCTTCAGGCACACTGTAGAGTTTGCTCTGTCAGTCTGCTTCTTGGACCCTATGCTGAAAGTCTTTCACTTTACTCCACTGTAAGCAGAACAAAGGCTCCTGCATACAAGTATGCTATGTTCCCAAGGATCTCCAGAGCCTGGATTAGGCCTTTCGCCTTTCACAGCCCATGGCCTCCCCAGGGACAATCGATGAGTGCATGTGAATGCTGATAATGTATTCTTACTAGCATTATTAGTTGTTTCATAAGCTTACATTTCTAACTCCTGGATGAGATCATCACTACTTAGGTTCAGAGATACATTATCTTTCTCAAAACTGTAATTGTGAAACTTTCTTTCATGAACTTCACTATATGTGTTGTTCATCATGAGGTTCAACAAGGACAACTTTTTTTCCACCAACTTTTTAGTTTGAGAAATTGGAAAACAACACATAACTTGAATGAATAATACAATGAACATTTGTATACCCTTTACCTAGAGTTGCCGATTTTTAATATTTTTTTCCATTGGCCTTATCTGTTACTGTTTTTTGCCTTTCAGGATGCATCTTGTCCAAAACAAATTTGATATTGACACAAGCCAAGAATGTAGCCTACCTAGAAAGATTGTATTATTACTTTTCAGGGCAAAAATAGAAGAATAGATTCGAATTATAAAAAATATGAATGAATGAATGAATGGATAAATAAAGCTATCCTTCATACCAAGTAGAGAGATTTTATCAAGAGTTACAGTGGATAACACAATATATGAGCCAGAAAATATGTAGGTTATTTTAGCTATACTAACCCACGCTTAGGACATGGAGGCTCACGTTACTGGCCTGTTTACTTTCCAAGAAGCAGAGTACAGATTTTACAACAGCTGCTTTACGTAGTTCATTTATAATCCTGTAGAATGAAATCCAGGAACAGTCATCAGAGTTCACATCACCTGATGTCAGGTATTTACACATCACCTGATGCCAGGTATTCACGTCACCTGATATCAGGTATTTACTCTGAACTAGCTCTGTGGATCCTGACAGACAGCCTGATAGACAGGATCCACAGAGCTAGTCCAGAGTAAAAGACCTAAATCAGCTGTGGTTGTGGTGTAGAGCTACTACAATTTTTCTCACAATGTCCTTTACCAGAGTTTTTGACACTGCCAAGTATTGTAAAATGTTGCATGTGAATTGGGAGACTAAAAGGAAGGCTAGAAGTGTTTTCCTCTTGATCCAGTCATGTACAAATTATGTCTTACTAGACATAACCATGTGTGCTTAAGACAAAAAAATAAAAGTGGAAGAATCTAATCAGAGAAATCATTCTCATCTCAGTTACATGTATATTGGGCTTTAGTGTAGTGGTTGCCTATAAAAGTTCTCTATGAATAAGAAACAGTGATTTAAGTTGTTCAGTTTTTCAATACCTTGATGCTCTTGCTATGGAAATGTCTTTGTCAAAGTTGAGTTGGTGTTTATATCAGAAAGCTTTGAAGTCTTCATGGCATTTAGCAAAATTTGTAGTAATCGATTTACTTGGTGTTGGTGTCTGTCTCTACCACTGAATACTAAGCTCAAGGAATTTAAGAACCATTTTGGTTTTGTTCACCTTTATAGAGAGAGAGCTTCGGACAATACCTGATAAAATTTTATTTCTACAGAATGATAAATCAGATCTGGATTTGAATACCAGCTCCTCCTTTAATTAGTTTGTCAACATATTACATCTCTATGTATCATAAGAAAAATCTGGCAAAGGTGCTGCCAAGGAAGGCTAATGTTAAAATTTTTAAAAGCCCAGAATCTAGAACTAAACAGATAGCCAAAGAGAACATTAAAATAGTGGTTGAGCAGGAATTTGAAAGTTAAAACCAGCTGGACCTTAAATACAAAGAGAAAAGACAGCTCATCGGTGGGAAAATGAGGATAGAAATGTATGTTGGTCCTCAAGATGGGAGTAAATATGTAATCTTGATCACATATGTAGCTATCTGTGAATTGTTCACATTATCATCTGGAATGGATTGTTATATTCAAGAGACATTTAATGAGTACAGCGTGTCAGATTACTCGGAAACAGTTTTCAAAACATCCTGCTTTCCACTGGTGATGTTCTGAACACCTTAGACAAGTTGCCATGTTTAATTGTGCTCTGACAGATTCCCTCTCAAAACCATCTGATGTGCTGCTACTCTTATTTCATGTCTCTCTTTCAGAAACTACAACCTAATACAAGCAACAACAGCCAGAATTTATTTGGTACTGAGTGTGCATCTGGTGCTCTGCTAAATATGTCACCTGGAATACCTCAATTAATGTCCAAAATAACCCCATGACACCAGTAAGAAATCCAAGGCAAGGAGAAACCAAGTAATTTTGCCAATTTCAGAAAGCTGCCAAGTAGAGGATATGGGCAGGGAACTCATACATGTTATTCCTGATCCTTAACCAGAGAGTCTGGGCTATGTTTCCTATGCTTTTCCAACCTAGTTATTCCCCATTTACTTCAGCTGAACTTAAGACATTTATGTTAAAGATCCTTCTTCTGTCCTCATTTATTTATCCACTGAAACTTATTTATTTTTTTCTAACTGTGTGTCAGATTATTTGCCAGGGCTGGGAATACAGAACCCTGATCCTTGAGAAACTCACATGTTCCCAGGAGAAGTGGGATAATAAGGATTGGAATCTGACAAGTTAGGTTTGATGTCCAGCCCTACCACTTGCCACCTGTGTCCTGTTACTTCCCTCTTCAAGGCTAAGCTTCCTCATCCTGTCAAATGGCAATAATAATAATACCCATCACACAGAACTGTGGCTAGGGATCATGAGGTAATGCATAAACAGTGCTTAGTACAGTGGGTGTTCAACAAAGGTAGCATATAGTAGGTGCTTAATAAGTATTTTTTTTTATGTGTGTGTTTTGTAAACCAAGGCTTTCAGACAAGAAAGAGAGAATGATTGCATTCTTGTGATAAGCAGATGTGAAGCTGCACAGGATGCTGTGAGAAGAAGGCATCTCCAGTAAATGGGATAGTCCCTGGTTTAACCCTGGTGCCTACCACAGTGATTGTGTTTGGCGAATCCATAATAAATGTTAAGTTACTTTAAGAGGCATTTCTTAGAAATGTGCTTTGAAGGCTAGGGAGGCATTTAGAATAGATAAAGAACTAGTGGATAAGCATTTCAGGCTAGGCAGTTGCCTGTGCAGAGTTAATATTGTGCAAATATAAATTGCACAATGTGTACAGTGAAGTCACGGAAGGTGAGGTATGAGAGATGAAGTTGGAGAAAACAGCAGTGTGGGTTACAGTGACTCTTTTATGTGAAGTTTGAGCTTAATTTCAAAAGCTAGTGTATAAGTTGCTAGGGCTGTATAACAAAGTATCACAGACTGGGTGGCTTACACAACAGGAATTGATTTATTAACAATTCTGGAGGCTAGAAGTCTGAGAGCAAGGTGCCAGGAGGGGTTGGCTTCTCCTGCAGCCTCTCTTTTCGGCCTCTACATGGCTGGCTCTTTCCTGTGTCTTCACATGGTCTTCCTTTGGTACATGTCTGTGTCCAAATTTCCTCTTCTCATAAGGATGTCAGTCATATTGGATTAGAGCTCACTTTATTTGACTTCATTTTAACCTAAGTAACACTTTAAAGACCCTATCTCCAAATACAGTGACATTCGGAGATACTGGGGTTTAAGACATATGGATTTTTGGGTGACACAGTTTAGCCCGTAACAGCTACTTAGAGTTGTTGAAGTAGTGGGGTATGATGACATTTTTGCTTGACAAAGAGAGGCTAGACCTGGTGATGTGGATTTAAAAATTGTTTATATAAGTGAGACACTCGAAGCCCTGGGAATGAAGATTACCTAAGGAGATCTACTCAGTAGGGTGAGAAGACCAGAAGGACAGAACCTTGGAGGGCAATATTATTAAAAGGTGGCAAAAGCAGGAGTCAGCAAATGAGAATGAAAAGAAACATTCAGGGACAGAAGGGCAAAACAGGGAGAGTGGCACAAATTCTTCAGCTATAAAACACAGATGCACAATAAACAGGGCTTTCTTGCTTTTTCTTCCACTGAACTTAGCTTTTATTTGGGCCCCATTCTACTGGAAAGTTTACCTAGTTAATTCAAGGCTTATGTGGTAATTTTAGGATTTCCTAAGTCATTTCAGATTTTATCTTGATCACTTAGAATTTCCTTCCCTTCCTTTCTGCCTATATTATCTAATTCTTGGAGTTTTTAAGTAGTGTCATGGTATTAGGAGGTAGGAGCCATATGTTCTGCCAATGTCCTGTTTCATGTGGGCATCCTCTGGTGTGTGATCTTCCTATCTAGATCGAAGCTCCGTGGTAGTGTCTACTTCCCATTGGTCATGCTTCTTCTTCCATGTACCCTGTGTCTTCTTGTTCTGATGTTGAAGTCCCTTTTGTTTGCTGGTTCTCTTTCAACCACTTCTACACTATTCTCTGGGCATAAGAAAATTTTGGCTGCTCTCTTACTCTAATATGGGCTCAAGAATGAGCTGACTAAAGACACCAAGTTGACAGATCCAGGGCTGAGGAGAAGAAACAGCACTGAAAAATCAAAAGAGGAAGGTGGTGTCCTTTGTGTCATTAAGTGGCAGGGCTGGAAGCAGGTTGCATCGATAAGAAGCCTGATGGGGCCAGGCGTGGTGGCTCATGCCTGTAATCCCAGCATTCTGCGAGGCCGAGGCGGGCGGATCACCTGAGGTCAGGAATTTGAGACCAGCCTGACCAACATGGTGAAACCTCGTCTCTACTAAAAACACAAAAAAATTAGCCAGACATGGTGGTGGGCACCTGTAATCCCAGCTACTCGGGAGACTGAGGAGGCAGGAGAAGCACTTGAAGCCAGCAGGCAGAGGTTGTAGTGAGCCGAGATCACGCCATTGCACTTGCACTGCAGCCTGGCAACAAGAGTGAAACTATGTCTCAATAAATAAATAAATAAATAAATAAATAAATAAAAAAGCCTGGTAAGAATACGGAAGTGAAGCCAGCAAGTCTTGACTAATCTCCAAGCAATGTAGCTGTAAAAGGTAGGAGTGCTATAGAATATTCTTTGGACGTGAGGAAGGCTTGAAGAAAAATTTTGAAAATGGGAAGATATGTGCATGGTTGTAGGCTGTGGAAAGAGCTAGTAAGGAGGATGTAAAATTAGTCTGTCTTGTACACCAATTCAGGAAGAGTTTAATGCTGTGATTAGGTACTGCTACTTTAAAAAATTAGTAGAATTTTTAATAGAATTTTGTTACTGCATGATGAACCTTATCTATTCCATCATGTTAAGGGAATGAGTAAGCCAAGAAGAGGAGATATGAAAGGTTTTAAACAACTAGAAGATGGGTAATGGTAGTGCTTTTCCACTTACAAAATGCTTTTTACATATTTTTTTCTTTCAACATCTTTACTGAGTTCTTACTATATGCAAGGTACTATGCTAAGCTCTCTGGATCCAAAGATGAATAAGATGCAGTTCATGCTATTGAGGAGATCACAGACTATTAAAATGTAACGTTAGAAGCATTGTCATAAAGCATTATATACCCATACTATGGAGTCATAGACAGAACCAACAACGACTTTGGTGGAGGCTAAAAGGTAAATTTCCCAGGGGGTGACATTTAAGTAATAGAGTTTCTGGCCCTCATATTAACTTTGTGACTTGGTTTTCATTGTCTCTATTCACAGTTGAGGTAACTAAGACTAAGCAAAGTTAAGTAGTTTGTTCACAAATTTCAAATCTATCAAATAATAGAATTAGGACTTTAGCTTACCTGACACCTCCTGATACCACCTTCTGTCTCTTTTTTCCTGCACTAGAACATGCACAATTTCATTTTGAATCATAAGAGAAAGTGCAAATAAATTTATTGATTGATGATGATACCATTACTCCCAATAGCTATCTTTGTATATTTGAAACACTGTCATGTGAAAGAGAGATGAGGCTTTCCTTCTGTTGACTTGCAGAGTAAGAAAATAGAACCACTGACCATTCAGGTCAGATAGATAGAACTTTCTTACAGGATTTTAAACACAGACACACACACACACAGACACACACACACACACACACACACACACACACAGGTTAACATCAATCATCACTGAGGAAACAAGCTTGGAAGCAAGAGTAGGAAAATAAGGAGATTTGATATCTATATAATTTCACTTTAAAAATTAAAAGAGAATACATTTTTATGAATTAAATATGTCAGGGCATTATAAAAACAGCAACATAATGGCATAAGAATATAGCATGGATTAAAAACATAATGGTTAAAAGAGAAACCCATTAGCTAGGATCTACACCCTTTGAATGTTCTAGCTAATGGCAGAAAATGTTCAAATATTGAAAGAAGACAATTTCAGATTGAAAAAGCACATTGAGTTCCAAGCAGAACAAACAAGAACAAATCCATACATAGACACATTTTGGTAAAACTATATACCACCAAAGTTGAACTATTGAGAGCTAAAGATGAAATGTTAAGAAAAGAGAGATCACCTACAAAGCAGCAGCAATGAACTGACATCAGATTTCTCAGTGACAGTAATAGATGCCAGAAAAAACAATGGCATACTATTTTCAAAGCACTAAGGGAAAATAACTCAAAATGTAGACTTATATGTGTAGATACATTGATAGGCAAAAGCCATGGGAGTGTCAGAAAATTATAAGAAGAAAAAATTTTTAAAGGAAAATTGTTTTGCTTTATAAAAACCATGGATTCTAGCGTTATTAAAATCATTAAGCTAATAATATCTAGTAAGTATATGATAGTAAAAAAGTATATCACAATGGAATTAGAATAAGTGTATACAGCTTGTTAATCATGCTAAATAAATTTAAGGATGCTTAAAATATTTAAAGATTGATAAAGAAAATTGAGATTTGAATATATATTACTAGATGTTAGCAGTTAAAAAAAATTTAAATGCCGTTCATAAGTTCCTTGTTTCCAGAGTTGAAACAGAGTGAAAACATGCACAGAATACTTGGGGATGATAATCAGATTAACCACACTGGTAAGGAATTGCTTTTATATATCTCTAGATTTTTATGTTAAGTAGACAGCAATTATACAAATATATATATATATATATATATTTTTTTTTTATTTTTTTTGCTTGGAAGCCTCTCTTTCTGTTAAATTTTTTTTAATTTGTTAATTATCTCTTCAGAAACTAAACTTAGAGACTGCTGACCTTTAGAGCAAATACTTTATCAGGAAGGGAGAACATATTTGATAATGCCAAAGTCTAGTTGCCCCTGTTGTGCTTTACACAATGTTCTGCTTCTTATGGGGTTTACACTCAAAGGAGGGAGACACTGGATGATAAATGGGTCTTTATTCTCAACATAAAACACAGAACAATCAAATATCAAGTTGTAATTGCTTCTATTCAGGTGAATGTAAAATTATGTCATGCTTGCTTTAATGAAATAATGAGATGAGGATTGGAAAATAGTCAAAACAATTTTATTCAGTCTCAAATATCAATCTTGATCATAATTAATCCAGATGCTTTTGTCTTTTTCTAAATGCTATAGTTCTGCCATCAAAGTTGAATTAGTCCTTAGCAATTACAAAATGATCAATAATTTCAATGTAGTTGATATTTCAATATTAGCTACTAATGATATAAATCTTTGAAACAGCAACACAAATTATCCTTTTTAGTTACTACTAACTTTGTCTGTATTTGAACAATGACTTAGACCTAACCTAAATAGTCTCATAAAATTCTTTCCAAACACTTGAGTGATCCTGTGCCCAAGATATGCATTTAATAGTTTTCATTTCTTATAGTTTCGTTAGTTGAACTTAACATTTCCCCAGATTCCTTTAAAGTTGAATAGTTTAGGGAGGGAATGGTTTGGAACATGAACTCTCAACCCTGTATTAAATGATGTAATGTAATTAAAACTACCCTCAAAAGAGATTAGACTGCGTAGGTCTCCCTATAAATGAGTGAAAACGTTCATTTACTTTATGAAAATAAATGAAAATTTGTAACTTTAATTCCTTTTTTATGACAAGCTGCCAGTAATGAAACATAAGATTACATTTAATAATTTTACTCATTACTTATAAAGTAAAATCTTACTTTGTAGTAAAAAGTTATTACTGTTAAGATACCACTGACATTCATTTATGAAACTGATCATTTCAACCAGTCAACTGTGAAAATGAATGTAGGTTTTAAAACATTTATGCCGTGGTTAGTCAATTTAATGTACATTAGGTACTAAGAGGATCAGAAAGCATCACATTTCTAATTCTAAACAGCCATGAAAGTCATAAGTATTTATTTAGAAATATTAAAATGGATATATATTTCTTATTGTTTTATTCCAAAAATAACAAAACAATTAGAGTATAAACATGAGCTCATACACTGTGTCTTGATTACTTTTACTCCTGTGAGAACTCCTCGAATACTCTTACCCTTTCGGAGAACTCTCCCTTTTGTTCTCAAACTGCTGGATACAGTCACAGTAGTATTCTGTATCTATAATTTTTTTTCTTCTAAATAATCTTACATTTTATTGAGCTTTAGTTTAGTTTTCTGAAGCTGTGTATCATCAAAATGTTGAAAATTCCTTGTGAAATTCAGAGGATATTGATTATGCAGGGGGTGCTGTGGGAGAGCAGGACCACTGTGTGGGGAAGGGAATGCTGCTTAGCTGGGTGGCTGGCTGGAACATGATGGGATTTTCTTTGTCGTTTCTGTTCTTATCACAGTCCAAATTGCCCTAAGGGTGGAATGACCATATAATGTGTCGTCTAAGCCAAGATGCTTTTGAGAGTAAAAGTGGATTTTATTAATAGCTGTAAAAACAACAGGAAACCAGGACTGTCCTTGGCAAATCCCAATGTATGGTTACCCTTGCTAAATGGAGTAGTTAACTTCAGAGCAGTACTCATGTCACTTATCACTGTGGCATGGCAGTGATAAATTATATTTAGTCATTCCATAAATTTTTGAGGGCCTGCTTTAAGCAGGGAACTGAATGCTAAGTACAATGCGAATAAGTAGGAGACCTAGTCTGTTCCAAATGGTTTAAAATTTGAGTTTAAATGCTAAAGAGGTAAAAGATATTAGCAATAAAATCTAGATATTAAATGAGTGATAGAGACCAATTGCTTTAGGATTCAAAGTGGAAGATGAGATCACTGTAGGTTGTCTGGTTTGGGAAGTGCCTAGAAACACAGGACTTGTATATAGCCTTGAAATAGGTGGAATTCAGATACATGGAGAAGAAAGTAAACAGAATGTTTTAGGAGAAGAGAATGGTAAGGAGGAGAATAAATCATGTTCATAGGGCAGTGAATCAGTTAGGTTGGTTTGTGGATAGGAGTGGCAGGAGGAGACATTATTAAAAAGTTGAGGTCACATGCCATGAACCTGTCAAAGGATTAGATTAAGTAAGGGGTTTGAACTTGATCTTGTTTGGAAATGAAACCCTACTGAACATGTGGGGGAAAACCGGTGAGATATATATGTGTTCGTGTGTGTGTGTTTTAGAAAGAGTCACTTGGCAATAGTGTGCTGGCTTAGTTGAAGTTTGAAGAGAAGAGAAGCTGAAGATAAGAGGCTAGTTAGAGTGGTTTCCTACTGTGGGTGTAAGGTGTGGTGGTGGAAAAGCAAGGAAAGTATCATAAGGAAGGAAGGACAATATAAATTGTTGATTGATTGAGCATGGGAAACCTCTGAGGGGTGTGAAGGAGAAAGAGTCCAGAAGGGAGCTGGTTTGGGAGGCAAGACCCCAAGTTGTATCTTAGACATGTTGAGTTTCAAGTGATGCCTGGATAATTCAAGTGAATACGTTTAACCCTCAGTTGGAGACAGACTGGCATGGAAAAGAAATATACTTCTTCAGTATGTTATTTGAAAACATGTGCACTTTCCAACAACTGTTCATTCTTCTAAACCATTCTGTAGTTGCTATTAAGCTATAATAGAAACCCTCATTAATGAAAGAGCCTGGGAATCATACAATGACTAACACTAAGCTATAATTTAGTGAACTTAGATTCTAATCTTGTCTCTACCTTGAAATATGAGGCCTAAGGTAAGTCATCTACCTTACTATATCAGGACTAATTTCCTCATTTGGACAATGAAGGGATTAGACCAGTCTCTTCTAGCATGAAAATGCATTGATTCCATAAGCAGGGAGGGCTGCCATTGTTATGCTTTTCAAGTCCTGCTAATTTGGAACATGATAACAGTATTAGTTTTCCATTGAAGCTGTTAACAAATTTCCCAAAGCTTGGTGACTTGACAGAAATTTTTTTTTTTTTTTTACAGTCAAGTAGATCAGAAATTCAACATGGGTCTCACTGGGCAAAAATCAAGATTTTGCAGGCTGGGTTTCCATCTGGAGGCTCCTGGGGGGAACCATTTTCTGGCCCTTGACAGCTTCTAGAGGCTCCCCATATCCATTGGCTCATGGTTCCTTTCTTCCATCTTCAAAGTCAGTATTGGCTGATCTAGGCCTTCTCATATCACCTCACTTGGACCTTCTCTTTTATCTCCTTCTTCCACTTTAACAACTCTTGTGATTACATGGCGCCCACCTAGGTAGTCCAGGGTAACTTCCTTATCTCAAGGTCCTTAATTTAACCCAACTTGCAATGTCCCTTTTGCTATGTGAGGTGACATGCATATTCATGAATTTCAGGAATTAGGATGTGGACATCTTTGGGGGGACATTATTTTGCCTACTGAGATACATTTTCCTGAGAAAACAGGAAACCATCTTATGCTCTTTTTCTATTCCTTGTGCTTCATATAATATTGAAATCTTATCCAAACTTTTTACTGTGCCATATAAATATATATTGCAATAATTTTTAATTTCTCAAAGTTTAAAATATGGCAGTGATGGTTACCAATTATGTTGAATGATTTTTAAAAATTTCTCAATTCTACCATTCAACAAACATAAAACTTAGCAAAGAGTAATATTTGAATTTAAAGTGGAAAACTACTTTTTAAAAAACACGTAGAGAATATAATCATGTGTTTGTTTGCTTTAGAAAATAATGCAAATATTAATGGTGAAAAAGTAAACTGTATTATAGCATTTTACTTTTTAAAGCTTTTTGCTAAAATGATATTTTTTCAAAATAAAAGCATATATAATCACAGACCAACTCCTTTTCCTATTCACTGACCTTGGCTTGACAGAAAGGATATTTCATTGAGTGCTTTGATCTCTATCTATAAACAATGACAAAAGCAGTATTTGTCTTTGACAAAATCATGAGGTTTTGTTAATTGAGGTTTGTGAAGAGAGGTCCTCTATAACAGGGAGTGTCTTATTCCTTTGTAACATGCTCATTTCAAATGGACATATGTCGTACCAGTAGAAACAGTTGCAATAATGCCACAAATAGAAATACAAATTTAAAAGGGCAGCAAGTGTTAAGGTGGTACGAGAATTTCATGTTATGCAAACATTACTAGAGATGATGAATCTAGATGGAAAAGTGTAATACCAAGAAATTATGCTGAGTTGTTTTTCTAAGTTAAATTTCTAGAAAACAATTCATAGCCCTGAAAAATATTGTATAAGAAATAGAAATTATTAAGTTGGAGAATAATCACCTTCAAAGTTTCATGTTCACTATAAAACTAACAACGGGCATTTAATAGACTTCTAAAAATCTCACCAAAATATTCATTTTATTATAATTAACTAAACAATGTTTCCCCCAAGAAGGGGAAAGAGGGACACAGACACTTTGCATTCCTGCTTGCAATAAGAGCCAACCTAAACTCTGCCCATGCGATGTCCTAATGACACAAGGGAAATGGCTAAAACCACACTGGAAATAGAAAATGCCTTTAATACTTTCTATTATAAACTTTTCACCTCATGAAGAAACTGGACAAAGCAAATCAGATGTCGAACTTGTTTCCTTAGTTTATATTTGTTTCTTTCTCTAACTTCCTCCTCTTGGTTCTTGGCTCTATTAATTGTTCAGGTTTCTTAAAGAGGAGCTGAGGAAAATGTATGTAGCATGTTTTATTTTCAATAGTTCTTTAATTCTAGCTGAGATATGTTACAGAAGTAGGCAGGATTAACTGGTTGGGTGAGACGGTTGTCTAGTATATGGAAAAGGAAAAGACCATATTTAGCCTGTCTTTTGCCATTTGTTCTCCAACCACAATTTCATCACTTAATCATTATAATCTAGTTAGGGAATCAATATTATATCTTATATAGTAGATTTAAAATATTATATGTGTCTGTCATTCAAAAATACTTATGAAATCTTTTTATTTCTGGACTAATGTATTGTTGATATCCCATGATTTAACATTTTATGGTCTATTTATAGTTTATACTGTATTGTTTCCCCAATACAATGTGCACATTCTTGAATTTATGCTCTCATAGTTCACCCTCCCCGAAATGTCCTTTTGGTTTCTCCCCAGGCAGACACATTCTAGTCAACCTTCAAAACCCAGCTCACCTTTTTCTTATATTGTGAAATCTTGCTTAATATGCAGCCTATGGTGTCTCCTGTCTCTGCACTCATATAGAACCTATCCTTGGGCTGAGCCATATGTTTCTATTTGTGTGTGTGTGTATGATTATTGTCTTTCCAACTAGATGCTAAGATTCTTAGAGGCAGGGATTGTTTGCTGTATATCTTTGTAGCCTGACACTTTGCCTAATGTGCAGATTTTAGGTAACTTATAATTTGTCAGGACTCGTGGTTGCAAATTAAAGAAACCCAACTCATATACCAACTTAAGCAATGAAGAAGGTCCAGGGATGAATCTGGCTGAAGATTTTGTCATGTCTAAATTAGGTTTCCAAATTTATCATTAGGAATCTGTCCTTTATTTATTATCTCTGCATTCCTTTGTTTTGGCTTTGTTTTCCAGTGGCTGCTGCCTAAATTGTGTCTTTTGGGAGTAAAGGGAGAGCTTCCTTCTCCCAATAGATGCAGAGAATGTCCTGGGGCTGATGTTCATTGGCTTCCTTGAACTGTCTTGCCTTATGTGCTTACCCCAGACTAATCACCATTGTCAGAGGGAAGCAATTGAGTCATTGCCTGGGCCGCAGTTACATGGTCATATATTGAGCCAGGGAGTGAGAAAAGTTGCTCTCTCACTCCCCCAGCATATGCACTGAGATTGGAGGAGTGGTAGTTGCCCAAAGGAAAAACAGGGCTTTTGTGCCAGCACAATGGGAAATGGATCCCAGACAGGAAAAACCAAGACGTCCACTGAGGAGTTCAGAACCTGTTTGCTGATTGATGAATTAATATCTTTGTAGGAAAAAAGTCAGGTTTGTAGATATTCTATACCATTTTTCACCTTCATCCAAAATATTTTACAGTTAGGATAGTGCTGTGTATCCTCTAAGTGCTTCACAGCCACTGTTGGAGGTCTGTGTGAAGGGGATGTGACTTATGACTTTGGCTCCCTGCTGATACATCACCAGGGTTAGAAGGCTGTTACTCTCTCAAGGGTGGATCAATAACTGTGCTTACCTGTCTGAACCTTTCAATAGGATCTCAGAGTTCTTTTGTGGAAGAGTGAACAGAACAGCAATCAAATCTCTCATTGTGGGTTGTGATGGTGTTGGCCAAATGGTTTCATGGTAAAACTAAGCAGCGTTATCAACCAATTAAATATTTCCCAGTTACCAGTTGTGGAAATCTTTTGGATTCTCTCACTGAGAGCTGTGTTGATTTCAGGACATGATTATAAAACATAGAAATGGTAAGCTTTTGAGGTTACCATTATTTCAAACATAAATGGTCAATATATGTGCACTAAATTGGCTAACAGGATTTTGACTGCTTATTTTGTACAAATTATTTTGAAGTACAAAAATTTAATTCATGTATTAGGCAACTTGCCTGAGACCCAGCCAGTGAAGATCTTAATGAATAGTACAGACAGTGAACAAAGAATTTTAGGAAGATTAATTTCCATGGCAACTGCATGCTGGGCAGGTAAAACCAAGATACCCATTAAGAAGTTCAGTACGTATTTGCTGATTGATCAATTTAATACCCCTGAAGGACAAAAGTCAGGTTCATGTAGATTCTGTATCATTTTTTCACCTTCATTTCAAACACTTTATGGTTAGACTACATAATGATATGTTTGAATAAAAGCACACATAATCTTTCATCATTTGGATTTTGTTTAGCATTTGAGTATGATTTTCTTAGCTAGTTAAGTTTGTGTTTTTATGTGTGAGAAAAGAGCAAATCAAGCATAAATAGAATAGTGCGTCTTTAGAAGTCAATGTTCTGAAACCTCTGAGAAAGCAAATATTTATTTTAATGAAAAATACTTATTGAACACTGCCTAAATTTTATTTTTAATCTTTACTTTTTAGGACTGGAAGATAAGCAAGAATCTGAAGCTGGTGCCTCTCCAAGTATTAATTTGTTCTTACAAATGTTTTACTCAACGTGACCCTAACCTCTTTGGAATTGCTCAGGTGTAGAACAGGTGAGGTGCTCATTCATAGCCTCACTCCACTTGCCCTGTCAGCTCTGCATACACAGATTATGCCCTACTTAAGATACCATGCCTGTTCTCTTTGTCAACACATTAAATAAAGGAAGAAAAATAATTCCATTATAACGTTCCCAATCTAAGCACTACAATCTGCCTTCAGCTTGCTTAGATTCTAGGTGTGCTTTTTTTGGCTTAAAAAAGTACAAAAAAAAATTGAAAAATAAAGATTTGTGTGGCAAGTGAGTTATTTTTTCCTGCTGTTTTATGACTACCACTCCCCTTTTTCTAGGTGAGTATTAAGAGACTTTGACGGGGAAAAGTATTTATTTTATGAATGTTTTGCAATTGAAAAGGAATCACTGTTTTGTGCTAGATAGTCGTATTATATTTGTGTGATTTCATTTGAGGCACTAATATCTACTGACCTTCACAGAAAAAATGAGTAGAAGCCTGGAAACTCAGGTTTGATAACCCCTAATATCACTTTGTGACTGTTTTTAATTTTTTTTTCTCGTTTTAAAAAAACTTTTTACACGACAAACTGCCGAGGCAGTAGTTCAGAAATGAGAATTGTGCTCATTTTCTTTAAGGACAACAGAAAAGTAGAAAAATAAGTTATGAAAATATGTGGTGTGCTTTGCACAGACCAGTGGTTCTTGGAATTGTGTTCTACTCAGCACCATCCACATCAGTTGAGAACGTGTTAGAAATACAAATTATCTGGCTCCACTCCAGAAGCACTGAATTAGAAACTTTGGGAGTGTGGCCCAGAAATCGCTATTTTAACAAACCCTCCACGTGATCTCTTTGCATGCTCTAGTTTGAGAACCACAGGATAGACTTAGATAAAGCTGCTGCATGTTCAGAAAAGTGAGAAATGTCATTATAATTTCATATTTAAACCCCACCAGAAATCTATTTCTTCTTGTCACTACGTATGGTCCTTCTGGTGGAAAGCTGAGTGGAGTCTCTCATCTTCCAGGTAGTTATTATCAGGTTACCTTCCTAGCAAGGCCTTTTATGAGTTTAATTCAGGTTCTTTATGCATCAGAGTTGCCTCTGGCATAACTGAGAAATGAAATCAATGGAGCACAGCAAAGAGATCCTCAAACCAGAGAGCAAAGTTCAGGCCCCACTGAGACAGAGATGGGGCCTCAAGGTAACTTTCTAAAGGCTCCATTAACCAAGAATGCATTTTAAACAAAAATAAAAAACCAAGTACAAATGAGCTCATCAAAAATGCGTTACAGGGGTAAAGTATGTGTGCTTATTTTGAGGGAAAATTGCTCAGTAGATTGATTTTGATTAGGGAAATAATTTCTTATAACCTAAGCTGTTGAAAAAGTGTTTTTGTTTTTTTTCTTTATTTCTTCTAAAAAAAAAAAACTGGGATACATGTGCAGACCATGCAGGTTTGTTACATAGGTATACGGGTGCCATGGTGGTTTGCCGCCCCTATTGATCCATCCTATAAGTCCCCTCCCCTCATCCCCTATCCCCCAGCAGGTTCTGGCATGTAATGTTCCCCTTTCTGTGTCCATGTGTTCTCAACGTTCAACTCCCACTTATGAGTGAGAACATGTGGTGTTTGGTTTTCTGTTCCCGTGCTGGTTTGCTGAGGATGATGGCTTCTAGCTTTACACAAGTGCCTGCAAAGGACATGATCTCATTCATTTTTTATGGCTGCATAGTATTCCATGGTGTATATGTACCATATTTTCTTTATCCATTCTATCATTGATGGGCATTTTGGTTGGTTCCATGTCTTTGCTATTGTAAATAGTGCTACAATAAACATACGTGTGCATGTGTCTTTATAGTAGAATGATTTATAATCCTTTGGGTATATACCCAGTAATGGGATTGCTGGGTCAAATGGTATTTCTGGTTCTAGATCTTTGAGGAATAGCCACACTGTCTTCCAGAATGGTTGAACTAATTTACACTCCCAGCAACAGTGGAACGCTCACCAACAGTGTAAAAGCATTCCTATTTCTCCACAGCCTCACCAGCATCTATTGTTCCCTGACTTTTTAATAATCACCATTCTAAGTGGAGTGAGATTATCTCATTGTGGTTTTGATTTGCATTTCTCTGATGATCAGTGATGTTGAGCTTTTCTTCATATGTTTGTTGGCCACATAAATGTCTTCTTTTGAGAAGCATCTGTTCATATCCTTTGCCCACTTTTTGATGGGGTTGTTGGTCTTTTTCTTGTAAATTTGTTTAAGTTCCTTGTAAATTCTGGATATTAGACCTTTGTCAGATGGGTCGATTGCAAAATTTTGGTCCCATTCTGTTGGTTGCCTGTTCACTCTGATAATAATTTCTTTTGCTGTGCTTCTAGAAGCTCTTTAGTTTAATTAGATCCTGTTTGTCAATTTTGCCTTTTGTTGCAGTAGCTTATGTCATTTTGTCATGAAATCTTTGCCCATGCCTATGTCCTGAATAGTATTGCCTAGGTTTTCTTCTGGGGTTTTTATGGTTTTAAGTCTTACATTAAGTCTTTAATCCATCTTGAGTTAGTTTTTGTATAAGGTGTAAGGAAGGGGTCCAGTTTCAGTGTTCTGCATATGGCTAGCCAGTTCTCCCAGCACCATTTACTGAATAGGAGATCTTGCCCCATTGCTTGTTTTTTTCAGGTTTGTCAAAGATCAGATGGTTGTAGATGTGTGGTATTATTTCTGAGGCCTCTGTTCTGCTCCATTGGTCTATCTGTCTGTTTTGGTACCAGTACAATGCTGTTTTGATTACTGTGTCCTTGTAGTATAGTTTGAAGTCAGGTAGCATGATGCCTGTAGCTTTGTTCTTTTTGCTTAGGATTGTCTTGGCTGTACAGGGTCTTCTGTGATTCCATATGAAATTTAAAATAGTTTTTTTTTATTTCTGTGAAGAATGTCAATGGTAGTTTGATGGGAATAGCATCAAATCTATAAATTACTTTGGGCAGTATGGCCATTTTCATGATATTGATTCTTCCTATTCATGAGGATGGAATGTTTTTCCATTTGTTTGTGTCCTCTCTTATTTCCTTGAACAATGGTTTGTAGTTCTCCTTGAAGAGGGCTTTCATGTCCCTTGTAAGTTGTATTCCAAGGTATTTTATTTTCTTTGTAGCAATTGTGAATGGGAGTTCACTCATGATTTGGTTCTCTGCTTGTCTATTATTGGTGTATAGGAATGCTTGTGATTTTTGCACATTGATTTTGTATCCTGAGACTGCTGAAGTTGCTTATCAGTTCAAGAAGTTGGGCTGAGATGATGGGGTTTTCTAAATATAAAATCATGTCTTCTGCAAACAGAAACAACTTGACTTCCTCTCTTCCTATTTGAATACCCTTTATTTTTTTCTCTTGCCTGATTGCCCTGGCCAGAACTTCCAATACTATGTTGAATAGGAGGGGTGAGAGAAGGCATCCTTGTCTTGTACCAGTTTTCAAAGGGAATGCTTCCAGCTCTTGCCCATTCAATATGATATTTGCTGTGGATTTGTCTTATTATTTTTAGATATGTTCCATCAATACCTAGTTTATTGAAAATTTTTAACATGAAGGATATTGAATTTTATCAAAGGCCTTTTCTGCATATATTGAGATAATCATGTGTTTTTTGTCATTGGTTCTGTTTATGTGATGGATTACATTTATTGATTTGTTATGTTGAACCAGCCTTGCATCCCAGGAATGAAGCTGACTTGATCGTGGTGGATAAATTTTTTGATGTCCTATTGGATTCAGTTTGCCAGTGTTTTACTGAGGATTTTCGCATCCATGTTCATCAGTTTTCTTTTTTTGTTGTGTCTCTTCCCTGTTTTGGTATCAGGATGATGCTGGCTTCATAAAATGAGCGAGGAGTCCCTCCTTTTGAATTATTTGGAATAGTTTCAGAAGGAATGGTACCAGCTCCTTTGTATTTATGGTAGAATTCAGCTGTGAATCCATCTGGTCCTGGACTTTTTTTTTGCCAGTAGACTATTAATTACTGCTTCAATTTCAGAACTTGCTATTGGTCTATTCAGGGATTCGACTTCTTTCTGGTTTAGTCTTAGTAGGGTGTGTATGTTCAGGAATTTATTCATTTCTTCTAGATTTTCTAGTTTATTTGCATAGAGGTATTTATAGTATTCTCTGATGGTAGTTTGTATTTCTGTGGGGTCAGTGGTGATATCCCCTTTATCGTTTTTATTGTGTCTATTTGATTCTTCTCTCTCTTCTTCATTAGTCTAGCTAGCAGTCTATTTGTTTTTTTAATTTTTTCAAAAAACCAGCTCCTGGATTCATTTATTTTTTGGAGGGTTTTTCATGTCTCTAATTCCTTCAATTCTGCTCTGATCTTAGTTTTTTCTTGTCTTATGCTAGCTTTTGGATTAGTTTGCTCTTGCTTCTCTAGCTCTTTTACTTGTGATGTTAGGATGCTGATTTGAGATCTTTCCAGCTTTCTGGTGTGGGCATTTAGTGTTATAAATTTCCCTCTTAACACTGCTTTAGCTGTGTCCCAGAGATTCTGGTACATTGTCTCCTCATTCTCATTGGTTTCAAAGAACTGAAGGGCTTCCCTTTGTAAGGTGCCCTGACCTTTCTCTATGGCTGCCCTTAACAGTTTTTCCTTTGACCTTGGAGAATCTGATGATTATGTGTCTTTGGGTTAATCTTCTCATGGTGTATCCAATGGTTTTCTCTGTATTTGCTGAATTTGCAAGTTGGCCTGTCTTGCTAGGTTGGGGAAGTTCTCCTGGATAATATTCTGCAGTGTGTTTCCCAGCTTGTTTCTATTCTCCCTGTCTCCTTCTGGTACTCCAATCAATCGTAGGTTCGGTCTTTTAAAGAAATCTCATATTTCTTGGAGGCTTTGTTCATTCCTTTTTATTCTTTTTTTCTCTGTTCTTGCCTGCATGTCTTATTTCAGTAAGGTGGTCTTCAGACTCTGATATCCTTTCTTCTGCTTGGTTGATTTGGCTGTTGATACTTGTGTATGCTTTAAGAAGTTCTTGTGCTGTGTTTTTTTAGCTCCATCAGGTCCTTTATGTTCCTCTGTAAACTGGTTATTCTAGCTAGTAATTACTCTAACCTTTTATCAAGGTTCTTAGCTTCTTTGCATTGGGTTAGAACATGCTTGTTTAGCTCATTGTTGTTTTTTTATTACCCATCTTCTGAAGTCTACTTCTGTCAGTTCGTCTATCTGATCCTCCGTCTAGTTCTGTGCCCTTGATGGAGAGATGTTGCAATCATTTGAAGGAGAAGGCATACTCTGGCCTTTTGGGTTTTCAGCATTTTTTCATCAATTCTCATCTTCATGAGTTTGTCTAGTTTCAATCTTTGAGGCTGCTGATCCTTGGATGGGGTTTTTTTGTGGGGACTTACTGTTGTTGTTGATGCTGTTGTGGTCACTTTCTGCATGTTTGTTTTCTTTCAATAGTCAGGACCCTCTTCTGTAGGGCTGCTGCAGTTGGCTGGGGGTTCACTTCAGGCCTTATTCATCTGATTTGCTCCCATGCCTGGAGATGTCACTCAAGGAGGCTGGACAGCAGCAAAGATGGGTGTCTCCTCCTTCTTCTGGGACCTCTGACCTTGAGAGGCCCCAACCCCTGATGCCAGTAGGATTGCTCCTGTATAGGGTGTCTGACAAACCCTGTTGGAAGGTCTCACCCAGTTGGGTGGCACAGGGAGCAGGACTAATTTAACAAAGCACTTTGTCCCTTGGTGGAGAGGGTGTGTTGTGCTGGGGGGAAACCCACTTCTCTAGGTTGCCTGGATTCCTCAGAACGACCAGGAGGAGAGGCTAAGTCTGCTGGTCCTTAGAGACTGCAGCCACCCCTCCCGAGGAGCTCAGGCCCAGGGAGATCTGAATTCTGTCCCTGAGCCTCTGGCTGGAGTTATTGGAGATCCTGCAGGGAAGCCCTACCCACTGAAGGATGGGTCAGGGTTAGACCTGAAGAGGCACTCTGGCCACCGACTGACACAGCCAATGCGTTGGGCTGTGGGGACAAGAATTGGGACCAAGCCATCCAGCCTCCCTGGCCCCAGCAGGGGAAAAAGCGCAGCCTGGAGCTATAGAAATGGGTGCCGCCTTTCCCTTGCCTAGGGAGCTTTGCGTGTTAGGCAGTTGTGAGTCCCAGTGCTGGCTGCTGCCTCTTCCCCAAGGAGCTCAAATGGCTTAGACAGCAGGCAGTGGCAGCAGGTGCTGGTTGCTCCTCCTTCTGGGAGTTCATTAGGCTTGAACAGATTCCAGCTGAGAGGCTATAAGAATCTGCGAGTTCTGGGGTTGGGATGCTAGATCCCAGTGGCATGGGTTTGCAAGTGGGATCTTCTGATCTGTGGGTTGCACAGTTCCGTGGAAAAAGCACAGTTTCCCCAGCTGAGTAGCATGCTCACTCACTGCCTCCCTTCTCTGGTGGGAGGGGATTGCCCTTCCCTGTGTGGCTATCAGGTGGGCTGCTGCAGCACACTGCTCTTCCTTCTCTCGTGGGTCTTGCCAGCCTTCTAGTCAATTTTGATGAGGGAACCTGGATACCTTGGTTGCCGGTGAAGGATTCACATGCTTATTATGATTTTTTTTTTTTTTTTTTGATGGGAGCTTCTGAACAATGCTGCTTCTAGTAAGCCATCTTGGCCCTGCCCCCTAGAAAAGTGTTTTTTTTTTTTTTTTTTTTTTTTTTTTTTTTACCATTTTAACCCCATGATCTCAGCTACAATGTATTTGCTGTCTTGGTTGTGGGGAGAAAATTTTATCCATCCATCTATCTCAGGTGACACAAAAGAAAATGTTGGCTCCCTAACTTCTCCTTTCTACTCCTGTCCTTGTCAGATTCCAAGGTACTGCAACCTGGTTTCTGTTCCTCCATGTCATGGCAACTGGCATTTCAGAGGTCATCAGTGACTTACTCCCAGTCCAGCTGCTCCTCCTCTGGCTGGTACTCCATGGAAGGTTGGGCTTAATTGGCTGTCTCCTGCCTCTTGGAACTACATCCCTGAGGTCCATTCCTTTTCCCCATCCCTTTAACAGAATCCTCTTCTGTATTTCTCTCAAAACCATGTGTTGCAGAGGATTCTCTACTCAGTCTCATTTTCTTCTCTTTGAGTGCTTTTTCTTTATCAAATGAATCTCTACTCTCACCAGTTTCATTTAGCTTCATTTACCACACCTCGGTGGGTAGTATCTAAATCTGTTTCTCCATTTTAACCTATGTTTCCAAGCTTCTCAATTTCAAGACATCTAAAATAGAACCTCAAATGACTTCCAGACATTTATTTTCTAACAGTGGTAGTCCTGAAAATAACCTAGACAACAAGGAACATGCAAAGAGGTATTTTCTGAAGAAAAACTAATGAGAGTTTCTAATGTTATTTTGGAGATTTTAGAAGCTTTATTAAATGAAAAAATGGAGTCCAGCTTCATTTAAAATTTTCTCAGTAATCTCCACTAATAAATACGTTAAGGATGAAAACAATGGTTTTTAACATGAAAGTCTTAAAAAAGCTAATATATAATAATGGCTTCTTATGATTACCTCTTCTTCACAAATTGTTCTTTTCCCATTTATTCACTTATTAGATAAATATTAATGAGGAGCTACTATCTACCAGGCACTGTTCTAATGATATGGCATGAACAAAACTGGCAGGGCCCTTGCTTTCATGAAACTTACTTGCTAATGTAGGGAGACAAACAATAAACAATGGGCTAACAATATAATGATAAGTACTTTGGTGAAGTAAAAGGGGATCCAGAAGATAGAGAATTATGGGAATACTTTTTATGGAGGGCCTGAATCAGACAAGGTAGTATTTGATCAGAGATCTGAAGCAAGTGAATGAGTGAGTCCTATGGATATAATGGATAGGAACCAGTTGAATATTTGAAAAGCTGAAAGCTTAGGCTAAATGTGTGCTAAAAAAATTCATGACTCTGATGTCAGGAAATTTACTGTTACTGGTTGCATGGTCATATATCAAGTGTTACCATAGTAACCAGATTCTGGAAGAATGCATCTGCTTCTGCCCTGTGGGGTCAACTAATGTTCTGAATCACTGATTAATTAAATTAGAAACTTAATCAATCTCACTCCACATATACATGTATGTGTATGTGTTTGAGAATGTGGTTATCTTGTCAATCTGTAATCCATCTGAAACTCTCTTTTTGGGATCTGGAACTGCAAAATATTTTCTAACAATTACAACCAACTTTCTTTTATTCTGATGAAGTTAAAGCAACTGGAGAAATAACTTCTTGTGAATTATCTAGCTTCAATTTTTCTCCTGTTTTGTCTCTTCTGTGGCTGGCCTTTGGAATTTTTGTTTTTCACTCACATTTGCCTCAGAGAATAAAAAAGAGAAACTCAAGTTTCTTTCACTGTTTGTTATAAACTCTTAACATCTATGTTGTGGGGGAGTAGTTTCAAACAGAAGAATATATATTATTTTAGGATTATTAATGAATTCTATTTATGTCCTCAGTTATTAAGAGTAATTCAAATGTGGTCTCTGATTCTTTATATTTGTGTATCTTATTTGTAAATGCAATCCAAATTGATTTTCTCCATTTAATTACTCAATATTACGAACAACTTTTCACAATGGTATTAGTTGGATTCAGTGGATAAAGAGTTGCTACATCTAGCTAAAGTATTGATATTATTTTTCTATAATCAAAGCAATAAACCATTATGTATATTAGCTATTTTAGGACTTTTATGTTAAAAAGCATTGTTTTCTTTCTTAACATATTTATTAATGGAGATTACCAAGAAAGTTTTTAATGAAGCTGGACTTAATTTTTTTATTTTGAAGCTTCTTACATCTCCAGAATAACATTTGAAACTCTCGTTGGTATTTCTTCATAAAATATCTCTGCATGTTCCTTCTTGTCTAAGTTATTTTCTAGACTGCAGCTATTAGAAAATAAGTGGCTGGAAGTCACTTGCTCTTGCTAAAGAACTGTTTTCCCTCGTGGCCTTGAGAATGTCCCTAGGCAGCTTAAGATGCAAATTTACTGCTGGTACTTTGGGAGCCTTCTGTAGGCCACAAGGCTCCAAATGGCATGAAGCCTCCTGATCTGAAGTCCAAAAGGGATCTGGAGACTCATAGAGCAGCCATGGCACACCAGAATTAAAGAAGGGACTTTTAAAAGGTCCTTGTCTCATTAGAGTCAGTGCCCTGAGGGGCCAGAGAAATCACCTGAGGTGATGGGAGACATGTGCCTTGTTTCTAGATGCATGGTTGGAGTGAGTGAAGATGGTTAATACGACAGCACGGTAGTAAACATAGGTGTTGGCGAGTGAGGAAATGAGCTATGAAAACTAAAAGAGCAAGCCTGCTTTAGAAGGTGGGATGCGGAAGGCAAAGGATATATAATCATAGATTCAGGCCATCCACGGGCAGCTGAGAGTTCTGACACATTCAAAGGTAAGTGTTTGGGCCTTAAGAAGTGAGATGGGGCTTATTAATATCACTGCAGACTAAAGGTGAGCAAGCTGGTCAGCATTAAGCCTGGATCATGAGTTTCAGGCAGACAGCCTGGGGCAGGGGCTGCATGGGCCAGGAGCTTCACAACGGCCACTTTATGGGAAGTTACTGGCTTTTATTCTTGTAAGTAATTTGATACATATTTGGAGAGAGAGGAAGAAAGTGAGTGTATTGGAAAGTAGGGAAGCTGGATCACGGCCATCACTCCCCTAGTAAAATTAGAAAAAGCCTCCAGTCACTTTAATTATAACTAAAGCCTGTGATTTCTTTCTGGTGTGACTGAAGAAACCAGGGGTTTCTTGTGGTTTATTATTTTATCTTTCCAAATAGAGGACAAAAAAGTGCGTTTAAAATGTTTTAAAACCGACCAATTAAAATGCCTCATTCAAGTAACATTGGTTTGAAAAAGAAAGTACTACTTCAAAGAATAAAATATCCATATCTCACCAAAAGATTTTCATTTTATGTTTCTAAGTGCTCATCCAACAAATATTTATTGCTACTTCTCATAAGGAAGACATTATCCAAACTTAGGAGTGGACGGACAAAGCCTCAGAGAGCTTTTTTCTGTCCTTAGCACAATGACCAGAAAGGGATTCCTTTAAAATGTCAGACCAAGCTCTTCCCTGCTCGAATCCTGCCAGTCTCTCTCTCCATATGTTATTTCCTCTGTCTGGATCACTGTTCCCTCAGATGTTCTGGCTCATTTCCCCACAACCTTTAGGAAGTCCCTCCCTGGCCACCCTATTTAAAGTTATGATGCCAACCCCAACATGCACAAAGGCCTTTCCCTTATCTTTCTCCCTCATCACCTTCTATTTCACTCTACTGTTTACTTACTCATTTATTTATTGTCTGTCTTGCTCCACTATAGTGTAAATTCCATGAGGGCAGGGCATGAATTTTTCCCTCTAACATTTTATTATGAAAATTCTCAAACATAAAGAAAAGTTGGAAGAACTTTGCAATGAACACCCATATACTCATCACCTAGATTCTAAAATTAACATTTACTATATTTGCCTTATTAAATATCTATTTATTCCTCTATTCAGTCATCAGTCTATCTTATTTTTTATGCATTTTGACGTAAGTTGTAAACATCAGTATATTTCCCTTCTAGCATTTCAGTGTGCATATCACTAACTAGAGTTAAATACTTATCTTTTTATCTTTTTTACATGAACATTCTTATACACAAATTTACAAGACTTTGGCAAATACATTCCCAAACCTTTATAAAGATATGGAGCATTGCCACCACCCCAAAAAATGTTCTCATGTCCCTTCCCTGTAAGGTTGCTGGATTTTACAAATAAAAATATAGAATGCCCTGGTAAATATGAATGTTAGCAAACAATGGATACCCGTTTATATAGTAATGTCATAAACATTGCACAGGGCACATTTGTACTAAAAAATTCGTTTATCTGAAATTCAAAATTAATCTGGCAACGCTGCTTTCTGGTAAATTCCATGCTGCCCCTTCACCCCCGGCAAACAACCATTTTTCTGATATTTTTTTCCACCATAGATTTTTGCCTGTTGTAGAACTTCCTATAAAAGGAATCATACAATATGTATTCTTTTCTGCAAGGCTTTTTTTTCACTTAGTATAATGGTTTCAAGATTCATCCATATTGTTGCATATATCACGAGTGTGTTCCTTTTTGTTACTGAATAGTATTCCATAACGTAACTGTAATACACTTTGCTCATCCATTCTCCAATTTGGGCTTGTCCAATTTTTGTTTAATATGAGTAAGCTGCTATGAACCAAAGCATACATAGAAACATTGGTTAGCTGCCAGTTATGTTCTAGACAAAGTCCAAACTCCTTGACATCTCTCACAGGCACTTTGTGGTTTAGCTTTTCTTACCTCTTCTCTGGTCTCACCTCTTGCCACTCTTTCCTTAGGCTCACTTTCCTCCCAACTGTCTTCCTTTCAGTGCTCTGAAGCTCCCATGCTATTCCCACCTGGGGACTTTCTCTATGCAATTCCCTCTAATCGGAAAACAGTTTCTCCCAGATGGTTCCTGGCACATTTTGGTCCTATTCCTGTATTTACCACAGTGGGACCAGAAGCAAGTTTTCTCACTTCTCAGGACCTCTATCAGTGACCTCTCTACCTGTAACATAAAAAATAGTCCCTTTTCAGGGGGTTACTATAAAGATTAAATGAATCAATTTATGAAAAGCACATAGCCTAGCATCACAGTATGTGTTCAGTCAATGTTTGTAATAGATGTCATGGAGGACCTTGAATTTCTAGAAGCTTATGCTTTATGTATACTGAATACTACGGAACAGGGAATGGCTAAAAGTGATGGCAACAACACGGAAGATGAATTAAGAGGGTATAATCAAGCAAGGAGGAAAAAGACCAAATTGAATTTATAAGACTAGTCTGCATGAGTACACTAAATGACAGTTGAGTTTATGGCAGGGGGAACTGACCATGAGATAGATTTAGAAGACCTTTATTTTAGAGAGAGAATCAACTTACTATGCATCAAAGAGCAAAGTGGGTGGAGACATGAATAGCTGGAAACTTTCCATCTTATCTGGGTTTTATCTGGGTATTTATAAGAATGTGGGTGCCAAGTAGCAAGGTAAGAGATTTGGAAAGGGGGCCTGGATATGGTAGAAAAGGATGAGTTTGATTTTATGATAGACGTGGGAAATTAAGGATGCTAACTGGACATTAGTGGAAATGCTCAGCAGGCCATTGGAAAGAAAAATATAAGCAAAGGCATGGATTCTGATGAGGAATGAATTATATCCTTATATCATCAGATGACTATGATTTCATTGCTGTTCTACAAATTTAAGTCCTGTTTTAGACTAGTCTTATATGGAGTTTTAACAAGTGAACAATTAACTTATTTCCTTAGATGTTGTAGTCTCAGATAGCAAAAATACAGGGACATGTACAGAAGGCTCTTGTAATGGCGAGAAGGCCAAAATCACACACGGGGAGCCTGTTGCAAAGTCAGAAGGCACACTCTTGGAAAGGGACCACTTAATAAGGTCTGGCTGTGTCAGCGATGAAATACTTTTCTTTTCCTTTCTTTCCTTTTCTTTTCTTTTTTCTTTTTCTTTTCTTTTCTTTTCTTTTTCTGTTTCTTCTGAAGGATTAAGAGTCTGACACTTTGAATCACTGTGTTTCAACTTGCAGCTTCTGGTGGATTATTTTAAATTCTAAAACTGTAAGAAAAAAAATGGAGCCAGTAGGTTTGGTTTCTGATCTCCAGGCAGGAGGCAAATACTGTATGACATAGGGAACTCTGTGTGTATGTGTGTATGTGTGTGTATGTGTGTGTGTGCACATGTGAGCATTGTCTTTTTTCCCTGTTTTGTTTCTTTACCACGGCTAGGCAGGAACTGGAGGTCAGAGAATTATCTGACATTACTACAATGGCTTTTCCTTTGATATAATAACAACTTCATAGTCATAGTGATGGGTCTTTGTGTCATTTTTTAGAATAGTAGGTATATGAAATCTTCATCTATTATTTTGTATAATTTTGTTAGTGTGTAATATAACAAAGACTACCTAAGATTTTCAAGCTCACAAGTTCTTTTAGGACCAGAATGACTAATTAAGAAAAACAAAATGAATCTGAAATTAAGTTTTTCCTGAATGTATTTTTAAAGTACATATGCAATAAATAAAGGACTACTTTCCTGATAGAAATTTTCATGGAACTCAAGTCTTTCAATGTAAGCATTTTCAGATTTATTTCTAATCAAATACATTTATTTCTAACCAAAATATGCTATTTTTATTTCCCATAATATAGGGTCTGTATTATGAATGAGAATTCTAATACACTATGTTTTTAGAGCAATATTTAGAGAAACTCAGAGAATCTGTGATGAAAAGATATCAAGTATTTTACTGCTGATTCCACACTTCACTTTCCATGAAAGGGATACTTTATTGTTAAAAACAAAAAAAGTCCTTTTCCACTGCAACATACTACGTTCCTTACAATATTAAGTATATTCCCTTTTATATTTTACCAGTAGATTTTCCAGGGCATGTGCCCCATAACCAGTGTTTTGGGTTGAACATGTCTTGCTGAATTTCAGAGGCATCTAAAAAAATCACATTGGTTTGATTTGGGGAAATCAGAGTGCCAGAATGCTTGAATAGGTGGCAAGGAGTGGGGAGACTTAGTGATGATGTTTTCAGACATCATAAATTGGCCTATGTCATGGAGTTAGTGTTTGTTGACAGAACATCCACAAGGCTCAAAGCATTGTATAAAAGAATCAGGCACTGCCTATGCCTAACAGGCTTGTAATACACCTCTATGAAGCTTCAATCTAAACAAAATGTTGCTTTTACTGGGGGAAAAGCATTTAGAGAATACAGATGATTGAATGAGTTGATCTCTTGGGGCTCCTGTGATTCCAAGAAAGGCTATGCATTTGTGAAAGCTGGTGATTACTGACAAATTAAGACTTGACAATTCTAGCTAAGAATGTGCTTAATGTTCATCAGGAGAATTGAATTATATTGGGAATACTTCCAAGTTGGTGGAGAATGCCTTGGGTTTTCAAGATGCTGCCACAGTCCTGCTTGATTGTATTTAAATTGTGCTTTTTGATATCCTGGTGAGACCCTAATGAAAAAGAAACCATCAAACAGAGGATAATTTATTTCAGCCTAGTTAAGATTCATTGGATTGAGGCTTGCAATAATGCAAAACAGGATAAGTGCAGAAGAGGAGAAGAGGAAACATCAGGAGAAAAAGCAGAGAAGTAGACAGCTTTTCCCTTAGAAAATGTGGGAGAGGGGCAGGGCGCAGTGGCTCATGCCTGTAATCCCAGCACTTTGGGAGGCCGAGGCAGGTGGATCACCTGAGGTCAGGAGTTCGAGACCAGCCTGACTAACATGGCAAAACGCAGTCTCTACTAAAAATTCAAAAATTAGCTGGGCATGGCGGCACACACCTGTAATCCTAGCTACTTGGGAGGCTGAGACAGGAGAATCACTTGAACCTGGGAGGCGGAGGTTGTAGTGAGTGGAGATTGTGCCACTGCACTCCAGCCTGGGCAACAGAGCGGGATTCTGTGTCAAAAAAAGAAAAAAAAGAAAAAGAAAAAAAAGAAAAAGAAAAAGAAAACGTAGGAGAGGGGTGTGGAACCTGAAATCTCACCTTTCAGACAAATATGTTCTTGAAAGCTGAAAAGGTAAAGGCCCCAAGCAACTTGTCCCAAACTACACTAAAACTCTCAGCTACCTCTGTTTTAGTTCAATGTGTTTTATTTTCAGTTCACCTATGCTTTGGTCATAGAGTCCTCCAGAAAGCCAGAATTGCTACAACAATCTTTTGAATTTCCTTGTTGCTATAGACATGCTATTTTTAGACATGTGAATGAGTTACTGTCTTCCAGCCCCCAGAACAACCTTCCATTCTCTTTTACTGCCTTCACTCTGTCCTTGGGCTCCTCTCTTCTCCAAAAATCTTAAGGATGATATTCTAATCTGGGTTTCCAGAAACATCTGCTTATTCCAAATTGATCGGGGCAGAGGTAGAAAACTGAAACAAGAATAGATTTAACACTGGTTTATGTGAATCTTGAAATAATTTTCCTAATCAACTTAGTTTAATTTCTTTTTCACTAGTATAATCCTCAATTCTCTGAAAGTTCTGGTATCTGTTTTTTTCATGCCCTTTGATGGATGACTACCATCTTTCTGTGTGTTAAATGTTGGTTAGGAATACATTTTGGAGCTCACGAGTTCTATAACTTAATTGGCTTTAAGCAAGTCTATTGGACATATCACAAACTTTTTAATTCTTTTCAAAATGTTAAAGCTGTTATTTTTCAGGGTGTCCCACCAAACCCTTCATTAATTAGTGTGTGCATTAGGAAACTCTTCTAGGTCTCTTAAGAAGTAGAGTAGTTGCCTACCAGTTAGCCATTACTAAAGCAATGACACATAGTCATTGTTATTGCATTCATTAAAATTGGGTGGCCCTTCTGTTTTTTTTTTTTTAATAGAAGTGGGGCACAGAGACTTGGTAGTGAAAGACACCTGTCTTTGCCTTCTTTTCAGCTTCATAAAATACTTGCTCCATTCTCAAGTCCCATAAGGGAATTCCGAAATTAAATGTTGAAGTATGTGATGCTGTTAAATAAAACAGACAAGCCCAAATGAAAACCCTATATTTTTTTCAAATGGGAAAATTGAAAATAATCTTCTCATTCAATGAATAGGCTTGTCATTGTTGCAAAACAGTCATTGTTTCTTTCTCTTTCTCTCTCTCCTTCCTTCCTTCCTTCCTTCCCTCCCTCCCTACCTACCTACCTACCTACCTACCTACCTACCTACTTCCTTCCTTCCTTCCTTCCTTCCTTCCTTCCTTCCTTCCCTTCTTCCCTCCTTCCTTTCTCTCTCTCTCTCTCTCTCTGTTTCTTTCTTTCTTTCTTTTTCTTTTTTTGAGGCAGGGTTTTCCTCTGTCACCTAGGCTGGAGTGCAGTGGTGTGATCGTGGCTCACTGCAACCTCTACCTCCTGGGCTCAAGTTATCCTCCCACCTCAGCCTCCTGACTAGCTGAGATTACAGGCATGAGTGACCACGCGAGGCTAATTTTTTAAAAATTTTTTTGTGGAAAGTGGGTTTTGACATGTTGCCCAGGTTGGCCTTGAACTCCTGGGCTCAAGCAATCCTTTCACCTCAGCCTCCTAAAGTGCTGGGATTACTGGCATGAGCCACCATGCCCAGCCCAAGTGCCTGAATTTCTGCAGGGTAGAATTATGTCTCAACTCTGGTCATTGAGGGCTTAGTCCCTAAAGTCCTAAAAATAAACAGCAAAAGAAAAAGGAGAACTAGAGGAGATGGAAAGAAATATTACTGGAGGTACATTCTCACTCATATTTAGGACTGACTTTAAAGAATCTGGTATGCAGTTTCTAATAAATTATCCATGTTCATATCTTTACTCATTTAGATCAAGACGAAAAGAGAAAAATCAGAATTCCCACCAGTCTAGGAACACTGTGAAACAGTGTAAGCCATGAAATATTTATGAGAGATTTTGGGTGAAGGGGAGTCTGGGGGAAGAGAAAACTGCAAAATGTCTGGGAGCCACAGAAATATTTGGTAATTGAAAATTATTGTCTGGGGATTTCAAAAGTATACCTAAAAAAGATTAGTTCTTTAAAAGGACTGATTTCAAACTGATGTTTAAAATATATGTATTTCTCACAAACTCAGGAAATACTTCCAACAATCATTGATTAATAACTCTTGAGCCATATCTGAGTTGATATATTACCAGTTTTAATGCCAAGTTTACTTAATTTAACCATCTTTTGACCATTAGGCCATGGGACTCTAGTTTGTGACTTCTATAATATGCTCATATAACAAATAGATTAAATGGGGTCAGAGTAAAATCTCTCCTAAAAGCTACTTGGGATTCTTAACTTAATTTCTCTTGACATTTCTGGAAGTGAACAAAAGCTGCCCTATTCATTACTTTCTGAAAATTTTACTTAGATGCATAACTTTATGAACTATAAATCTCTCATCTCTTCGAAAAGCCCTCAAGACAGAAGCTAAATAATGTATCTGGAACAGACACTGGTCCCCAATTAATACAGATACAAAATTTGTAACCAAATATTTATATCTTAATTTGTGTTTTGGGAAAATTTCTTTTCCAAAAGAAAAGCATAGATATTCTTAACTGCATGAAAAAGAAAATAGAAACCTCTAACCTAAATAGAATGAAAAGCAATTTGAGGCTGGTAATTGAGAAAGTCTCAAGCTTCGTATTTCCAGCTTTGTTCACTTATCCCTCCCCTTCTGCCAAAGTTTTCAGGGAATAATAGAGTTAGGAGAAGGTCTGGGAAGTCCAAAGTCCCTCTGAGTAATTTCATAATTAAACCCTTCTGGTATGTTTCTTTAATAAAAGTAGGTAAGAACAGCAGATACCCAATGCCCTCATGTTGTCAAGTGTGCATCATTTTAATGAGACAAAATGAGATGAGCTGATGTAATAGGTTACAGAAAATATTACCATCAACATTCATCACTGATATAAATTCAATAACTTCTGTGCAGATAAAAAAAAAACTCACAAATTTTATCCAGGTGTTCTTAATTGTTCATTATTGACTTCATGGCCACTAGATGACACTGTTGCTTTAAGAGTTAGTGCAAGAAGAGCCATTAATATTGTTAAAGTTATACAGGAAGCACTATTGTAATAAACATATCATTTATAGTTTAAATGTGAGTGTCTGATTTCCCAGTTCTGAAACTCAACTAATACTGATTGTCATTATTATTACAAATAGTTCTGACATTATTATTTACTACATAAAATTTATATATGTGCAGAATAAAACAAACAACTACAACCTCTACTCCCAGGGCCATTTATCACCACACTAATGTCTAATATTTATCAATTGCTTACTCTGTAACAACATTTGTGCTTTGTACTTTAGGTAAATTATTTCATTTAATCCTTCTGTCAACCGAACTTGCAGAAGATTACAAAGCTAAGAAGTGACAGAACTGGAATTCAAACCCAATTTGACTGTTACTACTACCCGCTATCATTGACAGATGTGCTCCCTGGTAACACAGCAAGCTGGTGGCCAGGGGTAGAACATACCCTGAACTCTGTTATAGTATTTCCAATCCAATTCACTACACCAAAATCCACAGGATGCCCATTTAAATTTGTGTGTCTGATAAATGACTTTTTTACTGTATGTCTCATGCAAAACAGTGAATTTCAGATAAACAACATCATTTATTTTTTGTGTAAGTATATTCCAAATATCGTGTGGGACATAGCTACGCTATAATTTTTTCTTGTGTATCTGAAATTCAAATTCAACTAGATTTCCTGTATTTTTATTCGCTAAATCTGGCAATGCTTAGCTATTACTCCAGTTAAGTTGGGGCAGTTTAACAAAAAACTCAATTTCTTTCCTCTCTATTTCAGATTCTCTCCTTTGTCGATACTTCTCCCTGAGAAATATATATTTGTCTTTTTAAAGGATGCTCCTGTAATCAGTGCCCTTTATCCCTTTACTTCTTACCTCTTTCCAGACTTGCTCCATCTGGCATCAGCATGCCTGCCTCATTTTCACTCTTTTTCTCTCTACCGTGTCTTTTCCTCCTCTATAAACATGATTAGAGATTTCTACCTTTAAAAACCTCAAGCTTTAACTGCACTCTATTTGATTATACTTCTTAAACTCATATCCCCTATTTCCTTATCACTCATTCACTCTTCAACTGCAATCTGGTTTCTGCACCCAACATTGTAATAAAGCTCCTCTTCCAAAGATCACTCAGCAAATTTCTAATTGCTAAATTCCAGACTTTTCTAAGCCCTCATCTTTCTTTGTTTTCTCTGTATTTGATATTGTTCCATCTCTAATCCCATACTTCACTCTATTGGTATTATTTCCTAGGGTTTAATCATCACCTTATTGTGGTGGATTCCAAGATTCCCATTCTCATCTCTCCTGTAATAGTGTTCATAGTATCACCATATATGTAGTCACATGCAAACATTTCTCTTTGACATTTTTGGACCCCCAGATTTTTGCTATATGATGTTGCTTTTACCACTGCTGTATTCTTGAATCTTTCCTTTTGATTTTCAATCTAATAACATTATAAACAAAAGTAAAAGGAGCCTGTAAAGGAATTAAAAATTCATAGGAGAAACATTATATTCCTTTTTTATTTTCTATTTCACTTTCCTCATCTGATGATCATCCTGGGGCTGGCAGGAATAAAAGGCATATCCTTGGGTGGGATTCTTTATTCTTTATTTTTCTTCATTATGAATAAGTTGATGAGCTCCCTGCCTTCCACTGGTTGTCATTTGACAGTGCTCATGAGAATGGAGGTGGGATATGAAAATAACTTTTTATTCTATAGCTAAAGTGGCTCATCAGGTTCAGAAATTGCTTTATTGATGTATATGATATAGCCACTTCTGTTACATTCACTTTTTTGTGCATTATCTACACAAGACTTGATTAGAACATGAGAAAGGTTTTATATATATATATTTATATATACATATATATATACACACACACATATATATATATACATATAATTTGCCTTATTACTAATATCAAGAATACATTCAAAAAGGGCACTTTAGACCTTGAGCTCTTAAGTCTTTGGTCCTTGGTTTTAAAGACTCCTACAATCCCGGTTATGTTAAGTATCTTGAAGTATATCTCTCCCTCATTCTTGAGTCTTCCTTGGGTATGGAAGCTATGTCAAAAAATTCTGATCATCCTGCATAATTTTTAAAGCAACCTATTAAGACAGTGACTCCAAATAATAAGAACGTTTATAGGGTAGAAGACGTTGGACGTATATATTTAATTAGATGGATATTTTATTTTAAATACCAGTTAGTAGAGAGACCATAAAAACAATTCCTTCTCTATGGACATCTATAAGGATTGATAGGCGTAAGTACTATGTGCTACTAAGCATATTTATTACTTTATTTTGGCCCTAGTTTTAAGTGCAATAAAATCTTGTTTTTATAGATCATATATACCCAGAGTCAGTCTCTTAAAAATGATATATAGATGAGGCCGGGTGTGGTGGCTTACGCCTGTAATCCCAGCACTTTGGGAGGCCAAGACGGGCGGATCACGAGGTCTGGATATCGAGACTATCCTGGCTAACACCATGAAACCCCGTCTCTACTAAAAATACAAAAAATTAGCCGGGCATGGTGGCAGGTGCCTGTAGTCCCAGCTACTTTTGAGGCTGAGGCAGGAGAATGGCGTGAGCCCGGGAGGCGGAGCTCACAGTGAGCCGAGATCGCGTTCGCCCCACTGCACTCCAGCCTGGGCGACAGAGCGAGACTCCGTCTCAAAAAAAAAAAAAAAAAAAAATATATATATATATATGTATATGTATATATATGTATATATGTGTATATGTGTATATACGTATATATATGTGTATATATGTATATATATGTGTATGTGTACATATATATACACATATATATGAGAAAATATTTCTGCTAGCTCTCATAAGAAATTGCCTTAGATTAAAAGTTCCTAGATCAGTAATGACAGATTCACACACACTATGTTGTTGTTACATCCCCTAATGCCTGCAGCAGGTATGGGTCTATACAAACTTTCTTACTGAACATAATGCTTCAGAAATCCTCTCCACTCTGCATTTCAGTATTTCAATTCAAGAACTAATTCATCTTTGTTGACATAGGATTGACACAGATGGATTTGAGTTGTTTTTCAAGGGGCTAAGTAGACAGGTTTGAAAGGGACTACAAACTGGGTAAGATTGTCCATCACAGGAGAAAAGGAAAACATTTCATTCAAATTGAATAATGGTGGGAAGTAAGACATACATGGTATTATTCCTTTACGTTTTTAATGTATTAAGACATATTAAAAACAACTCAAAACTACTGAAAGACTTAAACATTATCCAAATTATCTTAGCAACTAATGAAATTTATGGAAGCTAACAACTAACATCTATCAGCACCTCTCCTGTGTGCCAAGCATTGTCCTTGGTACTCTACTTATCTAAATTCTTCCCTCAAAGACCTTGAAAAGTTGGCATTGAGTTTTGGCTTTGGTGGGATTGAATTTCAGCTTTGCTTGCCAATGTTCTGGTTGGTTGTCTGCTTCCATATTACAGCACTTCAAATATTTATTTTTTGTTATGCTCCTTTTGACATGAATAAAAAGTAAAGTTCCATAAGGATTGGTTTATCTATTCTAGTATATGTATTTTACTGCTAGTAATATAGTGAATATGGTACACAATATCATCCCAATCTGTGTGCAATGTAAACTTTGAAACATCTAGAGTAAATTTCAATAGTGTTACTAATTAATGGGGAGAATGAGAACTCTGGAACTCTTCCCTATGTGCTATTTCTTGAAGTGAAAGAAATTCTTTGTGGAAGGTCTAAAAAGTTTCTTAAAATTTTGCATTTTCAACAAACTAAAATGGCTTATAAACTTATTCTGCATCTTCCAATAAATGAGAAACTTATAATTATTCACTGTCCCTTTTCTTATTATAGTACTTTAATCTCCACTGTCTGAGTTATACTTGGGCATTCAATTTGACTTCCTGAGACAAATAAGCTTGAGCACAGCAAATTTCTGAATATTATTATGTGTTGTTTGTGAACAAGTCATTAGTGGTAGCCTATATTTAAATTAGGTTTTCAGTTGTGGAATGAAAACTAGCAAGTGAAAACAAGCACAAAAGAAAAATATATTCCCTGGCTTTAAGATCCTGGGAAAGCATGAATGCTCTAAATTCTTGCTGGAAATTCAATTGATCCAGAAAACTAGACATCAGTAAGTGTTGTGGAAGTCAACACACAACAGTGTTGAGTGAGACCCTCAAAAGATGAGTTTATTATAGGTCCAGGGCCATGTAAAATGGTGACCCAGAAGAGCCTCACTGGCACATAGAAAAAAATACTGTCCAATAAAAATGACATCATTAGCAATGATTCTTTGACACTTGGACCCTAATAATTCTGCTTCTAAGGAAACAATCAGAAATCTGGATAAAGATTTATTCTCAGAGATGTCTACCCTAGTGTTATCTGTAATAATAATAAAAATTGTAAGTAACCAGTTTCTACTTCTTGGGTAAGTGAACTATGGTACATTTTTGTGAAGAAATATTGTACAGTCATTAAAAATGATATTCTCTAAGAGTTTTTGATGATATGACAAAGGCTTATGATATAAATCTCAATGAAATAAAAAATTACATGTATAGTAATGCCTCAACTACGTAAAGAAAGATATTTCACATTAAAAAGCTGAACAAACTATACCAAAATTTAAATCAACAGTGTGATTATGGAACATATTTTCTTTATCTTTTAAAACACTTTTCTATACTTTCTGAAATCATCTACTTTATAACAGTAATTTGATTATTTAATAATCAGAAAAATGAAGAAAAATATTGAGAAATATAAATAGCTTCTGAATTCTTATCAAAGTGTGTTGTGCATTTTGCTCTATTGATCCTTAACACAAAGAATACAAAGCCATGAAGCTTGACAGTAAAAGCAAATTTTTAAAGTCAACTTTAAAAGTTGAGTTTTAATTTCTAAATAATATACATGAGAGTTGTTTGGTTATTTTTGAACTTTGCACACTTACTCATATTTCTATGGACACAATAATTGTCTTGAAAAACATTCTTTGTTGCAAGGAAGAGGGAACCCTAAAAATAATTATAAGCCCTCCATCTTAGAATAATCCCCTACTTCGCACATAAAAAGCTGCGTGACCGTATCTTAGAAATGCTATAAAAATGATTTTCACATTGCTTGTGTCCTTTTAATTAGGAATGATCTTTTGGTACTATTTCAACTTTAAGAGATTTAATGAGGCTAACATTGCAAGATAGAGGCTAGTTCTGAATTTTCCCTAGTTTTGAAATTTTCCCCTACATGTCAAACACTATTTGGCAGTGTTCAGTAAATATTTTTTAGACTTATCCCTTTGGAACAATATAGGCTGTATGGAGTATTTTAGCCATTTTTCTTCTGAGTAACACAATAGTTTTGAATATTTCATTTTTTTTCTCTGCTATTATTATCCCTTCCAGGTGGGAACTCTCTATCCAGGGACAGAGTCTAATGAAGTTTTTAGACAAACTTCAATATCTTTTAATAGAAGTACTATATTGAAAAGTTACATGACTGCTGAAAACATAACATATTTGATTTCAGTAATTACTTTGATATGAGCTCTCCATATCTTTTTGGACAGCATGAAAAAATTCCATTTGATTGTTCTCAAATAATGCCTACTAAGGAATAAATTTTGATATGAAGTACAGGGACTTGTAACTATGTCTGGCTTTTATTTTTCATGAATGATTTTAATAAAGGCCTATATACAGCATTCTTAATCAATTTTTTAGTAATGCCATGGAGTAAATTGTATTCCTTCAAAATTCATATGTTAAAGCCCTAGCCCCCAGTGTGATGGAATCTAGAGACAGGGCCTCTGGGAGGCAGTTAGGTTTGGATAAGGTCATGAGAGTAGGGTCATCATGGTGGCAATGATACCCTTATAAAGGAAGCACCAGAGAGCTTTCTTCCTGTTTCTCTCTGCCATGTGAGAATGCAGAGAAACAGTGGCCATCTGCAAGCCAGTAAGAGAGCTTTCACCAGGGAGCTGAATCAGGTGACATTTTGATCTGGAACTTCTCAGCCTCCAAAACTATGAGTGATAAATTCTTGTTTAAGCCACCCAGTCTATAGTGTTTTGTTATAACGACCTCAGCTCATTAGTACAGATAACAAAATTTGGAGGAATAGCTAACATTATAAGTGAAAAGCATAACTATCAGTATTGATAATAACAGAATCATATTAAAAAGATTTTGATACAATGAACTAATTGACTAGATTCAAGATATCAAACAAGGTTTAATACCAAATATTGTGCTTAAATTTTTATAAAAACCTCCTACATAAAAAAATATAGAGAATATATCACTTAAACAGCGGTGGATTTGCAAAAAGTTAAAATTTAATTGTGCGGTAATGTTTATGCTTTTAAAGTCAGAACGCAGCTAAAAATTGTGTTAAATTTTTGTATCACATTCTAAAGTGAAAATTGGCAAGCTGTAGCAGGTCATAGGGAGGGTGATCATAATGTTGGACAGTTTAAAAGCCATATTACATAATAGATAACTTCCATCTCTAGCCAGTTTTGAGTAATTGGGACTAGATTTACCCTCCTGCTTGAAACAAATAAAAATAACCTGATACAATATATAAAACGATGGTGTCAAGATTTTGGACATCAGTCAGTAGAGGACTGATCTTGGAAAGATGGAAAGTAAACAAAACAAGCATTAAGATTGTCCCGTCCCATCTTCTTTTAGAAAAGTTTGCAACCATGGTGCCAAAGAGTGGGGGTGGAGGATAACTCAGGAGGAGGCTGGCAGTCTTCATAGGCTGAAGAGAAGGAGCTGAGTCTGGAGACTCCAAAGCAGCTAGATTTCACATGGCAGAGTACCAGAGAGAGGAGAGACACACTGACTCAGAAATCTGCACATGCAGAATATTCAACTAAGTAATGATCAGCACATGAATGGGAGGAACCTACCGACACTGGGGAATGATTAAAATGAGTAATCTTAGGAACTCACATAGTTTCCATGTTTTCATCACAGTTCATGTTTTCATTAGCCAGAGTAAAAAAAAATCTCACAATCCACAAACAAAGAAGCAGCAAGACGGTAGATTTAAACCCAACCACATAAATAATTACATTAAGTGTAAATGGTCTAAATAAAGCACAGGTCATCACATTGGACTAAAACAGCAAGAGCCAACTGTATACCACTTAAAAGAAACCTGCATTAAATATAAAGACATAAATAAAAGTAAAAAGATGAAAATATATCATATTATGAATAACTGAAGGAACTTAGTATGTGTAGTTGCAAAATGAGATACAAAAGAGAGACAGAATCATAATCTTCCAATATATACATATTTCCTTTAGCATAGAGGTTAATGTTTCTAGAAATAGGATTGCTAAAGCAAGTTACAGACACACAATTATGTAGTCCTTAGGGAGGTGAATTTCCTAAATGTGTATTGGGTAAATCTCTTTTTAAGCATCTTCAATTCTTCTTAAGCCATGATACGGCCATAGTTTATTTTACTTATTTTTTATCAGTTGTTAGTCAGAAATGAGACAAGGCTTTTATTAATCCTCAATTAATTATTTTTTACTGCTTTCTCCTTTGCCTTGCCTTTTCTTCTCTTCCTTTCTCCTCTTCCTTTTCTTCTTCTTTTCCTTTTTCTTCTTTCTCATTTTCTTCTTCCTTTTTCTCCTCCCCTCTTTCCCTCTTTTCATTCTTTTTTTATGATTTCTTTGAAAATGTCTTATATTATTGTAAAATGTGTTTGAATATATAAGTGATTCTTTCCCTAGGCATTTTTTTTTTTCTTGCTGCTTTTTTGTGTTTGTTTTTGAGAGAGGATCTTGCTCTGTTGCCCAGGCTGGAATGCAGTGGCATGATCACAGCTCACTGCAGCCCCGACCTCCTGAGTTCAAGTGATCCTCCTGCCTCAGCCTCTTGAGTAGCTGGGACCACAGGCATGAGCCACCATGCCCAGCTAAATTTTTCAATTATTATTATTATTATTATTTTGTAGAGATGAGGTCTCACTATGTTTCCCAGACTGGTCTCAAACTCCTGTGCTCAAGTTATCCTCCCACCCCTGCCTCCCAAAGTGCTAGGATTATAGGTATGAGCCACTGCACCTGGCCCCTAGGCATTTTGTGACTTCACTTGATTTATATTCTTTTGGCTCCTATTATGTATCAAAATAGATCACAGAATATGAAATAATAGCAGAAAGAAAAAAACACACTAAAGAAACTATTGGAAAGTTTAATCCAAAGAAAGCAAAGTAAGACATGTTGGCAATCATTGTTGAGAACATAGAACTTTGCTCACTCTACTGTACTGGTTGGCCTATCATGAGAAAAATATTAACGGCACTGTTCAGGACTGTAATTAACTTATATATGTGCGTCCATATTTGAATGTAAGAGTATTTTTTAAATAAACAGCACCATAGAATATCAGAACTCTTTAGAGGTTTACACTAAATTAATTAGGCCTGAAGCTGAGGAACTAATTATGTGTTATGTGTCATTGGGATTGGGCTCTTAAGTAGCAGATTTTGCCTCAATAATTGGGGAAAAAAAGTTCTAACAATCACAATGTTAGAAAATTGGAATCGGTTATTTTTCTAGGCCTTTTAATTTTAGAAATCGGAAGAATTAAAGCAGAGGTTGGATTCAGGGATGTGCCTGTATGAAACTTTGGGTAAATTAAGAAAAAAAGTACTTTGGTAGACTTGATACAAATTACGCAATTGTGTGGACGTATCCCCATGCCAGCTATGTGGCTTGGTGGGTAGAGTATGGCCTTCCTTAGTATCAGCCTTCGTTTTCCCTCTCAGATGGGAGCCTTTTACAGTGTCTTCTTAGAAATGCTGTAGATCAACTTCCTGAGGTAGGTATGAGTTTGGGGTTGATAACTTCCAATGTCTGATCTATACTTTTCATTGTAACCTCGATATAAATCAGTGTCTTAGGTGTCCCAATCTCCACAGAGACCACATTCAAAGAAGCCTCATGTCAAAACCAAAAATACTGCGAGAGAATTTCACTCTTTACTAATGTCTCTCAGAAACCATTAAATGTGATTCAGTTTATAACCTGCACAGCATTTCTCAAAAGTCTGTTTCTTCACTTGAGCCTGGCCAAATTCCCTCACACTTCATAATTGCCGCAGAGATCCTCACATGCCAACCCTCTACAAATTCTCTCTGAAGCCCCAACCCATGAGGGTGTCTGTCTATCCTTTGTCTCCTTTATTTCTTCCGCATTTCCCATCTGGTTTTTCTTCTCTTTGTGCTCCAGATTTTATAATATTAGAAAAAATAACTGTGTTGAAAAAAGAACTTTCCATAGATTGTGAGAGAACTGGGAGAAGCTGAGCAAACAAAGATAAAATCTCATCTTATTTTTCTCCTAGAACCTTTATTCTCATTTTCTCTCCACCTGGTTATCTGATTTTTTAAGAGCACAACCTGGAAACCAGGATGAGATAGACTAAATGATTTTTGGGTACTTTTGGATGAACATTTGTATGTTAATACTTACTGTGTGAATCCAATGTCTGCAGCTCCTTCTGCTAAATTCTAAAAAAGAAGCAAAGCAATTTATGTGAATAATCCCTACTCAAAAGGAATGTACAATCTCATGAGTCAGACTGGATAAAAATCACATGAAATAGATTTAAAGGAGGAAAACCAATAAACAGTGAAAATGACTACAGCTCTATACACACAAATACACTGAGAGTTACCTGAATGTTCATTACACAGCATAAATAAAATTGTGGAGAAACCAGGGAAAGTTTCGTGGAAGAGGTAAACATTGAGTAAATGTTTAGAAGATGTAAAATACCATGTAACTAGGGCCATTAATATAGAAATAGACTAGTGCACCTGTAATCCCAGCTATTCCGGAGGCTGAAGCAGGAGAATCGCTTGAACCTGGAAGGTGGAGGTTGCAGTGGGTGGAGATTGTGCCATCGCACTCCGGCCTGGGAGTTAAGAGCGAGACTCTGTCTTAAAAAAAAAAAAAAACAAAACGGAAAAGTAATGGCCAGGACATCATGAGTATAATTACCTGCTACAACAGAGAGTCTCAGCAGGCTGAAATACTTTTGTTTTTCCCCGCAAAGGGAATGCCACTCTCCATCCTCTGAGCTCCCGTATGACTTATTGGGTGATTTGACTGTTATTTATCACATTCTGCCTTGAGTTAGTTATACATGTTTTGATTTTCTTCATTAAATAGTAACTCCTAGAATACAGAGGTAGTATCTACTCCTTTTCCTTCCCTTTTCTGTAGCACTTCACACAGAGTCTAGCAAATTATCATTGTTTAATAAAAACTTGCTGAATTAGAGTTAATGAGAAGCTAGTGAGTAGAAGGTGGGAAGGGGAGCAGAGAAGGACTGCATTGCTTCCACTAATGAGTTTAAGTTTGATATTGGAGATAACTGAAATTCAAACATATCAGTGATGTAATCAAAATGAGATTTTACAAAAAATCTTTCTGTTAATCCATGTATGAAGTAGAAGATAACAATTTCATCTTTTTATTTGTATAGGTATTATCCCAGATGTTTAGGAAGAGATATTCCATATAGATGGTACATACTGTTGAACTGTAAGCTACTTTTAGTCATTGAAACTTTTGAATGAATACACTTAGCATTCTTGAATTTTGCAGGCTGTTCAAGTTACTCTGAGAATCTTATGTGTGTGAATAAATTTCCTCATAATGTTTTTCTTTCTTTCTGGCATTGCTGATTATAAATAGGCATGATCCATGCTCTGGTTTGACATGTTTTAAATAATATGTATGCACATGGAAATTGAAAAAAAACATCTGGAATTGGAATTCCAGATTTAAGCTTCAAAAAAGATTTTTAGGAAAGATTCATTCTAATTTTAAGAAATTTTTAAATTGAGAGATTTCAGAACTATTTTGTTAATTTCTACCCTCTCTTGGTCTTGAAATGTTTTAGAACAATTGCTGGTGCTATATGATTTAGGTACTTCTATTTACCTTCAATTCATAAAATCCTGTTCATGTGAATTTTTTGTTATGGAATTTAACACAAATTTAAAAATGATTGAAATTACACAAATGATAGATGTTGATTGGTGATTTCAGTTAAGCTTTCAATTATTTTTCTCATATTGTTAACATACGTTAGAATTTATGACCTAGATAGGATTTGAAAAAAAATCTTGTGTTTATTTTTATTATAAAGGTAATACATAATCAGTGTATGTATAGCTTCTGAATTTCTTTGCGTATATAATAAATGGAGTATATAAAACAAAAGTAAAGATTGCTTTTTGTGAAGGAAAACCAATGTAATGTTTCAAGCATGAATTTACAATTATTTGGTGAGTTCATCTCTCATACCAAGAGGATAGGATTAAAATGCTACAACTTGGTCTCTAAATGGGGCTCTCTCTACAGGCCCCAAACCTGAACTATTGAATGGTTTAGAAATTTAATATAATGTAAAAACAGTTGGACAAACAAAGCAGTTTCTATTTTGTAAGTATAAATAAATTCCCCCCCACCCCGCTGCGTCTCTTCGTTGGATTTAAAAAGAAAGGTATTTTTGCACAGACACAAAGCTAGAGATGTCATCTTTAGAAGATGGAGAGCAACTCTTCACTTTAATTTAAAAACAAAGGGAAAAAGTGCAGCAGGAGGGATCCAAGTACTTTGTTATTATAAAGGCTTCCAGAAATCAGATTTCTATTCTCCAAACAAATGGGCATTAAAAAGGACTCAGCAAACTATATACATGGTATTCTTTTCCTTGGCTACACAATTTTAGTTAGTATGTTGCCTTTTTGGTTTAATTCCAATGGCACAGTTCATAGATTTAAGTTTTTCTTTTTCTTTTGGAGGCTAAGCAAAATGATCATAAAATAAAAATCTTTGACAGTCTGTTCTATTATAAAATGTAACACCCCTTATTAAAAAGAGAACACCTACCCCCAAAAGTTATACAAAAAGAAGGCAGCACCATAAAAAAAGCTAAGGATACTTCAAACAATAGTTTGAACCATATAACATTCCTCAGTAAATTTCAGTTACAGTAGAATGAATTATAGGACTTAGAGAAACCATCAGAGAAAACTGAATGAACAGTTTCAGAGACAGGGAAGATCTCCTGTCACAAATATGTGCTCATTGTGATACTTATTCTCTTAGCCCATGAGATGAAATTTCAGTTTGTTTATGAGAACTAGTTACTCCTTTCCCAGACTGGGCAGTAGCTATCTGAATGTTTCTGTATGAATGAAAACCTCATCTGCCAGGGAATAAAAATGGTAAGGACCTTTAGCAATGCCCTGTTATGTTTCTGAATTTTGTAGAACTGGCAGTCATCTGATAATGTTGAAAATATATAGCTCTCAAAGAAATAGGGCTGGATTCTCTGAATATATTTTGCACAATAGATCCCTCTGGCAGTTTTATGATTTTGCACAGCTTGTAGAGAGAGACTGGACTAGCTGGATATTTCCTGGTTTCATTAGCATAGCCCAGCCCACTTCCAACACACGCCCAGAACTACCTCATTAACCATTGGGATTGCAGCCAAAAACATAAGACTACAGTGAATATAAGGGGAATTACTGGCGAGAGAGCTGTAGACCAACTTAACACTGAACCCATTACTTTTCCAAGACCAGAAAAAAATATTACATGAACAGGAACTACTTCTCCTTCAGATAAGAATTCAAGGTTTTAATCTATAGTTTTTAAATCTAGAATAATTAGCTGTATCATAAAAAGACAGCTGCATATATTGAAGTGCTTCTGTTAATCTCTCTCTCTCTCTCTCTTTTATTTACTTATTTTCTGGGCAGCTTTGACATTGTAAACCACAGACGAATTGGAGCTTGGCATTGAAAGGAGGTGTTCTGCAATGATTTTTTTTCTTGTTTAGAGAAGTTTACTTCTACAAGAAGAAATCTGAAAAATGACAGGAGCAAAGAGGAAAAAGAAAAGCATGCTTTGGAGCAAGATGCATACCCCCCAGTGTGAAGACATTATACAGTGGTGTAGAAGGCGACTGCCCATTTTGGATTGGGCACCACATTACAATCTGAAAGAAAACTTGCTTCCAGACACTGTGTCTGGGATAATGTTGGCAGTTCAACAGGTGACCCAAGGTAATGTATTGCATTTGAGTTTCCTGTATTATGCAGAGTAGATGTCACTTTGCTTCCTTGGAATAATACTATGACCTAGAATAAACAATTTAGCTAAATAAATGGATATTAGCTGTGGGGAAACAAGCATATTGGATATATTTGGAGAAGAGTTTTCCTAATTGTCTTTTTTCCTCTGTATTTTGATAGCTATTAAGCATTGAATAAACTTTTGAATGACATTACATTTTTTCACTGTTAAAATTCACACTGTTTTAGAGTGAAAGATTAGTAATTATGGGAGTGTGAGTTTTTATAACATGATCTTATGGATATAGTTGCCTACTTTCACTGAATCAAGCTATAAAATACTCCTGGCTTGAACACAATCGTTTTGGAACCTAATTAGCAGCACACAATTACCTGTTGTAGCCTTGAGAGTTGCTATAAACAAGGAACAAAGCTTTCTGTACATAAAGGAGGCTCTTTGCCAAGATTGGTATTTGCAAAGAGAATCCTGTGTGTCCTGAGAGCTTATGTTTTACTGTCTATGCTGATTTACTTCTGTATCACATTACCTACTACATCTATTTCTCAGTAAGATATTTAAACTGGTGAGAAGTCTGATTTTAACTTTCCCCAAAACAGACTAAATGATATTCTGGATTTAGATAGGTGTTTCTATTGGCAAAAGCTACCGACCTAGTGTGCATGTGTGTGTATTTGTTTGCCTTAAAGATATATCCATTGCAGTTCTTGGCTAATTCAAATAATTTTCTACCTGTAGCAAGGAAAGGAACTAATTTCTGAACCTTGAGAATTTAGAGCAGTTTCCTTGGCATAGACACTGCAGGCTTATATTTCCTTGCAGTTTCACTACCTCCTTGGCTTTAACTATTATTTACACTGTTAAATTATAAGCACTCTTTTAATTAAATTATTCTGTAGCTGGAACAAACTGGTTTGTGTATTTGTGTTTTTGGTATAATTAGGAACATCTGCACTAGTGACTTTAAGATCCATAATACTGTCATACTTTATAGGATTCCATTTTACTGAATAGTCTTATATTTTTAATGACCATTTTGCCAATAGAAATGCATAGTAATCTTTCAGAAAAATGCAAAGTAAATAACAGCTTTGGGCATTTTTGGACTTGCTTTTATTCAGTTTTAAATTCCAAATGAAACAATACCAATGTACTTTGAAAACTTAAGTGATGAATTTTTTTTTTAACCAGATAGTTTCAGCATGCTATAAATTTATTTTGCTTTAATTTAATGTAAAATGAAAGAGAATTATGTTTTTAAAAATAATTTCTTTTTTTACCTTTGGAAAATATCAAGTTAATAAGACAATTTGAGGATAAGATAAAGTTATCTATGGTGTATCATTAGTGATACTATTTATGTATAAGTTTCAGTAGTTAATTATATGGCTTTTATTTGGGTATAGATTTTGAGGGATTTTGTTTTACGAGTCATGTATTTCACTGGTTATGAAGGGACACATTGGCCAGCCCCAAGACTGATGAGAAGCACAACACATACTCAGCCCTTGTGTCTTGGGAAGTTATGAATCTGGCTGCTGATTCTCTTGGAAGGCTACCAGTGAATGGATAAGGCTGCACTACAAAAACGTTTTTGTTTGTGAAATTTAAGACTAATTATTTTTAAAATGTCTATTCTTTTAAAAACAATTTTCTCAAACTTTTTCATGCTCATCTACTACGTATAGACAGTTAAAAAGTGAAATGCCATAAGCTACCATTTGTTGTAAGAGGCAATGCCCTAAACCCTTACATACATTATCTCCCCCTATCCTAACAGAATCCCAAGACACAGCAGTCTCCTCTCCATTTTCCACAGGAGAAAATGGAGGTTTAGAAGAGTTAGAAATTTTCCCTGGACGTCATACCTGATAAGTAGTGGAGTCAGGACTTGATTCCAAAGCCAACACTCAACATTTTCACTTTATAGTCTACACTGCCAAAATAACAAGACTTTTCATAACACCAATGTTATTAGTAATAGAAGACATTTCTTTGGAAAGGTGTGACTATCCTTCCCTTCAAATTGCTTTTGCATTCAGGTTTCATCCCTGCAGTTTTTAGATTCAAAGGCAAAGTGACAAGAAAAATAACTAGAATAGGATACAGAGTAAGGAAGGCATTTAGATATCATTACCTCTTGTTTGTCTGAATACAATATTGGCAATTATTATCAGCTCAATTTTCTAAGGAAAATTAGAAGAAAGAGGGATAATTTTTGTTCTTGCATCATAACGCAAACAATAGGCTCAAGCACCTTTTTTTAGCTTTACCCATTTTTGTAGCAGCTTTTCAGTTACTCAGCATAGTTGAATTATATAAAATTGTCCAATTTACTGTTTCTTGACCTACAAAGATAGAATGTTTATGTTTCAATCTAGTAGTTGTTTTTCGTTCTTCTTTCTCAAGGAGTGCATTTAAATTAAGGATAATGGAAATTCATTTGAGTGTTTTCTATATGTCAAATAGCAAGAAGCTGTTTTAAATTATTTTAATAAAGTAAATCTTTACTTTATTAAAGATTTCCTAATTGTTAAATATAGATGCTTTTCTATTATCAGTAGCATTTTCTGTGTTGACTACAGTCTTTCTGAAATCCCTTATTCTCTTGGTTTTTAGACACCACTCTTGTTTTTCTCCTGCTACCTGTCTGTCCTTCTCTTCTTATGATTCTCTGCAGATTTTTTGCCTCCCACCAAACACTGGTGTCCTGGAGATTCAAACCCTGGCCTTCACTAAAAGCATAAAAGATGCTAATCACCCCCTTCATGCTAATGAAACTTTCTTCTCAACTTGAGATCTACATATTTATTTATTAATTTTTAAAAACCAGCCAGATTATCATTAAAATGTGATGTATACACTGCAAGACTACCTTTTCCAGCTTTCTTTGAGGTTAGGTGTTGCCCTGTGATTATATTTTGGCCAAGGGAAAATGAGCAGAAGTATACTTCTTCCAGTCCTAGCCTGTAAAAGTCATGTATGATCCTCATGTCCCCTATATGCTGGCAGGTATTAATGCCCAAGGCAAATTTGGAAGCTATGTATTGGAGGTAGCATTGACTCTATCAGCAGCCTTGGTTCCTGAGTGACCTTGGAGATCCACATATTTAAATATGCTAACCTAGAATGTTCTAAATGTACTTCAAATGCTGTGTCTTCAAAACAAACTGAATGTAACCTCCATTCGAACCAGAACTATAATAATAACAACAGTAATTTTTAGGCACAGATGCAAGCAGTATTGTAAGAACACTTGACATATATACAAAACTGAAGTTGGGAGAGGACAAACAACTTGCCTAAAGTCACACAGCAAATGAGTGGAAGAGGTAGGATTTGAACTCAGGTAATCTGGCTCCTGAGACTATGCCCTCACTTTTATACTAGACTTCTTCTCTTAGAAAGTCCTGCACATCATTCTCAACTCTTTCCTCTCTTTTGCCACCCTGCCCACTAGCATACGACCAGCTGCCAGGTTCTTTTGTTTCTATCCCCTCTCATTTTAACTAAGTAGTCTTGTTTCATGGGCCCTGCAGTCGCTGTAATTCTGTCTGAACTATTGAAGTCATCATCTTGTGGGTCTTCATTCCTTATTCTGTCTCCACCTGTAGGCCATATTCCATACTGCAGCCAGAATAATCACAAAAATCTGAATGCATTGATCCTGTTCAGAATTATTTAATGAACCTATATTTTCTCTAGAGTAAAAGTCCATTTCTTCAGCATGTCCTATTAGATCATTAATAATCTGAGCCTCTTGATACAAAGCTCTACTCAAAGAGATCTCTCCTCTAAGAATCCCTCCCAATCTCCTGGGAAGATGTTTTCTTCCCTCTTACTCCCTTTGTACTTTTTACATATCTCTTTGATAGGCCTTAACATATTGTATTATAATATCTTGCTACAACTCTTTCCACACTAGTCTGTAAGCTCTGGAAACAAGACAATGTCTTAATCTATATATTCTTACCAGCTTGTGAATTGCTTGGCACATAAATGTTTGTTGGAAGAATTAAAACATTCTAGAAGCCAACAATTGTTCCATTGCAGCATGCTATCACTCTAGAGAGGAAACTGAATTTAAACTAATTCTTATGTTTTATTATATAAATAAATGTAATAAAGATACTGATAGTAAAAAAATACATTAAAATACAAGTAATTGATTTTTTCCAACTTCTCTTACTTTCTTGAAGTTACAAATTTGCAGGCCTCCTGACAAATCTGGTAAAAGATATGTTTTCTTTGTCCCAATGTTAATTTTTTCTTCAGCCAACAGTAACAAATATGAATAGTTTATATAAAAGTCCAGATGCCCAGCTTCTCTTGAAAAATCTAGGGAGACATGGTCACGCAGGGCCCACATCTCCATGCGGCAAAATCTGCAGGCCCTTAAGAGAGCCTCCTTGTTTGCCACAGCACCCACCATTCACAGGTTCACTGCCACTCTTCCTGCTGGTATGACCATTACCTACCTAGCTCTATGAATGACTAAATTTGTTTCCCCTGCCAAGACACTTTCTAACATATTTTGTTGAAATGCCTCAAATTTGCCCTTGAATAAAACCTTCATAGGGAGATGACATAATATTAGCTTCTTCACCTAAGACCACAGAACCTTCAGGTCTGTGAACCTGGACTCATATGTTTCAATATACTTCACTTCTTTATAATCATATGCATTGTCTGTTACTGATTTTTACAATGTGTTCTGGGAAGGAGTCCAGCAGCTTTATTAGACTGCCAAAGGGGTGGTTACCCCTCTTCAGAATAAATAGGTATAATATAGAGATGTATAAAATAACATGTAGATGTATTAATTTCAAAGAAAGAAAGATAAAAGAAACTTCAGGTCCTTCTTTTACTAAGTTCAAATATTTCCTAGAAACCACTTGTATTTTTTAAAAATATTTTTAACATTTGGCAGTTCTCATTAGTAACATCATGTAAGAGCCTTTATATTTAGTATCTGCCATGATGTTCTTTAACTGACATCTTGAAGACCTTCACTGTCAAATATGTTTTATAGATAAGCAAACATTTGTAGAGAATGACATTGACTTAAAACATGTCACCAACATGGATGGCAAGCTAAGCAGTATAAGACTCTGGTTTCTAAAGCATTTTGTGCACATTACAGCCTGAATGACCATCTGGGGGAAAGAGATTCTCTGTTTCCAACATGAAAACTCAAGCATTGAGACAGAGTGGAGACCTGAAATGCATGACTTGCCATATAAGAACCTAATGCACTGGGGTGGAATATGAGAATGTTTGGCCTTGCATTTCCAAGGGCTCACCTAGACTTTTTTTTTCCCAAACCATGCAACTTTTAGCTGCCATAGGGTTGCCTGATGTTCAAACCACAAGGTTTTGGGCTGCAAACAAAAGATGGATGTTCCTTATAATTATGCAGAATGTGTGGCATTACTGGCACCAAAACTTGTGTGTGGAAGCTGAGCTTCATTGCACTCCTGAGGGCAGCTTAGTGACATGCAGAACAATAAGTGGAAATTCCTGAGGCATACTGCATTGCACAGATTAAAGACTTGTCTGGGAATGTTTCCCTGCATGGTCTCAGCTTTGGCGATACAGAATCCTAGCATTAGCCACGTATCTCTAACTTAGCTCCCTTAATCACTGTATCTTCCTGCTAGTAACTTTTCTCCAGGAGCAATGGCATCCAAATATTCCTAAATGAGTCTAAAGTATATTTTCCTTACCCCATGAAAATATAGAAGAGCTGTGACACATTCCTGTCTTTTCCTTCTCTATTTCCCCTCATCCCATGACCCAATCCCTCACTATAGCTCCAAGCTTCATTCGGTACTTTTGACTCCTGTTTTATTTTTCTTTAATGCAAAACAATGATGGTTTAGATATTAAAGGACCCTGTATTTATTTATGCACTTAGCATAATGCTCCCTATAACATTTAGAGCTGTCCATATTGAAGAACCATGACCTTTAATTTTAGAGTGTTGAAAACATGGCAAGGTTTGCAACAAAATACATTGGCAGTGAGTGTCAGGATGAGATACGTGGTCTATCTTCTGTTTTTACCTGCTATGAACCATCCCTGCTCTTTTCAGTAACTGTATCTCAGATTAGTTTGGGTGAATAACCCCTGTTCCATATATAGTACAAATGATTTAGGTGAGGTTCTATTGCTGGCACAGCAGATGGTGTCCAGGCTGATCAGGGGACTGAATGCCTCTAGACCAGGATTCTCAAACTGGAGGCCTATTGGAACCATCTTGGGGATTAAAAGAATGCTAATACAAGGGTTCCATATCTAGCAACGAAACCAGATTTTCTGGAAATTGTGCCCCGGCATTGAGGCATTGTCTTCCTTCTATTCTTTTAAAAAAATGTTGCGGTTTCTAATGTGAAACAGGTGAGAGCAGGATCTAGCCATAGTTATTGGACCAGGTGAAGGTTTGTCGGCCAAGATGTGATAATTAGCACAGTTCCATACACCTGGCCAGTGACTGATTCAAGAATAAGGTCTGACCTCTAGGCATAAGGATATGAGTTTACTATACAAGGGGCCAGCTATTTATTATTAAAATGGTAATGGCAATCTAAATGACCTGAGTGGTCAGTCTGGGTCTCAGTACATGTATGAGACCTTTTAGGAAGCCAAAACTTCCTTCATGCTGAAATGATGACAGTAGAGATAATGTGCCTCTACAGTTTCCCAGGACCTCCACAGCCTGACAATGAAGCCAATCCAGCAAAATGCATAGCAGAGAGAAACCGAGTCCTGATGACAACTACTATAGCCCTGACTCTCCATTTGCATGTGCAAACACTTTTTTGCTTTGTTTATGTAGATTTAAGTTGGGTTTCTTCTAGTCACCTTAATGACACATTTGAGTGCTATTATAGTATAAATGTGTTACATAAATTATTTCAAATATTATGAAACCCAGAAAGATTGATATTATTCTACTGAAGAGCATCTCATGAAAATATGAGCTCTGAACATTAGGTGAATTGGCCCACTTCTAGGACTGCTAAGATGGATTAAAACCTAAAACTGCCCTGCTCCATTCCTCATTCTTCACTGGTATCTGTTGCCCAGCTTGCTTCTAGCATGACAGACATAGCCTGGGTGGGACCGGGGCTGACTCTGAGCCTCCCTTCACATCTACCCCTCAGGCTGCCCCTTCCCATGATGACATGTCACCTGCCTTGATAAAATAAAACCCTGGATTTCCCACCAGAAGAGAGCTTTGCTGGTGAGAAGCAATACAATGAGCTATTGCTCTTTCCCCTGAGGTTCTCTCACTGCCCCCTGCTACATAGAGTAGCTTAGGAGAGATGGAGGGGAGACATGCTTTAATACTGGCCTGAGCATCCATGAATAATAGATTTTACCATGTAGCAGAGGTGACACACAGATGAAATGTTTGAATGAAATTTTACTAAAGGCTAGAGAGCAACGAAAAGGGAAAATAACGAGGCTTACTGCTGTCCGCTTGGTTTGATCCCTCTTGTCTCAGCTCTGTTTCCTCTATCAGGACAGATGCCATCTCTAACATTTACCACCCCCAGCTCAGAGCACTACTGTGGACATTTAACTTCTCCCATTCTGAGTCCAAGAGGAAGGACTGCTTTGGGCTCTCCTAACCATTTTAACATTGGAGATATCTGCACAAAGGCAAGACTTGACTCCTATTCATAGCCATGAGCCTCAGACAGCATAGTTTCTTCTCATTTAACACCATTTCTCAAAATAAAAAAATAAAAAAAAAACACATTTTTTCCCCTTCATTCTTTGTGCTTGACTGTCTTTTCCTTCTATACAGTTTGTTTTTCATGAGCTAATCCATTTTATTTTTTATTTTAGGTTTGGAGGTACATGTGAAGTTTTGTTCCATAGATAAACATGTGTCATGGGGGTTTGTTGTGCATATTATATCACCCAGTGTATTAGTCCATTCTCACGCTGCTATGAAGAAATACCTGAGACTGGGTAATTTATTTAGAAAAGAGGTTTGATTGACTCAACAGTTCCACATGGCTGGGAGGCCTCGGGAAACTTACAATCATGGCGGAAGGTGCCTCTTCACAGGGTGGCAGGAGAGAGAATGAGTGCAAGCAGGGGAAATGCCAGACACTTATAAAACCATAAGATCTCATGAGACTCACTCATTATCATGAGAACAGCATGGGGGAAACTGCCCCCATGATTCAATTACCTCCACTTGGTCCCCACTCCACATGGGGATTATGGGGATTACAATTAAGGTGAGATTTTGGGGGGTCACAGAGCCACACTATATCACCCAGGTATTAAGCTAATCCATTTTCATGGCTTTACTTGCCACTGCTCTATTGGTTAATTGTAGGAATATATTTCCATCTTAACTCTTCCTTCCTAGCTCTAGAGATAAATCGCCAGCTGCCTATTGGGCACAATCTCAATGTCTCCCAGGGACAAATTTTATAACTGAACACAGCATTTTTCCTACCAAAAGTAATCCTTATCCTCCATTCTTTTTTATAATGCAAGTCACCCCCCCATCTACACAGTTTTTCATGCCAGAAACCTGGGAGTGATCCTTCTTCCCCTGTCCCCTCAACAACTATATTCAATTAACCAAGTTCTGTAAATTCTTCCCTCTTAATGTCTGTCTAATACACCTGATGCCCATTGTCCTCATGGCCACTTCCCTGACAGTACTAGATACAACCAACAATTGCTAAATGTTTAAAGTGTGCCATAAACTGTGCTAAGGATTCATTGTCTATTATATCAATTAATCTTCATAATGACCCTAAGAGTTTGATACTGTTATCTGTATTTAACAGATGAAGGAAAGTAGATTAATTTGCTAAGGTAATCCAGTTAGCATAAGGCAGAAGGAGTGTTTAAATGCAGATCTTTCTGACTCCTGAGCCCGTGCTTCTACCTTAAGAGCCACCAAAATTTACCCTGCTAGTTAGGATGTCTCTCACATACAGTTTTGTCCCTCTATTCTCTATCTTAAACTCCAACAAAACTAAATTTTGAGTTAGGTAGTGGAAACCTTGTTCTTAAAATTCCTTCAGCAACACTGCAAATACCTTTTTACCTGCTCGTTCGCTCTGTGTTGTTCCCTTGCTTCACATGATCTCCTTGGCCTCTCTCACTTTCCTTACTGTCTTTTCTCATCCCTTTCTATTTCTAGCTCCTTCCTGAAACTCCAAATACTACCCCTGGGACTGAAACCACAGGCGTGCATTGATTGGCCTCTACAGCATTGGGAATCAATGTTTAAATACCAGAAGACTTAATTTTAAAATGGAAGGCTTTCCCTCCTTTCATTCAAATATAGTCATCTAATCACACAGGTTCCATATTCCCAAATGGCAACAATAGGCTGAAGTTGACTTTTGCCTGCACCCTTTATATGGACATGGACTTTCTAATTTGCCATACCCTTCCACACTCCTGTTCTTTTGTACATCATCACTACTTAACACCTGCTGTTTTATTCTGCTCAGCTCTAGAACAGATGTTCTCAAACTCAGCTCAAGGACAACATGACTGGCCAAGGTCATCAAAGCATTTAGAATAACAAGGTATTTAATATAAAAGTAAACAACACCTAGAAGGCAGTTATGGCTATAAATTGCCAACTTTCCTCTCATTGCACAGGATTAGACTTCTGAGAATGCTTTTCAAGGCCCTTCAATATCTGAATCTCACCTTTCCAGCCACACCTTTTTTATGTTCCCTTCAGCATCATATGCTCTGCCTATATTGGACCGCACTTAGTATTCTAAAGGATCATGCTTCTTTGCCTCAGGACATTTGCACATGGTATTTCCTCTAAAATGAATAATATTCCCCTGCCTTGTCCCTTTCACCTGATTATAACCTACCATATTTCAGGAATGGGTTTAGTTCAGTAATTCTCAACCATGGCTACATATTACAGTCTCTTGTGGCACTGAAAAGAATACTCATGTCCAATCTCCACCCTAGATTAATTAAATCAGAATCTCTGGATAATTTAGGGCAAATAATTTTATGTTCTGTGTCTTGGCTTACTCAACTAATGAAAAAATAAATAAAAATGAGCAGCCAGGGTTGAGAACTATAGGCTTTCAGAAAGCACTGTTGATACCTCTATTTTGTTTTTCCATGGTACTTATATCCTTTACTAACTTTATAGCATTTATTTTTGATTCATATTTGATTGAGCACTGTATTAGTCCATTTTAACACTGCTGTAAAGAAATACCTGAGACTGGGTAATTTATAAAGGAAAGAGGTTTAATTGACTCACAGTTCCATATGGCTGGGGAGGCCTCAGAAAACTTATAGTCATGGCAGAAGGTAAAACAAGCACCTTCTTCACAAGGCAGCAGGAGAGAGAAGAGAGCAAGGGAAACTGCTATTTATAAAACCATCAGATCTTGTGAGAACTCACTCACTATCACGAGAACGTCATGGGACAAACCACCACCGTGATCTAATCACCTCCTACCATATCCCTCCCTTGACACATGTCGATTATGGAGATTACAATTTGAGATGAGATTTAGGTGGGGACACAGAGCTAAACCATATCAATTGCCTAAGCCATACGTTCCTTGAGGGCAGAGATTATTTACAGCCTAGGAAGACCAATCACCTTGGCTTTAGCACTGAAAGTCCTGAGTTCCAGGAAACACTTTCAGCTCCTATCCCCAGTATTTGGCACAGTGTAAGTACTAAAATATTTGTTGACAGTGAACAATCATAATTGAGATAGATGGATGGGGTTTTCCTAGGCCCATGCTCCTTCTGGTGGCTCCTCTCTTCATGGGAACTTTGTCTTTCTGTTTCTATTATTTAAGCTCTTAGGTCTGTTGGACTTGGGGTTTCTTGATCATAGTGATTCTTCGTGTTCATGCTTGTGAGACCTCACCTGTGTAGCAAGTCACAGGAGGAAGGTATGATGTGATTGGCCTCAACCTCTCTAATGATTAGAAATACTGACCTTAGAGTAATAATGGTTGTCTGTGGACCAAAAGAATGTGTGTTTATAGAAATTTGTTTTCACACAATTATGGTTGTTGAATATATGTAAATTTACCCCAGGAGACTCACTTGTAATAACGCTTAACCCTAATCCTGCTGATATTGTAAACTAGACAGCTGGTTATACTGTGGTTTGCTAATAACTATTCTAAGACCACCACAAACCAGTTACCACAGGGAAATAACTTTCATCGTTGCCCACACAATTTGGGTTGGATTTTTTATGTGTAATTCTTGGAAGTGCTTACCACCACCTAATTATTTTGTTTTTAAGAATACTAATCCATCTTGCTAGGATTCTTTATTCATTTCTATTCAAAAAATATTTGAAAGAATACAGCCTTTTGCTATGTTCTTGGAAAGCGATAGAGGAGTATAAGACAACAATCCAGCCCACAAGGGGCTTATTATTTTTTCTGTCTTCAGAAATGCGTACAAAAGTATATGAGAATATGATCTTGTTATTTTAACCTTGAATATATCATTCTGGTGTGGGTATTTAAGGGTGGGAACATTTTCTTAATGAAAGTTTGTGGAGTATTGGTTTCAGCCACTTTTTGCCTTGAGTAGATTGTATAACCCAGGGAGTCGCCAAAGAATTCTGTGTTTTTATTTAGGAACATGAAGATTAGTACAATCCCATCTATATAACATAACATGAAATGATGATTTGGTGGTAAAAATTGGATCAACAAACTGGCAGTCTTAAAAAGCTATCAAGGTTTGATTTGCTACTGATCTATATTATATGATGTAGAATTTTAAGAAATCAGGTTCTGCTAATCACTCCTTCCCTGGAAAGGATCTCAAGGGAACTGTACACACAGGTAACATCTAGGGAAGGGCAACCATTGTCCCACTTAATCAGCTGAGTTAGTGTGCAAAGCATAGCTCCAGCAAAACTGGAGTGGAACAAAGCAGTTTTGACCTGATATCCAAGAGGAGTTTCTTTCTTTCTTTTAAAGCTAAGGTTTGGATGGACTTGTGGGGAAAAGAAAGAGAAACTTAGAGCTTACCTTGAGGCAGGCCCTGGTCCTTTTATTAGCCAGTAGCATGGATTAGGAAATAGTAGAAGAGAGTAAAACGTACCATTGGACGTGAACTCCTCCTACCAGGAAATGTATCCTCTTCAGAGTGTTCAACTTTGACCCTTCCACTTAGCAGCATTCCTCTTGGAGGAGGTGGTAGACAGAAGAGGTCTGAGAATTTCTGCTCTACAGCTTGAGCTGAGGTTGTGGCACTGCGCCTGGAGATGGCTGGATAGAATCAAGACATTGCCAAAGGTAGGATTTAGGTCCGGTTTGAGGAGTTTAGCTAAGACATATAAACTCAGCCTGGTGAGGGTAAAGTTTAGCACTTGAATGTCAACCTGTAGGACTGGTTGACACAAAAAGTAAAACTGGGGAATCAAGTATCTGACGTTTAGGCAAAATGGAGAAACTAGTCAGGATTAGAACCTGGGGCCAAAGTTCTGGGTAGAAAGGAGTCTGAATTACAATCTAGGAAGCCAACAGCAATGATAGATCTGTGTTTTCTAATTTTCTACCCAGCGTCTGAGCAGTCTTCAGATTTTGGTGGGTAAACCTGAGCCCATGGAAGACAGTGAGAAGATGCACCTGGCTGACAAGAGAAGTAAGGGAAGAAGGCATCAGCCAGCATCATGGAAGGTCATGTGTTGGTGTCCCCCGTCCTCGCATTAGAATATCAGGTTGGCCTCTTGGCCTCTTGTGGACTATTGTAGGCCCACAAGAATAGGAGTTATTTGACTTTTTTTTTTCTCCTGAATATGGAGGGTCAAGTGATTACCACAATCTCAGCTTTTTATGCTCTTTAGTTTTGAAGAGGGAGTTTTATTGATATTGACTTTAAGAATTACCTCTATTAAAAATTTGTGGACTATAAAATGTTTAATATTTTGGTAATGCACTCATAAATCTTGAAGGTTGTTGAATAAAGTGCTTAATTTCATAAATATTTTAACAATTATTAATATAAAATCAATATTTCAGCATTTAATAAGTAAACAAACCATTATTTAGGATAATTCTAAATAATTGTTAATAATGTAACCATGTACCACTATGCATAAATCTTACCTTGTGTGCTGTGAATCTCTTTAACTTACAAACATTATCTGTATTAAAACCAATTCTATCTCAAGGTTTTTCAATTGCAACAAAGTGATTGGTAGTAATTTTAGGACTACAATTTTACAGAAAGGAAATTGGCTCTGAAAGGTAATTCTCTGGTCCTAATTAGATTCATAATATATGCATCTCAGCTAAAAGTTATTTCAGTTCTGCAAGTCTCTGAAGTAAAAACTGAACTATAAAGGGACAACCATCAGGCAGATATGGATGATATTGGAAGGCAGATATTGGAAATCTGTTATAATGGTTTTTTTTGTACTCATCATTTTTGCTGCTATTTATGACCATGCTGCCTTGACTTTATAGCCTTGGTTCTTTATATTAATCATAGATACAAGCACTTGCAACATTGTATCATTTAATTTAGAAAACTGAATAGGGAATTTCAGTTTATCCTTCTTGACTGAAAGCAACTATAAGTGCAAATTTCTCCCTTTACTATGGCATTTAAATCTTGAAGATGCCATCTTAAGAGAATGATAATTATATCCAAACCTATACAAATGCTGACATTTATTTAACTCTTTCTTTGTGCTTGCCCTGTGTTGGGCCATAAGCTCCCTTTCTTCTGGGCTTTGCCTGGAATATTCTCTTAGTTCCCTTCTTTCCTTCCTATCACCTTTGCAAGGTTCCTCGTGTAAGACTTAAACAACACTACCCTAATCCTTCTGAAATGGATTAAGTCTCTTATGTGATCCTGTAACTTCCAATACTTCTTTCTTTCTAAAAACTTCACATGTAAATATTTATTTACTCTGGGTTTTTCATGTTAAACTCTGAGATCTGTAGGTGCAGGGATAATATCGTGTCTACTTCATTTATCACTTAATTTCTTGTAACTGGTTAAGTGATGAGCACAAAGGAGTTGTTCAATAAATATTAGTTGAATAAAAGAATCATATTGATAGGGATTATCATTCCATTTTTTTTTAACAGTAGAAGACTGAAGTTCAGAGAGGTTAAATAACTTGTATAAGGTCTCAGCCAAAAAGAGATGAAATTGAGATCCAAATCCATGTTGCTCCGCTTTCCTAAATGTTACTACCTCTAAGGCTGGTCCAGAGGACAGCTAGTTAGTGCCAGATGCATTGGGCTTTGCGCTGCAAGACCAAGTAAAATAACATATAGGAATCCACCTATCACAGGAAAAGTTCCTGCCTGCTGAGACTCATGCATCTACAGCTTTCCTTGGAATTGAAACACATGTCTCCAACAAGCTCAAGCAAACTAATTCTAACATTGTCCCCCAGAATCACTGGGAGAAAAATCAGAATCATTTAATTGAAGCACTCCTAAATGCTACATACAAGGAGGGAGGCTATGGTGTCAGCACAGATGTATCCCTGGATAGACGATGGCCTTGCCAGCCTGACACTTCAAAACAAAATAGGAACTTCATGGGAACCTGCAGAATAGAAGCTAGGGAAAAAGAATAAACCTGGAAAACCAAAATGCTACTCAATCCACTCCTTATACCTGAGCCTCCTGGAAGGTCACCACACTAGATTTGCCTCCAGTCTCTCCCCAGTCCTCCCCATGATGTTGTTTCTATTGTTGATAGCTCTGTATTACAGGTCACTTAATCTCCCAGACTAGCCCACTCTTGGATTCAGACACTTCCAAATTGCTTCTTTAAGAGTGTTTACTTTCATGGTTTCCCAAACCTCATTAAGTACAGATGTTCAGGAGGTTACTTGCCAAAAATTTTTTTTTGTTTATAATTGACACATAATTGTACATGTTTATGCAGTACAGTGTGAGGTTTTAATATATATAAACATTGAATAATGATCAAATCAAGGTAGTTATCATGTCTATCACTTCAGATCTTCATCATTTTTTTGTGGTAATAACTTTCAGAATCTTCTTTTCTAGCTGTCTTGAAATATACAATATATTTTATTAGCTGCATGCTACTATGTAATTGAACACCAAAATTTATTCTCCTATCTAACTGTAACTTTGTGCCCATTGGGTAATTTCTCCCCACTCCCTCTCCCCCATCCCCTTCACAGCCTCTACTAACCACTATTTTACTCTCTACTTCTATGAGATAAACCTTTTTAGATTCTGCATGTAAGTGAGATTATGCGGTATTTGTCTTTCTGTGTCTGGCTTATTTTACTTAACGTAATGTCCTCCAGGTTCATCCATGTTTGTACAAATGACAGGATTTTATTCTAGTTTTATAGCTGAATAGAATTCCATGGTTTATACTGCAGTTTCTTTATTCATTTGTCTGTTGATAAATACTTAGATTGATTTCATCTCTTGGCTATTGTGGATAGTGCTACAATAAACATGGGAATGCAGATCTCTCTTCAACATACTGCTTTCAATTCCTTTGGATATATACCCAGTAGTGGAATTGGTGGATCATATGGTAGTTCTATTTTTAATTTTCTGAGGAAGCTCCATACAATTTTCCATAATGGCTATGCTAATTTACTTTCCCACCAACAGTATATAAGAATTTCCCTCTTTCTGCATCCTCACTAGCATTTGTTATTGATTTATTTTTTGTCATTTTGATGATAGACATCCTAATTCAGGTGAGGTGCATCATTGTGGTTTTGATTTACATTTCCCTGAAAATCACTGATGTTGAGCATTTTGTCATATACCTGCTGGCCATTTGTATGTCTTTGAAAAAATGTTTATTTAGGCTTTTTGCTTATTTATTGATGGGATTATTTGGATTTTCTTTGTGGGGTGTGTGTGTGCGCACGCGCCTTTCTAGTTTTTTTGGTTTTTGCTATTGAGTTGTTTGAGTTCCTTCTATATTCCGAATATTAACTTCTAGTTAGATGCATACTTTGCAAATTCTCCCATTCTGTAGGTTGTCTCTTCACTCTGTTGGTTGTTTCCTTTGCTATGCAGAAGCTTTTTAGTTTGATAGAATCCCATTAATCTATTTTTGCTTTTGTTGCCTGTGCTTTTGAGATCCTATCCAAAAAGTCCTTGCTCAGACCAATGTCCTGAAGCATTTTATTTATGATTTTTTTTAGTGGTTACGTAGTTTTGGGTATTACATTTAAGTCGTTAATTCATTTTGAGTTGATTTTTGTATATTATGTTGTTTTGGTTAGTATGGCTCTGTAGTATATTTTGAAGTTAGGTAGTGTAATGCCTCCAGCTTTGTTCTTTTTGCTCAAGATTGCTTTGGCTATTCAAGGTCTTTTATGATTCCATACACATTTTAGGCTTTTTTTTCTATTTATGTGAAGAATGTCATTGATATTTTGATAGGGATTGCATTTAATCTGTAGATTTCTTTGGATAGTATGGACATTTTAATGATATTAATTATTCCAATTTATGAACATGGGATGCCTTTTATTTGGGTCTTCTTCAATTTATTTAATCTATGTTCTATAGTTTTTGTTGTAGAGATCTTTCCCATCCTTGGTTATATTTATTCCTAGGTATTTTATTTTATTTTTGTAGCCATTGTAAATGAGATTGCCTTCTTGAATTCTTTTTTGTGTAATTCATTTGTAGCATATAAAATGCTTTTGGTTTTTTTGATTGATGTATATTGATTTTGTATCCTGAAACTTCCCTGAATTCATTTATTAGTTCTAACAATTTTGTGGTGGAGACTTTAGGATTTTCTAGATATATAATCATGTCATGTGCAAATAGGGGCAATTTGACTCCCTCCTTTCCAATTTGAATGCCCTTTATTTGTTTCTCTTGCCTCATTGCTCTAGCTAGGGCTATCAGTACTGTGTTGAATAAAAGTGAAAATGGACATCCTTGTCTTGTTCCAGATTTTTGAGGAAAAGTTTTCAACTTTTGCCCATTCAGTGTGATGTTAGTTGTGGGCCTGTGATATATGGCCTTTATTGTGTTGAGGTATATTCCTTCCATATCTAAATTGTTGAGAGTTTTTGTCATGAAGCGACATTGAATTTTATCAAATACTTTTTCTTCATCTTTGAAACGATCATATGGATATTTTTCTTGATTCTCTTAATGTGATGTATTATGTCTACTGGTTGGTGTATTCTCAACCTTCCTTGTGTCCCTGGGATGAATCCTAACTGATCATCGTGAATGATTTTTCTTTTTTGTGTGTGTTGTTGAATTCAGTTTACTAATATTTTGTTGAGGATTTTTCGTACTTAACTCCATTAGGCATATTGACATTCCCCCCACCTCTTTTTGTTGTTGTTGTTGTTGTGTCTTTATCTTATTTTGGTATCAGGGTAATGCTAGCCTCATAGAATGAGTTTGGCAGTATTCTCTCCTCTTCAACTGTTTTGGAAGACTTTGAGAAGAATTGACATTAGTTTTTCTTTAAATGTTCGATAGAATTCAGCAGTGAAGCCATCAGATTCTTGGCTTTTCTTTGATGAGAAGAGTTTTTATTATTGCCTTAATTCCATTACTAATTATTGGTCTGTTCAGGTTTTCTATTTCTTCATGATTCAATCTTGGTAGGTCCTATGTGTTCAGACATTTATCCATTTCTTCCAGATTTCCCAATTCATTGGTCAATAGTTGTTCACAATAGTCTTTTATGACCTTTTGTATTTCTGTGGTATCAATTGTAATATCTCCTTTTTAATATCTGATTTTATTTGAGTTGTTTCTCCTTTCTGCTTGGTTAATCTAGCTAAAGGTTTGTTAATTTTGTCTATCTTTAAGAAATACCCAACCCTTTTTTTCTTGATCTTTCATATTTTAAAAAATCTATTTTAAAAAAATATTTCTGTTCTGATCTTTGTTATTTCCTTTTACTAATTAGTGGGTTAGCTGTTTTTCTAGTTTGTTGAGGTATAACATTAGGTTGTTTACTAGAGATCTTTTTACTTCTTGAATGTAGGGATTTATTGCTATAAACTTCTCTCTTAGAACTGCTTTTGCTGTATCCTACAGGTTTTGGTATGTTGTGCTTCCATTTTCATTTGTGTTAAGGAATTTTTAATTACCTTTTAAATTTCTTCATTGATGCATTATTATTCAGGAGAATGTTGTTTAATTTCCATGTATTTCTACAGTTTCCAATATTCCTTCTGACACTGACTTCTATTTTTATTTCATTTAGGTCAGAAAAGGTACTTGATATGATTTCATTTTTAAAATTTTATGAAGACTTGTTTTCTGAACTAATATATGGTCTTTCCTGGAGAATGTTCCATTTTCTGTTGAGAAGATCTGTCCATTGCTAAAAGTGAGGTGTTAAAGTCCCCTACTATTACTGTATTGCAACTGATCTCTCCCTTTAGATTTATTAATATTTGATTTATATATTTGGGTGCTCCAGTATTGGGTGTATATATATTTGAAAAGGTTATAGCCTCTTGGTATATTGACCCGTTTATCATTGTATAATGTCCTTATTTGTCTTTTTTAAACCATTCTTGACATAATGCCTATTTTATTTAAAATAAGTATAGCTACTCCTGCTTGGTTTTGGTTTCCATTTGCATAGAATCTTTTTCTATCTCTTCGCTTTCAGTCTATGTGTCCCTTTAGAGATGAAGTGGGTTTTTTGTAGGCAGGATATAGTTGGACCTTATTTTATTTTAATTCATTCAGCCATATTCAAAGTGTCACTGATAGTGACACACTGTCTGTGTGTCTTTTCATTGAATAATTTAATCCATTTGCATTTAATGTTATTATTGATAGGTAAGGATTTACTACTGTCATTTTGTTTCTTGTTTCTGGTTGTTTTGTAGTTTCTTTTTTCCCTTTTTCCTCTCTTACTGTCTTCATTTGTGGTTAAGTGACTTTCTCTAGTAAAGAGAAAGTCTGTTCTGCTTCTGTGCTATTTATTTTTAGTGTATCCATTATAGATTTTTTTGTGGTTATTATGAGGCTTACAAAAATTTTTATAGTTATAACAGGCTATTTTAAACTGATACCAACTTAATCTTGATCACAAAACAAAAAAAAAACTAACAAAAACAAACTTTGTACTTTTATACCAATTCCTCCCATTTTGACTTTTTGATGTTTCAACTTACGTATTTTATGTTGCCCATTTCTTAACCCATTGTTGTAGTCATTATTGTCTTTAATAGTTTTGTTTTTTAGTTTTCATACTAAAGATATAAGTGGTTTATACACCACAATTACAGTATTAGAGTATTCTAAAATTTTTTGTATGCTCACTTTTACCAGTGAGTTTTATACTTTTTGAAGTTTTTTTGTTACATGTCAGCATACTTTTCTTTTAGCTTAAAGAACTTTCTTTAGCATTTTATGTAAGGCAGGTTTGGTACTGATGAATTTCCTCATCTTGTTTGTGTGGTAGTCTTGATCTCTCCTTCACATTTGAAGGTTAACTTCGCTTAGTACATATATTGGTGTGGTATTCTTAGACATAGTGTTCTTGGATAACAGTTTTTGTTGTTGTTGTTGTTTTCCCTTAGCACTTTGAATATACCATTCTACTGTCTCCTGCCTTGTAGGGTTTCTGCTAATAAATTTTTTGAAAGCCATATTGAGACTCTGTTCAATGTGATATATTTCTTTTGCTACTTTGAGTATTCTTTATTTGTATTTGGTTTTTGCTAATTTGACCATAATTCGCCTTGGGAATTTTCTCTTTGGATTGAATTTTATTGGTTACTTCCAAGGTTCCCGTTCCTGGATGCTGCCATCTTTCTCCTGAATTGAGAAATTTTCAGCCATTAATTTCTTAAATATGCCTTCCAGTCCTTTTTCTCTCTTTTTTAAGTGTTCCTAGTAAGTGGAGATTAGTTCACTTAATGGTGTCCCATTTTCCTTTTTCTCTTTTGATTGGGTGATTTCATATGTTCTATGTTTGAGCTCGCTTAGTCTTTCCTCTGTTTCATCAAATCTACTGTGGAAGCTTTGTACTGAGATTTTCAGCTTAGTTATTGTATTTTTATTTCAAGGATTTCTCTTTTTTTAAATTGTTTGTATTTATTTGCCAAATTTCTCATTTTCTTCCTGGATTGTTTTATAAATTTAATTTTTTATACTTTTTTGTGATTTTTCTAAAATCTTAAAAAAGTATTATTCTGAATTCTTTGTCAGCCATTTCATAGATTGTCAATTCTTCTTGGTCCATTATTGGAGCTCTGTTGGTTTCTTTTTGTGGTCTTATATTTCTGTGAGTTTTCACAATCCTTGTATCTTTACACTGATTCCTGCACATTTGAGAAGATAACCACTTCTTCCAGCTTTTGGAGGTACTCTTTGGTGGTACTAGACCTTTACTACTTAATATTGGAACTTAATCGCAGGCCTGCTATTCCTTTCCATTCTGGGGAGAACTTGTAGTGAGCACCAGAACTTAAATGCTGCACCCAAACTAAATCACTGCTTGCCGTTGTTTCCTGGTCTGGGGAAAATTTACTGTGATCATTGGAACTTAAACACTGCACTAGAACCAAAACACAGAGCTGCAGTGCTTTCCAGGCCTGGGAAAGACTTAAAGGAGCACCAGCACTTAATTGCCAGGGTTTTAGTTGTTTCCAGGACAGGGGACAGCTCCACTTGAGCACCAGAGATTTGTGATAAATCCAGCCAGGGTTTCAGGCCTCAGGTGGTTATTTTTTAAAGCTCTCAATGAACACATACTCTTGCCACCCACCAATCTCTGGCAGCCATTGACCAAGTGAAATAGGTAAGCTGAGTACTTCAGGTGTCTCTCTAAGGGATATCTCTTACAGAGGAAGTTACTAGGAACATTCTGAGAAATTCAAATTTCTATGAATTGAGTTCTTTTCCTTGGTCAAATAAATTGTTCTTTTCGCTAGTTTTTAGGACTTTTACCCTCAAGATCCCCCTGAATTTACCAGCATCATCTTAACTTGGTAGTAGGTTAAAATAGGACTGTATTACTGGTTATCCAAGAGGTTTCTAAAGTACCAAGGATCTTGGTAAGGTTTCTGCTAACCAGCACCACTGTCTGCAAGTACCATCAAGAAGAAAATCTGATAATGGCTCTTCTCTGTCAAGATCTGAACCACTCAATTCTGCTGTAGTCATAATGACTGTTTCCCCAGTCCACTATAACTAAGGTATTATAATTTATCTTGCTTTATACTAGTAGCTTTACCTGTTCTTGCATGTGTACTTCTCATCTTTAAGACAATGCCCAAATATTATTTTTCTCACTGGAGCCTACCCCAACCATTCCATTTCACATTTCCTCCCTTCCATGCTCTCCAAACTTTCCTAATGTCTTTTATTCTGCTCTGATTTGTCGTTTTTATAGCACTAAATAATTTATATATTTTATGTCAATTGTTTATTGTTGTATGCTGCATATTCTCTTGTATACACCATGAAAGCAGGGATTGTAGCCTATTTTTTAAAAAAGATTTATCCTAAGTGGCTAGAGCAGTGCTGGAAAATAGTAGATAATTCTACTAATGCTTGTTAAATGAATAAATATTATTTTAGCTGCTTCTTACTAAGCTCAGACAACTTGGAGACCACCATTTTCTTATATACTTTCTTCATCTGAATGCAAAGTTAGAGATAAAGAACCAAAGTATGTGGGGAGGAAAATTCTTGTCCTCTGCTGCTTCCAGGCTCGGGGGTGGTCTAGAGAAATCTTTTTTTTTTTTTTTTTTTTTTGAGACGGAGTCTCGCTCTGTCGCCCAGGCTGGAATGCAGTGGCGTGATCTTGGCTCACTGGAAGTTCTGCCTCCCGGGTTCACCCCATTCTCCTTCCTCAGCCTCCCGAGTAGCTGGGACTACAGGCGCCTGCCACCATGCCCGGCTAATTTTTTGTATTTTTAGTAGAGCTGGGGTTTCACCGTATTAGCCAGGATGGTCTCGATCTCCTGACCTTGTGATCCGCCTGCCTCGGCCTCTCAAAGTGTTGGGATTACAGGCGTGAGCCACAGCGCCCGGCCGAGAAATCTTATAGAAAGTTAGTCCTTCACAAAAACACTGAAACATGCCAGGGGATAATTACTGTTTACCTTTACCTAGTTATGGGTGTTCATGGGGAAAGAGTGTCAGGATCTACAAGAAGCTTTTGTGCTTAGTACTTCCTAAAAAACTAGCCTTTAACACTGTTGGGTTGTTACTGGCCTCTGTAATGAACTTCTTAGTTTGATTCTATGTCTCATTCACAGTCCTATTGATGATGACTGCTTGGCCTTGCTTACCCTTTCATCTACCTGATAGTCAGGACCTTCCTTTTGTCTTTGATCCTTTGCTTCTCTCCTCATATTATCTGTTACTCTAGGTGAATATATAATTTTCAGAATCCTTTCTGTGTTCACCTGGGCTTCATGGAAGAGACCCTGGTACTTTGCTTGATATACAATAGTTTACTGATAAATTGAAGTAATTCTTAGTATAATATTCCTTAATAATAGATGTTTGCAATCTAAATGGACCCCTGGACACAAAAGCAACCAATTAAAATCATTTTGGTAGATACTGCAAATGCAGAACATATAGCATGAACTAACATCATTAAAAGCACGATCAACTCTTCCTGGAATGGGGATGAAGTTGTTAGTCAGCAAAAGTTTCAAGAGAAAATTACGTTTTTACCTGATCTTGAAGGCTACATAAAAGTTTACTAGATACCACTGACGAAGGGCACTATAGACAAAGGAAAAACGTATGCAGTGACAAGAAGAATGAAAGTTTGTTTAAATACTTTCTAATAATATAATTTGGTGAGAATTGAAACTGGAGAATTTAACATAGTCTAGGTCATAAAAGGCTTGTATGACACAGAAAAAGAGTTTGGGTTGATTTTAGAAGGCGATGGAGAGCCATTGGTGGATCTTAAGGAGGGCTATGGAGGGACATGTGTTTTACAATAATTTCTGTGGCAGCAGCTTACATTACATGCTTGGAAGAGGCAAGAGGCTAGTTAGGAGAGACTAGTTAGGAGAAATTATCTCTGGAAAATAAAGCATGTTATCTGAACAGACAAAGGCAGAAATAGTGGCAGTAGGAATAGAAAAGAGGGACAAATTCCATCCATATTAAGTGGAATAGATAAGTTTAGATCAGTGTTTTATGTAATATAAGGGTGAAAAAAAGAGTCTATTTTGATGACTTCCAGGTTTCTTAATTGGGTGACTGGATGGGTGGTGATGCCATTTTCTGAGATAGAGCATAAATAAACAAAACAACCAGTGTTTGTTTTTGTTTTGTTTTTAATGCATATTGTTTTGTTGTTATGGAGGGGTTGGTGGTGAGAGGGACCAAAATAAACAATTTCCATTTTGTATTTGTTATATAAGTGCCTACAGGACCTCTTGTTATCCATTTGGGTCTAGACCTTAGGAAGGATATCATAAAGATGTATATATTGTGGTCATGGTATGGGATTGGATCAGATAATTAATGGATAGTTTGTAGAATAGAAAGAGAAATTAGGATGGAAGTAACCTTGGGAATGCTGACATTTAAGAGTGGTAAGAGCTAGAAGAGCGAGGTGAGAAGATATGGTCTGTGAATATCAGGGTGCTCTGGGAGGCAAGTGCTAAAATAGTTTAAACAAAGGTATTGACAGGGCCAAATGTAGCAAACTTAAAATGTATATATGAGACATACAGTTCTCAGGACAGAAAAAATTAATGATTAGAAACTCAAAGAGTGAAATTCAATAAGAATATAACACTGGAAAATATGCTTAGTGACAAAATCAGATACAACCAAATAACTTCGTGACTTTTCAGGAAGGTAGGCAACTTGGAAAGGCCATCATTTGTGAAAGTTTGTTCATCCTTCAACCCCCACTTCAAGTCTTATCTTCCGATAACACTTTTTTGTGATTATGTTTCTCATAATTTTTCTACTTTCTCTGAATTTTGGTTACATTAATTATCCTATAAATTGCACATATAATTGTTGAATGTTGGATGAAACTTTGTGTTAGTTGAGGACCTTGTAATTCATATCTTATGTCCCTTTGTATCTCTCATGGAATTTAATATGGATTTGGAGACACCATAAGAGCTTTATAAATAATTAAGAACTGTCAGGAAGATCTCGGTTTTTAACTTTGGATGTATCACTTGAACAAGTTCTTCAGCTGCTCTAAGATTTAGTGTTCCAGTATGTAAAATAGGGACAATAATACCTAGTACACAGAGTTACTTTGAAAAACAAATGAGAGAATATAAGGTGCTCAGGGCAGAATCTAGTACAAAGGAAATGTTCAATAAATGCTATTATTGTAACCTTATTATTATCATCTATTCCCCACTAGAACATAAACTAGGATATGACATTTATAAACATCAACTCCACAAAGACAAAGATTTTTATTTGGATTTGTCTTAGTCTATTTTGTGCTGCTATAATAAAATGCTGAGGCTGGATAAATTGTAATGGACAGAAATTTATTGGCTCATAGATCTGGAGGCTGGGAAGTCCAAGTCTGAACAGCTGTCATCTGGCAAGGGCCTTCTTTCTGTCTTATAACATAGTGGTAGACAGAGAGAGAGAGAGAAACAGAGAGCAAGAGAATGAGAAAGAGAGAGAGGAAGAAAGAGAGATAGAGAGCACCAAGGAATGCAAGAGTGTGTGCAAGAGAGGGTGACCTCACTCCCTCAATAATGGCATTAGTCCATTCACAAGAGTGGAGCCCTCATAACTTAATTCTTAAAGGTCTCACCTCTTAATACTCTTATACTGACAACTAAATTTCAACATGAATTTGGAAGAAGCAAACATTCAAACCATAGCAGAGTTGTTAATTGATATATCTCCAGTGCCTGGCACATAGATAGGTGAATTAAGCATACAAAGTGCTTAATTCTAGACACTTCTAGAATTTTTTATACTTCTAGATTTTAGCTTTGCTACCTGAAGGTAAGAAGATAAGGAGGTGGAGAACATTAGCTTTGCAAGAAATCTTTCAAAAACAATTCGGTTAGACAAATTCTAGACATCTTTTTTAAGGGCAGTCTCTTACCTCAAATTTGCCAAGGATGGGTACTTTGAAATTCACTTCCATATATCACTGATATCAGTCATTGGATAGATACCATTCAACATCTGCAGGTACTCTATGCATAAATGCGCATATATTCCGTCTCTCTTCCACTTCTCTTATCTCCCTCACCCTCATCTATCTGGTTAAAAAACAGAAACAGAAAAAGAAAACAAACAAATCCAAAACGGCATAGGAAAAGATACCATATAGCTTAATTAACATTTTAGACTCACTCTCTATATGTAGAATGTATATAGAATATATAATTGTAATATATAACAACATAGAATATAGAATTTTGGGTCTCTGGGCATGTAGCCAGCACTTTCACAATAACTGGGTAAAAGATTATTTATTTTATTTTTTTGAGACAGTGTCTTGCTTTGTTGCCCAGGCTGGAGTGCAGAGGCATGTTCACAGTTCACTGCAGCCTTGACCTCCCAGTCTCAAATGATCCTCCCACTTCCGTCTCCTGAGTAGCTGGGACTACAGGCATGCATCTTTCACTGATTTTTTTCTTTAAAATTTTTTGTGGAGACAGGGTCTCATTGTATTTCTCAGGCTGGTCTTGAAAACCTGGGCTCAAGTGATCCACCCTCCTTGGTCTCTCAAGAGCTGGGACTATGGTTGTGAGCCACCATGCCTGGCCTAAAAGAATATTTTAATGACGTTTTGCATCCTTACATGATACATGTGGATCCATGATCCTTCTCTTTTAGCTTATTGTGCATAAACTTTGGGGGAATTGCTGGGGAATGGCACTGTGCAAAGAGAAACATCATTACTGCTTTGGTATGATATCGGGTGTCCAAGCCACTTCCTCCTCTAAGGGTAAATTGTGTGAGAAGGGAGTGCTGGCCTGGACCATGACTGTATGCACTGGTCTGACCAGACAATCGCTTCTCAGTCTTGCTTAGAGTCAGGGATTAGCGTTGTGTGCCTTTTCCCTTGCTTGGTATTTCCACATTTTCATGTGGGCCTTAATGTTTGCTATTGCACACTTATCCTCTTGAAGCCAGTGAGCTAACTAATCCTCTCTGAAAATAACTGGATTATCTTTAAGTAGTAAATTAACCCTTTCAGAGCATGATGGCTGTATATAATAAATTTTTGAATTAATTAAACAATCACAATCTGAAAAGTGATATCATCCCACATGCATGGTGTGATGTTTACTTACATAATTCTGTCACTTTATGGCCAAGGGATTACTTCTTTTTTTTTCTAAAATTTTGAATATAGCTAAGTAACATATCTTCTACTAAAATATCAAAAGATAGAAATCATAAAAAGAAAGACATGCCATTTTTTATTAGTGATCTTGAAAAAATAATTCATAGAATTTCAAAATCAAGTTTAAGAAAACAAATTCACTACTAACTTGCATTTGTATATTATTTTATTATTACTATTATCTTGCATTCATTTGACATTTTTTTACTTTTCAAAGAAGTCATTGATTTTTAGTGTGGCGCTATGAGCCTCATTTTTGTTTATAAATCCTGGATTCCATTAAATATAACTACAATGAAAATTCTAGCAGATATAGGAGTAGGAGATGGTGTTCATCAAAATTCTTCTCCAAATCAAGCCCCCTTGTAGCCAAGATTATTTCTTCTTTCTGTGCTGAACTGGACCTGAACTGACCATTCTCATTTCCTTCCTGTAATAATTGGGTTTTATGGGGGTTAGAAGCTATGTTGGGACTCTCATCAGGATTCACACTGGACTGTCCCTCTTTCTACTTGGGTTAAAATTTGCTGAAGCAGAAAAAATTCCTTGGCCAGCAATCTCAGACAAAGCCATAAACTGCTGATTTTTTAAAATGCACTTCATCTTATCACGTGCTTCCTTCCATATCACAGAAACTTTTCGTTTTATTCCATTTAACATTGAGACCCAGAAAACCAGAAACCACTGTTGCTGTCACTTTCTCTTCCTAACCTGGGGGTCTCAGAGTCTGAAGTAAAAATGGTAAGAAGAAACAAAGAAATGGTATATTTCATGTATATTTGTGTTTCAACACACATACATGCCTCTGGTTCCTGTCATCCTTGGAATTCTTGACATGGCCTCAAGTCCTTTCTCAATGAGCCCTCTTTTCCCTTGCTTTCCTTCGAATACTGAGATGTGTGTCCTTCTCCCTGGCTTGAACTTCCAGTGATTTCTTCATTGCCAGCCTTTACTAATGCACCCTCAGGAACCCCTCTTTCTTTGGGAATAAACTGCACACTTTCAAAATGTTCACAAAATATTCTCTCTACCTGTTTGCCTTTCTTAAAACCTGGCTCTCTTATACAAAGGCATTATCTCCTGAACATCTCTCTCGAGTGGAGGCTAATCATTCTCCCACTGCCTTTGGTAATTCGTGCATAAAACTGCTATTTGTATGCTCATTATCTGCCCTGTTCAATACTGCATCCCCATTTGCATATGCTCCTTTCAAAGTCAATATTTTTTCATGCTCATATATTTTTGTAAAATTTTAAAAGTAAGATATTTTAACATAAATTGAGAACAATGTCTCTTCCCAACTCAACCTCATTTGGGTCACACATCTTATGTCCAGTGGCATCAAAGTGGCTGCAATATGTTTACAATCTGGCTAAGAGAAAGTTGCCACAAAATACTGACATTGATGGACATAAAATAGAACTCATAATATGGCCCTATAACCAGAACATTATCAATAAACTTGTTAATGTCTGCAATTCAAATATTTATGTTTCTGTATAAGAAAACTTAAAATTCCCTAAAACTTTACAGCTATCAAGAATTTTAATGGAGGCTTTTTCAATTTTATAGTTTAAACTTCACATATTATTAACTTGGTACAAAGCTAAAATAAAATATTTTAATGTATCAATATTAAAAAACAAACTTAAATAAACAATGCTATCTTAGGCTTATTCCCCCCCAAATTAGTGACTGAGTCAGGATTTATGTGCTACTACCATATATCATTAGGGAGTGTAAACCAAGAGGGCAGGAGCTAGAGACTAGGAGGGAGAGATGAGAGGATGCTTGTTACAGAGCTGACTACCTTCAAGAGTGGCTGACTGCCATATCGTTGGGACCATGCCCCCTGCAAAGCTATCAATGTCACTTCTAGACCATCTTTCAGTGGCAGGGGGAGGAGGGAAGTGGAAATATTTATTCTCTAGCTCACTCTCTTATTGGTCAAAGTTTTATTCCTTGGGTGCTCCTCTGAGTTGGCATGTATGAGTGGGCATTAACAGAATCCCAGAGCAGGTGTCAACAGGGAAGCCCCACGGCTCCAGAAAAAAAAAAGGACCTGTCAGATTGCATCACAGGAAGTCAGACAGAGCTCTTGCAGAGCTGCAAGAGACGGGTGAGGCCAAGAACATCTGAATTGATGCATAAGAGATGTCTGACATACAAGAGAAAATCCAAAATTATCCTTCTATGCTCTCTATAGAAAATGTTACACAAATCATTGTCATATGTAGAAGTGTTCAAAGACTATACAGCCTAAAATCATAATATATAGAAGTATATACTATATATGTATACAGAGGTATCATAGAGTAAAAGTATTATAGAAGTATATCACGAAATTAATGCAAAGATGTTATTTTTTTCTGGATCATGGAATTTGTCAGCTTCTTACAATTTATAATTTGGTGTGATTTCTCATTCTAAATAAATATTTGCCTTTTTTTAATTAACAAAAACTGTATATGCTTATGAAGTACAACATGATGTTTTGATATATGTATGCAGTATGAAATGGCTAAATCAAGCTAATTAACATACGCATTACCTCACACTTTTTTTGTTGTAAGAACACTTAAAATCTATTCTCTTAGCAATTTTCAAGTATACAATATATTGTTATTAACTATAGTCATCATAGTATACAATAGGTCTTTTGAACTTATTTCTCCTAACTGGAATTTTTTGCCTTTTGACCAACATATCTCCAATTCTCCTCCAAATCCCGACCCACCTTAGCTTCTGGTAACTATCATTTCACTCTTTCTATTAGTTAAGCTTCTTTAGATTCCCTGTGTAAGTAAGATTAGGTAGTAATTGTCTTTCTGTGCCTAGCTTATGTCATTTAATATGTCCTTCAAATTCATCTACAATGTCACAAATGATAGGATCCCCTTATTTTAAGGCTGAACAGTATTTCATAGTATGTGTGTGTGTGTGTATATATATATATATATATATATATATATATATATATATATGTATCACATTTTAAGAAATCCAGTTATCCTTTGATGGACACTTAAGTTGATTCCCTATCTTGGCTATTGTGAATAGTGCTGCAATGAATGTGGGAGTGCAGGTATCTTTTCGATATACTGATTTCATTTTCTTTGGATATATGCCCAGTAGTGGAGTTGCTGATTCATATGGAAGTTCTATGTTTAATTTTTTGGGGAACCTCCATACTGTTTTCCATAATGACTATACTAATTTACATTACCACCAACAGCATACATGGCTTTCCTTTTCTTCATATCCTCATCAACACTTATCTTTTGTCTTTTTGGTAATAGTCATTCTAACGGAGGTGAGGCTATATCACATTGTGGTTTTAATTTGTATTTCCCTAATGATTAGTGTTGTTGTGTATTTTATTTTATTTTATTTTTTTGAGACGGAGTCTCGCTGTTGCCCAGGCTGGACTGCAGTGGTGTAGTCTCGGCTCACTGCAAGCTCCGCCTCCCGGGTTCACGCCATTCTCCTGCCTCAGCCTCCCTAGTAGCTGGGACTATAGGCGTCCACCACCACGCCCGGCTAATTTTTTGTATTTTTAGTAGAGACGGGGTTTCACTGTGTTAGCCAGGATGGTCTCGATCTCCTGACCTCGTGTGCACCCGCCTCGGCCTCCCAAAGTGCTGGAATTACAGGCGTGAGCCACCGCGCCCAGCCGTGTATTTTTTATTTTAATATACCTATTGGTCCTTTGTATGTCTTCTTCTGAGAAACTTCTATTCATGTCCTTTGCCCATTTAAAAAAATCAGGTTACTTATTTTCTTGCTCTTGAGTTGTTTGAGTTCCTTACATATTTTGGATATTAACCTCTCATTCGATGTATGGTTGGCAGATATTTTATCCCCATTCTGTAGGTTGTCTCTTCACTCTTTTCCTTTGCTGTGCAGAAGCTTTTTAGTTTGATGTAATCCCATTAGTCTATTTTTTCTTTTGTTGCCTATGTTTTTTGGCATCATATAAAAAATAAATCAGTGCCCAGACCAATGTCATGGAGCTTTTCCACAATATTTTCTTCCAGTTGTTTTATAGTTTCACCTTTTATGTGGAAGGTAACTAATTCTATGTGCAATTTTATCTTTCCTGTGGGAAGCCTCCCAACATATGTAAGATTTAGGACTTACGAGACCTGGATCTGTCTCTTGGCTCAAGTTTCTCGTATCTCAAAACTTGTAAGAAAACAAACTCAACTTTTCTTGATCTCACGTTCCCATTTAGCACCAAGCCTTTCTCTCCTCTTCGGAACGGCACTTTCCAAAGATGAATTCCTATTGTCTGCCTCTTCTGCTTCCACCAAGATCCATTTGCTCCTCCTTGTTCCCCTCGTGCTCTATTCCCCAGGAAGCCCTCTTGCCAAGGCCACCAGTGCTCTCTCTCTTGTCAAAGTCAAAAGGACATTTCTATTATTTGCCAGGAGTGCCATTTCAGTGGAATTACCACAGATTCTTGGCCATGGCTTCCTTTGTGCTCTTTTCCCCTACTTTTTTTTTCTCTGCATCTGGCAATTCCTATTGGTTTATTTTTCCGTCTTTTCATCTGATCAGTCTTTTCACATGACTAATTCAGTACTTTGGATCCAGTCAGCCACCTTTGGCCCTGTGGTGTATTCCAAAAGAAAGTGTTCTGTGCTCAAGCCTCAGGCAGTGAAACTGATTAGTTTTTAAAATATGTATGTGTAACACCTGTTTATATATGATGAGCTATATTTCTTTGGGAAATGCTGTCCCTTTCTTCACTGCCACAACCTGGATATCTGTGGTAGTTTCCTAACTGCTCTTTCTGTCAATTTTGTTTTTCTTCTGTATAACTTCTGTAGTTATCACCTAAAAGTAAACCTCATCACAATTTCTCCCATTAGAAAAAAATTTCCTAATGGCTTCCTTAAAATTCAGGATAATGTTCAGATTGCTTTAAAAAGTCTTAATCAAAAATGTTTAAATTGCATAGGTTTTATGAATTCATTGTACAAAGTGATAAAGATTCAAAGATATATAAAAAAACACCAGTAGCCCTCTTTTTGGATTTTTACATAAGAGTATCATACAAAACATAAGTCTGAGACTTGTTTTTCGTGTGTAACCACATATAATGGTCATGTCTCCCGGTTAAAGGGTGTAGTTCTTAGTCTCTTAAAGAGCTGTATAATATTCCATAGTACAATTGTGCAGAAGTGTGTCTAACGATCTTTATATTGATACAGGCATTGAAATTACAATCAGCCCTCCATATCCAGAAGCATCAAAACCCTGGAATATGGAGGGCTGGATATACTATGCCATTTTCTATAAATGACTTGAAAATCTGCAGATTTTGGTATCCCGGGGTGTCCTAGAACCAATTGCCAGCAAATACAAAAGTCTGCCTGTATTTTCATGTTCAACCAGTACATAAACTGTTTTAAATTCACAATATTAGGTATGCATTCTTATAGGATGTGAAAGTTTCCCAAGCCACTGGATCAAGGTATATATGTATGTGGAGGTGTTTCTTACCCACATCTTTTCTTTCTTCTTCTGGTACCTTGGAGAATCATCTCCCTCCCACTCTCGGGCCATTGGTTCCTATAAGCCAACATTATCTGCCATGAGGGATAGGAAGTGACTCTGGCCTAACTAGAGACTGCATCTCTCTGGCCACAATGATAGTAGTATTGTGCTTTTCAGAATATTAAGCATACCTTTTCAGCTGTTTATTGATGTTTTACATTGGAAAGTTGTACATCTTTTGTTGGTATTTGCTAGCTGATATCTCTTTGGGAGTTCTTATTTTTTAGTCACACTTATTGAGGTAAAATTTGCACATGATTACTTTTTTCAGCTTCTCAGCTAACTGAGGCCATCATTTTTCGTTCAGGTGTACTCACTGTTAGATTCAGTTTGATCTCCTCCCTTTGGTTATTTTGAGAACCAAAATAGAACTAACCACTTAAGTTAGTTCTAATCAGGGTATGTGTTCTCTCAGCACCTACATCAACCTGGCCATTAGGCTCTCTCAAGCAGGAATGAACAAGAAGCTGTTCAAGGGAAGGCAGATTCTGTCTTTGTGGGCAGAGGCCAGTCAGCTGAGGTTTGAGAAGACATTTCTAGGATTGAGTAGAAGGCTTCTCTGACTACGGAATTTCTACGTGTTGCTGCAGTTCTTCTCTAGAGCCACAGGATGGAACAACCCCTCCCAGGCAACAGCAGGCTGATGAGACAGAAGGTTCATAGAGGAAACTTCTATGCTTCTGCTGGCCAAAATCCTCCTCCTTTCTCCCTAATCAATGGCAAAATCCTAGTTTTTGCTGAGCTTGAGGAGGTGCAAGCTCTTTCCTCTGTCATTAGGTCTGTTGGATTTCCTCTGGCACCAAAGAGAATGCAGCTAAGCACTTGTGATTGTGGCATCAACTTTGACTTCAGATGCTCCTTCCTAGCCCTGCCAACTCTAACCTGATTGTAGTCTTACAACACAGAGGAAGTTGAGGGAAACAGAAGGTCTCGTAGGTTCCAGGTCCTATCACCCTGAATCTCAGGTAAGTTCTTACCACTTAATACTGAAGACTCTTTACCATCTAATTTCATCACCTGGCACTTTGTCACATGTGTCCTTTTTGCTGAGCATACCAAATGGCTTTACATTCCAGGTGAGCTAAGCAAACATTTTCAGAATGCTGTGCCTTTGAACACATTTCTTCTACCTAAATTTGTCCCCTCCTCAGGCATCTACTCTTCATGCTTTTTTGTTCATCTGTTACTCCTCATTCAGCACTCAGCATAAGCATTTCTCCTTTTTGTAAGACTAACTGGGATCCAGTCAGTAATTCCCCCTTTATTGTTTAGTTATTTTTAGTAGCAAAAAATTTAAAAAAATCATTCATGTTTCCATGAAACCATAAATGTGAGCTAAAAACATTCTAGAACTTTTGTGTAAGGAAAACTCGACTTTTAGAAGAAGGGTATCTGACTCAAGATTTTTATCTTTCCACTCTCCTAATGTTAAGGGATTCAAGATATTTCCACCACCTTTTTCAGAGCCAGAGAATATATGAGATAAACTTAAAAATACAGAAAGAGAAGGGGAGAAGTCCAGGAGGGGAGAGAGGGAGGAAGTGAAAGATGGGGAAGGGAGAGAGGAATAGGGAGAGGGAGAACAGAATTTGTACAACACCTTCATGTTTCCTGAGGTAGCTATTCCTATTTTCTAATTGTTACCTAGAAAAGTGCCTCAGGTTCACCTTCTTTTCCATTCCTCTTGTTCATAAAAGATGTCCTTTCATTTTCATTGAAAAGGCTACTCATCAGGACCTTAACTGGGTGATCAAAGAATGTAGCACAGGATTGAATCTTTCATTTCTTTTCTTTCGGTCTTCTTGTTGGTATTTTCTCCAAATTCATAACTCTTACTCTTTCTCTTATGGAAATTATTGGTACTTAGCCTTTATTCTTTGGGATGAGAACTTTAAAGTGCTTCTCTCCTTAGCCATTCTAGGCTTAAGTTTTTAAATGCAAGCAAAAATAACTCTGAAGCTCAATATTCACGACATCACTCTGCCATCTCCACTCCCAACTCTCAGGTATTTAGAAGAAATACTTAAGCTTTTGTCATTGGCTTGCTTTTATTCATATGAAATATCTTTACTGAGGGGGTGTTAGTTGGATAATACTATGAATTATTGAGTGGTAAGACTTATTAGGACAAGAATTTTGGCTTTGCTTTTAAAATAAATTTCTCAAATCCTAGAGTTCCTTTTCTACCATCGCCGAATGCAGTAATCCATCTGTGAGCCCAATACTTATAACTAACTGAAAAGCATTGCTTGGTTTTGGTTTGGCAACTTAAAAAAAATGAATACAGTACTTTAACATGATTTTGAGAAATATGTGTATATACATATATAGATAGATACATATAGATAGAAACTAGCCAAACTAAAAGTTTTCCGTTTTTGTAGAAGATATTTAGTTTTCTATTTTTGTAGAAGATAGCGGAAATTTATAATTGTTTTTCTGAGTGGTAATTTCTCTGTCATTGGTCACAAATAAGGTGGGTTAGATCATCTGGGAAGAGGCACTGTGTTCTTATTCCCCAAAAATGTGGTGAATACCCTAACAGCAACTCTGGTTAGAAGCAGGCTGGGAGTATAGGCCAGGAGCCTTTAGGGTTTTACATGAGCTAGTCAGCCTAGTCAGTCATCTTGATATTTTGCAAATATTTTCTTTCTTGTGCACCAGAGATTGGAGAGACGAAGGAGACAATTAAATTGTGTTTCTTTTTGTGGAAACTTAATTCTACAAAGCTTTAAAAGACTAACCACAGTTCCAAATATGATTGGCCTATCTTTATTCACATTTGTTTTTAGACATTGAACAGGCTTCGTCTCCTAAAAGTTACAGATATTGAGTCCTGAGAATATTGCCTTGAGAATCCTGCTAACACAATTTCTAGTGTTGGTACCATGTATAGCAGAGATTGGATGAAACTTTAACTCTTACATCTGAGTATTAAGCAAGCAGTTCCTTAAAAGACTATCTTTACATTTAGCAACATAACCTCATAACCTTCTTTAGAAACTAAATTTCATTGGTGCTACTTTTATGATTCCTAATACAAAATTTAAATGATATTATAGAGATTTGGGGATTATGAATTAGAAGTACAAAGGTTGTAATATTATTTAATATTTATTAAGCACAAGTGATTTGATCCTGTGCAGAAAGTGAGGTTGAACTCTCCAGCATCAAGTGACCTCTTACTTTCTGTCTCCCTCTAAAAATTGTCACCTGAATTAGTTGTGTAGGGTGACCATAATAAAGTGCCAAACAGGGTGGCTTACACCACAGGAATTTATTCTTGAGGCTAGAAGCCCAAAATTAAGGTGTTGACAGGTTTGGTTTCTTCTGAAGGCCATGATGGGAGAATCTGTTCCATGCCTCTTCTCTAGCTTCTGGTGGTTTGCTGGCAAGCTTTGACATTCTTTTGCATCTGGAAACAGCACTTCAATCTTCACATGATGTTCACACGCCTTCATTTTCACGTGGCATTCACACGACTTCCTTGTCATGTGGTGTTCACATGCCTTCATCGTCATGTGGCGTTCACACGCCTTCATCTTCATGTGGCATTCACATGCCTTCATCACATGTGTTTTCACATGCCTTCATCTTCACATGGCGTTCACACGCCTTCATTGTCACATGATGTTCTTCCTGTGTGCTTGCATGTCTCTTCACATGGTCTTCTTTTATAAGGACACCAGTCATATTGCATTAAGGTCCTACCCTATTCCACGATGAGCTCATCTTAACTAACTATGTAAGATATGACCTTTTTCCAAATAAGATCACATTCTGAGGTACTCAGGGTTAGGAGTTCAACATATAAATTTTAGGGGAACACAATTCAACCCATAAAGCATAAAGAAGTGCTTTATGAAGATGATAGACATTTCTGGGGCAGTAAATTCTACTGTAATAGCTGCTCCTTTGAATTGTGTTAGCTCTAGTTTTCTGGGTCATATTTGAAGCTCCATAACCAATGGCTATGGTCTATAAAATATTGTTGGTCTTGTATTCATATCTGAGAGGAACAAAACTAGTGCTTCTAAGTCCTAGCTGTCTGATCTTACAATAAAAAGGTAAGGCTGCTAGGCCAACAAAACATAGAGTATCTAACAGAGGGGTTTTCTATGTGTAATTGTAGCACCAATTTCTAATTCAGGTACATTACTCAATTTCTAAACTCCATGTGTTTCTTTGGTTTTCTGAATACTTGCTATAATGTCATATAAATCTAAATAAACTAGTCTGAAACTGAAATAAAAATCTGAATTTTAATATATAAATCTTCTCTGTGATAAATAGTTCACTTTCTCATCACTAGTGATTGAGTCACTTTCTAGTGATCTCAGCCAAAAGATTATAGTAGGAGCAGAGCCAGAGATTGAGCTACTTACATGCTTTCATGGCCCTTCTTGGTCTGGGGTCAGGCACTGTGCCTAGGGAAGCCAATCTCAGCACAGCGTGGGTTGGAGGGACAAGGCATACTGGTGGCAAATGTTCAGTTTCACACTAAGGGCTTCTCGAAAGGTTGGTAGTGTTCACAAACCCTGAGACTATTGGTGATTTTGATATGGGAATCTAGAATTTCTTCTCCTGTAACCATTATCATACCTACAAAGCATGTTTTCTTAAAAATTTCATCTTTCAAAGTCTTCTCGTGACCATTCTTTTGTGGCTGAATCAGCCTTACATTACCATTAAATAATTGTCCCTCTAAAAATAATCAGCCATGTAAAGATTTCATCCATCCCCTCAGCCATCCTCTTTTGAGACCCATTAGCCTAACACTGTGTCTATTCCTTGATACTTTTGTTGTTGTTGCTTTTGCTCTTATCTAAATTAGATTAAGTTACATAAGTATCTGTCGGCATTTGCAATATTTTTCCCCGAAATAGTAGCATTAGAGAGTGGTAATTTTGCTCTTATTTGAATTGAAAGCCATGTTTTATTACAGAGAAAGTAGAGATAATTCTGCTAATTTGTTAGCGACTTATTAAGATATTCACTATTTTGGGGGGACTTAACATATTTTAGCTTGTGTGAATGTGTGTGTATGTGTGTGCATATGCTCATGTATGAGACTATGTAACCAGTTTATATTATGAACCAGAATAATAAATGAATCAGAAAAAGGAAACTTTATCCAGCTGTCTCTCCTTTTTTTGAGGTACGTGTGTGGGGGCTGGTCTTGGGCCTTGTAGTTCTTATTTGTGGAAAGGATACTTGATGTTTTACAGTACTGTATATCTGAATTAGTTCATTCCTCCTGTGTTTTGGCCATTGTTCATTGCCACATTAAGAGAGAAATGGGTTTCCATTGAGGGCGAATGATATTGTTGTTTAAAGTAAAATTTCAATATCAGTGTAATATGAGATAAAGGAAATGTCTACATGATTTCTGGTCTTGGAGATTGTTGTAGAAGAATCTCCTGACATGATATTTTGTATTTAATTTACAGGTCTAGAGACCATTGAAAAATTAAACATATTTTACTTGATTATTCCCACTTTAATTTGATAGGAACATGAGATCTGGGAAAATCCAGTTTTTAAACTAAGTTTGTTATAGATTTTATTTGGGATAAACACAGAGAGAGATGACTGTTATTGTAATAAGGCAGACAGATAAGCAGGAGGTAGCTATTCACGCTATTCATATGGTAAGATAAGAGGGTCCAGCTGCTTCCAGCTTTATGTTACGTTTGCCTGTTGCAAGCAGAGCAGCCAAATGGGTCTACCTCTGAACAATTTTGATCCTGTCAGTATTGACCACATTTATCAGAATGTTGTGTCCATATGATTAATCCAGGAGCTTTTGCTAAATATGCCTTTCTTCTCCACCACTGATTTAGTCAATCTGTGATCTTATAAAGTGCGAGCTACATTTTTTTCTTGCTTAGGAACACTCTGCATTTCTGTCTCTTAATAGATAATTTTTATCAGGTAACTTATTCTGAAAAATGGATGAGAAAAAGTTGTTTTCTAGCTTTTCATATGGCTGATGTAAACAGTATATTTTACAAAGTTGCTTACACTAAAAATGCCAAAAGGTGCTTCTTGGTAGAGGTGGGGAAATATTTAGCCTGCCAATACTAATGAAGCTTCAAGACCTGCCCCTTAACACCATCCTTTCTACCTCTCACCATGCCTTTATGAAATTCTAGAACAGCCTCTGCCACTGACTCTTCTATAATCACTTTTATCGTATTTTCACCAGACTGTAGGGATACATTACCAGCAAACAAGCAACCCAGATGGTTTTTAAAAAGAAGAAAGGAGTGGTCATTGGTTAACTTTTCATGTATTTTAAATGCAGCAAAAGTGGCTTCTACTGCTTGAAAAATATCTGAAAGATAACTACGGAGCTTATTAAGAAGGGAATTTCATTTAATTTAAAAATGGTAAAAGCTCAACAGTAAATATTATTGATATTAGAATCAGACAGCCAGGCTTTATAGTGTGAATAATTACCTGCCTCATATTCAGAGACTCCAGAATCTAATGCCTCCTCCATTCTCAAGTCTCTTTGTAACATGTAAAGTCCTTTATGCCCAATTTAATTGAAACATTTGAATGAATTTGTCGTTCCAAGGATCAGCCACAATCAAGATAATTTTATGAACCCTTACTTGTAGATATTTTGGTCACGTTGAAACCACCAGTGGTCATTTAGACATGTCTAAGAAAATTTTCCATGTGCATGTATCATACCAACTATGTAGGCAATAGTCTTTACAAGGAATAAAAATTAACAGTTATGAATTATTTCTTACTCCTTGAGTAAGAAAAGTTGATTTCTTTTTCCACTCTAAGACACTGTACCTGAAATATAAGCCAAGGTCCCATTAGTTGGGAAGCACATGGGTTTATTCATCGGCCCTACTGCTGTGACACACAGTCTCAAGCTGGCTGTGCAGCTGGCCAACCAGCCAATGTTGAGTATGCGTCCTTTTTGTCCAGCCCTAGTTCCCCTTCCATTTCAGGCTTCTCATCTGTCAGGGGTAAATCTTCTAGTCTCGCCTATCTTACAGATGCTATTGTGCACATAAAATTATACATGTGAAATGCTTCTAAAATTTTAGTGTGCCTGGAGATATTTTACAATGTTACTGTCCAACCTACCATTCAACAGGAAGACTCTCTGAACCACTGTTTTTTGTAGACATCTCTGCAATCAAAGGAAAAAGCATTAGTCCAAAAATAATGGTTTTTGGAATCATAACAATGAACTAAAGCGTGAATTTTCTTTTATTTAGGGCAATAATGCTAGACTCTTGTTGAGCAAGTAGAATAAAGTATGATTCATTTTGTCTATAAGTAAACCAATACCTATTCTTTTGTGTAACAGACTGTGTCTTGGGGTTATAAGGTGGTTTTAATTACCCTAGTCTTCTTCACAGGATTGGCCTTTGCTGTTCTCTCATCTGTGCACCCAGTGTTTGGTTTATATGGGTCTCTGTTTCCTGCCATAATTTATGCCATATTTGGAATGGGACATCATGTTGCCACAGGTAATAATTCCTATGTTTATGCTTCTAATGTTACTCGCAAAAAAGACTTAGTGATTATTACTGATTACATCTCCTTAGCAGTGTTAATGTCACTGCTGAAAACCACAGCAAATATTAGAGGAAGATATTTACTCTCCATGCATCAGATAGTCAATATACACTGTGGTTTATTGCTATATTACTGTGTAGCCAAGGTAATTGCTAAGGATTCTTTGCATTTTTGAGTTGCAAAGATTCCACAAAAGAAGGGAGATGGGGCGTGGTAGTACACGCCTGTAGTCCCAGCTACTCGGGAGGCTGAGGCAGGAGAATCGCTTGAACCTGGGAGGTGGAGGTTGCAGTGAGCTGAAATTGCGCCACTGCGCTGCAGCCTGAGTGACAGAGCGAGACTCTGTCTCAAGAAAAAAAAAAAAGGAAGGGAAATGTTCTGAATTTACAATGAAATGAGAGAAAGTAAGTACTTGGGAGGTAAGACTACATAAAATATAGCTACTCAAAAAACAGTGAAAAATATTTTACATGTATTTGATATGTGGACTAAATGATGATCTTTAGGTTTATTCCAGGCTAGTTTATACAATGCTCTTTACTTGGTGTAACTCTTACCTTACCTACCTCTATATTACCAAAGAAAATATGAGGGGTGATTTGGTATTAGATAAACCTGGGTGCATATCTTATTTGTTGTTTGCTATTTACATGGTCTTAGGCAAAATTTTAAGCTCCATTGCTGCTTTCTTGATAGCAAAATTACCTTCCAAATTCTAATGATTATAGTGAGAACTAGATAATTGATATACAGTGCCTAATTTAATACTTGCTACATAATAAGATTTAATAAAGTTAGCTATTATTATTATTACAAAAATGGTATCTTAGTCTTAACTATTAAGGAAATAATAAAATAATTTTAACTAAAAATATCTATAGAGACATTTCTATTTATTTGGGGATTACATGATCTCAGCCTCTAAGTAATAATATTTCTTGACCATTTCTTCAATGGTCATTTTGTGTTATTGATTGTATCAGTTTTCTGTTGCTGCTGTAACAAATTACCATAAGTTTGGTGCTTAGAACAAGATAAAGGTATTATTCTACAGTTCTGCAGCTCAGAAGTCTGAAATGATATTCACAGGACTAAAACTAAGGTGTCAGCAGGGCTGTGTTTCTTTCTTGGGGGCTCTAGGGGCAATCCATTTTCTTGACTTTTCTAGTTTCTAGAGGCTTCCTGCATTCTTTGGCTCATGGACCTTTCAACCATGCGATATGTAAACATGCAGTATCGCATCTTCAAATTCTCTTTGACTCTGATCTTTTGCCTCCATTTTCCATGTTTAAAGGACACTTGTGATTACATTGGGCACACCTGGATAATCCAGGCTGCTCTTCTTATTTTAAGATCAGCTGCTTGGCAACTTTAATTTCATCTGCAATGTTAATTCTCTCTTACCATATAGCATAACATACTCACAGGTTCTGGGGATTAGGATGGGAACATATTTGAGAGGTCATAATTCTGCCTACTACATTGATACACATATTTTCTGTTAACATAACATTTTATTTATGTAGATTTGGCTTTTTAAATCAATTAATTTTGTTATGAGGGAAGGAACAACACTTATCAATCACTTACAACATTTCTGCCTAAAGTGTGGCTCATGAACCAGCAGGTTCAGCATTATGTAGGAGCTTGTTAAAAGTGCAAAGCCTTTATTTCCATCTCAGGCCTACTGAATTAGAGTCAGCACTTTCATAAGATCTCTGTTTTTATTTAATCTGTAGGTAATATAGTATATATATGTGTTTATATGTTTATGCATATTTGTGTACGTATATATATTTAAGTTTGAGAACCATGGATGTTCTATTTATTAGGTAATTTATTAAGAGCTTTACATATGTTATTTTATTTTGTTCTAGCATAAGCCTTTTAAATAGATATTATTACCTTTACATTGCACGTGAAAAGAAAACACTAAAATTCAGAAAGTTTCTGTGAGATCACAGATTAAAAGTCACAGGTGCATGGATTGCAACCCAGGTGCGACCAAATCTAAAGCACAAGCTTTTAACTTTACAACTCACTGTTCAAGAATAAGCTTTTCTTTTGTATTGATGCAAAAAAGAGAAAAGCACAATAATTAATTATAAATTATTAAAGCCTATTTTTTCAATTATCTTGCTTCCTAATTTCCTAACGATTTCTTTTCATTTTTCAAAACATTTAAACATATCCTTAGCAATAAAAAAGTTGTTTTAATACTAACCTCTAAAAACATTTTCTCTGTTAAACCCAAGATAAAAGAAAAAGGCAAAACAAGTTTGTCCAATATACCATAATTGCTTTAAGAAAACAAAAATACACAATTTGAACATACTTAAATACGTACTTACACAAAATATTTGATGTCCTAAGGAATCACTGTAAACATTTTACAGATATTTAACTGAATTACTTTGAAATTACCATTTACATAAGACTCTATATTTAACAAATTTTTAACAGCTGTCAGAATCTTATAGTCTACTTGATAAATAATATGCATTTCAAAATACACATAATTTACAGCCTTAACTGTAGTCATTCAACATTAAAGCCGGAGACTAATTCTGATTTCCCTTCTGTTAAGTCGAATGAGCTACCACACAATAAATGCTAGAGACATTTTATTTCTGCATTTGTACTTCACCAAAGACAGTCAGCTGGGCTTTCCTATTAGTTTTTTATCCCAGTATTTAGGATTCTTTGGGTCATTAAAAAATAAATGATAGGCTGGGTGCGGTGGCTCACACCTGTAGTCCCAGCCCTTTGGGAGGCCGAAGCAGGCAGATCACAAGGTCAGGAGATCAAGATCATCCTGGCTAACACGGTGAAACCCTGTCTGTACTAAAAATACAAAAAATTAGCTGGACGTGGTGGCGGGCACCTGTAGTCCCAGCTACTCAGGAGGCTGAGGCGGGGAGAATGGTGTGAACCCGGGAGGCAGAGCTTGCAGTGAGCCGAGATGGCGCCACTGCACTCCAGCCTGGGCGAGAGTGCGAGACTCTGTCTCAAAAAAAAAAAAAAAAGAAGATAATTTTCCCTTATTTTGCAACATATATATGTCAGGGAAAATAGACTAATTATGTTTTGACCTTCCTTTAATCTTGGACATAGGGACTGAGTGTCACCAATAAGTTCCTGCAAATTAATATACAGAACTTACTTCTCTTTAAAATAATTTAATTTTGATGCATATGCATCCCACTTCCACAGTATTATTAAGATATTGATGTTACTTTCATGAAGAAAAATTACTTTATTTGGGATTTTGCCTTCAATTTAGATGGCTGGAATGCAATGCTGACTTACTAAATACAATAATAAATTATGTTAGAGGCATCTTTAAAAGTAAACAATTCATAAAATCAGAGTATAAAGACATGAAACATGCTGTTTTGCTCAACAATGTGAACTTTCTTATTTTAATTTAAAATAGGTTTTTTTTTTAAAAAAAGGAATAAATCAGTTGATTACTTTTTGTGGCTTGCAAAGAACATATATTGGAATAAATACACAACAGTAAAAAACCTGGGTATTAATCCAATGGCAACAGCATTGTTGTAGGAACCAATGTGAGACAATTGGATAATCTTAATTTTTCTCTAAATTAGGGAAATTTATTTAAAGAGCAAAGTTTAACAATTTAGAGAGGATATTGTGGAGACTATATAAGGCACTTTTCAGAAGCAAAAATAAACAATTATTTACTGATGGATTATAATATGATAGGACTTGAGACAGTGTTTTTTTAAAATATGAAATCTCATTTATTCTCTATCAAAATTTTGTAATAGGTATTTTATCATCATTTTACAAATAAGGAAGCTGAGAGAGGTTAGGTAACTTGACCAAGATCAGAGGTTCATATTAAGTAGAGCTGGGATTCGAACTTGGGTCTGTTTAACTCTAGGGCTCATATTCACTTCCTATGAGACCCTGTGACCCACAGTACTGTTGAGCTATCAGGTAGAAGTAGTGGTATATAAGGGTACCACTAATAGGCTGAAAGCCTAACCAGGGTAAAATGTTGAGCAAATGAGGCAAAGATAGAGAATTAGTAGAGAGGAGACAAAGACAAAGAAGAGACCTATAAATAGATAATATAGAATGTCATCCACAACAGCCACACATATTCACTGGCAGTCCCACTTCCCTTGATTGGCCTTCATTATCTCAGAAACAGCAAAGCATTATCCTTGCTAAAGAAGCAGTACTCCCATGTCCACATTGGCGTGGTGGATATGCCTGTACCCATTGCTGGCAAGTCCTCTCTCTGGAGGTGTTCTTGAAATATGACTCACACGCAGGTGAAGCTTCCTTTTGTTCCCCTAACAAAGCCTTTTAGATGGCTTTCTCTTTTACTGTTCGATTCCTTCCCATCTTCCTCCAAATCCCAGGAAAAACAGGCCTAAATTAAAAAATTAACTCATCTATATGTTTTTAAAAAATTCTGTAGTCAATTTGTTCAGTGGCTTTTGTACAAAACATTTTGCTCTGTGCTCTAGGAGATTTAGACACCAAAAGACAAACCTCTTTACTCTCAGAAGTATCTGATTTGATCTCCCGAGCATCGTGTTGTAATATAACCTCGGAAATATGTCCTATCAAGACCAGATTCTATGGTGAATATTCTCTACTTGGTGTTTCCCATCCTGGGTGCTAGAATCTCATTTCTAATAATCAGTTATATTACATTAGTTTCTTGATGTACTCTTAATTTAGTATTTTGTGATAAGGACAGTGGTCATGATTTATTGATGATTTATTGAGAATGACTTATCTCACTAAAAGAATGTTATTCAATCTGCTGTCTGTATTTATGTACCACCAACTCTATGGAACAGAGAAAAACATACAATGATAGACCATAACAGAGCATTCTGACTTTAGTCTTATTAAAAATTATATGAATAGCTACCATTTATCAGGTGTTAACTACATGTCATCTTCTATGATATGTGCTATATTACATTATTTAAGCCTCATAACAATCCCATTGGGTGAGGAATGCTGTTTATAGACAAAAACATTGAGGTGACAGTTCTGGGATTTTAGGCCAGGTTTTTTGGAGGCTACAATCATCATGTTTTTCTGAATCCATAGCATGTACTGCCTCTCTTATCTAGTAAGACCAAGTATTGGCTGTGTTGAATTTCCATTGAGACCTGTTTCTGTTTGACTCATGTCTCTCTTGCCTTATGCTGCTTTGTGCATGGTTTGTGTTGGGTTGTCTACATGTTGAAAAGGCCCTTTTCATGAAATCTCACTTATGACCAGAAGCAAAGTAAGATCTTCAAGTAATGAGAGCAAATGTTTGCACAATGCTGCAGTTTGTTTCTATAACCCAAATTTGCCAACGCCTCTTTGAGAGAATCAGCATTTCCATGTTCACCAGGCTGCATTCTCAGGCATGCTGTGCCAAGATGAGAGGCTTCAGAACTCTTGACAGGAAGAGGGGAACACACTGAAAATGGTCCCACAAATGTGCAAGGCCATGGCAATTCTTGGAAAATAACACCAAGCCTTATCTAACAACAGTAGACAGAAATGGTATGTTTAATTATTTTATGGGCCACAATATGTTGTTATACAATAATAAAAATATACTCTGCTATGAGACCACAGAGGGTGGAAAGATTAAGCCTAGTTGGGAGGATCTGGGATGGACCCTTATTAGATATGGGATTTGAGCCAGACCTTGAAAAACAAATAGGATTTGCACAGGTAGAATGAAGAAGCAAGCATTTCAGGGAAAAAGCTGAATTTACTGAGGTCTTCATACCTATCATCTCATTTATACTCCCCTTAAATACTGAAATGTAGGCATTATTACTCCCATTTTATGGATAAGACCATTTATATCCAGTGTAATGTGCTTTAGGTCACATTATTGGTAAATTGAGTGGTTGAATTTAAATCCAGGCCGTAATCTTATTTCCTGTACCAGGACATTCTTTATGCCAATCTGCAGAGAGGTGGGAAAATGTCTGAACCAGGAGGGAATAGCAAATAGATGAGTGGCTGTACGTTGAATGAATAAGCATATATGGAGGTAAGTTTCCATTTCATCCATGGAGAGAGGTGAAGAGTGGAGAAGCAAGGCCACAGAGGAGGGGACAGTGTTTCTAATAGATCTGTTTGGTTTCACAATGTAGCTTCGACAGAATCCCACAATTTTTATTGAGCCTTTAAATCAAATTACTAATAGAAGATTCCCCACACCACTTGGTTTCAGGCACCTTTGCCTTGACATCCTTAATATCAGCCAACGCCGTGGAACGGATTGTCCCTCAGAACATGCAGAATCTCACCACACAGAGTAACACAAGCGTGCTGGGCTTATCCGACTTTGAAATGCAAAGGATCCACGTTGCTGCAGCAGTTTCCTTCTTGGGAGGTGTGATTCAGGTAAGTGATACTGACACTTGAGCACAAAGAAAGGGACACAGCGGCACAGGGAAGGCAGCTGGTGTTTTATTTTTATTCTTGTTCATGAATTTGTCTTTATAGGTGGATAAAGGCCTGATGTGTTTTATCATTATGGAAATGCTGTTTAGAGTCATTACTCTATAAATGCTGGTTGAATGAATGAACTAGAATCAATAAATTGAAGTTACACAGAAACAGTTTTTGGTCTTTTAAGAATGAACTTTCTAAAAAATGTTTCAGAAAATGGAATGAGCTTCCTTGTAAGGCAATGAGGCAATCCCTGTGTCCACACAGTGACTAGGTCGTCACTGTAAGGGAATGTTATAGGAAAAACTCCTGCAATAGGAAGGAGATGTGACCAGATCTCTAGTGTCCTTCCCAGTTTTCAGATTTTATGATGTTATTGCTTACATCAGTAACAAATGGTGCTTGGTTTATGCTATAGGTTTGCTGATCTGAGGTCACTGGACTCAGATCTGTACCACCAGCATCATGTTGCTGCCAAGATTGCTACAGTCTATTTCTTCAAAATATCAGAATATGTAATTTGATGTTTCTAATCAGTCGTCAAAATTTGAAAGCTCAGAGGTGACTATAAAATAAATGTAGACAGGCACTGAATATTAGACATGGAATTGCCTGTTTGATAGCCATTTTTGCTTAGTCTCTCATGGTCAACTGAATTATGTGTGCATAAACTTCTTGGGTGGCTGTGTTTTGGGTTGGGAGGCTCTATTTTACACCGTAACATTATTTACAAGGTCAAAGATCTTGTAAACACCAAGAAGGGCGAAAAATAGTTGATGATTGGCTGGAATGATGGTAAGAGAAAACATGTGACCTAAAAGAAAGGAAGCATTAAAATTCTTAGAGTTACATTGCCTTCTAGCTAGGTGAAACGGCCGAAAGAATTAAGGATGTAAAATGAAATGAGAATAAGAACTCATGTCTTCATAGTCCTTGAAAGAAATAGACCATTTGAGTGGCAGCTCATTTGCTTAGGAGACTGACCAGACTGGTGGACCAATCAGTATTTTCTATGGCTTGTATCTGAGCTATCATAAAATAAAAATTAGTTGCCTGGGTACCCTGTAACTTTCAGTTTATTTTTCCAACCATGGATGTCAGCCTATTCTGAGGCTTGCACAGACAGGCTTAGTGGCTTTTCCTCCTTGCCTGGCCTGTATGAGGCTCTCTGAGATCTGTCATCTATCCCCATCTCAGAAATAATCAGCCCTGTGAACTGGTAGATCAAACATGGATATATTGCCTTGGATTTGGCATAGGTTTTCCTTAATTTCTATTCATTTAAAATAAAAAATCTTTGTATTAACATTGCAAAGATAATATTGTGTCTGTTTTCTGTCCCATTATTTTTTCATTCATATTTCTTTTTGAATTCATGGTTTTTACTAGAGTTGGATATTCTCTTACTCTACAAAGCATGAAACAAGTAGTTTTAGGTTGTTTAATAGTGTAGTATTAGTTTTAGGTATATATTAGTATAGTAAAAATCTAAGAGTATACATAATTAGCGGTAAGACCTGGCAACCTTCTGCTTAGTCTCATTTTAACCATCTTCTGAAAGTTTGAAACAATCATCAGGTATTCTGTTATTATCTAGTATATTTGGATTATGACTTAAAATGATAACATATAAAAGTCAAAGCCAGGATTCTAACAACATAAAAAATATATGTCTCATTTCCCCGAATGAAACTCCCTAGAATTATAAGAGCAAAGCAGAATATTATTAAAGATAATAAAAATAATTTTGTTTTCATGGCCTTTTATTACATGTAAAATCTGATTCAGAGAGTTGCATATTTTCTCTTATAACTTCATCAAGCATCTGCTTTTCTTCCTCTTTAGCTCTGATCTTGGATATGTGACTTACGTTTTAGCCAATTTTTAAGCAGATGGCTGGACTTTATTTGACCTCCAAACTCTTCTTTCCATTGTCAACTAGAAACTTCAAGAGTTCTGCATCTTTAGGATTTAGCTGCTCAGTCATTTTTCCTTTTATTCCTTCAGATTTGAAACCCACTGAATCAAAGTATCCAGTTTCTACAAACATATGAAGTGTGTGTTTGTCTTGTTTTATTTATTTATTTGTGTATTGTTTTGCTCTTGCTTGCATATTATTTAGTTTCAGGTTGATTTTTTTCTCTCTGAAGATCCAGCTGACAGAATTATTTAGGTTAATAAGATTGTATTGTTAAAGTGTCTGAAACAATCATGTCTGATCTGATTCACAGTTAGAAATGCTCTCACCTGCAAGGAACAGAGAACCCTCCTATCGGAGGCTTACACCATAAAGATATTTATTGCTTCTTGTATTACAGGAAGTTATAGAAGTAAGTTCTGGGGGGGCTTTGGTGTCTGGCAACACATTCAATTGATGAACTAATCAGCTTTCTGTTATTACATAATAAGGGCTCCATGACTTATTAGGTGTGTTTTCTTTTTGCCTTCTCTTCTTGTAACTGATAAGTAAGTTTCCCCCACTAAAGTGTAGCTTGTATTTGTCTAAATGTTCCCTACACACAACTCTTTCTCCACTTCTTTACTTGACTTATATTTTTAACATTATTTTAATGATTCTAGTATGTCTATCTCTTCAATTTTAACTTATGCATTTTTTAGAAGAAAGTATAGCATAGAACAATAAATTTCTGATTTTAGTTTGCTCTTTGCCTTTTTTTGCTTTTCCTCCAATGTCTTGTATGTCTATAATATTTTAGTTTGTTTTCTATGTAAGACATTACTTAGAGAACAAAGTTCTTGAGGGTATTAATACGATCTTCAAGCATGTTAAAGTCATCATTGTACCTAGCATAGAACTCTACATGGTAGATTCTCAGAAAACTTGTTGAATTAAAAAATGAATTATCTATTCAGGAACTTGAAAACCAAGAAACATAATGCTAGGTAATAATGATTTTAAAATATAAACTGAGTCTGATGTTTGTTAATTTTAATAATTATTATAGCAAGATGGGACTGTAAAAGAAAGGCACACTCAGAACTGTCACTTCCCTTCCCTAATGCTGCTATGTATGTGTATATCTGGATTTTCATTTTGTTAGGAACATCTCTTCAAGATGAATTCCTAGAATGAGATTACTGGGTCAAAAGGTAAATTCAAAACAAAAACAAATGTAGTTATGTTAGACATTGTTAAATTCCCTTCCGAAGGGGTTGTGTCAGTTTACATTCCCATAGCAGTGTATGAGAGTGCCTCAGCCTTACCAACAGAATGTGTTCTCAGCCTTTTGAACTTTAGCCAAGCAGGTGAAAAGTAGTATTCAAGGTAATTTGAGTTTCTTTAATTATGAGTGAGGTTCAACATCTTTTCATATGTTTAAGATCATTTTGTGCTAATTTTGTGAATTGTCTATTTATATTTGTCTCATTTTTCCATCAGAGTTTTAGATTTTTTTCTCTTCAAATTTTAAGAGTTCTTTATATATTATGGATATTAGCCCTTTTTCTGTGATAGATGTTGAAAGTATTTCCTTCTAATTTGGCAGTTGTACTTTGACTTTATTTTACTATGCAAATTTAAAAAATTGTGTTGTCAAATTTATCAGTCGTTTCTTTTACTGCCCATTATTTTGAGTCATTGTTAGCTTTTTTCAACACTGAGTTTATGGAGGAAGTCACCATATTTTTTTTCTAGACTTCCATGATTTATTTTTTTTCTTTTTATATATACATTCCTGATAATTGTGGAGTTTATGCTTGTGAGTGGTGTGTGATATGGATGTAATTTTATTTTTTTCTAAGTTGCTGCCTACTTGTGCCAACAACATTTATTAAAAAGCCCATCTTTACCTCTATAACTTAAGATGCCACCATTATCATTTCCATATGTACTTATATCAATTTTGGGACTTTCTTTGCTATTCTACTGCCCTTTAACTCTATTCTTGTGACTGTAGCACCCTGTTTTATGGAGACTTTATAGAATGGTTTAATGTAGGGTAGGACTAGTCAAGCTTTGTATTTTTAATTTTTGTGTGTATTCTTGGCTATTCTTGCATGTTTGTTTTCCTTATGAATTTCAGCACCAACTTGCATTGGAGGAAAAGCAAAAAAAGGCAAAGAGCAAACTAAAATCAGAAATTTATTGTTCTATGCTATGCTTTCTTCTAAAAAGTGCGTAAGTTAAAATTAAAGAGATAGACATACTAGAATCATTAAAATAATGTTAAAAAATATAAGTCAAGTAAAGAAGTGGAGAAAGAGTTGTGTGTGGGGAACATTAGACAAATACAAGCTACACTTCAGGGGGAGAAACTTCCTTGTATAAAAAGAAACTTGCTGATACTTTTATTGGGATTGTGTTAAACTGACATCTTTATGATGTTGATTTGTCCTGTCCAAGAACAGAGGATGCCTTTCATTTTGTTCAAATCTAATTTTGTGTTTTTCAGAGTGTTTTAAAATTTTCCTCCTACAGGTTTTGCACATTTTTGTCAAGTTTATTCCCAAGGATTTAATCTTCTTTGTTGCTATTATAAGTGGAGTTTTCTTTACCATTATGTCCTCTGGCTGGCTATTGTTTGTGTCTTTGAAAGCTATTGATTTTTGCGTGTTAATTTTGAATCCTGATATCTTACTGAATTCTTTTAGTATTTGAATTAGTTTTATTGTTCATTAATTTGCTAGAATTTTTTTTTTTTTTTGAGACGGAGTCTTGCTCTGTCACCCAGGCTGGAGTGCAGGGGCGCGATCTCGGCTCACTGCAAGCTCCGCCTCCCGGGTTCACGCCATTCTCCTGCCTCAGCCTCCCAAGTAGCTGGGACTACAGGCGCCCGCCACTACGCCCGGCTAATTTTTTGTATTTTTAGTAGAGACGGGGTTTCACCGTTATAGCCGGGATGGTCTCGATCTCCTGACCTCGTGATCCGCCCGCCTCGGCCTCCCAAAGTGCTGGGATTACAGGCGTGAGCCACCGCGCCCGGCCAGAGATGTTTTTACTTCTTTACAAAATCATATGACTGGTGATTTCTCTAATCCAATTGCTTTGGGTTTTGCAACCTCTATTATAACATTAGGTAATTGTGAAAACAGTGGGCATTCTTGCCCTTTCATGAGCTTACTTATAATGCTATTAACATCTCCACAAATTATAATGCAGTCCTCATGAATAAAGTTTATATGTCTTGTCATGTTAAGAAATTATAAATTGTGTCCTATTTTGTGTTTTTAATAGAAACTAGAAAAAATGTTGAATATTGCTGAAGCCTCTTCAGCATCTATAGAAATAATCTTACTTTTATTCTCTCAAAACTATCATTTATTATGTTAATAGATTCCCTAATATTGAACCAACTTTAAATTGCAAGAATAAATTCCAGTTGGTCACGGTCTATTTTATTCTTAATGTGGTACTGGATTCTGTTGATTAATTTTCTTCTTTAGTATTTTGCATCATTTTTCTTTAGTGGTACTGGACTGTAGTTTTCTTTCTTGTGCTGTCTTTATCAGGTCTAAGTCTCAATGTTTTACTTTCTTCTTAACGTCCCTTCTCAATGCTTTTCAGCATGTATAGCACTTCTGGAGCATCTAGTACTGGAGGTTTTGTAGAATTCCTCTTTAAAATAATGTTGCCTGGTGCTCTTTTGTAAGATAATTTCTTGATGATCCTCTGCAGTTTCTTTTACAAAAATTGGTCAGTTTAAGCAGCCTAGCTCTAAAACAACCAGAATTGGAAATCTTTATTTTCTTGGAAAATTATATTTTTATCTATCTTTTCAAATGTATTTACATGTAGGTCTTTAAAGTAGTCTGTTGTAATTTTAAAAAAATTTATTGTTTCAATGTTTTACCCTTTGATATTTTCTATTTTTATATTTGTGCTTTTTCCTTTGTTCTTGATCCAGGCAGCTAGTGGTTTTTCTATTTTGTTACTTTTTTAAGAAAACCAGGATTTTGAAATAGTATGTCTACTTTTTTCCTATTTCTATCTCTGCTTTTATCTTTATTATTTCCTTCAATTTACCATTATTTTATTGTTTGGTTGTTGCTCTTCTTCTATTTTTTCCATCTAGGAATTCAATTTACTTGTTATTTTTTTTTCATTTTTATTGATAAAAGCACATAGTGCTATGAATTTTCCTATGCTAATTGTTTGAAATGTATTCTGTTGATTTTTATATATACTGTGTTTTGCTTCAATATTTTTTAGGAATAAAAATTCTGTGATTTCAGTTTGTATTTCCTCCTTTACCCAAAGATTAAGAGAAGAGTTTTTAATTTTAGGTGGGTGAGTCTTTTTGCTTTTCAGTTTTGTCAATAATTTCTAGTGTTATTTCATTGCAGTCAGGGAGTATTGTTTATAATAGTTTATGTTACCTAATTTACTAACATTTTCCTTCTAACCTACTGTATAATCATTTTTTTGTGAGTGTTTCATGAGCACTTGAGAAAAAATATATAGCCTTGATTATCAGAGTGTAAAGATCAGTATATAGCTATTAGGTTCTTCCTTGTTGATTATGATTATTCACTTTTTTGCCTTTTTGATTTTTTTTGCACTGACTGAGAAAGGTGTGTTCATTACTGTAGGCTGCCTTAACTAGAATAATGGAATTGTAGTGGTTTAATTATCTTTTAGGTAAGCTATATATGTTTGTGTCATAAACATAAGACCATCCAATGTCTCTCACTCATTGGCCTTCAGACAAAATAAATAATTTCTGTTTCTCTTCTCTGTTACCATTTGATTTATATTGCTAGTATAAACAAAGTGCACTTATACAACCATAATAATGTAATGTGATAGTTTCTGTGTTGTACATTAGAATACGGGCTTTTTAACAACAGCATTATTGAGGTATAATTGCCATGCAATAAATTTTACATATTTAGAATGTACAATTTGATCTTTTGACAGATGTATATATTCATGAACCCATCATCAAGACAATAAAAATATCTGTAATTTCACAAAATTTTTTCTTGACCATTGTAATCCCACTCCGTTAGCTCCCCTCCTCACACACTGATCTGCTTTTTGTCACTATGAGTTAGTTTGCATTTTCTAGAATTTTATAAAAATGAATGTAATGTCCCTTCCCCTTCTCTTTTTTTTTTTTTTTTGGTCTGGTTTCTTTCACTCAGCAAAACTTTATTGCTGTTTATATTGTAGATTTATTGCCATGGTTTTATAACAGTAGGAACTCTTGTGATTAGGACTCATGCAATTTCTGACAGTTGATAATGCAGTGACTGAATTGACTGGTATGATAATCTTATTGTTTCCAGTTCTACCATCTATTTCTAAGGCACGTTGTCTCATAAGAAAGTCTTTTAGTGGAATTGATGCAGTTTTGTACTATTAGTATTACTTTACACAAGGAAAAGACAATTTTTCTAGCTAAAAACAGTAAAAACAGTAGCAGCCAAGAAAGGAATTGCTAGCACACTCACAGTAATGAAATGCTAGTTTTAAAATGCCAGTATCAATTAGCATTTCTGCTGGGGACACAAACACATAATAAAAGCCAATGCACTTTAAAAACCATTGTTATCTTCTCCCTGTAGCTTTTATTATTCCCTGTGATGGACAATTTGCATATTTGTTTTTCCAAGAGCTTTTCCAAGAGGGGTCTGGGATTGTCCCTTGCCCATTCACCTCTGGAAATTTTCCCAAGCTCTACTTTTCTGAAGAAGCCATAGGACAAGATTTCTGCCATGGGGAAATCTAGTTTGTCTTTTTGATCTTTCTTGCACTGAGAAAGGTGTATTCATTACTGTAGGCTGCCTTCACTAGAATAATGCCATTGTAGTGGTTTGAGTATCTTTTAGTTAAGTTATATATGTTTGTGTCATAAATATATATTCAACAATTATAAAAGTGTGGGTGTTTAGTGACAAAGCCTTGTATTATGATACTAGTGCATTCTGGAGACACATGGTCTTATGTCTTCAAGGATGATAAAAAGACAACTGTAAGCTAAATAGGAGATTCTTCAATTACTTTTGGTGTTGTGCTAAACATTTTCTTGCAAGTTTTAAATAAGAGGATCAGGAGTATAGAAGGGACACAAGATATAAAACTAGTTTATACTGCCTATTCAACACATCGTACTTACTCTTCTCAGAAACATCATCAACTTTCTTCTTTTGTAATGCAGGAGGAGGACAATCTGAAATCTCTTTTGATAATGTTTCACTGTTTTACAACCATTACAGCAGAAAGTCATTACTCTGTTTAATCTAAATCTTTCCATCTGTGTTTGTACCTGGCAAAGCTAAGAAGTAATAAACTTAACCAAGTTAGAATTATAACATTCTTAAAATTATAAAAAACTTTCCTTATGTACAAAAATAATTATATTTATTAGCCTAGTATTTGACAAGCTCTGTTCTAAGCTTACTACATGTATTCATATATTCAATCCTCATTGACATTTTAGGAAAAATTATTTAGGAATAATTCCCTATTATACAGATAAAGATACTGAAGATAAACTGACTGATATAGTTTGGCTCTGTGTTGCCACCCAAATCTCATGTTGGATTATTATAATCCCCAGTGTTAGGAGAGGAACCTGGTGGGAAGTGATTGGATCATGGGGGTGGGTTATTCCCTTGCTGTTCCTGTGATAGTGAGTTCCCATGAGATTTGATTGTTTAAAAGTGTGTGGCACTTCCTCCTTCTTTCTATCTCTCTCCTGCCACCATGTGAAGACATGCTTGCTTCCCCTTTGCCCTTTTGCCATGATTGTCAGTTTCCTGAGGCATCCTCAGCCATACTACCTGTGCAGCCTGTGGAACTGTGAGTCAACTAAACTTCTTTTCTTTATAAATTACCCAGTCTCAGGTAGTTCTTTATAGCAATGTGAGAACAGACTAATAGAGTGACTTATTTAGAATCTTGTAATTAGGAATTAACACAGTAGGAGTCAGACTCCAGTATACACTTCCTTAACTGCTGCTATGCAGCTTTCTAAACTAGTGTTGACAAAGGAAGCAAGGAAACTTAATCCATCTACTTCTAGGGCCAGGCATTGTTCTAGCTCTTTCCCACATTTTACCTCATTAATAATAGTGGCAGCATGTGTACTGGGCATGTGTCATGTGGCAGAACAATGTTCTTGGCTCCACAACAGTGTGCCTGTCATTCTCTAGGCATGCCAGGCCCCTTCTCATGCTGCTTGTATGACTCCTCTGTGTCTTTCAAGGTTCAGCTCAAACATAATCATCTCAGAGAAGCCTTCCCTGGATCTCTGGACATACTTATATGTGATTCCTCTTACTGTTCCTGTAAGACATTGCTCATGTCCTACCTCATAGGGCTTCTGAATCTACCAGGAAATATTTTTTACACATTTCCCTCCTTTTCTAGACTGTGAGTCTCTATAGAACAGAGACTATTTGTCTCTATAATTCCAACAGCTGGTACTTAATAAATGTGAGTTGATTAAATTGAAGAGGAAAAAGGTCAGTTAAATGTTAGTGGCATCACTATGTTAAATAACCAAAATTAAATTGAGTTTTTTTTTTCATCCTTCACCGGAAGATAGGGAATGTGTCTGTATCTGTTTAAATTGTAAAACAGTTCTTGATAAACAAATAGTAATAAACTTATACTTCTCTAATTTGCTCATGGTTATTTTGTTAGATCCATCTAGCTCAAGTGTGCAGACCTAGTCAATAAAATCTCCCACCTTTTCTTATGAATACTCCCACATCTGATGAAAAACAAAAACACAACTACTCTACAACTCCTTACACTTGTGTATTTTAATAATATCATGCTTCCAATCATCCGACTGTATGACTATTGTTTTATTGAGCTCATATTTCTTAGACAAATATGAAACCAGAGGAGTCAAATTGTCTATCCCTAGCAGTTCTGACTTTCATAATGTCTAGCATCAGAGGCTAGTTTCTTCTTGAAGTGTCTGAGAACTGAAAAGATTATGGTTCTGCCTTCAACCATGTAATTCCAAATAAAGATGATTCTAAATTCCAGTGAATTTCTGATATATTACACAAAACTTAGATAGACATTTCCTGAACATATGATTAGTTTGTCTGTGGAGTAATGTGTACTTGGCTCATCTCTCTGCTCTCCATTCCTGCTCTGTCTAGTTTAGGTGACTTTTTCCTTTTTCCTTTACTATTCCTGTTATACCAACACTTTAAATGGCCATTCTATCATGAGATCAATCCTACCAAAGCACAGCTCTCATGTTTGAGCCAGTGTGCACCATAGTTCTTGGCAAGATCAGATGTTTAATGAATGTATGGAAAAGTGATGTCACTCACTCCTGTAAAACTCCCTTTTCACTACTTTTACAGTGGACTATATTCTGACCTCAAAATGTCTTGCTTTATTTTCTGTTACTCACTTTTGGCTAGTTTTGTTACTTCCAGACTTGCTGTGAACATATCCATGCTGTCCTGTTTGATCCTCATACTCTTCCCTCCTTTTTGAATGCTTTCTAATGGTTTTCCTCCTTAAGTGTCAAGTTAACAATTTTAACCCTATCCAGCAATACTCCCTTTTCCCTCTGAAATCCAGTGGCACATGTTCTATTTCTCTCTTTTGTATGCGTGGTTTATATTTTTGTCTTGGTGTGGTTATTTGCACACATGCCATACTTCTAAAACCCAGCTGTTTGGTGCTTTTCTTAGAGTCCTTCTTTTTCCCTGTGCTGATGTATGCAGGATTCGGGAACTCTTCATGAATAGCACACACTTTGGTGAGAAATTTAGACTTACCTGAAGATTCTGTGGAACAGGTGGAGAGGATTTTCTTTTCTTTTTTTCACTTTTAATAACTTTCACTTTAGGATGATTTTAGATTTGCAGAAAAGCACAAAAATAGTACCCAGAGTTGACATATAACCCACACAGTTTCCCCTGTTACTAACATCTTACATTAGGAAGGTATATTTGTCACAATTAATGAACCAGATTGATATTTTGTTATTAACTAAAGTCTATATGTTGTATCCAGATTTCCTTATTTTTTTTTTTTTGAGACAGAGTCTCACTCTGTTGCTCAGGCTGGAGTACAGTGATGCAATCATAACTCACAGTAACCTGGAACTCCAGGGCTCAAGTTATCCTTTCACCTCAGCCTCACAAGCAGCTAAGACTACAGGGACTTGCCACGCTAAAAATGGGAGAAAATTTTTGCAACCTACTCATCTGACAAAGGGCTAATATCCAGAATCTACAATGAACTCAAACAAATTTACAAGAAAAAAACAAACAACCCCATCAAAAAGTGGGCGAAGGACATGAACAGACACTTCTCAAAAGAAGACATTTATGCAGCCAAAAAACACATGAAAAAATGCTCATCATCACTGGCCATCAGAGAAATGCAAATCAAAACCACAATGAGATACCATCTCACACCAGTTAGAATGGCGATCATTAAAAAGTCAGGAAACAACAGGTGCTGGAGAGGATGTGGAGAAATAGGAACACTTTTACACTGTTGGTGGGACTGTAAACTAGTTCAACCATTGTGGAAGTCAGTGTGGCGATTCCTCAGGGATCTAGAACTGGAAATACCATTTGACCCAGCCATCCCATTACTGGGTATATACCCAAAGGACTATAAATCATGCTGCTATAAAGACACATGCACACGTATGTTTATTGTGGCATTATTCACAATAGCAAAGACTTGGAACCAACCCAAATGTCCAACAATGATAGATTGGATTAAGAAAATGTGGCACATATACACCATGGAATACTATGCAGCCATAAAAAATGATGAGTTCATGTCCTTTGTAGGGACATGGATGAAATTGGAAATCATCATTTTCAGTAAACTATCGCAAGAACAAAAAACCAAACACCGCATATTCTCACTCATAGGTGGGAATTGAACAATGAGATCACATGGACACAGGAAGGGGAACATCACACTCTGGGGACTGTTGTGGGGTGGGGGGAGGGGGGAGGGATAGCATTGGGAGATATACCTAATGCTAGATGACGAGTTAGTGGGTGCAGCGCACCAGCATGGCACATGTATACATATGTAACTAACCTGCACAATGTGCACATGTACCCTAAAACTTAAAGTATAATAATAAAAATAAATAAATAAAAAAAATAAATTTCTTAAAATAAAATAAAATAAAATGCTAGACCAATTTTTAAATTTTTTTGTAGAAATGGGGTCTCACTATGTTGCCTAGGCTGTTCTCAAACTTCTGGCCTCAAGCCATCCTTTCATCTTGGCCTTCCAAAGCACTGGGATTATAAGCATGAGCCACCATGCCTGGCTGTTAATTATTACCTAATGTCCTTTTTTTGTGTTCCAGGATCCCATCCAGGATACCACATTACATTTAGTTGTCCTGTCTTTCTTCAGTTTCCTTATTACTGAACATTGCTGAGACTTTTTAAATTTTTAATTATCTTGACACTTTTGAGGAGTACTGGTCAGGTAGTCTACAGAATGCCCCTCAATCGGGATATGTTTGATGTTTTTACCATGATTAGATTGGCGTTATATGTTTTTAGGAGGAAGAGGTGTGTGTGTGTGTGTGTGTGTGTGTGTGTGTGTCTACATATAATTGTGATAAAATACACATAACATAAAATTTACCATCTTAACCATTTTTCAGTGTGTAGTTCAGTAGCATTGAATACATTCATAATGCTGAGCAGCCATCACCGTCATCTGTCTATGCAACCCTTTCATCTTGTAAAACTGAAACTCTATACTCATTAAACAAGTGACAGTCTCACCACATCATAAACTATAACAACACTTATCATTGTTGATGTTAACTTGATCACCTGGCTGAGGTAGTACTTGTCAGTTACTCTATTTTCTCCCTTTCCATACTGTATTCTGTGGAAATAAGTCATTATGAATAGCCCACACTTAAGGAGTGGAGGTTATGTCAAGTGGGGAGTTAATGAGTGGATATTGTCTGCATAAATTACTGGAATTCTGAACATATTTGCCTATTCTCCCCTATTTATTTATTTAGTCAATCATTTATATTAGTATGGACTCTAGGATATTTGTTCTATTCTTTGGTTATAATCCAATACTACTTTATTTATTTTGCTCTTCAAATTGTCCTGGCTTTGGACATTGGGAGTTCTTTCAGTTGGCTCTGTGTCTGTCTTTGACACCCTTATTTGTTTATTTACTTGTTTAACACTTCCTTCCTTTCTGGCACTACAAGATAATCCAGGTTCATATTTTATATGCCCTGCTCAGTCCTAGAATCAGCCATTTCTCTAAGGATCTCTGGTTTGTTTTATTAGAGAAAGCTGTTAGACTTTAAGATTTAGATGGTAGGTATGCTTATTGCTACTGGGGTGTTATTGCTTGTAAGCCTTTTTATCTGACAGAGCAAGGGAATATTTTTATGTATGTTAAACATAATATAATTATGTTTAATTATACAGCAAATCTTATAAGGCAAATCTGTGCAGAATTCCAGTAATTTTGCCTCTTAATACACATGCTTGAGCCCACTGCCCAACTCTTGAGATCATAATAAAATATACGTTATGTATATTAATTATATTATGTATAATTTATATGTATGTAATCATATCTATATGTATTTATATATCCATCTATGCCTATATTAAGTTAAACATGAGCATATACTTAGGTCTTCAACCCTAATGCATTACCAGAATGATCATTCTAGCTTTCTGGCCTTGTTTGTCTGAAACCTCCCCCTCCAGCAGTGAGAACCTGGCTCCTAACACTCACCATCCATTTGTTTAAGTTAGCAATTCCAGTATATATAATATATAATAATATATTGCAATATAATACATATTGCAATTCCAGTATATTTGCCAGCAGTGGATCTGTGTGGGTACAGGTCTGCAGCAACCTCAATTCTTGCCTTCTCAGAAGAAATAATTCAACTAAGGTGCATAAGGCAGAAGGAGAGACCAAGGCAAGTATTAGAGCATGAACGAAAAGAAAATAAAGTACACTTGGGAGGGGGTCAAGAGGGCCAACTGAGAGACCAAGTGCACTATTTGACCTTTTGACTTGGGGTTTTATATGCTGGCATACTTCTGGAGTCTTGCGTTCCCTCTCCCCTGATTTTTCCCTTGAGGTGGGCTGTCTGCATGTACGGTGGCTTGCTAGCACTTGGTTAGGAGGGGAGCATGTATAGTGTGTTTACTGGAGTCATATGCATGCTAACTCGAGGTGTTTTTCCCTACCCACTCGAATGTCCCTGGGAGGTCATAAGCCAGTTAAACTCTGCCATTTTGCCTCTGAATATGCATGGTTGGGCCCACTTGCTCAACTCTTAAGATATTAGCGAGAAGCTGCTGATCACCAGTGTCAGGTGCTTCTATCTGTTGGGAGACTTCCTTTCCCTGGTTCTGGCTGGGACCAATTATTATTTTAGAGAAACAGTTTAATAACTGCCTGACCATCACTTGATGGTCGCCTGACATTCTAGGTTGGGGTGGAGGAGGGCCCTCTACTGCCCTGCTCATGTCTGACTAGCTACCTACTATAACATTTCCGCCAACAGGCGTCAAAGACCCCAATTTTTTTGGAGAAAATGGAGAAAAGTCCGGTGGTTCTGTGGGTCTTGGCCTTTAGCTAGCTGTCAAGGCAGGGTTGGCTCCATTGGTTGGTAAAAGTGGTATCCTGCCAAGTCCAAGGGGGACAGGGACAGGACTTTTCCTCTGTTGTGTCCCACTGATGGGCAGTTTATGGGTCCCCTGTAGAAGGGTGATTTGGCAGGATGGTATCCCTCACTGAGGATCTGGAGCTTGATGGCCTGAAAGCAAGAGGAGACAAATCAGGTTACTAGATTTAGAAGAATGTTAAAACGAAATAAGGGGGTGAGGACAGCTTCCCAATAAGATCTCAAGAGTTAAGCGAGTGGGCTCAAGAACGCGTATTAAGGGGCAAAATGGCAGAGTTTAACTGGTATATGACCTTCCAGGAAAATTCAACTGGGAAGGGAGGAATGCCTCAAGTGAGCATGCATATGACTCCAGTAAACACACCGCACATGCTCCCCTCCCAAGTGCTAGCAGGCCAGTGTGCATGCAGACAGCCCACTCCAAGGGAAGAATCACAGGAGAGGGAACACAAGACCCGGAAGCATGCCGACATATAAAACCCCAAGTCAAAGGTCAAACAGTGCACTTGGTCTCTCAAGCTGCCTGCTTGGCCCCTTCTAAGTGCACTTTACTTTTTTTTTTCCATTCCTGCTCTAAAGCTTTCTAATAAACTTTCAATCCTGCTGTAAAACTTGTCTCAGTCTCTCCTTCTGCCTTATGTCCCTCAGTTGAATTCTTTCTTCCGAGGAGGCAAGAGTTGAGGTTGCTGCAGAGCTATACCCATATGGATTTGTTGCAACAGTGGTTTCAGAATTATTAACCCCTACCCCCATGGGAAACAACTTCAGCAGTTAGAGTCTAGTGTTTCTTTTTGCCTTTAGTCTTCCAGACTCTAGTCATTTTCAAAATTATTTATGTTAGCACATTCTTTTGCCACCCACTTCAGTGAGGTTGTTGCATCCATTTAGCCTGTCTGAAAAGACTACATATTATATGATTCCATTTAAATAACCTTCTGTAAAAGGCAGAACTTATAAAGTCTATAGAGACAGTAAAGAGCACAATCATTGTCAATTAGATTCTTTATCATATTCTACATTCCATTCTGAGAACTCCTGACCTCCTAAATGATTAGTTAGATATATATTTATATATATATACACACACTCACACACACACATACATATATATAATGTGGAAAAATATACAAGCACACAATTTACCATCTTAGCCATTTTTAAGTATATAATTCAGCAGTATTAAATACATTTACAATGTTATGTAACCACCAACCACCTCCACCATTTGTAAACCAAGTAGTATCTGAGACAGTTCTCAATCAATTTAGAAGTTTATTTTGCCAAGGTTAAGGACATGCCCAGCGGAAACGAACATGGCATCACAAAAAAATGGTCTATGGTCTGTGCTTTTCTCCAGAGGATTCTGTGGGCTTCAATATTTAAAGGGGAAAAGCAGGCTAGGGGAGGAAGAGGGAGGATGTGGTAATCCACATGTAGCAGGGGAATAGGAGCAGGTAGGGGAATTATTAACTATGTATTCCTCTTGCTCTCAGTATATCAGCACTTTACATAAGATAAGGTAAAAATAGAGTGGCTACCTGTGGAGATATTTCACCTTCATCTGTAGGTATCTGCTTAGGAACAAAAGGAAAGGCAGTTTCTTGCATGACTCAGTTTTCAGCTTATTTCTTTTCCTTTTGGCTTATTGTATTGAGGTCCCAAATTTTTATTTTTCTTTCACACATATGTCTCCATAACTTTTTTCAACTTGTAAAACTGAAACTCTATACTCATTAGATAATAACTGCCGTTCCTCACTTCCTCTAGCCCTTGGAAACCATCATTCTACTTTATGTCTCTGTGATTTTGACTAAGTATTTCATGTCAGTGGAATCATACAGTATTTGCCATTTTGAGACTGGCTTATTTTATTTAGCATAATGTCCTCAAGGCTCATCCATGTTGTTACATTTTTGGAATTTCCTTCCTTTATAAGGTTCAATAATATTTTATTGTATTTATATACTACATTTTGTTTATCCATTCATCCACTGATGGACACTTGGTTATCCATTATAGTTACTCTGAATAATGCTGCTATAAATATCAGTGTAAACATATGTCTTTGAGATCTTGCTTTCAATGTTTATTTGCATGTATACCCCAAAATGGAATTGTTGGACCATATGGTAATTCTATTTTTAATATTTTGAGGAAACATCACACTGCTTTTTGTAGTGGCTATACCATTTTACATTCCCAGCAACAGAGCACAAGTGTTGCAATTCCTACATATGCTTGCCAAAACTTATTTTCTGTGTGTGTATGTAGGTGTGTCTGTGTGTGTGTGTGTGTGTGTGTGTGTGTGTGTTTGATAGTAGTCATCCTAACGGATGTGAGGTGCTCTCTCATTGTAGTTTTGATTTGCATTTTCTTAATGATAAGTGATGTTGAACATGTTTTCATGTGCTTATTGGACATTTGTACACCTTCTTTGGAGAGATGTCTATACACATCCTTTGCCCGTTTTTGAATCAGATATTTGTTTTTGTTGAGTTTTAGGAGTTCTCTATATATTCTGGATATTAACACTTATCAGATATATGATTTGCAAATGTTTTCTCCCATTTTGTGGGTTTCTGTTTTATTCTGTTGATAGAGTCTTTAGATGCACAGATTTTTAAAGTTTTCACGAAGCCCAATTTGTTTAGTTTTTGGTGCCCATGCTTTTCATGTCATATTAAAAATAGCACTGCCTAATCTGATGTTATGATGCTTTTGCTCCATGTTTTCTTCTAAGAGTTTTATAGTTTCAGGTCTCATATTTAGATCTTTGAACCATTTTGATTAATTTTTGTATATGGTGTTAGGTAAGGGTCCAACTTCATTCATTTGCTTGTGGATATACAATTTTCCCTGCACCATTTGTTGAAAAGACTGTCCTTTCCTTCATTGAATGGTCTTGTACACTTGTCAAAAATCATGTGACCATGTATGTATGGGTTCATTTCTGGGCTATTTTATCTATTGGTCTATATATCTTTTTATGCCAGTACCACACTGCTTTGATTACTATAGCTTTTTAATAAGTTTTGAAATCAGGAAGTATGAATCCTTCAGCTTTGTTCTTCTCAAGACCTCTGGTCACATAGAGGTTTTTTTCTCCCATATCTCTGAACAGCACTAAATTGTTTTCCTAATGTTATTAGCAATTTAACTCTTTCCCCCAAACCTGAATACATTACTCAGCATACAACACAGGGCTCTTTAACATTTCAGGCCCCACCCAAACAGCTTTTCAGACTTTACCATCCAGTCACCTATATCATTCTTCTTCATGGTCCTGGTTAACAGTCCCCTTTCCCAACATCATCATTTCACATCTCTTTACACGATCATTTAGGGTGTGAACTGTATCTTTAGCTGTGTAATCTGCAACAGTGCTGTGCCTAACTCTTAGTAGATATTCAATAAATATTAATTGAATGGAACAATAAGTGATTTGGTATAATGTAAAAGCCAGATAGCAGACTAACCAACATAACCTAAAATACATTCTATATTCTATCCGCTTGGCTAATATAATTGTTTCCTATGTACTCTTTGTTATTTTTAAATATTTGAAAGCTACTTGCAAGAAAAATGGACTGAAATCTGAGATACATTCAATTAATGTGGAACATATGGTGTTTATAGAAGCATTATCAAATAGTATCATGCTAGTGAATCTTGATCATGTATGTCAGAGGATTTCAGTATTAGCCCAGAACATCAGCATTACTACAAACAGCTGAACTATATTGTATGAAATTAATTTCCTCATGAAATATGGCATGGCCAGGATTTTGGGAGTTGGCTAGCTAGATTAGAAATGTTATCATCCGTATTATTGGTAAAAGGAGATGATGTGGCTGTTTATTAAGTAATTAGCTTTAAAAATCCTTGACATTGATATCAAATTTAAATACTGGGTCTCCAAGCACAATATTCCAGGAGAGCCCCATTTCACCTACTTCAGTTTGAAGATAAACATGGTTCAATCTGTGGGCCCCTCTTGCAAAGCCTGTGTTGCTTGTGTACTTGCTACCTTTGAGCTGTGTACACCAGCATCTGTATGCCAGATTCCTAATGTCAGTGTGAATTAGCTATTAAAATTTGAGTGGTGGGAAAGAGGGAGTTCTTAAATCTCTCCTCCCCATCCTCCACTAGTTCCCCTTCCTTTCCTACTTCTCTTCTTCCTCTTCCCTCTTAACATGTCTGCCATTGTCTTGGGTCTTGAAGAAGTTTGTCATTCAGAAGACAGAAATTTCTCCTCAGTTAAACCTCATATGTTTTTAATCATCCTTCATATGCCCAGTGGTTTGTATCAGAAATTAGGTCTTTAAGGAACTTGACCTTTCAGAGTCAAGAACTCTCCATGTTAAAGATTTATCTTTTGGTAGGAGGATTTTTTTAAAAGTATAATAATGTATACAAGTAGAATGTTACAATAATATTTTGAGTCTTTAGACATTTTAAGAGAGGATAATTCATCTTTTCTCATTTGTGTTGCAAGGTAGGTTCCCATGTTTTTTAATACTTGAAATGGTTGAATTCTTTTTATATCTTGAACTTCTTCTGGACTCTTTTGTTTGTAACTGTTAAATTGTGGAAATGACAAAGAAGCTGCTACTAGAAGATGGTGGTTTAGCTTGAAGTGGTATGGTAGGTGACACTTAAGGTTAGGTAACCTTTTTTTCCCAGGCAGGGCAAATCATTTAACCCTCTCAGTAGGCACTGGAATTTAGGAAACAAGTGGAAAACAGAAGGTAAAATGATGATGGTCTATACAAGGCCTCAAGATTACTTGGCATACTGATGCAAACTTTCCAACATTCCAAGTATGCATAAATTCCATGTATGCACACTGGTTTTGCCACTTCAAAGATTTGGATTACTTGTATTCTACATTTAGCTGAAATGAAAATTCAACTCTGGTTTTCATCATACCTCAGTAATATGCTAATTTCATCCTCATGGCCTGTAAGAGTTAATGTCATAAGTTGGAACTAACTTACTAATAGAGAAATACATGGGAATAATTGGTTCAATGTTTTTCATAGCTGATTGTGTTTTCAGGATGAAAACCAACTGACCACGAATCAAGAGCTGCCAAAAAAAAAAAAAAACACCATGTTCCACTTGTGCCCACACAATTGATTGCTTGGGTATTTCCCCCAGAACGTCTCTCTTTGACAAATACAGTCGCTAAAAAAATGTTAGTAGCAGAAGCTGCTGCTTTGGCGTCCTGAGTTTACTGTAACAGATTGCCTGATTTCCACATTGGCCCCCCATATTCTTTTCTTTATTATGTATTAAATAAAAGGTGGCTGCTAAACTGCAAACAATTTAAATACATTTCCTTCTTCATTACATTCTTTTAAGTTTTACAGAGTTAGAAAATGTAGTGTGGCCCTTCCTACATTTTCGAAACTGGTGACTGGTTTTCCATACTAGGTAAATATGTGTGACACCCCCTGTTGTTCCTGCTACATCATAGGTTAAACATTTTACAGGTTTCGAATACCTTGCATGTATTATTTCACACTCACCTTACACAACTCTACAAAATAAGGCAAATATCACTCTAATAATTTATAGATGATAATGAGGCTTGGAGAATTTCAGTAGGTTTTCTATCATCACAAACCTAGGATGTGGTAGAACCTGGGTCAGAATATAGGTTCAAATTTTCAGATTTGAGCCCATGAAAATCCACTGTAATTCAGGCTCAGAGCATTATTGCTTTTGGCCAAGGGGTTATTGTATTATGATCAGAATAAAGAAATAATATATTTTGCGATTTATGCTCTAGTGGTACCAGATATCACTTTATATTTCTCATTTTCATCACTGTGCCCTCTTGATAAAGGAGATCTCGTTGTTATCCTTCCCTCCGATTTCTTTAAGAGTTAATCTCATTTGCCAACAATAGTTTCTTATTTTTATTATTTTTTTGAGACAGGGTCTCACTCTGTTGCCCAGGCTGGCCTGCAGTAGCGTGACCACAGCTTACTGCAACCTCTGCCTCCTGGGCTCAGGCCATCCTTCCACCTCAGCCTTCTGAGTACCTGGGACTACAGGAACTCGCTGCCACACTCAACACTAATTTTTTTTTTTTTTTTTTTTTTTTTTTTTTTTTTTTTTTAGGAGACATGGTTTCACATGTTGCCCAGGCTTCTCTCAAATTTCTGGGCTCAAGTGATCCTCCTGCCTCGACCTCCCAAAGTGCTGGGATTACAGAAATGAGCCACTGTGCTGGGCTTGCCAACAAGAATTTTAAGACTTGGTGTAAATATTATAATGAACACATTAAGAAGTTATATCAGCATGACCTCTTTTGTTTCCATTTTCTAGTGCTTATACTTGTGAATGTAATTTAACATTACTTTCAAAATAGTAAATTTTACTTTTTGCAGTTTCTGTGACTGAGTTTACACAGATGCATTATGCCAAAGTGTGGGCCATCTTCTCAAAGCTCTCTGGTAAAGGAAGAACATTAGTCATTGAAGTATCAGGAGTTAGAAGAGGCCAGGTATGGTGGCTCTCATCTGTAATCTCAGCACTTTGGGAGACCAGAGCAGGAGGATTGTTTGAGCCCAAGATTTTGAAACTAGCTTGGGCAACACAGTGAGACCCTGTCTCTAAAAAAAAAAAAAAAAAAAAAAAAAAAAAAAAAGCCAGGCATTTGTCTGTAGTCACAGCTATTCAGGAGGCTAAAATGGGAGGATCACTTGAGCCTGGGGGGTGGAGGTTGCAGTGAGACATGGTCATGGCACTGTACTCCAGCCTGGGAGACAGAGTGAGACCTTATCTAAAAAAAAAGAAAAAGGAAAAAAGAGAAGAGTTTTGCTGCTTCCTGTCATTCCTGTCACCTTTTGCCCAGCAGAGTTCAATGCACAGCTTCTACATAGAGATGATGATTCTGCCTGGTCATGAAATGGTTTTGAGATGGAGGATGTTGCTATGAAAAGTAAGGAATGTTGAAGGACAATGATTTTTGTACTGATTTGTGGGCTTCTCAACACATATGTCTCTACCCTATCTGTCTTTTGCGGTGCCACATATACAAATAAGTCCTAATGTATTCTTATTAAATATTAGCCCTTAATAATTATGCCTAGTGTTCCACTATTGGAATGCTAAGCTTGTGGGAATTATTTATATCCTACTGCTCAAGGTCATCGCCAAGGTATGATTTTTCACAAAATAAATTTACAACCTCTGGCATAAATGGGTTACTTCTTGACCAAGTATCTGGTCAAAGAGTATGTTCCCATTTCTCAGAATCTGGGAGAATCTTGAGGAATGGCTTTCTTTCTTCAACGGTTTTGAGGTTTTATGCCTACTGGGTATAAAGTAGTGAATCATGTCTTTTCCTTTTTAAAATTTTAAATTACAGATATAGCAAGGCAAATTCAATTTTTCTTCCACATAGACCCATACATTAAACTGATTTGAGTGTATTTCCCTTTTTTGAAACATGTAGGATTAGGAAAAGAGAAAAGTCTAAATTTAGAAAAAATACTGTGTTAATTTTAACTGAGATACTCACATTGTACCTAATAACGTTTTCTAGAACTTAAACTATAATAAGATATATATATATATATATAAAATAAAAATAAAAATAAACAAAAAAAATAAAATAAAATTAAATTAAAAAAAAAAGAAACCTTTGAAACCTCTTAGAACCTAACAATGTGCTCAGGGAAACCCAAGATATTGTATATATACAATGTAACAAACTTGTTACATGTCAGTTCTCTATGATTCTATCAAATGAAAATGAGAATGTGTCAAATATTAAGCCCTCTGGGAACTTTGGGGAGTTTCATCTGAAGTTCATCTCACTTCTCCCTTCTCCTCTTAGGTGGCCATGTTTGTGCTGCAACTGGGCAGTGCCACATTTGTGGTCACAGAGCCTGTGATCAGCGCAATGACAACTGGGGCTGCCACCCATGTGGTGACTTCACAAGTCAAATATCTCTTGGGAATGAAAATGCCATATATATCCGGACCACTTGGATTCTTTTATGTGAGTTTTTCGTATGCTTTCATACATATCTTTTGAATGTGCAGGTTTCACAAAGTAGAATTTGATTAATTATAGTACTGAGATTTTTCTGTATTAAAGCAACTTGGGTTTAAATAAAATCTTATAGGATATTTTGAGTGTGACTTAAGGTATGCAACTAATTTAGTGAGTAATTTCTACTAATTTTGGAAATGATTCCTTGTAATGAACAATGGAATATGAGCTAATTTGGGGGCATAATTAGAAAAAAAAAACCTGAATTTTTTGTGAGCCAGGTATTGTTGCCAGCTTCTAATGGAAGTCATCCACTGGGATTATGGCCAAGTTTAACAATAGTGCACTCCCCCACATTCTTTCAGTATTACAAATCCTGGGGTGGATTAAATCAGAGGCCTGGTTGAAATTGGTGGCTGAAGCCTCAGTAGCAGACAATCAGCTATTAAAAACCACCTGAACCCAAGAAAGAGAGTAGCACCTGGCCATTTGCAACATATTTTTCTAACAACACTTTTTTGTTCTTGGGTTTGTTTTCGAAGTGGACCTAAAATCTATAACCGCTCAAGAACTCAGATCCTATTAGAGGTTTATTTTTTAAAAAGCCTTGTTAATGAATTTGCTGACAACCAAACTTTGTTTTGTTTAACTTTATGCATTGCTGTATACTAAATAACATTAATTTTTTGTTTCATAATGAGAGTATTGCCATTCTTAATTTTCTTAAATATTAATGGCTCGAAGTAACTCAATGAATGGAGTATGGTAATTTATCTATCTGTTATTGAGGTGGTTTCTGTCATTTCTGTATTATACATGGCCCCGTGAGGATCCTCTTTATTTGCATATTATTCTCTGCACCAAACAAACATTGATTGTTTCAGTAGGATAAGTTCCTATGATAGAATTATTAGATCAAAGGGGTATAAATTTCAATCTGAAAAGATGTATCCATTAATATTTTACTCTGACCTTATCACTGTCAACTCTGGTTATGGCTATTTTTTAAGTGACCATTTGATATGTGAAAAAAATGGTATCACTTGTCTAAGTGTGTTTCTCTGATTAGTTGGTAAAGAAGTTAATAAAAAGCAATTAGCAACACAGAGCTGGAAGCTGGATCTGAATTCGTATTTCTTAGATAATTTCCTGCTCAATGATTCATTCATTGTAAGAATGATTAACACTGAAACAAGAACACTGGAACTGGGCCTGGAAGCAACATAATTCCAAGCTCCAGCTCAAACAAAAGCAGACCAAAGTAGCTGTAAGCTGTCAGGTGACTGGTTGAAAGTTTAAGACTTTCAGTGACAGCAGGTCTACACGACAGAACCAAAGCAGTGATAGTTTCTGTCTTGACCTCTCACCTGGAAATGGCCTGGCCTGCTTGTCGGCACATGTGCAGTTTAAGGAAATGACTGTCCATTACCACTTGGCCTCTTGAATCATATCTGCATACACAAACGATCATCTTTCTTTTTTCTAGTTGTGTTAAAGAAGCAGGGTAGCCTGCTGTGAGAATGACATTGGTCTTTCAGCTTGTTTCTCTGGTGGGAATGTGTATAAACTTCTATTAAACACTTCGGTTAAAGGTTTTGTGTGTGATTTTGTTTTTCATTTTGTATTTTTGAGGGAAACTGCAAGCTACTTTACCCTAGTCTTGTAGATCAACACTGTGGGACTTTTTGGAGGTGTTTCTTTTTTTTCTTGGGACGAGTCTCACTTGTCACCAGGCTGGAGTACAGTGGCATGATCTTGGCTCACTGCAACCTCCGCCTCCTGGGTTCAAGCAATTCTCCTGCCTCAGCCCCCTGAGTAGCTGGGACTACCAGTGCGTGCCACTGTGCCCAGCTAATTTTTGTATTTTTAGTAGAGACGGGGTTTCACCATATTGGCCAGGTGGAGGTCTTTCTTAAAAACTTTACGGTGAAACGGAATCAGATTTGGGAATGTTTTTGGACTGCTGGCTTTAAATTCACATTACTCAGTTGATGGAAATTGCTATGCTTTGTGTTGATGGAAAATGGAAAAAAAGAGTTGCTCTTGCTTTTCAATTATCACAGAGTCCTGTACTGTGAGGCTGTTAGGTGGGAATGGTGCTTTGGTTCTTTGCCATGGTTTCAAATGGATGTTGATATTGCAATGCCAAAAATTCTGGTGATCTGAGTGTTAGATTAAGAAATAAATCTTACATCATGCACAGGTTGCAGTGGGATATTGGGAAGTGTGCTTTGGGGTACTTAGGCTGAGAGAATCTCATGATGGCTACACTTGCCACTGGATCATTTAAGTGTTACATAAAGAAGCAGAGCTGAACTCAGCAAGGATGTAGAGCAGAAGACATCATACAGGCCTTGGCTAGCATGTCAAAGAACCTACAGCAGAATGAATTGACACATTTGTAAGACTTTTCACTCTTTGACATGTATCCTGCCTCTGAGTTTTCACAATTGTTATATCCTTTCAGAAAGTAATTCAGGCTGATGAGAGATAAAGCCCATGTTACTGATATTCTTGGAACATAAATTGGATATCTAGAATATTTAAGACTCTTGCACAATGAGCCAGTCATGATTCCTAATAGTCCCAGGTGGGCTACTCATTTTTGTCAAAAGAGTCCAGTTTTAGCCAATCAAAATGTCCATTGATTAATTAATTATTCTTAGGTTGAGTTCTGTAGACTGGGGTCTATTTATTCTGCCACTGTGTGGTTTCTACAGTGCCTTCCTCACAGGGGATGTCTGATTCTGTGCTATTCAGAGAATCTCATTCCCTAGTTGAGTTGGATGAGTATGAACAGCTAATATTTCCATCTCTTTGGTTGCTCTGGGGTGGCAGGTGTTCTTGCCACAATGAAATATTTTTAGGGAGCAATTTGAATCAGATACATGTAGGGGTTTGTGCTCAGTTCTGCCCTCTTAGATGATAGATAACAGACTTCTCATAGGCTTGAGGGATAGACATGGCATAATGCCTTCCCCTTTTCTACTTCTGGCATGAGGAAAACACGCCCCGACTCCAGCGAAGCTCAGGTGGTTGGGCCGCTCTTTCTCTTCTAGCTGAAAGTTGTTAAAGAGTTTCCTCAGGGGAGGAGTTCTTCCCGAGTGTGAAACATTACTAAGGCTTTCCCCTAGAACTTTGAATGCCCTTCGAGAATTTCTAGGGTCCACATATTCAAAGGGAGCCTCCAGAATAACTGTCATGACCCTACTATATCCCTAAGAAGAGTGGGTATAATTAGGCCTAACTTATCCTTTTATTTAGCCTTCCTAAATTCCTTCACAGATAACTCTTTACTTTTTAAATTTGTTCTTAAGAGTTTTATCTCTAGATTCATATACTTCTGATTAAACTATCTTTCTTTTAGTATTATGGCTAGTTCTTTGTAAACTTTAAAGATTACATCAATGTGTTCTTTTTCAGGTATATATTGGGAAAAAATTATTATTTTTTCTCTGAGGTAACTTTTAGCTCTTGTTAGTTACCATAACTTGAGCTAATGACCGAGTGTCTTTGATTTCCAGTTGTCTTGTCTGTTTTGTGCACTGATGATAATTATACTTCTTGGAATTCATTTCCAAAATGAAAAGCATGGAACATAGGTGTTCATTAAGTGGAAGCCATTGTCTTTCTTACTAGTAGTGAATAGTTCAATGTAAAAAATTATGCATTTTTTAAGTGTCATTTAAGTAATAGATACTAATGCTTTTCCTCTATAGAGGACTCTTAATCAGATTTTAAAAAAGACTAAATAACAAAACAAACTTATGTGTATTTTAATGACTTTAGAATGGCTTGAAAATTTATAAAACCTTTAGAAACAAATATATCTTCTGTTAATGGGGGTTGATCATTAAAATTAAAAAAGCTATGTTTTTTAGTTTATTTTTATTTATAAAGGTTTTCAACAGTTCAACTCAAATCTCCCTCAGCAGTTATAAACCCATTTAATAAATTATAAACAGTGTTGCAATATATTTTAAAATAAGAAGAAACAATAATGTTATAAGGGTCACTTGTGTCTTGGGATCCTGGCTCAGAAGTTAAATTGTTCTATTCTTGGCTTCCTTTAAATTCAAATATTTGACCAGTAAGTTGGTTCCTCACACAGATAAGAAGAAAAAGTTTAATTCTTATTTACAAAAAAAATTTTTAAATTGAGGAATGATGAAGTATCTTTTTATCAGAAAGGATGTTTTCCCCCAAAAGGCACAATAAAAATTACAAAAATTCCTAGTTCGTATTAGCACATGTGGGTTTCTTTGAGATGGTGCCAGTGTCTCAGCCTGCAGCAGCCTATGATAAATTTGGCAAGGATACTTTCATTGGCATGGCTTTATATGAGCACTGCTCTAAATAATTATGTACAGTTATATATATTAAACCCAAGAGCAAAAGGCGAGCTTGGCAATATATTCAGCCATCCTTCTTGGAAGTTTTTATTTTCTGCCCTAAAAATGGGTAGTTTCAGAACTGGAAAGCAGTTTAATTCTCACCCCCCACCCCTGAAGTACAAGCAAAGTACTTTTCTAGTTTGGACTGCAAAGACTGCAAAGGGGAACCAAGAATGTTAATAAAATGGGATAGAAATGTCAGAAGGAAGTCAGAACCAATGAAACATTTTCTTTTATAGGGAATGAGATCACAATTAAATATGTATAAGTGGGGTTTATACGTGGAGAACAAATCTACTTTGTAGACCTAGGCTCTGTGGGATTTCTGAATCAAGAACATGCTTTGATGGTTTATGAAAGCTCACAGTTTCTCTGCAGATATTGTGACATCTCTATTGTGAATTGTGGGAATGTTCAGTATACCCTGAAAAATGGACAGAATAAATTAAAGGGGAGAGAAAAAGAATGTTCATCTGTAACTTGATTCAATCAGTGATGCAGGGGATAGAAGATGTGGCAGGTTTAATTTGGATATGAAACAACTATATGTAAATTTGTAGCCAATGTTACTTTAGGATTCTAAATCAGAGAGCAAATATTTTTGCAACTCAACCATCGTAGGCCAAACTCTCTCCATCCCTCACAATTCACTGAAAAATGCATCAACACAAAATCCAGTGCTCAAGTAATTCAAATTAAACTAATTTACCAAACAAGAGATGGCTGGATGCCACCTGGACCTTGGAATGCTTGGTTGTATGTTTGGTCCAAGTGACTTTTGTATACTCATGATGTCTTTAGCTATTTAACATACCATACTTCCCTTAGACCACATTTGTTCTGAGACTTATTTTATCCCTTGAAGTAATAGCAAATGGATTTATTCCAACTGTATCATATAGTTATTGATTAGAAATTGGGGTATAATGATGTAAAAAACTACCAGAATGTTGGTTTTCCCTCTTTCTTTTGGGATTTTGTTTGTACTGATAAAAATACAGCCTGTGGTTAATATCCAACTTAATCTTTCCCTTTCTCTTTTTTCTTATCTTTTTTTTTTTTTTTTTTGAGACATAGTCTCACTCTGCCACTGAGGCTGGAGTGCAGTGGTGCCATCTCGGCTCACTGCAACCTCCACCTCCCGGGTTCAATGGTTCAAGCAATTCTCGTGCCTCAGCCTCTGGAGTAGTTTGGATTGCAGATGTGCATAACCACGCCTGGGTAATTTTTGTATTTTTAGTAGAGCTGGTGTCTTGCCTTATCAGCCAGGCTGGTCTTGAACTCCTGTCGTCATGTGATCTGCCCACCTTGGCCTCCCAAAGTGCTGGGATTACAGGCATGAGCCACTGCACTCAGCTTATATTTTTCTTGTTTTTGTATTTATGTTCACTACTGTAGAGGGAGGTGGGATTTGAGGGGCTTGATCTTATCAATACATATTCTAAAATGTTTAATGATGTATAATGATATAGGCAAAGTTGACAAGAGACATCAAATTCTTATGAATAGAGAGAACTTGTGCTAACATCAGGTTCTAAAGGATCAGAGTTGGCTTTAGGTGTCCCTGAGCAGGAATTTAGATCTGCTTGGAGGTAGGATTCAAATGCAATGAGCTTGAAAGCAAGTTGGGGTGGGGAGAGGGCATGCCTGGGCAATCATGACTCATGTTTAAAGGTTCCAAGGATGTGAAAGCTGCCTTAATTGTCCAACAGAATAATCAGAATAATCTGGGGGGATTTTACAAGCTACACATGAGTAGGAAGAGATAAACATGCATCCTTGATTAAAGAACCACTAGAACAGATTTACTCAACAAATTGACCACCTCACAGGCATTGAGGATACAGTTGAACAATAACATTTTTGTTCCCGTGGAATTTTATTGAAACACTGAGGAGGGACGCAAAGTATGGAGAGAGGAGACAAACAAATTGGCAAATGAAGTAATCTCAGATAGTGTTAATGAAGGAAACAAGGCGGTGTGATTGAAGGTGGGTAACGTGGTCAAGTGACAGGGGTGGGTCTGCTTAGATAAGATGGCCTGGGAAACCTTTTCTGAGGACATGGCTTTTGAATGGAGGCTAGAAAGATGAGAGAGACCCAGCCATAGAATGATTTCAGTTAAGAGTATTCTATGAAGAAAGAGCAGCAAATGCTAATTCCCTAAGGTAGATATAAGGTTGGCATGTTGGAAAGACAGAATGGGTTTGCTTCTAAGATTCTTTCCAGTGGAATTTCAGAAATTTTGTGATTCTATTTCATTAACTCCTGAGGTTTGGCTACAAGACCAGACCCTACTCTTGTTTTATATGTGTAGCTGGCAGAATATAGGTTTAATAGTGAGACAAGACCAAGAACTACATGCCAGCTCCATTGTTCAATTTCTGTGTGGTCTTAAGCAATTTAGCTAACCTCTCCAAGTCTTATTTTCCTCATGTGTTAAATGGAAATAATAATGCTCACCTTGAATTAATTAAGACATTAAATGAATCACTGTGTATAAGATGGCCAGCATAGAGCCTGAAAGTGTTAATTCCCCTACTCTTCTAGGAAGTGACTAAGTTTAAACAGTTTCCCCATTCTTTCTTCCTGAGTACCCCCTGCACCACCCCCATCTGCCTATGATAGGGAAAATATGAAAATTCCTCTCCCTTCAGGAACGGAGGGTGAAGGCACTGTATAGATACAGGTAGGCTTTCACCAAATATGCTTATGTTAAGAAAAGGCCATAATCTGTGTATTAACAGCTTTCAGAATCAAGTTGAAAGGCGTATTGCTTCCCTTGTACTAATGTGACTCTGCTGCTGATGTTGAAGGCATAAGACTGGAGGGTGAGAAGAGCTCGTATGCCTGAGAAGCAGCCAGGTGCCATTGAATACCACCACTAAAACCCCAAATCTAAGACTTCATGCTCTGTAATAGTCTCCTCTTCAAAGAGGTAGCATCTTCCCTCCATAACCCAAGGGAAAAGGAAGCAGCAGGGAGATTTGGAAAAATTCTTTGCTGGACTGAAAAAATCATGAGATAGTCATTGGTAAAATGTGCACGTGTTTGTCTAGGGTTGAGGGGACCTGTGTCAAAATCCTGATTTTCTCATTCACAAGCCAAGTCACCTGGGGCAGGACACAAGTCTCTGGAGCCTTGGTTTCTATTTCTACAGAATAAGTGTGTGGAACTGGTTGATTTCTGAGGTTTTTTTCTGATGCTGACAAGTGTCTTCTGAACATTTCCTTTGATAGGCATTTTAGTTGTAATCCTCACTGCAGATATCAACTATGCCTGATTGATCTTTGGTAGATGGTCATTCAGTTGGCCATCTCTCTTAATGGTACTGATCACTTGGTAATTATTATTGAAAATGTTCTGTTTTGTTTCTTTTTGTGTTTTAGAATACTTCTATCTCAGCTAACATGAAAAGAGGGGAATTTGCTAGGGTCTATCTGTGATTCTAAGAACAAAAGCTTGGAATCCCCTCTGCCCTCTCTATTAGCTTCCTAGGGCTGCCACAATAAACTATCACAGACGAGGTGGCTTAAACAACATAAATTTAATTTCTCCCAGTTCTGGAGGCTGGAGATTCACAATCCATGTGCTGACAGGACTGGTTTCTTTTGAGGCCTCCCCGCTTGGCTTGCAAACGGCCTCCCTCTTGCTGCTTCCTCACATGGTGGAACCCCTGTGCATGCACAGCCCCTGTGTCTCTGTGTCCTGATTCTTAGGAGGACGCCAATCATATTGGATTAGGGCCCACCCTAATGGCTTCCTTTTAACTTAATTACTTCTTTAGAGACCCTGTTTCCAAATACAGTCACATTCTGAAGTACTGGGGGTTAGGATTTGAACATATGAATATTGAAGGAACACAAGTCAGCCCATAATACTTTCTTTGAGTTGTCTCAGAAGTGAGCAGCATTAGATTTGGTGCTGGCGTCTTAATGGCTACTGTAACTTGTTACCACAAATCTGGTGGTTTAACAAAACAAATTTATTCCCACATTTCTGGAAGACACTTCAAAATCAAGGTCTCTTCTGGTCCATGCTCCCTCTGCAGGTTCTAGGGGAGAAACCATCCTTGCCTTTTCAGCTTCTTCTGGCTCCTGGCATTCCTTGGCTTGTGGCTGCATCACGCCAACTTCTGCCTCTGTCTTCACATGGCCTTCCCTGCTGTTTGTTCTTCTCTCCTGTCTCTTACAAGGATACTGATCATGGGATTTAGGGCCCACCCAGGTAATTTTAGGTGATCTCATCTTGTGGTCGATCCTTTACTTAATTACATCTGCAAAGACCTTATTTTTCCATATAAGGTGACAGTCACAGGCACTGGAGTTTAGAATGTAGACTTTTTTTTGGTGGGGAGGGGAGATAGGGGACTACAATTCACTCACTGCAGTAACCCAACCATGTATGGTGAGGAGGTTTTATGTTTTTGCTTGTTTTTTGTTTGTTTGTTGGTTTTAAAATTAGAATGTGACTGAAGTTATCCATGTGATGCAATCAGTAAATATAATTAATATAATTTCAAAGCTATTTCAGGGCCGTGACTACCACTGAGCGCTCTGTGTTGTGAGATGAGGCTTCTGATAGAAGTACCATCTAAATGAATAGATTATTAATAAATTTTATTCAACATAGGACTTTACAGTAGATACAATGAGTAAAATAGTTTATTCGGTGGTGCTACTGTTGTCTTATTTTAATATATACTCTTTGAGACATAGAAAACAGTCCATATTTTTAGACACCTATCTATATGCTGATTATGCCAAATGCACTTTCAAACCAAAGTTTGCACATGTGGTAGCTGGCATATATGGATGTTACCATTGTTTCTGGAGATAGTTATGGTTTTGTGGTTGATGACTGACTCAAAATAATTTATTGGGAATTAAGAATTGTAGATTGCAGATTAGTAGTTTATACCTACTATTAAAATAGTGTGCTGATAGATTTATTACAGTGTGCTAATTTTACTAATGCTCTGTTGTTTCTCTAGTCAAACACTAACTTATTTATCACAGATCTTTAGAGCCAAGATAGTGCAGGAATGATAAAAAATGCTACTAAAGGGTTATGTGTTGTTTTTAGTGTAGAAATATTTATTCAAATAATCTTTGTGGTCCCTTTATGGATAATTCAAAGATGTATTCATCATTACTAGTGAAGAATTATTATCAATAATATCATTATGCTCTAAAAATGTTTAAATCATTTTTTCTCATGTATATTTTATTACAACAAAACCTAAACCAACCAGAATGCAGAGGAAAGTAATGTTTTGATTAATAGAATTTTCTGGTTAATAAAGTATTGAGCAGAAAGTTTATTTAATTTTTAATACTTGTTAATATTTTCTAAACATATAAGATCTTTCTATTTGTGTTATGAAATTTAAGAGTGGATAAACTTTGGATTTTTCTTCCTGCATAGGTATTTCTTTACAGTGCCTTTTTTAGAAATTCACGGCAGTTGTGCAATGAGAATTCAATAGCTATGGTCCCAGAGAGATCTTTATTTATCTTTTCTTCACTAAATACTAAACTTTTTCAGCCTTGATGTTGCTTCATTTTTATAAAATTAAAATTTGACTATATCAAAGATGGATTACTTAAAATTACTGCAATGGTAGCTTTAATATTTGGCTCAATGCCTTGCACATAATATAACCTCAATAAACAAGTTGAATAAATGAAACTTGATAACTGCAAATCCCCCTAATATGATATAGTCCAAGTATTGGTAGTGAGAAGAGTCTGGATCCTTTCTCTTCTTGCTATTCTACTTATTCAAGGTAAAATCTATGCCTACTTACAGACTTATTGTTACTATTACTATGCTAGACCCAAGTATTCATTCATTCAACAAAATTTATTGAGTATCTACTTTTTTCCCAGACACCATTCTAGAAGTTGAGAATCTATCAGTGAAAATAAAAGCTTATAAAGAAAGGCAAATTAGACAAAAACACATTATATAAATATATTGTATATGTGTGTGTATGTGTGTGTGTAAATGTCTGTGAAGTACTTTAGAAAAAAGCCTCACATCTAAAGAAAATAATGAGAAGCAGTACATGTGCTGTGGATAGGTGATTTACCTCAAGATGGATTGTTTATGCATATTGATATTTTTCATTTTATATCATTATAATAAATGGTAAATTTAAACAACCAATATTACAGTCTCAAAATGAGCTGAACTCTCAATATATAATGAACTAATATTACAGTTTTATTAAACTGACTAGGCAGTTCTGGTTAGATAGCTTACTTATTTATCCATACAGATATAAATATTATCTTTGCTTCTCTGAGATCTGGGGAGAAAATGCTGATCCTCAATAGGAATTTTTATCTACTGGAGCTTAGTGCATGATAGTGTATTCAGATGACTGGATTTATACCAGAAATTAGAAATTTAATATGTGCTTAGGATGCCTGGAACTCTATTAAATAAGCATATGTAAATATGTGTGTGTGCATGTGTGCATGTCTATCCTTAGCCCCATTCCTGTCTCTTTTTCCATATGCCACCCATGTATCATGAGCCTGTTTTAGCCTGTGATTCTCTCTGTGGGTCCACATGACAGTCATTAGAATGACATTCCTCACCAGCCTCCTTTCCTATTCTGTTCTTCATGCTGGTTGTAATGAGCTATCCACCCCCTTGTTCTTCTGGAGCATCTTGTGAGATGTGCTTTGCTTAATGAGCTATAGTTTAATCCAGACAGACAATAAAAACCCTGGGGGGTTTTCTCATTCCATTCATTCTGGGGTGGTCATTTTTATTACTGCAAACACATGTTCTCAAAATGCACACTACAGCAAATTTGGTATGGCTTGGAAGTTTTGCATATTTCTACTCTTTCTTATACAGACATTGTCATGGCATACTTTTAATACCACATAAAACAGCAGAAAAGATATTCTCTAAATGCTTTAAAATACTTGGATATTTGTCTTCTTCCTGACAGATCATCTAAATAATATTCTCAATTTTATCCTGAGATCATGAAAAATCATCAGAAAGCATTTGGACAATTTGTTATTTTACATCGTCTCTATCCCCTTTCCCTGTAGAATATTTCTCACTGAGTAGCATTTTGGATTTTTATCCTGGGATTGATTGAGTAGTGGGCAACTTTAAGCAATGAACCCTGTTCCTTCTAGAGAAATCCTGTGAACAGTTATCATCCACAACATAGAGACAGAGAGGAAAAATGTCATCTGCATCTAAGATAATGATGACATTGTAGTACCTACTTTTCTTTTGAAGTAGCATGGAATAAAATAGAATTATGTGAAAAAGATAAAAAGCAAAGCTACCTGACCCCTAATACGTTTATTAATGTATCTGATTACATAACTAGTGGGTTCTTTTGTTATTGTCATTTTAACTGTATGGATAAAAGGGGGTCTGGATAGCCTGCGTTATGCTAATTCTTTTCACCCAGTGAGGCTCCACTTAATTGAGTACATTTTCTTTGCTCAAAAGATTTAACATGTTAATGATAAAATTCAATATGCAGAATTCAGGCTCAACCTGATGCACTGCCTTTATACCAGGTGCATTTGATCCTTGGGCCAGATGGGCTGAGTCCTTTGATGAGGAAACCTACTAAGCAGAATTTTATGATATTCTAAGAAATATAGTCCATATAAATTCTTTTGATCCATTGTCTATATAATGTTTTGACTCAATATTTTGAGTTGTGGTCAAATTATATTTAAGATGCTAAATAGAAAGGACAAAGAACACAAAAAGTTAGGCTACTATAAGAATAGCCTGTGTGCCAGAATAAAACTAATCTTTATCACCTGAAACTAGACTTGAGCAATCCGCTGTGGACAAATAGAAATGAGGTTATAAAAACTGGATTCAGCATGTTCAAGAGAAGGAGAAGTTAAGAGACATTTTGGAAATAATCATATAAGGACAATTCAAAACCCTAAAGTTATCAAAGTGATATATTTTCATAAGAGAAAACATGGAAGATACAAATAAGCTCTTATGCAGAGCTGTTAACATTCCAGATACATTCATACATATATAGAAGCATGAAATTTTATTTCATCAAAAGTAATATCTAAATTAGCTTTCTAGGGCTTTCAAAACAAATATCACAGACTGGGTGGTTTAAACAACAGAACTTTATTTCTTACAGTCCTGGAGACTGTAATCAAGAAGTCTAGATCAAGGTGATGGCAGTTTTGGTCTCTTCTTAAAGCCTCTCTCCTTGGCTTGCAGATGGTGGCCTTCTCCTTGTGTCCTGACATGGTATTTCTCCTGTACAAGGTGCATGTCTGTGTTCTAATCTCTTCTCAGTCATTTTGGATTAGGGCCCACCCATATGATCTCATTTTACCTTAATCACCTCTTTAAAGGCCCTGTCTCCAGTATAGTCACATTCTGAGGCACTGGGGGTTAGGACTTCAACATATGAACTCAGAGGGGGCCACACAACTGAGCCCATAACAATGTCAAACCATATGCATTTATCTGAAACTTTTCTTTTCCGACTTAGCATTATAACAGGAAGGTCTTTCCATGTCAATAAATGTACATTTTGTCTAAAATAATGAATTTAATGGATGTAGACTACTATATGTATACATGTAACCTAGAGAATTCAACCAGTTCTCTTTTATTTTACTCTTTAAATGGATTCCATTTTCAATGCTGTTTTAAACAATGTTTCAGTGAATATCTTTGTAACAAGGTCTTTTCACACGAGCTTAATTATGTTCCTAGCTTAATGTTTTGAAGTAGAATTGCTAAGGCAAACAATAGAGCAGTTCAAAAGTGTTTATTTTTCAGCTTTATTGAGATATAATTGCCACATAAAAATTGTATATATTCAAAATGTACAATGTGATGTTTTGATATATATATACACATTGTGAAATGATTTCCAAACTCAAGCTAATTAACATATCTATTGCCTTCAAAGGTTTTCCATACATTTTATCAGATCACCAAAGTATTGCAACAATTTATACTCACAAGGGCATGTAAAAGAGTTCCCATTACTTCCCCCAGATTAGACTATTTAAATTATTATTTAAGCATCACTAATAATTTGATAAAAGAAAGAATGCTTTCTTATAGTTTGAATTTACATCTCTTTGATTAATAGTGTAATTGAGCTCTTTGTTCATATGTTTATTGACCATTTGTATTTCTTCTGTTATCTGTTTATGTCCTCTGCTAATTTTAAAATATTTATTTTCTATGACTTCAGGTTTTATATTTAACCTCTTTTGATCTAGAATTTATTTTGTTCTGCTTAGTTTTTGTTCAAACATGATATATTGGATAATCTTTAATATTGGATAATGCAACTGTTATATTTCTGGGTTCTTACTGTTTTAAATTTTTCATATATATATATATACACACACATATATATATAATATGTTTTTAAGTTAGAGACCCTACCTCTTTCTATATATATTCAATATATATTTAATTAATATTTAATTATATATTAAATTTATAATTATATATAGTTATAAATTATAAATGTATAATTATATAGATAAATTATATAATTATATAATTTATATATTATATATAATATATATAAATTTATAATTATATATAAAATTATATAATAATTTAAAAATATATTATATTTAATTATTCAATATATATTTAATCAATATATATTTAATTAATATATATTGAATATATAAATTAAATATATATTCTGTATATATATTTAATACACACACACACACACACACACACACACACACACACACACACATATTTAAGCTAGAGACAGGATCTCTTTCTGTTGCCCAGGCTGGAGTGTAGTGGTGCAATCATAGCTCACTGTAACCTAGAACTCCTGGGCTTAAGGGATTCCCCACCGCCAGCAGTCTCTTGAGTAGCTAGGACTGCAGGTGCATGCCACCATACCCAGCTAATTTTTTAAATTTTTCATAGGGAAAGAGTCTTGCTGTATTGCCCAGGCTGGTTTCAAACTGCTGGCTTCAAGCGATCCTTCTGCCTCAGCTTCCCACAGTTCTGGGTGGTGAGCCACCACACCCAGCTTTTTCTTATATATTTTATTATTAGTAACATGTTTTGACTTATTATAAATATACTTTTATGTTTGTTAGTATAAACCCATATTTTCTTTCAACATTTTCTAATATATTCTGTGCATTTAATATTCTGTATGAATTTGAGAACCACTATGTTAAATTTCCAGACAACAAAATTCCAGGTGAGTTTCCTTATATCAAACATTCATGTAGAGGATGGATTGCATTTGGCTGGTTATTATATTTCAGCACCTAATTTAGGGTTCTTTAAAATCTCACCCTATCTTTTTTGTGCTAGTCGATTTAGATGCTTACATAACTATCAACAACATTCTAAGTTGTTGAACAAAGTGTTATTGGCACTTAACTGAAACATAGCCTTTGATTTTAAAAAGGGCTTTAATGTTGTTCTTTTGGTTGACTTTACTCTTACATTGATCCTACCTTTTCTGCCACATCAGATTATCCCAAATTACCAAGATTGAGTGTTTGATATTAATGTATTATACTTTCTTCCTAGTTTCAGGCAAATTCTTTGAGGTAAGTATAACTTCAAGCAGGGCTGCACACTTTTAAAGACAAATAGTTGTATTGATTTCTTGACCATACTTTTCAGGAAGTCATGCACCCCTCCCCTCACATTTTATGCTGTAAGTTTTACAAATATGCCCTTTAGGCAGAACATTTTCCCAGGTTTCTTCATTTACCCCCTCTATCATCTATAACCTGGCCAGTTCCCATTTATCTTCTTTGAGAAGGACCCACCCCACCACCACTCAAAACCCTAAGTCATATACTTCAGGTGCCCTTTCCATGTCCATAGCACTGCTTGCATTAATGTATTGTTTTACTTAGCAATTCCTACACTAGACCATGAGCTCTGTGAATACTGAGCAACGTCTCAATTTTTTACTATGTAGACCTCGCAATGGGCATGGTGCTTGGTATAAAGTAAGTGACAATAAACAAGTAAGTTAATGCTGAATGACTGAGAACATGTTAATATTTTATATGAAGCCAAATATCTGATGTCAGTTAAATGCCAGCTCTTAACTCTTTTGTGTGTGTTCTATCTGTGTTCTTGTTTGCTTCTGGGGTTTGAGGAGGGCCCCAAAGTTGGGGAACCCATGGTCCCCTGACCGCTGTTAATGATGAATCTGCATATAAATAATGAGTTAAGCATCTCTGCCCCTCAGAGTGTCAGGGATGAAGCCAGAAGAGTCATTCTCTTTAGCAGTGTTCTTATGTAGGAAGGTGCAAAACCTGAGTTTGATGAAAGAATCAAGGGTACAGAAATTTTGTAGATGTAAATAAATACATAGCATTAGCACTGACTACCCGCCTACCTATATCTTTCCTCTCCCTAGCCATTAAGATAGTTTTATAAAACATCATTGAGTTTATTGGGGCCATATTTTCATGTTGGTATATTATAGGTGACCCTGAATTTTGTTTGTATTTTTTCTCATTACTGTAGATTTATGCATATGTTTTTGAAAACATCAAGTCTGTGCGACTGGAAGCATTGCTTTTATCCTTGCTGAGCATTGTGGTCCTTGTTCTTGTTAAAGAGCTGAATGAACAGTTTAAAAGGAAAATTAAAGTTGTTCTTCCTGTAGATTTAGTTTTGGTAAGTATAAAATCAACATTTAGCTTTTTGCCATGCAAAGCTTTCCAGTTCTTGGGGAGATCTGCAGATGCTTACTATATTGTCTGTAGTAACCCTCAGCTACTCCTGTCTCTCATTAAAGCAGGGCTAATTTGCATGGCTACACATTAATGTAAGAACAGGAAACATTTTGAGTTAATAATTTAAAAAAGAAGGCACACATGTTTTCAATTTATAAAACATTTCTCATATGCTTATAATTGTTTATATAAATAAGAGAACATATAGCTTAAGATCTTAAATAAGGAGGTACTTATAAGGGTGAGGCTCAAAATGTCTCTGGCATGATCTTCTGTAAATTAATAAAATATGGTATCATTTCCTATTTATATGGCACCTATAAGATATGTATAGAAATATTATCAATTGATAAATGTTCATTCATGATTGAAAGGTTTTGTTACTTACCTAATTTTGCTTCATTGAAAGGATGCTCATGATTTTCATTGGCCAAAGTTGGTTCTCTAAAATATTTTTTTGTTGTACCTGGAAAAGCAATACATTACATTTTGCTCCTAAGGCTTGTGGCATTAGAAAATATGTTTTGAAATTTCAAGAACCTCTAATAGGAACTCTTAACTATACAAAGCATTAAGTTGAAAATAAAATCTTAACATATAACCACAGTCTACTAATTTACTAAAAATTGGCTTTAGTCTTTCAATGATCTTTGAGTTATACATGTATATGATAAATGTTGTCTAAATAACTTCATCTAATAAAATATTCCTTCTAATTGTTGAAATTATGTAGGTTTATGTACAATTATAAGGCTAGCACATTGCAATTGACTATTAAGGCTACGACTCATTTCTATACAACTAATAAGAAAGGCTTCTCTCCATAACTAGGCCATGTATGATCCTATACTCTTGATAATTTGAGATTTATATAACATATGTGATTTATATAATATGTATGTGTGTATATTTCAAATAAGCCATAAAAATACAGAGTACTATGATTATTAGTTTTCACAGCAACAACTGTGAAACATACCATCTTATCTTGAAGTCCTGTAGATATTAAGAAATACTTATTATATCTTGGGAAGCTATATCGCATGTTTCATAAAACTAAAAATTGAAAATAGCCTTAGGGATGAAGGCTGTTGAGCTGGTAGTAAACCAGTTGCTTATTCTCTGCAAAACCAGTTACGATTATTCTTACAATAAGATTAAAGGTATTCTTTATACGTGTTATCCCTAACATTTCTAAGACCCAAGGAAAAAGTACCAATGCAAGCCCAAATACTTACAAGTTATAGATCAAAATGTTAAATATAACAGATTCTGTTTTCTTATGTTGACAAACATCCCTTAGTGATGACTTTAAAAGCCGGGTTAGAACAGAGAATTTTCCTAGTCGTTTATGTTCTGCCAGTATGTGGCAGCGTGGGGAGACCCAGCCTCTTGCTCTGCTCCCTCTCTTCACTTTCCAGCTCTATCCCACCTGCCAGGGGATTCATATGTGTATGTGTGGACACCTCCGTCCTCACTTCCAGGCTCCAAACACATCGCCACTCCATCACCACTACGACTGTCTCTTTGCCAACTTTCTTGAGCCACCCTGGGAGGATGGACTTCCAGAAGGTGCCCTGCAAGCAGGCAGAAGGACATTTGGGCAGGAAATGTTAGATTCTTAAGTATCCAGAGTGTGGTTCAGAAAGAAGGGTACAGGTTTGAGTTGGGCACAAACCCCCTACTCCCACAGAGCTCCCTTCTTGTGGGGAAGTCTACAGTTGGAAGAAGCCAGATTAGAACCCTCTGAAGCAGGGGTCCTCAATCTCTGGGCCATGGACTGGTACCAGTTCATGGTCTGTTAGGAACCTGGCCACACAGCAGAAGGTGAGCATTATTGCCTGAGCTCTGCCTCCTGTCAGATCAGTGGCAGCATTAGATTCTCATAGGAACACGAACCCTGTTGTGAACTTCACACGTGAGAAATCTAGGTTGCGTGCTTCTTATGATAATCTAGTGCCTGATAGACTGAGGTGGAACAGCTTCATCATCCCCAAACCATCTCCCCCCTCCTCCCCCAACCCTGTTCGTGAAAAAATTGTCTTCCACAAAGCTGATCCCCGGTGCCAAAAAGGTTGGGGACTGCTGCTCTAAAGCACTAGTCACACCTGGGGTGCAATCCCCCCCTTGCCCAGGTCTAAGGGCAGTATTGGCCTTATACACGCATATTGAATTAATATTGAAGAAGGACCAATTACTCAACTGATAAGGAAAGTTTAATTTTGGTAAAGAAATACAGGGAGGAGGTAAAACACTGAAAGGCTAATTCAGTGAGTTAGAGCACTTAATTTTAATATTAACTGTGTATCAAATACCCTGCATACTTCCATTTTCAATAAGAATCCAGTATCTAGTAGCTATGGCATATTTTCTTTATAGCTCTCAATATTTTCTGACCTAGTATAGATGTTTCATGATGATTATGAACAATTATAATTTATTAATTGGCGTAGGAATTTTTAAGTATGTTAATATGTCTGATTCTAACTTAATAGCCTGAATCTTTAGCTACTACTAGTTTCTTTAGAAAATGCTACTATCGTATTACAATATTTATAAATTTTAACAATATCACCTTTATGGTTTTTGTTCCTTTTTATCTTTTTCTTTAAGTCTTCAGGTGTTTTGCTTTTTAAGCCTATTTGATGTTTTATAAAACCTCTGCAAATTCAGCTAAATATCATCACAGAGAAGAGAACAACAGGAATAGGGGAAAAAAACCTATACAATTATATTATTGGCCATTGATTATTAGATATTCCTTATTTTGCTAGTTTGAATTTGTTATCCTTTTTTTCTGGCCATGTATATTGTAAATTTGTACTTTAAGTGGATAATTGATGTGCCTCTTTTACAAGATGAATTACTCCAAACTGATACCATAATCATGTGAAATTTTTAATATCTATTAAAATTATCAGAAAAATGAAAATCGATGGAAAACAGTAGAATGCAGTGGCTGGTGAACTGGGCTCTGATATGTATGTTAAAGATGATTATGGGTATAGGCAGGGAACATGTAACCTTGCTTAGCATATGTCAGTAACAGAAGGATAGGGTATCTGAAACTCCATAGGGGTCATTTTAAAAGCATTGAGCCCAGCAGGCTGTGAAGCAGCATGTTTCACTACAAGAAATAGTAAAAGCTAAAAATTTGAAAATATTCAAGGAGACTGTAAATCATCATTGATTACTAACATGGATTAGGAATATCGATGCAATATCTCAAACTCTTGAAAGGCTGCTGTCATGGAGAGAAAATGTGCTGTCTTACGAAGCATCCCTTTGTATCATGGGAGGCAAGTATTTAGGTTGGATTGTGCTGTCTTCATGCACACACACACTCCTGTATCCTGTAGTTTTTCCTCTTCAAAATTGGACATAATTGGGTTGACCACGGTAGGATATTAGAAAAGCCATATGATTGGGATGTCATCTAATTTGGAGACTTGTCAGTGCTCTCAAAACTGAGGGACTTTTTGACTTTTAATATTTTATTTATTTTTGAAAGTCTGTGCAACTGCTAGATTATTCTTGATGTTTATGGGACATGAGAACAATGTTTACTTTTAAAAATTGTTTTAAGGTGTTTGAGAGGTCAGTAATGTATATATTTTTTCTTTTTTCAAATGGAACCACACAGATTATTGCTGCATCATTTGCTTGTTATTGCACCAATATGGAAAACACATATGGATTAGAAGTAGTTGGTCATATTCCACAAGGGTAATGTAGTCCTTTTTAAAAACATATTATTTGTTTGTTTGTTTATTTTTGATGGAGAAAGGGACAGGGAGTGAGTGGGTATGGATATTTCATTTCTTAATTCTAATTAATTTCTATTACAAAATGATAGAAATACACACTTCATGTGTAGAGAAAGAGTAACTTCCTAGACTTCACCTCTTACTAAGGATGTTGATAATTGCTTTATGCAGCATTGCTTCAGGTAAAAGGTTTGGGAAATATTTGCAAATATATTATTAACAAAATAGAGGGCATTGACTTTGCAAATGAGAGTTATGATCTGGGATTTAGTCAGCCCTATCTCTTCCCCACCACACATATTCTATGACTATTTTCATTTCACTTAAATCATAGTAAAAGTAGACAAGCATAATCTGAAATAGCAAACCCTAGGCCTGGGTAGTATATAATAATGAGAGAGTGGAAGTGGAGAAGAAGGCATTGTTCCCTAGCTGGCCTATAGCCTTCCTCTGGCCACTAAGAAGGAGTTTAACAAAAGAGATGTTCACCCTAAAATGAGCAAAAGTTCGTACCACATATGGGCTGAAAGAAAATAAAAATATATGAGGGAAGGAGGACAGTGTCTTATGGGTTATTCACTTTGAATGGGCTGCATTACATGTACACTGATAATTGTAAATTTGGGGCAAAGTTACAATTGTTGAATCCTATAAATTTTTATCTTCCAATCCCAAATTTTTGTTTCTAATTACATGAAAATGGAGAAACAGTAGAAAAATTCTCAGGAATTAAAAAGGGAATGTTAAAAATCCTATCTTTAGCACATATAGATATAGGCTAATGCTGATTATATGAATCAAATTGAATTTTCTCAAAGATTCCTGCTTTTCTACCTTTGAAAGTCAGCTTATTATTCCTTTTATGCCAATTTGTTGTTATTAGTAATTAGGTTCACTCAGTCTTCATGAAACAAAGTTCTTTTACTTTGAAATGGTTTTGTGTAGCATAATAACCTGTAATGATACAAATCAATTTGTCTTAATGGTAAACTTAAGGAGGTGGGTTAAAAAAAAAAGTCACGCCACTCCTCTATCACCTCTAATTCTCCTTTATTTTGAGTGACCTTTCCAGACCCATCCGCTAAAGGAATTATAACAAGAACATGGCTTTGAACAGAAGTGGAGCTGAGATTGCATTCCAGCTCTGCCATTCACCTTGTGATGTTAAATAAATTACCTAACCTTTCTCAAAATGTTTTCTCCTCTATACAGTGGGTATAATGATGCTTGGTTTGGAGGTTGTTGGGAGAATTAAATAAAATAGCTATTATGAAAGGGCCAAGCATTCTACTTACATACTGGGTTTTAAAAATCAACATGAATTCTCTTCCTGTTTTCTTCTACTGCCTGAGGGATTTATTTATTTATTTATTTATTTATTTATTTATTTAATTTATTTTTTGGGTAAGTCTCCCAAAGAATCATCAGGGATGAATAAATAATGACACTTTGGCTCAAGTTGTTTTCAAAAGACAATTAGACAAGGGCTGGGTATTATTTGAGAGAAATATTTTGAACAGTTCTTTGAAATGGAAAAACAACTATGGTCCTATATTTTGAAGCAGAGGGTTAGTTAGATGGAGCCTTTATACATATTTTTCTTAATGGATGTAAGGCACAGTTAAGTGTACTGTGAAAGGATTGAGTTAAAAACATAATTAAGATAACGAACTCAATGGCAAATTTAGGGATGAACTCAAGAATTGTAGCTCACAGTAAACCAGTGTTTGCATACAGCACTGTAGTATTCAAAGGAGGAAATGTAGTCTTCAACACCAGCCAAATAAATATTTGGAAAGGTTCGAATGAAAGAATGCTCCAGATTTGCTTTTGTTCTGATACAGGAAATTTCTGTCGAGTCAGAGTTTCTGTGGTGTAATCTGAATTCTCTGGGCGTAAATGCCAGTTAAATGCATGGAGCTGTCCCTGTGGTGTTCCTTGTAATTTTGCTATTCTGCTAAATAATGTTGAAAACGAAGGGCTTCTAAGGGCAAGGCTGCTTGGTTTTCTCATGGGTATTTCACTTAGTCTATGTAAACTTCAGAGTCATTGCCACAGTTAAATTCATTGCAAGTTGTTACAGAAATTACATGAAGTTTGATGACTTCAATATGGTCCTTCTTTCCACAGAATTCCCTCACCTAGAGCTCCCCCGATGAACATCCTCTCTGCGGTGATCACTGAAGCTTTCGGAGTGGCACTTGTAGGCTATGTGGCCTCACTGGCTCTTGCTCAAGGATCTGCCAAAAAATTCAAATATTCAATTGATGACAACCAGGTGGAGTGTGCCCCCAGTCCCTCTCCACTCCAGTTGTATCATTGCACTGTGCACTCCCAGATCCTAAAAATGATGAACTTATGAAAAATAAAACTTTCCTAACTGTACAGCAAGAGTGGGTTGAACAAAAAAAAAGAAAAATATCAAAATCATTCATAGGAAGCTAAAAACCTGACATTGATTGTTCACAATGCTTTTTATTTTGGTTAAAATAGAAGGCATCATGATGTTCTTTTTGATTTGTTTTTAGGAGAGAATCCAAACAGATTTATTATTGCATGCTAATGTTTAATAATTATGGATTTCTAAGTACAAATAACATTAGTATTACTCTTAGTAAAAAAACTAAAGAATGTGAGCGTCTATTCTTAGAATACCAAGGGATGTAGATTATACTGATCATATTTCTGAAAATACTTTTGCATATGTCCTGTTTCTTTTTTTTTTTTTATACTTTTAAGTTTTAGGGTACATGTGCACATTGTGCAGGTTAGTTACATATGTATACATGTGCCATGCTGGTGCGCTACACCCACTAACTCGTCATCTAGCGTTAGGTATATCTCCCAATGCTATCCCTCCCTCCTCCCCCCACCCCACAACAGTCCCCAGAGTGTGATATTCCGCTTCCTGTGTCCATGTGATCTCATTGTTCAATTCCCACCTATGAGTGAGAATATGCGGTGTTTGGTTTTTTGTTCTTGCGATAGTTTACTGAGAATGATGATTTCCAATTTCATCCATGTCCCTACAAAGGACATGAACTCATCATTTTTTATGGCTGCATAGTATTCCATGGTGTATATGTGCCACATTTTCTTGATCCAGTCTATCACGATTGCATATGTCCTGTTTCAAGTCCTGTCATGGTCCTACAGAGCTGTGCTGGTCTGCAGAGAAGTTGCAGTGCCGTGGTTTACGAATATCGAACTACCTGTGTGTAAATCTCATTCTCACACTATGTGACCTTAATCTTCTCTGTGCACCAATTTTCTCATCTTCACAAAAGTAGATTTATTCATTCCACAGATATATGTTGAACCCTAATACATAGCAGGCACTGGTCTAGGTACAAGTGATAAAATGGTGAGCAATGCAGACCATGTCTTTCTTTTACTCGAAACTTCCCAGTTGCTTCTGGTCACACTCAGAGTAAGAGCCTCTCTCATGGCTTATAAGGCTCTACATAACCTGCTAATACCCTTTTCCTCTTTGGTCTCATACCCTTTTATACTCTGTGCTAACACCACCACCTTGCTTCTTCTTGAACCCATTAGTCATGCTTCTGGCTATGGATATTTGCACTTGCTGTTCCCCTTTCTGGGAATTCTGTTCTCTCCAATACCTGCTTAGCTCCTCCATTTATTTGTTTATTTATTTTAATTTTTGTTTTCTAGAGACAAACCTCACTCTGTTGGCCAGGCTGGAGTGAGTGGCATGATCATGGCTCACTGCGGCCTCAACCTCCTGGGCTCAAATCATCCTCCCGCCTTAGCCTCCCCAGTAGCTGAGACTTCAGGCATGCACCACCATGCCTGGCTACTTTTTTTTTTCATTTTTTAAACATGGGGGTCTTGCTGTGTTGCTCAGGCTGGTCTCAAACTCCCGGCTTCAAGAGATCCCCCGCCTCTGCCTCCCAAAGTGCTGGGATTGCAGGCATGAGCCACCGTGCTCAGCCAGCTTCTTTATCAAATGCTCCTTTCTCAGGGAGGCCTTCTTTGGTAATCTAAAATCTTAAACTCAAGATTTGCCCATGCTTTCCTCTGTTTTGCTTTCTGTATTTATCTTGTTTATTGCCAGCATTTGCTTTCCACCACCACAGCTCTATGGGGCAGGGATATTTGTTGTGCTTACTAGAAACAGCAGATGCAAAAATACTGTTAAGGGGAATTTGCAATAATCCAAGTGATATTTGATGACTTGGACCATGATGTAGTGATGGATGAGATGGAAGTATATGGATTCTGGATTGGATATGGGTGCCATTCGGGAAAAGAAGGAGCAGAAAAATCAAGAATAACCCTAAAGCTTTCAATCTAAGCAATTGGAACTTCAAATAGGGAAGAACATGGGAGAACCAGGTTGGGTGGTAGAAAGCTGTAGCCCAATTTAGGAAGTTGGAGATATCTGTTAGCCATCCAGAGGGAGATACTGAGTAGCAGATTGGGTATACAGTCTGACATTCAGAAGAATGGTCCAAGTTGTAGATAAAAATTTTAGAGTTGTCAATGTGTATTTGAGTAGCTTATATGTAGATAGAGAAGAGAAGCAGTCCTCCAATATTTGCAATTGGTTAGATGGGAAAGAACCACAAAAGGCATTAAAATGTGATGGCCAGGGAGGTAGGAGGAAATCAGGGACATCCTAGAAGCCAAGTGAAGGAGACTTTAGGGAGGAAGAAATGAGCAACTATGCCAAATGCCTCTTTTAGGCAAGGGAAGCCAAAAATGAATCATTGGTTTAGCATTGTGAAGGTCATTTGTGCAGTGATGAGAAGAAAAACCTGACTGATGTGACCTAAAGATGGAGGAGAAATTGATGACAGAGAGCATTAAAAAAAAATAGTATTTCCCTATAAGGTTGTTCTGAGGATTAAATGAGTAAAGTGCTTGAGAACAATTTCTTGCTCATTGTAAGCACCCAATAAATGTTAGCTATTTGTATTGTAATTGTTAAATCCCAACTGGTGGGGAGAACAAAATCTGAATACAAACAAGCCTCATTATGTGACAAATTGTACCTGTGGTCTCTAAAAGTCTATTGTGATTAAGATATTATATATTCTCTCATGAATCTTGCAGGAATTTTTGGCCCATGGCCTCAGCAATATAGTTTCTTCATTTTTCTTCTGCATACCAAGTGCTGCTGCCATGGGAAGGACGGCTGGCCTGTACAGCACAGGAGCGAAGACACAGGTAACTGAATTGTTCCACAGGGACAAAGCACTGCTGGGCCTTCACTCCCATTCTAGGAGAGTGGGAAGAGCTAGCTTCTCTTTAAAGCCCTGAAACTATTTTCACTTATTTAATTTTTTTTCTAAGTTGTTTTAAGAAAGTCCTTCTCTCTCTCATCTCTATCCCATAAATGACACTTACGAAAGCTAAGGATTCAACAAGGAAACTAAAAAATTCTGTACAAATTGAAGCTTTATGGTTAGCAACCTTAGAGGCCAAAGCTCCCTCTAGTGGTGCCTCTCTCTTTCTTTCTAATCTAAATGGTCAACATGACGTTTTCCCATTTTTGTTAACTTCCTTTAAATATATAAAATCGATTATATGAAAAAGAAATCAATCTTTGACACTGAAAGTTCTATCTATAGATATGTACAAGTATATAAATGAATAATAAGATATCTGCACATATTTTAAGTTAAACAATTATATTTTTTAGGAACTCAAATCAATTTGACATCTATTGAGGGCCTGTGATATACCAGGCATTCTGCTGGGTACTGGTAAGATGATGATGATGATGACGATGTTGATGATGACAATCATAATGATGAAGATGTTGCTATTGATGATGATGGTGGTAGTGGTGGAAAAGATATTGAGTTGTGTGCCAGGCATTGGCTGTCATACTTTTGTTATAAATGAACTTGTTTAATCCTATGAAAAACTAAACCTTTGATGATCTAGGCAACCTTAAGAAGGAGGTGTAATTATTATCCTCAGTTTCTACATGAGAAAGTTGAGGGAAAGAAGGTTAAAGTAACTTACCCAGGTCATAGAGGTAGTAAATGGCAGAGCCGGGATTGGAACCCAGATAGATTTACTTCAAAACTTGGATACACAAGAAAAATCATGTGTATCTTAGTATAAAAAATTAACATTAACAGCAAACCATTATTCAAACAATTTATGTTTAAGATAGGAATCAAATGAGAACTTTTAAAACACTATTTGGGCTAACTCAAACATTCATTGGGAGTCTTCCTTATTAAATACTATTTTAGGTTGTAGAATAATTAAGTTTGAAAAGTATGTGTTTGTTGACCTTGTGGGAAAGTGATCAACAGATCTTAAAATTTAACATAAAACTAGCTAATCAAGTTCATATCAATGTATCATAGAGTACATGAAAGGAAGCAGTAACCAATTCTGAATCTATTGTAATTTGACAAATAATTGCCACAGCTCATCAGCTAAGAAGTAAAATCCTCCTCCGACCTTGGTTTATATGACACAAGTAATCTGACAGATTTTTACACAGCTTTGATTTTCAAGTGTAGGGTCATCTTCTGTAGTGGCGTAAACATTTTTGCAAACTGTACTCTCAAATCTTTGTGATCTAAATTTGAAGGTTTAATATGCAGTGAACTTTAATATTATTCCCTACTCTGATGACTCTTCTATCTGTAAAATCCTAGGATCCTATAGCAGTTTTTTTTTTCTTTTTTTCTTTTTTTTTTGGCAGAGTCTTGCTCTGTTGCTCAGGCTGGAGTGCAGTGGCACCACTATAGCTCACTGTAGCCTCAAACTTGTGGTCTGAAGTATCCTTTCACCTCAGTATCCAGAGTAGCTGGAATAACAGGCGTGCACCACCACACCTTGCTATTTTTTTTTTTTCAAATTTTAGTACAGATAATGGTCTTGCTTTGTTGACCAGGCTTATTTTGAACTCCTGGCTTTGAGAAATCCTCCAACCTCTGACTCCCAGTGTTGGGATTACAGGTATGAGCTATTGTGCCAGCTGGATTCTATAGTACTTTCTTCCTGGTTTCTTACCAGAGTGAATGTATTAGGTTTCTCTCTTCATTGTCAGGCTCAATAAACATAGTGAGTGGTTCAGCGTTGGGCTCCAGAGCCTGGGCTTGTACCCTGGCTTCACCACTAGTGAAGTGACTTTGCACAAGTAACTTGACCTCTCTGGCATAAGTAGACTTGCCTATTAAAGTAGAATTATTACAACAACTAAAGGAGTTAATAATGCTTATTTAGCACAATGCTTGAGCACTAAATGTCCTTAAAATGTTAAAAATGATCATTGATTTTATTATTACTATTGTTATTTAGAAAATAATTAAATATGTTTAGAACCTTATTTTAACATTTAATATTAAAACATCCTGGTATGGTCAAGATGCAATGAGACAGTTTTCTAGTCCAAGATGCCCACTGTGCGGCAGGATCTTGAGCAAGTTAACATACTCACTTATCACATGGGCAGAAAAGGTTGAAATAGTATCTTCGAAGTGTTTCCAGTTTCAATGTGTTCCATAACTGGGGTTTCCTTAGGCATTTCCCTGCTTTTCTAATTGCTATTTTCGTAATAATCAGTCTATCTGATTCATCTTTGTAACCTTTAATATCGAGTGTCTGAAAGATAATAATTTGAGAAAGATTATACTTATTTTAAATTTGGGATTTTTTTTCACTTGAGTTGGGTGTACAGATGTTTGATTAATATGGTTGGGATAAAGCAGCGCCCCTTCTCTTCTCTGTTCTGGAGGCCACACATTTGAATGGCTAGAACAACAGAACGTTTCTAAGGACTTTTTATTTAATAGGAATTTTTTTTCTGCATGGTATTCTATTCATCAGCCTCCAAAAGAAATGAAAGAAATCTGTCAAAATGCTATTCCAGGAAAACAAAGCTCAGTGGCAGAATATTTTCATGCTCCTCTGCTTGTTGAGATGGTCACTAATCTTTTCAACAACTTCCATTAAATTGCACAGGGAAAGAATCTAATTTAATGTGCATACTCAAATTGAGGATGCTTTCCCATGGTAGTCATTTCAGACCTTTAACATTGCAAGTGTTAAGTTTATGTGGGTAAAACTGATAACTGACATGGTTCCGAGGAAGCACTATGTAAGCCAAGCCTTAAAAGTTTTGTTCTAAATAGGCTATTTGTGAAAGCAACTTTCTATGTGACATGACTTCACAAAACAACCCCTTAAATGGCTCTGATTCTCTTAGGTACTAAATTTATATCCCATAAATTGATGTAGATGATAAACAATCTTCATTTTTTAGGCTAATGACAACCAATCAAAGGATCAGTGATAATCATCTTACACTTGTTAATGAATTTACCAACTGACTTTTATTCAGAAACATTTCTGGTATTTCTGCAGAAATGGTATTTCTGTGGAAAGTTATCTTTACAAAATGCAAATGTGGTCATGTTATTTTTGCTTAAAGTCCTTAAAAGGCTTTGCGTGGGTCTTAGAATTCAGACATTTCTGCTGTCTACCAGGCGCTGAGTGCGTCCTGGCACAGCCTCCTCTTGGCCTGTTCTCCACCTCATTCTCAGACCTAGTCCTTCTCCAGCCCTTGTGGGTTCCAGTGTCTGTTCCCTTTGTCTTTGAGGCTGCCTTTCCCTTCCTCTCTATGTGAATTCCTCCCATCCTTCGTATCTCACTGCCACTTCTGGGTCTGTCATGTTCCTCTTTGTCAGCGTCCTTAGTGCTATTTGACATTAAATGTTCATTATTGTGATTATATGATTGATGTTACCCTTCTATCCTTGACTTAAAGCTACTGGAGAACACAAAACCTTGTCTGGTTTGGTTCAGTGTATCCTCAGTGGCTAGCCCAGGACCTGGCATGTGGTAGGTGTTAGGTAACTACTACAGAAAAGAATGAATGAGAAATGAGAGCTTCCAATAACTATAAAAGAAAACTACCAGTTTTGCTGACATTAGAAGAGACTGGTCAGGCTGGACAGTTCTTTTTAATTACTGCTTAATGTTGCACATTTACAGAAAATCCCATTTAAAACCAGGCTTAGGATCATGCACTTCAGAGAAGCACTATTGAACAGAAACATAATATGAGCTACACAGATAATTTAAATTTTCCAGTAGCCACATTTTTAGAAGTAGAAGAAATTGATAATTTTAATTTTATATTTTAATTTCCCTAATGGAGTCAAAATATTATCATTTTAATGTTAATATTTCAAAGTTAATAATTTAAAAGTTATTAATGATATTTTAACATTATTTTCTTCTTGGTACAAGGCTTCAAAATCTGGTATTTTAGATTTCAGCATACCTTAATATGAACTAGCCAAATTTCAAGTCCTCAAGAGCCATATGAGGCTGTTTTGACAGTGAATTTGGGACAATTTTATATAGAAGTGAGTTGATGGTAAAGACTTTCAGTGCTTTAGAAAATGAAACCAAATGTTTGGATTGGAACAACAAGAGTTACTGATCATTTAACACCAAGTGCCATGGTCATCAGACTCATTTCTATCTTCCATATGAAGAAACCCTTTTTACAGTGACCCCCTTTAGATGTGACACCCAAAGCATGCATATCTAAGAAAGGTCTTTAGGGGAATAAGAAATTTGTGGCACAGCTTAGACAAATAGCACAAAAAAATTACATTTCTTCCTTTTCTCCTTCCCTGTAAAGAACGGTAAGTATGGGAGGGAGCTCAGTGTCCCCTGGCTTTCTTCCTTGCATGCTTCTCTTCACTTCCAACAGAGGAGATCCGCTGGTGCTCTGCAGGGAGCTCGGGAGGTATACCCAGGAGGGATGAGAGACTGTGTCTGCTGCACAGGCAGCTCAGCCACAACTGAAAACAACAGCTGGCATGTTTTTCTGCAACACTGAGATTGTCTCCGCATTCTAATTTGCCAAACTGTATTCCTTTATTCTTTTGAAATTTGGCTAATTGCTTTCATCTCCTTTAAAACCTTCTTAATCTAGCTTTAGTTATCTAATGTCATCTCTCTCTTTTTTTCTTTCTGCCCTTTCCCATCTCTTTTGCCATTTCACTACTTTCCACAAGACTGCACATGCAGTGAGTTCGAGAACTACTTATGCCTTCTTTGACAACTGCTTAGGAAGTAAATGGCTGGTTTCTCCCTCTACTCCCAACGAAATATCTAGGTATGGATAATAAAAATGCATGTATGGTCATCTTTGTAACTAACATAGAGCATATAAAATAATTGTTTGAGAACATAACAAGAATAAAATATAGATTATTTCATTATCTTTTATGCAGAATTAACTCTTAAATATCAGTAGTTATGATTTTGAAGCAAAAATATATTTGGTCATTTAGTTAGTATGATGTGGAAAGAAGGAGTTAAAGAGTAAAATCCTAGCCAGTGTTTGCCCAGTGGGTAATTGTGTGAACACTTTAATAAGTGCAATAGAAGCCAACCTGAAACTTATTAAGAAGGAGCTAGTTTTGTTTTTTTTTTCCTGAGATTAAAAAAGGAACAAGCTCATCTCTTTTGTTCTGGTTTTAACTTGTTTTTCAAATTTTTCTCAAGGTAGGTCAGAGAAAGGCAAGAAAATATTACCTCATATGCAAAGTAAAATATACGAAGAAAGTAGATGATATTTGAAATATAGCTTAAGTGGGTTATTATAGAATCCTGAAATTAGAGAATTCTATTTTATACACTGCAAATATTTGATCTTAATTTGAGCTCTTTTTGAATTTACTGAGTTGGCCAGTTAGGGAATGATGGCTTTCACTGCATAATCTCAAAGATTTTTTACGAATCCAAATTTCAGTGTCCTGGCTTCTTCTTTATGAAGAGAATGAATACCAGTATTTTGAGAGCTTTGAGGGCAGACACTATAATATTAATTTCCATGACTGGGGAGTATATACACTGGACAGAGCTTAAGAGTTTCTTGTCTGATTAGATGAACTTATCTTTTGACCAAGGGCATCAACAATGATAAGGCAAGTGCGTCAAGGGAGCTAACATAACCCATTTGCTTATGGTCTATTTCATTACATGACTTACCATTTAAGGTAAACAAATAGTCTTTTTCACCCACAGTTTGTCACCCTTTACCAAATAAGATCCATTTAACTCTTGACTTATTTTTACTACAAGACTGAAATTGTAATTCAATTGTTGTTAATGAACATACAAAGCACCATGTAAATAAAAGATAAATTAAATATTATTTAGAGAAAAGCCCAAATGTAGTTGTGATTTACTGTTTTTAAATAGAATTATTTAGTTAGGTTGTAATTTCTATAACAGCTTTAGTGTACTATAATAAATTTGGGAACCTTAAAATATATTTGGCGTTTTTGGATCCCAATTCAGTACATATTTTATATTACCTTCGTGCTTTCTAATTCCCTAGCTCTATGACCTTGGCATAGTCACTTTGCCTCTCTGTGTCTCAGATCCTTCCAAGTAATTGCAACTGCATGTGTACAAAGTTCATTCCAGCTCCTAAGATTTAGGGTTTTGGTTTCAGGTACATTGTAAAGATATGAGTGAAGAGTCCCACAAAAAGGGTACATGCCATTGTCTTTTGTCTTAAAATAAACCTTAGCTGTTGGTATTTTTTTCTTTTCATGTAAACATGGAATTACTGAATCACTGACTGAGCTCTCTGACTGGATCCTGTGAGCTGCACTCTGACACCTACCTCGTTGCAGTATAGTAGAATGTCAGGCATCATATTTTATTGTTTAAAAATTCTTATGTAAAATCACCAATTGCTCCTAAATGATCAGGATAGTGACAATTTGGTGTACTATAACTTTTTTTATGGGCAATCATTAGTTCCCCTACTGATTTAATTCCCAAGTAAGAATTGTTTTTCCCCTTTGTATGCTGACGAGTGTTTGTGATGAGTTACACAAACTATGGAAGGGAGAACAGACTCCCTCAGCCTCTGCCAACAGGGAAAGGCCTTGAATGACTGCTTGCTTAGCAGAATAATTATAGCTACTGCCACTCCACTCTCCTTCTTCCCATATACACACACCTTTTAATAGTACCAGGTTAGGACAAGTGTTGTGGGTGTGGACATATGCATGTAAGCAATTGTTAGAGATCTCTTCCCAGGTTTCTTTTTTTTTTTAAATTAAAAGTAAGGTTTATGGAGGTATAATTTAGATATAGTAAAATTTATTCTTTTAAGGTATACGGTTCACTTTTTTTGAAAAAAAAATTGTTGTATAACAAGTAAAATCAAGATATAGAATATTTCTATCACCCTAAAAAGTTTTCTCATACTCTTTTGTAGTCAATTCTTTGCCTCCACCTCCAGCCTCTAGCATCCTATAATTTATCTTTTTTTCAGAAAGTCATATATATGAAATCTTATAGTATGTAGCCTTTTGTGTTTAGGTTCTTTCATTAGTTTAATGATTTTGAATTTCATCCATTTTTTTAAATTGCTGAGTTGTATTTTAATGTATGGATGTACCACACTTTATTCACCAATTAGTTGATATTTTAGTTATTTATGATTTTGGCATTTATGAATAAAGGTTCTACAAATATATATTTAGGTTTCACGTGGACATATGTTTCATTTCTCTTAGCCAGTCCTGAGTCATAAGGTAAGTGTATGTGTAACTTTATAAGACACTGCCAAACTGTTTCAGAGTAGCTGTACCATATTGTATTCCCACCAGCAATGCCTGAGAATTCCAGTTGTGCTGAGTTTTTGCCAGCCTTTGATATTGATTGTTTGTTTATATATTTATTTTTAATTTAAGCCATTCTACTAGGTCCAAATTCCCTTTGATATCTCCATAATGATGTTCTAGGCATCTCCATGGCCTGTGAAAGCCTTCTTTTCTCTTGTTAGGAAGGCAGTTTGGCCAAATGTTTTATTAGGTCCTGAACATTTGCTTCTGTGAAATCAAGTTCTCCATCAAGTGGAACATGACTATAGGAGTCAGGTGAATTGAACTGCCTTTTGTCAGCAGGCTGGTTGGTTAGAACATGATACTAATGGCTTTTCAGGTTTAGTAAAATTAAGTCTGTTCCACAGCCAGAGATCACTCCCATATCCCATATAACTACTCCACAACTTGAGCCTTTACTAACAAAGAAATCCAAAGAACAAGGTAAATGCTTCAGTGGAAATTATCAGCACAGAAAAATCCTAAGCCACATATTCAGTTATTGCTCAAACAACCTCCTACAAAATAAGGAGGGGAGTCAGGCTAAACAACAACAGGCTAAAGAAATTTTAATTGAAATGTCACTTTCACTATTAAACAAAAAAGCCATCACTGTGATTGTGATAAAAGTTGATGGTGTCCTGTTTCTTTGTGTGAAATTGCTTTTCTCTCATCACTGACTTAATTTGATTGCACCAGTTTGTCAGCTGTCACATTTGGCTTCCCTCAGTTGCAAAATATAGATAATGACAGTCTAAGCAATTTAACAGTTATGTGTCAACATTTTACTTCTTCTAATCAAGATAAACTAAGAATTATCCCCCCCACCCCATAACTTTGACATAATAAAAAAGTTCAAGGCTTTCTTTTTCCTTTTTGTCTGTCTTGTATTTTACAGGTGGCTTGTCTAATATCTTGCATTTTCGTCCTTATAGTCATCTATGCAATAGGACCTTTGCTTTACTGGCTGCCCATGGTACGGTAGTGCTTTTTCACTATCTACTTTTTAATTTAACTTTTCATGAGAATCATTGCATATAAAATTTCTTGGAAGTATAACCTCAACAATCCTAAATGTAGAAACCATGTTACAGAAGTAAAGTTTGAATGGGGGAGGTGTGGAAAGCTACCACATTTGAGGCAGGCGTGGGAGGGGGTACCGTGGCTGTTTTTTTTTACGTTTTTGGCTCTCACATAAGAATGGTATTGTGGAACTAGATTCATTCTGTGCTCATCTGGAGAGTGGAACTAGGCATATTCTGTTATAAGAAGTATAAATTTTACTAAAACTTTGACTGTTAGAAAAACATATGTGCTGGGGCAAGGAAATAGGAAACAAAATACAGCTTCCTGCTGTTGATATATCTGTTACACAAAGTGATTCAGAACATTAGTGCCAGTGCTTCACCTTCTTCTTCATAAGCCTGAGGCACTAAAGGAATGCAAAACACTGGGCTTATGAGAGCCAGTCTCCATCCTTTGTTATTCTAATTTTTCATGTGTGTAGTGAGAATAAACCATTTCCATGGTAGGATCTTCCAATAATCAAGTTCGCTTTTCAAGAGAGTTATAAATATCTTCAGGTGAAATCAGATAATTGACATTTAAGGCAATTATAAGAAAATATATGATATACATATTTAATTTCATGCAACAAATACTTTTCAAACAAATGACCGTGAATACGTTTAGTTAAGAGGGCATTTAGCTTCATGATGTTCACCCTTACCATTTACTTATTTTCTTTTTGCTCTTGTTGTTTAGAATTGTACAAATATTACCTTATGAATTCTAGAATATATATTATATTCCTAAAGTGCAATAATAGGTTAGTTTTAAACAAAATAAATATTGCTTTTGTCTTCTAATCGGTGATTGCTTTTCTCTATTAAGTACTTTAAAAACAAAAAAATAAAAATACCTTAGCCCTTTTAAATTTAAGTTAAAATTTTTATGTTGCTTCTTCTTCAACTTACGTTTTATTTCTAGTGTGTCCTTGCAAGCATTATTGTTGTGGGACTGAAGGGAATGCTAATACAGTTCCGAGATTTAAAAAAATATTGGAATGTGGATAAAATCGATTGGGTAAGTAGAAATTTGACCTAAAACAATCCCTTTTTAGCTTAAGCTTATGTTACCAAATATGCACTAATACTTTTATTTGCAGAAAATAGATATTGTCATTTGAGACTTGTACACTTTACAAACTACCATTTTTTTTCCAAAATCTTAATAAAAGCATTAAAATATAAATTGTCTTCATATGAAACAGAAATAAGAGTTTGGTCAAATTTTGATGAATGTATAGTTTGAGAACTTTTAAAGAAATGCTAATAATTTCAGTGGATTTGGGATGCCCAATTTACAATATGAATTAATTTTGGAAGTAAGACTTACCAGGGAAATAGACACTAATAGAAATATGGCAATTTATAACCTTTATGAAAAACTATCATGAATCACTAAGAATGCACGCTGCGCGCATATAGGGTGAACCTCTTAATGGTGACCACTGTCATTCTAAATACAAAAGGTCTCATGAATTGCCTTTTAAATGGGTTACATTAAGAGGACCATGCTTGAAACAGATTAAAATATATTGAACCATGATAAAGTGTGATTTCTACGAACATAAATAGCACACTGATTCTAGAGAAACCTATCTATGCAAGAGCAATCCAGAATTCTCTCCCTCTCCAATATGGGAGAAGTACTTCATGAGTACCCTCTGTTTAGCTCTATTATGACAGTCACCATATTGGAATATAATTATTAATATGAAATACATATTTTCTCTTCTTCAGATCATTTTCTCTGAGAGGTTTTGGGATATTATTTATGCTGGTGCCTACTTTTGTAATATTCCTCCTGGGGCTCAATATTACTGAGCTCCCACCAAAGTATAATGCTGGGCACCATGAGGAATGTGCAGATGAAAAAAGAACTATCCAGTCTCTCTAGACAGTTATTTGTGGAGGCAGTGGACATAGAAACACTAAATTATCATGCAAGACAGGATACAACATGACCTGGAAGGAAAAGTAAGAGCTTAGTTTTGGGGAAAATAGAGGCAGAAGCATTTAATTTGGACTGATTAACATGAAAGACTCTCACAGAAGAGCTGAAATATGAACTGAGACTTGAAGGAACAGTATTTTGTAGGCAGAACAAAAGGCCAAAATTAACCATGACCTTTTAAAGGTGATACATGTTAGGTGGCTCATGAAAACAAAGAAATGAGAAGATGCAAACTTACTCAACAAGCTACTTGATAACCCTATGGTTAAGTTATTTCTAAGGAACTCATTGATCATATAGGAGGCAGCATGTTACCATATTGGAAAGGGTAGAGAAGATGTCAAGTAAGATTTCTATTAGGAAGTTGAGAATTGAAGAATTGCATTACCTGGAGAAGAAACAAAGAGAATCTCATATGCAAAGATACAGAGATGAGTGTGAACATGTCTGTCTCTGAAAAAATCAAGGTATTTGGCATGGGTAGAACATATAATGTGAGGATGGGAGTAGTGACAGATGATGTGGAAAAGTTAAGAATGGGTTGGATTGGGCAAGGCAACTCAAGTTTTACAAAGATGACTTGATTTCATTATGAAGGCAGTGAAACATCACTGAAAGGTGAAATAAGAATAAAATGTATGTATTAGAAAGGTCACTTGAGTAGTTTGAGGAAGATGGATCAAACTGGTGAAGTATACAGGAACTGGAGCACTGCTTTAGCCCTTCAGGCATATAAATGAGGAAGACCTAGACCAAGGCTGAGACCATGAAGTACAAGAAAGAATCAGATGAAAAATATTAAAGATATTGTATTTGTTAGTCCTCACCACCAGTTCATTATATAATGTGGATCAGTTGGAATGACTTCTGAGTTTCTATTTAGGAGCATCATTGGAGGAAGATTATATCATTCATTGAGTTATAAGATATAGAAAATTCTATTATTTAGATGCATTTAGTGGTTACCTTTAATCTTTTTTTTTAAAAAAAGGATTCTCATACTCGTTATTTATTTCATCTCTGTTTTCTGTACATCACCAAGTAGTTTTCCCAGAACTCATGTGTTTTGTATTCCTTGAGCTATTTCATGGTGACAATATCTGCTTGTTTTCATACTAGAAGGAAGTTTTTGACTGAGTGTAAAATGCTTTCTCTCAGGTCTTTTTAAATCTAACATTATCTTTAGGCATTGAGGGGTAAAGTAGAGAAATCACAGGTCAACGTAATTTTTTTGTTGTTATTTTAAGTAAGCTTGTTTTTCTAAATGGATGCTCAATGAAGTTTTTTCTTCTTACTACTGAAGTTTGGTACTATTATCAGAATATCACTGTGGTTGAGCACTCAGTCTCAAATTTCTGAGCATGACATAATCTTTTGATCGCATAATCAGGAATTATTTACAAATTTTTTCTTCTAATATATCTTTGAATATTTTTTCAAATCTGTGTTCTGCTCTCTTCTCAGTGAATTTTGTTTGTTTTTACTTTGTTCTTCTTCATATCTATATATTTTCCCATGATTATTTTGTTTTTCTGTATAAGTGATTTCTTTGGACTAGACACATATCTCTGATTATGTATTTCTAGTTGTGATTTTCTTACTTTTTAATTTTAAACATGGCTTTTATTTTCATTCATTTTCTTTCCTGAATTATTCTAGGCTGCTTGCTTTTTATCTCCTTCTGTTTTTCTGGTTTTTGTTGATCATTCCTTCTTTGAATTTTTATATTTAAGGTTTTTTTTCCTGAGATTATATTGCCTATTACATATCCAAATCTATCTTTTGCCTCTTTTTTTTAAATTTTATTATTATTATACTTTAAGTTTTAGGGTACATGTGCACAATATGCAGGTTTATTACATATGTATACATGTGCCATGTTGGTGTGCTGCGCCCATTAACTCGTCATTTAGCATTAGGTATGTCTCCAAATGCTATCCCTCCCCTCTCCCCCAACCCCAGAACAGTCCCCGGAGTGTGATGTTCCCCTTCCTGTGTCCATGTGTTCTCATTGTTCAATTCCCACCTATGAGTGAGAACATACAGTGTTTGATTTTTTTGTCCTTGCGATAGTTTGCTGAGAATGATGGTTTCCAGTTTCATCCATGTCCCTACAAAGGACATGAACTCATCCTTTTTTATGGCTGCATAGTATTCCATGGTGTACATGTGCCACATTTTCTTAATCCAGTCTATCATTGTTGGACATTTGGGTTGGTTCCAAGTCTTTGCTATTGTGAATAGTGCCGCAATAAACATACGTGTGCATGTGTCTTTATAGCAGCATAATTTATAATCCTTTTGGTATATACCCAGTAATGGGATGGCTGGGTCAAATGGTATTTCTAGTTCTAGATCTCTGAGGAATCTCCACACTGACTTCCACAATGGTTGAACTAGTTTACAGTCCCACCAACAGTGTAAAAGTGTTCCTGTTTCTCCACATCCTCTCCAGCACCTGTTGTTTCCTGACTTTTTAATGATCGCCATTCTAACTGGTGTGAGATGGTATCTCATTGTGGTTTTGATTTGCATTTCTCTGATGGCCAGTGATGATGAGCATTTTTTCATGTGTTTTTTGGCTGCATAAATGTCTTCTTTTGAGAAATGTCTGTTCATATCCTTCACCCACTTTTTGATGGGGTTGTTAGTTGTTTTCTTGTAAATTTGTTTGAGTTCATTGTAGATTCTGGATATTAGCCCTTTGTCAGATGAGTAGGTTGTGAAAATTTTCTCCCATTTTGTAGGTTGTCTGTTCACTCTGATGGTAGTTTCTTTTGCTGTGCAGAAGCTTTTTAGTTTAATTAGATCCCATTTGTCAATTTTGGCTTTTGTTGCCATTGCTTTTGGTGTTTTTTATTCATTATTTTATTTCTTTATTTTCCTCATTTCCATGAATAGGGCCCTTGATGATTTATTTAGAATTGTAATGCATTTTTAGGGGACCTATTTGCTGGAAAACAACATAGGAGAGCAGGAGGTCGTAAATGAGGTAGAGCAGCCCGCAGTTCTTATTTAGATCATGGAAGCAAAGCCTCAGAAATCAGGTTCACTGGAGATCTCATGCTGTTGTCATCTCTCCATTCTTCATCTTGTTTTACTTCCTGCAGTTACCTTTACTTAGGAGGTCAGATTGTAAGTGATACAAATGGCCTTTCACTCTACAGTCATCTGGTATCAAATAAATCTCTATGAGTACATTTCCTTTTTCTCTGGTAGCCCATGTTTGACCTTAGAACTTAGAAGCTGTTGCCCCTAAAAGCTCTTACCAGATTATTGCATAGAATTTTCAGGATTCTGGCATTTCTGCAAAAATCTATACTTGATTGAGCTCTGAGGATAAGTTTGTTGGCTTCTAGTGTCCTCCTTGATTATCATCCAAATTTCACAGTATTTGGCAAGTCTATATCATATTTTGTAGTGAGAAGTTTTGACCATGTTCTGGCTTCATTGATGCTGATTTTTTCCCTTCTATGTTCACATTTTATATTGTTTTGGGTGGATTTTAATAGAGGAGGGTTGAGTAAAAATGCCTTTAATATACTCTCTAAATCTGATATCCAAATCTATACTTAGAACATTAATTCTACTATTTAACAAATGGTGCTGGGAAAACTGGCTAGCCATAGGTAGAAAGCTGAAACTAATCCCTTCCTTACACCGTATACAAAAACTAATTCAAGATGGATTAAAGACTTAAATGTTAGACCTAAAACCATGAAAACCCTAGAAGAAAACCTAGGCAGTACCATTCAGGACATAGGCATGGGCAAGGACTTCATGTCCAAAACACCAAAAGCAATGGCAACAAAAGCCAAAATTGACAAATGGGATCTAACTAAACTAAAGAGCTTCTGCACAGCAAAAGAAACTACCATCAGAGTGAACAGGCAACCTACAAAAATGGGAGAAAATTTTTGCAACCTACTCATCTGACAAAGGGCTAATATCCAGAATCTACAATGAACTCAAACAAATTTACAAGAAAAAGAAAACAACACCATCAAAAAGTGGGCAAAGGACATGAATAGACACTTCTCAAAAGAAGACATTTATGCAGCCAACAGACACATGAAAAAATACTCATCATCACTGGCCATCAGAGAAATACAAATCAAAACCACAATGAGATATCATCTCCCACCAGTTAGAATGGCGATCATTAAAAAGTCAGGAAACAACAGGTGCTGGAGAGGATGTGGAGAAACAGAAACACTTTTACACTGTTGGTGGGACTGTAAACTAGTTCAACCATTGTGGAAGACCGTGTGGCAATTCTTCAGGGATCTAGAACTGGAAATACCATTTGACCCAGCCATCCCATTACTGGGTATATACCCAAAGGAATATAAATCATGCTGCTATAAAGACACAGGCACACATATGTTTTTTTCTTTTTCTTTTTTTTTTTTTTTTTGAGGCATAGTCTCACTCCGTCCCCCAGGCTGGAGTGCAGTGGCACAATCTTGGCTCACTGCAAGCTCCACCTCCTTGGGTTCATGCCATTCTCCTGCCTCAGGCTCCCAAGTAGCTGGGACTACAGGTGCCCGCCACCAGGCCTGGCTAATTTTTTTGTATTTTTAGTAGAGACGGGGTTTCTCCATGTTAGTCAGGATGGTCTCGATCTGCTGACATCATGATCCACCCATCTTGGCCTCCCAAAGTGCTGGAATTACAGGTGTGAGTCACCGCACCTGGCCGCACACATATGTTTGTTGCGGCACTACTCACAATAGCAAAGACTTGGAACCAACCCTAATGTCCAACATAGACTGGATTAAGAAAATGTGGCACATACACACCATGGAATACTATGCAGCCATAAACAATGATGAGTTCATGTCCTTTGTAGGGACATGGATGAAGCTGGAAACCATCATTCGCAGCAAACTATCACAAGGACAAAAAACCAAACACCACATGTTCTCACTCATAGGTGGGAATTGAACAATGAGAACACTCGGACACAGGAAGCGGAACATCAACACCAGGGCCGGTTGTGGGTTGGGGGGACGGGGGAGGGATAGAATTAGGAGATATACCTAATATAAATGACGAGTTAATGGCTGCAGCACACCAACATGGCACATGTTTACATATGTAACAAACCTGCACGTTGTGCACATGTACCCTAGAACTTAAAGTATAATAAAAATATAAAAAAGAACATTAATTCTAGCAGCAGTATGGCAAATGGTTTACAATGCAGATAACAAAAGCAGACAGTTAAGTAGGACACTGTCAAAAGAGTTGAGGAAAGGAACAGTGTGAACTGAGATATCATTAATAATTTGAGAAAAGGATACGGCTTAAGATTTTTTTCTTAACAATTTATAGAACTTGTGAAATGATTGGATAAGTAGATTAAAGAGGAGAGAAAGTAAAATATAATTCCATAGTTTCCGATTATAGTGTATTGAAGGATATTAGTGTTACAACTGAAGGAGAACATTGGAGGAAGGACAGATTCTGGGGTGAAGTTAATGAGTTTGCATTTGGACATGTTAAGTTTCAAGGTGTTTGATAGCTGAAAAATTGCTTAAGAGCTTAGAATTTGTAGTCTCCTACTTAGACGTGATAGTTGAATACTTGGAGTAAGTAAGCAATGTGGTGTGTGCAAAGATATGGTGTGAGAAAGGTGACATGGATATAGCAGGCGCATGATGATTCAGTGGGACATTGGGTTTAGCTTGAAAATAGCCTTCTGTGGTTGGAGTGGATAGATATCTCTTAGCTGCTAAGGGATTCAGCAGAGAAAAGCCATGGATTATTGGGTTATTGGGCACAGCATTCAAAGGATTATTGGACTATTGGGCACAGCATTCAAAGTATGAATATTGCACAGACTTTTGTGGATATAGGCTATATACCCAATACGTATAATGTCTAGATTACTAAATAGATGGACTGTGCCTAGAGTATCATGGAAGTAAAATTATCCAAGATATGTGTGTGTGTGTGTGTGTGCGCATGTGTGTGTAAACTAATTTGAAGGTTTAAAGTTTAAAATATCATGTACATAGTCATCACATGGAAAATTAGAAACTGTTGCACCTCTTTACATCTATTAACAGTTTAATATTGATTCTATTTTGAGTTGTTGGTCAAAACTCTCTTTGAAGTAATGAGAAAATAGGGGTCCAAATGGAGGCTCAACTCATTGGCTCAGAACTAAGTTTGAACAGCTGAACATTGGATACAGAATTCAGATATATAAACATTTAGTAATAGGGATCTGCCACAAAAACAGATAGTACAACAGATAGGCTGGGGGAAATGAGGTAATTTAGTAGCTGTTAAACTGTGCTTTATGCTGATGTATTTTCTACAAGGACAAAGGATTGTGTCCCCTACTTAAGGTTAACACTGGGGTTAGTTTGTGTTTTGGGACTGTGAGTGCCAAATAGGAAGAGAGCAAGTAGGAACACATAACAAAAAATAAAAAATAGGGGCCCGAGAGCCAACTAATTCTTGATAACTGTGACAACTAGCATTTGGGTCTTTAACAGGAATTATTACAGAATGCTGTTGGGATTTATTCTAACCAATGGAATTATTTATTGGTCTATGTTATTAATTTCCATTTGATATTTTTTCAAAGCTATAAATGTAGCCCCAGGAAATAAGTAAGCATTTGGAAAGCCCAACTTATAATAGATGACGTTGTGGGAGAGTAAATATGCTTTAAAAATAGAACCAGATGGTACCAAAATTTCTGGTTGCTCTGAAGAATTCTGGCCTCCAGGCTCTATGGTTTTTTAAGTGGCAGGGACCAGGATCCTTAGTTCCCTATGCCATATTGAATCACGGAGGATGGCCCAGAGGAATTAGACTTATAAAGCTTTTGGTGAGGTATTATTCTGCCACACTCGGGCAGATTCAGTTAGGATTTGAAAATGAGTGAGACTCAGAGTCATCATGGGAAGCTAAAATAATAGTCAAAAACTTGCAGCCTTGTTTTGTATATGATTAAGTACAGCATAATACACCAGGAAGAAAAAAACACACACTATATAAACAGAAGACTCAAATGACTGACTGTGTGTTCACCTGAATAAAGAAAAACCATCTCAGCTGGGAATGATCTCATAATAAGTAATAACCTAGCATTACATTTGTAGATGATGGATCTTAACATGAGATTCATTTAAATTGTATTCTCTCTTTTACTCCATAATGTGTGTTTGTCCTACATCAAAAGGAATTTTAAGGATAAAATTCCCTCCATTTGCTTCCAAGGGCTCAGCTTTTCAAAACAGTCTGTTAAGAATCACTCAAACTCAGTGTAGATAAATAATCCAGACAAAGGAGAAGTATTTCAAAAACAACAATAACAACAAAAAGAGCCCTTTAGAAATATTTATTTCAGACTTGTCTGAAAAACAGTTGCACTCCTTCCCTCCCCAAGATTGTATGCTATTTTTAGAATACACAAACATTTCTAACTTTGTCATTTGTGTATGGAATTGAAATATGTTTTCAAAGATGTTTTAAAGTGATAATATAGCTATTAGGACAGAAATAAATAAATGTAGAATTGCAGTCAGAGGCAAAGTGCTGCAAGTTTTGGGAGGACAAGAGAGAGGTTAAAAACGTTAGTTTACTGTTTGATAAATGCAGGATTTAGTGTTAAGAAAATATAACCTGGATTTCACAAATTATTTTGCTTTTAAAGATATTTTTTCAGCACTAAGCTTAGAAACGCCAACTATAATACAATATCTTGTTGCAAATTATAATTTTAAGTGGTGAACAAAACTGCAATAACTTTGGTATTCCAACTAGAAGACAATTAGAGCTTCGTGTAATCTTTTGAAATGTTCCCCAAAACTAAGTTGGCCCTGATATTTTAGCTTTCATAATGAATGGCCCCTTACAAATAAAACTATAATGATCTTCATAGTGATTGATCTAAAAGTGGCACTGGCAGTGTTGTTTGACTCAGTCATTTTAAAATTAGGCTTCCTGAGCCTTATGTATTAATAAACAACCTTAGTTATTTTTATAGCAGTCCTAGAAGACAAAATATTGTTGGGAATGACCAAAAATCTGTACACAATTGCTTGTAATAATATTACATTAAATGAGAAAGCAGTGGGAAATCATGGCATGCTTTTGAACCATACACATCAACCAAGTATTTACAGATCTTAAATACAGTGTTTGTTGGGGATTGAACTAAGGGTTGGCAGTGTCTGGAAATAAAAGAAGAAACTTTTTCCCACCTTTGCTGCTGAGAGTCTGATGGAGCAGGATTTGTTTCTGTATTTCTGAGCTTCTGTTTACCACTTGTTAAATAATATTTTCTTGCTGAAAGATTTGGTCACAAGAGTGTTAAGAATATGATTGTGAGGAACTTAGCAATAATGAGAAGAAGTGAATTCCAAAGGATTCACAACTTCTGTTTCTTGTTTCTCTTTCAGGGAATATGGGTCAGTACATATGTATTTACAATATGCTTTGCTGCCAATGTGGGACTGCTGTTTGGTGTTGTTTGTACCATAGCTATAGTGATAGGACGCTTCCCAAGGTAGGATCCTATGTAAATGCTCTGTTTATTTTTGCACAGCAGCAAAATACATGGTTACTTGCCATATGGTACTTGCTAGTTACTTTTATTTCTCTGTAACATATAGTACTACAATCTCATGTTTTTCTTGCTGTCAGAAAACTAGAGACAAACAGATAAGAAAATGTTTTATCTGCATATGATATTTAACAATGCTGATCTTAATGAAGATAAATAGCTTATCAACGTGATAAAATAGAATATATAAACTCTTAAAATAAATAAACCCCTTGGCCTTATACTGCATCAGAGAGAGATTTCTTTAAATTAAGTGAAAAGAGTTAGTAGCTAATGATCACAAACCATTTCACAATATATTTAGAAAATTAAATAACTTCAGAAAATTTTATTTTTCAGAAGTCAGATTAATCTATTTTCTAGATAATTTATTGAGAAACACACTGTCTCTTTTTGTCATTTTACTATAAATTTATAAATCATTTCCCTAGTCTGACCAATTCTTTTTCTGCTTTACAAAGTATTCTTGTGGGAATAATGTTTCTATTTACTTCACATCCATCTTTCCCTTAAAGCTGTTTGTGAAATAATGTATTCTAAAAAATGTTGTTTTATCTCTATAGAGTCTTTCTTTATAGAATTTATATATTCAGATTCAATACTATCCAGTCCTATCTTGCCATTGATTCTTTCTTTTCTTGCTTTTCATTAAAACAATATTTTATCAATACTGCATAATCTCTTGCCTTTTCTCTTTTAAAATTCTTCTTTACTAATCCACATCTAGTAGCTTGGAGAGATGGGGCTCTATTTATATGCCTCTGTTGTTAACCTCTATCCCCGAATATCCCAGAGATATATAGATTCACCAATGTCCTCTTATGAACAAATGAGTTATAGGATATAAATCATCTCAGACACATTCTAGTTATTAAATGACTACTTTTGGTTTCTTCATTGTTTATATAATGATTAGGAAATGACTTGTTTTATTTTCTATCTGCTTTAATTTCAGAGCAATGACTGTAAGTATAAAAAATATGAAAGAAATGGAATTTAAAGTGAAGACAGAAATGGACAGTGTAAGTTTAGTTTTATTTTTCCTTTATGCAATTGTTAATCATTTTGTGGGTGAGATAATTTTAAGACATCACAAAAATTAGATAAATTATGATAGTTAAAAATATAACTTTTTAATTAGTATAAACTTCCAGTGGTACATATGTGATCACAATATATGTGGCAAACTACATGCAACAAATCAATAGAACAAAAGAAAATCTCTTTGGATTCAGCATTCAGACAAAAGCATAGCATGGTACCTAGAACTACAGTTCACTGTAGAATCATGGCATTTGGACACCTCTTTTCCATTACTGAGTTGCATAAAGTAATCAAACTAAACTGATAGTCTATTCTGAATTAAATCATGGAGGAAGATAGGAAATAGGAAAGGGAATGAAGCAAATTTGGTTCATGGTATTGTTTTTTTTTTTTTTTTTCTTAACTCAGTCAATGAGACTGTATGTTAGCAGAGGGTAATTCAGTCCAATGGCTACAGAATGCCAATAGAATTGGTTTCTTACACAGTGGGTACCTTTTTAAGGACACAACTTGTATAAACAGTTTTGCTCTGCTCATGCTTAGGAAAGCCAATTGATTATGTCTTAATTGTAGTTTGTTGTTCTAAGGGATGACTATAACAGTTTAAAGTGAGGGTAAAATTGTTGACTTGAAATATTTTTGCCAATTAAAGAAAATTGCCCTCATTTTGAACCTGCTTTGTAAATGTTTGGCTAACCTTTTTCCGTTTATTTTTCACATACACTTGGTTTCAGTATCTCATAATTTCCCTAAGGACAGAGTAAACTGGCCTCCCACCAGAAGGACCAGAGTCAGGGTATTTCCAAATAGACTGGAAGTAGAAAGTAGCATCAGGAACCCTCTGCGGCACCCAAGGGAATGGCTTATGTTTTTAATACTATGGACAGATTTGTTTCACAGAATGCTATTTGGGTTCAGAGCCTTCCAGGGTGTTCTAGGCTCAAGTTTTCCACCAACTTTGCCTTTCTTTTCTTTCCTTATTTTTTCCATGGGAATTTAGTGCTTGTGCAAAGCCCCAGACTGACTTTTGGGCCCCTGAAGTCCCCTGTGTATCCACACCACAAGTACACATGTATTAGCCCTGATCTCCTTAGCTTTGAGACTGAATTTGGCTTTGGATTTGACTATTTTCAGCTTAAAAATCACTGTTTAATAAATTCTATCTAATCCTTAACTTCTTCTTGGGCTAAACATGTACAGAAGTGAATGAGGGGATTTGTAGGAAGATGAAAATGCTAGAAATTTCTCCACATGTTTAAGTCTTGATTGGTTTCTGTCTATTCACTGACCTGAATAATAACTGTTTCACATGGAGATTTTAATTTTACTATAATATTACATCTCTCTAATTATTCAATGTTTTGTATAAAAAATAAGAGGGAGAAAACTAAGATAAAGCAAGATTTGAATATAAGTTCTTAGGTGGAATTTTCAGCTAAATTAAAATAATCTGTCATTTATCTTTTCCATTTATGCACTCTTCCATCTCTTCATGTGAAATGACCCTTCCTGATTTGAGAGATCTCTTCCCACTCAGTGAATTCAACCCCACTGATAATTTCTTTTCTAGAACAATTTGAATATCTATTCTTTAACAAATACATTTTTTTTCATATTAACTTAAAACAACACATTGGCACAATTATGTAGTGCAGGGTTGTCCAATCTTTTGGCTTCCCTGGGCCACACTGGAAGAAGAATTGTCTTGGGCCACACATAAAATACACTAACACTAATGATAGTTGATAAACTAAACAAAAATTGCAAAAAAGTCTCATAATGTTTTAAGAAAGTTTATGAATTTGTATTGGGCTGCATTCAAAGCCATCCTAGGTGGCATGTGGCTCACAGGCCATGGGTTGGACAAGTTTGACATAGTGTGATTAGAGGGTCAGGCTAAGCTTTGGTGCTTTGGGATGACTAATATGACAGGCCTAAGAGTTCATTGTTATTTTTTGTTTCTAAGAGGTTTACTCTTGTCTGAACATTAGTTTGGCAACTTAAGGTTTGTTTGTTTTCTTGAGTTATTTGTTGCAAATCTCCTCACTTTGCAAAGTTCAATCAGTTTTGTAACTATAGGAACTTTTTGAGATTTTCTAGTTTAAACATTTATCTCATTTTTGGAAATGAGGGAACTGAGAGAAGTTAAATGAATTGTCCAAATTAGCATACTTAATATTTTCTTTCTTTCATACTTCTATCCTCTGTCTGTATGCATCGCTATTCTTTGCATCTCCTCTTCTATGGAAGTAAAGCCTGAAAGAATATTGCTTTACTTAGTTGGTAAGGAGTTGTCATTTTGTAGAATTTACCCTCCTGTCTATTTCTAGGCCAGCCACTTGCCCCAAAGGTCATAGAGAAGACTGTTTTAGTTGCACATCACCAAGTGACGGGAAAATGGCCAAAGCGGACATGTTTTGTGTCAAAACTTTTCCTTCTTCCTTTCTATATTGCTCACCACATCCTGGCAATCCAGTTCCTAGGCCTGCCCAAAGTGAAATTATATTCCTAATACTACCTCTAGGTCTCTGTCTTCAAATTAGGACTGTTAATCACTTGTAAAGTTATATTTCAGCTGAAGGAAAGCTATGTCATTATGAAGCAAATGACTCATGGTTGACCCTTTATAACACATTTTCATTAAAAAAATACTGATGGTTAAGTAAATTAATTTTTAATTGGTAGATTGAATGAAAGAGATACTTTTGAAAGGATAGGACTTCCTGGAACTCTTTGGATAGTCTAGGCTACTGCCTCCTGAAAAACCAGCTAGGAGGAATAAGGGCCACTTTCTGAAAAGCTGCCAACCTTTCTTGCCATTATTAATGTTTCTTAGTAAGCAGGAAGTATATATTTCCCCTAAGGAAGTGTGATAGTACATTAAGGCCTCTAAATACATTTTAGTAATAAAAATGTTAATTGAGAGATTGCTTATAAAATTGAGTGACATTTAGATCTGATTGTTTATTGGCTATAATTTTCTATTTAGAGTTCTGAATCTGTTTTTCTCCTCCAAAAGGAAACCCTGCAGCAGGTGAAAATTATCTCAATAAACAACCCGCTTGTTTTCCTGAATGCAAAAAAATTTTATACTGATTTAATGAACATGATCCAAAAGGAAAATGCCTGTAATCAGCCACTTGATGATATCAGCAAGGTAGGATCAATGGTTTGATTAGAATGTCATACTACATGTAGCCTTATATCATGACAATAAAACATGTATCAAGTAAATAATAATACATCACACGAGTATTTCGAGACCTCTCCCTTCAGCAAAACCTATGATTATTTGATTATTTTAGTTAATTTTTAGGTAATCACTCTCTTGTTCATTCTTCATTTATTCAGTATATATTTAATGGACATGTGTTGCAGGTACTACAGCACTAAAAAGAATAAATAAGACAAATGATCCAATTTAATGGATCTCTTAACCAACCTCCAAAGGATTTTTTTTTTTTTGAGATGGAGTCTCGCTGTGTCACCCAGGCTGGAGTGCAGTGGTGCCATCTCGGCTCACTGCAAGCTCCGCCTCCCGGGTTCACGCCATTCTTCTGCCTCAGCCTCCTGAGTAGCTGGGACCACAGGTACCCGCCACCACGCTCGGCTAATTTGTTTGTATTTTTAGTGGAGACGGGGTTTCATGGTGTTAGCCAGGATGGTCTCGATTTCCTGACCTCGTGATCCACCCGCCTCGGCCTTCCAAAGTGCTGGGATTACAGGCGTGAGCCACTGCGCCCAGTCGAAAGGATCTTTTCTTTAAACAAAAAAGGCATTAGATTTAACTCTAAACGTGATAGAATATGATAAATGACTTCAGAGACGCATAAACTGTTGCAATCATTTTAATAATTTTATTATAATGTTCCAGAATTCTTTATCTCCATTTATACTGTCAATTAACAGTGATATTGAATCAAATGTGCATCAATATGATTTAATATAAATAAGCTATCTATTATCATTTGAATCCTTAAGCCTCTGTAATGTTAGGAGTGTGGACTTTGAGGCCAACTGCCTGGGTATGCCACTTACTAGCTGTGGAACTTTGACTTGTTGAATCTTTGTTCTTCAGTTTTCTCACATGTAATTGAGATGATTAAATGAGTTAATAAAGGCAAAGCACTTAGAATAGTGTTTGGCCTACTCAACACTATAACATCTTAGTTAGCATTATTAGTTTGGTTGACTACTGTCTCCATGAAGCTTTCCTTGACTCCTCTAGATCACAGGATCTCTTCTTTTTCTTGTGTCCTCGAGCTACTTATCCCCCAGTCATTTAGGTACACAGAAGATCTTGACCCTCCCATTTCTGATGTCTTAGGAGCTGTCCTGAGCCACATTCCTGTCCCTTACAGCTTCACACTTCTGCCTTTGGGCCTTACCCTAATTTGTACCATAGAAACCTTATATACAGGATCAGATACGTAATTTACAGGGGCTCAGTGCAAAATGAAAATGTGAGGTCTCCTGTTCAACAATTATTAAGGATTTCAAGATGGTGACAGAAGATCATTAAGCCAGATGGGAGATCCTTCTAAGAGTGGGCCCCTTTTGTGAGAAAAACTATAGAGGTAAAGTGCCCTTCTCATCACACTGTATCAAGGGTACCTACAATCAACATGATTTATCAACATGTTTACTCTACCTTGATCACCTGGATAAGGGAGTGTTTGCCAGGTTTCTACACTGTAAAGTGATTCCATTGTCTCTATTCTGTGCTCTCTGGAAGAAAGTCACTGTGTGCAGCCTACACTTAAGAAGCGTGGAATTATGATCCACCACCTTAAGGGTCGAATATCTACATAAATTATTTTGAAATTCTTTTGCAAGGGAGATTTCAGATGAGGTTTTTTTTTTTGTTTTTTTTTTTGAGACGGAGTCTCATACTGTCACCTAGGCTGGAGTGCAGTGGCCCGATCTTGGCTCACTGCAAGCTCCACCTCCAGGGTTCACGCCATTCTCCTGCCTCAGCCTCCAGAGTAGCTGGGACTACAGGCGCCCGCCACCACGCCTGGCTAATTTTTTTTTTTGTATTTTTAGTAGAGACGGGGTTTCACCGTGTTAGCCAGGATGGTCTCGATCTCCTGACCTCGTGATCCGCCCACCTCGGCCTCCCAAAGTGCTGGGATTACAGGCGTGAGCCACCACGCCCGGCCCAGATGAGGTATTTTTAAGAGGAGGGAAAGGAAACTCAGGTTCACTGAATATCTCTCAGGGGCCAGTCCCTTTAATCAGGCTAACTTAATCATCACCAGCCCTGAGATGTAAGTGGCATTACCTGAATGTTACATAAAAAGGGAGGTAGAAATAGAGAGAGATAAAATAACCAGATGGAAATTGTATAGCTGATAACTGTAAGTCAGGCTTAAAATACATACGCTGTAGCACTGGCTATAAAGAAGAGAAAACACGGGCTCTCTAGTCAGCCTTTAAGATAAAAACTGATCTCGTGAGAGAAGCAGAGTAATGTAGTGGCTGGGAACAAGAGGCTTGGAATTGGAAGGGCATGAACTTTGGTTTTAACCCATGCTCTTACTAGTTTTGTGACTTTGCTGAAGTTATTTAACCTTTCTAATCTTTGACTCTTTCATATAAAAAATAAAATTTATAACTTCATATGCTTGTTCTGAGGATTAAATGGTTAGTGTGAAGTCCTTGGCATATAGTGACGAGTGAAGAAATATCAACTGCTATTAATATGATTAACAAAAATAGCAATAATACATTATTTGAGAAATAGCAGATGATCTCCTTAGAGGCATCAATTATTGTCAGACAAGATTAACTGTAGGATACAGAGCTGTTTTTTTTTTTTTAATCCAGCATTTTCATGTAGTGGTAGTATATATGATCAGTGGTTCTCTCTCTTAAAATGCAATGTTAATAAAGATGATTTCTGATTGAATATGCTACTTAAAAAATGTGCAAATGTTTAATTTCTAATCCAAAATCAAAACAAACTTAGTTTTGCAGAAAATATTCTAAAGAAGACAGTCTGATAACATAAATTATTTAATGAATTGCTGTATACTTAGAATTAATTATTTTATTATTTCATAGTTTGTTTTATACATTATTCTGAAAAGAATGCTAGTGAAAAACAATTTTGGAGATGAGTTTTTTTGTTATTCTTTATAAGTAAAAGAATTATGTGATTTTTTTCAGACAGAAGTAAAATTTTATAACATTTTTCTTCTTTATGTTTGTTTTTATTTTAGTGTGAACAAAACACATTGCTTAATTCCCTATCCAATGGCAACTGCAATGGTGAGTTAGCTTTAAGGAAAAAGAAAATCTAAGTGTTTACCTTGAAGATAGACCAGAGAATAAAATCTTCTTCCCCTTCTCCTCCTCATCTGCCTCCCTCTTCTGTTCTTCTTCTTTTTCTCTCCTAATTGTCCTCTTCCCTCTACTCTCCTCCTCCCTTCTACTGGCGTTAGCTTGAGCTTATGTTACCAAATAAGCACTAATACTTTTATCTGCAGAAAACAGATTTAGCCATTTGGCTCCTTCTCCCTTCTCTTTCTTTCTCCCACTTCTTCTCCTGTCTTCTCCCTCTCTCCTTCACTTCTAGTCTTCTTTCTCTTCCTCCTCTCTCTTCTTCTTTCCTTCTTTTTTTTTCTATTTTCTCCTCCTTTCTCTCTTTATTCTTTTCTTCCTTTTTCTCTTTACTTCTTCCTCTTCCCTGTTCTCTCTTCAATCTCCTCCTCCCATTTTCTTTCTTTTCTTCTTCCCTCCTCTCTCCTTTTCCCTCTCTTTCTTCTTCCTCCTCTCCCACCTCTTTTCCTTTTCTCTCCTCTTTCCTCTCCTTCTTCTTTTCATTTACTTAAACATTTGAACCACAAATTGAAATTCATGGCATTAGTGTAGTTTTAATATGGATGAGGATTTATCATGAAATATATCTTTGAATACATTTTGGATCTCCACCCAAAACAAACTAGCACTTTAAAGCTATTACATGTTCAGATTTACCTGAAAAATCAGGTGACAAGAACAAATATTTTGATGGCGGATGCTTGTTAAATTACCAGGTCAATATTCTCTAGAAGTTTAATTATCTTTCTTTGCAAACTCATCAATTGATGTGACCGTTGTCTCAGTATAGAGAAAATTAAAAGATATACAAGAAAATATGAATGAGAAGTGTTGTGATATTATAACTAAATGATAAAAGAGTTGAATTGAAACAGATTTGTATATTTATCTTTTGATATTTACTAAGATTAAAGCATCAGTGTAGTTAAATTATTCATAATTGTGACTTTTATTTAATATAAAAGGTTATACAAAAATCTCTTATTTTTTGTGTCATGCAATATTTGCTTAGCCAATTTCTTCTAAGTAGGTAGAGATAACAGTGATTTTTATTGGAAATCTTTGACAGATATCTAGTTGTATTACTTTTTATTTTGAATTTTTGGAAATAATTTTAGTTACAAATGTGTTAGATTTTTAAAAATGTTACTAATGGAATGACATCTATTACTTTAAACATATGCTTCAAAATAACTATGTTCTTTTTAGCATGGAGCTAAAGAAATAACATGATTTTTAAAAGAATGAAATAGCATTATACATTTTTCTGTTATTAGATCACAAGTTTGAAGAAATAGGTTGATGCTGAAAATTCAGGGTGAAAACTGGATTTTTTAACTTCCCTTTTTCTTATTAATAAGAGGAAGTCAATTATGGATCTATTTTTTAAATTTACTTTAAATAATTTTTATTTTATTGTAGATTCAGGGGAGACGTGCAGGATGATTACACTGGTATATTGAAAATAGTACCCAATAAGTAGTTTTTCAACTTTCTCCTCATTTCCTACCCTCCCTACTTTTGGAGTTCCCAGTGTCTATTATTTCTATTTATATGTCCATGTGTACTTATTGCTTAGCTCCCACTTATAAGTGAGAACATCTGGTATTTGGTTTTCTATTTCTGAATTAATTCACTTAAAATAATGACCTCCAGCTCCATCCATGTTGCTGCAAAAGACATAATTTCATTCTTTTCTATGGCTGTGTAATATTCCATCGTGTATATATAGTACATTTTCTTTATCCAGTCCATCTAGGTTGATTCTATGACTTTTCTATTGTGAATAGTACTGTGATAAACATAAGACTGCAGGATTTTCTTTGATAAAATGATTTCTTTTCCTTTGGGTAGATACCCAGTAGTGGGATTGCTAGGTTGAATGGTAGTTCTATTTTTAGTTCTTTGAGAAATCTCCATACCGTTTTCCATGGTGGAGGGCAGGGTTTGAACTAATTTACATTCCCACCTACAGTGTGTAACCATTTCCTTTTCTCCATATACTTACCAACATCTGTTAGTTTTTGACTTTCTAATAATAGCCTTTCTGACTGGTGTGAGATGGTATCTGATTTGATTTTGATTTGCATTTCTCTGATGATTAATGATGTTGAGCATTTTTCATGTTTGTTGGTCGCATGTATGTCTTCTTTTGAGAAGTGTCTGTTAATGTCCTTTGCTCACTTTTTAGTGGGGTTATTTTCTTTTTCTCATTGAAGTTCAAATTCCTTATAGATTCTAAATATTAGTCCTTTGTTGGATGCATGGTTTGTACATATCTTTTCCCATTCTCTAGGTTGTCTGTTTAATCTGTTGGTTGTTTCTTTTGCTGTGCAGAAGGCCTCTAGTTTAACTAAGCCCCATTTGTCTACTTTTGTTTTTGTTGCATTTGTTTTGAGATCATAGTCATAAATCTTTTGCTTACACCAATGTCCAGAAGAGTTTTTCCTAGGTTTTCTTCTAGAATTTTTATAGTTTCACGTCTTATATTTAAGTCGTTAATCCATCTTGAGTTAATTTTTGTATATGATGGAAGTAAGGGTGTAGTTTCATTTGCCTGCATGTGGCTAGCCAGTTTTCCCAGCACCATTTTTGAATAAGCAATCCTTTCTTCATTTTTAATATTTGTTAATATCATTGAGGATCAATTGGTTATAGGTATGTGGATTTATTTCTGGATTCTCTATTCTGTTCCATTGATCTATGTATCTGTTTTTGTACCAGTACCATGCTTTTTTGGTTACTATAGCCTTGAAGTATAGTTTGAAGTTGGATAATGTGAAGCTTCCAGCTTTATTCTTTTCCCTTTAGGGTTGCTTGCCTATTTTAGCTCTATTTTGGTTCCATATGAAGTTTTGAATTATTTTTTCTATTTTTGTGAAAAGTGATATAATGTGTTAGGAATTGTATTGGATCTGTAGATTGTTTTGAGTGGTAGTAATTTTAATGACATGGATTCTTCATTTCCATGACCATGGGATGTTTTTCCATTTGTTTGTGTCATCTGCAATTTCTTTCATCAGTGTTTTGTAGTTCTACTTGTAGAGGCCTTTCACGTCCTTGTGTAAATGTGTTCCTAGGTATTTTATTTTTTTGTGGCAGTTGTAAATAGGATTGAGTTCTTGATTTGGTCTTTCAGCTTCAGCTTTGTTGGTGTACATAAATGCAACAGATTCTGTGCATTAATTTTGTATCCTGAAACTTTACTGAGTCATTCATTAGTTCCAGAAACCTTTTGGTAGAGTCTTCAGAGTTTTCTAGGTATAGAATTGTATCATTTGTGAAGACAGATAGTTTGACTTCTTCTCTTCCTATTTGGATATTTTTTATTTCTTTCTCCTGCCTTATTTCTCTGGCTAGCACTTCCAGTACTATGTTGAATAGGAGTGGTGAGAGTGGGCATCCTTGTGTTGTTCCAGTTCTTAAGGGGAATACTGTCAGTCTTTGCCATTCAGTATGATTTTGGAGATGGGTTTGTTGTAGATTGCTTTTATTATTTTGATGTATGTTCCTTTAATACCTAATTTGTTGAGGGTTTGTGTCGTGAAGGGATGTTGGATTTTACTGAATATTTTTTCTGAATTTATTAAGATAATCACATGGCTTTTGTTTTTAATTCTGTCTATGTGGTGAACCACATTTATTGATTTATAAATGTTGAACCATCCTTGTGTCCCTGGAATAAAACCCACTTGATCATAATGAATTTTTGTTTTTGATGTGCTGCTGCATTCACTTTGCTAGTATTTTGTTGAAAATTTTTGTGTCTTTGTTCATCAGGGATATTGGCCTTTAGTACTACTTTTTTATTGTGTCCTTACCAGATTTTGGCATCAGGATGACACTGGTTTCAAAGAATGAGTTAGAGAGGACTCTCTCTTCCTCAACTTTTTGGAATAGTTTCAATGAGCTTGGCACTAGCTCTTCATTGTATGTCTGGTAGAATTAGCCTGTGAATCCATCTGGTCCTGGACTTCTTTTTGGTTGGTAGTTTTTTTTATTATGAATAAATCTCATAATTCTTTATTGGTCTGATTAGGATTTCAATGTCTTCCTGGTTCAATCTTGGGAGGTTGTATGTTTCCAGGAATTTATCCATTTCCTCTTTGTTTTCTAGTTTGTGTGCATGGAGATGGTCACAGTAGTCTCTGAAGATCTCCTGGATTTCTGTGCTATCAGTTGTGATGTCACCTTTACCATTTCTCATTGTGCTTATTTGAATCTTCTCTCTTTTTTTTCTTTTGGTTTATCTAGCTAATAGTCTATTAATTTTGTTTAGCCTTTCAAAGAACTATTGTTTCATTTCTCCTTGGTATTTTTTTTGTCTCAATTTCATTTAGTTGTACTCTCATTTTTGTTATTTCTTTTCATCTGCTAGCTTTGGGTTTGATTTGTTCTTATTTGTCTAGTTCCTTTGGGTATGATGTTAGGTTGTTAACTTGAGAGCTTCCTATCTTTCTGATGTAGATACTTAATGCTATAAACTTACCTCTTAACACTGTTTTTTTTTTTGCTGTATCTTAGAGGTTTGTTATGTTGTATCTCTATACTGATTTGTTTCAAAAATACTTTTGATTTCTACCTCAATTTCATTGTTTACTCAAAAGCCATTCAGGAGCAAGTTGCTTAATTTCCATGTACTTGTGTGATTTTGAGAGTTTCTCTTAGTATTGATTTACACTTTTATCCCACTGTATTCCAAAAAGATGCTTGATATGATTTGATTTTTTTTTGGAATTTATTTAGATTTGCTTTATGATCAAGCATGTGGTCAATTTTACAGAATGTTCCATTTGCAGATGAGAAAAATGTATATTCTGTGCTTGTTATGTGAAATGTTCTGTAGCTGTCTATTAGGTCAATCCAGTCAAGAATCCAATTTAAATCCAGAGTTCCTTTGTTAGTTTTCTGCCTCAGTGATCCTTCTAGTGCTGCCAGTGTGATATTGAAGTCCCCCACTATTATCATCTGGCCACTGTCCCTTTTCTTAGGTCTAGTAGTATTCATTTTATAAATCTGGGTGCTTCACTGTTTGATGCATATATATTTAGGGGTAGTTAAATCTTGTTGAATTGAAACCTTTATCATTATATAAGGCCCTTCTTTGTCTTTCTTTCTTTTTTTTTGCCATTGTTGGTTTAAAGTCTGTTTTATTTGATACAAGAATAGAAACTCCTGTTCTTTTATGTTTTTCATTTGTGAGATAGATCTTTCTCCACCCCCTTACTTTGAGCCTGTGAGTGTTGTTACACAAAAAATGAGGCTATGGAGGCAGCAGATGGTTGGGTCTTTAAAAAAAAATCCATTTTGCCAAGCCATATCTTTTAAGTGGAGCATTTATGCCTTTTATATTCAAGGTTAATATTGATTTGTGAGGTTTTGTTTCTGTCATAGTGTTGTTACCTAGTTGCTTTGTAGTCTCAAATGTGTAATTGCTTTATAAAATCTGTGAACTTTGTACACAATATGCTTTCATGGTAGCAAGTATTGTCCTTTCATTTTCATGTTTAGAACTCTTTTGAACATTTCTTGTAGGGTTGGTCTGGTTGTCCTTAGCATTTCCTTGTCTGAGAAAGACTATTTCTCCTTCTTTTATGAAGCTTAGTTTGATAGAATATAAAATTCTTGGCTGGCATTTTTTTTTTCTTCAAGAAGGCTAAAAACAGACCCCCAAACTCTTCTGGCTTGTAATATTTTTGCTGAGAAGTCTACTGTTAGTGTAATGGGATTTCCTTTATAGGTAATTTAGCCCTTTTCTCTAGCTGCCTTTAAGTTGTTTTTTTTTTTTTTCTTCATGTTGGCCTTGGGTAGTCTGATGACTCTGCTTCAGTGATGTCTTCTTCTACAGTATCTCACATGTGTTTTCTTAATTTCTTGTATCTGGATAATTACCTCACATGCAAGATAAAAGACATTTCTCTGAATTATTTGCTAAAATGTGTTTTTCAAATTGCTTACTTTTTCTTCTTCTTCTCTCAGGTATGCCTATAAGTTATAGGTTTAGTTGTATTACATAATTTCAAATTTCTTAAAGGCTTTGTTTGATTTTTAAAATATCTTTTTCTTTATTTTTCTGTCTGGGTTAATTTGAAAGACTAGTCTTCAAGGCCTAAAATTATTCTTTTTTTTCTAGTATATTATTAAAGCTTTCAAATGTGTTTTGAAATTCCTTTAGCGAGTTGTTTAATTCTAGGTGTTCTATTTGGCTTTTATAAAAATATAGCTATCTTTCAAATCCTGAATTGTTTTCTGGTTTCTTTGTGCAGGTTTTCAACTTTCTTCTGGATCTCACTGAGTTTCTTTGGAATCCACATTTTGAATTCCTTATCTGCCATTTCTGACTTTTCCTTTTGGTTAGAATCAATTGCTAGAAAGTTAGCTTGATCCTTTGGAGGTGTCAAGACACTCTGTCTTTTTGTACTGCAGTAGTTCTTTCACTGATTCCTTCTCATCTGAAGGAGCTCTTGCTTATTTTTGAATTTTATATAATTTGGATGGGACTTTTACATTTTTCACTCTTTTTTCCCTTGAGGGTATACTGCAGTGTATGTGTTTTACAATCTTTTGGCTTCATTTCTGGGTGCTTTCAGGGCAAGTTTCTGCATGAGTTCCTTGGTTGTGGACAGCTTCTGTGCACTGGCTTTCTCAGATGCTGCCTGTTGTAGTGATATATCGAATGTAAGAGCCAAAACAGTATCTTCTGCAGGGCTGAGGGTGCAGAGATCTCAGGTAGCTTTTCTTCTGCACTATCACTGTGTCCTTCTGGCAGCAAGTTTTTATTTTGTGGGGCAGTTCAGGCTCCAGTCCAGTAGGTGGTATTTAAGACTAAGAGCTGGCTCACTTCCCAGGAGGCTGATGAGTGGAAGCACTCAGTCTCACGGGAGGATGGCAAGGGGAGATCATGTTGGGCTGTGAGTAGGTCTCCAGGGAAGGGGCAGTGGGGCGAGCACCAGATTCTCAAGCTGAGCTGGCAGGAATGCAGTTTACCTCCCTATCGCACCCCTGCCTCAGGACTCATGACCTTCAGTTTATATAGACTTTGTCCTTTGGCTCATGGCTGCAAAGTGGCTGCAGACTGTGGATGAAGCCCTCTGTCCACTCCCACTAAAACCAACTCAGGGCAGAGCCACCTTCCCCAGTCCAGAGCAGACAACTCTGTAGCTTATGTCCTCCATTGCAGGGCTGCTGCTGTTCTGTATAGGAAGGAGAAGGTGGTCCCTGCTCATTGTGCAATCCCAAGCAGGGAGGGTTCACTTTCAATAGTGGTGGAGCTGCCATGAAAAGCACTTTCTCCAAGTGCTTTCCTTCACACATACCAGCCCCCATCAGGGAGAACCTCTTCTGAGTCTGCAATAGTGGATGAGGGGAGTGGGACATGATCACCTCTCCATGTCTATTCCTGGCTGCTGGTGCTGCCCCCTTTCAGTGATTGGTACCACATCTACGTTTCCTTTGTCCCAGGGGGGCTTTGGTGAGCTGAGTGCCCACCCATAGAAGTGGCGGAAAGTTAGATCTCCAGAGGTCTGAAAGCTCCCCTGGGACCCACTGGTCCTCTGCACCTGCCAAAGTCAGAGCGGGTTGTAGGAGATGTTTGCGGGCAGTCTGGTGGCGCAGTGACTCAAGGACAGAGAATCTTCTGGCAGGGCAGAAGTCCACCATAGGTGCAGAATTAGTATGGTGCCATCTTAGCTTAGATCTGAGGATAGTGAGGGCACACATGTGTGAGCTGGTCACCTGGTTCTTTGACCCTGAGAAGTTCTCAAGTTGCCACCAACAGCATTGCACAGTCACAAGAGCAGAGGGACACCCTAAGAGTTTGGTGGTCTGCAGATTGTCGATTGTCACAGGGGTGAGGGGAACAGAGAAGCACCCCCACCTATGTTTTCCGTGAACTCTGAGTTCCTCGGCTGCCAGTCTCTCAGACTTTGCTGCTTTTTAAGTGTGTGCAACCCTGCTTCCTCCATTAGGATTTTTGACAGGTACTGGCTCTCTTCCCTCAATATTCCATTTAGGACATGCCCATTCACCAAAAACTTTGACGTAGTTTTTGAAGAGAACTGGTATCTGATGTTCCTAGTTAGCCATCTTGAAAAAAACGAATTACAAATATTTTTAGAAAGCAAGAATGGCATGGTTACTGCCTTATTTCTCAAGTCTTCACTATTATTCTTTTCCCATTGACTGTCTCTTTCATTTAACATTATTTCCCAAAGAATTTGGTATTTGTTACTATTATGGCTTTATCACTAGGCACAAAAACTTAATAGATGGTCAATTAATGAATAAATGGAAAAAAGGGAGCAAACAAGGGAGGGAGAGCAGGAAAAATGAAGGCAGAATCACTGAGGTCCAAATCATTACCTAAACACTTGTTAGGATTATATAAGGTCATATGGTATATAATATTAACATCACTCCTTGGTAAGAGAGAAAAAGAAACAAGAAATAAATGAAATATATAATTACATTATAATGTATAATTATATATTTATATAAATAATATATATTATATATAATATAAAGTATATATAAATAATATATATTATATATAATATAAAGTATATATAAATATATAATTTTATATGTATTTATATATTAAATTGATATATTTATTAGGTATATATATGTTGTAATAAATGTGAGAATGATTCAGAAGCATCTTGCTAAAGGTCTGGGAAAAGGGGAAACTAGTCTGAAGAACTTAATTAGGACTATCATCTTTGGCTGAAGATCTGGTTGGACATTAAACTTGGGCTGTTGTGTTCTCTCTCAGATACCAGCTAGGAGAGCCCCGAGTCTTACTGTCTCTCTCATGACCATACACTGGGTCATTATACAAGTTTCAACACATTTCAAATAATGAAAATTATACAGGCAGGTTTCTGTCCAAAATTCAGTTAAGTTGGAAATATTTAACAGAAGGAAATTTACAACAAAAATATAACCCCAAAACTACCATATATTTGGAAATCTGTAACAATTAAAAGGAAAAGAGGAAAACTCGTATCATTCACACATGAAATAATTGTTTATTTAAAATATAAAAATAATACACTATATTTGAATTAATAAGAAGTTAAAAGTTTCCTGTAATTCATAATCAATATAAAATCAATTGGTTTCAATATACTAGCATCAAAGAGAAAATACATAAAAGCTACCATTTACAGTATCTTTAAAAAAAATCAAATCTTAGAAGTGAATTTAAATAAAAATGTATAGACCTACACAGGATGAAGGTGTACAACTTTATTATGAGACATTAAAAATACCTGTAGCAAGTAAATATTTATAAATAAATGGAGGGAAGCACAATGCCCATTGATTAGAATACTTGATATCAAAAAGCATAATTTCTAAAACTGATTTATAGATTTATATTTAATATCAAGTAAAGTTACAATAGAATATTTTAATGGCTTTTTACAAGCTTATTTAAATTTTTAAATAAAAATGCAAATGGCCAAGAATAGTCAAGACACTTGAAAAATATGAACAAATGAAGGGTATGTCCTCTTAGCATCAAGATGTATTATAAAGCTCTAATAATCACTGCAGTGTAGTATTGGATCAGAAATAAATAGGTCAATATGACAGAGTAGAGAGTTCAGAGGGGGAAAACCCTCACATGTATTGCAGTTTTATTTATGACAAAAATGGCACTATAGAGCAATGGGAAAGGACAGTCTTGATGATAAATAATGCAGAGACAATTATGTATCTATATGAATGAAATTAGGCCCCTAATCCACACCATACCACACATATGTATGAGGTAGATCAATCTCAATATAGTAGACAAAATGTAAACTTAGAAGAGCATATAGGAAAATATCTTAAAAGACCTTGGAATAAATAAATTTCCTTAAAACAAGAAATATAAAGCATTAAGCATAAAGAAAATGATTATTAAACTTCACTATATTATTTTTAAGAACTTTTGTTTACCAGAAGGTACTATATAAAACATGAAAAAATAAGTCAGAGTGGAAGAAGATAGATGTAACTTATAAAATGCAGAAAGGACTGCTTTCTACTACAAATCAACGAGTAAAAAAAGGCAAACAACTCAGTAGAAAAATAAGCAAAAAACATGAACAGGCATTTCACATAAAGGGACATTTTCTAAGTTACCAAAATATATACATATAGGAATATGCTTGACTTCACTATTATTATTCACAGCTATTATTGGGGAAATGCAAATTAAATAACTCTATATGTATGATATTGGTCAAAATGGAAAAATCTGACAATACCAAGGATTGGTGAGGATATAGGGCAACAAGAAGTCTCCTACAAAGTCGGTGGTAGTATAAACTCTTACAAGTTGAGTATCACTCATCTGAAATGTTTATGACCGGCAGTGTTTTATATTTTGAATTTCTTTGGATTTTGGAATATTTATTTATGCATTATAAGGTATCTTAGTAATGGTACCCAACTCTAAACACGAAATTAATTTATGTTTTATATACACCCTATACACATAGTCTGAAGGTAATTTTATACAATATTTTAAATAATTTTGGGCATAAAACAAAGTTTGTGTGCATTTAACCATCAGAAAGCAAATGATGTGGACAATCATCTCCGGTTGTTTGGCATTACCATCACTCCTGACTGAATTTATATGCTACTAATAAGCTATCATTTTCTTACATTTATTCCCATGTAAGTACTGAACAGTAACAATTATGACATACCATTAAGATAGTAAAATGATGTGTTCAAGGTAACTTATGATGTCATGTTGACATTCAGAAAGTTTTGGATTTTGGAGCATTTCGGATTTTGCATTTTCTGATTACCATCTGTGCATCCACCTTGGAAAACGGTTTGGCAATGTCTTATAAAGTTGAAGATACACATATCCTGTGATCAGCAATTCTGCTCTTAGTTGTACATCCTGAAGAAATGATAATTTATGTGCAGCCAAGTACACACACAAGAATATTCACAATAATATTGTTTGTAACTGTCCAAACCTGGAAATAACTCAGGTGTCCAACTAAAGCAGCAGGTATGTATAAATTGTGACATATTTATACAATTGAGTTTTTACTTAATATATTTGTTATATGTTATACTGACATAATAATGAAAATTATATACATCTTATAAACAATGTTGGGGAAAAAAGCAAGACAAATGAAAACATATAGTAAGGTTCTAATTTCATTCATATAAACTTAGATGAATAAAAAAGCTGAATTATATTAATTTCTGCACTTCTAAGACAATTACAAAAAGAATCTCTTAATATTTGTATCTGGAGGAGTTACAAGATTTTTCATAAAATTGTTTATTAATTCCCCAAAACTGGAAATAAGCAAAACACCCATTAGCAGTACAATGGACAAATAATATGTAGAATGTTTTTGTAAGAGGATAAAATACATAGTATAATATCAATTGAATTACAACATATAATATGTTGTAAATCAATATACAACATAATAAAATAGAATATAAATATATGAATGAACTGCATGGACCCACATTAACATGGATGCATCTCAGATGTCAGCTTTTCTGGTCTTTTCTAGTTTATTGTGGCAAATTTACTTTTACCTGCCTTGTGCTCTCAGAGAACACTTATGTAATACTAGAATAATACTTACTTAACTTCTTGAGTGCCTTGCTCTCTTTCTGAACTGAAAAATTTTTAAGGGAGTTTCTTACTTCTGCATCCTGACCAGGCCCACTTTGCACAGAACAGTAGCTGATGGGCATGATCACCTTTGCTGGGTCCTCGTGAAACTCTTTGGTACCCAGTGGCCCTTCGATACTTGCCAGACATAGTTTATCAGAACACTTCTGACATCCTTCTTCTCTCCCCTCCAAAGTTTCCTCAGTCCTCTTATCTCTCTCTCTTGTTCAAGTAACGCCCTGCTGTACTCTCCTATGCTTTAAATGCTGAGGTTATGTGCACTGTGCTTATTTTTTATTTCACTTCTTAATTTAATCCCTAAAACCTGTAACTTTGTTTCATTACCTTTACATTTTTACTTCTGTGACTCTGATTCTGTCCTTAATTATGTTTGAAATTAGTATTATCTTCATATTGTTTTTTATCTTATGCTATGAGATAGGCTTTGTTGTATTCTATAGATAGAAAATACCCAGTATGTATGTGCATACCAGACACAATAATAGATCAGGGCATTTTTTTCCTATGAGTCAAAGTAGCCTCAGAATCCTCTCAACATGTTGTTGTAAGAAGCTACTACAAATGGAGTTTACATGCAGCTGAGATCTAATTGCCATTCCAGCTTTATTTCATTCTGTGACATAATAACAGATTAATGTTAAATCACTTCTACTTTAAAAAATCCATCCTGTTCTTAATAAATTATAATGGTTTCCTTCTGAGGATCAAGTACTACTCCCTAGCATGGCACCTAAAAGGCTTCCTTATCCTTTCAAATTGCTTTCCTTCTTACCACACATTATACAAGCTCTCCATCCCAGCCAGACAAATCCATTTATGGCTCCAACATCTAACTTAATCATTTCTGGGTCTAAGCCTCTATTTGGATTCTCATAACTAGAACTATCTCCCTTTTCTTCCAATCCAAATTTTATACTTTTTCTGAGGTTTAATAGAGAAGTAAAATATATTGAAGGTACACACTTCTTTTCAATCTTGTTAGGGAGAAAAAAGTCAACTAGATCTGTATGGAAGAATTCTCAGTCAAGTGCAGACTGGGATTCAGTATCTTCACCTATAAAGTGGAATTCATAGTAATAGTGAAACAGAGAAATTACCACATGCTTTAATCAATCACATATTGCCTATATGGTTATAGAGTCATTTTATTTATGCATATTTTCCTCCTAACTAGATTTTAAGGTAAATAATGCATTTTTAATTTCCATTGTATTATCCTTCATTGTCCAATGAACAAAATGTTTGTATAGCAATTCACAGGACATTATTCTCAATAACTAAAATAGGTAATAGGCAAACGCTCTACTCTTCATTTTAAAATAATTAAAATAATTACAAGAACACTCTTCATTTTACTGATGAAGTTGAGGCCCGTATGGGAGACTTAACTTGCTCTGGATCATGCAGCTAGTTAGGGGTAGTAGAGGCAGGACTTAAGTCCCTGTTGAAAGTAGGCTATATACATGAAAGGGGATACTTAAAATTGAGATTCAAGAGGATTGGTCTAAATGCAGCCTGCATGGAAGGAAGCAAGAATGATAGGGCAATAATAATCTAGAGAAGAGGAGTGAAGTTTCTATCTTCCTCTTCTTTGGTCACCAGGTTATGAAAATGGAGATGAAGGACTCAGAAGAGATTTCAGCAGTGTAATGAACACCAGCTGGAACTGTTTGGAAGTTGGAGTAAGGGAGAGAACAATACAAATGATGATTCTGAAACTTTGAAACTCTCAAACTGGGAATAATAGGGAAGCCAGGAAAACAGCTAAAAGGAAAAGTGAGTTTAGGTAGGACAATGGTAAACTTAAGCTAAATAAAGTCATCCAGGAGACATCAAGTGGGTTTTGGGGACTACAGAATAGATCTAGAAGTGATTAAAGGAAGAAAAGACATAAACTGAGTAAGGGAATGGGCAAGAAGGAAGAGATTTAAAAATAGCCCTCTCCCCTAAAAATCGTTTCAGAAGGAAAAGATTTGTAGTTGAGCGCATGATAGAATAATCAAAATATATGAAGCAGGGTTACATCAATTATGAAGTGGAAATCATGCTATTTCTCTTAGTAAAAATACAAATTTCTCAATTTTTAGAGACATCTTCCATTACCACTTTTAGTAGTTTGAGTCTCCAAAACACTTCAGTCAGTTTATGTCAATACGAAGAGGCACTCTGTTGAGGTCTTTCTGAGCATTATGACTTGCTGGGTCTACCTCCACTGCCTAGTCATCTACTTAACTTCCAATCATTATCAAGTCTCAGCTCACACATCACATTCTTCCATTCACTCCTGCATTAATTCATGCTCTTGTTCACTCAGTTAATCTTTCTTGTACATATTGAACATCTAATAAATCCTGGGCACAACAATGAATGCTGGATATTCAAGGATGAAGAAAGTAGACATGAATTCTGCCATCATAGACCTTGAAATCTAAACAAGTTCCCACCCTTATTACTCATTTCCCAAATAAACAATGCAGGTATATTAGTTTCCTGTTGCTGCTGTAATAAATTGCCATGAATTTAGTGGCTTAAAACAGCACGGATTTGTTATTTTACAGTTCTAGATGACAGAAGTCACTGAAATGAGTCTGGAGATAAAATCAAGTTTTGGCAGGGCTGCATTCCTTCTGGAGGGTCTAGAGGAGAACTCATATCCTTGCCCTTTCCAACTTTCAGAGGCCATCTGTATTCCTTGGGTCATGGCCCTGTCCTCCATTTGCAAGCTGCCAGTGTGACATCGTCAAATCTCTCCTCTCTCATCTTCAAATCTCAGAAGAGATGTGGTCTCTTCTGTCACCACATCTTCTCTGACCTCGAACCTCCTGTCTCCTTGTATGACACTGGGCCTACCTGAAAAATCTAGGATAACCTGCCCATCTCAACATCCTTAAATTAATCAAATCTACAAAGTCCCTTTTGCCATGTAAGCAACATATTCGCAGTTTCTGGAGATTAAAATGCGTGCATCCTTAAGGGGCATTATTCTGTCCATCACACAAGGTCTCCTTCATCTCCATAGCATTTTCTGCCCATCTCCAGCCCTCATCACACTTTAATTTACTAGTTCAACTGACTAGTTTCCCTACCTGATTGTGAGTCTGTTGAGGGCAGTGATTACTGTCTTCCTTGTTCATCATTGTACTTAGATTTTCTAGGACAGTGCTTAGAGTAGGCACTCAATACATCTATATTAGCTGACTGCTGGGAGGAAGGAAGGAAGGAAGGAAGGAAGGAAGGAAAGAAGGAAAGAAATGTTCAATAATATGTGCACGTGTTTTCCAAAGGCAATGCTGTGGTTTGTCTTCAATATTTATCTTCTTATTTTCTTGAGAAATTCAAGATATAAATCTGCTTTTCAATAGTTAATTGATATCAACAGAAAATACTTTCTTTTAAAAAATTATGAGTTACTCACAGACTGTCAAGAATCTTTGAAGTATATAAAAAGCACTCTTAAATTATGCAACTATGAATATTTTTTAATTAAAGAAGTTAATGAATATTCCACAGGAGAGAGCTGGCTTCCACAGTCTGGAGTTAATTACCCACCCACACCTGATGGTTAATTTCTTTCTGAAATGTTGTTTTTGTGTAGATAAAGCCCATCATTTACCACATTCCACATGGGTATAGATTAGTTGTCTCCTTTGCACATGCTCCAAGCTTACCTCATTTTGCTTAAGGCAGGATATTAGCTGTACATTCACTTTACTCTTTTCTAGGATTATATGATTTTTATTGCTCTGGTTGATTTCCTTAGGAGTATAGAACACAAGGTTATAGCCATAAAATTAGTGCAATGGCAGAACTGAAAGGATACTGTGTAAAAGAAAACTTCACTTATTTTTGGAAAAATGTTAGAAATGTCCATTGTATTTAAATTTTCATTTGGGTGAATGGGTAACTTTACCATTAAGACTGTGTTTTCTCATTTAGAAGAAAATCATGAATTGCCTCTCTTCAAATAGCTTACTTAAATTATTATCCACAACTATAAGGCATAAGCCTGTTGTTTTGCTTTACTTTATTTTTATTTTTGGATGGCCTGAAAATATACAAATACTTCAATTAAAGGGATAGCACAGAGGAAGTTGGATAAAAAAATAAAGACGAAGCAAACATGGCATGAACACACTCTCAGACAATGGAAGGGACATTTTAAAATCACTATTGATAAAGCCCCAAACACTTTCAGAGTTAATAATCTATCATCATGTACATTATGAGATAATTACAAGAAAATAAAGGAAATTGCAAGTACAATTTAGAAGTGAAATATGGTAGGATAGAAAAGGAACAAAAACTTGTTTAAGAATTTTCAATACCTTTTAATCACCATTTTCTAGTCAATTAAATGCAGTTATCAATCTCTCTAAGTAACATATACACAGATTGTTTTTCACTGTAATTTTTTTTAAGTTCAGAATGACAAATAAGTTTTTGATCAGCTAGTAGTGGCTTCCTGAAGCACTGAATTGATGGAAATTGTAAGGTCTTGTTTGAACTCAGTGGAAAAAAATATCAAAATTCATTAGCCATGTTTGCCATGGCTGTGGATAGGGATGATTGAACTCATGTCAGACAGTTATAGATAATAATTTATGGAGCATCTTCCAGGAAAAGCAATGCATTGAAATATTTTCCAAATAAAACAACTGCTAATATTCTTTCAGATTACAGTTTCTTTCTAGCAAGCCTGTCTTATAGACATTACTATTATGTTTGGTAGTAAATAAATAATAAGGCTTAAATATCTTAGAAAAATTCATAATCTATTAATTCTTAATATTTAAGTTAAATATGAATGCTAATTTTTTCTACGGAAATTTTTGAACAAATTTTAGATTGCAGATTATTTTGAAATATGTACTATTTTATAAAAGAGGTATCATTTGGTAAAAACAAGTAAGTGGATAAAAAAGGACAAAATTTGACATCAATTTGTGTCATCATTGTTATTTTAAGATGTATTGTCAAATATGTCAGTGGTTTAAGTCTTTCATTTAATCAAAGCCATTGGATTTTTAAAACTTACTGATGATTTTCTTTATATTTAATAAGAGTACCCACGTTTAAGCAGTGATATGCTGGTGAATAACAAATGATTCTTGGAGTGGGGATATAAGGTCGGATGGTGGAGAAGTTCTGATCTGTAGCATTTGCCAATTTCCATGGTGTAAATATTTCTACTATCACTGATTTTAAGCTACCAACATGCTGTCATTAAGCATGGAAGATATATACACAACTGACTTTCAAGAACTGGCATCATCTGGCCCCAACTCATTACTGACTTTAAAGAAACCATATAAATTTTATTTTCTAAAAAAAGTTTGAAAAAGTCAGTGTAAGAAATCTTCAAATATTAAGCTCCAATATACATTGTAAACATGATTAGTCTTACTAATTTTTAAATCTTACTTTGTAAGAAAACATCTAACTCCATTATATATATTTTACCTATGTATATTATATAAATTTTTTATGTTTTCTCAGAAAGTTTACCTAATATTTAATTGTTAGAGATTTTTATACTGTGAAAATTTAATAGAACATTTCCAAAAATGCATTTATGACCAGTCAACATTCCACTGTTGATTAGAAGAAGTACTCTCTGCATAGAGTATTTTTCTATTTCCTGCAATCTTAATACTTTCCTATCTGTGATAATAAGCCAGGGCATATTATACCTGAAAATATAAATAAAAGCCTCTGCATTAGTAGAGATAAATCTTATGTTTAATTAGGCAAATAATGAATGATAGTGATTACAGTTGAGTGGTCAGTAGATGAGCTATGTTGTGGCTATTTTCAATTTTGCTTGAGGTTCTAGTTTACCATTTCAGGCCGAAGGAAACATAGCCTGAATGTCCACTAACCACTTAGCCCCCCTTGCCCTGGGAACAGCAGAACAGAAGGCACTACTGGAGTACCTGGCATATAGTTGGTCCTCATTAAATGGTTGAATGGGAGCAGAGGGAGTTTGAGATCTTAAGCTGTCATTAGTGTTTGATTAAGGCTGTCCACATGGTTAGAATGCATACACGTCTACATTACTTCTCCTTTTTGGAATCAATCTGATATATCCTGCAAGGCTGCTTTTTGCATTAAGTCTTCCCTGATTACTCCAAAGAGACTACTCTGTTTTGTAAATTCACATTTTTATTCATTTTATCATTTTAATCATGTCATTTATATACCATTGCTATCCTTGACACTCAAAAGTATTATAAGCTCCTAAAGAAAGGAATAAGACCTCACTCATATTTGTTATCACCCACTCCTTAAAAAAATTACTCCTTAAAAGTTACTGATTATTTAGTGTTATTATCCACTCCTTCTTGAACATAGTACAAACATAACATAGTTATTATTCAGTTAAAGCATGTTATTGGATTAATATAAATACAGATCTAAAGATGAAACTGAAAACCAAGTCTTATACCTGACTACCACTTTTCAAATACATAGAAATTACTTTGTAGCATTTCTCCTTTTCCTAACAGTTACTGTCATATATAAATTTTCAGTGTTCATTTTTTATTTTACTGCTTTTTTTAAATCTGTAAGCAGGATTTTTGTTTTTTTTAGAGACGGAGTCTTGCTCTGTTGCCCAGACTGGAGTGCAGTGGCACGATCTCGACTCACTGCAAGCTCCACCTCCCGGGTTCACGCCGTTCTCCTGCCTCAGCCTCCCGAGCGGGATTTTTTTTAGTCTCGCTCTGTTGCCCAGGCTGGAGTGCAGTGGCGGGATCTCGGCTCACTGCAAGCTCCGCCTCCCGGGTTAACGCCATCTTCCTGCCTCAGCCTCCCGAGCGGGATTTTTTTTTAGTTGCACTATTTCCCTCATATTTTCTCCCAACTTGAGAAAGAACCACAGTCCCACTTTTATGTAGCCACTATACAGAAAAACCTTGAACATTTTAAATGGCAACGCTATTTAAATTAAGAATTAATTTTTTCAGAGAATTTCATAATAATTAATGAATTTGAATTTAAGTGATAGACTTTGCCTACAGTGGTGGGGGAATCAGCATATGTGATTTGCTCTGAAAGCCACATCACTCCTCGGAGGGACCCCAAATGTGGCCTGTCACTGTTAAGAAATAGGTCATATCATGTAAGGAAATCGTGGCCCTAAGAATATCAGTCAAAAAGAGGTCATGAACTCCTAAGTAAAATCTTGTTGTTTTCATCAGGTAGATTCAGAGGCCGATTTACTATGAACCGAATGAAGCTTAATTTTCAGGGCCTGTCATACAGATCCCTTCCAAGGCTGTGGGACAAGCCCTAGCAATGGAGTTTTTTTTTTTTAGAGTGATTCCAAAATTGTATACGCTTCAGGCACCACAAAACGGGGCTCTACTCCGGGCATACCTACTAAGGAAACATTGTGATATTGTGGAAAAGGTACTATTCAGAATGTCTAGAGACTTTGCTTCTGTCTGTGTTTAGCACTAACTTGCCAGATATTCTTTAAAAATTATTTAAACTTTTAAACTGAACCTCAGTTTGTCCATGTATGAAATGATACTGGTAATTAACCTATTTTGTCTTCTTCTTTGAGTCATGTCATAATCACCTGAAATTGCATTCCAGTAATACAAAATCAGAGAGTTCAGGAATAATTAATAATTTACTGAAAAATGTAAAAATTAAAAGTGTTTAGAATTACTGTTGTTAAACATGAGGCCACTGTTACCCTCCCACCAGTCAACAAAGCCAGCAGCAGAAGTCTCTTAAAACTCTCCCTAACTCAAGTCTCTGTTTCTCCTACAGAAGAAGCTTCACAGTCCTGCCCTAATGAGAAGTGTTATTTAATCCTGGATTGCAGTGGATTTACCTTTTTTGACTATTCTGGAGTCTCCATGCTTGTTGAGGTATTTATGGAACTTGTGTTTAGAACTGTTTCTTCCCTTTTGTTCAGTAACAGGGGTTTTCACCACCTTCTCTCCATAGTCTTGAGCCTGCTTGTTGCAATACTCATCTCACCCCATTATTTACAAAGGACGTAGAACTTTGCCTACCATCACTGTAGATTTGTTTTCAGGAGATCCTATTCAGCTTCTAGTTGTATGTATGTGTGAGGGTCAGGGATCAGAATATTTGCATGGGGTAGTCAGAGAGAACAGTACATAGACTTGAGATACAGTGGGCATAGGAGCTCCTAGGCAGTCAATTTACAAGGATTCTAGGAAGGAGAAAAGCCCATTCTAGAGCACAGGCTGCATAAGTAAGTGCCTTGATGATGGCAGGAGGTTTTCTCTTACATCACGGTTGGGTACAGTTTGGCCTAATATCATTTCTGGTCTCACAAGTAGTGCCCAATGCAGGGGCTTTTCTCTGTTCTCTCAGGCAATGGTGCTTCTTTCTCTACCCTGTGATCTGCATGTGGTTTCCATGATCCAGGTATGCAAAAAATAACACTCCACTTATGGCTTTAAAACTGACATAGCTTCCAAACCTCATTTCCACAGATGGAAGAACACCTAATTTTGCCAATTCACAGAAAACTCAGGCACTTCTAAGATTTTTTTACCTCCCCACCCGCCTTTTTTTTTTTTTTTTCTGAGACGGAGTCTCGCTCTATCGCCCAGGCTGGAGTGCAGTGGCGCGATCTCGGCTCACTGCAAATACAAACTCTGCCTCCTGGGATCACGCCATTCTCCTGCCTCAGCCTCCCGAGTAGCTGGGACTACAGGCACCTGCCACCACGCCCGGCTATTTTTTTTGTATTTTTAGTAGAGACGGGGTTTCACCATGCTATCCAGGATGGTCTCCATCTCCTGACCTCGTGATCTACCCGCCTTGGCCTCCCAAAGTGCTGGGATTACAGGCGTGAACCTCCTTCTTTTTTTAGTAAATACTAAGTCAACAGGGAATTCACCTTCTTTCTTATTTCTTTTTGTTCTTTCCCTCAATACCCTGAATTGGTGGTGGTGGGACGTCTTGAGGGTGGGGCAGCATCTGTTCTTTGGTTTCCCCAGTCTTCTGCCAGCTTCTGAGCCTGTGAATCGGCTCACCTCATCTTCAGGTGTTTACTTCCCAGAGGTTTTCTTACTCAGACCACCTAGAGCCTCCCTGCGTGGCTTGACATTGAGCCAAATAATTAAAACCTTATGGAAATTTCTAGAGTTCTTTCCTCACCATTGATCTCTCCCTGAGCTCTGGTTGTGTCTGTGCAGCTCAGGGAAGCTGCCACATTTTTAATGGGTCCCCCTCATCATGCCAGGACCCAGAAACTGCTTTGCGGCAGAAAGCTGCCATGATCGGAGGGCTCACCCCATTTGTCCACCTTTCTCAGGAAACTCAGCCACCCTGTGCTGCCCTGCCTGGTGCCGATTGTCTAAACATGGTTGTTGTATATTTTTGTCCAGTTGTGTACTTCTTTGTGGAGGAGGGGATAGTCTTGTATTAGTTACACAGCATGGTCAGAAAGTGGAAACCAGACATTGACTTTTAAAGGATTCAGATCAGAATCCTTGAAAAGGTCTCATGTTGTGGACTGGGATTGTTTTCTTGTGGTGTAGCATACCTTGTGTCTCTATTCATTTATATCTTAAATTTACTTTGAAATGTCCAGCCTTTCAAACTCAGGATAGTACAAAGGTCAACATTAGTGTTGCTTTCCTGTGAAGATACGGGTGGGAGTGTGTGTAGGGGAATTGCTTAGTATGTGGAAGTCACAGCATAGTCCCAGCTGCATCACACTAGCTAAGGTGTGGGGGACATCATCTCACTTCTCTGGATCTCAGTTTATTCATTTTGTAAAAATGAGGCAGCGATTTTGTTTCAGAATTGGCAGATATTTCGAAAATAAAGAAATAGCTTAAAACAATTGAAGTTTAAGTATCAGAGGCCTGAAATCTAGTGGCTATTTTTAGCAAGTCGCCCTTTCTCCCCACCGAATATATTTTTATTTGCTTGTGGTTCACTATAAAACCTTTTCACGGTTGGACTTAGGATTCAACCTGAATACTTCGTGTTTTCTTCTAGCTGAACCTAAATTGTAAACACATGGTTCCTCTTCACAGGAGGGCCTCTTGTATTCGGCATTTTTATTTACTCTATGTTCCTAAAGTCTACAAGAGTCTCTTATAATTGTGTGTTTAAGGCTCTTCTGAGGTGCTCATTGAAAATGCAGTCTTCTGGGTTCTGGTTCTGACCTAGGAGCTTCATTTTAAACACCCATAGGTGATTCTGATGCAGGGGGCTCAAGGATCCTATTTTGAGAAACACTAGGATTTTTTTTTTTTTAAACTGGGAAAGGCCAGTATGGTTTTTGTTGTTGTTGTTGTTCAATTCCATTTTAAATTGGTTTCTGAAATTATTAGCTTCCTTCTCTAGATATTACAAACAGGACTTAGGGTTAATAAAGAAAGAAGGAGAAATGGTTACCTACTCCCACTGAGTTTAGGATCCATGGCTGACAATTCAGAGAAATTCAAACAATCTTGGCACTGGACATGTTGAAAAAAGACTTATTTTTCATCATTCATCTTAGTGGTTTTAAAGATCTGTACACTGGAATGACAGGATCAATCAACTGATGCAATTTATTTTTAAATTGGCATAAAATGACATTCCCTTAGCCAGGTGTGTTTTATCTATATATACAAAACCAGCAGTTTTGTATCAGTTTGCCCTTTTAAATTTCCTTATTATTCCTATTTTCTTTATTTCATTATGGTTACAGTAACAGCGTGATCTATGTTAAGAACATAGACTTTAAAGATAGACTAAGCCTGGTTCCAAATATCATCTATGTACTAGTTCTGTGATCTGGACTTAAGTGTTTACTTGCTTTTCGGTAAACTGGAAGTGGAAATACCCACTTCATCAAGTTGTTGTGAGGCTTAAAAATGATGTATTGCATATAAAACACCTAAGAAAGTGTCTAGCAGTTAGGAAGAACTCAATAATGCTAGTTTCTGTTATTTTTTCTCATTTTAAAAATGTCATTTCTGAAAGTGTAAATAATATCATTGCATATTATTTCTTAGTTCCAGCCACCATGGAAGAAGGTTCAGAGTAAACAGCCACAAGGACTCTTCAGCCCTGCATGCCTTCATGCTTTCTAACAACACTCCTTGCATTGTTTTCTTAGTTGCTTTAGCATAAGAAACGTTCTCTTGGGAGTTGTAGGTTGAAGGAAGTAGGCTGACTTCTCTTTGTTCTTTTACTTGGGACATTGAGGAGGTCAGTGAACTGGAGATTATATTTATCAGCATCAACAAACCACCCATAGCAATGTGTTTATGTTTCACTGAGTTTAAGAAAGAGTGAAACACTGGGAGGTCACCTTGAATTAATCATTTTAACTTGCAAAAATGGGAGCCATTTATTCAATGGCAAAGATGCAGTCCATGCTTTTTGCTGTTTTCTCATTTATGCTTAGTAATATATCTCCCATTATTTCACAATTCTTCTCACATAGAACTTCTTACTGCTGGAAGAATATGAATGAAATTTTGAATGTACAATGCACACTATTAGAATATATTGTAAATGCACCTTTCTATATTTTATGTGTCAGATACATCACTGTTATATAACGAAATCCATCCTCTGGTAACTAAAACGCCTAAATTTACTTTTACAGAAGTTCATAGACTGACTTTGATTTGGGTGAATTTAAGATCAGAGCCTTTAATAAGTTGTTTCTGCTTGAGATTTTCTAGGACTTAAAAGAGGCAAAACTCTTAAAAGAGGCCAAACAAATGAATTAGGATCTCTCATCTTGCATTCCTTTTAAAATGGAAGTTGGGTAATCAAACTTGGCTTGGATTATAGTGAGGTTCTCAATTTAACATTCATGCACCGGGTTTGTAGAGCCCGTGAATATATCCAAATTATTGTAAAATATTAAAGCAAGCAGTAGGTCTGCAGCTTTCTTCACTTTCACAAATGGGTCCTTGTCTTCTATTAAAAGAGGTTGAAAACAATTTTATATCATTCTTATAGGGCAGCAGAGGCACTGTTTTTACTTTTATTAAATGATGTGGAAAAGGTAAGCAGTCAAATTTAGTTGCAATAAAGGTAGATGCCCTGCTGTATTAATCTTAGTCTTTTAGACGCTTGCCAGATTATGCCTGACTGTGTAACAATGCCTCCCTCTGGTGGTTTGACTTCGTAAACATCGGCTTTAAAGAAAGTTTGATTTCTTCTGAAGCCCATCTTATTTCCTCCTGCTGGCTATTCTGAATTAATTGTGGGTATCCTATTTTAATTCTTCCAGGTTTACATGGACTGTAAAGGCAGGAGTGTGGATGTATTGTTAGCCCATTGTACAGGTAAGAGAATGTCCCTGACTAACGTTGAATGTGATTTTTCTGCACTTCCACATGTATTCTTATATCACTTGTGCTTTCTTGAAGCTTCCTTGATAAAAGCAATGACGTATTATGGAAACCTAGACTCAGAGAAACCAATTTTTTTTGAATCGGTATCTGCTGCAATAAGTCATATCCATTCAAATAAGGTGAGTTGATTAAGTTGGGCTGAAGGAGTTATAAGAATATTCAGAATATAGAATCGAAGCTTTGCATCTTTTATATTAGCTTATTACTCCATTGGCATCTAAAATCTGTTAGCCCCCCACCCCACCCCACCTCAGACTTTCTATTACAGGTAAAAGAATGTTTCCATTCTTTTTTTAGGCCAGTTATAAACTGTTGTTTGATAACTTGGATCTTCCAACAATGCCACCGCTCTGAGGATTGGGTGGTTGCCTATCATTTGCAAACTGCTTACTTGTACAACAAATGCTTCTTCCAGGATCTACTGTCCTGGGGACTTGAATCCACCTTTCTCAAATATAAAAACTCTAAATATGGCCTTTTAAGTTTTTTCTGCTCTGATATCTTGCCTCTAAGCTTATATTGCCATCTTTGGAAATACTATTTGTAGAATCTAGTGCTCACATGATCTGAAGTGTCAAAGTTATTTTACAAATGCTGGGCTTATGGTTTAGTTTTACAACTGTTCTTAGAGCTTTAATTTCCTGCAATTTTTCCTTGAGTTTTGAATTGTTTTGCCTTTCCTCACCCCTAGAATAACATTTGGTGCCTCGCAGAGTCATCCCTATTGTATACAATCAGAACAGTATGTATTTACAAAATAATAATAACACTATTATTATTAAATCTAACATATATTGAGTGCCCTCATTATATTCCAGGAATATTCTAAAAGCTTTACTATGTTGTTTAACTGAATTTGCCATGACCTTATGAGGTAGATATGATAATTTAACCCATTTTTAGAAACAAGGAAACTGACCAGGGAAATTACACCATCTGTAAGTGGTAGAGCTGGTTGCAGAGTCAGCAGTTTGAGTTTGGACCTGGAGCTTTGAACTGCTCTACTCTGATGCCTCATAAAAGGTTCATTTTCTTTGGCTTAGCTGGACAGCTTGCTTCAGTTACTACTGTTCTTTTACTTTGGTACCAATTTAAGAGTTGAGTAAATAGCACATACTTACTTCTTCCTCTGGTATTTCAGAATTTGAGCAAACTCAGTGACCACAGTGAAGTCTGAGACCCTTTTGTCACAGTACAGCTCTTGTCTTTACCAACTGCCTGAAGAGGCCATATGCTGGCATTTTGCACAACTTTTTGGTTGTTTAGATCCTACAGATGACCTCTGCTACAATAAGTACGATGTGACTTAGTAACTGCATAGCAGTTGGAAAGAACTGCCAACTTTTTTTTCTCATTTTTGTTAGTAAGAAGATTCGCTTAGTTATTTTATGTAAAAATCAGTATGTGTTTAGTTTTAGTGTACTGAAGGGTAAACATGGTTTTATTTTATTTTACCATATTATTTTGTGTTGTTTTATTTCTATTGTGCTGTAAGTTGATGTTTAAAATTGAGAAATACTTTTGTCATAGGTAATTTGGAACATTTACAAGCCATTTGTAAAATTTTAAGATAATCTGTAACTAATACATAAAAACAACTTAGCAAATGTGCCATTTTCACACAACTTCTCTCTGTATAGGCCTCTGAAATATCAATAAGGCTAAATATTACTTTACACAGTAAGATGTGAAATTCACAAAAAGTAAACCAAACAAAACGAATGAAAAACTGGAAATAATTCGTTTCCATATCTTTCCATACATCCATTTCTGAAGTATTCAGGAATGTTTTCATAATCGAAAGAAACGGGTATCCAAATAAAACCAAGTTCTTGACATTGGTCTGTTTTGCTGTGAATATTGGAAATGCTTAGGATCTTCAGACCCAATAGCTCTAATTTTAACATTTCTACCCAATAAGAGGCTCTGTTTTCCACTGAAGCTTTGTTGGAGAAAGAGAATATGAAAATTACACATTTTATAATTTTTAGATGAGAAAATACCACTAGCAGAATAGCTTTGTGCTATTCCAGTATAAGATGAACTGTAATAATTTTTGACTTCCCTATTTCAGAGATAGTCAATATAATATGTTTATCTATATCCATATGGATGGATAGGTAGGTAGATCTTCATAGATTTTTTTTTCTTTTGTTAGAGGAGAGCTTGATGTGATTATCTTCAAACCCACCAAACCAACAGGATAATTGACAAATAAACGCCATAGGCTAGGCTGAACTGTATGTTACTGTTTTCATGCTTATACATATATTTTCAATCACATACAAGTACATAGAATTTCACATTTTAATTTAGCAAATTGATTTACCTAGGAAAAAATTATCACCTTCAAAGATAGGCATAGACACATAATTATGCTTAAGCTTTTAACAGCATTTTAACCGCTCTAAAAATTACCAGAGTAAGAAAAAGCTAGGTACTTTAAAGTGAGTTTGAGAAACAAGTTGAAACTAAAATTAAAATACCAGCCATTTAGGTGCTTTCTCTGGCATCTATAAAAGTAAATTCTAGTGCCTGCCAAGTGATGGATTATAATGGTCTCTAGCAAATGTGTGGTAAACATTCATATGGCCATTAATTTTAACATTAAATCGTAGGTAGGGCAATGTAGTAAAATGAAAGAGAATTAAGAAAGGTTTTGAATTCTTATAACATATCCAGCCATTTCAATTTTGATTGAAATGAACTACAAAGAATAGTGTTTGTCCCTATGGTAGCCTCAGTCTCTTTATCACTAACTTGGATTGAAATGAGTGAGGCCAACTCACATTCCCATCAAACACTCTTCCAAGGAAAAGCAGAAGTAATAATTGGAGGTAAAGTTTCCTTAGAGAAAATAATTTTATTCTGCTTTGTCCAATTAAATTATTCCAATGGCGGATGGTAATATTCACCATCTCTAATTCATTGGTCACTGGTAGGTAAGCATGAGTTAAGGAAAGTCAAAAATGAAAATATATTTTGCTGTGTATAAATTGATATTTTGCTATGCAACTCCTGTAATTGAATTTGTATAATGCAGGCACTTTCTAATTTATTAGAGATTATGGATCAGTTCTGACATTAAAATCATAGTTAATTGATGGATGGTTTTTATAGTTTGTTGATAAAGTGGACACAGTATTGTCTGAGCAGTTATATTTTAATGCATTTCAGTGTTTATAGTAGAAGTTTAGTGGATAAAACTTTAAGTCCAATAACTTGGGGGTCAAATGCTAATGTTTTATTCAATGTAAAGGAAGACCAAACCATGTACCTTATGAAGACCTTTGTTTTAAGACTTCCACACACCAAGGCTACAATGACTGTTAACCTGGAGGAAGTCTCTGGTATGGAGTTCTGAGAGCTTAAGAGCTAAACATGAGTTTAGACACACAAGATTCTAAAATGCAAATGTTTATTTTGAAGCAGGCATTGACAACACAAAAACTGTGTAGTGGTCTTGATGCTGGATTGTTTCTAGAGTCACAATGAATTATTTTTATGAGATTACCTTATTTTTATATATGACAAACTACTTCTATAATGCTTATTATGGTAAAATAAAATTGGAAAAAATTAAAACTGACCTATAAGAGTGTTAAGGACCTAATAGAGTGACATATATAAATTAAGCATAAAATATGTAACCAGGAAAAGACTGTTAACATTACATTTATGCAAATTAAATGCCCTTAAATTTCACCATTTGTCTTTCATTTTAAAGGTTATTTGCTCCCGATTATATGATTCAAGTGTTATAAGTTTTAGCTTGAACTACTTTGCAGTAATTTATTTGACAGATCTCTATTCTATAAATGTGTAATGTGATGAAGAAAGAGATCTTTCTTTTTTAATGAAAACATTAATGTGTTAATACCCTGTATGGATAATGCTTGACATTTAGTGGTTTCCAAAATATATTAGTATATTGTTGAACATACATTATGCCTTAGAAATGCACATTCTGTATTTTGTGGGATGATAATCTAATTCAGTATAGAATATGCTGTTTGGCAATGAGTTTGTGGCCAGATTTCAAATAGGGAGTTAAGTGGTACTTTCACAATCCAAAGATTTTTAGTTAAAAATCATGTAGTCTAATATGCTGCAGTTATTTTTTTATATTTTTCAATGCATTTAATTATCTTTTTTATAATTCTTTGTACTAACTCAGCATGTAACAACCAATTTACATGGAAATAAATCGAAATATGATAACTATTATGCTTAAATGGATTTGCGTCTATTATTTCATAGTATTTACTCTCCTGCAAAGCAAATAATACATACTGTTTCTTGGAATGACCGCAGAGTATTATGTGTTGAATATTCCTGGAAGTATCCATTATTCTTGGTAATTTGTTCTTACAAAATCTCAACCTAGGACTGTAAGATACTGTGCCTTAATTTATGGACTGCTGATAAGAATACTTTTTGCTACAAAACTACATTTAGACATACTCTTTTACCAGATTTACATCCTTTGCATTTCAATTTTAATTAATATATACATTTTAATTTTTTATTTGCTTTGGCTCTTCATTATATACTGTTGTTTGTCTTTCCTGACTTCCTAGGCTGAATTCAATATTCTTCAGTCTATTAAAGGCTACTTTTCCAAAGACAAGAAGCGAAGGAAGTCTTCTAGGTGTTAGAGATATGGCAGATAATAAAACAGAAAAAGAATAAAAGCCCTCACAAACTTTGTTCTAACAAGGGAAGACAAAATAGAATACGTTTAAAATGCATTTATTGTAAGTTAGATGATAATATGTGCCAAAATGAAAATACATTAAGGAAAGATGACAGGAAGTATGGCAGAGGATAAAGTGTTGCCTTCCTACATAGGGTGGCAGTAAGGTGATAAATGGTAGTGTCTTAGTTCTGGCTGCTATAACAGAATACCAGACTACAGCGCTTAAACAATCAAAAGTTAATTCTTAGTTCTGGAGTCTGAGGAGTCCAACTTGAAGGTGCTAGTCAATTTGGTTTCTGGTGGGGGCTCTCTTCTTGGGTTGTAGATGGCCACCTTCAAACTATGTCCTCATATGGGGGAGAGAGAAAGAGTGAGAGAGAGAGAGCACTCTTCTTATAAGGACACTAATCTTATTGGATCAGGACCCATTCTTATGATGTTTAACCTTAATTACCTTCTTATAGGTCCTGTGTTCAAATGCAGTCACTTTGAGGGTGAGGGATTAAATTTTGGGGAAACACAATTCAGTCCACAACATTCTAGCCTTCACCAAATTCATGTCCTTATCATATGCAAAATACTTTCATTACATCCTAAGAGCCCCAAAGGTCCTGACTCATTCCAGCATCCACCCACAAGTCTAAAGTTCAAAGTTTCATAAAATATCATCTAAATCATACATAGATGAGAATAGAAACAAGATTAACTCTTATGCAAAATTCCTCTCCAACTGTGAACCTGTGAAGCCAGAAAAGCTATAGGCTTCCAAAATACAATGGTGGCATTGTCATAGAAATGATATCCCCATGCCAAACAGGAGAAATAAGAAAGAAGGAAGTAGTGACAGGTCCCAAGCAAGTCCAAAACCTACCAAGGAAAATTCCATCAGACCCAGAAACAAAAATAATTCCTTTTGCTTTGATCCCCCACCTCTTTGACCCTCTGGGGTAGCAGTCCTGCCTCCAGAGTTCCACAGGGTGGTTCCACCAGGTGGTTCCACCCGATCGCTTTGCAGGGTCTTCCCACCCCTAGAACTTCAATTTGAGGCTGTCTGCCCTATTAAAATTGAGGCAATGATCCCACCCTTTGAAACCAAGGAGGCAGCATGGATGATCTCTGAGTTGCTTGTGGTGTCATTCTTTCTTTTTTTGAAGAACAGCACATGTTACAGCTGAGTAGCTCTATGGTGGTGTGCTGTAGAACCTAAAAAATCTGATCGCTGTCCTTCATTTTGTTCCATCTCTGTCCCCTTCAGTTCAAACTGGCAGTGGTTTGCTGACGTAATTTTATCTCTATTTCTGGCTCCTGCTGAGGTGGCTAATAAGCAGATTCATGGTTCATAACCACATTAATCTACTTATTAAATGGTTGTTTAGCCACACCCTTAGTGTTCTCTTCAGAACAAGATTTCTCATTTTATGCAATATGAACAGACTTATAACTTACCACATGTTCAACTTCTTGTTACTTTCTGCTTAACAACTCCTTGTTCAATTCCCCTTTCCCCTCATATTTTACTAAAAGCAGTCAGGAGCAACCAAGTCACTCGTTACAATGTTTTGCCTAGAAATATCCTCAGCTAAACATCCAGTTTTATCACTTGTGTTCCTACTTTCCAAAAAAACACTAGAACATGGTGCAGCCAAGTTCTTGACCACTTTACAACAGGAGTCGCCTTTCCTCCAGTTTCCAATAACATGTTCCTCATTTCTATCTGAGACCTCAGCAGAATGGCCTGTTATGACCGTATTTCTACTAACCCTCCATTTAGGATTACTTATTTTTTCTCCAAGAAGATGGAGGCTTTCTCTTTCCTTTTCTTTTTGAGCCCTCACCACAATCGCCTTTAAGTTCATGACAGTCCTTTCACAGCAATCCAGGCTCTTTCTAGCATGCACCTCAAAACGCTTCTTCCACATTTTTAGTTATTTGTTACAGTAGTACCTCACTTCTCAGTACCAAAATCTGTATTAGTCTATTTGGGCTGTTACAACAAAATACCATAGACTGGAGGCTTAAACAACAGGAGTGTACTTCTCTCAGTTTCAGAGGCTACAAGTCCAAGACCAAGGTGCCGGCCAATTTGGTTTCTAATGAAGGCTCTCTTCCTGGCTAGTAGAAGGATGCCTTCTCTCTGGGTCCTCAGGGAGGAGAGAGAAAGAAAGAGTAAGCTCTCTGCTGTCTCTTTTATACAAACACTAATTTTATGAGATCGGAGCCTGACACTTATGGCCTCATTTACCTTTAATTACCTCCTTATAAGTCCTATCTCCAAATATAGTCACATTGGAGATTAGGGCTTCAATATATGAATTGTGCAGGGACACAATTCAGGCAAAAGCAGGGAGTTATGAATTTCCTAGAATTTTAACAATTTTCTCTTTTTTTTCAATCTGAAAACCGGCCGTACTAGAATTGTATTTTCATTTACTGTATGTCATGCTTTTGTATTAAAAACATAATAATTGATCATGGTCTGGTTAAAACATTCTGCTGCTAGAGACAGTAGGTTAGCATAGACATAACTAGTAATACCTGGCTACTCAGATGAGGCTGTGGCCATGAAACAGTGATGTGTTCAGGAATGGATTTGCAACATGCCAATGGTGATTCAGAAGCTGAGGCATATGATATTCTGGTGATGGTTCCTAATGATTAGCTATCTCATTAAAGAAGATAGAATTGAAGTAGCTCGTCTAGTTTTCTCTAAGTTATCATACTGTTTTAACAAAAATAACAGCATAGACTTGCTTAATTTCACCAGTTGTCTCAGAGATAGGCACAGAGCACAGTCTTGCTGATAACTTTCCACTTTGAGTTTTTGCTTTCTTTTGTTTTGCTTTTTTTTTTTTTAAAGAAGAATGCTCAGTTACTCCAAGTTGATTAAGTTGTTGGAAACAATCTCTTTTAAAGTACTTCCTATTCAAAAATCCTTACTTTTTTTTTTTAATTGATTCAGCAACAGGATTTTTTTTTTTTTTTTTTTTTTTAGACAGGGTTTCTTTCTGTTACCCAGGCTGGAGTGCATGTGGTAGTGTGATCTCAGCTCACTACAACCTCCGCCTCCTGAGTTCAAGCAATTCTCCCACCTCAGCCTCCCATGTAGCTGGGACTACAGATGTGCACCACCACACTTGGCTAATTTTTGTATTTTTCAGTAGAGATGAGGTTTCCCCATGTTGGCCAGGCTGGTCTTGAGCTCCTGACCTCAGATGATAAGCCTGCCTCGACCTCTCAGAGTCCTGGGATTACAGACGTGAGCTACTGCACCTGGCCAGAAATTCATTTTGATCAAACTTATCTCCTTTCTCTTCTATATAATAAAGACTATTCCCTATAGTAAGTGTAGGAAGTTTTTCAGAATTTTTTTTTATTTGGAGCCTCTTGTTTTAAAGAGTCATTTAGAAATTGGCTCATTAATAAGTCCTATAAGTATCCGTAAATTACAAGAACAGTTGTTACATTAAAAAATAAAATACTTTGATAATCAAGTAAATAAAAATAAAACTAGAAATCTATCTTTATTTCCTTTACTACTAGAGCTACTTTTTAAAATCTTCTTGGTTTTGAAGCAATTTATGGACTCATAAGGCTAGAAAAGTGAGGAAATACAGAACCTCTTTTGGACTAGCATGTGTCTTCCAGATCAAATTTCATATTTAAACGCCTCTCTTTCTATACTTCCATTCACCTTGATTTATATCTTACAGGCTTCTCAAGCTTCCATGCTCCCTATTTTCTTAAATTTGTAGTTAGGGACCTATTGTTTAAATAGGGGTGCCTTAATTTATGCTAACAAAGCCTGAGAGAGGAGGAAAGGGAGAGAAGTGAACGCAATTTCTAGGCATTGAATGGATTTTGTGGGGAGAAATAAAGGCTGAAGATAAGGCCAGGCTTACAAAAGATATTTCAGGAGAAAGTTAGTAGGTATGATTGACCCTGTGGTGGTATGATTTCAGGAGTATCTAAATGTCTCCTAAGTCCAAATATCTACTTCACAGTCTTCCAAGAGGCTTGAAGTTCTCATCATTAGTCATTCACTTGGGCTGGAGTAAATAGTATGTGAAAGGAAAAACACATGGAAGCCATTGTAACACATTGTGTTAGCCTTATAAAGAACCAGTTCATCTAAAGAGCTTATAAGACATTGTCCCCAAAGACCTGAAATAACAAAGCATACAATAAATTTTGATGAAGAAGCATGGTTAAGAATATTTTGGGTGCTGCAGAGGACAGGGTTTGGGGTGGTAGCATGGTGCTGGGAGGCAAGATGGGTGGTGAGGGGGAATGGATGGGGGAGGGGAGGCAGGCTGAGTGACAGGCCTCAGGCATTTTTGGATGACCGGTTCTTCCCTTGCCCCCAACCCCTGGTGACACAGACATGGCAGAACTGGGTTTCATAAAGCCAAACACAATTCTTCCCACACTGCAACTCTTTCTGGGGCTCGGATCTATGCCTTTTGCTTTGCCTCGGGAATTCAAATTTGAGAATAACAGTGTGATTGCCCTAAATGGGATTGGCATCTAATTTCTGTCTCATGGAAACCTTTTGTTTTTCCAATTGTCCCTCTTCACCTAGCCAATGAAAACATTGAAGTAGTAAGAGTCTAGCTTAAGAGAGTAGAGGTTTAATCAATTAAAATCAATCAAATGATGTTGCTAGAGTCCTCCTGAATCTTGTTTGAAATGCGAACCTTATAACATCTACACCAGAATTGTCATGAGTGTTTGTTTGCTAAATGCAAACAGATTCCAATGGCCTACACAAGACTTAGTGAATCAGGATTTATTTGGGGTGGCCTTGGGAATATGTATCTTAAAATGATAATCCCTTTAGTTTTAGACCCTAAAGTTTAGGATCACAGTCACAAACACTTTCTTTAGTCTGGTATTTAAAAGAAGCCCTGTACTATAATTCTTAGGTACTTATGTTTTCATCACTTCATCTGTTTCAGCTTGTGCATCAGTCATAATGTATTGTTGCTGTATAGTATCCCTATAGTGTTATTCTTAGGTAACAAAAACTGGGTACATAGTTATGTCACATTGCAAAGGACAATGTCAGATTAACCAAAGCCTTTGCTCAATATGATTATGTCAGGCCAGAAAGTATCTGAAACATATTATCCCTATTCATATATTCTTGGGTGACTTACAATAGTTTTCCTAAGACTGGAAGTTGGGATGTAATATCCCTTATCATGGAAAATTTAAATCTTCTCCTTGTTTCACAAATTTATACTTTTCCAACACATATTGATGTAGTCATATAAGAAAATGATCCCATCCTCCGAGTTGCCTCTCATACACATCCACTAAAAATACATCGTAAAAGAAAAGGAGATATTTCCCTTCCAGCCTGAGGCTATATGGGTAATTATTTTCTTTCAACACCTTCATTGAAATTCCCTGTGTAATGCTACCAGAGTGAATTATAGTTAAACCTTTTATTCTGCACATATGGAGCTGGAATAAAGAGATGGTGCCAGCAATATTACTCAGCTACTTTCATTTTGGGGATTGAGGCTGATGTAAACTATCATAACTAGAGAGAAAATGATATTCAATTATGAATCACTGCCAGATGTGTGAATGTATGTCTTCAAGTTTCATTTTCTGGAATATGCTTACTGTAGTTTATTTCTTATCCACTTTTGAAGTGATTCTCATTCCATGGGTAATAGATTTAGTGGCATTAAATGTTCAGAACATCCAAAAATTAATAAAATATATATTTGGACTCCGTCTCACAATCCAAAACAGAAATCAGAAACTGATCTAAAGTGTATGTTAGGTAACAATGTTCTGTAGCCCGAGTTGCAGAGGAGCTGTGTGGGGCACTTCACTGTGCATCTCATACCACACTTGCCCAGAGCACCGGCAATGTGAAGGAAAGAGAGAGAATAAAGGAAAATAGGACACAACAATTAGAAAAATTACTAGCAGCCTGAGTAAAAATGGGGGAGAATTTGATATTTCTGTTCTTGAGACTCAGGATTCCAACTCTTGTGGTATATAGAGACTCAATTGTTTGGTATCCAGATGAGGTGGCTGGAAGGTAATCCCATTTCTGCAGTTTGGTGTTCCTGAAAATTCCTTCTCTCTATCCTAGAGTGAACCTTTAGTGCTGTCAATGCTTTCACTTCTCTGTGCTTAGTAACTTTACCATTCCCACTTTCCAGTATTCCAAGATGCAACTACATCTTTAATCTCCCTTCTAAATCCTGTTCCTAAGGGCCTTCCACAGATTATCTTGCCTCTATCTTCAGGAAGCCATTATGCGTTTTCTTCCTCAACTTTCTATTCATTGCCTGGTAACCTAAAGATATGTACATCAAAATCCATATGTACTTGTATTTTTTGAAGCAATTGGTGGAACCGTCCTTTTTTTCTAATCAAGGTCAAATGTGCTACTCTGAATTTCTCTTAACCTTGCTTGTTAATTTAGTTTCACTTGTGTTAAAAAAAAAAAAAACAAAAACTTCCACTGTGTTTTCCCAGGCACATCTCTATCAGTTAATTTTCCAAGTGTCTTTGATCTCTTTTACTAGACTGGATGTAACTATAGTATATTAAAAATAAGTTATTTATCCTCTCTCTTAAAACAAAAATCTTCATTTGGCCATGCTTCCTTTTCTGCCCTTTATCTCTGATTTTCTTCAGTCCCCCCTGAATAATTTCAATTCCAATGTGCTGAAAGAGTAGACATTTGCTGTCTCTACTTGCTCATCTCTGGCTTTTGCAGTCTAAACTTTGCCTCTACTACACTTTTAAAGGGTTCTGCACAGATAGCCATTCACTTCAAATTTCCAAAGTCAGTGGCTCCTCTTTTCAGTCCTCTTCTTATTAATTTTGTTTGCTTTTATACTCTTGACCACTCTTTTTCATAACATCGTACTCCTTTGGCTTCTAGAAATCACTTATGTATCAAAAAAAATTGAACATCTATTATGAGCCAGGCACCATGCTGGTTGATACAGGCACAAGGTTGAATAATTATTTGCCCTTAAGGATTTTAGATACCTGTGGGCAAAACAGGAAAAAAAAAAAAAAGAAGAACTATAATCCCACATATTATGTGCTCACAGTTTAAGATGCCATTCAAGCTACTGTCTATGATCACCTATTTTGTGGTCACTTTTTAGAGATGAGACAGGTACCTCCACCCAAAGTTTGGTTTGAGACTGATGATGCCACAAAGGCACGAAAAGGGTATGGAAATGTTCATTAACTTACATAATTTGGCCTTCTGATAAGAGCAGGGCAGGCTGCTTAAGCTAGTCTAAAAGTTACTTGAAAAACAAGCAAAAGAGACTAGCTTAAACTTCTTATGGTGGTTAAGGGGTGAAGCTTGAAGGAAAGTCCCTAAAGTGTTTTGAACTTTCTTGCACCAAAGGAAAAAGCTTTCTTATCAGCTTGCTCAAATGTGGGGCAGAAAGGAAAGAGAGAGATGTGAAGCTTAAATGTTGTCAGGAGTAGTCAAACTTCAAAAAATGGAGTCAAATTCTTTATTAAAATTGACTCAGTTAATGTTAGATGCACACATATGTTTTGCTAACATGTTATTCTTTCTTCTAATGTTATATATTCACCGTATTTTATCATAATTATTCACTTTATACTTCCAAACATACTGGCAATCTAGTAATCATTGGTGTGTTCCTGGCCCTTTAAATGTTACGTTTATTATGTATTTGTTGAAGGGATGAATGAAATGATCAATCAATCAAAATAAAAAATATTTAACGATATTAAAAACCTAGAAATCAACTAAAGAAAAGAGGTTAGCATTTTCAAGAGACCCAGAAGGTGAGTGTGATTGGAACAGCAGGAAACAGTCAAAGGCTTGAGGCAAATCTGAAAAGGTAAATAGAACTTGACTATGAAAAAGCTGCTGCCCCTATTGATCACTTTAAACCACCAGTTTTAAATCACAGTTACACTGCAGTTACCTAACTTGACTCCTAGAGAACTAATCACTACTTTCAGATAAAGTAAGCAGGCATTTCTAAGATGCCATCTGAAGATTAATGAGAAGCTTCGATTCTCCAAATCTGTTGTCAATTTGTGACAGCTCTCAAAATTTCTACTGATAAAAACTCTCTTTCATAGTTAAAGCATTAATTCAATATGTCATCAATAAGGACAGTATAATATGATAAAGGAAAATAAAGCTTATTAACTCATCATCGCAATTTACCGTACATTATTGCGTATCAAGAACCCAGACTTGGGTAAATGGGACTTATGGAAAAGTAGACTTGGATTAATAGAAGAGTTGCCTTTATTACAGTCAATTAATATACTGTGTTAATTATCCATTTCTTCTTAACAAACTACTCTAAAACTTATTCATCATTTCTCATGATTTTGAGGTTTACTGGATTCTGCTGTTCTTCCTGGGCTCATGTTGCTGCACTCAGCTGCTGAGTTAGCTGGGATCTGGGCTCATCTGGGACAGCAGAGATGATTGAGTCCCCTTTGTCTATGTGGTCTTTTTTGGGGGAACTTCTTCAAAAGCCTGGAAGCCACAGAATTGTGAGAGAATGAAGGTGAAGTTGCAAGGCCTCTTGAGGCCTAAGCTCAAAAACTTAAGGATGTCACTTTGACCACATTTCTTCCACCACAGGCCAGCCCAGTTTCAAGGGGGTAGAGAATTAGATTCCACCTTTGTGTGGGAGAAGCAGCAAAGCCACTTTGCAAAGGCACAGACATAAGCTTCCATTAAATGACCTTCTAGAGTTCTCTACCTTTGGTTACACAAATTATTAACATTCCTTCGATATGTAAAGTATGCTTATCCCATCCAGGACCTTCAAAGTTTCATCCCAATTACAGCACCAGGCTTTAAGTCTAGGACCTCATGATCAGCATCTGGTTGGGTATGGATGAGGCTCCTCAGATGTAGCTTCTCTTGATGATGAGATATGTGAACTAGAAACATGTATTAGTTAATTCTCCCATTGTTCTAAAGAACTACCTGAACTACCTGTTGAACTACCTTCAACATACCTTGGTGAGACAAGAACAGAATCACCACAGTAGACACTCCCTTTAAAATATTAAGAATGGAGCAATAAGCACACCCAGCTCCTGGATTTTGGTTTCTAACACTATTACCCAAGAGAAGGAAGCAGGACTCCTTGGAGAAAAAGATGATTCTAGGGCTGGAGCAGTCTAACCATAAAAAAAAAAAAAATAAAGAAAACCCAGGTTGAGAGACAAATACCTTTAATGTGTCCCAAATGCTTGGCAGATACACCTCAAAACCGTCAAGGTTATCAAATGCAAAAAAATTTAAAAAGACTAAAATATTGTCACAGACTGGAGGAGGCTAAGAGACATGATGACTAAAGGTATTGTCATATTCTACAGGGTATCCTGAAACAGAAAAAAAAAATTAGAGAAAATGTAGTGAAATTGAAATAGACTGTAGGGTTTGATTTATTGTAAGGTATCAATGTTAGTTCCTTAGTTGTGACAAATGCTTCATGATTATGTAAAATGTTAATAGAGAAACTAGATGAAGAGTCTACGTAAGGGAACTCTCTGTATTAACTTTGCAGCTTTTCTGTAAATATAAAACTACCCTAAAATAATAATAAATTAAAAAAAGAATAAAAAGAGAAGCAGTCTCAATTTTGTAGCAATTCTGAAAAACAGTAGGGCACATGTCACCCATTTCCCCTTTTCTGTGGGCAAAAGAAGTTATTTGGTTAAAGCCCAGTTCTACAACCTGGGAGTGATTCGTGCTTCCATTGTTACTGGATCTTGTAACAAATAACAGATCTTGGATCTGGCTACACTGTCTGGTCTTTTGGTTCTGTTCTCTAAAGACATCTTCACTTTTTGGTCAGAAATAGCTGGTCTTTGCAGCTGCGCCTCAGTCTGCTTCTTTTTCATAGGAAGTTCAGACTCAGAGGCCTTTTTTTTCCCCGTTTCTCTTTTTTTGACCCAAAGAGGCAGTGCCTGTCAGAACCATCCTCTGAAAATTGTTGCAAATTTTACTGAAGTTGATGCCATGCCCTAAAGTGGCATCCACAATTCTTTTTAGGACTGTTCTGTGTCTACTTTGGGCATATAAAACTGCTGTTAGCCAACATACTTTTGATTCTTAGAAGCTTTTTTTGACTCTTAAGAGTGGTGAGATCAAAAGGCTACTAGCCAGACACCACTTTTAAGTCTTTCTCAGATTTTAAAGGGGTTTATAACAACATAGTTAAATAGGTACTTATGATAAATGATCTTTCCTAAGATCATTTATCACACTGGGAATATTCTACAGGACAGACATGTGAATGAATTTTATCTTTCAGCACAGCAATTTCTAGCTCGTCTATATTTCTTCTAAATTCTGCTTTCAAACTGAACAGTTCTCTCTTCAGCTCATCTCTCTCCTCTCAACTTAGCAGATGCAGCTTAAAAAGCACCTTCAACACTGCCTGGCACTCTCCTTACAGATCCACACATTCATTTTCTGTATTTCAAATTGCCGCAGGCTATATTTTCTTTGTTGTTCTGCCACCACATAACTGAGTTGCTTTTCTTTTCTTTTCTTTTTTTTTCTTGAGATGGAGTCTCGCTCTGTCTCCCACGCTGGAGTGTCGCGATCTCGGCTCACTGCAAGCTCCGCCTCCCGGGTTCACGCCTTTCTCCTGCCTCAGCCTCTCGAGTAGCTGGGAATACAGGCACCCACCACCACGCCCGGCTGATTTTTTGTATTTCTTTAGTAGAGACGGGGTTTCATCGTGTTAGCCAAGATGGTCTTGATCTCCTGACCTGGTGATCCGCCTGCCTCGGCCTCCCAAAGTGCTGGGATTACAGGCGTGAGCCACTGCGCCCGGCTATAACTGAGTTGCTTTTCTGGTTGTCTGCAATAGCACTTCTTCACTGCTCTTCCAGCCTCTGCTTGCTGCCCAATAGCAAAACTAATGCCACATTGTTTCTAGTTTTTATGTCAGCCCCCCACACCAATACCAGTTTCTGTATCACTTATCTATGGCTATGTAATAAACCACCCCAAAACTTAGTAGCTTTAAAATTGGCAATGTATTATCTTTCAGAATTCTGTAGTTTGGCCGACTTGATCTTCCGTAATCTCACTCGTGCACATTCTTGTAGCTACATGCAGCTGAAGCATTGGCTAGAGATGGGCTCAGCTGTAATGGTGAAGGTTGCTGGAACTTTCTCTCCATGTGACATTTTATCTTAGGTTTTTCACCATAATGGAGAAGCTGGAAAGCATTTTGAGGCCCACCGTCTGGCACTCATGAATGTCATTTCTGCCACATTCTATTGATCAAACCAAGTTACACACCAGCCCAGTTATTTAAGGGGACACAGGGATGGACTTCTCTGGATGGGAAGAATTGCAAAGTTGCAGTTAAAGGAACATGCTTATTAGAATGGGAGGAGTTTGTGGCCATTAACCTACTGCATATCCACGGTTAGGAGGAAAAATTCTTTCAGTTAGGAGCAGGTTTAGCTCTAAGTAAAAGTCCCTCTCTCTACTGCCCCAGAAAAAAAATGACTTAAACAAGATGGGTCTTTATTTCTCCTTCATGAAAGTATCTGGTCCAGAGCAGCAGCTCTTCCCTGAGAAAGTCACATGGCTTGGTCCCAAACTTCAGTTAGATTTCTTCTGTCACTCTGCTAGAGAACGCTTAATAGACAATCTTATATCCAGAATCATATCCAGACTCTCTTTATCCATTTTCCTGATGCTTTCATAATGGTTATTCAATGTGATATTATTAATGACATAATCATTCTATATGTCTCTATCTAATCTATCTACCTACCTCTCCATTCATTATCTATCTAACACCTCTGTATCTTTATCATGGATCTTTCCTATCAAAATGCAAGTTCTATGAAGGCAGATCCGCTATGTGCAATGCTTTATTGTCAGTTCCTAAAATAGCTGTTCCTGGAACATAGCAGTTTGTCCTTCATGCCTGTTAAATGGATGAAAGCTATAAATATAGATAAAGTCTTCATATACAGATATATCTCAGCAACCCAAACATCAACTTCTTATTTCAGCCATTTGCAGCCCCTGACTTCAATTCAGAGTTGGGTGAAGCAGGTGCTGACGCAAAACTGGAGGGAGGGAAGTGTAAGTGAAGGAGCTTGCTCACTGCCCGGAAGTGTCTTTTCCTGCCTTCTTTCTCTACCTGATAACTTCCACTTCCCAATCTATGACCTAAACAATTAGTTGTCTCTGCCCTATCTCACGGATTTCTTAGCAAAATTATTTGTCCAGGATATCTATACTGCATCCCACTCCTTTTATGATACTTAATTAAAAGATATATTAAAGAAAAACAATTTTAAAAAGGGAAACAGCTTATTCAAGGCATTGTTAAATTAGCAATTTAATTTGACTAGAGACAATTATCTCCTTCACCTTAACCAACTCCAAGAGAAGGCAAAATAAATATTGAAAGTCATAAGTAATTGAAAATATAACAAAATGAACATATTTCTAGGTTATTAGGTAATGTGATTGATACATTTTATAGCAAAATACGTAAAATATTTAAAAGTAAAATATAATAAATTATCATTCTTGGTTATTTACTGTGTGTCAGCACTATTTTAAGTGCTTTTCTAGTTGTATAATTTTATGCTTAAAGCCACTAAATAGGTAGAAAGTATAACTCTTAGTTTGTCTTAAACATTGCTTAAGATGTCCAAGCATCTAGGCACACTTTTTTTAACATTGCAGGAAAATCCACATTTTCTTTTCTATATGTATCTCTATATATACCTACCTATTCTGTAGGCAAAATAGTTGAATGTATAAACAATTTTACTAAAGCAAAATAGTGTGTGCTTTTTCCCATCCATATAACTGGTTTATATCTGAGGCCAATTACTAAAAGTCATGATTCGTAAGGCTAGAAATAATTGGGTTTCAAAGCACAATGGCAAATATAGAGAGAAAAATCTTGGATCATCAGAGGATTCTTAATCATAATCTGTTTAAGAATTTCTTCTTCACACTTTTCCCATAGCAATGAAATTAGAACAGGGTGAGATTTTTATTCCCTAAGCTTGTGTACAGTGAGAGCTCTATATCTAGGGGGAGGGCTTTGCCTTTTATTTTCTTAATCTACTTGGCTGTAAATTGCAGAGCTGCTAAACTGAAGGTAGCTGATAGATGCTTGAGAAAAGTAGTACTGAAGCTGCACAAAAGGATGTGCATTGGCCAAGATCATGATGGATTCCTAAAAAACTAGTCCCAAGAAGTCTATATCAAACTGATATTAAGAATCTATTAAGGGCCGGGCACGGTGGCTCATGCATGTAATCCCAGCACTTTGGGAGGGCGAGGCTGGCAGATCCCTTGAGGTCTGGAGTTTGAGACCAGCCTGGCCAACATGGTGAAACCTCATCTCTACTAAAAATACAAAAATTAGCCAGGAGTGATGGCACAGGCCTGTAGTCCCAGCTACTCAGGAGACTTAGGCAGAAGAATCACTTTAACCCAGGAGGCAGAGATTGCAGTGAGCCGGTATTGAGCCATTGCACTCCAGCCTGGGCAACAGAGTGAGACTCTGTCTTAAAAAAAATTAAATAAATATCGGATCTGTAAAGTGGGAGTATAATGGTTCTAATCACAGCTCTGAAGTCCTACTAAATTGGTTTTGGATCTTACCTTAGGCATTTCCTACCTGTATGGCTAAGAGCCCATTGACCTCAGAAAACTCATGGGAGGATTATTTGTTAAATAAGAGAATTGATGCAAGGCACTTAGCGCATTCTTTTGTTTAATAAATATTTATTGAGTACCTACTACTTTTCTATGTGCTTAGTATAGATAACTAAATGAAAAGGAACTGGAAACTGGCATTTGATGTTTTAATATAAAAATGGAGAGACAAAACAAAGTAAATAGACATGCAAATAAATGCTTACCAATTGAGAAAGTGCCCTGAAGAAATAAGCAAGGTACCACCATGGTAGAGAATAACACAGCCAATAGGAGAGTAGAGGAGAGACTGGGTGAGACAGTTGGGAACTAACTCTGGGTAAGCTGCTCAGGAAGCCTTCTTGGAGCAGGAAGTTTAAAAGTGAGACACTATGGATAAGAGGAAGACACCCAAACAAAAAAGCCATGTTAGGGTAGAGGAAGCAGGCATGAGAGGACTCCAAGAGAGGAAATTTCATGCACAAAATTTCAGAAGCAGGAAAGAACTCAGGTGTTCAAATGCTGAAAGGACCACAGCATGGCTTGGGGACAGTGAGTACTACAGGGGAACAGAAGGGTGAGAACAGGGATTGGTACAGAGGAACCATTTACAAAAGGCAGTGGCTTTTATTCTGGTGATTTATATGAGGAAGAGATGAGATGAGGTAATATGTAAAAAATTTAATATAGTGCTTGAAACATAGTAGATGTCAACCAATAGTATCTCCTATTATTTTTATTGTTATTTTAGCAGTACTAGTGGCACTGCTATTTTTTGAAAAGCAGATCACACTTCAGGTGCCTCCTGTTAGTGCTCTGTTCCATCTTTGTTTCTGTCACAGTCTTCAGGACTCTCCCTGTTGCTTTTATTCTTACTTTCAGAGCACAAATATTCAGCTGTTGTATTCTCTAGATATTCCACCCATGACTAGTGGTTCATCTGGAATACTTGTATCTTGAATATATTTACTTCATTTACTTCAAAGCTTTCTGATCCTTTTATTTACTAAAACATTTTTTAAAAGAGAAATGTTTAAATAAAATAATTTAAAAATTGGGTCAGTTCACTAAAATACTCCACATTTGGTATCAAGAGCAATAATTTTTACTACGATTATCTAGAAGAACATCGGAGTCTTGCCCTAGTGAGTGGGGTCTGGGAACCGCCCCCACAAATGTGTCTGCCCCTCTCCAGCCACTGGGAGGCGTTACTCTCCCCAAATGATCATGAATGATTGATTTGAGATTCTGGACTCTCAGAGCTTCTTCAGAAGTGAACAAAAGACAGTCATGCTCTGAGTCTTGGTGGCATTTAGTCAGCTCTTTAATGTGATTCTAATGGTTTGTGTGTGTGAGAGAGAATTAACAGTAAATTCATTATGAAAACCCATTTACCACAGGGTTGACACCAGCAAAACCCTGAGGCAGCTCAGGGAATTCTGGGACACAACATCTGTTTCAGTGAACATAACTCAGACATTCCAAATCGGTGCTCGCTCATCGGTGCTTAATAGCTTCTTGCACAGTTCCTTTTCTCCTCGGGACATACACATTCAGACACAGAAAACCATAAAGGCCAAATGTCTTCTTTAATCCTCCCAGGCTTAGCTAGCTAAAAGGAAACTGTCAAAAGCCATAGCAACTGCCTATGTGAAAAGAAAGCAGAAATAATAATAATAATAAGAGTGGGAACGAATAGAAGTAAAGCTAATTTGCTGATTTAATTCATTCAAGAGTCTCTTTTTCTCTCTTTTACTGCTTTTGTGTGAGATTTTCATGTATATTTCAAATAGTATGTATAATTCTAACTACCTACTTTGTTATGATTTACTGTTAATAACTTAGCTGAAGTGCAAATGGCCTCACATGCTAATTGGGTGTGCTTCCTGTGACATATGCAAACTGACTTATAAAGTAACATATGCTGTTATTACTCATAATAGATCAGCTTTGTCTGAAATATTTGTGCCCGAAATTACCATTTGGCATCTCTTCAAATTCAAATCCACCTTCTGCCCTGACATGGAATTCAAGGATTTGTTTTCTGTTTTATATATTTTGGAGAGGCGCTTTCACGCTACAATAAGGAGTGTTCAGTGTTTACATTATAATGACTATTTATGGGGGTTTAATATGTTGCTTGTTGCAAATCACATCCGACGGAAACTTGGCAAAGTGGCACAGAGATGTGGGACCACATTCAAGTATATTTAACATCGTATCAAGCAGTTAATCTTTTGAAAATCTATGGTGTTAAATGGTATTTAGCATAATCCTACAAACTCTTTAATTTTTTGCTTTGTAGAAGTTTAAAATTATGTTATCTTGTACCTTTGCAGAAACAAACAAACAAACAAAACTATATTTTCTGGTTGTTAACAACTTACAAGTCTCAGGCGATGGGAGAACCTAAAATCAACCTACTTATTTTAGAACTGCTAATACTTTGTATGTTGTTACTAGATTTTTGTATTTTTGTGTTATCTCTCAGCATGTCCTCCTGTGGCTGAGTAGAAGATGGAGGCGGGAATATCTGTAAAAAATATATGTAGATGCTAAAGAGTAACATGACACCCCAAATGAAATGCTTGGTTTGTATCACATAATTTTATTCCAGTTTGAAATATTGCACTAAATTGTAAAAGCTTATTAGCTAGATAATTCTGGATAGGTGGGAAGGGAAGAAGTAGTTTCTTCACCATTTTGGAAACTTCAATTTGTAAAGTGGAATGTTGTAGATTTTGGAGAGAATTCAGGTCATTGAATCAAAATCAGAATCAGAGTATGTGAATAACAGCATCTTCAGTTACTGTTTAACTTCAAAGGAAGATTATTTTTCTTCATTGACATTAACCTCGTTAGGGGAAGCAGCTGGACATGGGCCCTGAGCATCCCTGCATGTTCTTGCCATGTGTGTAAACTGCAAGCTGTATTCATCTCCTGATAGTACGTAATCTTCATAGTCACAAAGACCCCTAAGCAAGTCAGGGTTACCACAGCGTCACTGCAATGTAACTGCTCACTGCCTAGTGAAGAGGGACTGGTTTGTTTGCTGTTAATTCAGTAACTACTGGACCCCTGGCTCTGGGTTCCTCAGCTGCAGTACAACCCACTGTGTGTGTGGCATCCATCTGGGCCCATGGGGTTTGGAGACAGGAATCTGGACCACTGTGCTGATGTCCCTGCTGTTGGCTGTGCTATGAGTAATAAACTGTCTTGTCTACTTTGGGCATTTATGCAACGGTTGTAACTTATTTCTTTTCTTCCTCTATGAGGTTCACGTTGTTCCCTGACAAATATATTTGGAAAGATCCTCTAAAAAGTTAACTTTTATCCTAATTATTTTAAAACTGTATATTGGCAAACAAAATATAATACACAATAGAAGGTATTTTACATAGATAACAGTATAGACACTACCTTTATTTGTAAAAAATCATTGTCTAAATCTTATTTGAGCAAGTTAAAAATATCTTCCAGTTACTGGCAAGTATTAAATACATTTTTTCCATTTATTGTCTCAATAGCCTTATGAGGTCAGTATTATTATGCCATTTTTACACATGAAGAAAGTTACACTGAGCTGGTTCAATAATCTGCCCATGTCAGATGACTTCTGAACTGAGGTCTGTCTGATTCTCAGTCCAGTGCTTCCAATGTCTAAATTCAGCCACCTTAAGACCAATGACTGCTTTAAATATCTTATGATTGGCTTTATTTCCTGATATAAATTTTGTGTACTAAAACATTTATTCTTGGAAGTATAGTCTTCTCTCCTGAGGTATGACTCCTCTACCCTTTTCATTCCACCACATTATCTGTCTGAAATCATCAGTCATACATTTGGGATAAAAATCAGGATTTTAAGTCATAACTTGAACATAGCTTGAATGTTGTGAGACTTGTGCTATATCTAATAAATAAGATGCTTCAAGTAAACTTGATTGTTCCTACCAGTGAATAACCTGATAACTCCAGAAAAGGTTGAAATTATTTCAAATAAACTGATTCATGGTGTCTTTGATTTGCTTCACTTTTTTATACAATAGAATGTAGTTTGTCACAATCCTTGACGCTGTAGATAAATGAGTAGAATCTAGGCTAAATGAAGAACCAGTTGGCCTGAGATGGAAGAAATGCAGTAGTCCTGTTGAGCCTATTTGATATGTTATGTTTAGAGTTTTTGAGTTTTAATGCTGCTGGCTGGCTCGACAACAATAAAATCACTACAGTAAATAAAGAAAACCAGGTGGTTCTACAAAATCATTCTGATTAAATTCATGAAACTTTACTTACCATCAAATCTTCTAAATATATGCAAATGATTAATATGTGAATGAACATCTATTGGGGCTCTGTTATATTTAGGCTACAAATTTACAGAAAAACAAAAACCAGGTACTAAAATGTACTGTGGGAAAAAGCAATGGTGGATTCCTCTGAACCAATAAGGATATTTTCAGATTGGTTTTGGAGAATCTCTAATTTCTGTGCTGAAAACAGGAAAGTTCTGAGCACTTCAATTACAAGTTACTGCCTAAAATAGGAAGTAGGAGTTTTAATGATATGAGATAAATTCTGACTGTGCACACAGTGGTACCCCGGGCCAGCCTGGTTGATTGAATTTACTGAGCTCAGTAAGTGAATACTTTCCCTTACAATTTGAGTAAGGGAAAAGCAGGTCTAGGCTCTTTGAGATCTGGAGCTTAGACTATTGAGAATACCCTCTTTAAGTCAGAAAGAGATTATGAAATTATGTAGCAAAATAAATATTTAGAATGAAGAAAATGTTAAATAAATTATATTTCAAAAAGCTGACAAGTATCACAAATGCCCCCAAATTCAGAAAAATAATTATTTTTAATGAATTAACTTCTAGATTCACTTCCATACTATTTTTAGAAACATGTTTTTTTTCCCTGCATACTCTTTGTTCACTTCTTCATATAACAATTATATAACATTTGTTAAAAGGAAAATTAAAAAAAACTATTTCCTTTAGCATGGCTGTATAAATTTGTATTTTTTATTGGTAATTTTGAAAATCTTTTAGATTCCTAATTTGGCATTTGTAATATCATATGAACACTTAAGATGCTTGTCAAAATTGTGAAAACCTCCATTAAAATTTCTTCCATGTAATTAGCTTGGCTATTTCAGAGCATTTCAAGTTTTCTTGTGCAATGACTGCTCTTCAATGATCTTTGAATTGACAAATGGTATTAACCAGTTTGTCAATGTCTTTGGTGTAGTAATTATTTTATCATCATTGTCTCTATTCATGTTTGGCAAATTAACAGGTAATTTAAATCCTTTTTTTCCAGTGTTTTAATGTGACTTGCTCTTTTTCATAAATGGGATTCTCAAACAAACCAAATACCTATTCATGATTTCCATTTTGAAATAATCTTTTTGTATAAGGAATTACTGCTTTTGATAGTATGTAAGTTTTTGTTTTGCTACAATTTATTTCTCATTGCAGCATAATTTCTTCTTGATTTCCTTGCCTATATTTTTGACTCCATTAACTTTTATCTGTTTTAAAAATTTGATTAATATATAAATCTTGAAAGAGATGAAATATAAAGCCAAATAAGCTATCTATAATTTCTATTTGTTTTATTGAAACTTTCCAAAACACCCTTCCAAATTTTACATAATATGGCACATTTTCAACTTAGGCTCCTTCGCCAGATCCCAAAAGATAGCCAGACCTTTGCTAAAGCCAAGCACTGAAGATGAAGCATGATGGAAGAGTAGTAGGTCTAGAAGGAGACACCAGTCTTAATCGACTGAGGTTAAAATGTCTTACTTTTATAAATCTTAAAAAAAGAAATGTTCTGTCATGTGAACACATTGTTGAAATCTTTCTCTGGGACTTTGAAAAGACTCAGGTAGGTGAGGGACTCTGAGGCTTAAGCTTTCATTGTTTTCTGGAAAAAGCTCTGCTGCCAACCAGATGACACATCGATCCCTGAACACTACCAGGAGCAGGTGAGCTCTGAAGCTGTAGTGTAGATGGCATCCATGGTAAAGCATTCCAGAAACCTTTCCTTGCAGGGTGCAAAACAAGGGCTAGGAAAGGTAAGGTGGGCCATTTCATCAAGAACTGATTCAGATGTGAAGGCTGACAAGAGTGACAACTAGTGCTCCTCTGAATATTGCATTCTCTTCTGTTCATTACTAAAGAAACAAATCAACAGTGCAAAGAAATAAAAAAGGAAGTAAATGGACGTTGCTTCCCAATACTTCTCTATTTTCTTACTGAGGCAGCCTAAAGTTCATTTCTGAAAGTAGTCTCAAAATTGTATAACTCTTGAGATTGGAGGGCTAGAAGCCTCTAATCTTTCCTAGGTTACACCAGGGAGGTCCATTGCTACACTGGGACTGCTCCACTTCTGGCCATGTTGTACCACAAAGAGAGAAGGGGCCAGAGATAAGGCTTCTGACATGGAAAGAGTGGCCAACACTCCCGGTTTTTGTGAGAATAAGAGGTTTCCCAGGATGCATGTCTCAGTTAAAAACTGTCAGAGACCCAGGAGAACTGGGTTGATAGTTTACCCTAAATCAGAGAAGCCAATTCCCTCAATGGAGACCTATATCACAATATTTCCTATAGGTGAGAAAATAGACTTTGGGTAAGCTAAACTGAGTTTCTAGTCATAGACCATGAGCAAATGGCTTAATCTTTCTGAGTCTCATTTTCCTCATTTGTAAACTAGAGATGACAATGCTCATATCATATAATTTCTGTAAGGAATAAATTACCTGCTAAATTTAAAGATCCAAGTATATAGTCTGATATGTAACAGGAGTTCAAAACTGATGGATCTCATCAATATTATTCACATCATCATCATTCAAGGAGTTAGAGCAGTTGGGTGGAGTCAGCAGTGGTTTCCAGGTGATAGTGATATTTTCAGCCAGGTAAACTACAGCAACAGGGCTCATAGAGTCTGTACTAATGAAAGTAGGGTCTTTGAGAATGTCTTGGAATATTGCGGAACAGTATTCAGTCTTGAACTAGGGAACTGGTAAGAACCAGGAAGATTAGACAAGAACCAGGCAGATTAGACAAGTCCCAGCCAAATGAGTTGGTTTCAGGGTAGCCGATCTGACCCATTAGGGAATTAGAGCCACAGTCAGAAAGCTGAAGCAGGTTGGAATCTTAGATTCATTTCCTTGGGCAACAAAAGCTTTTCTATACCTGTCCTGTAGAGAAATTTGTTTACGGAAATTAGTACTAATGTTGAATTCTTAGCACTGAGCCTGGCTCTTGGTAGACACTGAATAAGTAAGTACTTCAGACTTGCCTTTGGTAGAAGGGTGATACAGATGACATACCCTCAGCCTAGTGTGCCACTCCTAAAACCCCTGACAAGTGAATCAATAACCCAAGTGTCTTAATATGAGACCTGCAGGGATCACTGTCAGCCAGTTGCACATGAGTTCATGTATTCTCTATTGCCAATCTGACTGCTAAAATTTCTGAGTTCAGATACGTCCCTAAAGTAGAAACCTGGGATAAAGAGTCTAAATTCCAGTAATCTGTTGAACTATAAGACCCTAGTGGGAGTGGCAGCTAGAGCATTCATAAGCTCTAGACCTCAGTATGTGAGAGGGCATAAAGCAAGAACAATGGTAGGTGACACTGCAGGGACAGCTCAGCTATAAGCCGCTCTAGGAGAGAAGTGATGGTTTCTGTTTCTATATCCCATCAGTGACAATTCCATCACAAGGGGCCAATAGCTGTTTGCTGCTGCTGCTGCTGCTGCTGCTGCTGTAAGCTGAAAGGTTAGCAATAATCTTTAAGAAGCTGGGGAAAGAACAGGACCTAACTTCTTTTGGATTATTGGCTTCATGTAATAGTTGGGGATAGTAAATACTCAGGGATCCACAAGATTTATTTAGAGAAGGGTTAAAGTCTTTGTTTCAATTGTGGAAACTATTCTGGGATCTGGAAGAGCATCATGTGCCATAGTGGTTTGCTGCACCTATCAACCCATCACCTAGGTATTAAGTCCCACATGGATTAGCTATTTATCCTGATGCTCTACCTTCCCCTGCCCCACAACAGGCCCCAGTGTGTGTTGTTCCCCTCCCTGTGTCTATGTCTTCTCATTGTTAACCTGTTAATTTATAAGCTTCAAGAGGATAGGAACAATTTCTGGCTTGTTTTCTGTATCCATAGCCCTACCTCAAATATCTAGCATGGTGACTAGCTTGAAGAAGGGGTCAATAAATTTTGGTTCAATGGTTGACCAAATAAATTAATGAACAAGTGAGAACCCTGGGCTTCACATGCCCTAGAAGACCTTAGGTATTGTATCTCCATCCCGGAATCTGCTAAATAACTGGAATATCAGAAAATTGAGTACAAACACCAAATTTTAGAAATTAGAAGGATATCAATCACAACCTAGTTCAAGAGGCAGAGAGTATTTCTTATTTGCCACACTTAATTATTTGATCCAATGAAACATATCGTCTAAAGCTACTGCACAGATTTGGAGCTAAGGAGTGCCTTCACTTGAAATCCTTTTGTCTGATCCTATGAAGCCCTGTGTTCCTTGCAAGAAAAAAGAAATAACTGGTGTTTTGTTGTATGTTAGAGAGCAGGATGGGTCGTATATTGTGCTTTCAGTGGTTTAAGTTTAAAATATAACAAACTCACCCACTGTCTTGCAACTTTTTTCCAAAATGGTTACATTCTTAATTTTTTTTTTTCTTTTTTGAGACGGTGTCTCGCTCTGTCACCCAGGCTGGAGTGCAGTGGCGCAATCTCGGCTCACTGAAAGCTCCGCCTCCCGGGTTCACGCCATTCTCCTGCCTCAGCCTCCAGAGTAGCTGGAACTACAGGCGCCCGCCACTACGCCCGGCTAATTTTTTTTTTTTTGGTATTTTTTAGTAGAGGCGGGGTTTCACCGTGGTCTCGATCTCCTGACCTCGTGATCCGCCCGCCTTGGCCTCCCAAAGTGCTGGGATTACAGGCGTGAGCCACCGCGCCCAGCCTAAAAGTTAAGAGTGAATAAGAGCTCTATACAACTTACTCTGCTGTCTTTTATGAAGGCTCCTAAAGGAATATAACAGTTCTCCCATAGAGAAACACACAAACGTTGTATATTAATTTAAGCTTTATGCTTTATTGTGGACCACCTTTGGCACATTATGTAGCAAATCTCTTGCCAAAAATTCTCATGGAGTGAACACAATCCACAAAATTCTTTTGGAGGAAACAAACAAGCAAACAAACAAAAAAACCCAAAACAAAAACAACCAGTAAAGAAACATCCTAAGGCATAACATGCAAAAGCACTTTTCACTAATCAAAGAATCATTGCAGAGTCGGCTGACAATGCTGTAATGAATGACCTTCATTGCTGCTCAGAAACAATATGCTTTGTGAATACAGCACATTCTACATTATCTAAAACTCAGAATTGAGGACTGAGGCTGTTTTCAGTTCAGCAAGGGAATGAAGGATGACTTTTCACTTAATTCCCATGCCCTGGAACTTGCCCCTAGCGAAATTGTTGACCTTTCTCTGTTTACATTCATAAAACAGAAACTCTAGCCTGTTTAATAAGGATGCAAAAAGAATTAGCTTGAATTTGTGATTAATTCAGCTGCACCAACTTAGTTTTCATACACTAAAACAGAGAAATTTAGATAGTCTAATAAACATACTTCATTCAATTCAAGTTGACCAAGGTTTCTAAAATGTGTGTGCATTTGAAATTTTTTCTAAAGAGTTGGAAAATGCATTCATAATCCTAGTTAACACTAGTTTTGTATTAAAAATGTAAAAATTGAGTATATTAAATAGATTTTATCACCATAAAGCCACTGTTTTCTATTGTTACTTTTAAAAGTTAAATTAAAAATTCTCTTGCCTATGGTCATGATACCTAAGGAAGCTTACTCAATAAGTGGGTTATTATTTTAGCTACTCAAAAATGTAACTTGATATTACTCTGAAATATATTGAAAATTCAAGGTAGTAGTTGGGAAGACATTTTGAACAATTAGTAATCAATATTATTTGTGATGGAGGAAAATGATAAGAGTGAGCTATTTTATTGTCTGGAAATCAATCAATCCCCACAATATTCAATCTTAGGTAAACATCTTTTCCTCATATGCCTAACCCATCAATTCATCACTCTCTTCAACAACCTATGGGGGATTAGAGTCAATAGCACTTCAAGAGGGTGTCATCGTAGCCTACAATAATAGCTATAACTATCTTCTGCTTCAGTGCCTTCCCTCTCAGATCAATGTAGCAAGGCAACAGTATCTATATTAGTCTATTCTCACGCTGCTATGAGGAAATACCGGAGACTGGGTAACACATAAAGGAAAGAGGTTTCATTGACTCACAGTAGTGCACGGCTAGCGAGGTCTCAGGAAACTAACAATTTTGGTGGAAGACACCTCTTCACAGGGCGGCAGGACAAAGAACGAAAATCGAGCTAAGGGGGAAGCCCTTTATAAAACCATCAGATCTCATGAGAACTTACTCACTATCACGAAAACAGCATGGGGTGAACTGCCCCGGTGATTCAATTACCTCCCACCGGGTTCCTCCCATGGAGATTATGGGAACCATAATTCAAGATGAGATTGGGTGGGGACAGAGCCAAATCATACCAATATCAAAGCCTAAGTTATTGTGAGAATTGTCTTCATAGAGTAAGCAAGATGCTAGGAAAATGTTTCAAGACAATAAAAAGATTAATATTATTTATACCTCATTTCATTATACTCTCTCGGTTCAAATAATTCCTCCTTCAAAGAAGTTGCAGAACTTCCAAATATAATTCATGTTGTCTAATCAGACTATAGGATGATCATTTAAAGGTGATGACTGACCACTCATTCACTCATTCATTCATTTAATAAACACTGACTGAGAAGTAACTAAGTTAGCTAAAGGAAAGACGGACACTCTCAAGGAGCTCACAGGTCACTGCAAAGAGAGAGTTTCCCAAAGCAGTAAATTGATAAGGAAACTATTATCTGGATTTTGGGTTTGTAAATCTAGGAGTTCCATTTGTCAGTGTATCCCAAGATAATGTGATGCAGGAAGACAAACTCATGAGATAATACATTAACCAGAATGCTAATATAGGCCGGGCACAGTTGCTCATGCCTGTAATCTCAGCAGTTTGGGAGGCCGAGGCTGGTGGATCATCTGAGGTTGGGAGTTTGAGGCTAGCCTGGCCCACATGGTGAAACCCTGTCTCTACTAAAAATACAAAATTAACAAGGCATGGTGCCAGGCACCTGTAATCCCAGCTATTTGGGAGGCTGAGGAAGGAGAATCGCTTGAACCTGGGAGGTGGAGGTTGCAGTGAGCTGAGATCGTGGCACTGCACTCCAGCCTGGGTGACAGAGTGAGACTCTGTCTCAAAAAAAAAAAAAATGCTAACATACTGTATTAGTTAATTTACAATGAGAAAGCTAACAAACAGGGAGATTAGGAGTTTCACCTTTTGGTTAGTACATTCTCTTTTATAATAGCATAACCTATATGTAATGTCAAATTATATTCAGAATGGTGCACGGGGAGCAAAGAATCTGAAAAAGTGGAAGCCAATATTTTTGAGGACTGTTTTGATCTTTTTGTCTTACACTATAAAATTCTATACAGAGACCTATAATTTTTAGTCTCATAAAAGCAGGTCTCATTCTCCTGGACAATGTTAGGAGACTACAAAGTTCTTGTTCTGTCACTATCATTTCTATAGGTTATGTTATTGTACTGCAATGATACAGTCAAAACAGTGTGGTACTGGCATAAAGTCAGATATATAGACCAATGAAATAAAATAAATAGTCCAGAAATAAACCCTTGTATATATGGTCAAATGATTGTTGAAAAAAGATTGTAAGGCTACACAATGGGGAAAAAATGATCTCATCCATAAATGTTGTTGGGCAAACTAGATAGCCTCATGCAAAAGAATGGATTCAAATCCCTATCTGCCCCATATACAAAAATTAACTGAAAATGAATTAAATACCTAAATACAGGACTTGAAACTATACAACTCCTAGAAAAACACATAAAGGAAATACTTTTATGATATTGCTCTAGGCAATAATTTCTTAGAGATGACACCAAAAGCATAGAGGATAAAGTAAAAAATAGATAAACTGAACTATATCAAATTTTAAAACTTCTGCACAGCAAAGGAAATAATCAACACAGTAAAATGGCAACCTATGAAATGAGAGAATATATTTGCAAACCATATATCTGATACGGGGTTAACAACCGGAATGTATAAAGAACTCCCACAACTCAACAATAAACAGACAGTCTGATTGAAAAATGGACAAATGGATGGGCGTGGTGGCTCATGCCTGTAATCCCAGCACTTTGGGAGGCCAAGGTGGGTGGATCACCTGAGGTCAGGAGTTCAAGACCAGCCTGGCCAACATGGTGAAACCCTGTCTCTACTTAAAATACAAAAAATTATCTGGGCGTGGTGGTACACACCTGTAATCCCAGCTACTAGGGAGGCTGAGGCAGGAGAATCACTTGAACCCAGGAGGCGGAGGTTGCAGTGAGCCGAGATCGCACCATTGCACTCCAGCCTCGGGTCAAGAGTGAGACTTCATCTCAAAAAAAAAAAAAAAAAAAAAAAAGGAAAGAAAAATGGACAAATGACAAATGGACTTGAATAGACATTTCTTAAAAGAAGGTATATAAAAGGCCAAAAAGCATATGAAAATATGACCAGCATCTCTAATCATTAGGGAAATGCAAATCAAGTCCACAATAAGATATCAACTAATAGTTGTTATGATAGACGCTATTTTAAAAAAAAACAAAAATGAAAAATAATAAGTGTTAGTGAAGATGTAGAGAAAATTGAATCCTTGTGTACTATTGGTGGAAATGTATAATAAAATGGTGAAGTTACTGTGGAAAACAGTGTGGTGATTCCCGAGAAATTAAAAACAGAATTACTATATGATCCAGAAATTCCACTTTTGAGAATATATCCAAAAGAATCAAAAACAGGATCTCATACAGATATTTGCACACCCGTGTTCATGGCAGCATTATTCACAGTAGCCAAGAAGCAACCTAGATGGTAGCAACCTAAATGTTCATCAACAGGTGAAGGATAAAAAAAAGTGATATATATATATCATGTTATATATATCACATATATATCTCACATATATAACATATATCACATACATATATCACATACACCCCATGTAATACTATTCAGCTTTAAAAAAGAAGGAAATCCTGGCCAGGCCCGGTGGCTCACACCTGTAATCCCAGCACTTTGGGAGGCCGAGGTGGGCGGATCACAAGGTCAGGAGATCGAGACCATCCTGGCTAACACGGTGAAACCCCGTCTGTACTAAAAACACAAAAATTAACCAGGCGTGATGGCGGGCACCTGTAGTCTCAGCTACTCCGAAGGCTGAGCCAGGAGAATGACGTGAACCAGGAGGCGGAGCTTGCAGTGAACCGAGATCGCACCACTGTACTCTATCTAGCCTGAGCAACAGAGCAAGACTCCGTCTCAAAAAAAAAAAAAAAAAAAAAAAAAAAAGAAGGAAATCCTTTATATGCTACAACATGGATAAACCTTGAAGACATTATGCTAAGTGCAATAAGCCAGTAACAAAAAGACTAATACTACATAATTCCACTTATATGAGGGACTGCAACCCGAGTCCATTCTTGTTTCCTCTGACCTTGATGATAAAGGTATTATGCAGAAGCTGGAGTCCTCATTATGGAGCAAAATATCCATGCCTGGTCGAAAAGTCAGGATTTAACACTATTTTACCATACTTGAAAATGATAAATATATGTGTATAAGTCTAGCCAACTAGATTGGGATCAAATAATTATAGATGGTACATTTTAATTCCAATAACAATATTCTTGTATTTTTAGCACATCTGAAGATATTTTTTGGCATAATAATACAATACAGTGCTAAATTTGATGGAAGTATAATAGAATATCTTCTTCATTGACTGCAGGAAAACTCGGACTCAAACAGCACTTGATCTCATCAGTAGTCAACCACCACATCGCTTCTCTAATCTTTTGAGGTTTTCAACCAAGAAAAAGGGCTAAGTCCATCTGATTTTAATCCTATAGGCAAAGATGTTTATCTGAGTCAATGAACTCTGATTCTTTCCTATATGAAAGCTGAAAATCTTTGGGGGAAATCCTTTACAAAACATAATGTTGAATGGAGATGTTTTGATTTTCCTTATCTCCAACTGCAATTTTTCAAAGAAGAGCTATAACAGAGCTGACTCTTTTAAACTAGACACCACAGCTCAGAGGAGGTAGACTTTTTCTTTCCCTCTTATTGCCTTTCCCTCTTCCTCCTCCCTCTTCTGATGTATGTAAAATGCTAATAAGCTAAAAAGAGTTAACTGAGCACAACTTCTTCCTAACTTGATATTCTTGCCTTTGGCCAACCATTTCTATTTTTCACTTTCAGTAAGCTCAAAAGGGGTAGATGAGGAATAGTGAGACAAATTTAAGAACATTCCTGGAGAAACTTAGAACAGATTTCTTTTTGTCTTTAATATTTTTCAGCAGTGATAGAACCAAATAAGAAAGAAAGAGATAGCAGTAGTAATTTGGTTTTGGTGCTGGTTATGGGGCACTGGAGGGAACAAAAAACCCTCTCAAAATATTACGCTTGCAAGTTATGCAAATTGGATTTAAGTTTTATGAGAGAAAAAAAAGTTCCAAAGAATCAGTAAACAAAAAAAGAAGTCTTATTTTGGTATTAACCCTTCTAAAAGTATTATTTGATGCACTAACTTTTCCTCAGAGGTGCTTATTGAGATTTGCACATTGTAGGCATTCAATAATTATGGGTTAAATTATTTTTGATTCAGGACAGGAATTGCATCAATTTTATATGAACACCTCATTTTTACTTGAATATTAATCACAAAACAATAAATGATGCAGCAATAATTATTTTATGATTATTATTATCTACTGAGTACCTTTAATTTGCCTGCCATTGAAATATACATATATTACTAGGTATTTCTCTGAGGTAAGAGAACTTTCCAGATGGCTCAATTAATTTCTTAGAAACCAGATAAATCAGCTATTTGATCAGCAGACATCTGTTATCAATACTCTAAAATTTGATAAAAAAAGATGTTTTACTTGTGGTAGTATTTATCTTTGTAAAATATACACATATAAAATAAGATAAACACTAGAAAAGATTCTAAAATTTTCACTAAAATCTTCACCTTTTAGAGAGAAATATTTTGTTTGCTGCAGTAGTGAGAAGGAAATTAGACAATGTAGTATTTTCTATATTGTGTTTCTTCCTATAAGTAAATTCAGAAACTTTGCTTTCTTAATATAAATTATTAACCTCAACTGGCAAATCCTCTTTTTTAGGATATTATAATGACGGATAAGATATATATGAGTTTAGGGTTTTAAAATATTTAAAATGAACTGAGCCAGGTGCGGTGACTCACACCTGTAATCCCAGTACTTTGGGAGGCCGAGGGTGGATGGATCACCTGAGTTCAGGAGTTCAAGACCAACCTGGCCAACAGGGTGAAACCCCATCTCTACTAAAAATACAAAAATTAGCCAGGCATGGTGGCACACACCTGTAGTCTTGGAAGGGTGAGGCCAATCACTTGAACCCAGGAGGTGAAGGTTGCAGTGAACTGAGATCATGCCATTACACTCCAGGCTGGGTAACAAAGTGAGACTCTGTCTCAAAAAATAAATAAATAAAAAGTAAAATAAAATAAAACGAACTGAAAAAACTGGACAGATCCTAAGTGACAAGAGCAAGTCAGTTTCTATTAATCTCAGATCTAGGTGGTTCAGATGAGCCACAATATGACCAGGAAGCTAGCAACCTACCGCTTTTTGAAAGTTGGACAATTTAATACTGGCAAAGACTCAAAAAATGCTTGAAGTATGGAGTCTATGGGTTTGAAGAAGCTTTTGTTTTGTCTATCTAATCAAATCTTCTTAAACTTTAATTAAGAGAGAATATGAGAGGGATAGAATGTGGATCACACATAATGTTATTACATTGTAAGTTGGAATCATAGGAGCAGCCAAGACATTTATTGAAATTTAGTTTCAAAGCAGTCTACATTGATGTTCTATTATAACAATTTCATTTCTAATGTATCAAATGGTGGATGAAGATGCACTTATCTGGTCTGATGGATGTGATACTAGGCAAAGGTGTAGTGCTCTGTGCTTCCTTGTTTAATAATTGAGCTTACACTTTTCCCCCAGAGAACAACTATATACTACATTTTCAAATAATTTGCTATCTTTAAAATTTCCATTCAGTTCACAAGACAATCATTACTGCTTTATTATCAAATAAGAATGTCATAAGATTGATCATAAAAGAATTTTTAGAATTTGGTCAGCAATTTGCCTTTGATGATAGCACTGTGGAGTGGTCTGTAAAAGTACATAGGGATCTGTTATAGATCGAGTTGTATTCTTCTGCCCAAATTCATGTGCTGAAGCCCTAACTCTCAATGTATTTGGAGATGGGGCCTTTAAAGAGGTAAGGTTAAGTGAGGGTATAAGGCAAGGATGCTATTCAATAGGACAGACATCTCTATAAGAAAAGGAGCAATACCAGGAATGTGCACGCATAGAGGACAGGTCACGTGAGCAAACAACACAAAGGCAGCCCTCTGCAAGCCAGAAGAAAGTCCTCACCAGAAACCAAGTCTCTGACATCTTGATGTTGGACTTCCAGCCTCCAGAACTATGAGAAAATACATTTCTGTTGTTGAAGGTTCCCAGTATGTGGTATTCTGTTACGGTAGCCTTAACAGACGAATACAGGATCTTGTAGGATATCAACTTCCGAGTGCTGCCTAAAGCTTCAACTCTTCTTAGTTCTCCTAAGTGACTAGTTATGGACCTATCACAAGCTTGTTTATCAAGATGCTTCTTGAACTTAGGGTTTTACATATTTAAAATGGATAGTTTAAATATTTTCAGTGCTGTCTTTGAGTTAGCAAGTTCTGTGCTTGTTACCTACTTTAAAATGTGTGTGTGGTTTTTTTGGAGACGGAATCTCACTCTGTTGCCCAGGCTGGAGTACAGTGGCGCAATCTCGGCTCACTGCAAGCTCTGCCTCCCGGGTTCACGCCATTCTCCTGTCTCAGCCTCCCAAGCAGCTGGGACCACAGGTGCCTGCCACCATGCCTGGCTAAGTTTTTGTATTTTTAGTAGAGATGGGGTTTCACTGTGTTAGCCAGCATGGTCTCTATCTCCTGACCTCGTGATTCACCTGCCTCAGCCTCCCAAAGTGCTGGTATTACAGGTGTGAGTCACCGCACCCAGTCTAAAATGTGTTTTATTGTAATAAAATATACATAACATAAAATTTACAATTTTAATCATTTTTAAGTGTGCAGTTCTGTGGTATTAAATACATTGACAATATTGTGCAACTATCACCACCAGACATCTCCAGAATGTTTTCATTTTCCTTAAGTGAAACTCTATACCCATTAAATAACTCCGCATTCTCTGTTCACTCAAACACTGGTGACCACCTGATATGGTCTGGCTCTATGTCTCCATCCAAATCTCATGTTGAATTGTAATCTTCAGTATTAGAGAGGGGACTGGTGAGAGATGATTAAATCATGGGGGCAGACTTCCCCCTTGCTGTTTTTGTGGTAGAGTTTTCATGAGATCTTATTGTTTGAAAGTATGTAGCACCTCTCTCTTCGCTCCCTGTCTCTCCTACTGGCCATGTGAATATGTGCCTGCTTCCCTTATGCCTTCTGCCATGATTGTAAGTTTCCTAAGGCCTCTCTAGCTATGCCTCCTGTAGAGCCTAAAGAATTGTGAGTCAATTACACCTCTTTTCTTCATAAATTACTCAGTCTCAGGTAGTTCTTTATAGCAATACAAGAATGGACTAATACATCATGCTTCTGTGTTCTGTCTCTATGAATTTGACTACTGTAGATACCTGCTACAAGTGGAATTATACAATATTTATCCTTTTGTGACTGGCTTATTTCACTTAGCTTAATGTCTTCAGGTTCCATCTATCAGGGGCTATATTTAGAATACTTACAATTGACATTATGTGGACACCATGTTTTGAACCCTATAGTTACTTTATACAGAGGTCTAAGGTTGGGGTCTCAAGGTAAGTTCTAGGTCCACAAGATGAGAAGGCACTAAGAAGCTAGAGGAAAAGGCTATTCACCAGGTACTTACAGACAATTTTATTATTTTTAAAACTAGTGATACCACCTAAATATCAATTCCCTTCTTGTGCATCATGACTTTTTCAAGAGTCACAAAAAATTTTATGTGTGCCTCTTTGAAATATACTTACCTATAGGAAAAAAAACTAATGAATTTTTGGATGGAGTGAATTTCTCTTCATTTACCATGAAAGGCTGGTCATGTTTAATGAATATAATAATACTATTTTTAAATTGCTTGCTAGAATGACCATCAAATTTCAGCTAGATTTGCAATCATTTGCCATGACAGCTTATTTGGTCACATGATATTTTCTCTTTTGAAAAGCAGTTATCTATCCTTAAAAGTTAATAACCTCTAGACTGGATATGCATCACAATTTTATTTATTTATTTATTTGAGAAGTAGTTTTGCTCTTGTTGCCCTAATCTTATTTGTCATATGTCTCTAGCCAATGGTTTTCTCTTGATGATGTACTTTGTTCTCATGAATTCACAAATTTGTAATATTAGTCTACATGTGATCATTATATATTTTAATAATAGCTTTATTGAGATAAAATTCATATGCCATAAAATTGCGTTTTTAAAGTAGACAATACAGAGGTCTTTGATATATTCATAGTTATGCAATCATCGTCACTTTTTGATTTTAGGTGGTTTTATCACCCCCAATACCCAATAGCAATCACTGTGTATTCCCTAGTGCCTAGAGTCACTATCCTACTTTCTGTCAGTATGGATTTGCCTATTCTAGACATTTTATATAGATGGAAACACATAGTATGTCTTTTCAAACTAGCTTCTTCACTTATCTGAAAGTTTTTATTGTTCATTTATATTGTGGCATGTATTAATACTTCATTATGTTTTATTGCCAAGTAATATTCTATTGTATGAACATACTATATTTCATTTATTCTTTCCTATTGATATACAGTTGGATTATTTCCACTTTTGGGCTATTAAACACAATGCTGCTATGAACACGCATATGCAATTTTGTGTGGACATATGTTTTTATTTCTTTTAGGTACATAGCTAGAAGTGAAATTATTGGGTTATGGGAAGGATTTTTTTATTTCTTCAAATTTACCCAACTTTGTGTATGATTAATATAAATGTCAGTTGTTTTCAGAGTGTATACGTGTGCCTTTACACTTATATATATATAGATATATAATCTATGAGTGTGTATTTATATATACAATTTCACATCTTTATGAAAGTGAATACTTAAGTTACTGAAATAAATATTTAGATATCCCCTGTACCCACAACAATGTCATCTATGGATTATGCTAGAATCTTGGATCCTGAAACACTAACTTGAACATTTATGGATTCAACCTACCTTTATGCTTTATCATGGTAACTTCATGAGCCTATTGGCTACCATAGTTAAAGTCCTCATCTCTAAAGGGCTGTTAATAGGATAGAGTCAATTAAATAAATACTGAATGTAAAGAATCCACGATGTGCCTAGGAAACCTTAAGCTTTGAATATATGGCATAAACCCTTATTCTTCAGTATATTTCAGCCTAATTCCTGAGTTTCTTCCTTTGCTATGAAATTTTGTATAAATTGGAAAACCAGCAGTTGGTATTCAGTTTAAATGGAATAATCATCAAAGGCATTTTGTTGAATTAGCTTTTAAAGCACTTAATTCTAATTCATATTATGCCTGATGTGTAAAGAGGCAATAAAGACAAAAAATAACTTTACGTCGGTTGTAAACTTTATTCCAAAGATAAATTGCTATCATTATCACTAATAACATCTCTCTATATAAATTTGATTCCTTAAATTTTGAGAATATCAGAATGTCCTTCTGTGTGCATAAATTAGACCACCCCTCAAAATGCAGCTCTAATAGTACTCTTCAAAATTGAAAACAATCTTTTAAAATGTATTTTAGAGCAAAGCTAAAAAGCACCCATCCTTCTTAAAAATATCTAAATCCTATCTGACTTTTGAATCATTCTCAAAATTCACATTAAAAACCTCTTTTCCTTGCAATGAGTTATTCCTGTTACTGTTCCTCTTCAGAGAATCATGATAAAACAAACAAAAACCTTTAAATATTCATCTAACCTTTCCAGTGGTTCCTGTGCAGTATAATCAAATACCACTATTTTGTAGTTAGTGTGTCTCTCCCCATCCGTGCTCGGATGGGTGTTCTGAAGTGGTTTAAGTAACTTCCAAATATACCATGATTCACAGTTGATATTCTTTTGGGGCTTACAAGTAAAGCCAACAAACAGTGCAAATAAAATGTCAAATAGCAGGATGGGGCCACTGGTCAACACTTGTAACTCCTACAGTATAGGGAGATAAACTTTATGAAAACACAGAAAGTACCTGTAGAATGCTAAAAAAGTCAATGCCATGAGCTAAGTCTTGGAGAAGTTGAGCTCAACCAGAAAGTTATTTGGGCTACATTTATCCTGTAACTTCTTTTGTTAATTTCCCAGTGGCATTGCCATGAAAGAAAAGGCTGTACTCTGCAAGCCATTGGGGGATGCAACTTCTGAGAATGAGCATGGGGGTTCTGGTATTGCAGAAATCAGTGGGAGATGTTAAATTCTTCTGCAGAAGACTCTATCCTTAAAACTTAAAAATTGTGAAAAATTTCAGGTATATAGTGAAATGCATCCCTAGTTTCTGCAGATACAACAAATAATGGGGGGTGGCAAAAGAGGGAGGAGGGCTTGGAATAGAGTTGACTCAAGAGTTATTCAGTGACTAGTACAGAATTTGATGAACTCAGAAGGAGACCAAGGCAAGCTCAGGATAGATGAATTCTATCAGCCACTCCTACTGGAGGGTTTCATCACTGCCAGAGTGAGTTGGGACTAGGATTCTGGCACTAAATCCAGAACCACTCTGTTAGATTTGTATATGATTTTAAAGCAGTGGAGTTCACATTATGTCTCTATTACAATAGCAAAGTATAAGCTACTAAATTTCATGGTGCCTTAGCATTCTTTACATTTTGTGTAAAATGGAGATGATGACATTACTTCATCAGAAAAGTTATGTCATCAAGATATTTGATTCCATCAGTTTCTACACATTTCCCTGCAATGCTAGAATTCTTACAATCATCCTTAATAATTGCTTGCTCCAGCTATTGCAAATGACAGGGCATAGTATTTTCTCTCTGAGCAGCATCACTGAGGGGTTAGGAAAAGAAATTATACAGGATATCCTGGCACTTAGTTGAAAGAAAACAAGACAATAATAACACTTCATGGTGTCAGAATTACCTTAGACTTTATATAAAGCACATAGAACCCTATTGACACAAAGTAAGCATTTACTAAATGTTAGTGATCATATTTACCCTTTCCTGTTTTTTTAAGTTTTATTTTTAATTAAAACATAATTGTGTATATTTGTGGATACAGTGTAATATTTCGATAAATGTATACATTGTGTAATGATCAAATCAGAATATTCAGCAGATTATATTTGTTCCCGTCTAATTTTAATTACTATTTAAGAAACAACATAAATTTACTAAATAATATGTTCATTCTTAACAAATGCAAATCGTGCTATCTTTGTGAAGTTCTGATACCAAAGTCCACTTCAGGTATTATCAGGGGGCATTATTTCAGTTGCTGGCTTCAAGCAGATGATTGTCCTTGACATTATTGTGCTTCCAGCGCTGGCCAGGTGAGCAGTGTCCCTTACAGATCATAGCAGCGTTAAACACATTCTCTTCCTGGTTGAATTGCACTTTATGTCAGCAAAGCCACTGGGATTGGGATTCGAGTTCATTGCCTTGCCATGGCGGTTTTGCCATGCACGTTTCTCTTCATGGCCCTCAATTTAACTTTCAATCTCCATATAACGTTTGTGTTGAAAAATTCTTTTTATGACTTCTAGAATATTGTAAGATTACGGGCTTTGCATTCTCCGGCAAGCAACATTTCACTCACCCATACTAGGCTTTCATTTCTTCTAGGACTGACTATTTTAATTTGTTCCTGGTGGCATTCCAGATTGTTTGCTAAACTGGCTGCAGATGGTTTTGAATGTGGCTGCTGCCGGCATTGTTACTAAGACGTGGTCTATAGATCATATTTCTCCTATCTTACAGTCTTTATGTTGGCTGCCTCTTGGACAGCATAGGGTTTTTAAGAATCCTTTTAATGACCTATAGAGCTATCAATGGCCCTAATTCTGTTTACTTTTCTGACTTTTAAACATTTTTAAACTTTAACACAGACTCTTCACTTATCCAATATGATGTTGTCATGTAGAGCATAACTGGTAGAGTGGATTGGTAACTGAGTTATCATTCAGACTGGTTTCAGCCTGTCCCAGGCTCCAAAAACCAGAATGATTTGAAGGGTGCATAGAGAGGAGAAATTTTGTGGTGAATAATTTTAGATGTATTTAAGGATTAATAATTTTACTTAATTATCACCTTACCTTCTTGAGATGCCTTTGGTTATTTTTAAAGTGTTTTTTTTCTTATCTTCTTTCCAAAAAAGGTAAAAATAAAAAAAGAATGCAATGGCCCCTCAAATGCGTATTTAACTTGTGAGGTTTAGAGCAATCACTGAATAAAAGTGCTAGAAGGAGATACTGCTGTGTATAATGACCTTAGTTGTTTTGAGAAATTTTTTAAAAAGTAACCTACTTATCTTGAGGACATACAAACTGTAAAGCCACAAAGTGCAGTGAGTCATTTTTGGTGCACCATATGACTTTGTAGTTGGGATTGTCAATTTTTTTTTCTGGATACGAGAGGAGGAAGAGGATGTAACTAGTCCTCTGTCCCACCTAAATTATCACAGCTAGGAGGCAGGATTTGTTTGTGATTTCTTGCGTTGTTTCTTTCCTATCTCTTCATAATTTCTCATATAAAATTAGCTGGAAATTAAATGGAAAAATTTTTTTTACATATATATAGTTGTGTTTTTCTTTCGGAGGGTAGGGTTTGGTAGATAAATAACTATTTTTTTCCAAGTTTGGGAAGCAGTTGAGAAATCAGATGTAGGAAATAGAGAGCTAGAGGTCAAGTATAAGCTTTATTTAGAAAAATGTGATTGAAGAACATGGCTATAGATCTGCAATCAAATAAACCTGATAATGCTTTCTCTCTCTCTAAACCTAGACTTTAGAACAGCCCACATGAAGGAGGGTTTTGTCTTCAGAGCAGTCACACCTAGAATACTGCTTCACATTGGATCAAAGCCAAGAAGAAAGAAAACAATCCTCTCATCCTCTATGATTTCAGCTTTTTAGAAAATTAGTTTGAAAGAGTTTTTGTAGGAATGGTGTGTTCGATTATTTGGCTTACTGCCTCTTGCTAAAAATGGTAAGATATAGTGGAATGAGCACATATATATGGGAGACTGCCATAACAAATATTAAATATTTTGGAAAAGTTAAAACTTAAAGAAATAAGCAGAATAAACAGACTATGAGAGCACTAAAATTGTTTTTTTGTTAGTTTATTTCATGCTGAGGGTAAACGTGACAGACTCTTGGACCTCTTGGAACAAGAAAAACAGAAGTTAAAACCCAAGATTTTGTGTTTCATAAAAGATTTTCTTGGCCAGGCGCGGTGGCTCATGTCTGTAATCCCAGCACTTTGGGAGACCAAGGCGGGCGGATCACGAGGTCAGGAGATCAAGACCATTCTGGCCAACATGGTGAAACCCTGTCTCTACTAAAAATACAAACAAATTAGCTGGGCGTGGCGGCGTGCACCTGTAGTCCCAGCTACTCAGGAGGCTGAGGCAGGAGAATTGCTTGAATCCGGAAGGTAAAGGCTGCAGTGAGCCAAGATCATGCCACTGCACTCCAGCCTGGCAACAGAGCAAGACTCCATAAAAAAAAAAAAAAAAAAAATTGTCTATAGTTTAAAGACTTCCTCTCACATTCAAGTAGGACCTAAAATGTCTCACTCTGAGGAGGTGAGGGTAACCTATAACTAAAGCTGTCGTTGTTTATCTCCCCAAACATGAAAAATATACCTTGGGGGGCAGTGAAGTAGGAAAATAGAAAGAAAAAAGAGAAAATATCTAAAAAAGTGTGACAGGAGACCAATATTCCCCTTTAGTTTTGTCCCCAGGTTTGAGATGTTTCCCAGCTGGTAGTGCCATCAGATGTCTCTGGTATAGGGCATATTTGTCCTGGGCTTTAGGAAGTTTCTATGCAATAAAAAAAAAATACAATGCCTACCATTCTGCCAAATGTAAAAAGGCATAAACAAGGCACTATGAGCGAGAAGCAGAAGAGGTAATAGCAGCAGAAACAGATTTCACATATTAGAATTATTTAAATATTATAAAACTTCTGTGATTTCTATGTTGAAAGAAAAGAAGATGTCTGCTTCTGATTATGAAAGGTTAACCTCTACAGGACTTCCCCTACCTTTGTAAATAACTAGAAAACTAGAAAAAAGTACAAAATAACTTTTCTTAGATGTTGAAAAGACATCAGTGCAAGCTGATGTGCTCTGAGTGAATGGAAACAAAGACAGTAAGCCATGCTATCACAACAGCTGTTTGTCTTGTGGCAGTTTCTGAATTGGTACAGAGTTTGGAAGCCCAAACAGAGCTCAGAAATTTTACCAACATGAAGAGTCAAATAATTTTCAAGCAAATTCTGCAAGAGAACTTCTGCGTGGAAGAAAGAGCTATGCAAGCAAGAGCTGTGGAAATCTACATAATGATTTTCTTGAAGCTTTGTCTTAACATCCACCTTTACAAACATAGGGTAAAACCCAATGACTGCGCAAATAACAATGATCATAAAAAGAACAATTACTAGGGAAGAGTAAATTGACCAATATTAAGAGTTCACAAAGGCTGGAAATCATTTGCGTTTCCAGTAGATGGAAGAGACCATGTTGAGTATATTAAGTGGAGACTGTGAAAGGGTCACATGTTAGTAGCAGGACTAAACTTAGGTTAGAGTAAAAGCCAATCTACTCAGGCCCTACAAAATCCTAAAACAAGGCCTATAAAAGATCAAGCTGATTCACAAGTGCTCTAATTGCCTGCCAGAATAGCTCACAACTCTAAAGTAATACAGTAAAATCCAGTTTCAATTATGTAAAATTTATGCTGTTTAGAATGTAATAAAAGTTACTAAACATGCAAGGAAGCAGAAAATAATAACTCCTACTAACTAGGAGAAAAAGCAGTTAATAGAAACAGACCCTGAAATGACAGAAATGATGAAATTAGCAGACAAGGATTTTAAAAGCGTTCTTATAAATATGCTCAATGTGCTCCAGAATTTGAAGGAAAGTAGTAAGAAGGTACCAAAGCCAAATATATTTATAAGACAATTGGAAATCTAATTCTGAATAGTTGGTGATATAAATAGTTTTATAATTTAATTCATGATAATATTATTGTAATTATTTTTGAAGAAATTATTTATTTCAGAAAATTACATTAAAATATTTATAGATAAAATGATACATAATAGGAATTGCTTCCACTTTTATGGGTATGGGAGAAGTTAGATGAGATATAAATGAAGCAAGACTGGCTATGAGGAGCTAATTATTTAAGCTGTGTGAGTTTTGAGTGTATTCAATTACTGTATCTGCTTGTGGGTAAATAATTAAAGAAAACTCGATGGAAATGTTTTTCAGCAGAAAGGATGAAGAAACTGAGAATGAATAAACTGGTAAATTGGCCATAATTTAAACAACACCTGGAGAGACAAGTAGAAGAAAAACAGAGTGAGAAAGGTGAGAGGACACTATAGGACTTTGCAATATTTGATTAGAGCCCCAGTAGGAGGGGCAGAGATAATATTCAAAAACATAAAGGCCGAGAAACTTCCAGACAAGAAACTTCCAGAAGTGAGAAATTCTTCAATTTACAGAATCAAGTTACCCAGAAGATTCCAACTATAATAAAATTTAAAAATCCATGCCTAGCCATAATATAACAAAATTATGGCAAACCAAAAAGAGGAAATACCTTTAAAAACTTGAAGAGACCAAACCCAAATTCTGCTTGAAGTACTGAAAACTGTAAGTTTTACTCAACTGTAAAAGTGGGAGAAGTTTCTGTAAGTAGAATGATATTGCTAATTTTCCAGGGAGAAATTGTCCACCTAGAATTTCACACCCATCAAAAATATTTTTCAAAGGTAAGAGTAAAATAAAGATATTTTCAAAGCAATGAATCTGAAAAAAATTATTAATAGAAGTCTCTCACTGAAGGATATTTTAAAGGTGCTTAAGAAGAATGATAGTGATCCCAGATGGAAGTCGTGAAATGCAAAAGGGAATTAAGGGGGAAAAAGGGTAATAGTGTGAGCAAATGCAAATAAACATTGATTATATAAGATACTTATAATAATATCTAATAGAGTCAACAATTATTGAATTGAAATATATGAAAAAATATCAAAAATATCAATCAAGAGGGATAGAGTTAAATATTCTCAGGCCCTTGTGTTATCTGAGAGGACAGTAAATGTTTTGATTAATTTAGTTTTATATGAATGTTGTAATTGCTAGGATAACCACTAAAAGAACACAGCCAGATGGAACAGAGGAAAATGCTAAAAATATCAAGCAATACAAAAGTAAGCAATAAAGAAGAGAAACAATATTGGCCGAGCAGTACCAATGGATGATAGATTTAAACCTGAACATAACAGTATTTATACAAATAATAATAACATAAAGGTTAAATTAAAATATAAATATTTTCTGAATGAATTTTAAAAATTCCAATCACATTATTTAAAAGAGAAACAGCTAAAACCTAAAGATAAGGAAAAGTTGAAAAAGTGGAAATAGGAAATATATAGTAGGAAATTATTAACCAACTGAAATATTTTGTAGGTATAACAATAGACAAATTAGATTTTAGGCAGAGACATTAAGGGAGGTAAAAAGGATTACTTCAATAAGGAAAATATACCAATTTAAATCTTAAATTTCACTTAACATTGCTTCGAATATATAAAACAAAAATTGCCCATTCACTGAACCATAAAAGCTCAAAAATTTTAAAGAATTGCCACCATACAGGGACTATTATCTGATAAAAGGCAAATAAAAGCTAAAAGTCAATATAAAAAGCAGAACTAGAAAATTGTTAAGTATTTGGACATTAACTGTTGTGAGTTAAAAAGAAATGAAAATGAAAGTAACATTTTTGACTGAATGATAGCAAAATATTACATATAGAAAATGCATGATGGAACTGCAGTTGTACTTACAGAGCGGTTTATAGACTTAAATACCTATATTAGAAAATAAGAAAGGTTAAAAATAACAAAATAAACATCTATCTTAGCAGTTAGAAAAGGACAACAAAAGAAATCCAAGCAAAGTAGAAGAAAGGATGCAGTATTCATATTTATATCACCAGAGATTAGTGGTATAGAAATGTACAATCGTAAAGATTAACAAAACCAAGAGTTGGTTTTTTGTAAAAACTTACACAAATTATGAATATCTGGCTATTCTAAAATACTTGTAAGTCAGTATTCCATCAGGGGACAGAAGCTATATTGCTAATTTTAAGAGATTATTAGCTAGTAGCAGGGAATAGTTTACCAAGGGAGGTAAACTGTAACCAACCTGGAAATAGCAGATATAGGGGCAGCTTTGAGCTGAGAGAAAGTACCCAAGGAAGGAAGAATCTTGGAAGAGGGACCCTGGCAAGGATGAGCTTCACATCTCATGGAGAGGGTGTGGCTGTGGCCCGCTGCCTGTGAAGAGAATTTGCTAAATGCCACAGGCCAGACCTGGGGAACAGGAAATCATCTTCTGGGGGTGACACCAAAACTCACTAGGAAGCTGCCTGCTGGGTGCATTGAAACACCCTGGAAAACCATTCACTGAGGTGCTGCTGAAATCACTGAAGAGTGTGTCACTGGGAGTTTCTGATGCTGCTGGCTGCTGTAAACCACAGAAGTGAGAAGAAAACTCACTGGAACCAGAAAGAAAAGCCCCTTCTTACAGCTTTCTTCTAGTGCTCTCTACTGACCTAGTTTAACATTGTGCTAGCTGACAAAGGAGAAATATGTACAAGGTCTAGCTCCAGTACTATAGAGGTAGGGTGATGAAGGATAAGAGATCAGTAACTGGCAAACATGAAATATTATGTGATAATATAAGTATGCAAATTGTAGGTGCCAGTAATATCTTTCAAATATAATGTTAACTTAAAGGAGAAAAATCACAGAAGAATGATTATACTATGACTCTGTTTTATACCAAGTTGAAAAAAACGGCAGTGAATTTATAAAGTATAGTAAGAACATAATTGCCATAAAGTCACTGTCATATTCCAGAGAGGGAGGAAAAACGCTGTGAGCAGTTAAAGACACTTGGTGTGTTTCAGGTGGGGCCTGATTGTGCCACCTGAAATTCTCTTTCTTGATCTCTATAGTGGGTATAATACATGTACTTTATCACAATGTGTTAAATTATACTTATATGTTAAATAATGTTATTAATATAGGTACACCAGTTTCCTGTGTTTGTCTGGAATATCTTTTTCTAGTTTTTACTTTCAACCATCTTGAGTATTTAGATGTGTCATATTTCTGTCTAGAGAGCTCAGGGGATTTACCAAAGTGGTGATTGAAGAAAGAATAGTTTTCACATGATATGGTGGTTTGGCTGTGTCCCCACCCAAATCTCATCTTGAATTGTAGTTTCCATAATCCCCATGTGTGGTGGAAAGGACCCAGTGCAGGGTAACTGAATCATGAGGGCTGTTTCCCCCATGCTATTCTTGTGATAGTGAGTGAGTTCCCACAAGATCTGATGGTTTTATAAGGGGCTTCTCTCTTTGCTCGGCACCCATTCTTCTGTTTCCTGCTGCCATGTGAAGAAGGATGTGTTTGCTTTTCCTTCCGCCTTGAATGTAAATTTCCTGAGGCCTCCTTTGCCCTGCAGAACTGTGAGTCAATTAAACCTCTTTTCTTTATAAACTGTCCAGTCTCAGGCAGTTCTTCATAGCAGCATGATAATGGACTAATATACCAGAGAAAACACTAATTCCTAATTTTGAAATGTTATATTTTGAACATATGAATCTTTGACTGTTAGTGCTATAGCCTGTGAAGTTTAAATTTCTTGTTGTATCAATAAATAAAATGGAACTCAGAGAGGTAAATTATTAGATCAAGGTTACATGACTACTAGCTGTGGCTAAAGGCTGGACTTATACAAGGTCTTCTGGCTTTCAGTTCAGTGCTATTTCCATTACCCTGTGATGTTTTAACTATTGCATACCTTCAAAGAATGCATCACAACATCAAATGGAGTCTAAATGGGGTAAACATGTTGACCTTATATAGTTCTATATATAATTTATGTCCTAAAGAGGCCCATTTAACATGCTACAGAGAAGCAGGCTACTTTAATCACTTTTGAAGATTGTAGTCAAGCAACAAGAAACATACATATATTAATTTCATCTAACTAAGCTAACTTAGTGAAGTGAAGGTTGCTTTCTACTCATTTGATCCTTCCCTCTTTAGTAACTAACGTGATATAGTATCTGTAGGAGTTTCCTTACTTCATATCTATAGAGAAGCATGGATGTAGTGTGTAAGACCTAATGAGTACATTTCTACAAGGCCTTTCATTTTCTTCAACCTGAGAATTGGTTCCACTCTTTAGATAAGTAGTTTTGTTCAAAATGATACTATATATTCTTTCACCAACCCCCTGAACCACATTTTACTCAATATAGTTCTGACTTGGCTTAAGATTTTATATCTCCTTAATCTCTATGGAACAGTTTATAGCTGCCTATTCAAATGGGTTCTTTTGCTTGAGAGTATCAAAAAAATTCACAGCCAATTTGAACTAAATATTAATTATTGTCTCATGAAACTTAGAACTCCAGGAAGGAAGCCAACTTCAGGTGTAGCTCATCCTGGAAATCAGACATTATTATTAGGGTACTCGCTCACTGTTCTACTTGTCCCTATTTGACCTCATTCTGCAGGTGAACTCTCACAATGTGCCAGTCAAGATGGCTTCTCTCAGCCCAGACACATATTTTTTGGAGTCCCTGTCAGCTCCAGTGAAAAGCTATAGAAAATACTCTAATTGGCTTTAGCAGAATCATGTGACCATATTGGAAATGGCCGGCCTTGGGTAATATTCTCTACCTCTTGTGTGTAGACGAAGGTATGGTAGTTTGAATGAAAGCCTGTTGGGATTATAAGGACCAGAGACCTTATTCTCCAAAGGAGAAACAGGGTGCTTTAAAAGCAAAGAAGGGGAATCAAGGAACATATTGCTATGACTAAAATCATAGCTTTCATAGTCCATCTATAAGGTCAAAATTACTGTTCTGGAAATCATTTGTCTTATTGTAGTGCAGCTCATATATCATATATTCTATACATGCACAAAGAATAATGTTAAAAATGTCATTTGGAAGGAAGCATGCTTAGAAAACCTATATATTCTTTGACTTACAAGATGTTTTAGTATTTCATTTAAATATAAAAAATCTTAGTCTCCATAGGTGCTCTTAAACATTTCTGATGAAAATATAAATTGATATAACATTTATAGAAAATATTTTTCCATTGTGTAACCAAAAGACTTAAAAGTCTTCTTGAGATTTGACCTAAGTATTTAACTGCTTCAAGGTAATTATCCTAAAGAAATAATAAGGAACGAAGATAAAGATCATGTAGAAGAATGTAAGTTATAGGGGTATTCAAACTAATGAAAGTTAGAGGCCGGGCACAGTGGCTCACGCCTGTAATCCCAGCACTTTGGGAGGCCGAGGCATGTGGATCACCTGAAGTCAGGAGTTTGAGACCAGCCTGGACAACATGAAACCCGGTCTCTACTAAAAATACAAAAATTAGCCAGGCTTGGTGGCACGCTCCTGTAGTCCCAGCTGCTCAGGAGGCTGAGGCAGGAGAATCGCTTGAACCTGGGAGGTGGAGGTTGCAGTAAGCCAAGATGGTGCCACTGCACTCCAGCCTGGGTGAGAGAGCGAGACTCTGTCTCAAGAAAAAAACAGAAAAGAAAATTAGGAACAGATTAAATGTCCTAATCTAGGAGAATGGTTAAAAAAATGATAGCATGTCCAAATAATGGTATATTATACAACAATATAAAATGGTTTTGAATCTAGTTTCTTTTTTCTCAGAAAAAAAAGAAACTGGATTCAAAAGCATATACTTATAATAGTTCGTATTTCATGTTTGTAAATGGTTATATTTATACAGTTACACAAAAGTATAATGCTTTTCTGGGGAAGGAGGTTATATGTGGTTCTGCATTATGTTTATATTGCTCTAATCTAAATTGATGATCTGTTGTTATAAAATTTTTAGAAAAGTCTTAGTCTACTGAAAAGTATATCCTTAACTTTAGTGATTGTATTCGTCATGATCAATTAAGAGTTCTAGGTGCCTTGCCAATAGCTGTGCTGCTATGACAATATAATTCCTTCCCATAGAGCTCAGTGCAAAGTGGAGCTGCTTAGAGAAGCTCTATCACCTCTGAGTACTTCAGTGTGTTTGTCAACAAGCACAGTGTTAAGCTGCTTTGATACCCGGAAGGAGAGGGTAGAATCAAAGTGACTAAAAAAGGAGTCTGCCTTTATTATTCCCAAAGGGTACTAAAAGATATAAGCTTCTTGAGGGCAGGGTTGGTGTCTGCTGTGCCCATCAGATTATCTGTTGCATAGGGGATGTTCACTAAGTAGGCATCAAATGCATCATTTTCTCACTCACAGAAAGTAACAACTCAAGTAACAATACCAGATAGCTGTGAAAACATCTCCTCACTCACTACCTCTTTCTTTGAAATATTTAAATGTTGGCACCTCTGAAGAGATGCTTGTCAGTTGGCATTTATGGAGACAAGTGTCATGCAATATGAGGTCTACAGCTTCTCCAGGTGACTCTCACCCTTTCTGACAGGATATGCTATGAGAAGATTGTCATTCAAACAGCCCAGAAACAAGAACTGAACAGCACTAACATCAAACAAAAGCAGCCCCTGGATTTTCTGACAAACCAGAAATAATTTTCCAGATGCAGGCAGCATACTCAAGTTGGCATTTGTAAGTTCTGACATTTAGCAATAAATATTGGGAGGGAACCATGTCTGCAGTCTTGGGGGTGGCTGAACCTTAGTTATTTGATTTATAGTGTTCCAAATCAGAACAGAAATCCCTTCCTTGCTTCAAGTACATGCTGTATTCTTGGCAATATATATAGACCAAATGGAGCTTACCTAAACCTGCTTTCCATTGACTTCTACCCTCATATTTTCTTCTATGAAGCAATTGAAAATGACTAAAGGCAGCAAATAAAACCTGTGGCCAGGACATAGCTCTGCAGTTGTTTGGCAAAGGTTAGGCACACTGAGTGAGTAACAAAAGGAAAACAACCTAGGAATCCACAGATCGAAAAGATTTAAATACATTTGTTACAGCAAGTACCCAAATACCTACTAAAGAAATTACTGTGCAGGGGTGCATGCCATAGGGATATTTTGTGTATATGACAAATAAGGAAAATGTTCCTAAATCCTTCTTGGACTAAAGCCCGATACCCATTCTCTGTATTTAACAGATTCTCAGAAGGCATGGCAGAGTTGAGCTGTCTCAGCCATTGTGTGCCAGGGAAGCATCACCTAGAGGTTTGGAGCAAAATTGAGAGTAGGATCATTTGAAATCAACAGGGTACAAAGTAAGCAGAGTAGCATAGCTCCCAGCGGCACACTACTCGCTGCATGACCCACATTTAAACAGCAGCTTCCTGCTGAAGTCAGGCCATAAAGGGATGCCTGAAGGAATCCTGAACAGGACAGGGAGGAAAGGTGGGAAAGAGATGAATACACAGTGTCTGGAGTTAATAAACTTCATTTCCTCCTAAGGCTCATGGCCATGGGGTAGAAAGAAGAAGGCTGAAGGCAAAGGTAGGTGTTCCTGGGCAGGTAAGAATCATGGGTGAGGGGGAATGCATCATGCTTCTCCTGTAGGAATGCTGATTCCTGAAGGGAACTCCTGAGGACATCTGATGAACACTGGAGTCCTTGTGGCATTGTTCATGCAGGGGATGCTAACACGATGACAGACAAGCAGGCAGAATGGGGAAAAGTGAGCCAGTAAGTATGCTCACCAGTGTTAACGAGTTGTTTTTGCTTTGCTTTGAAACTCAATCACCTTTGAAAGGTTCCCACCTTCAAAAAGCTGAGTAGTTTCTTTACAGCAGTGGTTCTCAAACTTATCTGTCCATGACAATCACCTGGAAGGCTTAGTAAAGCACAAACTTCCAGGGCTCTGTATTTAAAGTTTCTGATTAAATATTTCTGGGGTAGGACTTGAAAATTTGCATTTCTATTAGGTTCAAAGGTGATGCTGATGGTGCTGGTTTGCGCAATGAAACTGAAAACCACTGCTTCTAGCACACAGGGATCTGGGGTGTGTTTATAAATAACTTTGATTCAGTAAAGATCTTTCTGTCTCAGCTTCCTAAAGTATCAATTTCATTAAAATACTAATAGAAAAAAATAAGTAGAAAGTAAGCATATTAATGTTTAGTAATTCCTTGGAGTATGACAACTGGCAGCTTTGCCTGTCACATATTTTGTTCTTTGGTTTCATTTGCCCATGGGGAATATGAACTTAGATATTCTGCTTGTCTCCCCTTTCTGTTGTAACCATCTCCCTACTCCTAACTGAAATAGCAGCACCAGGTTTTAGAAGCCTATGGCTGTTATGTCAAGACCCCAACCCTCCCTGTAGCACCAATGCTATGCCACTGGGGCAGCAAGGCAAATTCAAAGCGAACGACTGGCAAAGATGATACATTTCTCTGGAGACTCTAATGCATTTTTTGCACAACCAGCTTAATTAAGAATCCGTGGCAATATATTAACCACAAGTTTATGGATCTCAATATGCCAATCAAACATAATGAGATAAATGCAAATGTCAAAGCACAGACTCTTTGCCTAGGAATATCAGAAGGCTTAAAGCTGTACCCTCAGTCAGTTGTCAGAAAGCAATGGGAATGGCTGGGCCTGAGGAGGGCAGGGTTTGCCCACTGCAATTTAAAAATCCATGGCATGACCTCCAGGACTGAGCTCTCACATATCCAGGGTATGAAAATAAGACTAAAGGCCAGGTGCTGTGGCTCACGCCTATAATCTCAGCACTTTGGGAGGCTGAGGTGGGCAGATCGCCAGAGGTCAGGAGTTCTAGACCAGCCTGGCCAACATGGTGAAACCTCGTCTCTACTAAAAATTCAAAAATTAGCTGGGCATGGTGGCGGGTGCCTGTAATCCCAGCTACTTGGGAGGCTGAGGCAGGAGAATCGCTTGAACCCAGAAGGTGGAGGTTGCGCCATTGGACTTGAGCCTGGGTGACAAGAGTGACTCCGTCTCAAAAAAAAAAAAAAAAAAAAAGAAAGAAAGAAAGAAAGGAAAAGAGGAAAAGAAGGCTAAAAATGGTTAGTTTACAGCCTCACATTAAGATGATGATGATGATAAATCTCAAGACGCTCACCTACTTCTGAAGAATGAAGAATAGGGCTAGAAGTCAGGAGCCAAAATCCACATTTGCATCCCAGGTCTGTCACTATAAGACAAGCCAAATGACATCCCTTTGAACATCTAGTGAAGTAGGAAGGCTGATAACTGCTTGTTTTATAATAATGCATATCAGTAAAGAAAGTAATGGATTTAATTATATTATTTTATCTTCTGAATGACTAGGTTAAAAAATGGTTAAAATAGAGGACTGTCATCTGTTTGGTGTATCTGGCTCAGGGCCAGATTTGATGAACTTATAACGGTTGAACAACCTGCAACATAAAGCTGGCTAACAGATGGTTGTTAACTTGAAACGTGTGTTCTGGTGGCTGAAGGGCTCGGCCTTGCTAGGATTGGTGTTGTTCGCTATTTTTATTCAATAACAAATTGAAAGCATAGTTATCAAATTTATGAGTGACACAAATTTGGAGGAGACAGCTAATATCTTCTGTGAATAAATTAACAGTGAAATATATTTTCTTTTCAACTTGGTAATAAAGTGACTTTAATAAAACATACTTTAACAGAGAAAAATATAAGGTCCTTCACCAAGACAAAAAATGACCCAGAAAGCAAATCCTACCAATAGGATAGGTGACTTAAACGTTATATGCATGGAAAAGACTTGCTTTTAATATTAAGCGTTTATGAGATTTAGCTTCTAAGAAAGTCAGTGTGATTTTTTGTTGCCTTTAATGAATTATACAGAATGACTGAAGTGATAGTTTGCTGTAAATTAGCCAGATTATATCCTGAGCATCATCCACATTTCTGGACAACATTTTTTGAGTACAGAGAAAAGCAACCAGGTGGGGGAAGGGAAAGATTTCACATGAAGCATGGTTGAATGAACAGAAATATTTTAGCCCTTATACATGAAAACTAAAAGGACAATTAGAGCTCTGATTTAAATTACTTAAAACTATAGTCATGGTGAAGAGAAACTATTATTTATTTTTGTATGTAGAACCCTGGAGAATATAATTAGAACCAGAACTTAGGGAGGCAAATTTTAGGTCAGCATAAGAAAGAAATTCTTTCTTTTAAAAAATGCTTACCAAAATGATACATTGGTTACAGAGGCAAAAAATGCTGCCAAACATGTAATTAAAAACTACGGTTATCTTCTCCCTCTCCACCCTAATCCTTGCTCCCCGCAGGCAACCTCTAGGGAGTTATTTTACGTACTTTCCTGGTACTCCCTCTATTTTCCAAATGTCATGCATATTCTAGTTTAAAAAATTAAATCTAATGACTTCTATAGAAAATGAGATTTTGGTTCTCTATTATTCTCCCTTCTCCTTCTCCATTCTCCCAATTTAGTTAAATAACTGTTTCTGCTTAAATCAATAACCAGGATGTACTTTATGTAAATAGTTTATGATTGAGACATATAAAGTATTATGAGTATATTTTCTTTCTTTTTTTTTTTTTTTGAGATGGAGTCTCGCTCTGTCGCCCGGGCTGGAGTGCAGTGGCACGATCTCGGCTCACTGCAAGCTCTGTCTCACGGGTTCACGCCATTCCCCTGCCTCAGCCTCCCAAGTAGCTGGGACTACAGGCACCTGCCACCACGCCCGGCTAATTCTTTAAATATTTTTAGTAGAGACGGGGTTTCACCATGTTAACCAAGATGGTCTCGATCTCCTGACCTCGTGACCCACCTGCCTTGGCCTCCCAAAGTGCTAGGATTACAGGCGTGAGCCACCGCGCCTGGCCGACTATATTTTCTTATAGAATGATTTGTCTTCCTTAGAATTAATAACAGTTTTTTGTTTGTTTTTTCCCTTATGTAATTTGTGTTATTTCATCCCCAAACTCTCTAGGAGAGCTGCATAACTTAAATCAATACAATAAAATGCACTGGTCCATCTCTTAGCACTATTTTTTCCCAGCAAAATTCTCTCTGAAGTCCTCAGCTCAGTGGCTTCCATCCTGATGTAGCTGTGGTCCGTCTGATTCCCTTTACTTCCGTTTTGACTTTTACAGTATCCTCTTTCTTGTTTTATTCCTCCATTTGGTGGAACATTTTTTCTGCAGTAGTTTCTTCAGAATAAATGTATGAGAACTAAATTTTTCAAATGGGCATCTATTCCTCTTTAAGTTTGATTGATAATATTCCTGGGCTTAGAATTCTAGATTTGAAATTACATTACTTCTAAATTTTGAAGACATTGATTTATGCTATTGTTTTCCAGCTTTCAGGATCTTTGTTAAGAACCCGAAGCCCTTACATGCATGCTGCTTTTTTACCCACTTCTGAGAAGATTTCAGTAACTTCTCTTTTTTTCTTGTTAGTCTGAAATTTCTCAATGATTTCCATTGGTGTAGAACTTTTTCATTCATTTTGCAAGGCACTTGGGAAACTCTTGGTTTTCAGTTCTTAGAAAGTCTTTCATCATCTTTTTTTTTTTTTTTTTTTTTTTGAGATGGAGTCTCACACTGTTGCCTGGGCTGGAGTGCAATGGCGCGATCTCGGCTCACTGCAAGCTCCGCCTCCCGGGTTCACACGATTCTCCTGCCTCAGCCTCCCAAGTAGCTGGGATTACAGGTGCACACCACCACACCTGGCTATTTTTTTGTATTTTTAGTAGACGGGGTTTCACTATGTTGGCCAGGGTGGTCTCGAACTCCTAACCTCACAATCCACCCACCTCGGCCTCCCAAAGTGCTGGGATTACAGGCGTGAGTCACCAGCCCGGCCCTTTCATCTTCTTTATTAATTTTTTTGAAAGCAAATTTTGCCCTTCTGTTTTGTTTTTTTGTTCTCTTTCTAGAATTCCTATTAGTCAAATGTTGTACTTTCTCAATCTTCTAATTTTCTCATATTGTTTTTCATATTCTCTTTCTTTTCATTTTGTTCTATGTTTTGGAGAGTGCCACAAATGTGTCTTTTAATCAGTCTATCAGAGTTTTCATTTTCATTACTGTAGTTTGAATTCCAAGGGCCTCTTTTTTGTCTTCTGAAAGTTCTGTTCTTATAACATCCTGCTTTTTATTTTATGAATACAGAATTTTTACCTCTTTAAACAATTAATGTTAATATTCTCTACACTATGTGTCTCTTTCAAGTTCCTTTATTCTCCATGCATTGATTTGGACTGTCTTTCATGTTAGAGAGTTTTTTATTAAAAATGCTGGAATATCCTTTCATATTCTTGAGTGAGTGTGTTAGATTTGGTTTTCTGGGAAATAGAGTTTGTGCAGCAAGTTTACTGGGAATTCCCTTGAAATCAACACCTAAGGGGGAAAGTGTTGAGAAACTGAATTGGAATATGGTTGCAACCAGTTCACAGACAATCACATGGAAAGCACTGGGGTTTGGATGTCTCCTCACAGAGGTACAAATTAAGCAAGTGGGCTAGACTTATTTATCCCATACCTATAAGTCATTAGATTTCGGCTGTTTCCAGGGAAGAGGTGTGATCTTATGAGAGCCATCTCTCTTCACCTGCAAGCGATTCTCTAAGAGGGAATCAGCTATAATCCATAAGCCACTAACACTCACACAGTTGACAGTAACACCTCAGTCCTGAAGAGGACTCAGGGTGATACACTACAGTATCTTCTATAGCAAGGCACTAAAATGCTATCATGCAGATGAGGTTAAGCAAATGGTAGATCTCACTACAAAGTTATTTCAGGAGAGGGAATACTATGAGACAGCCTCAAATGTCAGTATCAGAGGTATTTCTCTTGGGCTGGTAAATTTCCACAGATGAAATTGGGGAAGGAGGTAGATAGTGGCCAGTGTACTAGAAGGCCATTCAAGGAGCTCAGTATTCACTGTACAGACCTTGGCTTAGTCCCCTTGTTTTCCAAAGGTGCTTCACCTCCACCATCCACTGTTTCTTGTGTCTGAGTGTCCACAATCTTCACGACTTAATATCTTTAGAAAGTAAACCAATGCGCTTCTGCCTGGGTGGGAAGAACAGCTTCCTGGCTTCGTGGGGTGAGGGAGGGAATCTGTGTGTCAGACTCTTCTTAATAAATAATTCTCCTTAATAAATTCTCCCATATTCAGACTGACATTACAGATGTACCTGAGCTTTTCCATGGTTAGTATTTCCCCTGGCAGGCTTAAATTTCAAGTTTCTCTATTCCTCCAAATCAGCTTCCAAAGTTTCATTGAGATTCTTGGTAGATGTTTAGCAATTTTTACTCATTTTACCTGGATTTTGGAAATGAAGAGAGGAGATAAATGAATTGTTCAATCTTCCATGTTTGACTTTAAGTTCCAGTAATTACCTTCTAAAAAGCAAAATGCGCTGTCTGCGCTATCTCAAGAGGTGATGAATTCTCAATCACTGGAGGTGTTCGAGCAGAGAACAAACGATCACTCAAGACGTATGTTGACAAGATTCCTGTGTCACATTGGAATTAGGAGCTAATTTTATCCAATCTTGAGTGTCAATGGTTCCATATGTTGTAGGAGAAAGGGCTTTATGTCCATGAGAGAAAAATGTTCCATGGAGGTCAGAACAGAAGTCCATGTAGTACAACTTCCTCATTTTGTAGATGGGCTTAATACTCAAGGTCTTTTTTGACTTAGCTTCCATTTACTACTTTCGTTCCAAACTCACGACATTACCCCAACATACCCTTGGATTCAGCTATACAGAATTTCTGGCAGTTTCCCAAATGTGTGATGGTATTTCATGCCTCCTTGTGTTTCCACATGCTGCTCACACCTAGAGAGCTCTTTTCCTTTTTTTGTCAAAACTACTCCTACTTGTCCTTCAAAAACTTAACCCAAGCATATCATCCTACACAAAAACTTCCCTCAGTGCCTGCTCCATCTCTTATTTAGTTGCTTCATTTCCATGTGTTCTCCACTACAATGTAAGTGCCTTGAATAGAGGAAATATTCATATGCACTTCTAGGGCTAGCACAGAACTTAGTGAATAATAACAGCTCAATAAATCATGGTCGAATGAATGCATGAGTGATGAATGAATAAGAAAATTGAGTCTGAGAAATTTTAAGTGACTTAACCAACGATAGAGTTGATCATTGACAGAGTTAGTTGGAAACATAAGAAGGGCTTTCAAATTTCCTCTAACATGTCCCTTTAACCACAAAACCTCACATAATTTTCATTTTCTTTTTTTTTAAATTATACTTTAAGTTCTGGGATACATGTGCAGAACGTGCAGTTTTGCTACATAGGTATACATGTGACATGGTGGTTTGCTGCACCCATCATCCCGTCATCTACATTAGGCATTTCTCCTAATGTTATCCCTCTCCTAGGCTCCCAACACCCGACAGGCCCCAGTGTGTGATGTTCCCCTCCCTATATCCATGTGTTTTCATTGTTCAACTCCCACTTCTGAGAGAGAACATGTGATGTTTGGCTTTCTCTTCTTGTGATAGTTTGCTGAGAATGAGGGTTTCCAGCTTCATCCATGTCCCTGCAAAGGACATGAACTCATCCTTTTTCATGGCTGCATAGTATTCCATGGTGTATATGTGCCACATTTTCTTTATCCAGTCTATTACTGATGGACATTTGGGTTGGTTCTAAGTCTTTGCTATTGTGGATACTGCTTCAATAAACACACATGTGCATGTGTCTTTATAGTAGAATGATTTATAATCCTTTGGGTATATACCCAGTAATGGGATTGCCAGGCCAAATGGTATTTCTAGTTCTAGATCCTTGAGGAATCGCCACACAGTCTTCCACAATGGTTGAACTAATTTACAATCCCACCAACAGCATAAAAGCATTCCTATTTCTCCACATCCTCTCCAGCATCTGTTGTTTCCTGACTTTTTAATGGTCTTCATTCTAACTGGTGTGAGATGGTATCTCATTGTGGTTTTGATTTGCACATCTTTAATGACCAGTGATGATGAGCATTTTTTCATATGTCTGTTGGCTGCATAAATATCTTCTGAGAAATATCTGTTCATATCCTTTGCTCACTTTTTGATGGGGTTGTTTTGATGTTCTTGTACATTTGTTTAAGTTCTTTGTAGATTCTGGATATTAGCCCTTTGTCAGGTGGATAGATTGCAAACATTTTCTCCCATTCTGTAAAAACCTCACATAATTTTCTACCCACATATTCAGGTATGAGATGACCTGTCTCTTTTCTTCCTCCTTTTCCTTTTTTTCTCTGTTTTAATCTACTTCGTTCAAAATGTATTAACTATCCTCTTTTTGGTAAGTTTGGAAAATACAAACACAAATTTCATTTCTCTGGCTCTAACTCCATTTCTCTGTTACAGATCTCTAGTCTTTCTCAAAGCTGTATCTATTATTTCTAGAGTGTCTCACATTTACTCAAGATTAAGTCCTTTTCATCACTACTTTTTATCTCCCATTTATGTCATCTCATCTCTTCCCTCCTTCAGGAAGACTCCATGCTTTGGCCTCTCTTGCCTTTAAAGCCATTCTGTCACTTGTTACTGTCCTGATGATAAGGGTTTGCATGAGAATCTTGATGTCTGTGACAAGCCTGTCGTTCCTTATTGTTTCTCCTTGCTTTTTGTTATATATCATCATATTTGTTCTAAAATAAAGATTTCTTTGAACCCCATTATCTTGTGGAGTTTTAAAATATGACTAATCATGCACCCTCCTTCTCAGGATTCACATAAGTCATATAAGTCTATACGAGTTGAACTAGGGGCAAACTCAAGTGGCAGAGACCTACCCGCCTCAGGCTTTGTTACTGGGCAAATTTGTCTGTGAAATTTTCTTTTTCTCTTAGGATGGGTTATTTCCTAAGAAACTTTTCAATCCCTTACACAAATAAGCTCAAGCTGGGCCTGTTCTTCCAGTCGGCTAGAAATACCCAACCATGTTTGAATCCCAGCAGTGAACATAATTTAGACTCAAGCTGTGATCATATCTATATAAGAAGAAAAAATGAATTACATATTCCAGTTGAGTATATGTATTCATAAATGGATAAGCAAGACAAATTGATCAGGGGCCATGGAATAAGCAAATGCTCTGATAATCTGTTCTGAGTTATTCATAATTTAGGAGTCAAACTTAGATCAACTTTCCCCCCTACACCCCTTAAGAGTATTTGGATGAGTAGGTCAAAAGTGCTGTTTGTTTTCGTGTTATTTTATTATAAATAACACAATACTAAGAGCTAACATTTATATGATCTTGCCTTGTGCCAGACAGTGCTCTAAGGGCTTTACATGCATTAATACATTTAATCCTCATAATAAAATCACATGAGGTAAGAGAAAATTTTGACCCCATTTTATAAATGATGAAACTGACTTACAGAGAAATTAAATCACTTGTCCAAGATCAGTTAGTGAGTGACTGAGCCAGGATTTGAACCACATTTTGAACTGACTCTAGACCCCAAGCTCTCAACTGCTGTGTGGTTCTGACCTTTCTTACTAATATAAAACAATGCCCTCCAAGAAACTGACACAGCAATAAAGTTCACAATAGTAACACAGAGAGGAAGTAACACAACCATATCTAAAACAAATAAGTGATATTTTTTAGTCACTCTGCTAAAATGCTTTACCCATGTTTTTCAACTAATACAACAACTCTATTTCAATTCTGTCCCTGAGATGAAACTAAGTCACTTGTCCTGTTTTACCCAGCTGGTGAAACCAGGATTCTAGCTCAGATCTGTGAGAATCCAAACCTAAGATCAGAACTGCTTCTCAAGACTGCCTTCCATGTAATCTAGGAGAGACCCTTGGCTTTATTTGATTTAGCATTTGCAGTTCACATTAATTTCACATAATCCACATTCCAGGATATATAGTACAATTAGTAATCTTAGAGCATTAATACTGGCTGCTGTGCAGGCTCCAGGCCGGCCCACCATTCAGCACTGCAATTTATGGCCACTTTGTGAGTCACTATTCATATTTGTATATAATTTAACTTAAAAAATAATACACTATACAGGTATTTGAAAATTTGAAATTCATGAGGATCTGGGGCAAGTCTTGAACATTATAAAATGAAGTTGTACTTTCCTCCATGATGTCTGACCCCACAGGTTTATAAACACCTATGTATAAACATATCTATGTTTACTTCTGTGTATAGCATATGGCTTGCTACATTCAGGTTGCATTGTTTAAATGGCTAGAATGGTAAAAAGACTGAAATCCTGTAATCAGTTTTTGCTTCATTTTGTTTTGCTTTTTTCTATATTTAATGCTCTGGACATTCACTGAAAAATCTCAATTAAATTTTTTTTATAGATTTAGGGGGTAAAAATGCAGTTTTGGTACATGGATATATTGTGTAGTGCAGAAATCTGGGCTTTTAGTGTAACCATCACCCAAATAGTGTGCATTGTACTCATGAGGTAATTTCTCATCCATCACTCATTAGTCTAAAAAGGGAATAAAATATTAGTATTAGTACCATAAAGTAACATCGTGATATATAACATATGCTAGTTTTACAAAAGTTCATTTGTTCTCTAAGGAGAGAATATGTATTTCACTTATTTTGAGGAATAAAAATGTTAATGACTAGACTTTAGGATAAAATTAGATGATTCCACAAGATGTCACTATTTCCCTTTCAGTGGAAATGGTTTGCCATCAAATTGTATCTAAGATATTTTAAATAAATAGAAATAAAGTAAATAATTTCCTTTTGTATGGGTCAGTCAACCAGTATAACATATTATCTACAAAGAAACATTCAAATATAAAACCCAACCTTACATGTCAATTTAGATACTGGTGCAGTGTAGCCATCTTAGCAAAAACCTGGTGTGTACAGTATTGATGCATACTTTAAAGAGCAGGATCCAAGTACAGTTCAATGGTCTGTTTAGCTCCAAAGAAAAATGTGGGTAAAAGTAATTTTCCTATTAAAAAGTAAGGGTTTCAATTATAGTCTACAAAGCCTCACAACTACCTTATTACTTGCTTCTTTATTCCTAGAATCATTGAACCTTCACAGCTTTATTGACCCAAGTATAGAAGATTAAGTTCTAAAAACACTGGAGAATGGATTTAGAGGAATTTACTGTTCCCCCTCCATTTCAATAACTAGATCAAATATGGAAGGATCAATTTGATTTTGCATAGAATAAGTATAAGGGCTAGTTTTACCTCAAACCACTTTCATTCTCATGTCGTGTTCTATTTTCCTGTCTTAATCTATTCAGGCTGTGTACAAGGTCCCACAGACTGGGTGGCTTAAACAACAGAAATTTATTTCTCACAGTTCTGGAGGCTGGGAAGTCCAAGATCAGGGTGCTGGCAGATTTGACATCTGGTGGGAGCCCTCTTTTGGCTTGCAGGTGGCCGTGTTCTCAGTGTATGGCAGGGAGCAGACAGAGAGAGAGGGAGATCCTATTCAGAGGCTCCACCTTCAAGATCTCTCAAAGGCCCCATCTCCAAACACTATCATATTAGGAATCAGGCTTCAACATATAAAGTTTGGAGGGGCGCAAATATTCAGTCCACAGCGCTGTCTAGACTACCTTAGCCATAAATCCTTGAGAGAAAATAAACGGAATGGTATAATAAAACTCAAAATAGAACATTTAGAATAACTTTACATTTTTCAGAAGCCCATATTGTTTCTACTAGACATGTTTGAAGACTTCTGTTAACTCAATAAAAATGCAATTTGGTAGCCTGATGTGAAAGGATGACATAGATTAATTCATCCAGCAAAAACTTGTTGAGCTTTGTTACAATTCCATTGTTTTGATAGGGAGTGAAGACGTGAACACACGAAAGATAAGGTACCAGTCCTCAAGGAGCTTCCAGTCTAATGTGGAAGAAAGACAAACAAGGAAGTGTAATATACTCTCAGGGCAATGGCAGATGTATTCATAGGCTATAAGTGCAGTAGGGTCACAGTGAAAGTGAGGGTCTGCAGCTCATGTTCAAGAAGCCCTAGTTGCTCATTGAGTTAGTAGTTTTACTCGTGACAGTTCACCTAACATTAGAATAAACCACTCAATGAAGGACATACTTTAAATAGATAGATTACAAGGCACATACATATACGTTTGCACATCTAAGATATTTATTTCAAAATAATGTTTTATTCAAGCAGAAATGAGGACATCATTCTTTTTAGATGTTTTTCTAATAAATTCTTAGGCTTAAACCTTCCATCTCAGATTGAGATTGGAAACACATGACTTTATGTTCTCTACCTTAAGTAATCTATTTATTTCAATAACATAAATATTAATGTTTCATTAGAGAAACAAACTGTGAGCAAAGACAGTATGTTGAGGCTTCTTGTCCTTTGTAGATGCCTAATAGGTCTTAATATAGAGTGTTTTATAAAATAGAATTATTGGTCATCTCACTGAACTTGCATCTCTTCTGGATAATTGCATAGATTGATTAGCATTTTAATCAAAAGAAATGACAATTCTTGTCTTCAGAAAGTAAAAAGTGTTTTAATTTTTGGCTAAGGAGAGGACTTTGTTGTTGTTGTTGTTGTTGTTTTTGAGACAGAGTCTCTCTCTGTCCCTCAGGCTGGAGTACAGTGGAGTGAGCTCAGCTCACTGCAACCTCTGCCTCCCAGGTTCAAATGATTCTCTTGCTTCAGCTTCCCAAGTAGCTGGGGCCACAGGCACGCGCCACCATGCCCAGCTAGTTTTTGTATTTTTAGTAGAGACGGGGTTTCACCACATTGGTCAGGCTGGTCTGGAACTGCTGACCTCGTGATCCACCCGCCACGGCCTCCCAAAGTGCTGGGATTACAGGCGCCCGGCCAGAGAGGACGGTTTTTATTTTAAAGTTTAGCATAGTTGATATACACAGATTAGAGTTCTCCTTTAAATCTTTGGTAGTTTCAAAAACTGATAGAAAATATGAGAAGTCTTCTGGCTTAGTTATAAAACGAATAAATAAAGAGGAGCAGGAAGCAAGAGGAAGCCAAATTTTCTACTCTAGATACTGGTAATATTAATTATGGGTTGTACATAGAACGGAGTAGTATGCTATTGTAAAAAATTATTTTGTGTAAGTATAGTTAATAAAATAAGTATATTTATGGTATGCTTTAAATGAAAAATCACATTATAAAGCTAATTATTATATGATTCAAATTTGTGTTTTAGAAACCCTATGTACTGTTTTGCTAATCTGTACTTCTTTAATTTTGTAGAAGTAATTTATCATATACTTGAAATAAGAAAAAAGTAGTAGAACTGGTGTTTGTGTGTCTTCTCTTTTTTCTTTTTAAGATATAACTGCTCTTTAGTCTGCTTATTTTTCGTTCTGTCATTATTTCAAAGGGAGACACTCTATCCTAGAGCCTTTGTATATAGTTATCTCGTGAGTACCATAAAAGCATTTAGTAGTCATTTTATTTCAGTGATAACAATTGTTAATTATATTCCTAAGGGAAGGAAAAATGCCTGAGGCCTCAAGTCACTGAATTATCAAGTACTTACATTTTCGAGGAATAAATGCCGAGATTGGACGCACGTTTTATTTTTCATACTAATGTTTGTCCCAAAACCTCCAGCACAGTAAAATCCATTCCCTGTAGGTGCTTCTCAAAAGCTTCTAATGCTACTTAAACTCTAAACTGCCTCCTCCTGGCCTTCTTTTCTCTAGGTCTCTGTCACTTATTCTTACTGAAAGCTACACTCTCTATGACTGTGACTTTGATATTAATTGAAGTCCCTTGTGTCTCCTTCTGGAGGGTATAGGACCTCCTGTAAAGTGTTTGAGCCTACCTTGTCAACAGTGGTGGCTGTCGCACTTCTCTGATAAGTTTAATCTCACATCTCATGATTATAGAAGAGTAGCAGAGTACAAAGGCAGCCAAAATATACGGTACATGATTAATAAGAAAAATATTACCAGCAATGCAACTTCCATGTGAAAAACTAACATGCTCACACACCACTCAACTAAGAAACACAGTTCATTTGATGCAATACTGGTGAAGATTGGACAATGTCCCAAATTAATCCATATTTTGTTTCCTGGCTCTCATTCTTCAAATTTCAGAAGGCAGTTATAATTTTCTTTGAACGATTTTTAAGATTTTATTATTTTGACTGTAACTCAAATTATCTGCCTTAGTATAGTGAACCTCACTTTGGGTCTCTATGTATCGGCCCAGCCATTGTTTTATGGACCGTGATTGTGAAGGGGCCATCCATTTTCTGACATGACCCCAGTATACACTCTCTCCACTGAATATTACCTGAAGCCACAGCCCTGGGTACCCTGTGGGTCACCAATTCTACCATGATTGATTTTAAATATGAATATACAACAGTCATAACTTTTATAATACGAAATGAATTTATAAAAGCTCTAAATGTGATTTCAGTCTTCCAAATCTACAGCTAATTTTTATCATGTTTGAACACAATGGAAATTGTCCTTACTCAGTGTGATCACATTTGCTTTCCACCCTTTTTTTTGCTTTGTGGATTTCTACATACATTCTTGTTTCTCTGTTCATGTGTTTTTGTTCTGTTTTCTTATTTTGTTTTATATTGGAACATCTAAATATTTGGGCAAGGATTCAGAACTATTTCACATGGAATGAATACTTCAGGTTTGGAACGTCCGTTCCTCCAGCAAAGATTTTCTGAATTGCTCTTCTCCTTTTCGGTGTGTTTTTCACACATGAATTGAGATCTTTCCCAATCTAATCACACAGAACTTTTTATCAGTTTCTGGAATGTGATATGGTCTCCTCATTTCTTGCCAACCCGTTCCCTCAGCCTGAAAATTTTTCCCTACTTCTCACTTGGCCTAACTCCTATTCTTAAGTTTTAATGTTGGTTCCTTTGTTAAAGCTGTCTCTCCCCATTCCTCTCTCTCTCCAAGTCCCTCCAAAAATACACAACATAGACTTAGAAACTTCCAGAAAGAGTTTCTCTATATCTGGGCCAGTTTGGCTGATCCTTTTTAGGAATCTAGACTCTTTCTCCTCTGGCTGGTGGGGCTGGAGGTGACCTCCCAAAGGTGGAGATGGGTGCAGGAAGGAGGTCTTTCCTCCTCCTCCGTGCAGTACCCACAAGGAGGACCCTTCTCAGCCAGAAAAAAAGGTGATTACAAGAAAGATACTTTGAAGGTGGCCTAGTCAGAAAATCAGAGTAAAATGAAGGCATATTTGTAAAGAAACAAAAGTAAAAGGAGATATTTTAAGCCAATGGCTCGGAGAACACAAAAGAAGGGGTGTTTCAGAAAGAGGAATGAATGATTTGATGATGAGTGCACTGGGGAAGGAATCCAAAAGTAATTTTGAAACAGCTGTAATTGCCAGTTAAGAGACGTTCCTGTTGTATTTCTTTCTTTCTTTTTTTTTTTTTTTTGAGACGGAGTCTCGCTCTGTCGCCCAGGCTGGAGTGCAGTGGCGCTATCTCGGCTCACTGCAAGCTCCGCCTCCTGGGTTCACGCCATTCTCCTGCCTCAGCCTCCCGAGTAGCTGGGATTACAGGCATGCAACACCACAGCTAATTTGTTTCTTTACAAATATGGCTTCATTTTAAAATATTCTAATGAGTTGCTGTTCTCCTTAGTGAACTTTCTGCCGAAGCTCTTTGTTATCCTTGCTCCAAGTCCTGGCTGAGTGTTCCCCAGGCCTGTGGCAAGGACATCCCTGCAATATCATCCAAGAATGCCCTGTTGGTGCTCTCAGTTGTTGCAGTTATTATTTCCTTAATCCTGTGCCTTCCTCTCTCTGGGTTTAATCATTAACAACAAAACGTTGTTGCAGTTTACCCTCAAGTAGCTTCCTAAGAAAGAATACATAAGTAAAATATCAGAGACAGCGCTTGTCTGTAAATGCTTGTCGTCTGTGTGTGTGTGTGTGAGAGAGAGAGTCTCACTCTGTCGCCCAGGCTGGAGTGCAGTGCCACAATCTCGGCTCACTGCTACCTCTGGCTCCCGGGTTCAAGCAATTATCCTGCCTCAGCCTCCCAAGTAGCTGGAATTACAGGCATGCACCACCACAGCCAGCTAATTTTTTTTTTTTTTTTTGTAGTTTTAGTAGAGACAGGGTTTCTCCATGTTGGCCAGGCTGGTCTCGAATTCTTGACCTCAGGCGATCTGCCTCGGCCTCCCAAAGTGCTAGAATTACAGGCATGAGCCACTGCGCCCTGTCTGTAAATGCTTTTAATCCTGCTGTCTGCTGATCAATGGTCTGGCTAGGCATATAATTCTAGGTTAAAATTTACTTCCTCTCCAAAATTTGAGAATATTCTTTATGAGCTTCTAGCATTGAAACTTGCTGTTAAAATGCGATATGTCATATGCCTCTCCATTCCTTTGTAAGGTGATGTTTATTTTCTCTGAAATTTTAGTTACTCCTCCTTACCCCTCTTGTGAAATTTCACAAAAAAATATGCCTTGGCGAGATTCCCTTTCCATGGGTTGCACTGGGCACTTGATGAGCCATTTCAATCAGTAGCATAATGCACATGCACTCTGGGAAATGTTCTTGTATGAGTGCTTTTATGGTGAATTACATATAATATTTAAGAATGAGGGTTCTAGAGTTCTGAAGCATTTACATTAGGTAGTTTAAAAATCTTTTTCTGCTACTCAACTTCTTATCTAAAAATTAGTATAATAATATAACCTACTTCATAGAGGTTCTCTGGATTAAATAAAAGAGGATGTGTAAAGCCCTTAGAATAATGATAGTCATCCATTTTTTATTTTAGACTTGAGTTTGAACATAGTGGATTGTGTTTTGTATGGAAGATATTATAGTTCACCAAAGAGAGATTAAGCATGACAAATCAAAGAGAAATATAATATATAATAGGGAATTTGGCTAAGGAAATGAGGAAACTGTTGCAGTTTTTAATTTCCTGGGCTTTGTTTCAAAGCACAATGGATGAGTTAACCAATATTCACTGAGTGGACGAAGCCTAGACTTCCAAATCCAGGCTCTTTTAGCAAACAATTTGATATGGACTAGTAAGGAAAAAAGAGGCTTCATGTACTTTTGTTTATATGAAGTCACATTTATCTAGCTGCCATTTACCACCTTGTCTTTCATGCTCTTTGCAGCTGGATAGGAACATTTCCAGGTAGTCTCATGAAACTTTTCTATGAAAGTCTCTTTTGATCCTTGGCCAAAGGGGAACCCTCACTTCACATAAGGATTTCACATGTCTTTTAGCAATGCCTGAGGAAGAGAACATAAAATCCATCACTCAGGGACATCATTTGGATTTGTGACTCTCTCTGGAGGCCAGTGTGCCCATAAAACAATGAATGGATCAGATCTATTCAAACGTGGAGTTTTTCATTTATGACAGATGTAATATTGATAATATCCTTCATTTAATAAGTCATCCAAGTATAATTCAATGCAAGTTCCTAGTATAAATTACCAGCCATATTCATCTTGCTTGACTGTTTTATAACACCAAAGAGGAGCGAGCAGAACTGCATAAAAATTCCATGTTGAAATTCCAAAGGAGAGCTGCTTCTGCAGCTGGCCCAGTTATTCCCCCTTTGAGAAGGGGCACAAATCTGGACTCTGCCAGAAAGCCAGATCATGTAAGCTCAGTTCAGTCTGACTGTGAGTGATTTGTGGCCAGACAGGTAACAGTGAGGAAAGGAAGGAATTCCTTTAAAAAACTATTGACTCTGTCCTCTTTCCTTTATCGCTACACAGCTCTTTCCCACTGTTTTCCCTGGTAATGGATTTCTGCCTAAGTCGCTGTGATTTAGAACATAGACAGCAATGTCTGGCCTTTTTAGAGCATGCAGATGCCTGTGGACTAACATGACCTAAGAATAGCAAGCGGAACCTCGCGAGAAATCAAACGCTAAATGAAGTGAATATTTTGATGAGAGTGTCAAATGTAGACATACATATTGTATGCAGTTATTAGATGATACAGAAGTAGGTAGAAAAAATCCACGTGAAATGCAGGGTTAGACCCAGAGTCCCTGTTTCCATTTCTCTTTCTATTTAGCCATCACAAACTGGCTCCATGTTACTAGTAGAACTGCCTCCTCCATAGTCACCACAGCATAGTAATGACCAAATAATTTTTTTCACCATTTTAGCTTGATCTTTCTGTTGCATTTGACCTGAGTCATCAAATCCATCTTCTTTAAATTTGTGTTTCTAAGATACAGTATATTTTAATACCTGCTATGTCTGAATCCTCTATTTCTGAGTTTCCTTGTTCTGCCTGATTAGCCCCTTTTGTCTGTGTAGAATCTAATTACGGATATGGGTGCTCAGGACCTTGTTTTTGCCTCATACTCTTTTCCACCACATTGTTGCAACATGAGAAATGATCAATGTCTTTTTCAAACCATCCATGATCACTTCTGTATGAGTGATTTAAAAATTCATATGTCTACCCCTACTTTGGAAGTATTTGACTCTTCTGCTTTCTTTAGGCCTCATATGAAGTTACCCGCTGAATCATGTTTGTTACGCCTCCAAAATATCTTCAGGAAGGCAGAATGATGGGAGACATCATTGTTGAGAGAATGAGCTTGGTAGTTACCTGAACCTTGGCTTTACTCCCAGACCTGGCCCTTGGTAGTTGTGTCTTAAGGCAAAGCTGCCAAACCAGCCTATTAAGCCCTCCAAGGGCTGTTGTGAGGATTAAATTTGATGATATCTGTAAATCACTTATTATAATTCTTAGCCCAGAATATATCCTCTATAACTTGTTCTCCTGGGTGATATACGATATGAAAGTTATCCTGTGTGATATGCTATATTCAGAAACTCAACATACTCTAAATGTATACATCTAAAATAGAATGTATGATATTTCCCTAGAACTGGCACCCTCACTCAAGTCTCTGTTTTAGTTAGTGGTATCACCTCCTTCCATTTCCTCACCTGAAATCTCAGTGCATGTGGCTTTCCCTCACGTCAGTACTCCATATGGAATGCTTTTCATAGCCACCTCCTTTTCTTCAGGGCTGCTTTCCAAGCCCACTCTGACATCACCTGAACTATTCCTTTTTGTTTTTTTTCATGCCAGATAGGTAATGTACCGATGTCGTAACAAGGTTTGAGGAAGGCACAACTCATACATGTGCGTGACAACCCATTCATCACACTTATTAACTAGAAAAAAGATCACTACTCCATTTTTTGCTTTTTCATTTTCCCACAAGGGTGCCAGGTTACTATCCAGCTACCCAGTGTTGACCTCTGAACTTGGAATTAATTTTCCAGAGAATAAAGGTGTTTAACAAAATGAACTCTTTTTAAATTTCATTTTTAAAAAGTTTTAATTTCCATAGGTTTTGGGGGAACAGGTGGTAGTTGGTTACATGAGTAGGTTTTTGAGTGGTGATTTGTAACATCTTGGTGCACCCATCACCCAAGCAGTATACAATGAACCCGATTTGTAGCCTTTTATCCCTCATCCCCTTCCCACCATTTCCGCCCTCCAAGTCTTCAAAGTCCATTGTATCATTCTTATGCTTTTGTATCCTTTTAGCTTAGCTCCCACCTATGAGTGAGAACATATGATATTTGGTTGTCCATTCCTGAGTTACTTCACTTAGAATAATAGTCTCTAATCCCATCCAGGTTGCCGTGAATGCTGTGAATTCATTCCTTTTTATGGCTGAGTAGTATTGCATTATATATATATATATAAAATTATACACACACACACACACACACACACATATATATATACACACCATAGCTATATAGCTACATATATACCACAGTTTCTTTAACCACTCATTGATTGATCGACATTTGGGTGATAAAATGATCTCTATGTGACATTTTAACTCAAAAGTTTTATGATTCTTGTTTGTTTTAGGAGTCCACATTACTACTTTTGCCAAAAATCTTAAAGTCCAGCTTTAAAGACATTTCCTAATTTAGCTACATTTTTTTGAGCAATTTTGCCTTCCCTCCCTTGGTCCTCCCTGTCACCCAGCCATGCCAATGTCTTCTGTCACATGCTTGCTCCATTGTTCATACACTTTCCTCATTGTTAATTAGCTCCTTTCTCTTCTTGCTGCCCATTCTTTAGGAATCTGACAGGGGAAATTATAAGTAAGAATGAGTGTGATAGATGAAGATGAGAAAATAAAATAAGGTAATATTGGGCTAGGTCAATGTGTGATAGATGAAGATGAGAAAATAAAATAAAGTAACATTGAGCTAGGTCTTTTCCTATGGTCTCTGAGGCTTCCTTTCTAACGAACGAGGCCTTCTTGTTCTTATGAAAGGCATTATGACTGCTGGCAGCCCTCTGTTTACATCCTTCAAGGTGTTAAACCCCATGGAGAACCCTAATTGACTCCGATTGGTTCATGAGACTATTGCTGCTGTTGGAAGAATGGTCCAGTCCACTCTGAATGACTAGGCCTGGTCAATGTGTTTTCCAGTTGGTGGTAGGCAGTGGGTTTTGTGGCTATAATCAAAGTGAAAACAGTGTGTTACCAGAAGTGGGAAGGGCTGTTGCACTAACCAAAACAATTGATATTCACTATAGTCTCTATAGGTTCAGTTGACATAATATGTCCCCCCAGTATGTGAACATTTACATAAATATACTCATTCATTGATTCAATGACTATAATATGGTCTTGTCTACCTGAGACAAATGTCCAGCTATTCAGGATTGCAGCAGACACAGGTGGATGTCTAGTAAATATCTACACCCCCACCCACCTTTCATAAAGCACAGTATCTGCTAAGATGCTGCTGCTCAGCCACTGCAGTTCCCACCATGAGATTAGCTCCTGTAAATGGAATATGAATAGGGGTGTTCCACTCCCAAGCCAAGTTGATTAAGAAGCAGATGTGCCTTCTCTATTTTTGCTTTTCCTTTCCCTCGGTTGGAAGCAAAAGTCATGGAACCTTTAGGTGCTGGCAGCGCTACACCCTGAGTCATCACGTGGAATGTTATGTGGCAAACATTCTCACTGAATTGTTGTGTAAAGAAAAAATTATGCTTTATTATTAAGTCACCAGTGTTTGGGTATTCATCTGCTGACAGCAGCTAGTGTTAACCTAATGAAACTGGAAAAATCCACATAACAGATATCACTCAGAGAAAAGAAAAAAGTGATTGCATTAAATTGACAATAGCAATGATCTTCTTCCTCAACACATAATAGAAACTTCCTGAAGGCAGAGACTTTCCCTGTTCTTTTCAACATTGTATCCCAAATATTAGAACAGCTACTGGCACATAGTAGGTGCTCAGTAAATATTTGTTGATTATTGATGTAGTAGTGTTTTTTAATTGCTGCATGACAGATTACTACCATCATAGTGGCTTAAGCAACACACATTAATTATTTCACAGTTTCCATGGGTCAGGAGTCTGAGAATGGCTGCTATAGCTTGGTCCTTTGCTCAGGATCTCACAAAGCTGTAATCAAGGTATCAGCTGCAGCTAGTGTCTCTCATCTGAGGCTCAATGACCTCTTCCAAACTCATGTTGGCAGTATTAATTTTCTCAGAGCAGTAGAATCTGTGGTAGCTTACTTCTTCAAAGCCTGTGGGAAAGAGAGTTCCTTACCTCTAGACCCTCTTTTCGATGGGATTTTTACTAGATGAGCTGGTTTAGGTTAGGCTCACCAAGTAAACATCTCTTTAATTAACTTACAGAAAACTGATTATAGACCTTAATTACATCTGAAAAGCCATTGTATTCTTGTCATAAAATGTAAGCTAATCAAAGTAGTGACTATTCTAACACCTTTTCCATGTTTTTAGAATATGGAACTTAGAAGCAAGTTCTAGGTTCTGTCCATATTTAAAGGAGGTTATTATACAAGGGTTTTACTCATTGTGAGTTATTTTAGAATTCTGCCTACCTCAAAGGACAAAATATTCTGAAAATATGCTTATACTTTAAAATATGGATATAGAACATTATTTTATTTATTTATTTTTGAGACAGAATCTTGCTCTGTTACCCAGGCTGGAGTGCAGTGGCATTATCTCGGCTCACCGCAAACTCTGCCTCCTGGTTCAAGGGATTCTCCTGCCTCAGCCTCCCAAGTAGCTGGGATTACAGGGATGCAACACCACAGCTAATTTCTTGTATTTTTAGTAGAGATGGAGTTTCACCATATTGGCCAGGCTGGTCTTGAACTCCTGACCTCAAGTTGATTCACTTGCTGTAGCCTCTGAAAGTGCTGAGATTACAGGCGTGAGCCACTGCACCCAGCCTAGAACATTATTATAAAATAGAGATGATGACTACTTGTAAGCTTGGTATAATAAAAATCCAGTATTTTTAAAGGTTTAAATTTAGCAAATGATTTTAAGAAATTAGTAAAGTTATGAACAAGTGATAAATATTCAACTGTCTTACATTTTTATGAACCCAGAGTAAACATTATAATATATTTACATAGAAACATATTCATACTACTGTAAGAATATTCTAATAAGATACACTTTTACTAAATTATAATTAAAAATTCATGCTCAGAGATAGTCTTCTATAGATACTAGTATCCCAAGTATTTCTAATAGTAGTAGTAGTAGTAATAAAAAGAATAATGGAAACAAAGTATTCTATTGATGTTTGATATTAATATAGCAGATATAGTAATTATTATATTTGCCGTGTTGCTGTTAAAACTGGAGAATCTGCCATTTAAAAATTTACTGGAACTTCATTTCTGATTTCTAGGGTGGAATTTTCTCTTCTCCTCTTTGTGGTCATCCCCCACTGTACCCTGGGAATGTCTGCGTTTGTGGGCTTTTATTCAGACTTAGAGAAAAGCACCTACATTTTCTTCTTGAGAAAGTGTTAAACTCCAGAAAGTAACCCATGTGCAGACACTTGAGATGGAGATAATAATGCTGTCCTTGGTCATTTTGTTTTGATTAAGATTGCCTTTGTTAGCATTACTCTTTCTTCATTTGTGCTTAGGGAATGTCTATGTTTGTGAGTTTTTCTATGCAAGCATTTACTCATAAAATTCTGAAAACAGAAACGAAGCTTTGTTGCCTATCTTGGTTCCTTGACAACATGGAAGCTTTCCAATGCTTAACATGCTACACTATGGGAAAAACACAGGTAATTTTGTATTTTGGGATTGTCCTGAAAGGAGCCTAGGGTGAGACCAATGCCTGTGGGTAGGGGGTGGAGTTCTCCCTAAGAAGAATGCATGATCCCCATGAAGCAAGCTGGGGAGAGGTCAATCAAGGGCAGAAACTTGATTGGAAATCAGTCAAGAGATTGGGGACTCCTGGGGGAGTCAGAAGGAAGGAAAAGCTGTTTCTTTTCTTTCTGACCTCAGGGAGTTGGTGTCTAGACTGCAGGAGAAGATGTATACTGTACTTAGGAAGCTCTCCTTGGTTTTTGCCAGAAGGTAAGCTGGACTCTATAAAATGGAGGAGACAAGGAATGGCAGGAAGGTTGATTTTCACCACAGTGAGGCAGGTCAAGATCTAAACAGGAAAAGGTGTCAGGAGATGACTGACATGTGGCTTGGGACTTTGGATTCTAAACGCAACCACAACCAATTTCAAGTTTTCTGTGTGATACAGTTCCCGTCCCTGGTTTCTTTTAGTGAAGTCTTATTAAGCATTACACAGCGCAGTTGTGCTTTAGAGAATTGAGGGATGAGCTTACCATTACACTTGCAGTAAAGCTTCTATAGGGGAGAACCACCCGCACCCTGAGACATACATGAAATGAAGCTCAACTCAGAATTGGGGGGCATGGTCCAGCAATAGATGTGGGGTATTCCAAGTGACCGGTGAGTTCCAAAATATTATTTGAGAGCATGTAACAAATGGTATCAGGATTCCCAGAGGTACTGGGAGAAGGAAACCTCATAAAAGAGTGCCTGTACAAAAGTACCTTCGTAACAAAAAAAGTAAAAAGGAAGTGCTACTTTATTTCAAAGTCTTCTGAGGCCTGGAGCATATGCATTAAAACAGTTTTCCTTTGTTCAGCTTTTCTTGTTCTTTATCCAGTTCCTGACAAAGCAAATGTGTTAAATTTCCTACCTGTAGATAGAAACATTTACAGTTTTATCTTTCCAGTGAAGGCCTTGATTACACTTGAGTAAAAGGCAATAGAACAAGAGGAAGAACAGTGATGTTACAGCATCCAAAGAATAATAATAACTTAAAACTGGAAATACTTATTTTTATAAATTAATTTCTCAACATATACATTACGTGTGTTAATTTTATGTATAAAACAAATCCAGCTGTACTTACGAATACCTATCAGAATCCTAAACAGTTTGAAAATACCTAATATAGTAAAACTATCACAATATCAACTAAAAATCTCTATTTAATTAAAAATTATTATGAATATACACATATGTTCACAAGCATAAATTTATTTGATTTGGGATTGTGTACATCTACCTTAGATTGAGATAACTTTTGAAAATATTCAATATGAGAAAAGTAATCTAAATAGCAGGCAGAAGAGGTTTATTTCGTACCATCCATTCCTTTCTTCCTTCCCTAAAAGATTCTTTGATATCTCCTCCAAGAAAAAAATCAGAAGGAACCTAGAAAAACTTGTCATGCAGTTTAAGGAATGGCTGTGAGGCCAGCCAAAACAAAGAGTGGAGAAGAAAATGCTTGAATGTAGGGATGTAATGAAAATGATCTGGCTGGTCATAGAAATTGCAGGAGGGATTCTCTCATGAGATGGGAAGTGAAGGATTTCATTTCTAAGCTTCCTTTCAGCACTTAAGATTCTATGAATTTGACACTCTTGTCCACCATTACTTGCTGAATTACACTGGAGTAGGTTTGTTTGTTTAGTTATTAATGTGACTGCCATCTTTGCTTAGCACCCTTCATTCCTCGTGCATTTTTAAACCTTTCTTTTACTTGACCAAATGCAAATACATGTGCTTAGATTCTGCCTACACATCAGTAACAATCAAAAGAAAATACATACTTAATCATGCAGGTGCTTTATCCAACATGACACTAAACATTTGCAAAAAGGTGGGATTCCAAACATTCATATTTTAGGGGACACTGAGTTGTAGCTATATCAAATATGTGAAAGCACATGGCAGCCCTGTGATTCATTTAATCTTTGAGGATATGAATAACAACAACAAAGAAGTCGGTGATCTGGGCTGCCAATTTCTTGTTTAGTTTTTAGTTTCTATGGCTTACAAAAATATTTCTTTTATTTCGTTTGACCTCATCATAGAAGGATAAAATTGGTATCAATAATCTCATTTTATAGACAGGAGAATTGAGGCTTAGGTGATTAAAGCAGCTAGCCCAAGGTGACCTAAGTAGTTAATGATGAAGGAGAACTGGTTAATGAGGAAGCAGAGACTTGAATTCAAGTCTTCTGACTTCAGAATTTATTTTCCTTTAGCATCAGATACTGGTTTTACTTTTCTGGAAAATAGGTTTTAGAGCTTATACCTTAATTATTTTATTTTATCTTATCTTATCTTATCTTATCTTATCTTATCTTATCTTGAGATGGAGTCTCTGTTGGCAAGCTGGAGTTCAGTGGCACGATCTCAGCTCACTGCAACCTCTGACCCCCTGGTTCAAGCGATTCTCCTGCCTCAGCCTCCCAAGTAGCTGGGATTCCAGGCACGTGCCACAACGTCCAGTTAATTTTTGTATTTTTAGTAGAGACAGGGTTTCACCATGTTGACCAGGATGGTCTCTATCTCCTGACCTCGTGATCCGCCCACCTCGGCCTCCCAAAGTGCTGGGATTACAGGCGTGAGCCACTGCGCCCAGCCTATGCCTTAATGTTTTTACACCTCATTGGAAAACGGTTCGAATCAGAATTATCAAATGCAAGGAAAACAGTTATGGTATAACTAGAATATAGCAGAATATAATGTATGATTGCTTAGCTTTATATTATTTCTGTAGCTTTAAATAAAGGAAAAATGCTTAATGGTGTCCTTTTCTGATTAAAAAAAAAAGTTTTCTGTTTCCTTCTCTGAATCAATTTACCATGCTTTCAGTATCACAACAGTTTTCAGTTGAGCTTTTATTTGTAAAGGTAGAAGCTTCTTGAGACGATTTCTTTTTGTGGTCGATAAAGCATTTTCCCCTCCTCCTCAACAGACTACCACTGGACCTGACAGTGGTAAAAACTGTCTCCCTATGCCAGAGAGTCCTCTGTAGCTTCTATGAAGAGGCAAGGTGCCTTTTGGCAGAGACAAAGTATATGTCATCTTCCTCCCCATCTTTTGTTAGGCTAAATTTGAGGGACTAGAATATAGATGTTTTCCAAAATATTGATTAATATGGTTGTTTCTATGTTAAAAAATAAATTGAATCAGTTGTTTAGCATCAAGTGTACAAAAGAAATTATGTTGATTTTTTTCCCCACATGTCAGTTGGCTGTTATGGTAAATGTTTTGGCACTGTATAGACATTAACGTTGTCCACATGATGCCAAAATGACGTGTTGACAAAAGAAAAATGCAAAAAACTAGTTATATAATGTTTTATAGGTACAACTGTATTTTTCCTGATGTTATGTATTTTTTTCTAAAGCAGTATAATTATATGATGTTTTATAATTTCTTATGGATATAAAATTTGGAATATTTTTCTTGATTTTAGAAGGAGTCAGAATTATTAAGAGCCTATTTACTCATTTAGGTAGCTAATCTAAAAATTGACTTCATATTAAAGACTGACTTAAAATACAAATTTTCTATAAAATTATGCTGGTCATAGTAAATTAAATAAAAATTAAGACAATAAGTAAAATATACATATATAAAACATATCTATGATCATAGAATGAATAGTAGAATTTTGGCTCAGACTATTTTTATTCATGAATCAAATAAGAAATATAGTTAAATAATAGGGAAAACAATATAATTAGATATTTCTTTAGGAGTCACTAGAATATATAAACACAAAGATGAATCACTTAGCATATACTTAGTGCAGTTATAGGGGCTGTGAGGGACACCCTGCTTTGGTTGAGGAAAACGTAATATTTATTAAACAATGTTGAAAATATACAACAGAATTCAAGTGCTAAAATACATTCTATAATTGCTTTAGGGGTACCAAGGAATAAAAGATTGATGAAGGCTGTGTTAAAGAAGTGGTGTTCCAGCTGAGCCTGAAAGCAAAGGTCAAGTTTGAATTGATAGAGGTGAGAAAAGAAGACATTCTAGATGAGAAGGGCAACGTGAGGCAACGTGAGGAAAATCCTAAGGGTGAAAGTAAGCAGGGTGAGCATTTCCACATTGTATGTGAAAATATAATACTGAGTGCCTTTATTTTAGACATGGTTCTAGAAAATATCTTGAATTTTCCATCTCCTTTCTGATTTTGCAGACCTTGGCTTTATTGAAGTGTTGGAACAGTACTAGTAATGTTTATTAGACAATAATGAAAAGAAGAATGATATCTCAGTAATCCCCCTGTCATATTATTTGTGTAATCTGCACTTATAGTCCTCACTGCCAACATATATTAATAAGCAACCAGCCTTAAATGCTGTTCTCCAAATCCATTACTTAAATAGTGCTTTACAAGTAATATGTTGAAGAGACTATGGTCTTGAGATTCAAAATAATGATGTAATTCAGCTAGATTTTGAGGCAGAGGTGGAGAAGGAAGGGCTGTGCAAAATAGCATGATGAACTCTAGTCTTCCCATTGGGTACTTTTAAGCTTTTCTCTACGTTTCTTGAGACAAAGCCTTTTTTTTTTTAACAACTAACGGGCAACTCCAAACCCCTGTATATTTATGAAACAACTAATGAGCAACCCCAAACCCCGATATATTAATGCTGTATGTGTGGGTATGACAAGAGACATTTTATCTGCATGCAGATAAAATGATATGGTTAGGCTTTGTAGCCCCCACCTGAATCTCATCTTGAATTGTAATCCCCAGGTGTTGAGGGAGCAACCTGGTGGGAAATGATAGGATCATGGAGGCAGTTTTCCTCTTACTGTTCTCATTATAGTGAGTTCTCACGAGATCTGATGGTTTTATAAGCATCTGGCATTTCCCCCTGCTTGCACTTCTCTCTTGCCTGCTGCCGTGTTAATACGTACCTGCTTCCCTTTCCGCCATGACTGTAAGTTTCGTGAGGCCTCCCCAGCTATGTGGAACTGTGAGTCAATTGTACCCCTTTCCTTTATAAATTACCCAGCCTCGGGCAGTTCTTTATAGCAGTGTGAAAACAAACTAATACATAACATTACAGGCATTCAGAGCTTTATAATCAAAGGAAAAAAGTAGGGAAGAAGTAGAAATAACTAAATAGAGAATGATTTATCAGGAGAATAGAGTGAGATCTGCTGGAAAATTCCTTCAAAAACAGGGCAATAGGTGAGAATATTTTTTGGTAGTTCACAAAGCAACCTTTCACTTTTAATAGTTATATGTTGAATATACATTAGTATACTACAAAGTGAGTGGTGTGTGTGTGTGTGTGTGTGTAATAAGCACAAGAAAACCACAAAATAGTGTGTAGTTTTTACAGTGTGGTTCCCAAACAGTATCACCTGGGAGCTTAGAAATGCAAATCGTCAAGCACCACCGCAGATAGACTGAATCAGAAACTTTGCAGGTGAAGCCCAGCAATCCCTCCAGGTGATTCTAATGTGTACTAAAGTTTGAGAACCACTAATTTGATGAATATATAATTGCTTAGGGTAAGGCTAAATTAAAAATCTATTTAAATTTAATTTAAAAATAAATTTTGGTATATAAGTCGTAGTTTAAAAAGATAAATATAATGAAAGTAGTATTTGAGTTACTGAAGTTAAAAATAGTGCTCTCCTTTGTAGTATTGTAAAAACTGTGGCTTGGCAGAAATTACAGTGAAGAACAAATAAGAAAATGAGGAAAAATAATGAAAGAAAGAAGGAAGGAAATGGGGTTTAATGTCAACTAACATATATCAGTAAGAAGCATGTGGAAGATCCTTTATCAAAATATTCAGTAAGTCATTTGTTGGGACTAGCTTGTCTAATGTTGAATATCTGAACCTCATTATTACAAATAGTCCAGTTAAAGATAGCAGGGCAGAAAAATCCTTGACTTTATGTCCCAAGCACAGAATCACTTCCCAGATGGCCTGACTTAATGGACATTTTGTTTGTTAAAACACCAAATGTCTAAAAGCAAATTAGAGTCATTTGGGTAAAAAAAAAACACAAAAAAACCCATCCTTAATTTTCTTTCTACTTGGCAGTAATCCAGTTTGAATTTTTCTTGTGCCACTATCTATAATAAAGGAATTTGTGTAAACTTCAGGGGATTATATTCTCTTTCACAGAGAATGCCCAAGATAGGTTATTTCAGCCTCCAATGTGAAGCAAATGTGAAATTCTGGGTTTTTTTCTAGACTTAGATTTAATAGTCTAATACCTGAATTGATTTTATCATGCAAATGCCTATTGGTAAATTTAATAAATCATAATCTTTAATGAGGTAATTTCTGGACAAATAGCATATTAACTCTAAAGAAATAAATATCAGGCATTAAAAAAAGAATCTTAGTTTAGGCTTTGTCTCTAGTTTATACTGGTTCTGGGTTTAATTATATATTTTAAATATTCAGCATCTACTTTAAATTCCAGTAGCTAATCATATATTCAGTGGCTATAAAATCCACTTTTTGTTGGATCTTTATTATTCAAGTATTCTACTACATGCAATAAGAAATAAACAATATACATACTAGAAATATCAGAAGAGAGTAGCAAGCATCAGCAATCTTCACTTGGGAAGAGGCGAGAGTTCAGAAAGAGACTTTATGTCGTGAGTAGGGCTTGAGAGAAGCTGAAGATGGAGCAGGAACATCAAATCACCAAATAAAACCTTCAGTACTCCACATGTCACACTAACCACAAGGAAACTGTGGTCCATCATTGGAGAAATTTGAGGTTGGTAGTGCACTGAGATAACTACAGCAGCTACAAAACTCTCATCCATTTCAATTACTGGTGAGACTGACTCAACTACTGACACTAACAGTCTTAGATAAGAAAAGATATATCAATTTCAGGGTACAAATAATAGTATCTCAGTCTCTACTGTTTCTTGACACACAATGTTTGATGTTTATTCGTATCTACTTTCATTCCTGTTTTTGTTTTTTCCTGGTGTGTGTGTCAGACAAAAAAAAAAAAATGACCCATTGGCAAGAAAACAAAATAGTAGAAATGGAAATAGAGATATCCCAGACATTGAAAATTTTCAGCAGTCTTTGAAATAACTATGATTAATATTGTAAATATCCAGCAAAAATGTAGACAAAATATTAACAGAATTTCAGTAGAAGGCTGGGAAGTATAAAAAAAGTAGTAAATTGAAAATGCTTAACAAACAAATAATTCCTTTGATACACTTATCTGTAAACTAGACAGAGAAGAGGAAAGAATCAATGAACTTGAAGGTAAGTCATTTAAAATAATTCAACTCGAAACACAAATAGGAAAAAGGAGAAGAAAACAGAATTAAACATCCAGGAATGTGGGACACTATCAAACTCTACAAAATACCTAGACTTGGCATCCCAGAATGAGAACAGGGAATAGTGAGAACCCAACAATTCATGTAGAGTTACAGGCCAGGAATTCACCAAAATTTACTGAAGTCAACAAGCAACAGTTCCAAAAATCTCAAAGAACCCCTAGCAGGCTGAATATACCTAGGCACATCATAATCAAACTGCTTAGAAACAAAAATAAACAAAAAATCTTGAAAATACCCAAAGAAAAAAGAAAAATATAGAGGAGAACAAAGTTAACAATGGCAGTAGACTTTTCATCAGAAAGCTAGTAAGACAAACAAAAAGAAGAAAAGAGAAAAACAATGAAGTGACATGTCAACTGGGTAAAGAAATAAAACAACTTGTCAACCAATAATTCTATACCCAACTAAGTCCCTTTTAAAAATAAATAAAAAATATGTATTTTTTCACATTAAAAACAAAAATAGAGAATTTATCACCAGCTTAACTGCACCACAAGCTATGTTATTTAAAATAAGTCTTATAGACAGAAATAATATGAGGTCAGTTGGAAATCTGTGTCGTCGGAAAGGAATGGATATGCCCCAGAAATGGTAAAAATGTAGATAAATATATTAAAGATTATTTTCCCTTACTTTTGACCTTTTTAAAAGATAAATGACACTTTATAACAAAAAGAATAGTAAAATATTGTGAGGTTAATAACCTATGTAAAAGCAAAATATATGACAGTAGTACAAATGATAGGAAGGAAGAAATAGAAGTATACTGTTGTAAGGGTCGTGTGTTGTGCAAAAAGTGGTATGCTATTATGTGAAGGTAAGCTATGATAAGTTAACAAAGCATATTGTAAAATGCAGAGCAACAATTGAAAAAATAAAACAAAGATATATAGCTAATAAGCTGATAGTGGAGATAAAATAAAATTATTAAAGTGCTCAATTCAAAATATGGCAGAAAAAGAGCAAGAATGAAACGAAGAACAGATGGAATACTAGATAAGAAATGGCAAGATGTAATCCCAACCATATTATAGATTTAAGCCCAACCCTATCAAAAAGTATATTTGATACAAATGGTCTAAATACTACAACTTACATGTAGAACTGGCCAAATTGGATTTTAAAAAGGCTCAAATATATACTATTTATAAGAAAATTATTTTAATATAATGAAATAGGTCAAAAGTAAAAGGATGGAAAATGTGTACCATGAAGCACTAATCCAAAGAAAAATGGATATTAACAGAGATAAAGAAAGAAATTGCATGGTGAAAAAAGGTCCATTAATCGGGAAAGCATAACAATCCTAACAATCCTAAAGGTAAGATTTGAATCACCTAATAATGGTACTTCAAAATACATAAAGCAGAAAAATGATAGAACTGCAAGGACAAACGGACAAATGCACAATTATAGTTTGAGATTTTCAACACTCTCCTCTCAATAATAGATAGAATAAATAGGCAAAAAATATTTAAACCTACAGTTAATATTGTACTTTTACTTAATAGTAAAAACCTATACGACCATATCTAGTCAACATTGTTAGAGGTCATAGTCACTTCAGTAAGTCAAGAGAATGCATACTGATTGTAAAGAAATACTGTGAGCTCTTCACTCACTGATGATATGATTGTTAATATAAAAAAATCCCAAATGTAAATTTATGAAAACCTAACACTAAAAAGTGTCAGCTACCAAGGCCATAAAATTTAAAGTTAATATTTTAATACTCAATTGATTTATTTATATACTAGTGATAAATAATTTAAAATGAAAATTTAAAAAGAATATCCAACAGCATCAAAAAATATGAAATTCTTCTCATCACTTCAATGAAATATATGCAAGACATGCGCTTTGAAAATTATTAAACATTTCTGAAATTAAAGAATATCTAAAGTAACAGAACTATATAATGCATTTATTGATTGACTCAATATTGTTAAAATATTACTTCCCAAATTGATCTGCAGATCTAATGCATTTTCATTCAAATTCAAATCAGGACTACTTTGGGGAACTGACAAGTTTATTCTTAAATTTGTATGAAAACATCAAGAATTTAGAATAGCCTATACAATTTAGAAAAAGAGAAAAAATATCTGGGCACTTACACTGCTTGAATTATCGGTGAGTTAGCAGTTAGCTTTACTTAGTACAAATCTACGTTAATAAAGACAATGTGGTATTGACATAAGAACAATCATATAGATCAATGGAACAGAATAGACTACAGAAATAGACTCACATGTGTTAATTATGTTCAAATTAACTTGATAAAATAATTCAATGGGAAAAGAATAGTCTATTCAACAAACAGTGTTGGCATAATTTGATATCTATATAAAATATAAACTTCGACAATTAAAAAAATTAACATTATGAATGATAGACCTAAACATAAGAACGAAAGCTGTAAAACTTTTAGGGGAAGACAAGAGAAGCTCTTTGTGACTCTGTTAGCCAATGATTTCTTGGTATCAAGGACCATTTGTCACATCTTTGTAGGATAGAACCCTGTAGAGTGACTGATACATAGTAATATTGAAGAGAAACATACTCAGTATATAAACACATTTTCAGAAAGTTTTGAAAGCTGATTCGAGTAGTATGAACCCTCAATTATGCTGGCCTCTTGCCTAGAACCTTCATAAACTTTTGCATGTTGGAAGCATAGGCCCCTAATTTGATTCTGGAAATTCAGAATTTCTATATTCATTTGACAATTGGGACACTCTCTAACAAAATATTACTCTATTTGAATGACATGTATTTCTATGGCTTCTTGAGCTCTCCAAATTTCCAGGAATGTTTTTCTAAGTCATCCTTGACTTCACGATGGAAAATACTGGCATATCACCTAGGTCGTGTTTTGGATGTGGACATGGACTTGTGTATGAGAGTCATTAGGTGGGTTCCAGGCCTTCTGTGGGAATCATGCGATTTACAGATCCTGCTCTTGCTCCTTTTTCTTTCTTTTATTCTCCCATTCACTTACTTGCTTCTACCTTGTTTTGATCACCTTCCTATTTTATAAGGATAGGAAGAAAGACAAGGTGCGAAATATGAGAAGGGAAATGAAAGAGAAGAGAATAATTAAATGCAAGAGAATAAAACATGTAGATACATAGAATTCTGGAAACAGAATGATAAATCTTTCAAGGAAGAGCGAAATCCAAATAAAATTGTTAAAAGCTCCATCTGTGAACATACAAGCTAGCCAGAGGGTGGGGTTGAAGTTGGAAGTATTTGGGTTTTTAAAGTCTTCCTATCCATGAAATAATGTACAAAGTAAACTAAAATATTTTATTAGACATTGTTAAATGTCATTGAAAGTCATTTTCTAGGAAAATGTTGTTTCCTCCAAACAACTTTGTAGGTAATAAATTTTCAATCTAAAATCTAGAAAAGACTTCACAAGTTCTAAAGATTTTCATAGAACCTCAGCCATCTTTAGTTCTCCCTATTGAGGATGTTGCACATTTTTGGAATTGATTCAGAGAACAGTTAAGCACCATCTGTGTGCCATTTACAGTAGGAAAAAAAGTATCTTTAAACTATTTATATTCTGAGATTTTTTTATTCTTGTTGGACAAAGTAGAATCAGTTCTGGTTTCAGGAAGCAACTTGGCATAACTCAACTTAAAAGAATGAAAAACTGATATAAAAGCCTTGCTGAAGATGATATCATAATAAACACATGTGCTTATTATAAAAAATTAATGCATAAAATTGCAGGTTATCTGGCAAAGTTGTAGGAATCTTATTAATAGGCTTGGAGTGATCGTTAACCTATGGGTGATCAACAGAAACTAATTCATAGGCTTCTTCTATATGACATGAAATACTTGTTTTCAAATGGTTATAATGATTCAAAGACATGACATGTCAGGCAGTAATCACATAATCACATAATTCATTAAGCAAAATAGTTCAAAGTTGGCATACAGTCTCAACTATAAATTATAGTTATTCAAATATTTTATAGTTACATTTTAACGTTGAGAGGTACTTTTTTAAATTAAAAATATTAGAAGCAACTTACTTTTTTTTTTTCCTTTTTTTTTGAGAAAGATTCTCACTCTGTTGCCCAGGCTGGAGTGCAGTGGCACGATCTCAACTTACTGCAACCTCCACCTCCCGGGTTAAGCGAGTCTCCTGCCTCAGTCTCCCGAGTAGCTGGGATTACAGGCTCCCGCTACCATGCCTGGCTAATTTTTGTATTCTTAGTAGAGACAGGGTTTCGCCATGTTGGACAGGCTGGTCTCGAACTCCTGACCTCAGGTGATCTGCCCTCCTCGGCCTCCCAGAGTGATGGGATTACAGGCATGAGCCACTGCGCCTGGCCTAGAAGCAACTTACTTTCTAAATGAGACACAAACTATGATAACTATACATAGACATAGATGGACTCTTTAATCAAGAAACATGTATAAAAAGAAAATATGATATATTTAATATCTATAACATAATTCAGTAGTAAATAGAAATATAGCAATTCAATTACTTGTTTCAATTATTTTTATTTATACACAGCTCATGTAAAACCTAAAATTTTCCCTTTCAGTTTTCTAGTTCTCCAGTGACTTGCATTTAATGGATGGCTTGCATTTCATGAATGGATACATAAGTGGCTATATTTTTTCTGTTTTAGCATTTATTTATCCTCACTATTATATTACCATCATCCTTGACAATTCAAGAATATATGCAGTGCATAATACCATACACTTTCATTGAATCCCAGAGCCTTGTCAATGGTTAGGATTCTATAACACAAACACTGTCTGCCACTTTGTGCTGAGTGTTGGATGCACAATCTAAACCTTAAAAGAAGCTCAAGCTTTTTCATTCCTTGAAGCAATGTGCTGACTGGGTCATGGCTAAGGAGACCTAGGATCTAGACCCAGACCTAGTTCTGGAGTTGCATCTTTACGTGCTAAGAACAAGAAGCCTTTGTCTCCATATGAAATGGAATTTTGGTATTCTTAACTCCTTGATTTTATTTTTATATTTGGAGTATTTTATCTTTAATATATCTGATGTGGCATAATGGGCTTTAGTAAAAAACAGAAAAAAAAACCAAGGGGAAGAAGAAATTGTCCTGGGCAAGGTACATTTTTCTTGTTTGGAAAAAATATGTCCTTATATATCATATAAAGTCCTGCCTACTTTCTAATGGCCAAGTATTCCATATATAAATTTGCAATAAAACGTATTAATAGTAGTGATAAATATATGACATTTTCTTAGACTTTTCCTTTGTACCCATCTGTTCAGGACCTAGTTTGTGTGACTGGTCAAGTATTCAGGTTGTCAGGACTTTGAATCTTACTCTACCTTGAAGACATATCTGATCCTGAGATTTCTTTTGGTCTCCTCATATGGTTCCTTTCACTAGGACTGCAAATTCCTTGAACACTTTCATGTTTCTCATAGGCTATGTGTAGTAGGTGCTAGAACACTTAAGACAGCAGAAACTGATCCTAAAGCTGTGCATTATGTGTCTAAGATAATGACTTCATGGTCATCTTTATCATATCAATAAATCCAATTTCACCAGTTGTGTTAAAGTGAAGATACAACATTAAGAAAAAAAAGAAGAGGATCTTAAATCCTGTTATCTCAATGCTTTAAAGTAGACTTGAGAGCAAGCAAAGGTTAGGTAAAAGGAAGAGAATAGAGAAGGGAAGGGAAAGACAGGCATTTAAGAGCAGTCCTCAGATATCTTAAATGTAATAAAAATGATTTTCCTTAATGGCATGCTTAGGATATAATATTTTTCTGGAGCAGGGAGAAATACCTGTACCATTTCTTTCTTCTCATCTAATAGAAATCCTACTCTACGATTGTAGTTTCCTCCAGTTAGAAATTCTTCACTCATTCTTATTGATTTTTTTTTAATTCTTAAAGATCATAATCTAGGGCAGATATGATACATTCAAACAAATTTTCCCTTATTTTCCTTTGGACGTTTAAGGTATTTGTTTATAATTATTATTAATTATAAAATTGTTTTGTATTCTCATGGTTCATGTTCATGAATTAAACTATATTCTTTTTTACAGTTTGGAAATGATCTTATTTATATTTCCAACTTGCTTAGTGTCTAGGACTAGTAAGTGCTCAATAAAGTCTGATTACTGGGTTTATGAATAAATGGAGAAATGAATGACTGAATGAACCTCAACATATACTTTGGTGTAAATAAGTTCATATCAAAGTGTAAATGACACTTGATCACTTTGTGTTATTTCTTGAAAGTTATAGTTTGGGAGGGTAGATAAAAACAAGCCATTGGAGTATCTGAAGATCAAAGAGGATGAATCTAAGCATAAAAACATACCGTAAAAGGGAGTCTTTAAGCAAATGTATAGGAAGCTGCTGAAGATGGCATATGTTAATCCTTGCTTTAGAGTCAAGAACTGATTCTTATTTATCTTATTATTTCCAGTATTTAACACAGTGCTTTGCATAGATAATTAAAGAATGTTTGTTGATTAATTACAGCTGATATGTATTAAGTTCTTAATATATGACCAAATCTGTGCCAAGTGCTTTATACAGTCTCTGCTTTATACCTTACATTGATAATATAAGGTTTTATTATGAATATTGATATTATTAATATTTATAATAAAATTCGTATTTATTTTACGAATGTGGAAACAGAGACTTAGAGAGTTTTTAAGATTATTAATATTAATAATAAAATAATATTATTGTCTTTATTTTATGAATGAGGAATCGGAGGCTTAGAAAATTTTGGAAATTACGCTGAGGCCACACAGCAAGTTTTGAGACCAAAATTTAAATCCAGAGGTCTTATCTATCTTGAGAATCTAAACTCATAACTCCGAGGATTTCATAATGTATCTTTCAGTTTATCTTTATTTAGGTAAGTAAAAACTCCAAATATAAAACAGTACTTAGATCCTACAGAGTCATATTATATTATCCTAGCCTATAAGTGGCCAATAGGTGATGAAGACATGCTTAAATGTTTTAGAGAAATCAGAAGTCATTCATTGGGACAGAAAGCACATTTTGTTCAATTACAGTCATGCTATTCTATCTACATAACCTGTTTCTCTCAGGAGGATGAAGATTTAGGACACATTGGAAATTTGCTTTTTAAATGGCTTCTGAGAGCTTTCTATATCAAATACAAATATATATGTCTGTCCATTCTCTATAGCAATTCTCTAAGTGTTGTCTGGAGACAGAGAGGGTCCCTGAAATTATTTCTTTAAATCCAAAGTAAAAATAATAATATTGGAATAACAAGAGAATTCCAATGGGGAATTTTTTTTTTTTTAACAAATGGTGCTGGGACAACTGGATATTCACATGCTAAATAAGGAAAATATACCTCTACCTCATGCTATATACAAAGTTAATGCAAAATGGATTAAATACCTAAATTTATTTATTTTAGCTGAAAGCTAAAACTCTATACTTCCTAGATAAAGCCAGGTATAAATTTTTATAACCTGTAATTAGGTAATGGTTTTTTAGATATGACACTAAAGTGACAAAAAATAAATAGGTAAGTTTGACATCATCATAGTTAAAACCTTCTGGGCTTCAAAAGACATCATAAAGAAAGTGAAAAGATAATCCACGGTATGGGAGAAAATTTTTTACAAATCTTATATCTGAAAAGGGACTTGTATCTAGAATATACAGTTGACCCTTGAACAACACAGATTTAAACTGTGCGGGTCTACTTATGTGTGGATTCTTTCAATAAATGTTACACTGAGTGTGCCTGCTTCTTCTGCCTCCCCTTCTGTCTCCTCCACTTCTTTCACCTCTGCCACTCCTGAAACAGCCAGACCAACCCATCCTTTTCCCCCTCCTCAGCCTACTCAATGTGAAGATGACAAGGATGAAGACCTTTATGATAATCCACTTTCGCCTAATGAATAGTATTTTCTTTTTCTTATTTTTAAATATTTTTGCTTCTCTAGTTTATATTAAGCTGTATATATACAATATATAATACATATAACATACAAAATGTATGTTAACTGTTTATGTAATCAGTAAGGCCTCCAGTCAATAATAGGCTATTAGTAGTTAAGTTTTTGAAGAGTTAAAAGCTACATGAGAATTTTTGACTGTGCAAGGAGTCAGCACCACAACTTCTGTTCTTCAGGGGTCAACTATATAAAGAACTAATAAAACTCAATAATTAAATTACAAATAACCCGTTTAACAAATGGGCAAAGGATCTGAATAGATAGTTCTCCAAAGATACACAAATAACCAGTAAGTACATAAAATGATGTTCATCGTTAAACATCAGGAAAATACAAGTCAAAATCACAATTAGTTGTAATTTCACATCTACTAGGATAGCTATGATTAAAAAAAAGTAATAATAACAAGTGTTGTCAAAGTTGTGGAGAAGTCAGTACTTTCATACACTGCTCGTTGGAAAGTAAAATGGTGTCACTGCTGTGGAAAATAGTGTGGTAATTTCTAAAGTAGTTATATGACCCAGAAATGCCTCTCTTAGGTATATGCCCAAGAGAAAAACATATGTCCACACAAAACTTATGTAAGAATGTTTATATTAACATTATTTATGGAAAGAAAATGTGGAAACAGTCCAGATGTCCTTCAAATGATGAATAGGTAAATAAAATGTGGCATAGCCATACAATGGAATATGAGTCATCAAAAGAAATGAATGACTGATATATGCCACGCCCGGCCAACATAGCTGTTTTTCAAGAAAATGCATTATTCAAACTGACAAGAGAGTGGTTTATTATTGTAGAGTATGGGTGAATAAAAGCTATATCAACAATGAGCTACATACAAAATTGGTATGCATATGTTGGGCAAAGTCTGTGGTTGAATTCTACACTGGTGTCAATGAGGTTGGGCAAAAAACAACTAGTAGTAAAAGAAGAACTAGGTAGAGTGTAAATTTAAAAACAATCAGATATTACAGTGGGTTGGGAGACATTCACAATTTGATGATCTGAAATAGAGAGACCTCCTTGAGTAATTGGGACATGCAGGAGAGACCTCAGAAAGCCACACCTTAGGAGTAGAACGGAACAAAATCTAGAATAAAAGTTACTGTAAACCTGCCCTAGCAATCCTTAGAATGATCATTTAAAAAACTGTCTTCTAGAATAAAACATTCTTTTATAAAAGACAACAAAATTTATACAACCAACAATGCCATATTACAATTCTCATCATCCATTCAAAAATTACATGTAAAGAAGTAGGGCAGGCAGGCGTGGTGGCTCACGCCTGTAATTCCAGCACTTTGGGAGGCCGAGGTGGGTGGATCACGAGGTCAGGAGATCGAGACCATCCTGGCTAACACGGTGAAACCCCATCTCTACTAAAAATATAAACAATTAGCCAGGCGTGGTGGCATGTACCTGTAGTCCCAGCTACTTGGGAGGCTGAGGCAGGAGAATCTCTTGAACCCGGGAGGTGGAGATTGCAGTGAGCCAAGCTTGTGCCACTGCACTGCAGCCTGGGCAACAGAGCAAGACTCTGTCTCAAAAAGAAGAAAAAAAAAAGTAGGGCAATAAACTCATAGTCAGTAGATACATTGGTCACCAGAATTGAACTCAGAAATGGTATAAATTAAGGGACAATATTTTGTTATATAAAAGGCCATAATGTAAATATTTTAGGCTTTGAAGGTTGCCTGTGGTCTTTATCATATGTTTTTCTGTTTTGTTTTGCTGTGTATTTGTATGTGTGTGTGCATTTAACACTACTTTAAAATATGTAAACCATTCTTAACTCATGGATTGTACCAAAAAAGTTCCATGGATGATAGTTTCTGAGCTGTTACATACTGATAGAATGAAAAGGAATTTAAATTAGTATAAATATGTTTAAGAATTTAAAAGACAATATGAACATAATTAGAAGAAAAAAATAAAACCTATTAAAGAAGCAAATGGAACTTCTTGAGATGAAAAATAGAATATCTGAAACAAAAAAGTCACTAAATGAGTTTTAAGTGCGTGATAGATACCATAGAAGAAAATGTTTATTGACAATGAATCAGAGCACTGGAACCTAAAAAAAAAGTGATTTAAAAAATGAACAGAGATTTAGTGACTTGTTGGACATTAATAAACTCTCTAGCACACATACAATTGAAGTCCTTAATGGTGAGGAAGGTAGGGCATAACATAATATTGAATAAATAAGGTTGAAAATTTCTTAAATTTGGTCATATACATACATCTACAGGTTCAAAAAGCTCAGTGAAACCTAAACTGAATATAAATTAAATAAATGAAACCACATCTAGACGTATCATAGTCTAACTAGTAAAACCCAGTAACGAAGTGAAAGTCTTCAGAGGAAAATGATATATTACATACAAGGTAACAAATTTAATTGACTTCTCATTATATATAATGCAAACCAAAAGGCGATGGGATGATATTCTTAGAGTTGAGAAAAAAGTTAATCTAGAATCTATATCTAGCAAAAGTATCCTTCAAAAATGGAAGTTAAATGAGACCTTTTTAGAATAACAAAAACTGAGAGAATTTGTCACTGGGAACTTGCACTGAAAGATATGTTCAAGAAAGTTCTTCAGGCTTAAGGAAAAGGATATTGGATAGAAATATTTGCACAAGGGAAAGAAGAGTTTCTTTAATAGTAAATATGTGAATAAATATAAAAACTTATTTCTCATTAAAATTGTATTGAACTATATTTGATTAAAGAAAAAATAGTAACAATGTATAATGGGGTATATAATATGTGGAAGTAAAATTACTATTTATTTTTTCAGTGGAATTAAGTAATCTAGGTTTTAAAGAGAATATACGCTTTCTTCTTCTTCTTCTTTTATTTTAGGTTCCAGGGATACATGTGCAGGTTTCTTACATGGGATACATTGCATGTCACTGAGGATTGGTGTACAATGATCCCGTCACCCAGGTAATGAGCATGATACCTAATAGGTATCTTCCGACCTACACCCCATTTCAAGCAGTCTCCAGTGTCTATGGTTTGCATCTTTGTGTCCATGTGTATTCAGTGTTTAGCTCCCATGTATAAGTGAGAACAGGCAGTATTTGGTTTTCTATTCCTCTGTTACTTCACTTAGGATAATGGCCCCCGACCTGCATCCATGTTGCTGCAAAAGACATAGTTTCATTTTTAATGGCTGTGTAGTGTTCCATGGTGTATATGTACCACATTTTCTTTATCCAGTCCTCCATCGATGGGCATTGAGGTTGATTCCATGTATTTGCTATTGTGAATAGTGCTACAGTGAACATACAAGTGCATGTGCCTTGTTGATGAAAAGATTTGTTTTCCTTTGGGTGTATACCCAATAGTGAGATTGCAGAATCAAATGGTAGTTCTGTTTTTAAGTTCTTTGAGAAATTTCCACATTGTCCTTCACAGCAGCTGAACTAATACAAATTCCCACCAGCAGTGCATAAGTCTTCCCTTTTCACTGCAACCTTGTCAGCGTCTGTTGTTTTCTTTACTTTTTGATAATAGTCATTCTGACTGGAGTTAGATTATATTTCATTGTGGTTTTGATTTGCATTCCTCTAATGATTAATGATGATGAGCATTTTTCATATATTTGTTGGCTGCATGTATGTAGATGTAAAATTATTGACAAGAATAGCACAAAGGACAGGAAGGCAGAAATTGAAGTATAATGTTTTAATGTTTGTACATTGTACATAAATCTGTGGCATGCCAAAGAAATGATTCCAGAAAAGGGTATCTAAATAAAAATGTCTAAAGGATATTATTATTTGGAAGTATTCTATATGAAGATTTTCTTAGGTCCTCTACTGTCAGAAGTAGGTACTGTAAAAAAATCTGGATCATATACCACTCACTATTTGCCAAAGATGAATTAAGTTTGATTCTGAAATATATATATGGGGGAAAAACCCAAGTGTATTATTATTCTTGTGATGGATAACACTAAGCAGGTATATTGTGTTTGATTAAAACATACCTGGGGAATAATTGGTGCTAAATATGGATACTTGACAAACAATAATATAATATTTGAATCCTGAAAAGGAAGTCAAAGTTTGCTTTTTCCCACACATAACAAAAGAAAACAGAATAAAATTTTATCAAGGGGATGAATGCCAGGAAGGTGTCATCAACAAGTGAGAAGAGTATCTGTAACAAACAATATCCAGGGGCAGGAGACTTCTAGGAGAGTTTCCTTGAATTTCTGCACCAGAAAATCCCAAATATGTTATGGAATCTTTTTTTCCGTGTGTGTAATAATGTAGGATTCTTCACATACTTTTATCCCTTTGACCCTCTGGATGGATTTGGGAAATTCTTGCAAGCAAGTCAAAGTGGGATTTCAGAGAATGCATATTCCGCAAGGACATGTCTGTGCATTTGCCTTATTCACTTGTAATAAGTGATACAATTTGCCTTAAGTGAAGTGCACAAGTGGATGTTGAAACTTTTAATTCAAGAACCATAACATTGGATGAGAATCAATGTCTGTTCAGTCTTAATTAATGCCCACACAAATAAGATATTTCTTAAAAATTACAGGATCAAGATATTTATTTAATATATAGAAGCCTGAAGCTTAAATAGTGCTACTAAATAATCTGGCTAGTTAATCAAGATTTAAAAGTTATTATAATATTATTCAAAAGCAAGTAGTAATATGTATATATGGCTATATTCATAGACCAGAAAATTAAACATATTTTCTGAGAGGCATTCTGTGAGAATAGTTTTACCAGTAAAGGAGTTAATAGTTTGAAGAAATGAAATTCAGCACCAGCAAATAAATGGCAAGAGACTCCACGGTTGTCTCTTTGCCAAAGTAGCAGGCTTGTTTTTAAGCTTATATAACCATTTATATTTTAAGCAGGTTTCTGAGAAATTGAAAGACAGCTTGGAAAGCTGGTGCTTTTTTGTTCAAAACAGACAAAACTTTTAAAATTACTTTTTAACATGAAGCCAGTAGAACAGATTCCCTAGTTGAAGTATAACAAATTCATTGACTCTTAAATGTTGTTAAAGGACCTAGTATTTACTGCCCTAGTCATTGAAGATTCTCAGGTAATTCAAGTCTCTGTTGCCAAGGGGAATACATGATGGTGGCTGGAGAGAGACAATAAACAAAAAAGGCTCTGTCATGTTAGTGCTCTGAAGTACTAATAGGTTAAATAATCAAAGTAAAGAGATATGGACAGAGAATGGATGGGGTGAGCTATTTAGTTAGAGTGGTCAGGGAAGGTATCTCTTTTAAGGTTATATTTGAACATAAACTTGAATGAAGCGATGCAGAGATCCAATGATATTTATCTTATAGATGCATAGATACATAGATTTAGGTATAGATAATTCTCCAGGTAGAAGATATAGCAATTGCAAAGGCCTTAGAGTGGAAGAGTACCTGGTGCATTCAAAAAACAGCAAGAAAGACAACACAGCAATGCCCCAGGGCAGGGTGTAATCGGGTGGTAGGAGATAGGTCCAGAGAAAGGAAAAGGGGCCAGAACATGTAGGCAGCTGTAAGCAATAATAAAAACTTCGGAATTTATTCTGAGTAAGATGGAATGATCTGGGAAATATTTGAGCTGAAAAGTGATAATCTGAGCTTTGTTGTGGGAAATAGACAGTAGTAAGGTAAGCAAGAAGGATAATTGCAGATAACTTCAATATCCAGGCAAAAACCAATTTCAGCTTGGACTAGGGGCTGATATTGGTGAAAATGGTTAGATTCTCAAAGTATTTTGAAGTAAAAACCACTGTGATTTGTTAATAGATCAAATCTGGGGTGTGAAAGAAGGGGAGGTAACAAGGAAGACTTAAAGACTTTTGGCCTAAACTGTTGGAAGAATGGAATTCTATTTATTGATACAGGGCAAATAAGGGAAAAACAAGAATAAGGGGAGAAGAATCAAGAGTTTAGTTTTTCAAAGTTAATTCTGAGATGTCTTTTAGGCATTCAAGAATTGGTGTCAAAAACAGAATTGGATATGAGTAGACAGTGGATATATTTCAAGGAGAAGTAACAGTGGATTTTGAACCTGAAAGTTATTAGCATAAAGATGACATTTAAAACCATGGGAAGACTTTGTTGGTATATAGAGAAAAGAAATGATCCCATAACTGAGTTCTAAAATGTCCTGTTGTTTACAGATTGGAAATCTGAGATGGAGATAGGAAAGCATGCTGTGAATAAGTGAGCAAAGGATGAGAACCTAGAGTTAGAATCAAGAGAAAGGTGTAGTTGAAGCAGAATGGAGTGATAAGCTATGCCAAATGCTACCGATTATTAACTATTCATTGGCAGATGGCTAATCAGATACAGTCGCTATTCATTGCCTCTTTTCTTTGCTGATTCGTCATGACAGCCTCTTGCTATATATCAGGACTTCCCTCCTGGGTGGCAATACCAATTGGTCAAAAGAGTCAGTTATCCAACATTTAAAGGTCCCAGGAGGTGAAATCTGATTTACATAACAAGTTCTACTTCTATACACAAAACAGTGTATTTTGTGATACTTCCTCCTTTTTTATAACAAACTCCTATCCTCTCAAAGAATGAGTCATTAGAGAAGAAAAAAAGGAACATTGTGGAAAATTAAAGTATCCAAAAATATGTTAAAAATTCCACTTGGGAAGACTTTGCTGCTTTATCATTAGTCCAATGCTCTTCAAAAATTAACCCAGAGGAGAGTTCAGTTACTCTACTCATGAACTTGAACATGACATTCAGATATTCTACTCATGAACTTGAACTTAGATTTTAGGGAAGTAAGTGTTATTGAATTAAAAGTGTGCCTTTAAATATATAGACTTTCCTTGTCTACGATGTGTATCTATTTTTTCCGCTAATAATCAAAAAATTATTGTGTATTTGAGTAAACATAATCCATGTTTGACCTAGTCTAGTCATCATTTTAACCTTTTGTGTTCATAAATATAATAGATAAATGCTGTCTTTTAAAGTAACATCAGACTTATGTACTTCAATATAATGTATTTGAACATTATAACACGATCACTAAAACATGGCTTTCTATAATGGCATAGAACCTGTTTTAACACACTGTAGTTAAATTTCTATATCATTGGCATAAAGCTTACAAAATAACATAAAAAGTTTTGATGACAGAAAATATCTAATATTAAACTAAACTCAAGTGCTTTCAGCTCTCTGTATCTTTGGGTGCCACATCTGTAGATTCAATCAACCTCAGATAAAAATATTTAGACAAAAAATTGCATCTGTACTGAACATGTGCAACTTTTTTCTTGACATTATTCCCTAAACAATACAGTATAACTATTTACATAGCATTTACATTGTATTACTGATTATAAGTAATTTAGAGATGATTTAAAGTATGCAGAAAGATGTGTGTCAATTATATGCAAATACTATGCCACTTTAGCTCAGAGACTTGATATCTGTGGATTTTGGTATACTTGGAGAGTCCTGGAACCAATCCCTATGGATAGTGAGGGTTGACTGTAATTGAGATTCTCTATAAGCTTAAAATAAAACTTACAATGAAAAATCAAGAAAGAGAGCTCAGATAAAAAGAATGTCTTTGCTCACAGACAAACTACAAAGCAAGAAAGGCTGTTTCCATTGAGTCTTCTTTTCTTCAGAAAGTATACAGACGGTAACTGGTATATGAGTTGGATTTGGGGATACAATAGCATACATGAGACCCAGCCAGGGACAGCCCTTTTAAAACCTCAGGCAAAGAAAAATTACAGGCTACTGTTTTCCTAAGGCAAAGAAAAATTACAGGCTAGTGTGACTCTGGGTCCCACTAATGGACTCTCTATGGGGTCTTAGCAATGTGTGTATGGGAAGGCGGAGCATGAACTGGTTTCCCACAGTAATTTGGTGCCACAAGCAATTCTGTCCTAATGGAGTTATAATAGACTCTTTACTTCAAACAAACACTGATGTTAGTGGACATTAATTTTCATGGTGTTTTCCTCTGAGAAAGGAGGGATTTTGTTCAGGACAATAAGACACTGTTTCAATTTGTGAGATGAAAGTTTTCAAAGAGAGAAAAAAAGAAGAGTCTATGCTTTTATGCTTTACCCAAGATTTGTCTCGACTCTTTTCTGCTTTGTCCTCTGGCCATATCTATATTACGATTTATTGCAGAGTAATTGATGGCTTTGGCAAATGGTGGTACACTGTAGTCTTTACAATGCATTGTGGTCTTTATGATGTTTGCAATGAGATAAAAAAGAATGCAAACCACTATTTTTTAGTATATCTCCTGAAATTCCATATCCCTTCAAAAGTGTACTATGTAAAGTACAAATCAGTCTGTACTTTGTTGTGCCTTAAAAATCTTTAGTAGCTTTCCTTTATCAACATAGTAGGATCCAAACCCTTTCGTATGGCAGAGAAGTCCTTTCTTCATCTGGCCTTTCTATGTGAAACGTCTTGCAGTTTAACTGATCTCTGTGTTATTTCTTGCCTGTGTGTTTTTGTTAATTCTGTATGCTGTGCCTAGAATTCCTTTCCCTTTTGCTCTTCCTCCAGTTGCCTGTCTTACCTATAGAAACAGCCTTTACTGCTCTAGGAAGCCTTCCTGCCATCATCCAGGTTATGCAATGTGTGTCTCCTGTGTTCTCACGATGGCATATATCTGTTAGTGTACTTGCTACATTAAATTATCACTAATTCTATTTTTTCTCTGTCCCCCAAAATACTGTGGTCTCCTTAAAAGCAGGAAATGTTAGCCATTAATTCTTTGTCAAGAGCAATGGCTAGCTAAAAAGTGAGCAATCACAAAATAAATGTTTGTCAGGTGAATGAATGAATGAACCAATGGTTAGTATTAGACCCTACCAGTTCTAATAGGTTTAATGCTCTTTCTTTTTTTTTCATCCAGCCTCTCCCAAACACCTTAAAACAAATACATCTTGAAGGATGTACCATGCATTCCATTATGATTTAGTTTGGAAGGAGTTTGGTGTACTATAACAACTGAAGGTATTAGCGTGCCCGGAGAGAAAGCATATTTGAAGCAGAGTTGTAATTATAAAAAAGGAAGAGTCCTAGCTCATGATTTATTGCCTGAAAATTTCCAATGTGAGTACAATTAGTGCACTCTTAGAATGGCTCCAAATGATGAAGGATTTAATTACATGAGGAGCTCTACCTCCAGTGCTAGAGATATAGACATAAATTTGTGTTTCTATTTAATTTACTTGAAAGAATTTTGATTTTAGCCACAAATTTGAATTTAAATGAATATAACTGGAAGCTATAGTTAAAGTCCATTATTCCTGAGAATTCAATGATTTGAGATAAAAATGTTTACATTTGTTCAATTCAAAGGAATAGCCTAGTTCTCATGCTAAACAGCAAACCCACTTTTTCTTTCTCTTCAGGCAGCTGTCTCAGAGGGATTTTCATACAACCTTCCAATCCATTTCTTCACTTTTAATGAGTAAAATATCCTAGGTGTTGTAAAATTGGGAAGAATTATATTTATATTATTTGTTTTACTTACAGAAATTTGTATACATTCATTATTTATTATAATTTATTTTAATTCTGACAAATAAGAACTTGTAAATATTGAGATAGTTTCTTTATTAGTTTAAATTTTTGTTGAGAAAAAATTCATATGAATTTACCATTTTAATCACTTTAAATGTACAATTCAGTGATTTTTTTTGTATATTTGCAATGTTGTGCAATCAACACCACTATCTAATTTCAGAACATTTTCATCACCCCAGAAGGCACCTCATATTCATTGAGCAGTTATACTCCATCCTTTCTTTCAAGGCCCTGGCAACAAGCTACTATTTGTCTCAATGAATTTGAGTATTATGGCATTTTATATAAAAGGTATCATATAATTTGTGACTTTTTCACTCAGTGACTGGCTTCTTTCACTTAGTGTAATTGGCTATTACGAATAATTGTGATAAGACCATTCATCTACACGATTTTATATGGCCATACCTTTTATTTCTCCTTGATATATACCTAGAAGAAAACTCACATAGGAACTCAATGTTTGACTTTTAAGTAACTACCAAATGTTTTTCTACAGTGGCTTCAACATTTTACATTCCTACCAGCAATGTACGAGGCTTCCAGTTTCTTGATATCCTTGCCAACACCTGATATTTTCTGATTTTAAAAAAATTATAGCCATCCTAGTGGGTAAGAAGTGGTATCCCATTATGTTTATAATTTCTGTTTTGCTGACTAATGTTCTTGACTAGTGTTGTTGAGCATCTTTTTTTATTATTATAATTTAAGTTATGGGATACATGTGTAGAATGTGCAGGTTACATAGGTATACATGTGCCATGGTGGTTTGCTGCACCCATCAACCCATCATATAGGTTTTTAGCCCCACATGCATTAGGTATTTGTCCTAATGATCTCCCTCCCCTTGCTTCCAAAACCCGATGGGCCACAGTGTGTGATGTTCCCCTCCCTGTGTCCATGTGTTCTCATTGTTCAACTCCCACTTATGAGTGAGAACATGTGGTGTTTGGTTTTCTTTTCCTGTGTTAGTTTGCTGAGTATGATGGTTTCCAACTTCATCCGTGTCCCTGCAAAGGACATTAACTCATTCTTTTTATGGCTGTGTAGTATTCCATGGTGTATATGTGCCACATTTTCTTTATCCAGTCTGTCTTTGATAGGCATTTGGGTTGGTTCTAAGTCTTTGCTATTGTAAATAGTGCTGCAATAGACATATGTGTGCATGTGTCTTTATAGTAGAATGATTTATAATCCTTTGGGTATGTCCCCAGTAATGGGATTGCTGAGTCAAATGGTATTTCTGGTTCTAGGTCCTTGAGGAATAACCACACTGTCTTCCACAATGGTTGAACGAATATATACTCCCACCAACAGTGTAAAATAATTCCTATTTCTCCACATCCTCTCAGGCATCTGTTGTTTCCTGACTTTTTTTTTTTTTTTTTTTTTTGAGATGAGTCTCACTCTGTCACCCAGGCTGGAGTGCAGTGGTGTGATCTCAGCTCACTGCAAGTTCTGCCTCCTGGGTTCATGCCATTCTCCTGCCTCAGCCTCCCAAGTAGCTGGGACTACAGGCACCTGCCACCATGCCAGGCTAATTTTTTGTATTTTTAGTAGAGACGGGGTTTCACTGTGTTAGCCAGGATGGTCTCGATCTCCCGACCTCGTGATCTACCCACCTTGGCCTCCCAAAGTGTTGGGATTACAGCCATGAGCCTCTGCGCCCGGCCATTTCCTGACTTTTTAATGATCGCCATTCTAATTGGCATGAGATGGTATCTCAATTTTTTTTTTCTTTGAGACAGAGTCTTGCTTTGTCACCCAGGCTGGAGTGCAGTGGCACCATCTTGGCTCACTGCCAGCTCCGCCTCCTGGGTTCACGCCATTCTCCTGCCTCAGCCTCCCGGGTAGCCGGGACTACAGGCACCCGCCACCAGGCCCGGCTAATTTTTTGTATTTTTAGTAGAGATGGTGTTTCACTGTGTTAGCCAGGATGATCTCGATCTCCTGACCTTGTGATCCACCCACCTCGGCCTCCCAAAGTGCTGGGATTACAGGCGTGAGCCACCGCGCCTGGCTGAGATGGTATCTCATTGTAGTTTTGATTTGCATTTCTCTACTGATCAGAGATGATGAGCTTTTTTTCATACTTTTGTTGGCCACATAAATGTCTTCTTTTGTGAAGTGTCTGTTCATATCATTCACCCACATTTTGATGGGGTTGTTTGGTTTTATCTTGTAAATTTGTTTAAGTACCTTGTAGATTCTGGATATTAGACCTTTGTCAGATAGATAGATTGCAAAAATTTTCTCCCATTCTGTAGGTTGCCTGTTCACTCTGATGATAGTTTCTTTTGCTGTGCAGAAGCTCTTTAGTTTAATTAGATCCCATTTGTCAATTTTGGAAAAATTGCTTTTGGTGTTTTAGTCATGAAGTCTTTGCCCATGCCTATGTCCTGAATGGTATTACTTAGGTTTTCTCCTAGGGTTTTTAATAATTTTATGTTTTACATTCAAGTCTTTAATCCATCTTGAGTTAATTTTTGTATAAGGTGTAAGGAAGGGGTCCAGTTTCAGTTTTCTGCATATGGGAATCCAGTTTTACCAGCACCATTTATGAAATAGAGAATCCTTTCCCCATTGACTGTTTTTGTCAGGTTTGTCAAAGATCAGATGGCTGTGGATGTGTGGTGTTATTTCTGAGGCTTCTGTTCTGTTCCATTGGTCTATATATCTGTTTTGGTACCAGTACCATGCTGTTTTGGTTACCGTAGCCTTGTACTATAGTTTGAAGTCAGGTAGCACGATGCCTCCAGCTTTGTTCTGTTTGCTTAGGATTGTCTTGGCTATACGGGCTCTTTTTTGGTTCCATATGAAATTTAAAGTAGCTTTTTCTAATTCTGTGAAGAAAGTCAGTGGTAGCTTGATGGCAATAGCATTGAATCTGTAAATTACTTTGGCAGTATGGCCATTTTCATGATATTGATTCTTCCTATCCATGAACATGGAATGTTTTTCCATTTGTTGGTGTCCTCTTTTATTTTGTTGAGCAGTGGTTTGTAGTTCTCCTTGAAGAGGTCCTTCACTTCCCTTGTAAGTTGCATTCCTAGGTATTTTATTCCTTTGTAGCAATTGTGAATAGGAGTTCACTCATTATTTGGCTCGCTGTTAGTCTGTTTTTGGTGTATAAGAATGTTTGTGATTTTTGCACATTGATTTTGTATCCTGTGACTTTGCTGAAGTTGCTTAACAGCTTAAGGAATTTCGGAGCTGAGATGATGGGGTTTTCTAAATATACAATCATGTCATCTGCAAACAGGGACAATCTGACTTCCTCTGTTCCTATTTGAAAACCCTTTATTTCATTCTCTTGCATGATTTCACTGGCCAGTACTTGCAATACTATGTTGAATACGAGTGGTGAGAGAGGGCATCCTTGTCTTGTGCTGGTTTTCCAGCTTTTGCCCATTCAGTATGACATTGGCTATGAGTTTGTCATAAATAGCTCTTATTATTTTGAGATATATTCCATCAATACCTAGTTTTTGAGTGCTTTTAGCATAAAGGGGTGTCAAATTTTATCAAATGCCTTTTCTGCATCTATTGAGATAATAATTTGTTTTTTTATTTGTTCTGTTTTTGTGATAGATTACCTTTATTGACTTTTGTATGTTGACCCAGCCTTGCATCCCAGGGATGAAGCCTACTTGATCGTGGTGGATAAGCTTTTTGATGTGCTGCTGGATTCAGTTTGCCAGTATTTTATTAAGGATTTTTGCACTGGTGTTCATCAGGGATGTTGGCCTGAAATTTTTTTGTTGTTGTGTCTCTGCCAGGTTTTGGTATCAGGATGATGCTCACCTCATAAAATGAGTTAGGGAGGAGTCCCTCTTTTTCTATTGTTTGGATTAGTTTCAGTAGGAATGGTACCAGCTCCTCTTTGTACCTCTGATAGAATTTGGCTGTGAATCCATCTGGTCCTGGGCTTTTTGTTTGTTTGTTTGTTTGGTAGGCTATTAATTACTGCCTCAATTTCAGAACTTGTTATTGGTCTATTCAGGGATTTGACTTCTTCCCGGTTTAGTCCTGGGAGGGTGTATGTGTCCAGGAATTTATCCATTTCTTCTAGACTTTCTAGTTTATTTGCTTAGAAGTGTTTATAGTGTTATCTGATAGTAGTTTGTATTTCTGTGGGATCAGTGGTGATATCCTCTTTATCATTTTTTATTGTGTCTATTTGATTCTTCTGTCTTTTCTTCTTTATTAGTCTGGCTAGCAGTCTACCTATTTTGTTACTCTTTTCAAAAAACCAGCTCCTGGATTCATTGATTTTTTGAAGGTTTTTTTGTGTGTCTACCTCCTTTAGTTCTGCTCTGATCTTAGTTATTTCCTGTCTTCTGCTAGCTTTTGATTTTGTTTGCTCTTGCTTCTCTAGTTCTTTTAATTGTGATGTTAAGGTGTAGATTTTAGATCTTTCCCACTTTATGAAGTGGGCATTTAGTACTATAAATTTCCCTCTAAACACTGCTTTAGCTGTGTTTCAGAGTTTCTGGTATGTTGTCTCTTTGTTCTTGTTGGTTTCAAAGAACTTATTTATTTCTGCCTTAATTTCGTATTTACCCAGTAGTCATTGTGGAGCAGGTTGTTCAATTTCCATGTAGGTGTGTGGTTTTGAGTGAGTTTCTTAATCCTGAGATCTAATTTGATTGAACTGTGGTCTGAGAGACTGTTTGTTGTGATTATCTTTCTTTTGCATTTGCTGAGGAGTGTTTTACTTCCAATTATGTGGTCGATTTTAGAATAAGTGTTATGTGGTGCTGAGAAGAATGTATATTCTGTTGATTTTGGGTGGGGAGTTCTGTACATGTGTATTAGGTCCTCTTGGTCTAGAGCTGAATTCAAGTCCTGAATATCCTTGTTAATTTTCTGTCTTGTTGATCTTTCTAATATTGACAGTGGGGTGTTAAAGTCTCCCACTATTATTGTGTGGGAGTCTAAGTCTCTTTGTAGGTCTTTAAGAACTTGCTTTATGAATCTAGGTGTTCCTGTATTGGGTGCATATATATTTAGGATAGTTAGCTCTTTTGTTGCATTGCCCCTTTACCATTATGTAATGCCCTTCTTTGTCTTTTTTGATCCTTGTTGGTTTAAAGTCTGTTTTATCAGAGACTAGAATTGCAACTCCTGCTTTTCTTTGCTGTCCATTTGCTTGGTAAATATTCCTCCATCCCTTTATTTTGAGCCTATGTGTGTCTTTGCACATGAGATGGGTCTCCTGAATACAGCACACTGTTGGGTCTTGACTCTTTATCCAATTTGCCAGTCTGTGTCTTTTAATTGGGGCATTTAGCCTATTTACATTTATATTGTAATGTGTGAATTTGATCCCGTCATCATGATGCTAGGTGGCTATTTTGCACATTAGTTAATGTAGTTTCTTCATAGTGTAGTTGGTCTTTATATTTTGATATGTTTTTGCAGTGGCTGGTACCAGTTTTTCTTTTCCATAATTAGTGCATCTTCAGGAGTTCTTGTAAGACAGGCCTGGTGGTGACAAAATCCCTCAGCATTTGCTTGTCTGGAAAGGATTTTATTTCTCCTTCACTTATGAAGCTAACTTTGGCTGGATATGAAGTTGTGGGTTGAAAATTATTTTCTTTAAAAATGTTGAATATTGGCCCCCACACTCTTCTGGGTTGTGGGTTTCTGCAGAGAGATCCACTGTTAGTCTGATGAACTTTCCTTTGTAGGTGACCTGACCTTTCTCTCTGGCTGCCCTTAACATTTTTTCCTTCATTTCAACCTTGGAGAATCTGATGATTATGTGTCTTTGAGTTGCTCTTCTCATGGAGTATCTGAGTGGTGTTCTCTGTATTTCCTGAGTTTGAATGTTGGCCTGTCTTGCTAGGTTGGGCAAGTTCTCCTGGATAATATCTCGAAATGTGTTTTCCAACTTGCTTCCGTTCTCCCCATCACTTTCAGGTACACCAATAAATCATAGGCTTGGTCTTTTCACATAGCCCCATATTTCTTGGAGGCTTTGTTTGTTCCTTTTCATTCTTTTTTTTTCCTAATCTTGTCTTCACACTTTATTTAATTAAGTTGATCTTCAATCTCTGATATCCTTTCTTCCACTTGATCAATTCTGCTATTGATACCTGTGTATGCTTCATGAAGTTCTCTTGCTTTGTTTTTCAGCTCCATCAGGTCATTTTTGTTCTTCTCTAAACTGGTTATTCTAGTAAGCAGATCCTGTAACCTTTTATCAAGGTTTTTAGCTTCTTTGCATTGGGTTGCAACATGCTCCTTTAGCTCAGAGGAGTTTGTTATTACCCACTTTCTGAAGCCTACTTCTGTCAATTCATCAAAATTATTCTCCATCCAGTTTTTTGCCCTTGCTGGAGGGGAGCGGTGATCATTTGGATGAGGAGAGGCATTCTGGTTTTTAGAATTTTCAGCATTTTTGTGCTGGTTTTTCCTCATCTTCATGGATTTATCTACCTTTGATATTTGATGCTGATGACCTTTGGATGGGGTTTTTGTGTGGGCATGCTTTTTGTTCATGTTGGTGTTATTGCTTTCTGTTTGCTAGTTTTCCTTCTAACAGTCAGGCCCCTCTTCTGTAGGTCTGCTAGGGTTTGCTAGAGGTCCACTCCAGACCCTGTTTGCCTGGGTGTCACTAGTGGAGGCTGCAGAACAGCAAAGATTCCTGCCTGCTCTTTCCTCTGGAAGCTTTGTCCCAGAGGGGCACCCACCTGATGCCTGTCGGAGCTCTCCTGTATGAGGTGTCTGTCGACCCATGTTGGGAGGTGTCTCCCAGTCAAGAGGCATGGGGGTCAGGGACTCACTTAGGAGGCAGTCTGTCTCTTAGCAGAGCTTGAGCACTGTGCTGGGAGATCTGCTGGTGTCTTCAGAGCTGGCAGGCTGGGACATTTAAGTCTATTTATGTTGTGCCCACTGCCATCCTTGTCCCCAGGTGCTCTGTCCCATGTGCAAAAACTGTGGGAAAAGCATAATTATCTGGGCCAGATAGCACAGTTCCTTACAGCTTCCCTTGGCTAGGGGAGGGAGGTCTCTGGCCCCTTGCACTTCCTGGGTGAGGCAAAACCCTGCCCTGCTTCTGCTTGCCTTCCATGGGCTGCACTCACTCTAACCAGTCCCGATGAGATGAACAGGTTACCTCAGTTGAACATGCAGAAATCACCCACCTTCTGTGTTGATCTCATTTGGAGCTGCAGACTAGATCTGTTCCTATATGACCATCTTGCCAGATCCGTTGAGCATCTTTTCATGTGCTTACTCACCATTTGTGTAGCTTCTTTGAAGAAATGGCTATTCAATTCTTGTCCATTTTGAAATGTATTCTTTTTTGCTGCTCTTGTTGAGTTGTTAAAGTTATTTTTTCTGAACAGGTGTTGTAAAATTGAAAAGAATTTTATTATATTATTTGTTTTATTATAGAAATATTTTTATCAGATACATGACTGATAAAATTATCAGTTGGATAATTTGAGATATATGATTTGCAAATATTTTTTCCCATTTTGGTAACTGTATTTTCACTTTTTTTTTTTTAAGTAAAGTGAATGCAAGTTTATTTAGAAAGTAAATGAATAAAAAAATGCCTACTTCATAGACAGAGCAACCCCAAGGGCTGCTGGCTGTCCCTTTTTGTGATTATTTCTTGATTATACACTAAACAAGGGGTGAATTATTCATGTCTCCCCTTTTTAGCCCACATAGGGTAACTTCCTGACATTGTCATGGCATTTGTAAACTGTCATGGCACTGGTGGAAGTGTAGTAGTGAGGACAACCAGAGGTTACTCTCATTGCCATCTTGGTTTTGGTGGGTTTTAGCTGGCTTCTATACTGCAACCTGTATTATCAGCAAGGTCTTTATGACCTTTATTTTGTGCCTACCTTCTCTTTCTTCCTGTGACTTAGAATGCCTAACCATCTGGGAATGCTGCTGAGTAGGTCTCAGCCTTATTTTACCCAGCCTCTATTTGAGGTGGAGCTGCTCTGGTTCAGATGCTTCTGACATATCCCCCCCCCTCCATTTTATAAGGAATCCTTAACCTTACAGGTTATAGAGGAATGAAGATTCATCTTCTGTAACTTATTCATGTTGGATAAATGAGATGATATTCCTGCCTAACTATTAGGGTTTCTTGTATTCAGGGGAGAGAAGAGCTCAGTCACAAAACGTCAGTACGCTGAGAGCCATTCATAACTCCAAGTTCCACAAAAGGTGATACCTGGAAGATTAATAAGTGTTCAATTTAAGAAAACATTTAGTAAGCTTATTCTGCATTCCTACACAAAGTACAACAGCAATATATTCCACAAGAGTAAAGCAAAATAAGTAAAATTATCCCAAGTAAACTAAATAAGAAGGCTTTCCATGAACTGGGTAACTGCTGGAACCAAGCCAATATGGGGTTGCTAGTTGGTTCCAGCATGTGCCCAGAATTAGGATATTGACCCCAATTTTTACATTACCCATTACTCTTGTTTCTTCTGAGCAGCAGTCAGAGATCAGTCGTTGGTTCACAGGAATAAAAAAGGTTAGCCTAAACGCAGAAAAAAACTTAAAAACAGCTGATGAGACTAGCATCTAACAACAAGTGTACCATAGTTCTTGAAACATAATTTTTCTCTCTCCAGTTTCTCATTTTTACTAAAAACAAATCATGGTAGGACCAATTTGCTTTATTATATCTGGCCTCATTATTTGTCTAAAGTGCAGTAATAATCATTATTTTTCACATAAGCTCTTTTTAAATTGGCTTTGATGGAACTCTGTTCCATAGAAAGAATCTCAGATAAGACTTTTTTTTAAAAAAGCAAAGCCCAGCCATCAGTTTGTACCCTCAAATACCTATCAGTTGGATAATTCCTCTCATCTTGAGATCCCAAGATAGCTTGGGGCTCCTGGGCCTGTCAGAATGTAACATTCTCTATTTACCACAGATCAAGAACCCTGTACAAGAACCGTGTACACAAGGTATGAGGCCAGTTTTCCCAAAGGGCTTTTATTGGCTTTGTAAGTCAAATTTGATTCCTTAGGGGAAGGCACATCATTCTAGTCAAAGCCTTGGTAAAATAACCAGTTTTTCCAATTGTGTCCTGTTGCAAAAGAAAACAGATTCTTTTTTTTTCGGCGGGGGTGGGAGGGGGGAGGTGGGTAGGAACAGAGTCTTACTCTGTCACCCAGGCCAGAGTGCAGTGGCATGATCTCGGCTCACTGCAACCTCTGCCACCTGGGTTCAAGTGATTCTCCTGCCTCAGCCTCCTGAATAGCTGGGATTACAGGCATGCACCACCACACCCAGCTAATTTTTGTATTTTTTGTGGAGATGCAGTTTCACCATGTTGGTTGGCCTGGTATCAAACTGCTGACCTGGTGATCCACCTTCCTTGGCCTGCCAAAGTGCTGGGATTACAGGCGTGAGCCACCATATCGGCCAGAAAACAGATTCTAATTGCACTTATGCAAATAACTATATTGCCACAAGTTAAGACTCACAAACAGTTTCCAAACTCTGGAGAAATCTTTTAAAACCCTTTACAGTTTTTGTTAAAGAGTTTCATTCCAATTTTTTATTCCAGTGTTCAACTTACAGAAAACTGAATAATGCCCCTTTTACTTTAGCCAATATGTTCACAGACAGAATTTCTTTTACAATTAATTTTTCAGAAACCTTCCACAACTTGCTTAAATCTTCAGCTTTTTTCTGACTTAAAACAGTCTTTTAACCTTTTGATCTAGGCAAAAAAACAAACAAACAAACAAAAGAAACAACACATTTCCATGCCTTCTTATAATCTTTCACCAAAAACACATTTCACTATCTTTATATACCTTGCATGTAAAATGATTTCTTCAGTAGTCTCAATTATATGTTACACTGTTAACTTTTAGTGACTTTTACTTTTGGTTAAAACCTTGGTAAGTAAGAGATTTTAATTATGTACTAGGTGTGGCTCCTAGGACCCAGACAGAAGTTCCAATATAGTCTGATTCTTTCCAGTGTAGCTAGGGGTTATAGCTAACTCCAGGTGTCATAGGCCTTACCTAGCTGTAAAGCGAGGCAAGTTGTACAGTTAATTTATAGTGCCATTTTATGAAACATTTAGGAGGCCTAGTAACTTTTACATTGTGCAACATTTCCTGCATAAATTCCCTTTCATGAATTCTTTTATGACTTACACAGACCATCTATGACACACTTGGACTTTCTGACTTGTCCTAAACATCCCTCTTTTTAAATAACCAGTTGTTTTACTTTAGGACAAGAATTTACCATACAGGATCCTTTCTTATATAAAATCTCTTTTCTTTATAACCTTCTTTGCATAGCTGGGGGCATGGCTAATTCCACATGTCCCCAGGCCTTATCTAGAATCTAATGCTAACAATTTTTAAAAGCCAAAGAAGCAGTTTATGATCTTAAAGTATTAAGCAAACCTATTAGCTGACCTGCATAATTTAGATGAAATGTTTATATTTTTGAAGATATTTTTATTTTACCAATAATTTTCAAAACTATTTTTAATTCCCAAAGTTTACTAAAGTCACATGAACTAAAAGGCATTACACTTTTTACTTTTCTGACAAAATATTTGATTTAAACTCTTATTTTTTAAGCCAATTAATTACAGCACTTTTATATTATACACACAACACATAAGCACACAGAAAGACAGATGATAAAGGACTTATTCCCTAAGCCAGGAATTGAACCCTGAATGTGGATCACCATTATGATGGCAGAGGCCAAGAGAAAGTACTGCCATGTGGTTACAAGGTCAAGCTCCGAAGGACATGAATGACCAGTTTGCTGGGCTATCCTGAACAATGGGCTTATGGGGTCCTAGGTCCATGTTCAATCCTAAGATACCCCTCTTTATAAGAGAACATTACAGAAAGACACAAAACACAACAGATTCACTACAATTTAAGGTTAGCCTCACAAACCCTTTTTCCAATTAATCAAAACTTTATAGAGGAGATAAACAGTGATTTCTGCATTTATTCAACCGATTTGCACAAAAAGGGAGAGAGCGAGAGGGGCCAGAAGTCTGACTGGTAAGAAATTCTTAGCCTTTTGCAGGCATGCCAGGCTTCTGGGTTCCCTTTCCCTGAGCAGCTGTAGTGACCCAGCTGGCTGCACTACAGCCCTGGGGGCCAAGCCACAACACAAAGGAAAATTATCATTTTCTATTCAGGCCAGAGCAAAACATGTGTGACAAAACCTAGACATTAGCCACTCTGCTTAGCACCCAATATCAAATTGGCAAGGCTCAAACTTGCCTCCAGTTGGGCCTCATTGTTGTTAATCCAAACTCTGACCAGGAATTTCACCTTGTGGTTTCTGGGCAAGATGCTCACCCTGAATAACAGAAAAGTTAGAAAAAAGAAAGGGAGAAAAGTATTGCCTGTGGCAGGGTGGAGAAGGCAAGGAGCCTCAGGGAGGCCAGAGAAAGGCCTGCCCATCACAGTGACACTGAATCAAAAGTTCAGGTGGCTGCTTGCCAGTTGGGAAAGGATCTTTTCCAGCAGTCTCATTAGCTCTTAAGTGTTCTCTTTTGGGGAGGAAAAATCTCCTCACGTCCCATGGTCCTCTACATGCCTAATTCTGTCATCCATACCCATCAGCAAAGAGTGCAAGACAAGTTAATCCAAAGAGAATAGCAGTTAACATCCCACAGTGCCAAATCCATTCTTAGCCAAGAGGGACTTTAGTGAAAGGGACCTCTAACCCCCTAAATCTTAGGAAGAACTCTAACCTTCCTAAGTTGGGCCTCAGGGGACCTTTAACCAACTCTGTCTTAGGAGAGACTCTAACTCCCCTAAGTTGGGCCTGTAGCCCAATCCCATCCTTTACCCAGGTATATGCACCCCTCTTACCCAGTCAGCCCAGTCAGATAATTTTCCTTTGGGTTGGGGGTCTCTTTAGTATCATCCCTTCAGTGGTGTGCCAGAAAGATGTTACTGGACCCCACCACATACCCAAAATTAGGCTTTGGGTTGGGGTTTTCCTCAGTATTGTTCCTTCTGTGGTCACCAGAAGGACGTTAGTATAGTTCCTTGGTGGTTCAGCGGAAGGATGTTACCAGAAAGGGGTCTCAGTCCAGCCCCCAAGAGAGTTTTCTTGGCTCTCACACAAGAATGAATCTGAGGTGAATCCATACAGTAAAGTGAAAGCAAGTTTATTAAGAAAGTAAAGAAATCAAAGAGTGGCTACTCCATAGACAAAGCAGCCATATTTTCCCTTTCTTAGTAATGAACTTTGATGCACAAAAGTGTTTACTTTTGATGAAGTTCAAGTTTGTCTATTTTTGGTTTCTTATTCTTTATAATCATGTTTATGAAACCACTACTTAATCCAACCTCAAAAATATGTATACTATGTTTTCTTCTAAGAGTTTTATGGTGTAAGCTCTTAAGTGTAGGTCTCTGATCCATATTAAATTAATTTTTATACATTGTATGAAGGAGGGATCCAAATTTATTCTTTTGAATGTGGGTTTGTTGTTGTCACAGCACCATTTGTTGAAGAGTCTATCCTTTTCCTCATTGAATGGTCTTGGAAATATTGTCAAAAATCAATTTACCATAGATATATGTATGGGTTTATTTCTAGACCCTGAATCCTATTCCACTGATCTATCCTTTTGCCAGTATCACATTGTTTGGATTACTATAGCTTTGTACTAAGTTTTGAAATTTCAAAGAGTGAGTCCTCCTTTTTCTCTTTCAAGGTTGTTTTGGTTACATGGGGTTTCTTGCATTCCAAACAAATTTTAGAATAGGGTGTCCATTTCTTAAAGCAACAAAGGATCTGGAATTTTGATAGGAATCACATTAAATCTATAGATTGCTTTGGAAGGTGTTAATATCCTAATATTAAGTAATGCAGTATACAAACATAGGATGTCTTTACACTTATTTGTGTCTTCTTCAATTTCTTTTAGCAATGTTTTGTAGTTTTCAGTGTATAAGTCTTTTACCTCTTTTGTTAGGTTATTTCTAGGTATTTTATTCTTTAGGATGCTATTGTAAATGGATTCTTAACTTCATTTTTTTAGATTGTTATTGCAAGTGAATGGAGATACAATTGATTTTTGTATATTGATGTTGTATTCTGCAAATTTGCTGAACTCATTTATTAGCTCTCATGCTTTTTTGTGATTTCTTTAGGGTTTTCTCTATATAAGTTCATGTTATCTGTGAGTATAGTTTTCTTCTTTATTCCCAATCCAAATGCATTTTGTTTATTTCTTCTGCCTAATTGCTCTGGCTTGAATTTTCAGTACAATGTTGAAAGGAAGTGGCAAGAGCAGACTTTTTCTTGATCTTAGGGAGGTAAGATTTTTAGTCTTTCACTAGTTAAGTGTGTTATTAATGGTGGATTTTTCATAGGGGCCCTTTATCAGGTTGAGAAAACATCCTTCTATTCCTAATTTGCTGAGGGCTTCTTATCATGAGAGAATGTTGGATATTTTTTCAAATGCATTTTCTGCATCTATTGAGATGATCATATCTTCTTTACCTTTATTAATAATATAATTTATTATTTATTAATAATAAATACCTTTATTAATAATATAATTTATTATTTATTAATAATAAATACCTTTATTAATATAATTTATTGCATTGATTGATTTTCATATGTTGAACCACACTTCATTCATGAGATAAATTCCACATATAGTGTATAGTTATTTTAATATGCTCCTGGATTCAGTTTGCTACTATTTTATTGAGGATATTTGAATCTGTATTCATAAAGAATATTGGTCTAGAGTTTTCTTCTCCGTTTTTCTCCTCATCTTCCTCCTCTTTCTCCTTCTTCTCTTCTTTCTCTCCCTGTCTCTTTTTGCCTTCTTCCTCCTCTTATCTTTTTTGTGATGTTTTTCTTTCCTGCTTTTGCTTTGGTTTTGGTCTGGCTTTATAACCAGTGTAATACTAATAGTTATAGAATAAGTTAGGGGTATCCCCTCCTCCATCTTTCAAAAGAGTTTGAGAAGGATTTGTGTTAATCCTTCTTTATTTGTTTTGTAGAATTCACTAATGAGACTGTCTGATTCTCAGATTTTTGTTGGGAGGTTTCTTTTTTACCAGTTTAATCTGCTTGCCTGTTATAGGTCTATTGATATTTTCAATTGCTTCATTAGTCAGTTTTGGTAGACTGTGCATTTCTAGGAATTTGTCCATTTCATTGAGGTTATATAATTGTTGACATACCATTATCCATAGTATTCTCTTAGAAACCTTTTTATATTAGTAAGATCTGTGGTAATGTCACCACTTTATTCTTGGTTTTAGTAATTCAATTCCTCTTATTTATTTATTTATTTATTTATTTATTTTTGGCCAGTCTGCCCAAAAATTTGTCAATTTTGTTGATCTTTTCAAAGAACATACTTTTGGTTTCCTTGATGTTCTCCATTGTTTTTCTATTATCTATTTTGTTTATCTTTTCACTAATCATTTCTACAGTTGAACCTTGAAAACCATTGGGTTGAACTAGGTAGGCCCACTTATATGTGGATTTTTGTCAACTAACATAGATTGAAAGTACAGCATGTGCAGGATTAAAAACACATTTCCAAGGGCTAACTTTTTGCATACGTGGGTTACACAGGGCCAACTGCCAAACTTGAGTATGCACAGACTTTTGTATATGTGGAAGTCTTGAAATGAATCCTTTGTGTATCCTGAGGGACAATTATATTTTCCTCTTCTCCTTGTTTTGGGTTTCGCTTGCTCTTTTCCTTCATTTTCTAAAAAGGTATTTAGGTTAGGCTGTTAATTTGACATCTTTCTATGGCTATAAAATTTCTTCAAAGAACTGTTTTTTTTTTTGATGTCCCATAATTTTGTTTTCTTTTTAATTTTTGTTTTCATTCACTTCAAAGTATTTTCTAATTTTTCTTATGATTTCCTTGGCCTACTTTTATTTAGAAATGTATTGTTTAATTCCCACATAGTTGGAAACTTTCCAAATTTCCATTTGTTATTGATTTCTAATTTCATTCCATTGTTGTCAGAGAACATATTTTGTATAATTTTAATCTTTTAAATAAATTGAGTCTTGTTGTTGTATAACAGATGGTCTATCTTAGAAAATGTTCCATGTGAACTTGAAAAGAAAGTATATTTTGCTATCTGGAGGTGGAGTGTGCTATATATATTTGTTAGGTCTAGTTGGCTTATAGTATTATTCAAGTCCAGTATTTCTGATATTCTTTCTAGTTGTCTATTTTTGAAAATGAGGTACTGAAACCTCTGACAATTATTGTTGAATCTTCTTTTCTTCCTTTAGTAGTCTCTCTATTAGTATTTGCTTCATGTATTTTGGGCCTTGACTTTTACGTCATATACATTTATAATTGTTATATCTTGGTGGATTGACCCTTTTGTCATTAAATAAAGCTTTCTTTATGTCTCATAATAATAATTGTCTTAAGATATCTTTTTTCTGATATTAGTTTCACTATCTGGCTCTCTTGACTATTTGCATAAAATATTTTTTCCCAACCTTTTACTTTCAACCTATGTGTGTCTTTGAATCTACAGTGGGTCTCTTGTAGACATCACATAGCTGGATCATATTTTTAATATCTATTCTGCCAATCTCTGCCTCTAATTTGGACAGTTTAATCTATTTATATTTAATATAATTATAAAGAATCACTTGCTTTTGCCATTTTGCTATTCTTTTCTATATGTCTTATCTTTTGTGTCCTGAAATTCATCTATTACTGCCTTCTTTTGTGTTAAAGAGATCTTTTTTACTGTACAATTTTAATTCTCTTGTTCTTCTTTTGCTATGTATTTTTTAGTTATTTTCTTAATAATTGCCCTGGAGAGGATGCTTAACATCTTAATTTATAACATTCTAGTGTGAATGAATGCCAACTAAGTTTTAATAATATACAAAATCTTTGCTCCCATATAGTTCCATCCTCCCCTTTATATTTTTCACAAATCATGCCTCTAGTCATTGTGTGCCCATCAACTTAGCTTTATAATTATTGTTTTATAAAGTCTTATTTTAAATGAGATTTTTTTTTAGATTACAAGAAAAAAATAAATACTGAATTTCATATTTACCTATATAGTTACTTTTACTAGTGTTCTTTTTTTCATATGGATTTGAGTTATCATCTAGTATACTTTCATTTCATCTGAAGAGCTCCATTTACCATTTCTTGCAGGAAAGATCTGGTAACAAGAAACAACACAGTGTTTGCTTATCTGGGAAGGGCTTAATTTCTCCTTTATTTTTGAAGGATAGTTTTGTCAGATATGGAATTTTCTATTGATTTTTTTTTTCCTTTCAGCACTTTGAGCACATCATTTTGCTGCTTTCTGGCCTCCATGGTTTCTGATGAGAAATCAGCTATCATCATATAGAATATCTCTTTTAAGTGATAAGTTGCTTTTCTCTTACTACTTTCAAAGTATTGTCTTTGTCTATTTTTTTCTACAATTTGATTATAATGTATCTTGGTTTAGATCTCTTTTAGTTTATTAAGGTCTATGAATGTGTAGATTATTGCTGTTTTTCAAATTCAGGAACTTTTTGACCATTATTTTTTCAAATATTTTTCCATCCCTTTCTATCTTTCCTCTCCTAGGAATCCCATTACGCATATGTTAACACACTTGGTAATATCACATAGGGTCTTGTAGGTTCTTTTAATTTTTAAAATTATTTTTCTGTTTCTCAGATTGAATAATCTCAGTTGACCCAAGTTATTGTCCACTGGTAATTCTTTCTGCTCGAATTTGCTGTAGAGTCTCTCTAGTGAATTTTCAATTTTAGTTATCATGATTGTCAACTCCAGAATTTTAATGATTCCTTTTTATAATTTCTGTCTATTTATTGACTATCTCTTTTTAAAGATATATTTTTCTTGTGGTTCCTTTAGTTATTTTGGCATGATTTTCTTTAGTTCTTTGAACATATTTAAAATATGTGATTTAAAGTCATTATCTAGTAAGTCCAGTGTATGGGCTCCTTCAGAGACAGTTTCTTCCTTTCTTTTTTTGTGTGTGACAGTTTCCTTCTGCCCTATCTTTTTCTGTGTATGAGCCATACTTTTTAATTTCTTTGCATGTCTCATATTTCTTTTTTTTTGGAAACTGGACATTTTGAATATTATTAGGGGCAGCTTTGGAAAACAGATTTCTGACTCTTTTGGATTTGTTTTTGCTGCTTGTCGTAGTTGTTATTGAATGTTTACTGAATTTTCTGAAATAACTTGGTGAGGTCTCTATTACGGCTGTGAGGCGTGACTGAAATCTCTATTTGTTAGTTTAGTGGTTAGCTAGTAGTTGAACAGAGATTACCTTAAACATCTGGAAAAAACATTTTTCATATTCTCCAGTCTTTACAGATGGAGTGTGTGTGTGTGTGTGTGTGTGTGTGTGTGTGTTGTGACACATCTTCCACATTCAGCTAGGTAGTTGACAATTCTGCCCTAGACTTCACTTTCTACATGAACAGAGCTTAGTGGTCAGCCAGAGGTGAGAGCTGAGGGCTTTCTTCTTTTCTTTTCTTTTCTTTCTTTCTTTTTTTTTTTCTGAGCATGCACACAACCCTGGGCATGCACATGGACTTCTAGATTCCCAGGAATATGTCAGACTGTTTCAAATCTTTATTTTCCAACATATCTAATTTCCCAAACTTTCCTTTCAAGTTTCAGTTAGTCTATTCTTTGTCCCAACTATGATCTATAACTAAAAACCACAGTAACTAATACATCTGCCCATAAATAATTTTTTTGAAAAATGAGTTAGGTGAGTTGCTACAGCCACAAGACAGGTCAAACAATCACAATTCTTTATAAATGAGATCAATTCTCTTCCCTCTTGTACAAGTACCTGTACCACAAATGCAGGCTGTTTCTCTCACGGCCACCACTGAGCTGGAGAGTAGGGGCTGGGACCATGGTAAGCTACAATGCCACAAATCTTGCTATTCTAACTAAGAGTCAGCTGGCTTTGCCTGAGAGACTTTCATCCTGGTTGCTGAAAGTTTTTACTTAGTTTTCATAGCTCTAAAAAAGTTGTTCCTGGCATTTTTTTTGCCAGGCTTTTCATTGTTTTTATGAAGGGATGGACTTATAGATGTTCTTACTCTATCATTTTCACTGATATAACTTTTATAACTTTTCATAATCTAATAGTGAAATGTGAAGTCAAAATTTCAAAGAAATTGTTTTCCTCTTGGGATAACTGTGCTTAAGAAAATCGTCTCTTCTTAAACTATTTTTAGAGAAGAACTTAAAAGTAGTGAACCAGATTTTCTTTACAAATAAAAACAAAAGATATATAGAATTAAAAAGTAAAATTTGGCCATAATAAAAATGGATTTACTCCATCTTAAACATTTTAAACAATCTGATTTACAAATACAATAAAAATATAGAATAACAAGGCACTGTCCACCATTTTTCACTTCTCATTCAAGTAATGATTTAAAAATTAATGAATAAAAAAATAAAGAACTCACTGTGAATTCACAAGGTTCTCATACAAAAGTCTTAAGCCATGCTATTTTGAATGTGACTCGCAGATCCAAACTTAAAGACTATAGTCAGAGTGGAAACAATATAAAAGCAATGTGTATTATAAAACAATATGAGAAGAAAAGATGCTGTGATGCAGACTGTTAAAAGCCATTTAGAAAACTTTTATCTTTTCCAGTCCTCTCCCTCAATCCTTCACTCTAAAGTTTTTTCTTCTTCCTCCACCAGTGATACTGAGTTGATATCAGTCACTAATACTCTAGCAAGAGTGATTCCAGAGCACAGCCTGGTCTGGATGAGACTGTTGGTAGCTGTTTCCCAGGAATTACTAGATTCCACATAGTATCTTCAGCTTAAACAATGTACTATAGAGGTATAATTGTATTTTCCAACACCACTTTTCATTGTAGTAAATATTTTTATCTACGTGGGTTAAAAGGGCCTCTGTGGATTACCCTGAGAATTCTTTTACATATGTCTATGTAGGCAGAGGGCTATAGAGATTTAGATAGTTCATGTGAGGAATAAAACATCCATATAACAGGCTCACAAATGAACATTTGGAACCTAACTTATTTATAAAACATGAAGCCCCCACATTTCAGACACCTTTTATGTGCCATCACAGATTCTTATAGAGCCAGAGGAGTAACCGGTTCTGCTGTGGCTTCAGCCAGTTTCGTGCAGGTATATTCTGATAACACTTTGCCTCATGCCCTCCATGAAGGCCTCTGCTGACATGACTGCTGAAGTAGGGTAACCTTCTGAATGCTCACCCAAATACAGCTTAGAAGCACTCCAACGAACGGACGTTTGATGGATTGGACACAAAAGCTCTCATGGATAGATGCTTCCTTCCTTCCTACCCTATAAAGTCCTGAAATGTGCTTCATAAGGTTCTTCAAAATGTCTCATGGGATTTACCAAGCAGTTGCACCATAGCAACGGCCAACTCAAGGAGGTATCTTTCTATTGGTTTTCCCTTCTTTCTTGCCTCGCCCCACACCCCCACCCCCATCTCTCTCCTTTATATTTCCTGGATCACATTTTCCAAGAAAGCACATCCACTTAAGACTTTGTTTCAGGTTCTGATTTCTGGGGAATCCAATTCTAGGAACCCTGACTTTAAAATCATCCATGAATAATATACTAAAGAATTATATTGGTATAAATTAGAGGTTTAGAATAAGATGCAAATCAAAAAATAAACAAAAACGTAGATACTACCCACATTTGTCTAGTTCAGTATGTATGAACAAACGTATTGTAGCATACATACACGTACACACAATCACCTCTTTATTTCATGTGAAAAGAAATTTTAATTCAAGAATGTGGTGTTGCTGTGTTTCTCAGGTCCAGTGCTTTTGACTGGACGATAGAAAGGAAATGTTCTCTATGGAAATTATAATATTAGTGGGGGGATTTCACAAGCTGAGATTTTTTTAGCTTGAAGGTAAGAACAAATGAGTCTTCAATCCTGGAGGTGCAGAGTACACTAACAAGTGTATGGTGCATCCTTTAAGTCTTTCCTTATGGGATCTTTGGTTATAAAATTCCAGAACAAGCTATCATCAAACAATTGTGAACACAATCCTATCATCAGTAGGCTCAGAACTGAAAGCTTTGCTTAATGTGTCAAGTAAGAATATGATGTAGGCTCATTCTGATAGGCACTATCACATTTTATTCACACGGCACCACATGTTCACACTGACTTATCTAAAATCCATGCACTTTAACGCTTTGGCCAGCTCTCCCTGAAGCTCACACATGCTTCATTCATAGACTGAATGCTCCATATGCGTCTTATACGAGTCCAATGAAAGAACTAGCTAAACTGTCTCTTGTGCAATGAAAGCTCTGTCACTCCATATCATCATTGGTCCTACTTTGGCTAAGCTTAGACACTTTGTTTCTTGTTGCTGGAGGAGAATCCTGAGAAAGCTATTGAGTGACAGCTACGGTATCAGCAGATACCACTTGGCATCCTTAATTTGTCCAAATCATGCTCCAGTCTTGAATTTTAAATGTTGATTTCCTGTGGGGTGTTTTTTTCTTCTTCTCCTGGTTTAACGCTCTCTGAATGACAAACAGCAGACTTAAAGTACAAAGGGAACATTATCAGAAAGGTTATATGTCTCTGGTAATATAACCAGTGCTGGTTAAATATGAAGGTAAAATAAATAACTGTCTTTATGTCTAATATTTCAAGAACTGTAAAAGCTTCCAAATAGCTTTCTTAGAACAGAATGGGCACCTAAAATTTCACCATTACTTATGTGTTTATCAATGAATTTAGAGTCAGAAAACATACTGTTTTAGTACTAGCAATGACACTTGCTTACTGTGTCACTCTGATAAGTGACATAATTTTTTACCGTTATTTCACCATCAATAAAATATAGATAATAACACCTTCATAACTACTTTACAAAGCTATCGCAAGGAGCAAATTAGAAAATAATAGCAAACTATAAAATATATATGAAGATAATGAGTTTCTCTTATTACCATCAGTAATTTCTCTTCATTACTAATAGCATAAATTTATGTAATATCAATAATTCACATCTTTATGTGAATTTGAAGATCTAAAAGTATATTTCAATAGGATATGCCCCAGGATTTCTGAGGCAAGTTGGTAGATATGAGTGTGCTAAATAAGAGTGGTAAAGATCCCAAAAGAATAGTGTGAAGTTCTGAAGATAAATTTACCAACTCCTTAACAAAGCTAAGATTCAGTTTTGATAATAATTTTGCCTATCCCTCCTCAATCTGTAGGAATAACTGGCAGTATGCTAAGTGGGCTGACAAAGGTGTTGCTATCAAAAGGCAGTGCAACTGGACCAGTAGGGAAAGGCTATCTAGAGCCACTCAGGTCCTACCCTCAGGGACCTGAGGAGACAAATACAGGCAGCTATGATTTTTGTACCTCATTCTTCTGTGGAGGAAAGGTAATTTCCTTACCTTATAAAACAAACCTGGTGTACCTGAGTACTTATGCATCTTGAAGGAGTTTTGTTCACTATAGTCATGAAGGATGGTAGAGCTGATGATCTTAAATAAATAGAGACTTCCTGTGTCTATCTACTCTGGTGAAATGACTTTACTGGTTCTCAGAAACTGCATAGCACTTGGTATGTCTCTTGTGATATTAATCACATTCTGATGTCATTATTTTATTCAATTTTCCACCTCTTTCACACCATTTAAATTTCAAATTATTTTGTGGCTAGAAACAATGTCTTACTCCTGTTTATATTGTTTATAAGCAACTATGGCACAGTGCCTTGAGAGAGTTGATGATTACTGAGGAAAAAAAAAGAAAGAATGAAAAATACAGACAAAATCATTGGTGTAAATTATTCTGATATGGTAATACCTTTCTGCTAAGAAATTGAGGCCATGTGCATTAGTGATTTGAATAAAAATTTGAAAATGGGATTCTACCTTGTAGTCAAGCCAGCCTATTAATTGCTTTTATAAAATTATTTCCTTTCTATAATTTCAGGACAAAAATATTGACTTAGAGTTGATTCCAAACATGAATAAGTCTAAATATAAAGCCATGTATAAATTAGGAAAACTATAGAATTCCTATTTTTTAATTAAAAAGATTTTAAAGGAATAAAATGTGAAATTTTCATGTCAAAATAGAAAAAAATGATGTGGAATTCCCAACACATAAAAGATGAACATACCTTAAGGCTTTTCCTACAAAGAAAGGACACTACTCCAATAGTGCAGGGTTTGTTTGTTGTTTTATCCATGTATTTCCCTGCAGAGGAAAGGACCGTGGTTAGGTAAAGGGAAGAAGAAAAAGTCTAACAGTAAAAGTGTGGTATTTCCACATGAGGAAGAAAATCTGAAGTGAAACCATTAGTCTACAGATGAAATTTCTATGAGAAAACTATTTTGCAGAAATGGAGAGGCCTCATGCTGTGGTCAGCACAATGGCACTACTAGTTGGGGAGGGAGCCTGTGGATGAATGTGAAGTACACAATGGCCTGCTGTGTAATTAAAGAGGATGTTAGAAAGATTGAGAAACCCCATACTGTGTCCACGAAGAATACAGATACTTTTAGGGAGATGTGATAGAGTTATACAACTAGTCACCAGGTTTTCAAAATAAATTAAAGGGTACCTGTTAATCTTTAGAGGTTGATGACACTTATTTCTCTTTTCAGACTAAAAGTGCTGATTGATTGATTGCTGCTTGATCTGTTTTTGATATTACTTTGTTTTCTTTTTTCTTTCCAAAAGCCATATAAGTTTGTGAAGAATAACAATTTTTGATGGAACAGCTATGGTTATAGTTTTGAAGAATAAAGTATCTTTAAAATAATTCAATCAAAACATGTCATTAAATTTTAAAAGCCTGTGGGCAAAATACATGGCAAAAGGAAACTGTGAGGCATTAATCCAAGCCGTGGTCACCTTGAAAAATCAGTGTCCTTTGGTTGAGTTTCTTTTTCCTTCTCTTCTCTATTAAGGACAATGGAATTAATTTTATGAGCTTCCTGTGTGCGCTGAAGAGAAGGAAGTGTAGACCATGTTAAGGTTTCCAGTGAATTTTAAAAGTTACTGAAGATGGGGTTTCTTTCCACCTTCATATGTTCTTTTATGACTGCTTTTAAACCCTCATCCTGCATGAAACTTAGCTGGCAAGCTTTTTAAAAACTGGTTGTTCACCTTCCATGCATCCCCCCAACCCTGAGTTTCTAATTCAGTTGCTCTAAGTGGTACCAAAGAATCCTATTTTCAAACCCCTCCCCTGCACCTGCTACCACCAGTTGATTCTGACATATAACCCAATTTGAGACCCACTTCTTACGAGCCTGAGTTTTCTAAGCATTCAATGTATACCTATTAGTTATGATTTACCTAACTGATCTCCTGCATAAATAACTTGTAGAAAATGGATTTATTGCTCAGATTCATCAAAACTTATTTCCTGAAGTATAAGAGTAAATAGATATGAATGGAATTCTCCTTTTTTAACTAGTAAACTAGAATTACCAAAAGGATAATTCTTTGAAGAGCAAAAACCTATTCAAGGAAGCCTGGAACAGAGAGTCAGGGAGCACCATAAAGACCAAAGGTATAAGGGAAATCTAAGAGTAAAATGATGAGACAGTCACATGTAAATAGCAGGCTCAAACGGCCAGAGATTCAATCAGGGTTGCAGGGAGGAGGATATCAAGTCAAGTAGAGAACATCCATGAAAGACCAGGATAGAAACAAATGAAGAGGTCCAGAGAAATTCCTAAATGGCCTTGGGCTATCCCTAGTCCCTTTTCATGGTCCACAGGTAGAAAGGAGTTGTGTGTTTTGGGTTTCCTTAAAAGATACAAGATGATAAGATGCTTGTGATTTTGCTTTTTGCTCATATCCTTGGTACTGTACTTGGTATGAGTTGGCATTCAATAAATGTTTATTGAATGAATTAATCAATATAATGAAGGATAATTTTCAATGACTAGTAACTTAACTATCTCATCTCTATTTCATATTTCATACTTAAACATTTAGTTAACGACTTGTCTCAATTTTCCCTAAAATGCTGAACTTGACTTCCAGACTGGTAGAATTCAACCAGTGGTTCTTAAATTTGCCTATGCATTTAAGTCACCTAGAAAGCTTTGAAATACACATTAGTGTTTGAGACTAACCTCCAGATATTCTAAATTGGTTTGAGTGGAGCCCAGGGATTGGAATATTTAAAAACCAAATGAAAACCAACCAACCAACAACAACAACAATAACAAAACCCCACTTCTCTAGGTAAATCTAATGTGCATCAGGGAATTGAATTTTCATAGGTGTTCTTAAAATTCATCATTTATTTTTTGCTGCTTGTTTCATATTAATCTAAGCTAGAGTAGTTCAAGAATTGTTACAGTTCTATTTTCTAAGTATATAGTGATGGATAAAAAAACAACTTAATGATTTGGGAGAAATAATAGCTACAATTTACACTGCCAAGAAATGTCAGGAGTATCAGTATATGCCCAAAGATGTGTTTACTTTGTTTTAACAATTTTAGCCTCCCTGGCACACTCACCTTTTACCTCTACCTACATCCCTGTTAGTGTCAATTGCCTTGGGAACTTTCTTATTTCTTCCCATTTTATTCATGATATGAGCCCCAGTTCTCCCAATATAAACTGCTGGTTCAGTGACAAAAAACTGAATTTTCTACTTTGACCCCTGTGTCTGCTAGCATTTGGACTTGGCGATGTTGAGGTCCCAGTGTTGACACTTCCCAGTGGCTTTTGCCTATGACTGAATTCTAGCAACTCATGTTGTCTGCAGTAGGAATCCTCCATTCCAATGCCAGTCGATTATGACTGCAAACTCATGGTTAGTAACCCACTTCCCACCCCACCCTCATAAACCAGGAGATGATTAGAATACCGCATGCAAGAGACGGACCAGGCCAGTGTAAATAAAAAAACAGCATAAACTTACCTAGCCATAAAGACCATCATGATCATGAAAACAGCATAGAATGATGAATAATTATTACCTACTAAGCTCAATGTAAAGCCTTAAAATTCAAGCTAGAGTCAAGTCTACTGATATATATTAATAAAATACCAACCAAACACAAATCTACATTCAGCTTTTAGAGACATTTTCTGTGTAGACACTTTTCTTAAGCCCCCAAATTCTGCAGAAAATAAACATCCACTGTAAATATTTACTTCTGTGATTAAGAACAGAAGACACATGTAAATAGCACTGACACCTGCCTCGGAAAGTTGTGAGATGGGAGAAGATGGAATTTCTCTGGGTTTCACATTCTGGTACTCCTGTCAACTGTAGTTAGGACAAAATGGGTGTTTTCTCTCTTTTTTTTTCCTCTCTTTTTTCCTTTTCTTATGGCTTACTTGTGATGAGTTGTGTGTTCCTGGACAAACTGATTTTTTTTTTAATTGAGGCAAAATGTGTACTGCTCTTTCCAATACATCATATTGACTTGTGGAAACGCATGCATAGTGCATTTAGTATATCTAAAAGATTGCTGCTATCATCAAATCTGTTACTTTCCTTACCATTTATGGTAGGCAGTTAATTCATCTATAGAAAATAGACTTCGTATTAACTCCTGTGGAAGCCTGTATTTTCTGTATGAGCCTTTCACCATTTAGTTATTTTTTTGCAAAAAGCAAAATGTAACAGACATTTTGGTGTAACTGCCCATGTATTTGTCAAATCACAGAGAAAGTGGGATGAATGGAAACTTGCAATCTTGCACTTAGGTCCAAATTTGGGTATGTTTAAGTAAGCCTTAGTAGACACTGTTGCTAAAAAGGATAAAGGCTGGATAATTGTAGGCATCAAAAGAAATGGAAAGCAGGTTAGAGAATCAAGAGGCACTAGACCAATAAGTAGTCACATTTTTAAAGATTCATGTATGAGATAAAAAATGTTCTGCTTAACAGCAGTGGTGCTATTCTTGCCATGAGAGTGTCACCAACTCCCTATGACCCTGCCTCAGGCAGGGACAGAAGATGGCTCATAAAAGGACAATGCATGAAAGCTAGAGGGGATGAAAGGAATTAGTTCTTAGAAAAGTGGATTTCCATGCCTTTTCCATGCTTTTGTAGATATGCACATAATGTTTTATTAAAGAAACCCAGATTTTGTCTCTGCTATTTATTAATATTGTAGGGGAAAGTGAAATCCATAAAATGAGTAAATTTCCAAGATGTGTTTTTAACACAATAACATTCAGATGAATCATGAGTAATCTTTTTTAACTAATTCATGCCCCTTTTTAAAATAAGAATTGGCAACTCGTTGCCACTGATTTGGAAAAGATTTAACATATAAGTTAAGTGGTACTTCAACCCATATTTCTAGCTTGTAGGATGCCAGCCATCTCAGTGATAACAAATTGCAGCAACATTGCATGCATTTAACCAAGTGTAAATGAAAATAATTCTCCATAGTGTCCAAGCTCAAATACCCACTTAATGATTTGTTATTACAGTTTTGAGCACCAAATTTTTATTTAATTCTCCCTTTATTAAAAGGTTTGTTTTACCCTATTTTCACTGCAGCATGATCACTATATACCAAAACATAATAAAGACATGAAAACAGACTTTTACAGTTTGAAGTCTCTAGCCAATCCTTATTTTAATGTAGCAATTCGCAGTGTATTCTGTAATATGAAACATTAAACCTGGCATTTTGTTGGAGCTATAAAATTTAAAAACTCACCTATAAACATTATTTACGAAAAGTAAGTGACAGCTGAAATTCTTTCTCAATAAGAGTTTTGGGAGGCCTAGAGCCTCTCCTCTTTCTTCTTTCTCAGTTCCAGTTTTTTGTTTTTTTTTTAATCAACTTTCCCACTTATTCTCAAATCTTTATGCTCACACTTGCTGCTTTCTCTTCATACCACACGCCAGGGTTATGACGGTGCTAGCCAGGCCACAGGCTTAGCAGGCCAAGCTGTGTGCAAAGGCAGCACCATGTTTGATTCGTGTCATTACTCCATGCCCCAGCACAGTGCCTGAAATGTAGAAGGAATTCAACCAGAGAAAGAACCTAAACTGTACTTGTTTAATTTCTCAATTCAAGAAATTTTTTGGGATGGCTGGGTCAAATGGTATTTCTAGTTCTAGATCCCTGAGGAATCGCCACACTGACTTCCACAATGGTTGAACTAGTTTACAGTCCCACCAACAGTGTAAAAGTGTTCCTATTTCTCCACATCCTCTCCAGCACCTGTTGTTTCCTGACTTTTTAATGATTGCCATTCTAACTGGTGTGAGATGATATCTCATAGTGGTTTTGATTTGCATTTCTCTGATGGCCAGTGATGATGAGCATTTCTTCATGTGTTTTTTGGCTGCATAAATGTCTTCTTTTGAGAAGTGTCTGTTCATGTCCTTCACCCACTTTTTGATGGGGTTGTTTGTTTTTTTCTTGTAAATTTGTTTCAGTTCATTGTAGATTCTGGATATTAGCCCTTTGTCAGATGAGTAGGTTGCGAAAATTTTCTCCCATGTTGTAGGTTGCCTGTTCACTCTGATGGTAGTTTCTTTTGCTGTGCAGAAGCTCTTTAGTTTAATTAGATCCCATTTGTCAATTTTGTCTTTTGTTGCCATTGCTTTTGGTGTTTTGGACATGAAGTCCTTGCCCACGCCTATGTCCTGAATGGTAATGCCTAGGTTTTCTTCTAGGGTTTTTATGGTTTTAGGTCTAACGTTTAAATCTTTAATCCATCTTGAATTGATTTTTGTATAAGGTGTAAGGAAGGGATCCAGTTTCAGCTTTCTACATATGGCTAGCCAGTTTTCCCAGCACCATTTATTAAATAGGGAATCCTTTCCCCATTGCTTGTTTTTCTCAGGTTTGTCAAAGATCAGATAGTTGTAGATATGCGGCATTATTTCTGAGGGCTCTGTTCTGTTCCATTGATCTATATCTCTGTTTTGGTACCAGTACCATGCTGTTTTGGTTACTGTAGGCTTGTAGTATAGTTTGAAGTCAGGTAGTGTGATGCCTCCAGCTTTGTTCTTTTGGCTTAGGATTGACTTGGCGATGCGGGCTCTTTTTTGGTTCCATATGAACTTTAAAGTAGTTTTTTCCAATTCTGTGAAGAAAGTCATTGGTAGCTTGATGGGGATGGCATTGAATCTGTAAATTACCTTGGGCAGTATGGCCATTTTCACGATATTGATTCTTCCTACCCATGAGCATGGAATGTTCTTCCATTTGTTTGTGTCCTCTTTTATTTCCTTGAGCAGTGGTTTGTAGTTCTCCTTGAAGAGGTCCTTCACATCCCTTGTAAGTTGGATTAACTGGGTATATACCCAAATGACTATAAATCATGCTGCTATAAAGACACATGCACACGTATGTTTATTGTGGCACTATTCACAATAGCAAAGACTTGGAACCAACCCAAATGTCCAACAATGATAGACTGGATTAAGAAAATGTGGCACATATACACCATGGAATACTATGCAGCCATAAAAAATGATGAGTTCATGTCCTTTGTAGGGACATGGATGAAATTGGAAACCATCATTCTTAGTAAACTATCGCAAGAACAAAAAACCAAACACCGCATATTCTCACTCATAGGTGGGAATTGAACAATGAGATCACATGGACACAGGAAGGGGAATATCACACTCTGGGGACTGTGGTGGGGTCGGGGGAGGGGGGAGGGATAGCATTGGGAGATATACCTAATGCTAGATGACATGTTAGTGGGTGCAGCGCACCAGCATGGCACATGTATACATATGTAACTAACCTGCACAATGTGCACATGTACCCTAAAACTTAGAGTATAATAAAAAAAAAAAATTAAAAAAAAAAATAAAAATAAATAAAAATGAAATTACTGTATTGGCTACTACAAAAAAACATGAGTGAATAAACATACACACACACACACACACACACATACACACACACACACACACAGAAAGAGAGAGGGGGGCAGGCGGCATGGGGGCATTTTAAAATATGCTACCCAAGTTAAAAGCTATTTTCTTTTCTTTTTTTTTTTTTTTATTATACTCTAAGTTTTAGGGTACATGTGCACATTGTGCAGGTTAGTTACATATGTATACATGTGCCATGCTGGTGCGCTGCACCCACTAGCTCGTCATCTAGCATTAGGTATATCTCCCAATGCTATCCCTCCCCCCTCCCCCGACCCCACCACAGTCCCCAGAGTGTGATATTCCCCTTCCTGTGTCCATGTGATCTCATTGTTCAATTCCCACCTATGAGTGAGAATATGCGGTGTTTGGTTTTTTGTTCTTGCGATAGTTTACTGAGAATGATGGTTTCCACTTTCATCCATGTCCCTACAAAGGATATGAACTCATCATTTTTTATGGCTGCATAGTATTCCATGGTGTATATGTGCCACATTTTCTTAATCCAGTCTATCATTGTTGGACATTTGGGTTGGTTCCAAGTCTTTGCTATTGTGAATAGTGCCGCAATAAACATACGTGTGCATGTGTCTTTATAGCAGCATGATTTATACTCATTTGGGTATATACCCAGTAATGGGATGGCTGGGTCAAATGGTATTTCTAGTTCTAGATCCCTGAGGAATCGCCACACTGACTTCCACAATGGTTGAACTAGTTTACAGTCCCACCAACAGTGTAAAAGTGTTCCTATTTCTCCACATCCTCTCCAGCACCTGTTGTTTCCTGACTTTTTAATGATTGCCATTCTAACTGGTGTGAGATGATATCTCATAGTGGTTTTGATTTGCATTTCTCTGATGGCCAGTGATGATGAGCATTTCTTCATGTGTTTTTTGGCTGCATAAATGTCTTCTTTTGAGAAGTGTCTGTTCATGTCCTTCGCCCACTTTTTGATAGGGTTGTTTGTTTTTTTCTTGTAAATTTGTTTGAGTTCATTGTAGATTCTGGATATTAGCCCTTTGTCAGATGAGTAGGTTGCGAAAATTTTCTCCCATGTTGTAGGTTGCCTGTTCACTCTGATGGTAGTTTCTTTTGCTGTGCAGAAGCTCTTTAGTTTAATTAGATCCCATTTGTCAATTTTGGCTTTTGTTGCCATTGCTTTTGGTGTTTTGGACATGAAGTCCTTGCCCACGCCTATGTCCTGAATGGTAATGCCTAGGTTTTCTTCTAGGGTTTTTATGGTTTTAGGTTTAACGTTTAAATCTTTAATCCATCTTGAATTGATTTTTGTATAAGGTGTAAGGAAGGGATCCAGTTTCAGCTTTCTACATATGGCTAGCCAGTTTTCCCAGCACCATTTATTAAATAGGGAATCCTTTCCCCATTGCTTGTTTTTCTCAGGTTTGTCAAAGATCAGATAGTTGTAGATATGTGGCATTATTTCTGAGGGCTCTGTTCTGTTCCATTGATCTATATCTCTGTTTTGGTACCAGTACCATGCTGTTTTGGTTACTGTTGCCTTGTAGTATAGTTTGAAGTCAGGTAGTGTGATGCCTCCAGCTTTGTTCTTTTGGCTTAGGATTGACTTGGCAATGCGGGCTCTTTTTTGGTTCCATATGAACTTTAAAGTAGTTTTTTCCAATTCTGTGAAGAAAGTCATTGGTAGCTTGATGGGGATGGCATTGAATCTGTAAATTACCTTGGGCAGTATGGCCATTTTCACGATATTGATTCTTCCTACCCATGAGCATGGAATGTTCTTCCATTTGTTTGTCTCCTCTTTTATTTCCTTGAGCAGTGGTTTGTAGTTCTCCTTGAAGAGGTCCTTCACATCCCTTGTAAGTTGGATTCCTAGGTATTTTATTCTCTTTGAAGCAATTGTGAATGGGAGTTCACCCATGATTTGGCTCTCTGTTTGTCTGTTGTTGGTGTATAAGAATGCTTGTGATTTTTGTGCATTGATTTTGTATCCTGAGACTTTGCTGAAGTTGCTTATCAGCTTAAGGAGATTTTGGGCTGAGACGATGGGGTTTTCTAGATAAACAATCATGTCGTCTGCAAACAGGGACAATTTGACTTCCTCTTTTCCTAATTAAATACCCTTTATTTCCTTCTCCTGCCTGATTGCCCTGGCCAGAACTTCCAACACTATGTTGAATAGGAGCGGTGAGAGAGGGCATCCCTGTCTTGTGCCAGATTTCAAAGGGAATGCTTCCAGTTTTTGCCCATTCAGTATGATATTGGCTGTGGGTTTGTCATAGATAGCTCTTATTATTTTGAAATACGTCCCATCAATACCTAATTTATTGAGAGTTTTTAGCATGAAGGGTTGTTGAATTTTGTCAAAGGCTTTTTCTGCATCTATTGAGATAATCATGTGGTTTTTGTCTTTGGCTCTGTTTATATGCTGGATTACATTTATTGATTTGCGTATATTGAACCAGCCTTGCATCCCAGGGATGAAGCCCACTTGATCATGGTGGATAAGCTTTTTGATGTGCTGCTGGATTCGGTTTGCCAGTATTTTATTGAGGATTTTTGCATCAATGTTCATCAAGGATATTGTTCTAAAATTCTCTTTTTTGGTTGTGTCTCTGCCCGGCTTTGGTATCAGAATGATGCTGGCCTCATAAAATGAGTTAGGGAGGATTCCCTCTTTTTCTATTGATTGGAATAGTTTCAGAAGGAATGGTACCAGTTCCTCCATGTACCTCTGGTAGAATTCGGCTGTGAATCCATCTGGTCCTGGACTCTTTTTGGTTGGTAAACTATTGATTATTGCCACAATTTCAGAGCCTGTTATTGGTCTATTCAGAGATTCAACTTCTTCCTGGTTTAGTCTTGGGAGAGTGTATGTGTCGAGGAATTTATCCATTTCTTCTAGATTTTCTAGTTTATTTGCGTAGAGGTGTTTGTAGTATTCTCTGATGGTAGTTTGTATTTCTGTGGGATCGGTGGTGATATCCCCTTTATCATTTTTTATTGTGTCTATTTGATTCTTCTCTCTTTTTTTCTTTATTAGTCTTGCTAGCGGTCTATCAATTTTGTTGATCCTTTCAAAAAACCAGCTCCTGGATTCATTGATTTTTTGAAGGGTTTTTTGTGTCTCTATTTCCTTCAGTTCTGCTCTGATTTTAGTTATTTCTTGCCTTCTGCTAGCTTTTGAATGTGTTTGCTCTTGCTTTTCTAGTTCTTTTAATTGTGATGTTAGGGTGTCAATTTTGGATCTTTCCTGCTTTCTCTTGTAGGCATTTAGTGCTATAAATTTCCCTCTACACACTGCTTTGAATGCGTCCCAGAGATTCTGGTATGTGGTGTCTTTGTTCTCGTTGGTTTCAAAGAACATCTTTATTTCTACCTTCATTTCGTTATGTACCCAGTAGTCATTCAGGAGCAGGTTGTTCAGTTTCCATGTAGTTGAGCGGCTTTGAGTGAGATTCTTAATCCTGAGTTCTAGTTTGATTGCACTGTGGTCTGAGAGATAGTTTGTTATAATTTCTGTTCTTTTACATTTGCTGAGGGGAGCTTTACTTCCAACTATGTGGTCAATTTTGGAATAGGTGTGGTGTGGTGCTGAAAAAAAATGTATATTCTGTTGATTTGGGGTGGAGAGTTCTGTAGATGTCTATTAGGTCTGCTTGGTGCAGAGCTGAGTTCAATTCCTGGGTATCCTTGTTGACTTTCTGTCTCGTTGATCTGTCTAATGTTGACAGTGGGGTGTTAAAGTCTCCCATTATTAATGTGTGGGAGTCTAAGTCTCTTTGTAGGTCACTCAGGACTTGCTTTATGAATCTGGGTGCTCCTGTATTGGGTGCATAAATATTTAGGATAGTTAGCTCCTCTTGTTGAATTGATCCCTTTACCATTATGTAATGGCCTTCTTTGTCTCTTTTGATCTTTGTTGGTTTAAAGTCTGTTTTATCAGAGACTAGGATTGCAACCCCTGCCTTTTTTTGTTTTCCATTGGCTTGGTAGATCTTCCTCCATCCTTTTATTTTGAGCCTATGTGTGTCTCTGCACGCGAGATGGGTTTCCTGAATACAGCACACTGATGGGTCTTGACTCTTTATCCAACTTGCCAGTCTGTGTCTTTTAATTGCAGAATTTAGTCCATTTATATTTAAAGTTAATATTGTTATGTGTGAATTTGATCCTGTCATTATGATGTTAGCTGGTGATTTTGCTCATTAGTTGATGCAGTTTCTTCCTAGTCTTGATGGTCTTTACATTTTGGCATGATTTTGCAGCGGCTGGTACCGGTTGTTCCTTTCCATGTTTAGCGCTTCCTTCAGGAGCTCTTTTAGGGCAGGCCTGGTGGTGACAAAATCTCTCAACATTTGCTTGTCTATAAAGTATTTTATTTCTCCTTCACTTATGAAGCTTAGTTTGGCTGGATATGAAATTCTGGGTTGAAAATTCTTTTCTTTAAGAATGTTGAATATTGGCCCCCACTCTCTTCTGGCTTGTAGGGTTTCTGCCGAGAGATCCGCTGTTAGTCTGATGGGCTTTCCTTTGAGGGTAACCCGACCTTTCTCTCTGGCTGCCCTTAACATTTTTTCCTTCATTTCAACTTTGGTGAATCTGACAATTATGTGTCTTGGAGTTGCTCTTCTCGAGGAGTATCTTTGTGGCGTTCTCTGTATTTCCTGAATCTGAACGTTGGCCTGCCTTGCTAGATTGGGGAAGTTCTCCTGGATAATATCCTGCAGAGTGTTTTCCAACTTGGTTCCATTCTCCCCATCACTTTCAGGTACACCAAGCAGACGTAGATTTGGTCTTTTCACATAGTCCCATATTTCTTGGAGGGTTTGCTCATTTCTTTTTATTCTTTTTTCTCTAAACTTCCCTTCTCGCTTCATTTCATTCATTTCATCTTCCATTGCTGATACCCTTTCTTCCAGTTGATCGCATCGGCTCCTGAGGCTTCTGCATTCTTCACCTAGTTCTCGAGCCTTGGTTTTCAGCTCCATCAGCTCCTTTAAGCACTTCTCTGTATTGGTTATTCTAGTTATACATTCTTCTAAATTTTTTTCAAAGTTTTCAACTTCTTTGCCTTTGGTTTGAATGTCCTCCCGTAGCTCAGAGTAATTTGATCGTCTGAAGCCTTCTTCTCTCAGCTCGTCAAAATCATTCTCCATCCAGCTTTGTTCTGTTGCTGGTGAGGAACTGCATTCCTTTGGAGGAGGAGAGGCGCTCTGCATTTTAGAGTTTCCAGTTTTTCTGTTCTGTTTTTTCCCCATCTTTGTGGTTTTATCTACTTTTGGTCTTTGATGATGGTGATGTACAGATGGGTTTTCGGTGTAGATGTCCTTTCTGGTTGTTAGTTTTCCTTCTAACAGACAGGGCCCTCAGCTGCAGGTCTGTTGGAATACCCTGCCGTGTGAGGTGTCAGTGTGCCCCTGCTGGGGGGTGCCTCCCAGTTAGGCTGCTCGGGGGTCAGGAGTCAGGGACCCACTTGAGGAGGCAGTCTGCCCGTTCTCAGATCTCCAGCTGCGTGCTGGGAGAACCACTGCTCTCTTCAAAGCTGTCAGACAGGGACATTTAAGTCTGCAGAGGTTACTGCTGTCTTTTTGTTTGTCTGTGCCCTGCCCCCAGAGGTGGAGCCTACAGAGGCAGGCAGGCCTCCTTGAGCTGTGGTGGGCTCCACCCAGTTCGAGCTTCCCGGCTGCTTTGTTTACCTAAGCAAGCCTGGGCAATGGCGGGCGCCCCTCCCCCAGCCTCGTTGCCGCCTTGCAGTTTGATCTCAGACTGCTGTGCTAGCAATCAGCGAGATTCCGTGGGCGTAGGACCCTCTGAGCCAGGTGTGGGATATAGTCTCGTGGTGTGCCGTTTCTTAAGCCGGTCTGAAAAGCGCAATATTCGGGTGAGAGTGACCCGATTTTCCAGGTGCGTCCGTCACCCCTTTCTTTGACTCGGAAAGGGAACTCCCTGACCCCTTGCGCTTCCCAGGTGAGGCAATGCCTCGCCCTGCTTCGGCTCGCGCACGGTGCGCACACACACTGGCCTGCGCCCACTGTCTGGCACTCCCTAGTGAGATGAACCCGGTACCTCAGATGGAAATGCAGAAATCACCGTCTTCTGCGTCGCTCACGCTTGGAGCTGTAGACCGGAGCTGTTCCTATTTGGCCATCTTGGCTCCTCCCTAAATAGCTGTTGTTGGCCGAGCATGGTGGCACACGCCTGTAATCTCAGCACTTTCGGAGGCCGAGGCGGGCGGATCACAAGGTCAGGAGATCCAGACTATCCAGGCTAACACGGTGTAACCCCGTCTCTAGATCAGCCTTCGCTTGGGCAGGGTCCAGATGCGGAGATGTGAAAAACGTGATGCCACCAGGCCATCATCACATCAAGTTCCAGTCTGTCCCCCTTCCTCTTCCTCTGGGAACAGCTCCACCAATTTTATGTATGCCTTTAGAGAATCTGCCTTTACAGAACTTGAAGAGCTCTGATGGAGGAACAGAGATGCTGTGGTGGTAGTGGCCTTGGAGGTGGTGGTAGTGGCAATGGTGATGATGATGATGATGAAAGAAGAAGAAAACGGTGATGGTAAATGTCATCTGACCAATACTCGGGAGGCTGGTCCCGAGTCCCAGCTACTCGGGAGGCTGAGGCAGGAGGATTGCTTACGGCAACAGCCGTGGCGGCTGCAGCCTCGAAGGATGCTGCGCTCCAGTCCAGAGCCCAAAAGCTATTTTCAAAAGAGATTGATAAATCCAAAAAAAAAAAAAAAAAGAAATTTTTTGGAAGAAATTTTTATTGTGCTCAGAATAATGATTTCCAGTGTAGATTTTAAAATCAAATCAGATTATGCTTCATGACACTTGACTGTGATTTATGTATTCACATAGATAAATTTGAAGGAAAGATATGATAAAGATAGGGTAAGTAAAAAAATGAGCCTTTTGTAGTTCTATGCTAGCATATTTGATTTTATAATATTATCTAGCAAAATATATACCGTATACAAATAGAAGTAAAATGAGTCTAGGTAATAAATTTAAATGTATGTTATTTCCTATTGTGTACTAATGGACCATACTTATTTTCTTCCCCTGAGGGAAGGACTCTGATGTCCTACTGAGGTCAAACTCATTAAATCTCATCCGTGTAGAATGTGGAATTTAAAATATTTAAATCCATGTAGAATTTAAAATATTTCAGAAACTCTGCTCATTCATTGTAAAACCCACCTTTTGTCAGTATTTTTTTTAGCTTACAGTATAATAATAATAGTTAACTCTATTTTATCATTTCATGGACCACAGATATATTCTGGATAAAAGTAACTAAAGTGATCTGCAGGTATTTAAGCATGGTTGGCTCTTGAGGCTCTGTCTTCTGCCCTGAGATTATCTAATAATGCTAATGTTGACATTTTACCCCAGGTATTTATAAAGGAAAAATAAATTTACTACTCTTAAGACCCACATTTACTAGTTAAGAAAAATCAAAAGTAAATTTAAATTGAATATCTAATTAAATAGTATCTTAATTTGTTCATCTCAGCTAGAGAGTAACAAGTATATGTAAAGTGTTTTTTGTTTGTTTGTTTGTTTGTTTTTGAGATGGAGTCTCGCTCTGTCGCCCAGGCTGGAGTGCAGTGGCGCGATCTTGGTTCACTGCAAGCTCCACCTCCCAGGTTCAAGCCATTCTCCTGCCTCGGCCTCCTGAGTAACTGGGACTACAGGCACCCGCCACCACGCCCAGCTAATTTTTTCTATTTTTAGTAGAGATGGGGTTTCACCGTGTTAGCCAGGATGGTCTCGATCTCCTGACCTCATGATCTGCCCACCTCGGCCTCCCAAAGTGCTGGGATTACAGGCGTGAGCCACTGTGCCCAGCCTAAGTATATGTAAAGTGTTTTAAAATTTACTAAGCACTCTTTATTACATTATCCCATGTGATTCTTACAATAGCTACTTGAAGTAAAAAGGACAGAGCTCTCTTTTGTAGATTGGTGAGTGATAGAATCCGAATTTACATGTAGGTCTACAGGCTCTATACCTGGTATTCTGAGTAGAGGTAGAAAAAGTACCTGTTGAAGGAAGAGTCTGCTAGGCTACCCTGCATATCTCCCTAGAGTCTCCCAGCCTAATTTGAGACTTCTCTCATGTCTTCCTTTGGATGTGATCTCTGGTAGGCTAGCATGGCTTTCATAGAGACTTAGGGTTTAAAACTTCATCATGTTGCAAGGCACTGACTGTTTTGCTTGTTTGAGGACTGTCTCACATAATTGAATAGGTCCTTTCTCCACTGGCAGGGGAATAATTTGGAAACTCTTTAAGGTCCTTTATGTGTGTTAAAAGTGTGGATGTGAATTGAGAGTAGCCTTTGCTCTCAAAGTTTAGGGATTAAACACAGAGAGAAAAGCTGCTCTTCTCTCTAGTATTCTTGTGAACAGTCAGCTCTATCAGTGCTTCTTTTTTTCCATATAGGGTTATCAGTCATATATGTACCCTCCTTACTGTGAGTGTTTTAATAATAATGATTAGAACAAAGGTGTATGGAGTGCCTAATATGCACCAGACCCCACACAATAGCATTTTTACATGCATTATCTCATCAGTCCTTAGAACAAATGAGGTTGATATTTTTAAATACCCATTTATGGGTAAAGAACTTAAGTGTCAAATTAATTAAGTAAGTAGCCCAAGTTCACTGAGTTACTAAGTAGCCCAGCTGGGATTCAAATCTAGCTCTTCTTGGCCACAAGGCTCTATTATTTTCGTGTTGCCTTTGCATTTGACCTATTCTGAAATTAATTTTGCAGTTCTTCTATTGATCCCAAATTATTCCCATTTAGAGACCAAAAGTTGCTGCTATCAGTTATGCTTAGTCTGGAATATATAACTCTATTTTACAAGATGATACCAAATAATGTTTGTTTAAGTAAATGATCTTTGAAAGACTCATGCAGGCAGGAAGAATTGGGATGAATTAGGGCACGAGAAAATATGTAAAATTGTTGGTGTTTTGCAGTCATTGTACAGCAGAGGGAAGGGGGAGAAAAATACAGAAAAAATATGATTAAATTTCTCTGGTTGATAAACACTCCATTTTAAGTGTTTATGCTCAAATGTAAACAACATGAATAATATTGTAACCTGTAGAGCAGCCATGGTGAATGGAAGATGGAGCTCTATTGTGCAATAGTTCTGAAGCCCCACATCCAGATTAAGGGACAAACTGCACTCTGCAAGTAGCTGGTTGTCTGCAGGAGCTTCTCATTGAAAAACTGCATCAATCAAAGCAAGCTTCCTGAGCCCAAAGTGCTGAAGATATCACAATCATTAAACAGTTATGCAAATGTAAAAGCAGTATCTCACCTCATTAGTGCTAAATATGTTGTTTATTCTTTCCCCAAGTAAAATGTTTAGAAGCCTGCATAATGAGTGTCTCGTTGACAGAGGTGTGGAATTATGAAGCTGCTAAATCCAGCGCGAAGACAGAGTGATAAAATAGATTGGATTTCGCAATAGCTGTGCTTAGAGCAAACTTGGGTGGCTGGATTCCACATTAGCACATTGTTTTGACATCATGCACTCAGAGATTTGATTTCATGGATTAGGGGGAGGTGGTTATGACATTTGGGTGGAGGAAAGAGTGTGCAGGCTGAAGTCAAAAGCTATAGGCTATGGGCAGAGAAGAAACCTGGAAGAGTTCTTAAAGCAATATCCTATTTTCTAATAAGGTACTTGCATGACAAACACCATGTAAATGGTCTAGAGGCATAATTAAAGCTGATGGTGACAGAAGGAAACAAATTAAACTTGGAAATGTTTACCTGTCTGGAGTAGTCTTTGTACAAATGTGTGATAAAGATAAATGTCTGACCTTTGAATTCTATCCTCCAGTATATACCAGCATCTAGAAGGCAGCTTAAGGTTTGTAGTGAAATGTGCTATTGGCTACTAGTGTGTGATTCTTAATATGTCAATGGGCTGGAATTTATTTTTCATGAGTTCATGAGTCTTCTGTGTCTTAGCTGGAATTGCCATGCTGCCATATATTTCATACAATTAGCTACCTTAGTTCATAATGCTGATCCCAGGTTGGAAGTGCTAGTCCAACCTCAACCATGGGAATGTCGATAAGAAAAAGAGCATAACAGACTATTAGACTGTAGGCTCCCTGAGTGCAGCAGCCTTGACTGATTTTTCCCTGACTTGGCACAAGGAATAGCACCTAGTCTGTGCTTTACAAATAAGTGCTAAGTGTCTGAAAGAAAGGGGATTTTTTCAGTTCTTCTTCATGTCCACTAACCTTCTTCAAGATGCTGATTGGACTTATGGGCATTGCCTGAGAAGATTCCTTAGGAGGCTGTGTGAAAGCAAGCAAGGGTGGGAAGCACTTGTTCTGCTCAGCCAGGTTTCACCTTGTGACCTCTACCCTAGATTCTAAGGCCATCCACATAGTTGTGTGTGTCATACTCAAAGAAAGAAAAAGAAAGAAATGGTAGGTGCAATAACATCATTGATGATTTATGTTTCAAAATATAATTTTCATCTTTAAGTTACTGCTATGTTTTACTGCTGATCACCCCTTCTTACTTGATGGCTTTTTGGCGATCAGTTAAGGAGATGATTGAGGAAGACTTTGTCTTCATGGACTGTTGGATTTTGAAAGTTTTTTTAATGGAAAATTCCCTTCGTCTGGGTGCTAACTTTCTAGTCACTAGGGCAACGGATGGCCTATTTGTCCAAATGCCTTTGATGTGCACTAGAGAACATGAGTACAAGGGACCTAACAAACATCTGGACAAGTGCATCAAAACGTGCATCAGCAAAGTTGTTATAGTAAAAAGTGGATCTGAAACAAAAAAAAAAAAAGGAAAGTGAGTTTAAAAAAAGCTGAACTTACTTTTCTTTGGATGGTGAAGAAGGTAACATGTTATACTGGGGAAAGGGTTTGGAATGAGACAAAATTGTGTTCAAATTTTGGTCTACCATTTAATTGTTATGTAAAAAGTTTCATTAATCAAACTGAGTCTCAGCTTCTGCCTCTTTAAAATGATAATCCTTATGTTAGTCATCAGGTTGTTTTGAGAATTCAATGAACATCAAAGTCCTTAGCAAAATAACAATGATTGCCATAATTTAGTTCATTGTTGTGTCAGAGTTTTAACTGAACATTCAAACTGCTTCAGTATGCATATTTGGGTGTCTCTTTTATTTACTTATTTTCAATTTTATTAGGTGGTTCCACTGTCAAGGCCTCTGAACATGTGTCTGTGGCAAATACTATTCTAAAAATAGAAAAAATTAAGTAGGCTGTTTCATGCATTTTAATACGCTGACATTCCATGCTTTTTGCCTAATGAAGCAAATATTCATAAATGGGTTTGGGAGAAGAGAGAGAGAGAAAGAGAGAGAGCAAGAGCACACTCTATTCTTCATGTATGTGTGTGTGTGCATGTATATATGTGTGTATAAATATGTGTGTCTAAATACATAAATATATATGGTCAATCTTGATTATATTACAAACACATTCCCTATTATTGTCAGTGATTCTTTTTCTCATAATATGCATTTCTTTGTGGTTGTTTTTCATTCTGTAGAAAAAGAATAACCTTAGGCAAGTGTTTTACCTTTGTGGGTCTCAGTTTCATTATCTGAGAAGTGCAGAGAGAGTGCATGAAGCAATCCCTTCCACTTCTAGAAGAAAAACATGTATCCCACTTTCATAAGGTCAACGATGTTTAAGTTCCTGTTAAACATGCAGATATTTGAATAATCCTTAGAACTGATATTAAATTAATTTCCTATTTCCAAAGTTAAAGGAAGACTTTAGTTGACATAACAAGCAGAACAATCCAATACAATGCTCAGTACTCCCTAATAAATATTTAACAGTGCTCATTTCCTTATAAAGAATAATCTGGAAGTACAGGTACCCCTGGTTATAGAAAATTTTACAATTTAAACTAAAAAATTAAGTGACTATTATTATTTAAACTGAATTTTTGCTATCTCAGCTGAACCCTTGTACTGAGTGATAGTAATCACATTTGTATTAGCCTAGCCCTACAAGTTGCCACAGCCAGGGTTCTCCGCATCTCTGCATATGATTTCAGCCCTCTGTATCCATCATCAGAGCCTTTTCCTTTGCTTACTAAAAATGTATAAAAGGTAATCTTTCCATATATGTCTACAGCTATCATGGATGACCTTCTATAACTCCAGAGATTTTGCCTAGAATTTAGATTAGGGATATAGATTTAGTTCGGCTCCTGGAAGCTGTGGGTTGGTTGCCAAATCACAAAAGAAAGGCATGCCTACTAAAAAAGCCATTGTTTAAGAACATGGGGAGTGGGTAGACAGTTTCTGCTCCCAAAATCATGGAATTAGTGGACATTTGATTATCCTTGGATATATGCTTTATCACATAAATGTACAGTTCACGAGAACACAGATAAACACAGTCACCTTAAAAATTCAAATAAATTCCCATTATAAACATTGAAGATAATTTGATTGCAATGGTGAATAAATCTAAAGAAATCATGTGTTGGTCAGAAGTGCAGATCAAACAAAAAAGGACAAAGGAAGGTCACCGAGGCAGATATCGGCAAAGCTCATCTAAGCACTCTCTCAAGAAAAGTAAATATTGATTCTTAGACTTTTAGTATAGTTCCATAGCAAGTCCCTCCTGATGTTCTATTAGAGGAGGTAAGAAGATATGATCTCCATTGAAGTTTATCTCCTCCTCTACTCAAACTACCATAACTACAAGATATCCTCCCTAACTTCCATTTGGCCTGAAGCATCCAGTTGCCTCAGAAGGATTATGGCAATGAGAATGCAAAGAAAAATTTTCTAGGCAATACTCAATTTTAAATGTCAAAGCATACTTTTGAAACACAAGACAAAGACTTTGATTTCCTCAGAGAACAGAGCTGGCCCTGTGCTAAACAATACCCATAGAAGAATAAATATCACCTGGGTATTTTTTTAAATACATTTAGACTAGATGAATAATCCATGGGCTATGGTTGGAGTATATGAGAGAAGAAGCAATACACCAGTGTGTATACTAGGAAAGTGTTTGCTCTCCATTCCCAGACCCAGTTTGGGAGGGCCACAGAAGTCTATTTGTTAAGGTAATACTTGCTGCAGCAACCAAATTTGGAGACACAATGCAATAGTATTTTATTTCTTATGAAATAGTCCAAGGAGGTGGGTCTGATTGGTGGGCAGCTTTTTTCTATGTGGTGACTCAGGTACTCAGGCTTCTTCTATTTTGGGGCTCTTCAGTTCCCTAGAGCTTTGGAATCCAGTAGCTAAAAGGGAAAACAGAAATTGAAAAATTCTTATCTGCTTCTTATAAATCCTGGCATAGAAATGAGATACATCATTTCCATTAATATTCAATTGGCAAGAATTAGTCACATACCCTCAACTAGATGTAAGGGGAACTTGGAAACTCAGCCCCCAGTTATATAGCCTCATCCCACCAATAATTCCAAACTGTGGCAAGAAAAACATGATATTTTGGTGGGCAGCTGGCATCTCTACCACTAATGACCATGTAGGTTTGGGCCCTCAGACAAAGTCAACATGTACCCCACTTTCCATCTGTGGCTCTGGAAGGTGATATTTGGGGATATTCCCCATTCTAAATGAGGTAGTTGCAGTCAAAAAGAAATGGCAATCTGGCTTATCTAGGGAGAGCGTTCAAAGACATCCCCTGCCCGCCACCCTCCTCCGAAGTTTCCTGTGCCTTCAGAGTGACATGCAGAGCCTGCAAAAATTTTCCTGTGTACCTACCGACCCTCCTCCAGAAAGGCACAAATGTAGTGGAAAGAATGAGACAAGGTCCTGGATAAAAGATGAAAAGAAGCCAGGGAATGCTGCCAGTAGCCATTCAAAGGGAACAAGTGGGAATGGGGCCATTTCAGCAGATGACAGCAATGTAGAAAATGATGAGCAAGGACCAGATAAGTCAACTTCCTTAGGTTTAGAAATAAGCAAAAGGAAAAAGAAAAGGAGAATAATTTTGGATCATTCTGAGTCTACCTTCAATTGAGTATGTTTACTCTGAATTGTCAGAAATGGATTCTGCTACCAGGCATAATGAGACTCAAGCTAGAAATTAAGGACAATTAAATAAAGTTACTTTTTTGAGGAACATATTCAAGATTATAGCCTGAGATTTAGTCACTACTACATGTATAATCTATTTTCTTAGTGTGGTTGCATACTCTCCAAGAAATTTTTAGTTTTTAATATTCTTACCAAGCTTCATTGTCTACTCTGAATATATACAGTAGTCGGGATATACATAGTGTAATATTTATCATGTAAAGTTTCATGTAACACAAGTTATCATATTTATATGTTTGCATATGTATAGTTATATTTCTCTGTGTAAAATAGTTAACTAAATAACCACATTTTAAAAGATGTTTAAGTCAATTACTACCATATGTCCGGCGGTGTTCTAGATTCTGAAGATACAGCAATGAGTTACACAGACAAAAGCCTCTGCCGTCAAGGAATTTACCCTCTATTAAATGAGGAGAATTTGCATTCTAATAAATAAGAAAGTTGACAAAGTAAGTAAAATATAAAGTTACATCATATGGTGATAAGGGCTATAGAAAAAATAAAAAGCAGAGAAGGTAAGGGGTAATGGGGTCAGGGTAGGGAGACATTGAATTTTATTTATTTTTTATCTATGTAATTTTTATTTTATTATAAATTGACAAATTATAATTGTGTATATTTACGAGGTACAAAGTGATGTTATGATATATGAATATAAATGTGGATGATTAAATCAAACTAATTGATATATATTCATCACCTCAAATACTTTTTTTGTGGTGAGAACATTCGAAATTTACTCTCTTAGCAATTTTTAAATATACAATACATTATTATTAACTATAGTCACCATGCTGTGCAATAGATCTGAAAAAACTCATTCTTATCTGACTGAAACTTTGTCCCCTTTGACCCCATCTTCGGAACCCTAACCCCTGGCCTCTGGTAACCACCATTCTACTCTCTACTTTTGTGTTCAATTGTTTTGGATTTCACATACAAGTGAGATTGTGTGGTATTTGTCCTCCTGTGCCTGGCTTATTTCACTTAGCGTAATGGCCTCCAGGTTAATCCATGTTGTCACAAATGACAAAATTTCCTCCCTCTTTTTTAAAGTTGAATAATATTTTATTGTGTATGCATATCATATTTTTTAAACCATGCATCTGTTGATAGACACAGGCTTATTCCATATTGATTATTGAGAATGCAGATATCTCTTCAACATACAGGTTTCAAATCCTTAGTTTTTAGAGGATCCTCTATACAGTTTTCCATAAATGGCTGTACTAATTTACATTCCACCAACAGTGCTCAAGAATTCCCTTGTCTTGATGGGATCTAATTAAACTAAAGAACTTCTGCACAGCAAAAGAAACTATCATCAGAGTGAACAGGCAAACTACAGAATGGGAGAAAATTTTTGCAATCTACCCACCTGACAAAGGTCTAATATCCAGAATTTACAAGGAAATTAAATTTACACGAAAAAATCCCATCAAAAAGTGGACAAAGGATATGAATAGACACTTCTTAAAAGAAGGCATTTATGTGGCCAAGAAACATTTTTAAAAAGCTCAACATCACTGATCATCAGAGAAATGCAAATCAATACCATAATGAGATACCATCTCAAACCAGTCAGAATGGTGATTATTAAAAAGTCAGGAAATAATAGATGCTGGTGAGGCCGTGGAGAAATAGGAATGCTTTTACACTGTTGGCAGGAATGTAAATTATTTCAACCATTGTGGAATTGTGTATGGCAATTCCTCAAGGATCTAGAACCAGAAATACCATTTGACCCAGCAATCCCATTACTGGGGATATACCCAAAGGAATATAAATCATTCTACTATAAAGACACATGCCCATGTATGTTTATTTCAGCACTATTTACAATAGCAAATACATGGAACCAACCCAAATGCCCATCAGTGATATACTGGATAAAGAAAATGTGGTATATATACACCATGGAATACTATGCAGCCATTAAAAAGGATTAAGATCATGTCCTTTGCAGGCACATGGATGAAGCTGGAAGCCATCATCCTCAGCACACCAACACAGGAGCAGAAAACCAAATACTGCACGTTCTCACTCATAAGTGGGAGTTGAATAATGAGAACACATGGACACAGAGAGGGGAACAACACACACCAGGACCTGTTAGGGGATGGGGGGTGCGAGGAGGGAACTTAGAAGATGGGTCAATAGGTGCAGCAAACCACCATGGCACATGTATACCTATATAACAAACCCTGCACGTTCTGCACATGTATCCCATTTTTTTCAATAAGAAATAAAAAAGAATTCCCTTGTCTCCATGTCCTTACCAACACTTGTTATCTTTTGTCATTTTGATAACAGCCACTCTGACAAGTATAAGGTGATAGCTCATTGTGGTTATAATTTGCATTTCCCTAATTATTAGTGATGGTGAGCATTTTTTCATATATCTGTTGGCCATTTGTATGTCTTCTTTCTGAGAAATGTCTATTCAGGTTCTTTGCCCAAATTTTAATTGTTATTTGTTTTCTTGTTATTGAGTTGTTTAAGTGCCTTATATATTTTGGACATTAATCATTCATCAGATATATGGCTTGCAAATATTTTCTACCATTCCTAGATTATCTCTTTATGCTATTAATTTTTTCCTTTGCTGTGCAGAAGCTTTTTTGTTTGATGTAATCACATTTGTTTATTTTTTTCTCATTGTTGACTGAGCTTTTGGGGTCAAATCCCAAAAAAATCATTGCCCAGACCTATGTCATGTAACATTTTCTCTATGATTTTTTCTAGTAGTTTTACAGTTTCAGGTCTTACACTTATGTTTTTAATCAATTTTGAGTTAATTTTTGCATATTGTGTAAGATAAGTGTCTAATTTCACTCTTCTACAGGTTGATATCCAATTTTCCCAGCACCTTTTATTGAAGAGACTCTCCTTTTTCCATCTTGTGTTCTTGGCACTTTTGTCAAAAATCAATTGATTGTAAATGTGTTGGTTCATTTCTGGACTCTCTATTCTGTTCCATTATTCAATGTGTCTATGTGTATGCCCATATTATGCTGTTTTAATTATTATAGCTTTGTAATATAGTTTGAAATCAAGTAGAGTGGTGCCTTCACCTTTGTATTTTTTTGTTCAAGATTGGCTTGTCTATTCAGGAGTGTGTGTGTTTGTGTATATGTGTGTGTGTGTGTGTGATTCCATCTGAAATTTAAGATTCTTTTTTCTACTTCTGAGAAAAATGACATTGATATTTTGATAGGGATTGCATTGAACCTGTAGATTGCTTTGGGTGGTATGGAGATTTTAACAATGTTAATTATTCTAACTCATAAACATGGAATATCTTTCCATTTCTTGTGTCTTCTTTCATTTCTTTCATCAATGTTTTAGAGTTTTCAGTGGACCAGTCTTTCACTTCTGATGTGGTTTGGCTTTGTGTCCCACCCAAATCTCAGGTCAAGTTGTAATCCCTAGAATTAGAGGAGGGGCCTGGTGGGAGGTGATTGGATTGGGGGGTAGTTTCTAGTGGTTTAGCACCATCCCCCAGTGCTGTTTGTTTAAAAGTGTGTGGCACCTCCCTCATCTCTCTTTTCCCCCTTCCACTGGTCATGTGAAGACTTGCTTTGCTTCCCCTTTGCCTTCTACCATGGTTGTAAGTTTCTTGAGGCCTCCCCAACTGTGCTCCCTGTGCCGCCTGCAGAACTGTGAGTCAATTAAACCTTTCCTCTTCATAAATTACCCAGTCTCAGTCTCAGGTAAACCTTTCTTCTTCATAAATTACCCAGGCAGCATGAGAACAAACTAATACAACCTCATTGGTTAAACTTATTCTAAGTATTTTTTCGGTAGCTATTGTAAGTGGAATGGTTTTCTTGATTTCTGTTTCAAATAGTTTGTTGTTGTATATAAAAACACTACTAATTCTTGTCTGTTAGTTTTGTGTCCTGCAAATTTACTGTATTCATTTATTCTAGCAGTTTTATGGTGGAATCTTTAGGATTATCTACATGTAAAATCATGTCATCAGAAAACAGAGACAATTTCACTTCTTTCTTTTCTATTTGGATGTGTTTTATTTCTTTCTCTTGCCTGATTGTTCTGGCAAGGACTTCCACTACTGTGTTGAATAGAAGTGGCAAGAGTGGACATCCTTGTCATCAATGTTAAGTATAATGTTAGTTATGGGATGTCATATGTAGCTTTAAATGTGTTGAGGTACATTCCTTCTATATATAATTTGTTGAGAGTTTTTATTATGAAAAAATATTGAATTTTTTCAAATGGTTTTTCTGTATCTAAATGAGATAATCATATCATTCTTGTCCTTCATTTTGTTAATGTGATGTATCACAGTTATTGATTTGTATATGATGAGCGATCCTTGCCTCCCCAGTATAAATCCTGCTTGATCATAGTGAATGATCCTTTTAATGTAATATTGAATTAAATTTACTAATATTTTGTTGAGTATTTTTGCATCTACATTCAACAGGGATATTGGCATGTAATTTTCTTTTCTTTTCATGTCCTTGTCTGGCTTTGATATCAAGGGAATGTGGCCTCATATAATGAGTTCGGAAGTATTCTTTCCTCGTTTATGTTTTGAAATAATTTGAGAAGGATTGATACTAGTTCTGAAATATTTGGTAGAATTATTCAGTTAAGCTATTAAGTCCTATGCTTTTCTTTGACGGAAGACTTTTTATTACATATTCAATCTCCCTGCTCATTGTTGGACTATTCAAATTTTCTATTTCTTTATACTTTAGTCTCCATAGGTTATTTCTAAAAAGCTTTCCACTTCTTCTAGGTTATCCAATTTGTTGATGTATAGTTGTTCATAGTGATCTTTTATGAACCTTTGTATTTCTGTGGTATCAATCTTCAGGGTCACAGGGTATATTCCCTGGCTGAGCATTACTGCTATTTGCATTTTTCAGTTGGGCAAGGCTGCAGGCTGTACTTGCAGAGGTTAAGCACTCTGAGGCTAGGCAGAGTCACTGCTCAAAATATGGGTCCAAATGCTGTGCTTTGGACAATGCATATTTGAAGCTTTCCTCCTTGCCTGAGTGGGGCTTTGAAATGGTCTCTGAGTCTGGGTCAGGCCACTGTTTGAACTCAGAGGTTGGGCAGGTCTAGCCCCTAAGCTCTGCAGAAATGCATGTAACAAGAATCTCCCTTCCTGGGTGGGGCCTTGGAATAGGGTTTGGAACTGGGCCAAGCTACTGCTGGGTCTAGGCAGGACTCATTCCTGTGCTCTACAGAAAGGAACTATAGAAGGTGTCTCCTAGCTTGGGTGGAGCTTTGGGGTGGGCTCTGAGTCTCGGCCAGGCTACTGATTAGACTCCCAGGCCAGGCACTAGCCCCTACGCTCAACAGAAATGTGTTGTGGCTGGTGTCTCCTTGCCTGGGTGGGGATCTGGTGTAGGCTCCAAGGCTGGGTATGGAGGCTGGCTGCCTAGGGCTCTAGCCAGCTTGAACGTCCTGCTATACTTCTGGGATCCACCAGCTTGGCTTTGTGGGTGAGCTCTGCTGTTGGCTGGGATGCCATCAACGGCAGAAACACAGGGCTATCATCAAGATCCTTGAGCCTCCTTTTGGTGTTTCTATCTGATCCCAGGTGGTCTAGTCCCATTGTTACACCTAGTGTTCCCTTTGAGGTGAGATGGGGGCGAGCTCCCTGAGAAGTGTCTCTGAATACTGAGAAGCTGGATGACTACCTCCAGAGCTCTTTACTCACTATGGAAACTGTCGATTCAGGGGATCTTCGCTATGTGTCGTGTTGTCTTGAAGGAGGGAAATGATGATGTAGTCAAAGTGAAATCATTCCTCTTATCTTATGATATAATTTTATTTAGTTCTATGGTTTACACTCAGTCTTAGTCCTAAGTTTTTGGGTTTTCACAAAGTTCTTTTCATCTGAGGATAATTGCTAGCTGAAATATCTGTGGCAGAAAGTGAAGCCTGGGACCTCAGATTCAGTCATCTTGCTGATGTGACTCCTCTGATGTTGCATTTTAAACAAGGATGTGAATAAAGCTTCACTGAGAAGTCCAAAAGGAGCTGAGGGAGCAAGATGTAAGGATAAATAAGGGAAAGTACCCTGGATAGAGTGAGCATGTCTGGTGTGTTTGAGGAAGAGCACGGGGTCAGGGTAGCTCAAGCAAGGTGCATGAGGTGGGTAGCAGGAGGTCAGTTCAGAAAGATCATGTGGAGTAGAGCAAATATTGTCAGCCTTTGAAGAGAACTGAAGAGAATGAATTGGCCTTCAAATTATCTTCATCAGGCTTATGAATTTATTTAATGTGAATGTGTCTCAGAAGGTAGTCCTCCTCAAGCTGTAGCCAAAATCAGTTTTCTGAGGCTGCACAGATGTTGCAGGTATTAGATTACAGTATATTTAGCATGGTGCCACCAGCCTGTGAAGACCCTGGAAGCCTTCTGGCTCTGTTGTCAAGGTGATCCATCACTGGCTATTCCCTCTCCTGCTGAATGGCCGTGCACACAGCATATGCCAATTGGGCCACTCCCTCAATGGCCAGCCCAGTCCCTCCTCTTCAACACATAGTATAGGAAAAAAGTACAACCCACATACACACACACAACAGATGCATCATCACTCCACAAAGGCAATTGGGTAGAGCAGTCTTTGTTACCTTTTGGTACACAACTCCCACCACACTCTCTTGTTACTTCTTTTACTCTTCAGTGTTTCCCTTGATATTCACCTTGAACTGATTTAAACTGAATTAAAGTCCTGGTGGAAGCAAATGTAAAGGAAGTACATGGGTAATTTGTGACTCTACCCAGTATCCTCGCTTGGCCTGAGCACCCTGCCAAGGGTCCCAGAAATGTAGCTTTGAAATTTGCATAGAGCGTAGAACATGGACCTGAAAACAAACAGACCGAGAATTAAATATTGATTTTCCCATATAGGAGAATCACAATTTCTGTACGCAGTATTTTATTTCTAAAATGGGTGAAAATATGCTTGCTAAAAAGATCCAAAGGCAGATTCTATTTTTCAAAATTCATTTTCCTGCTTTACAGTCTTCTAATGTAAAATGCAATTTGTTTATCTCATCGATATTAATGTGTTTTATATCTTTGATCAAATTGTGTATGTTGAGATGGGTTCTTAAATTTCTATTTACTTTCTAGATTAAATCTTACCACATAAAGGATTACCTCCTTTGTGAACAAATGTGTCAAAATCAACTTGGATATGCTTGATGGTTCTGACACCTTCAGCGTTCATAAGACAACATTTTTATGTCACCAGATGTAACCCAGATGGTACATATTAATTTATATATGGATATTGAAAAAAATATATGGTTTCCATCTGATGTCTTTTAAGTATGATTTTTAAATTGATGTGAATATCATTTTTTTTTCAACTTGCACTATAATACAGTCAAAATATGGCTCCCAGGTGAATGAACAATTATCTGTTTCATTTGGCATCATTCTGTATTTCTGAGCCATGACTTCTGAATGAATGTACATCTTTTCAGACCTGATTTCAACTGGCTGAAAAGCATTTTGATAGTGTCAAGTAACTCTCATTACATTGGAAGACAGTGCTGATAAGATAAATTTAGAACATCTTTCATCTCATTTTCAATATTAACAACTGTTTTATAGTCTTGCCAGCAGACGTAAATGTGTGATAAAGTTTAGACATTTTAATGCTTTAGTCTCTCCTGTTTTGATAAATATTAGACATAAGGTGGTACTGAAATAACATCCCAAGATCTCTAGGTTTTCAGGAAAAAATGGTTCATCATAAGCTCATTATAAAACTATATACAAAAGAAATTGTAGGGCCAATTCAATAAACAAATCTGAGACTTTGGTCTCCTGTTATCCTTTCCTTCATTCCAGGAAGAGTCTGAAGTATACTGTTCAAAAGTAGCAAAATGTATGAACATTTTGTAATGGTCTTTGAGTATATCTTTCAAAAGAGATCTGATAAGGATTACTAAAGAAAAAATACTTTCTTCACATTTCTCTTCCTCTGCTTCCATCTCTTCCTTTTTCTTTTCTATATTCTTCTGCTTTAGCCTATTGTTACTTACTGGACATCAATACCAGCATTCTCTTTGTGTATTATGCTCATGTGTGGATAAATAGTCACACTTCAGTGGCCAGAAATTTTCTCACAAATTAGAATAGAATTAATATGCTGAGATTCCCACTTACCCAAAATAATATATGAATATCATGAGCATCGTTCAAAACATATCTTTGAACATAGAGTAGAGGTCAGTTTAGCGGCACCATCCCCCACCAACCTTCTGTTGTGAAACTTAGATAATTAATTTACATTTGGCTTTCCTTATTGTTTTGCATACAAATTAGAATGCTTAAAGCCTCCAACAAACTTGGTCACTGAGTCAAAGAAAGAAAGGAAGATGAGAAAATAGAGAAATTGCTCAGCAGAGAATATACATTCCTTAAAAGAATTATGTGTTCAGCTATGTATTCAGTATGCACAAAGCTGCCCAAACAGACCAAAGTCATCCATTCCTATAATGTTTAACATTCTCTTTTATAGTTGCATAAAAGCATAAGGACAACCTCTTACCCTTCCTTTCTCTGTTCTCTCTCCCCAGTGGGGGAAGAAGAGAAACAAACAAACAAACAAACAAACAAACAAAAAAGCCAAGCAAAAAATGGAACCCACACCCAAGAACACAATCTCCCAGAATTCCCCATAATTCACTGTGGAAGCAGAAAAGCTGCTGTAAAGAACACATGTGTTGGGAGGAGAAAGCAATGCTGTGCTGCATGCAGAAGAGAGAAGTAGATGGTTTGTCCCAATCCAATGTTGCATGTTATCACATAGGAGAGGACACCACACTTCTGAGGTGCCACTGAATCCTTCCAGGTGAAAACGATTCCTCTTAGTTTAGCCTGCTGAGGCTTTCACCACAGAACTTGGGCACAGGTCCAGAGATCAATACCAGAGTGAAAACACAGTGCTCCTCCCAACCCAGTCCCTTTGGACTCAACCACCTGGGGATAGACAGATACTAAGATAGTATCCAGTAATCCTTGCCTCTTGGCATTCGTGCCCATGTGTAATACCCTCTCCTTGAGTGAGGGCTGGACATGGTGACTTGCGTCTAACCAATAGAAAATGGCAAAGGTAATGGATGTCACTTCCATGATGAGGCTACAAAATATTATGACTTCTGTTTTGCCTCCAGACTTTTGTTTCCTTGATTTTCATGCTCTGATAAAGCAAGTTGCCATGTGGAGACACCCACATAGCAAGAAACTGGGATGGCCTCTGGCCAATAGCCAGCAAGAAACCAAGACCCTCAGCTTACAGCCTGCAAAAAAGTGAGATCCTCAGCCTAACAGCCTGTAAGAAATTGAATCCTGCCAATACCACTGAACTTGGAAAAAGATCTTTCCTCTGTTGAGCCTTCAGACTACACCACAGCTCTGGCTGATACTTTGATTGAAGCCTTTTGGGAAACTCTGAAGCAGTGGATCCAGAGAAGATCTGCCCAAATTTCCAACCTACAAAAACTGTGAGATAATAAAGGTGTATTGTTGTAAGCCACTAAATCTGTGATAATTTGTTTCACAATAATAGAAAACTAATATACCTCCCAACAGAGTCCTTCCAAAATTCCTGTTCCGCTTGTGAATGAAGTCCCAGCCATCTGACTCACCAGTTAGCATAGCCCATTTCAGGCTGAGCTGGTACCTTATAATACGTCCACTAGCTTCTTTCCAAGAGGCAAGACTACAGAAGACGTTTTGTATTATCTGGGGGTTTCATTTTTCTACGCTCTCCTTTCCTCAAGAAAAACTGAGAATTAACTGAAGAAATTTTCTTACATCTTTAATTTGTGCCAGGGGTGTAGCCACAGATTTGAAAGCTTCAAGTCTCAGAGCAAACAAATTGCATAAAGCCCAGATGCTGCACTTTTCAAAACTACTTTACTTTATGTTCATTTTCTTTCAGGATAAGAATCACTTTATTTAAGTTGTGTCATGAAATTAGTAATTAAAAATATTTATAAGGATTAACTAATTACCTATTATTACTGAGGTTATGTTTACACTGGTAAAACGTGCCCTTCTGTTTTAACTGGACAACATACGTATAGGATGTAACTGACAAGTTTTTCCCTCTATATTGTTTAAAATGCATTTTTTTTTTTCAAAGTAAAACTTGATTTCCAGGGTCCAACAGAAACCTCTAGAGCTATTTCTGCTGACAGCAGCAGAAAAATCATCACTGACTTTATCACTTCGGAGATGACTACTGCAGAAACAGTAACTGAATATAAGAGGGTAAGCTAGGCACCTGGGCTGAAGTACTTGCTGCTTAATGCAGATCTTCAGTCTCTGCACCTCCTTTAATGCACTGTATTCAGATAGTATGGTCTGGCAACAAAAAAAAAGAAACAGTTTAATGGAAGTAATGAAAACTGTTTTCTACATTATTTTCTTTCCTTATCCCACAAATTAGAAAATATACCTGGCAGTTTTGTTGACAGTTCAATAATGCACTTCATTTTGCTACTATTCTCAATGAATTTTCTCAGTTTCTTGTCTAATAAATCAATGCCAAAATAAAACTTGGAGGTAAACAGATTTTAATTGAGTCTTTGTGATATTATGTATCTTGGAATTTGGAAGTCATAGAATTATACATAATTTTACTGGTTTATTTTGTTTAAATAGTTGGCATTGAGTATTATAACAGCTTTTTGATGGGAAGACAAATATCTAAGACACTCTCTTTGTAGGCTGTCTATGACATTTGAGGAAGAGTTGGGGACATTCAGGGAGAGCTTCTGCCAGAGCTTTTAATTTCTCCCAAGTAGTCTTATATGTTATTTTCTTGATCAGAATTGTGGATGCTGAGATTCAAAATTAATAAGGCATACTAACTTGACAGTTGGTAAACTAGTTCTTTTGATGATATTTGGTTTTCATTTGTCAAAAAAAGCTGCTCATCCAACCAATAGTCAGAGACCTTCATATACATTGTCATTTGTAATACCCATAACAATTGCTATCCAAAATGAGAGACACTCTAGCCCTTGCTTGATGCTCTTCTATCATGAAAAATGAAAGGGCATAAGAAGTGTTTGTCAAATTGGTATGAAATACAAAGGGTGTTTTCATAAGGCAAACCTAGTCTTGTTAAAAGTGCTGTACTCTCTCCCACTAGCAAAAGTCTCTCTAAAAGTGTGTTCTCATAATTCAAGGTAACAACAACAAAAGAGTTTCTCTACCTGTCACTCTCCTTCCTTTTAGTTCACTAAAACACTGCACATCCTTACTCAAGAAACCATTACCTGAAAAGCAAAAACATGAGATAGAAAATAAGGCCAGGCACAGTGCCTCACACCTGCAATTCCAGCACTTTGGGAGGCCAAGGTGGGTGGATCACCTGAGTCCAGGAGTTTGAGACCAGCCTGGGCAACATAATGAAACCCTGTTTCTACTAAAATTATAAAAATTAGCTGAGCATGGTGGCTCACACCTGTAGTTCCAGTTACTTGGGAGGCTGAAGCAGGAGGATTGCTTGAACCTGGCGGGCAGAGCTTGCAGTGAGCTGAGATCATGCCACTGCACTGCAGCCTGGGTGACAGAACAAGACTCTGGGGAAAAAAAAAAAAGGAAGGAAAGAAATAAAAAAAGAAACAATTTTCAGTGTTAAGTTTCAATGTCTTTTATTTTGAGAAATTGATAAAAATTGTAAAAGTATGTGGGAAGGCACGTAAAAAGAATCTTTTCTGGAAGAAAAAAGTAGAATAGAAATGTATGTTATATGGTAGATTTTACTATTGTGGTAGATTGTATGCTCCAAAAATGGACACAGTGACATCCTTCATCCTACACATACTTATAATGTAACTGTGCCATTCCTCCCATTGAGAGATGGGTCTATGTTCCCTTCCCTCATAACTGGATAAACTCCTGGCCGTGGCAGAAGTTACAGTGTATGGCCTCCAAGGCTAGTCATAAAAGAGTATATACCTTCAGCACAGCTTTGTAGAAGAGCTTGCTTTTGGACCACAGTCTCTTTTCCATGAGGAAGCTGTATCAGATGGAGTGGACTGTGTGGAGAGAAACCAATACTGTACACTCTATGGCCCCAGCTGAGTGTGGTCCAACCATCAGTCAGCAACTACCAGATATGAATGGTGAGTCTTCAGATAATTCCAGCCCTTGGCTGTCAAGTTATCCATAGTTTTCCTCTCACCACAGCTAATAATGCTGCATAAAACAAATTCAAGCTCTCCCTGATGGGTCTCACCTACATTAGAGATTTCTGAACAAAATTAATGATTGGGGTGATATGTTTCACAGTAAATAATTAACGGACAAGACTTATCTCCATTTTGTATATAGGGCAACTGAAGTTCATAGTGGATATATGATTTAACTAGTAACACAGCACTATTAAATTATAGAGACTGAGCTCAAGTTCTATTCACTTTCTCTATATAGAGTTCTTTTGAAGTTTGTTCCTGAGTAACTATTTGGTGAAATGGAAAGTCTGTCTTCAGTGGTCTTGGTTTCCTCTCAGATACACCTACAAATATTTAACGCTTATGTCTCTATTGGGAAATTACAAGTTCATAGATAAGATGTTTCCCATGGCTTTTACAATGAAGAAAGTATTTTCAGACCACCAAGGTGATAAGGCAATTTCTGTTTTCTAGTTTCACATCATTCATGAGTTCATCTGGTTTAGATCTTCTTTTGCCCTCATTCCTCAGAATATTTGCTTAAATTATGGCAACACTCCGTTGAAAATAAAGGCTGAATACCTGATAATTATCTGCAGTGCTGCTAAAAAGAAACAGTGCAAATACAAATAGAAAGGAACTACTTGGCGTCTCATTTACAGTCTCCTTATGCACATTGATTCCACTTATATTCTTTTCTATTACTATTAATATTACAAAATGTAACCTTATTGAACATTTACAGCTATGCCTCGTTCTTTGTCTAATCATCTCAGGTGTTATCATAGGTGAACAGGAAGTGCTACTGAAGTGTTTCCCACGGGACTTAAAGAAAGACTGAAGGGTAAATGTCATCTTAGAACTTACAAATGCAAGAATTCCACTCTTGACACTTCATCTCACTCCCTGCCTGATTGCTCACAGATGTCACACCCAGAAAACAATGTCTTTTTTTCTTTTTCTTTTTTCTTTCTTTCTTTCTTTTTTTTTTTTTTTGAGGCGGAGTCCCACTCTGTCACCCAGGCTGGAGTACAGTGGCACAATCTCGGCTCACTGCAACCTCCACCTCCCGGGTTCAAGTGATTCTTCTGCCTCAGCCTCCTGAGTAGCTGGGACTACAGGTACGTGCCACTGCGCCCGGCTAATTTTTTGTATTTTTAGCAGAGACGGGGTTTCACACTGTTGACCAGGCTGGTGTCGAACTCCTGACCTCCTGATCTGACCGTCTCGGCCTCCCAAAGTGCTGGGATTACAGGCGTGAGCCAACACGTCCGGCCAGAAAGCAATTTCTTAAAGTCATTTATTGCAAATCTTCTTCCTTTGCTTCTTATTGTCAACTAATAATTATTTAACATCCATTTGATATATGGAATTGTAGTAAAAACAAGGGTATAACTTCCTATCAGATTTTAAGAGACAAAAAGCATGTGATAGAGACTTTTCAATTACCAAATTAAGATAAAAATGCTGGATGGATTCTCATATATTTGCTAGTCATACCTTTATCAGAACACTGAGAAGCCCCCATTTCATTGCCCCAGAACTTTACCTTAAAGCATTTGTTTAGAAAGATGGTTTGGAAATCCTGACCCACTTCAGGTTAATAGCACCAAGATGCTTGGTAAGATTGGTAATGTAACCAGTGGTAAGATGTGATAACGTAACCAGAGGAAACAAGACTTTATTTGAAACTCTATCAAGGACAGCAGCTTGAGACAATTTTTTTAACTATACTATGAACATTTAAGTATCACAGTTTGTCTTTTCAGAATGCTAGTTTAAGCTAGGTACGCAAGGTGAGATTAAACGAGGAAAAAAAAAAACAACAGACAGTTGTTATTGGGGGTTTACTATATCCAAGGAATTTAAAATATATATTTCCTCATTTAATTCATACAAAAACCCAGTGAGATGGATTGTATTGCTCATTTACAGCCATGAAAACTGAAGTCTTCATATGAAGTAACTAAACCAAATCCATTAGCTACAATGTAGCCGAGGCAAGATTCAAAACTCTCCAGCTCCAAAATCCAAGTTCTTTTTTTTTTTTTGAGACGGAGTCTCGCACTGTCGCCCAGGCTGGAGTGCAGTGGTGCTATTGCGGCTCACTGCAACCTGCAACCTCTGCCTCCCGGGTTCACGCCATTCTCCTGCCTCAGCCTCCCGAGTAGCTGGGACTACAGGCGCCCGCCACCACGCCTGGCTAATTTTTTTGTATTGTTAGTAGAAACGGGGTTTCACCATGTTAGCCAGGATGGTCTTGATCTCCTGACCTTGTGATCCGCTCGCCTCAGTCTCCCAAAGTGCTGGGATTACAGGCGTGAGCCACTGTGCCCGGCCCTGAAGTCCAAACTCTTGCTACCAGGCTATGCCTGTCTCAGTAGACGTGTACATGGGAGTAGTCTGTCAGCTAAGAATGCACATTTAAGGCAGTTTTTGTATCCTGATGCTGCCATTTGATCACGAACGTGACTGTTTACTCTCTGGATATTAGTTTCTCAATCTCTAAAATGAGGATAATTCCTGATATGGATTTTGAGATTATGTAATGCCTTACAGAGTGCTCAATAACTTGTAGCTGTTATTATTTCATGATATGAAGAATATAACTTTTCAGTCTGCTCCCAATAATTTGTGGGAGGCAAAAGAAAAAGAACAAAGTTATTTATGTTTCAGTCACCATGGCACTGCAGTTTTGCTGAAACAACACTGTTTTTTTTTTTTTTTTTGAGATTGTCTTGTCCGTTTAGTTTTTTTTTCAAAGCAACTGACAAACATGAGTCAATTCATTTTTCTCTTTTTTTCATTATTAGTTTTCATTGCCCTCCTTGTCCAGTTGCCTTTAATAATTTATCAATTATGCCTGATCAGGCCTGCTTGGCTGGCACAGCTAAGCTATAAAGAAGAACATGAACAGATGTAAAAAATGCATTTGTTTTCTCTTTTTTGCCAAATGCCAGGCAAAGAATGGCACCGTTCTGCTTGCCTGCCCCTTTTACTGGTGAGTAGTGCAAAATGGTTCACACAACATCTGCTTTTCTAAAGACCTGCTAGCATTGCCCACGTATGTCCAGATGTTATCACAGATAAACACAAATATCTGTAGGACTGAAAGTGAACAAACTCTCCTGGGATGCCAAATTCAGTGTTGTTTTGTTCTGGGGCCTGGGAAAATGGTAAAGGAATGGTAGTATGGATCTAGTGTTTTGATTCCATTTGCAGAAGATTATTTTCCCTCTATAAATTGACTGCCATTTTAATAACACAGTACTGAAGTGAAAGATGCAGGTTAAGCCACTTAGCTGTGCCCACACCCTCGGGAAGAATGAAAAGGGATGATACATTGCAGAAAATGTCCTACTGTGAGACAATCAAACCCACATCAAGGCTTCAGAGAACAAAACAAGAATTTGCTTCTCGCCTCAGGAAAACTATGAATCCTTATTAAGGTAAGTTCAAAATATAAGGAAGTCTTTCCTGCTGTCCCCACCTCTCTTCGCCACCACTACCATCCTTCCTCAAACTGTGGACCACTCTGCCTCTCCTTTATGATTCCACTTCTCTCTCTTGGCCTTAGATGAGTGCTCTCAGTCATTCATTTGCCTCCAAATCCCCCCTCAGTGGAGCTTGGGTGGGTGGGGTGAGGAGCTCATTTCAGCTCTTATACCTATAAGGAAAGAATGAAGAAAAGTCACCCCTCCTGGTCCAGTATCAGAGTGAAGGACATATAAGAGAAATCATCTCAACATACTTAGGTGTTTGGAGTTAATTAGCTCTATCTCTCCATGAGTGTTCTAGTTTAGTCTGGGCCACACACCTAAAAGGGGCATCTATGTCCCAGAAAAACAGGAGATAAATCCTGTTATGCCATAATGAGAATAGAAATTATGATTTGAAGTTGTGTTGTTATTCATGCTCCTCTTCCTGAATGGATCTCTAGCCTTATCCTGTGACAGCAAGTCTAGATTGACAAATGGAAGAGCATCATCAAATAGCATTTGCATGACAGTCACTGAACATTATATTGTAGAACTGGAGTCACAAACTTTTTTCTATAAAGGACCAAATATTACAGATTTTCATCTTTGCAGGACATATAATCTCTGTCACAATGACTCAATTTTGCCATTGTAGTGTGAGAGAAGCCATAGACCATGCAGAAATGAATGGGCATGGCTGTGTTCTCTAAAGCCTTATTATAAAAAACAGGTGGTGCACATGCACATGAGCACACACTCACACAGAAGGTGGCAGACTGGATTTAGCCCATAGGTCATAGTTTGCTAAACTCTGTTGTAGAAAGGAGAAGTGAATATATATTAAACTAATATAAGAAACCACAGTTACTTTTGCCTAATATTTGTAACTATTACTCTGTGGGCCAGTGAGGAATATTTTTCTTCCCCTCTCTGGATGCTTTATTTCATGACTGGAATTTGAACATCTCACTACTCTTCTTTGATCTGTTTGCTTTATGCAATAAGCATATTTTCAAAAATGACCAAGGTATGAGCCCTGTCTTTGAACAGTGAAAAAATGTGTTATTGATATAGGACATAGTAGAAACTAGATAAATTAGAAGAGTAAGAAAGCTTCATAGAGGAAGTGACAAAGTCCGAATCTTGAAGGTTTTACTGGGATTTACTATATTGGGTATCCCAGGCATTGTGACATTCTAGGTATAATGAGGTCTGCCAGCAAAATAAAAAAAAGACATGAAAAGGCATGAGCATGACCCATTTGGGGAAAGGTAGCATGTTCTGCAAAAGTTTACTGAAAGGTGAAACTAGGTTGTCATGGTGAGGCAAGGTTGCAGAGGAGGCAAAGTTAGGTTACAGAAGCCCTTGTATACCATGCTAAGGCACTGCAGGTTTCACCTATACTTTGCTCCCTTGATATGGAGTGGAATCATGGGCAGAGATCCCTGTTAGGTTAGCTCAGTTTAAGGGCTGAGTCCCACTCTGCAGCTTGATTCCTCACACGGCCACTGCTGTGTGGCATTGTTCAACCTCTCTGTGCTTCAATTCTTCCATGTTTAGAAGGGGAGAATGATAATATAATTAATGCCTACTGCATGGAGTTACTATGAGGATTAAATGAATTAATATTCATAACACCTTTGAACAGGATCTGCAACACAGTAAGGTGGTATACTGGGATTATGCTCAGGAATCACCTGACGGGACTTTTTTTTTTCCCCTAAAACACATGACCATTTATCAATAAAAAGAAATAAAAATATTAGGGCAGTCCAGGAGAAGGTTTCTGAGCCTGAATTTTAGCACTAGGGATAAAAAAGGGGAGGTAGTTATGAGATATAATAAGGAGGTATGTTTTAAAAAAGTTTAATTGCTGATTGAATGGGCATGACATATCCTTAGAGACAACTGAACATCCCAGCAGAGACTAGTTTTAGTTTGCCATCTGGGTGAATGATAGTGAGGTTTCTGGCTTAGAGAATCCCGGTGAAGAAGCAGAATTGGGGAGAGTACTCAATATGCTATTCATTTCCTACCCACACTCCTTTATTTAGAAAACAGCCTCTCTTTCCATAGCTTCTGGAAGGGGCATTGCTTGTGCATGGGGTGCTCATCTAATTTATTATCTAAATGGAGGCATGTTAGCGAGCGAGAATAAGAAGCTGTCAATAATGACTACAAAACAGCAGGAATGAGTTAGGATTCTCCAGAGCAAAGTGGGGTACATGGTCCCCCCACCTGTGAAGCACATGATCCTGTGCCAGTCTACAGTTGACTGCGAGCAAACGCCTCACCCTGACTTTTGCAATATCTTTTCTGCCTAGAATTTAAGACTAATAAATTGAAAAATTCTTTGTTTAGTCAAAAAATAGTTATTGAGCGTTAACTATGTACTGGGAAAGGTCCCAAGCACTGCTGATATAGCATTTAACAAAGAAGAAAAAGCTCTACCTTGATGGAATGATATTCTAGTAGAAAACTAGATAAAAGATAAATGTATAAATAATGTCTGAGAATGGTAGGTACTGGGGAGAAAAATAAACCAGAGTAAAATGCTAGAAAATGGTAGGGTGCTGCTTTTAGATTGGGTGGTTACAAATTTGAGGAGGTGATATAGGCAGAGATGTGAATTAAAGAGCAAAGGTGTTTGAAGGCTCTGAGATGGAAATTCGTTTGATGTGTGTGAGCAAGAGAATGACTCATGTATAGTTAAGGAGGAAACGGGTAATAGAAAATAAGAATAGGGAGGATACAGTTGATAACTGGAGGGCAGTCCCTCAGAACGGGGACTAAATTTGGTTCCTGGCTTTCACAGAGGTACTCGGTTGGTTATATACACAGTAGACACTCTAATTCCTTTACTGTCTTCTAATCACAGCTAAGTATTGGCAAGTACATGGCTTGGAAATGGACAGGGAAATAGGTTTGGTCAAATGCGTAGTAAAGTCAAGTCTGATCTGGATCTTCTTCAGAAGTTGCCCCCACTTTTGAAAAGAACTAAATGAATCTCCTTTCTTTCTCTGGATGTCTGGAATTGCAGCCACCATGTTGTGACTTCCCATGAGGGAAGTGGCCCGAGATTAAACAAATGTGGCAAGGAAGACTGAGTAGATGTCATGTTTGTCCTTGCCTGTCCATTTTTTTGTTGTATCCTTTTAGTAAATCACTTTTTACTTAAATAACCTGGAGTAGGCTTCTACCCCTTCCAGCAGAGCATCTTAATTTCCCTTTTGAACATGCTGAGTTTGATGGACCCATGAGTCTCTCAAAGAGGCAATGTCTGATTTGAAGTTAAAGGTCCACATCAGAGTCAGAGATAATCATAAGAGAATCATTAACATGCCCCACCACAGAAATGGATGGAATTATCCAGTTAGGGTGTGGTACATGGAAGGAAAGAGGGCTAGGCACAGACTAGAATACTGGGCTTACTGCTACATTTGAGTGGACAGTTCTTAAAGGAGTGGGCTGAGAGAACAGGAATGAGAATCAACTGAGGGGACTTTTTTTCCCCCTATAACACATGCTGTCCCCACTGGGAGATTCTGGCATGCTGCTGGGCATGGGGGAGCTCAGCACGGCAGTGGGCAGAGGAAGGAGTCAATACAGCATACTGAGAAGAAAAAATCAGCTGGGCCCAGTGGCTCATGCTGGTAATCCCAGCATTTTGTAAGGCCAAGGTGGGAGGATCGCTTGAGCCCAGGAATTTGAGGCCAGCCTGGGCAGCATAGCAAGACTCCATCTCTAAAAAAATGAAATAAAAAAATTAGCTGGGCATGGTGGAGCACACTTGTGGTCCCAGCTACTCAGGAGATTGAGCCAGGAGGGTCACTTTAGCCCAGGAAGTCAAGGCTGCAGTGAGTATAGCCCTGCCATTTTTCTCCAGCCTGGGCAAGAGAGCAAGACCCTGTCTCAAAAAATTTTAAAAGACCCAAAAGGTAAAAGAAGACATCTCCTCTCTGGTTTAGTTTTTCATTTGAGGCAGAGAATTTCTCCTATTCTGTGGATTCTTATTCTAATTTGCTTTGCTAAGCACTGGAGTGGGAGGGGCTCTATCCAGAATGTTCCTGGCATAGACTCACCTCTTTGGCATGGCCAGTGAGCTCCTTCTATTCGTTTCTGGGCCTCCTGCTTATAGCACCTGTGTCTGCCTCAAATCTCTCATCTCAAGAGTTGGTACTAGGGCATATTAGGAGGAGATGTATTTTTAAATCCCTTAGAAAATAGCACTGACAGTAATTGGCTCTTAGATCTCAGTAATGCTTACTGGTTTGATCTATAAAAATATCTTTCCTCCCTCCACCCCTACCCATTGCCTTATTTTCTCTTCATGTTGGGAAATGATTTTTCATTTTATTTCCTACTTTGTTCTATGGAGTCCTGTACCAATTTCACAAATAGGAAAGAAAAGAAAAATCTCTATATTTGTAGAGATTTGTTTTCATGCTGCTGCTTAAATATTGATCTTTAGAAATTTATGAAGGATTGCCTGAGGCCTCCTAGGAAGTCTAAATTGGAATTGTGATTTTTCTTCTTGTTGCTTTGTATGAGTCACCAGGAATAAATATTTTTGTTATTTTTGATGATTATTTTTAAAATAACACTAACACTTTTCTTGGGGCTTAATTCACTGCTGCAGAGGATGTCACCACTGCTTAAAAGCTCTTGGGCAGTCAATGCTCTCTGTAATTGTTTGATAGAAGTTCTGTGAAATTCCCTTTTCCAGTATGCTCAGCACACATTGTTACTACGCTTCGCTCTCCATAACAAATTTACAAATGCCCAAGTTAATAGAAAACTCTTAAGTAAATGTTTTTTCCACGGTTGTTTTTAACACTCCTTAGAGATTCTAGAAACCTCCTGTAAGAAGGTTGTGACCTTCTGGTTCTTTGTGACTGTGTGCCCAGAAGGAAATTGACTCATATACGGAGAGGCTATGCTTCTAAGGAAAATTCTGACTTGGTAACTTCAAGTTGCTCTGTGAAACAAATAAGACCTCACACAGTATCCTTCCCTTTTTTTCTGCTTTTGTTTCTTTTGAAGGAAAATGCTAATATTGCCTCTCACTTTTTATGACATATACAAACTTGATGACAACTAGAAGTGATATTGCTTTTAAAAAGTGTTAAATAAAGAATATGCCTGCAGTTGCATAGGTGATGGAGGTGCTGGAATGACAAGAGCATTGAGGAGACTGTGAAAAATCAGTGGCAGTTGAAGATGTTGGAAATACTCACCATTGAGTCTGCTTTCTCAGTACCATGGAGAGAAGCCTACACTAAGCAAAGGAGTATTGGCTATTTGGAAGGTTAAAATAGGTTACCTATAAGTTTTCAAACAATAAATTCTCCAAAGTGTTCAAGAGACTTTTTTTCTTAGTAATAAAGGAGAAAAAACCTTTTCTTTCATATAATGAGATAAGATTGATGCTTACGTAGTTTGGGCTATGGATCTCCTTTTGTTTGAAAATTTCTAATGAATATCTGGCAGTTATGCTTACTACCTATGTAAAGAACAAACACTTCCTTATGATGTGGAGACATAATTAAACTGGAAGGTGGCAAAACTGGTACTGAAAGAAGGAGCATTCGCTGGGCAGCTGATTCTATATATTAGTGGGATTTTCAATTTCATCCTGGCTTCACTTCTACTTATTTCTGTACTCTGCAGTGGATAGAAACTGAAAATCAACCCCTCAATCTATGTTGAAAGTAAGAAAAAAAATTAGAATAATTTTGACTATTTTTAAAATCTATCATTCATGGAACGTTAACTACATAAAATCAAGAAACATAAAAATGCAAGAAGAAACCACCATTATTCACTGTTTTGTTTTAAGGTGTGACTCATTGTTCAATTTTCTTTTATATTACAAATATTCTCCCTCTCCATGTCTTTGTACCATAAGAAACTTTTTAAAAATAAAAAAAACTATAATAAAAATTATAAGACACTGTAAATGAATGGTTTTAGTCATCTGAATTTTCTCTGACCCTTAGAATTAAGGAAAAAAAAAACACACAATAGTTATGGCCAATAATAATTCCTCCTTCTTTGAGGAAATTCAACAGTTTTAGAACCAACTTTAAACTATACAACCTGGCATATACACATTTTTAAAAACACACACACAAAATTGTTTACTAAGCAAGAAGGAGAATTCATTAAAGAGCCACGCCAGCTACAGGAAGTTTAGATTTTAAATGTAAAGAGAGGAGGCAATGGTACCTGACTTTTCACATTTTGATTTATATTGGCTTCTTTCCAGAAAACGCTTTCACTGGCTTTCAAAAAATTTTTATTTTATCTCCAACCCTTAGACGGAAACCATCTTCAACTGGAAATCAGAACACCTAGGTTTTACTTTTTATTTAGGCAAAAATGTATTTGGAGCCAGGCATGGTGGATCACAACTGTAATCCCAGCACTTTGGGAGGCCAAGGTGGGCAGATAATCTGTGGTCAGGAGTTCGAGATGAGCCTGGCCAACATGGCAAAACCCCATCTCTACTAAAAATATAAAAATTAGCCAGGTGTGGTCTTGCATGCCTGTGGTCTCAGGTACTTGGAAGGCTGAGGCAGGAGAATCACTTAAGCCCAGGAAACGGAGGTTGCAGTGAGCCAAGATCACACCATTGCACTGGGCGACAGAGCGAGACTCCATCAAAAATAATAATAATGAAATAAATAAATAAATAAAAAGCACATTTGGTCTCCACCTACTGGAAAACAGGCAGGAATTGCTGTGTGTTTCACAGACATGGACCACGAAGAGGATAAAGTGAGTTAACTTGTTAAGTGCTAAGAAATATTCTCCATAAACCCAAGCTATTATAGTTACGTAATATGAGTCTCTTCTCTGGAGGCGGTCTTCATGGATTGTTTGCCAGCCTAGCCTTAAAAATGTCAGGCATCGAAGATGGCCGAATAGCAACAGCTCCCGTCTACAGCTCCCAGCGTGAGCGACGCAGAAGACGGGTGATTTCTGCATTTCCATCTGAGGTACCGGGTTCATCTCACTAGGGAGTGCCAGACAGTGGGCGCAGGCCAGTGTGTGTGCGCACCGTGTGCCAGCCGAAGCAGGGCGAGGCATTGCCTCACCTGGGAAGCGCAAGGGGTCAGGGAGTTCCCTTTCCGAGTCAAAGAAAGGGGTGACCGACGCACCTGGAAAATCGGGTCACTCCCACCCGAATATTGCGCTTTTCAGACCGGCTTAAGAAACGGCGCACCACGAGACTATATCCCACACCTGGCTCAGAGGGTCCTACGCCCACGGAATCTCGCTGATTGCTAGCACAGCAGTCTGAGATCAAACTGCAAGGCGGCAACGAGGCTGGGGGAGGGGCGCCCGCCATTGCCCAGGCTTGCTTAGGTAAACAAAGCAGCCAGGAAGCTCGAACTGGGTGGAGCCCACCACAGCTCAAGGAGGCCTGCCTGCCTCTGTAGGCTCCACCTCTGGGGGCAGGGCACAGACAAACAAAAAGACAGCAGTAACCTCTGCAGACTTAAATGTCCCTGTCTGACAGCTTTGAAGAGAGCAGTGGTTCTCCCAGCACGCAGCTGGAGATCTGAGAACGGGCAGACTGCCTCCTCAAGTGGGTCCCTGACCCCTGACCCCCGAGCAGCCTAACTGGGAGGCACCCCCCAGCAGGGGCACACTGACACCTCACACGGCAGGGTATTCCAACAGACCTGCAGCTGAGGGTCCTGTCTGTTAGAAGGAAAACTAACAACCAGAAAGGACATCTACACCGAAAACCCATCTGTACATCACCATCATCAAAGACCAAAAGTAGATAAAACCACAAAGATGGGGAAAAAACAGAACAGAAAAACTGGAAACTCTAAAACACAGAGCGCCTCTCCTCCTCCAAAGGAACGCAGTTCCTCACCAGCAACAGAACAAAGCTGGATGGAGAATGATTTTGACGAGCTGAGAGAAGAAGGCTTCAGACGATCAAATTACTCTGAGCTACGGGAGGACATTCAAACCAAAGGCAAAGAAGTTGAAAACTTTGAAAAAAATTTAGAAGAATGTATAACTAGAATAACCAATACAGAGAAGTGCTTAAAGGAGCTGATGGAGCTGAAAACCAAGGCTCGAGAACTACGTGAAGAATGCAGAAGCCTCAGGAGCCGATGCGATCAACTGGAAGAAAGGGTATCAGCAATGGAAGATGAAATGAATGAAATGAAGCGAGAAGGGAAGTTTAGAGAAAAAAGAATAAAAAGAAATGAGCAAAGCCTCCAAGAAATATGGGACTATGTGAAAAGACCAAATCTACGTCTGATTGGTGTACCTGAAAGTGATGTGGAGAATGGAACCAAGTTGGAAAACACTCTGCAGGATATTATCCAGGAGAACTTCCCCAATCTAGCAAGGCAGGCCAACGTTCAGATTCAGGAAATACAGAGAACGCCACAAAGATACTCCTCAAGAAGAGCAACTCCAAGACACATAATTGTCAGATTCACCAAAGTTGAAATGAAGGAAAAAATGTTAAGGGCAGCCAGAGAGAAAGGTCGGGTTACCCTCAAAGGAAAGCCCATCAGACTAACAGCGGATCTCTCGGCAGAAACCCTACAAGCCAGAAGAGAGTGGGGGCCAATATTCAACATTCTTAAAGAAAAGAATTTTCAACCCAGAATTTCATATCCAGCCAAACTAAGCTTCATAAGTGAAGGACAAATAAAATACTTTATAGACAAGCAAATGCTGAGAGATTTTGTCACCACCAGGCCTGCCCTAAAAGAGCTCCTGAAGGAAGCGCTAAACATGGAAAGGAACAATCGGTACCAGCCGCTGCAAAATCATGCCAAAATGTAAAGACCATCAAGACTAGGAAGAAACTGCATCAACTAATGAGCAAAATCACCAGCTAACATCATAATGACAGGATCAAATTCACACATAACAATATTAACTTTAAATGTAAATGGACTAAATTCTGCAATTAAAAGACACAGACTGGCAAGTTGGATAAAGAGTCAAGACCCATCAGTGTGCTGTATTCAGGAAACCCATCTCGCGTGCAGAGACACACATAGGCTCAAAATAAAAGGATGGAGGAAGATCTACCAAGCCAATGGAAAACAAAAAAAGGCAGGGGTTGCAATCCTAGTCTCTGATAAAACAGACTTTAAACCAACAAAGATCAAAAGAGACAAAGAAGGCCATTACATAATGGTAAAGGGATCAATTCAACGAGAGGAGCTAACTATCCTAAATATTTATGCACCCAATACAGGAGCACCCAGATTCATAAAGCAAGTCCTGAGTGACCTACAAAGAGACTTAGACTCCCACACATTAATAATGGGAGACTTTAACACCCCACTGTCAACATTAGACAGATCAACGAGACAGAAAGTCAACAAGGATACCCAGGAATTGAACTCAGCTCTGCACCAAGCAGACCTAATAGACATCTACAGAACTCTCCACCCCAAATCAACAGAATATACATTTTTTTCAGCACCACACCACACCTATTCCAAAATTGACCACATAGTTGGAAGTAAAGCTCTCCTCAGCAAATGTAAAAGAACAGAAATTATAACAAACTATCTCTCAGACCACAGTGCAATCAAACTAGAACTCAGGATTAAGAATCTCACTCAAAGCCGCTCAACTACATGGAAACTGAACAACCTGCTCCTGAATGACTACTGGGTACATAACGAAATGAAGGCAGAAATAAAGATGTTCTTTGAAACCAACGAGAACAAAGACACCACATACCAGAATCTCTGGGACGCATTCAAAGCAGTGTGTAGAGGGAAATTTATAGCACTAAATGCCCACAAGAGAAAGCAGGAAAGATCCAAAATTGACACCCTAACATCACAATTAAAAGAACTAGAAAAGCAAGAGCAAACACATTCAAAAGCTAGCAGAAGGCAAGAAATAACTAAAATCAGAGCAGAACTGAAGGAAATAGAGACACAAAAAACCCTTCAAAAAATCAATGAATCCAGGAGCTGGTTTTTTGAAAGGATCAACAAAATTGATAGACCGCTAGCAAGACTAATAAAGAAAAAAAGAGAGAAGAATCAAATAGACACAATAAAAAATGATAAAGGGGATATCACCACCGATCCCACAGAAATACAAACTACCATCAGAGAATACTACAAACACCTCTACGCAAATAAACTAGAAAATCTAGAAGAGATGGATACATTCCTCGACACATACACTCTCCCAAGACTAAACCAGGAAGAAGTTGAATCTCTGAATAGACCAATAACAGGCTCTGAAATTGTGGCAATAATCAATAGTTTACCAACCAAAAAGAGTCCAGGACCAGATGGATTCACAGCCGAATTCTACCAGAGGTACATGGAGGAACTGGTACCATTCCTTCTGAAACTATTCCAATCAATAGAAAAAGAGGGAATCCTCCCTAACTCATTTTATGAGGCCAGCATCATTCTGATACCAAAGCCGGGCAGAGACACAACCAAAAAAGAGAATTTTAGAACAATATCCTTGATGAACATTGATGCAAAAATCCTCAATAAAATACTGGCAAACCGAATCCAGCAGCACATCAAAAAGCTTATCCACCATGATCAAGTGGGCTTCATCCCTGGGATGCAAGGCTGGTTCAATATACGCAAATCAATAAATGTAATCCAGCATATAAACAGAGCCAAAGACAAAAACCACATGATTATCTCAATAGATGCAGAAAAAGCCTTTGACAAAATTCAACAACCCTTCATGCTAAAAACTCTCAATAAATTAGGTATTGATGGGATGTATTTCAAAATAATAAGAGCTATCTATGACAAACCCACAGCCAATATCATTCTGAATGGGCAAAAACCGGAAACATTCCCTTTGAAAATTGGCACAAGACAGGGATGCCCTCTCTCACCGCTCCTATTCAACATAGTGTTGGAAGTTCTGGCCAGGGCAATCAGGCAGGAGAAGGAAATAAAGGGTATTCAATTAGAAAAAGAGGAAGTCAAATTGTCCCTGTTTGCAGACGACATGATTGTTTATCTAGAAAACCCCATCGTCTCAGCCCAAAATCTCCTTAAGCTGATAAGCAACTTCAGCAAAGTCTCAGGATACAAAATCAATGTACAAAAATCACAAGCATTCTTATACACCAACAACAGACAAACAGAGAGCCAAATCATGAGTGAACTCCCATTCACAATTGCTTCAAAGAGAATAAAATACCTAGGAATCCAACTTACAAGGGATGTGAAGGACCTCTTCAAGGAGAACTACAAACCACTGCTCAAGGAAATAAAAGAGGACACAAACAAATGGAAGAACATTCCATGCTCATGGGTAGGAAGAATCAATATCGTGAAAATGGCCATACTGCCCAAGGTAATTTACAGATTCAATGCCATCCCCATCAAGCTACCAATGACTTTCTTCACAGAATTGGAAAAAACTACTTTAAAGTTCATATGGAACCAAAAAAGAGCCCGCATCGCCAAGTCAATCCTAAGCCAAAAGAACAAAGCTGGAGGCATCACACTACCTGACTTCAAACTATACTACAAGGCTACAGTAACCAAAACAGCATGGTACTGGTACCAAAACAGAGATATAGAGCAATGGAACAGAACAGAGCCCTCAGAAATAATGCCACATATCTACAACTATCTGAGCTTTGACAAACCTGAGAAAAACAAGCAATGGGGAAAGGATTCCCTATTTAATAAATGGTGCTGGGAAAACTGGCTGGCCATATGTAGAAAGCTGAAACTGGATCCCTTCCTTACACCTTATACAAAAATTAATTCAAGATGGATTAAAGATTTAAACGTTAGACCTAAAACCATAAAAACCCTAGAAGAAAACCTAGGCATTACCATTCAGGACATAGGCGTGGGCAAGGACTTCATGTCTAAAACACCAAAAGCAATGGCAACAAAAGCCAAAATTGACAAATGGGATCTAATTAAACTAAAGAGCTCCTGCACAGCAAAAGAAACTACCATCAGAGAGAACAGGCAACCTACAACATGGGAGAAAATTTTCGCAACCTACTCATCTGACAAAGGGCTAATATCCAGAATCTACAATGAACTCAAACAAATTTACAAGAAAAAAACAAACAACCCCATCAAAAAGTGGGCGAAGGACATGAACAGACACTTCTCAAAAGAAGACATTTATGCAGCCAAAAAACACATGAAAAAATGCTCACCATCACTGGCCATCAGAGAAATGCAAATCAAAACCACAATGAGATACCATCTCACACCAGTTAGAATGGCAATCATTAAAAAGTCAGGAAACAACAGGTGCTGGAGAGGATGTGGAGAAATAGGAACACTTTTACACTGTTGGTGGGACTGTAAACTAGTTCAACCATTGTGGAAGTCAGTGTGGCGATTCCTCAGGGATCTAGAACTAGAAATACCATTTGACCCAGCCATCCCATTACTGGGTATATACCCAAAGGACTATAAATCATGCTGCTATAAAGACACATGCACATGTATGTTTATTGCGGCACTATTCACAATAGCAAGGACTTGGAACCAACCCAAATGTCCAACAATGATAGACTGGATTAAGAAAATGTGGCACATATACACCATGGAATACTATGCAGCCATAAAAAATGATGAGTTCATGTCCTTTGTAGGGACATGGATGAAATTGGAAACCATCATTCTCAGTAAACTATCACAAGAACAAAAAACCAAACACCGCATATTCTCACTCATAGGTGGGAATTGAACAATGAGATCACTTGGACACAGGAAGGGGAATATCACACTCTGGGGACTGTTGTGGGGTGGGGGGAGGGGGGAGGGATAGCATGGGAGATATACCTAATGCTAGATGACACGTTAGTGGGTGCAGCGCACCAGCATGGCACATGTATACATATGTAACTAACCTGCACAATGTGCACATGTACCCTAAAACTTAGAGTATAATAAAAAAAAAAAAATTTAAAAAAAAAAAAAAAATGCAAGTTTAGTTAACATTTTCAGCCAGCATGCTAAACCTTGTGATGAAGTCATAGGGTCTTATACTCACGATTTGATAACATAATAGAACTATTAAAAGAAGTCTGATTCATTAAAAAAAAAAAAAAATGTCAGGCATCACAAACAGGGAAACCTATAAATGAGAAATTTGGCTGCAGTCAGTCCCAGGGGACTCTCTGGCACTGGTGCTGTGGGGACTCACAGTTTAATCAGTTAAATCTGCATCAGGAAGTCAGCTCCCCTTCTGCTGCACCCGCTGGTGTCACAGAGGTCCTGAGCATCAAGCCAACACCTCCTGCTGAGTAGCAAAACGCTTGTGCCACCTGCCATCCTGGGGAAAACAGCCATGCTGCTGGAGAGTGTAATCAATGGAGAGAGAGCCCGGTCACTTCTGCCATCTTGCTCTCCTCCCACCTGGGAATAGAAGTGACAACTATTGAGCCATCAGAATGAAAATCTTTACTAGCCCTGCAGTGATCCAGGTACATAGAGTGACCTGCAACACTACAGTTTTAGGAAGGATATTGATTGTCTTATCTAACAGGAAAATGTGAACCCAGTTTATATTTTAGGTTAACTCTGTCTCAGGCTTTCTCACTTTGGTTCTTTCACACATATTCAACAAACATCCATTGTCTGTAATGTTCCAGGCACTGTTCTAGGTCATATGAAAAATCAGAATTGAACAGACATAGCCACTTACTCTCAAAGAGTTTACTATTCAGTAAAAGGAAAGAAGATAAGTGCAATATAAAGTTATAATGATACAAGACAGGTGTGTCTATTTGCATATATATTTATATAAAAATGAATAAAATCTTGAGGCTATTTTTATTTAATAACGTCTCAGGATACTATAAGAGGTGAGGAGAAGGGCCAATGGATTGAGATTCACTAATGACTCAAGGTATGATAATTACTATTCTCTGTTGTTTTTAAAAAAACTTTTCTTCATGTAATGATCTACGGGCATTTTTGTACTACCTGGGGATACCAAAATGACCAAAACTGACAAAAACTCATGCCCTCATGAAGCTTTCATACTAGATGGGCACAAAGCAGAGGGCAAGAAAGTGTCCAAGGGATCTGGAGGGGTAGCAGAGAATCACAGCACAACCTGGCAAATCCTTATAAGAATTTGACTTTGTCCTTGAGTGAAATAGAAGTCATTGGTCTTCCTCATTATTTCCTAGTAAAGAAACAAATATCAAGACTAAAAGGGCAGAGACTGGAATTCAAAAGTGATGTGACCCTGGAAAATTATTTTGAAGAATCTCAAATGTTCAGGCCTCTAAAAATTTTGATTGAATGTAGGGCTGACAGAAGTCATGGAGAGGGAACTTTAAGTAAAACTTCTGATAGATTTGTTGATGCCATCAGTACTTAGAATTATAATCATTTATAGAGCATTGTTGGAAAATTGTTGTGAACAATAATCTTTTAAAAAATATATTTATGCAAATTATACATATCACCAAAATACATGCATAGCTCCATATAGTTTTACAACAGATGACATTTATAGTTATTGCTCCCCATAACCTCCAAGAATAAACTATTAGACATACGCAGTCATGCATATATACTAATATTTTTCTAGGTTAAAGATGACGTATAATAATGTTTAGAGAGATACCAGGGTACCGCCTCCTGGATTAAGATGAGTCATCAATATTTTGCTGAACTGCCTTTTGAAGGCTTATAATGAGCTTTGAAACCACTTAGGACATATCACCTGCAAGCTGGTGAGCAAGGGTTATAGGAAAGAAGGGTGTCCTCCTATGGAGAATCAAGAAATGAGAACATTTTGGACTTTCTGTAGTCCTCCTTCCTTCATCTTCATCTAGATGATTCTGCCTCATCCTTTAGTTTTCTGCCTGTAGTTCCTCCCTGTGGAAGCCTTTCCTGACACAGGCTCTCCCTTCAGATGATGCTTGGCCTTCATTTTACCATGCCTGCAGCACTGTGAAGTCATTGAGTGAATGGCTCTTTCCCACCAGACTGCAAAGGCTGTGGGGTGGCAGGAAGACTGGCTTCTTGCTGCATATGGTTTCCACCTGCCATTCTAGTGGTGCTACCTATCAACTTTGTGACGGGCCAGAAAACTTCTTGTACAGGCACTTCACTGCTTTCTAGGAAAGGCAGGTCCTTGTAATTGAATGGCTGTAGTTTACTCCAGGGTAGGAGTGAACATGTAAGTCTGAGAGAGAGCCACTGGCATTCTCCTAAATGATGTTGTTTAAGGAAGGTGGCAGAGGTTGAGGAGGCCAGTGGGGGAAAGAAAGAAACCAGCAAATGTGAGCGCTACCATGGGGGTAAGAAATGGGGTCCAAGGATCTCTGCAAGGTGGGAGAAAAGGAACCTGTAGAAGAATGATTTCAAGCAGTTTGCTGAAGTGTTTCCAATATAAATCCTTATCGCCCCTGTGAAGTCATGGGTAAATTGTAAATTGCACACCAATACTTTTGAGAGGTTCTATTGTTTATGGTGATCCTGAGAAAGGTTAAATTCTGTAACCATGTTGGTTTAGGCAAGAATGGAGACTGATATGGGGATGTGGGGACATGATGGTGACATTCCTTTGAGAGGCAGATGGAAAAGTAGAGGTATGAGAGGACAGAAAGAGGGGGAAAGAGAGAGAGAGAATTTTGGAGGTGCTTGGGGGCAGAAAGAAACACCAAAACTTCCCTTTTCTTCCTTCTCTGATGCCTAGAACGGAAAAAAAGATTCATCCAGGCAGAGGAAAATGACTTGTTTCTTGGTAAGCAAGATAATTGCTATGACTTTGGATGTGTTGGCTGAGCAATCACCAATGTGTGATCACCTGTTAAAGGATTAGGAGGATGACCCTGCAAGGTGCTGGTAACCTTGCCCTACTTAGTTTCACACAGACCCCTGTTTCCCACATCAGAAGGCTCACACCTAGTAGACTCACACAAGTTTTGGAGTCAGCCAAGCCAGTCCCAATCTTGGAACTGCCGTGTTTGTGGCTAAGCTACCACTGGCCAGTCACTTAACATGTGTGCCTTGGTTTCCTCCCATATAACATGGTGGTGACAAGACAACCCCACAAGACCGCTAAGAAAACTGAAGATTATACTATTTATTTGATATGTGAGGCCAAAGCAGTGTTCAGCACATGCAATTTTCCCTCCCACTCCAGAACAAGTTGTGTCTTGAACTTTTCTCTCTTCTACTGTCACAAGCAGTCATAAATAATGCTAATTCTGATTCTGTCCCACTTTTCTTCTAGGTCTCAAGTTTCATATCTATAAAGCGAGATGATCCATCAAAATCAGTCAGACTCCACTCTTCTTTGATAAGTCTACCATTTTTTGAGGGCTAGCTTAAGAATATTATTTTACAGAAGAAATTGAGACAAAGAGAAGGTAGAAAATTCATAAAGGTCACATAGATGGTAAGTGGAAAAACTGGGATTGAACTCAGAAAGCCTGTTGCAGAATCCAGTTACCAAATAAGTGTATATTACTTCTCGCTGATGGGAATAAAGCCAGCATACTACTGAATAACTAGGATAAATAATTCAGTTGCCAAATATAGGCAGTAGCTGTATAACTTAAAAAAATTAATCAGAGGTAAGCAGGGTATAGCCAAGTCTCTTTTGTTCCATTACCTAAAATGGAAAAGCATCTTTTTCTACACTACTCCAGTGTGGGTCGTGAAGCACAGTATCAGTAGCACCTGGAAGCTTGTAGGAAGCACAGAATCCTAGTCCTAACCAGAACTACAAGATTGAAGATATCATTTGAATAAGATTTCAGGATGCTTTCTGTGAACCTTAAAGTCTGAGAAATATTGCTTTTGCTTCTCTGAACATACATGTCCTCATCTTTTAAATGAGGACCTTGGACTTGAGATTGCTTGACTCCATTCTGGGGCTTGTATGTGGTCTACACTCTTGGTTGGTAGTCATACTCTCCATGCCTGATAAATTCACTCCCTCTTCCATCTGCATCAATCGTTAAAATACTTCTTTTGAAGAACTAGAAAAATGAAGCTATTCTCTATGGAATAATAGAAAACAATCGCAAATCCTTTGTATTTTGCTAAATTGAAAAATTCAGGAAAACTCTTTACCTGTCTTACTATCTGCATGATTTTAAAAAATAATAATCTATTTGATTCTTCTCTCTTTTCTTCTGTATTAGTCTGGCTAGTGGTCTATTTTGTTAATCTTTTCAAAAAACCAGCTCCTGGATTCATTGCTTTTTTGAAGGGTTTTTCATGTCTCTACATCCTTCAGTTTTGCTCAGCTCTTAGTTATTTCTTGTCTTCTGCTAGCTTTTGAATTTGTTTGCTCTTGCTTCTCTAGTTCTTTTAATTGTGATGTTAGGGTGTTGATTTTAGATCTTTACTGCTTTCTCCAGTGGGCAATTTAGTGCTACAAATTTCCCTCTAACACTGCTTTAGCTGTGTTCCAGAGACTTTTGTATGGTGTGGCTTTGTTCTCATTGGTTTCAAAGAACTTATTTATTTCTGCCTTAATTTTATTATTAACCCAGTAGTTATTCAGGAGCAGGTTGTTCAGTTTCCATGTAGCTGTGTGCGTTTGAGTGAGTTTCTTAATCCTGAATTGTAATTTGATTGCACTGTGGTCTGAGAGACTGTTATGATTTCCATTCTTTTGCATTTGCTGAGGAGTGTTTTACTTCCAATTACGTGGTCGATTTTAGAAGAAGTGCTATGTGGTGCTGAGAAGAATGTATATTCTGTTGATTTGGGGTGGCGAGTTCTATAGATGTCTGTTAGGTTTGCTTGGTCCAGAACTGAGTTCAAGTCCTGGATATCCTTGTTAATTTTCTGACTTGTTGATCTGTCTAATATCAACAGTGGGGGTTAAAATCTCCCACTATTATTGTGTGGGAGTCTAAGTCTCTTTGTAGGTCTCTAAGAGCTTGCTTTATGAATCTGGGTGCTCCTGTATTGGGTGCATTTATCTTTAGGATAGTTAGCTCTTCTTGTTGCATTAATTCCTTTACCATTATCTAATGCCCTTCTTTGCCTTTTTTGATCTTGTCGGTTTAAAGTCTGTTTTATCAGAGACTAGGATTGCAACCCCTGCTTTTTTTTTGCTTTCCATTTGCTTGGTAAATATTCCTCCATCCCTTTATTTTGAGCCTATGTGTGTCTCTGCATGTGAGATGGGTCTCCTGAATACAGCACACTGATGGGTCTTGACTCTTTATCCAATTTGCCAGTCTGTGTCTTTTAATTGGGTCATTTGGCCCATTTACATTTAAGGTTAATATTGTTATGTGTGAATTTGATTCTGTCATTATAGTGCTAGCTGATTATTTTGCTCGTTATTTGATGCAGTTTCTTCATAATGTCAATGGTCTTTACAATTCGGTTTGTTTTTGCAGTGGCTAGTGCCAGTTTTTCCTTTCCATATTTAGTGCTTCCTTCAGGAGACTTTTTTTTTCTTTTTTTTTTTGAGACAGAGTCTTACTCTGTCACCCAGGCTGGAGTGCAGTAGTGTGATCTCGGCTCACTGAAAGCTCCGCCTCCCAGGTTCATGCCATTCTCCTGCCTCAGCCTCCTGAGTAGCTGGGACTACAGGTGCACACCACCATGCCCAGCTAATTTTTTTGTATTTTTAGTAGAGACAGGGTTTCACTGTGTTAGCCAGGATGGTCTCAATCTCCTGACCTTGTGATCTGCCCACCTTAGCCTCCCAAAGTGCTGGGATTACAGGCATGAGCCACCATGCCTGGCCCCTTCAGGAGCTCTTGTAAGGCAGGCTTGGTGGTGGCAAAATCTCTCAGCATTTGCTTGTCTGTAAAGGATTTTATTTCTCCTTCACTTATGAAGCTTAGTTTGGCTGGATGTGAAAAATAATAAAGGGGATATCACCACTGATCCCACAGAAATACAAACTACCATCAGAGAATACTATAAATACCTCTATGCAAATAAACTAGAAAATCTAGAAGAAAGGGATACATTCCTGGACACGTACACCCTCCCAAGACTAAAATAGGAAGAAGTTGAATCCCTGAGTAGACCAATAACAAGTTCTGAAATTGAGTCAGTAATTAATAGCCTACCAACCAAAAAAAAGCCCAGGACCAGATGATTCAAAGCTGAATTCTACCAGAGGTACAAAGAGGAGCTGGTACCATTCCTTCTGAAACTATTCCAATCAATAGAAAAGGAAGGAATCCTCCCTAACTCATTTTATGAGGCCAGCATCATCCTGATACCAAAACATGGCAGAGACACAACAAAAGAAGAGAATTTCAGACTGATATCCCTGATGAATATCGATGTAAAAGTCCTCAATAAAATACTGGCAAACCGAATCCAGCAACACATCAAAAAGCTTATCCACCACGATCAAGTCGGCTTCATCCCTGGGATGCAAGCCTGGTTCAACATATGCAAATCAATAAATGTAATCCATCACATAAAAAGAACCAATGACAAAAACCACATGATTATCTCAATAGATGCAGAAAAGGCATTCAATAAAATTCAACACCGCTTTATGCTAAAAACTCTTAATAAACTAGGTATTGATGGAATGTATCTCAAAATAATAAGAGCTATTTATGACAAACCCACAGCCAATATCATACTGAATGGGCAAAAACTGGAAACATTCCCTTTGAAAATGGGCACAAGACAAGGATGCCCTCTCTCACCACTCCTATTCAACTTAGTGTTGGAAGTTCTGACCAGAGTAATCAGGCAAGAGAAAGAAATAAAGTGTATTCAGATAGTAAGAGAGGAAGTCAAATTGTCTCTGTTTGCAGATGACATGATTGTATAGTTAGAAAACTCCATCATCTCAGCCCAAAATCTCCTCAAGTGGATAAGCTACTTCAGCAAAGTCTCAGGATACAAAATCAATCTGCAAAAATCATAAGCTTTCCTATACACCGATAATAGACAAACAGCCAACCAAATCATGTGTGAACTCCCATTCACAATTGCTACAAAGAGAATAAAATACCTAGGAATACAACTTACAAGGAATGGGAAGAACATCTTCAAGGAGAACTACAAACCACTGCTCAAGGAAATAAGAGAGGACACAAACAAATGGAAAAATATTCCATGCTCATGGACAGGAAGAATCAATATCATGAAAATGCCATGCTGCCAAAAGTAATTTATAGATTCAGTGCTATTCCCATGGAGCTACTATTGACTTTCTTCACAGTAGAAAAAAGTATTTTAAATTTCATATGGAACTGAAAAAGAGCCTACATTGCCAAGACAATCCTAAGCAAAAAGAATAAAGCTGGAGGCATCACGTTACCTGACTTTAAACTATACTACAAGTCTACAGTAACTAAAGCAGTGTGGTACTCATACCAAAACAGATATATAGACCAATGGAACCAAACAGAGGACTCAGAAATAGCATCACACATCTACAACCATCTGATCTTTGACAAACCTGACAAAAACAACAATAGGGAAAGGGTTCTTTATTTAATAAATGCTGTTGGGAAGGCAGAAAACTGAAACTGGACCCTTTCCTTATGCCTCATACAAAATTTAATTCAAGATAGATTAAAGATTTAAACATAAGACCTTAAACCATAAAAATCCTAGAACAAAACCTAGGCAATACCATTCGGGACATAGGCATGGGCAAAGACTTCATGACTAAAACACCAAAAGCAAAGGCAACAAAAGCCAAAATCGACAAATGGGATCTAATTAAAGAGCTTCTGCACAGCAAAAGAAGCTATCATCAGAGTGAACAGGCAACCTACAGAATGGGAGAAAACTTTTGCAGTTTATTCGTCTGACAAAGGGCTAATATCCAGAATCTACAAGGACCTTAAACAAATTTACAAGAAAAAAAACAATGCTATCAAAAAGTGGGTGAAGGATATGAACAGACACTTCTCAAAAGAAGACATTTCTGTAGCCAACGAACATATGAAAAAAAGCTTGTCATCACTGGTCATTAGAGAAATGCAAATCAAAACCAGAATGAGATACCTTCTCATGCCAGTTAGAATGGCGATCATTAAAAAGTCAGGAAACAACAGATGCTGGAGAGGATGTGGAGAAATAGGAACGCTTTTACACTGTTGGTGGGAGTGTACATTAGCTCAACCATTGTGGAAGACAGTGTGGTGATTCCTCAAGGATCTAGAACCAGAAATACCATTTGACCCAGCTATTCCCTTACTAGGTGTATACCCAAAGGATTATAAATCATTCTCCTATAAAGACACATGTAAATATATGTTTATTGCAGCACTGTTCACAATAGCAAAGACTTGGAACCAACCCAAATGCCCATCCATGATAGACTAGATAAAGAAAATGTGGCACATACACACCATGGAATGCTACGCAGCCATAAAAGAGAATGAGTTCATGTCCTTTGCAGGGACATGGATGAAGCTGGAAACCATCATTCTCAGCAAACTAACACAGGAACCAAAGACTGCATGTTCTCACTCATAAGTGGGAGTTGAATAATGAGAACACATGGACACAGAGAAGGGAACATGACACATTGGGGCCCATCGGGTAGTGAGGGGCTAGGGGAGGGATAGCATTAGGAGAAATACCTAATGTAGATGTTGGGTTGATGGGTGCAGCAAACCACCATGGCATGTGTATACCTATGTAACAAACCTGCACATTCTGCCTGTGTATCCCAGAACTTAAAGTATAATTTAAAAAACAGAAATTGATCAATTCATTTTTTATACTTTTATTGGGAGTGCTTTTTATCGGAAGTACTTTTGTAGTTATAGATGCTTCTGTCAAGGTCAATGTGGCTTTATTTAGGACAATTTAGCAGGTACTTCCTTCCTTCAACACAGGATACAAATGGCCTTTTTACTTTCACATTTCTCATAATACCCAAGAAGGGTACTTTCATTTTCTATTCTTTAGATGTTATTTTGTCACTTTTCCTTGATCTTATTGACTAAAGTAAGAAGCCAAGCTTTTAAAGAAATAAAGTTAGTTTTTTTCGGAAGTCTTACTGTGGTCTATAGCTTAGGAGTTATTTCAGACTGCTCCAAAGCAGTGTTTGAGTTCATAGCTCATGTACAAGTGGAGGAGGGAGGGGGATGGGGGTTCCGTACATGCTAAATCACATCAAACTTCCTCAGAAGTTACATTAAAGCAGAATCACATCAAGGTTTGGGTGTAAGAGTACATCTGGTTATAAATTACTGAGGCATAATCACCAGCCCCATCTGACGTTATCTTACGTGCAGGACAAGGCAAGAACCAGGTCATTTATCTTTTAAGGAGTATAGTGACTCAGGCAAGAGACGTGGTGGGGCCTATGTGCTCTCTCCTGTTTTGTCTTTGAAGCATCTTTCTGGAGAGCTGCATGTCATTGCAGAGTGAGGGACTTAGTGAAGTTGTGTTGGCAAGCAGAAATGAGCAAACAGCTTTTGTTGTTACTTTGTCTCACAATCTGTACATTGGATTCTAAATGGACATTTTTTTTAAAAAGAACTGAAAACTTCACATGTGGCTTTTATTTAAATAAAATGAAGTGAGCTAAGAAATTTTCTTCACCATTTCTCTAGCTTTCTGTGGCAAATTGGAAGATCTTTTATTGTAACTGCTAAGAGTGAACTTCTGCAAAACTATCAGACCGGTATAGTTGACTGGAGAGTGACCCATGTCAGACAGGGCTGGGTCCACATATTGTGATAAATAGAGATAGATGGATAGATAGATAGACATAAATGGTTGTGTTTACTGCAGATATCTCTACAAGTCATGACTGTACCCAGTGCCATCAGATTTTCAGATCCTGAGACACAGGAAGGTGCACCTGTGCATAGTCACAAAATTTTTGTTGACCAACAGTAGAGATGGATTTCTGAAAGCAGAGTCTGACCTCGTTTTATCTTCTTTTTGCAGAAAAAAATACAATTATACAATTGGGCACATTCATTCTTTGTACATTTCAGTGTGCATGTGTGCGTGCATGTGTGTGCTTGAGTGATTGTTGTCACTGTTTAATTTGACATATCCTGTAATTATAAGTAAACACGTAAAGAGAAGAATGAAAATTCTTTCATCCAATGTTCAAGAGCTGGTGGTTATAGCATTTTCATAACAACATTCTTTAGAATTTTCAGTTTTACAGCCTCATCACCCTGACGTTGCCCGTGAATAGGAAGCATATTAATAATCAATGACTTCAGATTAGTGCTCTTCACCCCTAGCAACCCTATCTCAAATAAGTGATCCACAGAGCCCATTTATCTTTTCCCTCTTATTTCCAGCTAGTGAGAGGACAAGAGTGTCTCTATAAAGTTGCTTGCAAATCAGCTGTAGGCACTTGTGCTGCTGGGAAAATGGCCAGTTTAACTCTGAAGGCTCGAAATTCCTTCTCTAATGTGGGCTGATTTATTCTTAGATCGTCTTCTCTCATCCCCACTTAGAAAATATTTTTAATGATATTGGAAATGGTCTTATGATTTTGATTATTTTGCCCTAAGTCACATAATTTAAGTTCCTAATTTTCTAACTCCTCATTCCTTTCACATATGTCTTGTTATATAATGAAAAAAAAATTACAGGATTTAAAAGGACTTCAAGACTACCCAATACTTGAACTTATAGATACACTCAAAACTTCCATACAAATTGACAAAAAGTGGGTACACAGTTTAGGCCTTAATATCTCTAGGATGACACATCAATTAACTTCCTGTGAAGGCTAGCTATTCCACCGTCAAATGGAGAAAATAATGCAGTTGCTTTTCTCCCATGACTGAATAGCAAACGTAATATAGATGGTCTTCAGATCTTACCTAAATACTTTGCAAACTATCAATGTCTTCTATTATTTCAGAAGATAGAATTATGCAACACATTACATTATTAATAATTGAAATTGGCATATTTCTAGAAAGGTTGGAGAGGTCAGATATAACATTATTTATTTTGCAAATACCATGTAGAAATTCAAAAGTAGATTCATTGTCTCCCAGAGCTCCTAGCCTGGAACCTACTCTTCGGGGGTCCCAATAAATTGTTCTAGTCACTGGATTGTCCTGTCTTTCTGGGACAGCTTTGTATACTGATTGTAAATATGATAAACTCCTTCCCAAAGTCATTTTTTTCCCACTGTGCAGTCAAGCATGTTGTTTGTGCCTGGCAGAAGGAGCACAACGTGAGCAGAGCTTTGGGAGGTAGAGCCACGGGAAGCTCTGCACTTCCTCCTCAACAACACTTGATTTGGAATCTGGAGACTTCATTCCTGGTGGGGGTAACAGCAACCTTTCCCCCATAATTAATTTCTGTAAGCAGCAGTTCATTAGCGAGAAGAATGACAGCCTTGAGACATTGATGCTGGCTTGTGTGTGACTCCAAATCTCTATCACCTTATTTAAAGGTGGAGTCAGCCATTAATGGTAATAATAATTCAAACATCTTTTAATGCCAACAGCAACACAACCACCTTAAAATAATTCTGGCTGTGAGAAAACTAGCAATTTAAAGGCAGCTCATGTTCTCTCTAAGTTTTTCATGGCTGCTACTGGGAATACTTGATAATTTATGAAGGCTTATACCATCAAATTAATTACATTTTCTGGATGCCATGTCTTTTTTTTTTTAATAACAGCGCGCTCTGAATTATAAGTAAAAATGCTGTAGCTATTCATTCCTCCTGTTTATAAAAAATAATAGTTGAACCATCTTAGAAATGCCATTATTTCAGGCATAGTCAGTTAAAGATGTGTCAGCAATTTTTTATTCTTCATCCTATGTATTTTTGCTCAAAAATTAGAAAATAGTGTATTAGCTGGGAAGCATGTTTTTCAACAAAGTGTGAAAAAGATGTTAGCATTTTGTAACTAATTTAAGAGAGAAAAAGACCTAGTTTATGGAGTACTTGAATTTCCAGTTTAAGAGAATGTGAGTAGGATTAGGGTTGAACAGCCCAGGAAAGTCAAATGTGCTCGTCCGTAGACAGAACCTGAAGAAAATGATAGTGAACTACGGTGATGCCACTACAGATAAGAATCCAAATAATGGAAAATAAAGCCTGTAGGCCGTCTCTTCTGTTAACAGCTGCTCTTTCTTACTAGATATAGACTTGTTTTACCATTAAACAAGTAGACAGAGGCCTAGTGAAAATATCCCAGACTGATTAACTTTTCATTATATTTTAAATTTGGTTTAGGATAGGAATCACAAGTCCTGATTATGTGCTGACTTAATAAAATTAGATTCAACTTTTTCTATAGTAAAGTGAATATAATAGACTTTTTTATTTATTCAACACATATGTATGGAGCCTTATTGACTAATGCAGTAGGTTGGTACAGTACAGAATAGTAATTAGTAAAAGGAATTTTGAAGTGAAACAAATCAGGATTTGGGGTACAAAATCCTGCTCTGCCTCTTATGAGCTGTGTGACCTTGAGCCAATTACTGAACACACCAAGCATTAGTAGCATGATCTAAGGCAGGGTTGGCAAATTTTGACCTGTGAACCAAATCCATCCCACTGCCTGGAATGCAGCCATGCCCACTCATTTGCATATCATCTGGCTGCTTTTATAGTCTAAGAGTAGAGTAGGGTGGTCTTAACACACAATCTGTGGTACACAAAGCCTAAAATATTTGCTGTCTGACCCCTCACAGAAAAATTTTCCTGGCCCCGATATAATAAGCTTAAATAATGATAGTACCTACCTGACAGGTGGTTGTGACAATTAAATGGGACAATGTGTACATACTGTTTAGGACATTGTCTGGAACATGGTGCATTCTCATTAACTGTTAGGCATCATTAGAAGTATTTTGCCAGGTATTAGGCTTGGTGCTGGAGGCACCATGACAAATAAAACATGGCTCCATCCATCCTCAGGGAAATTAAACCACCAATACAGTATTGTAGGGTCATAGAGATGCACAAAATGCTCAGTGGGGACATTTAAGACCCATATAAAATACCTACTTTTCCCCTATATTTTAGGGCCTATAATATATAAAACGATGTTTATTGCTCTTCTTTGCAAGCATGTAAAACATCTTATAGATGACTTTTTGGTAATTAATCTTGTGGGTTTGTTTTCTCTAACTTATATAATTCACAGATACCGTGATTACAAATGCAGGCATGGAGAAGCTAAATAGAGAATTTGAACAGGACTGTTGATTCACTTTTCTGGATATACAATCACTTATAGAAAGTAAAATTTTCCATGTGTTTAACTTAGTGTGATACAAGACCTAAAATTAAAGCTCAATATTGTTTGCTGCCTGGACATCTGATTAAACAGGGAGGGCTTCAACCAGTCTAACTGCAAGTTCCCTCACCACTCTCCTGCCGTGAATAAAGTCCCTTATCCAAACAACCATCCTTACCAAACAGACCAGGTGGACTTCCTACTTATCCCTGAATAGCAGGTTTCAGTTTCCTGCTGGCCCATGGAATTATTCAAACAAGCCAATCACACTCTCCCAGGGAGCCTGGGCACACCCTGTTGTCTTGATACTACAAAGCCTGCCTCCCACAGCCACTGGTTGTTCACTATATTCCCAATTGCAACATCCATGGGCTCTGTGTGACACATGATATCCTTCTCCCCTAGGTTATAAGTATATGTGACTAACTGTTGTTGCCCTTACCTGTCCAGTTTCAGGCATTCATGTGTTTGGCCATCATCATAAACCTAGGGTGAGAGTCTCTTCTTCACCAATGTGATGAAGAGGAGGTGATTAAAACTCTTGGCTCAGTGAGCACCATGACATACTGGAAACTCCTGGAGCCGAGCACAATTTAACACTCATAAGGAGCCTTGGCACTTTTAAAAAGAAGGAAAGAGCAGGACCAGAAGTCACTTAATCATGATAAAGGTGGAGCATGAGAAGCGCTGCTGCTTCACACTTTGTCTAAAACAGCATAAAAATATTAGGTGAGAGGAATTCATGTAGAGCAGGTGCTCAGCTGGTCCCCACAGAACAATCACAGTGTTTGAACTGCTTGCCTGTTGCAACAACATATTTTTTTTGAAGAGGATATACAATGACTGCTATCCTGGACTGATTAGACAGTTAATGTCTTTATTAACAAGTATGTTAAACCAAAGTAGGGTGAAGTGCTAAAATAATAAAAGAAAGAAATCTTATTTATAATCCTTATCCTGAACCTCTAAAATAATATTTTTTATTAGAGTTTTTTTAGTAGATTTAGTTGTGCAAGCATCACCCCAATCCAATTTTAGAACTTTTCATAAACCCCTAAATTTCCCTTGTGCCCATTTGCAATTTATCCACACTTTCATTTCTAGCCCTGGGTACTGATATGATTTCTGTCTCTACACATTTTTCTTATCTAGACATTTTATGTAAATGGAAGAATATAATATCTAGTTTTTTGTGTATCTGAATTATTTCATGTAAAATAATGCTTTCAAGGCTTAAGTGTAGAAGCATGGGTCGTTCATTCCTTTATGTTGCTGAATAGTATTCCATTTGTATGCATTTTATTTATCCATTAACTAATTAGATATTTGTACTTTTTTCCGTTTGGGGCTACTAGGAATAATGCCATTATGAACATTCATAATGTTTTTGTGTGGACCTAAGTCTTCACTTTTCTTGGGTAGAGTCCTAGGAGCAGAATTGCTTGGTTGGTTGTATGATTGCTTTATGTTTAACTTTTAACGATACCACCAAATGTCTTCCAACCGGCTGTACAATTTTAAAGTACCCATCTCCAATACAGTAGTCCCCCACCTTACCTGCAGGGGATGCATTCCAGGACCCTGAGTCAGTGCCTGAAATTGTAGATAGTACTGAATCCTATATATACTATGCTTTTCCCTATTTACACATACTTGTGTTAAAGTTTAATATATAGATTAGGCAAGTAAGAGATTAACAGCAATAACAAATACCAAAATAGAACCATTATAACAATATATTGTAATAAAAGTTATGTGAATGTGGTCCCTCTCTCAAAATTTCTTATTTATTGTACTCACCCTTCTTGTGTTGATGTGAGATGATAAGATGTCTATGTGATGAGACGAAGTGAGATGAATGACATAGGCATTGTAACATAGCATTACTCTACCATTGACCTTTTGAACACTGGACAGAAAGAGGATCACTGAGCCACGACCAAGCAACAAACATGGCTATGTTAGACAGGGGGATAATTCATGTCCCAGGTAGGAGAAGGAAGGTGCAAGATTTCATCACACTACTCAGAGTGGTACACAATTTAAAACTTATAAATTGTTTATTTCTATAATTTTTCCATTTAATATTTTCAGTCCTTGGCTGTCCATGGGTAACTTAAATCTGGAAAAAAGTGAAATTGACAATTTGTGGGGGTAATATTGTATTTGCCATTGACTTGTCTTTTTCATTATAACCATTCTAAAGGGTGTATAGTTAAATGTCTATTCACATATTCTGCCTATTTTTAATTGAGATGTTTGCCTTATTTATCGAGTTCTAAGGGTTCCTTAAATATTCTGTGTATAAGACTTATATCAGCTATTAGATCTGTGAATATTTTCTCTCATACTGTGGCTTCTCTTTTTATTTTAATTGTGTTGCTAAAAATACAAATGTCTATCATTTAGACAAGCTCCCATTTATCAATTTTTCTTTTATGGGTTGTGTTTTCGATGCTATTTCTAAAACTCTCTGCTTATTCCAAGATTAAAAAATTCCTCCTCTGATTTATTTATTAATATTCAGCTCTTACATTTAAGTCATAAATTTTGAGTTAATTTTTGCTATAGTTTGAGGTAACGTTCTTTTTTTTTGGCACGTAGACATCCAATTGTTTCATCACCATTTGTTGAAGATATTCTTTCCCCTTTGAAATTGCATTAGCATTTTGTTGAAAACAAATTGACTGTAAATATAAGAGTTCATGGACTCGATTCTGTTTCATTTATCTATGTGCAATACCACATGTCTTTTTTTTTATTATACTTGAAGTTCTAGGGTACATGTGCACAACATGCAAGTTTGTTACATAGGTATACATGTGCCATGTTGGTTTGCTGCACCCATTAACTCATCACTTACATTAGGTATTTCTCCTAATGCTATCCCACCCCCTGCCTCCCACCCTATGACAGGCCCCAGGGTGTGATGTTCCCCTCCTTGTGTCCATGTGTTCTCATTGTTCAATTCCAACCTATGAGTGAGAACATGTGGTGTTTGGTTTTCTGTCCTTGTGATAGTTTGTTCAGAATGATGGTTTCCAGCTGCATCCATGTGCCTACAAAGGACATGAACTCATTGTTTTTTATGGCTGCATAGTATTCCATGGTGTATATGTGCCACATTTTCATAATCCAGTCTATCATTGTTGGACATTTGGGTTGGTTCCAAGTCTTTGCTATTGTGAATAGTGCTGCAATAAACATACATGTGCATGTATTTTTATAGTGGCATGATTTATAATCCTTTGAGTACATACCCATTAATGGGATCGCTGGGTCAAATGGTATTTCTAGTTCTAGATCCTTGAGGAATCGCCACACTGTCTTCCACAATGGGTGAACTAGTTTAGAGTCCCACAAACAGTGTAAAAGCATTCCTATTTCTCCACATCCTTTCCAGCATCTGTTGTTTCCTGACTTTTTAATGATCGCCATTCTAACTGGTGTGAGATGGTATCTCATTGTGGTTTTGATTTGCATTTCTCTGATGACCAGTGATGAGCATTTTTTCATGTGTCTGTTGGCTGCATAAATGTCTTCTTTTGAGAAGCGTCTGTTCATATCCTTCACTCACTTTTTGATAGCATTGTTTTTTTTCTTGTAAATTTGTTTAAGTTCTTTGTAGATTCTGGATATTAGCCCTTTGTCAGATGGGTAGATTGCAAAAATTTTCTCCCATTCTGTAGGTTGCCTGTTCGCTCTGATGGTAGTTTCTTTTGCTGTGCAGAAGCTCTTTAGTTTAACTGGATCCCATTTGTCTATTTTGGTTTTTGTTGCCATTGCTTTTGGTATTTAGTCATGAAGTCCTTGCCGTGCTTATGCCCTGAATGGTATTGCCTAGGTTTTCTTCTAGGGTTTTTATGGTTTTAGGTCTAACATTTAAGTCTTTAATCCATCTTGAATTAATTTTTGTATAAGTTGTAAGGAACGGATCCAGTTTCAGCTTTCTACATATGGCTAGCCAGTTTTCCAGCACCATTTATTAAATAGGGAATCCTTTCCCCATTTCTTGTTTTTGTCAGGTTTGTCAAAGATCAGATGGTTGTAGATGTGTGGTGTTATATATGAGTCCTCTGTTCTGTTCCATTGGTCTATATCCTTGTTTTGGTACCAGTACCATGCTGTTTTGGTTACTGTAGCCTTGTAGCATACTTTGAAGTCAGGTAGCGTGATGCCTCCAGCTTTGTTCTTTTTGCTTAGGCTTGTCTTGGCAATGCAGGCTCTTTTTCAGTTCCATATGAAATTTAAAGTAGTTTTTTCCAAGTCTTTGAAGAAAGTCATTGGTAACTTGATGGGGATGGCATTGAATCTATAAATTACCTTGGGCAGTATGGCCATTTTCAGGATATTAATTCTTCCTATCTGTGAGCATGGAATATTCTTCCATTTGTTTGTGGCCTCTTTTATTTCATTAAGCAGTGGTTTGTAGTTCTCCTTGAAGAGGTCCTTCAAATCCTGTGTAAGTTGGATTCCTAGGTATTTTACTCTCTTTGGAGCAATTGTGAATGGGAGTTCACTCATGATTTGGCTCTCTGACTCTTATTGGCATATAGGAATGCTTGTGATTTTTGCACATTGATTTTGTATCCTGAAACTTTGCTGAAGTTGCTTATCAGCTTAAGGAGATTTTGGGCTGAGATGATGGGGTTTTCTAAATATACAATCATGTCATCTGCAAACAGGGACAATTTGACTTCCTCTTTTCCTAATTGAATACCCTTTATTTTTTTCTCTTGCCTGATTGCCCTGGCCAGAATTTCCAACACTATGTTGAATAGCAGTGGTGAGAGAGGGCATCCCTGTCTTGTGCCAGTTTTCAAAGAGAATGCTTCCAGTTTTTGCCCATTCAGTATGAGATTGGCTGTAGGTTTGTCATAAATAGCTCTTATTATTTTGAGATACATTCCATCAATACCTAGTTTATTGAGAATTTTTAGCATGAAGCAGTGTTGAATTTCGATGAAGGCGTTTTCTGCATCTATTGAGATAATCATGTGTTTTTTGTCATTGGTTCTGTTTATGTGATGTATTATGTTTATTGATTTGCATATGTTGAGCCAGCCTTGCATCCCAGGAATGAAGCCAACTTGATCGTGGTGGATAAGCTTTTTGATGTGCTGCTGGATTCAGTTTGCCAGTATTTTATTAAGGATATTCACATTGATGTTCATCAGGGATATTTGTCTAAAATTCTCTTTTTTTGTTGTGTCTTTGCCAGGCTTTGGTATCAGGATGAGGCTGGCCTCATAAAATGAGTTAAGGAGGATTCCCTCTTTTTCCATTGATTGGAATAGTTTCAGACGGAATGTTACCAGCTCCTCTTTGTACCTCTGATAGAATTCGGCTGTGAATCCATCTGGTCCTGGACTTTTTTTGGTTTGTAGGCTATTAATTATCGCCTCAATTTCAGAGCCTGTTATTGGTCTATTCAGAGATTCAACTTCTTCCTGGTTTAGTCTTGGGAGGGTGTATGCGTCCAGGAATTTATCCATTTCTTCTAGATTTTTGAGTTTATTTGCGTAGAGGTGTTTATAGTATTCTTTGATGTTGGTTTGTATTTCTGTGGGATTGGTGGTGATATCCCCTTTATCATTTTTTATTGCATTTATTTGATTCTTCCTTCTTTTCTTCTTTATTAGTCTTGCTAGCAGTCTATCAGTTTTGTTGATCTTTTCAAAAAACCAACTCCCAGAGTCATTGATTTTTTGAAGGGATTTTTGTGTCTCTGTCTCCTTCAGTTCTCCTCTGATCTTAGTTATTTCTTGCCTTCTGTTAGCTTTTGAATTTGTTTGCTCTTGCTTCTCTAGTTCTTTTAATTGTGATGTTAGGGTGTCCATTTTAGATCTTTCCTGCTTTCTCTTGTGGGCATTTATTGCTATAAATTTCCCTCTACGCACTACTTTAAAAGTGTCCCAGAGATTCTGGTATGTTGTGTCTTTGTTCTCGTTGGTTTCAAAGAACATCTTTATTTCTGCCTTTATTTTGTTATTTACCCTGTAGTCATTCAGGAGCAGGTTGTTCAGTTACCATGTAGTTGTGTGGTTTTGGGTGAGTTTCTTAATCCTGAGTTCTAATTTGATTGCACTGTGGTCTGAGAGACCACAGTTTGTTGTGATTTCTGTTCTTTTACATTTGCTGAGGAGTGCTTTACTTCCAACTATGTGGTCAATTTTGGAATAAGTGTGATGTGGTGCTGAGCAGAATGTATATTCTGTTGATTTGGGGTGGAGAGTTCTGTAGATGTCTATTATATCTGCTTGGTGCAGAGCTGAGTTCAATTCCTGGATATCCTTGTTTGCCTTCTGTCTCGTTGATCGGTCTAATATTGACAGTGGGGTGTTAAAGTCTGCCATTATTATTGTGTGGGAGTCTGAGTCTCATTGTAGGTCTCTAAGGACTTGCTTTATGAATCTTGGTGCTTCTGTATTGAGTGCATATATATTTAGGATAGTTAGCTCTTCTGGTTGAATTGATCCCTTTACCATTATGTAATGGCCTTCTTTGTCTCTTTTGGTCTTTGTTGGTTTAAAGTCTGTTTTATCAGAGACTACGGTTGCAACCCCTGCTTTTTTTTGCTTTCCATTTGCTTGGTAGATCTTCCTCCATCCTTTTATTTTGAGTCTACGTGTGTCTCTGCACGTGAGATGGGTCTCCTGAATACAGCACACTGATGGATCTTGACTCTTTATCCAATTTGCCAGTCTGTGTCTTTTAAGTGGGGCAGTTAGTACATTTACATTTAAGGTTAATATTGTTATGTGTGAATTTGATCCTGTCATTATGATGTTAGCTGCTTATTTTGCCTGTTAGTTGATGCAGTTTCCTTCTAGCATCGATGGTCTTTACAATTTGGCATGTTTTTGCAGTGGCTGGTACCAGTTGTTTCTTTTCATGTTTAGTGCTTCCTTCAGGAGCTCTTGTAAGGCAGGCCTGGTGGTGACAGAATCTCTCAGCATTTGCTTGTTTGTAAAGGATTTTATTTCTCCTTCACTTAATGAAGATTATTTTGACTGGATATGAAATTCTGGGTTGAAATTTCTTTTCTTTAAGAATGTTGAATATTGGCCCCCACTCTCTTGGGCTTGTAGAGTTTCTGCCGATAGATCCACTGTTAGTCTGATGGACTTCCCTTCGTGGGTAACCCGACCTTTCTCTCTGGCTGCCCTTAACATTTTTTCCTTCATTTCAACCTTGGTGAATTGGACAATTATGTGTCTTGGGGTTGCTCTTCTCGAGGAGTATCTTTGTGGTGTTCTCTGTATTTCCTGAATTTGAATGTTGGCCTGCCTTGCTAGGTTGAGGAAGTTGTCCTGGATAATATCCTGAAGAGTGTTTTCTAACTTGGTTCCATTTTCCTCGTCACTTTCAGGTACACCAATCAGACACAGATTTGGTCTTTTCACATAGTCCCGTATTTCTTGGAGGCTTTGTTCATTTCTTTTACTCTTTTATTCTCTAAGCTTCTCTTCTCACTTTATTTCATTAATTTGATTTTCAATCACTGATAACCTTTCTTCCACTTGATCAAATTGGCTACTGAAGCTTGTGCTTGTCTTACATAGTTCTTGTGCCATGGTTTTCAGCTCCATCAGGTCATTTAAAATCTTCTCTACACTGTTTATTCTAGTTAGCCATTTGTCTAATCTTTTTTCAAGGTTTTTAGCTTCCTTGCGATGGGTTTGAACATCTTCCTTTAGCTCGGAGAAGTTTGTTATTACCGACCTTCTGAAGACCACTTCTGTCAACTCGTCAAAGTCATTCTCCATCCAGCTTTGTTCCATTGCTGGTGAGGAGCTGTGATCCTTTGGAGGAGAAGAGGCTCTCTTGTTTTTAGAATTTTCAGCTTTTCTGCTCTGGTTTCTCCCCATCTTTGTGGTTTTATCTACCTTTGGTCTTTGATGTTGGTGACCTACCCATGGGGTTTTGGTGTGGATGTCCTTTTTGTTGATGTTGCTATTCCTTTCTGTTTGTTAGTTTTCCTTCTAACAGTCAGTTCCCTCAGCTGCAGGTCTGTTGGAGTTTGCTGGAGGTTCACTCCAAACCCTGTTTTCCTGGGTATCACCAGCGGAGGCTTCAGAACAGCAAATATTGCTGCCTGATCCTTCCTCTGGAGCTTCGTCCCAGAGGGGCACTTTTTTTTTTTTTTTTTTTTTTTTTTTGTGGTATGCTTTGATTCCTTTCTGTTTATCTTTTGTGTATCTTCTATAGGTTTTGGCTTTGTGATTACCATGGGGTGTACATAAAACCTCTAATATTTATAACAGTCTGTTTTAAGCTGATAACAACCTTCCACAATTACGTATTAAAAACTGTACCTTTCACTCTCCCTTCTCCCAACATTTTAAGTTTTAATTTCTTAATGTATTTTTAATATTGTATATCCATTAACAAATTAGTATTGCTATAGTCATTCTCAATACTTCTATATTTTTAACCTTTATACTAGAGTAAAAGTGATTTATATGCCACCATTACAGACTAGAATATTCTGAATTTGACTATATATTTACCTTTACCAATGAGTTTTATATTTTCATATGTTTTCATGTTGCTAATTAGTGTCATTTAGTTTCAGCTTGAAAAACTCCCTTTAGCATTTCTTATTAAATGAACTCTTATTAAATGAGTTTTTGTTAAATGATCAAGAGACTTTAGTTCTTGGTAAAGAACTCTCTTTAACAGGCCTGGTGGTGATAGGCTTCTTCAGCTTCTGTTTGTGTGGAAAAGCCTTTATCTTTTCTTCATTTCTGAAGGAAAGCGTTTTTGGGCAAAATATTTTTGGTTGGATTTCTTTTTTCAGAACTTTGAATATATTATCCCACTTTTAGCCTTCAAGTTTTCTGCTGAGAAATCTGCTCAGTCTAATGAAGATCCCATTGTATGTAATGAGTCCCTTGTATGTAATAAGCGTTCGGTACCCACCCCACTCTCTCATCTCTCTCTTCTTTGGAATTCCGTAATTCATAAAGTATTTCTCTTGATGGTGTCACATAAACCCCATAAACTTTCTTCATTCAATTTCACTCTTTTTAAATATCCTTTCAATGGATAATTTCAACTGACCTTGTCTTTAAGTTCACAGATTCATTCTTCTGCTTGATCAAGCCTCCTGTTGAAATCTCTTTATTACAGTTTTCATTTAATTTACTGTATGCAGCTCCAGAATTTCTGTGTTATTTAAAAATGTTTTCTAACTCTGCTATGATTTTAATGTTTGTGTCCCTCTAAATTTATGTTGAAATATAACCCCTAATGCAATCGTATTAAGGGAGAGGCTTTTAGGATGTGAATAGGTCATATGGGCTTATCCCTTGTGAATTAGTTTAATGCCCTTGTAAAAGAGCCTTCAACAGCATTGATCCTTTTTCCCTCCTAGTCCTTCCACCATGTGAAGTCACAGCATTTGTCCCTTCCAGATGATTCAGCAACAAGGCACCATCTTGGAAGCAGAGAGAAAGCCTATAGCAGACACCCAATGTACTGGTACCTTGATCTTGGACTTCCTAGCCTCCAGAAATGTGAACAATATATATTTCTCTATGTATATATTATTACCCAGTCCATGGTATTTTGACATAGCAGGGACTAAGACAATTTCTTTCTTGAAATTCACACTTTGTTAATCATTTTCTGATGTCACTGAGTTGTCAATCTGTGTTCTCACTGAGCTTCCATAAAAAAAATTTTGAATTATTTGTCAGGCAGTTCTTAGCCCTCCATTTGGAGGGCAGTGGTAACTGGGAAATTACTATAGTCCTTTGGTAGTATCATGTTTCCTTTTTTATGTTTCTTGAAGTCTTGAATTGCTGTCTTTATATTTGAAGAAGTAAAGACATATTTTACTAACTGGCTTTGAGAGAGAAACACCTTCACCAATCACCTGGGCTTGGGATTCTGAGGCTCTTTTAGACTTTTTCTATGGATGCAGCCACTCTATCCCTCTTGTTCCCTCTTAGGTGGGAATTCTTAAAATTGTACGCCTTGTCTGGATCCCACAAAAGTAGGCCTGGTGCTGAGAGTCTCCTGTTTGTTTTTCCTAGGGTGATGCTCTGAAATGCTCAAGTTTGTGCGCCTTCTCTCAATCCTGCTAAATCTGACTGTGCTTGTTCATGAATCATCTGTAAAGGCTCACACTCCATGTCTAGGGGATGCAGATGGGGAGTCAGCCACAGAGAAGATATTTGGGGAAGCTCATGGGCCAGTTTCTTTTTGGGGGGGTCTGGAGACAAAGTGTCCCAAGTAGTTCATGGGAGGGACATAAGCTCATGAGGCAGTTAGTAGGATTCATGGGTCTTTATTGGGTTTCACACCCTAGTTGCTGTGAGTTCCTACCTCTCTTTCCTACTACCAGCCTCTCCCAGCTACTCAGTTATGTTGATCTCCTCAGAATTTTGGATGGGGCAAAAAAGTAGTGAGCCTCTTGGGCAGATTCCCATACAGCTCGGAGACCTGGGTGCTTACTCATTATGCTCTCACTTTCTCCCATAGGAAGAATCACATGCTTGGGGGATCTCTCTTGGTACTGAGCTGTGCCACCTTGAAGGAGGGGTAATGTGGGTAAACCAAAGCTGTTCTTCCCTCTTCAATGTGTCTATTCCCAAATATTTTGCTCCAACAGTGCGCTAGAACTTCTACACTAGACTACCGAACTCACACAAATGTCAATGGGTGGTTGTCAAAATCAGTGCACTATGGAGAGGTGATGGTAACATCTCCTATTCTGTTATCTTGCTTATGTCATTCTCTCCATTTGGACAAAGTCATTTCAAAGCTCTGTATTTTTCTCTAAACATTTCTCTAGTTGCATCACATAAATTTTGATATGTTTGTTTTTACTCAGCTCAAAATGTTTTCTAATTTCTCTTGTTATTTCTGCTTTGGCCAATGATTAAGAGTATGTTGTCTAATTTTCAAACATTTGGAGATTCCCATATTTCTTCTAGTCATCGATTCTAACTTAATTCCACTCTGGTCAGAGATATCTCTGTATGTTTATAATTCTTTTAAATTTATTGAGATTTCTTTGTGGCCTAGCATATGATCTATCCTAAAGAATGTTACATGTGCACTTAAAAATGGTGTATGTTCTATGGTTGTTGTGTGAAGAGTTCTTTATATCTCAGTTAGGTAGTCAAATTAGTTAATAGTATCATTTTAAGTTTTCAATAATCTTGCTGACTTTCTATTTAGTTGCTCTTTCAATTATTCAGAATGGGTTATGGAAATCTCCAACTATTATTGTTGAATTGTCTATTTCTACTTTCAGTTCTGTCAGTTTTTTAATCACATATTTTAAGTGTCTAGGCACATCTACATTTATAATTATTATATCTCCCTAATACAGTTGGATTTTTAAGTCACTACTTCTCTCCTTGTCTACAGAAAAATTTCTTGTCTTAAAGTCTATTTTTGTCTAAAAATATCTATTGAACACTTGATATGTCCCAGGAATTTTGCTAGGTGCTCAGGAGCACAAATAATAATATATAGTCCCAGCCATCAAAAGCAAGATAAGTCATTATATATAAGTCAATATATAGATAAGTCAATATATAAGTATATATATATTATATATATACACACACATATATATATACATATATATATATGGCTGATTTCAAAATAACATAGTAAATGTTAAAGTTGAAGCAGTCACAAGATACTTTGGAGAACAGAGAATAGTCATGTGATTAAGTCTGGACTTTCAGGTAAGGCTTCTTGAGAGGGATTATGCATAAATTAAAGCATTTTAGAATATGTAAGAATGAAAGGTATTCCTGGTGGGGAAAAATGGCACAAGTAGAAGCATGTCAGCAAAGCTAGGTGAAATTTCTTAGTGCGGTCAGATTTCAGTCAGATTTTTCTTTCCATGGGTCTAGTTGAGTACATTCATAGTTTTTTCTACCTTTCAGTAACTACCATCATTGTTTTTGGACTCAGGTGGCTAGTACACCCTGTATCATGTTTTTATATGGATGAGGAGTTTCACAGGTCACGTAATACCTGGAAAACAAAGCTCCTGGATTGGTTATAACATATGACAAGAGTAATGACAGTGAAGAAGTGAATGGCCTAAGGAGGCAAACGTCAGAGGCCCCAGTTCTAGAATCTGCTCCTTGTTTCATTACCTCATATGAGGATTTCCAATTCTTTATTTATAGGGTTTAAGTTTATTGGTTATATTATAATAGTGGGGCAGATGTATATAGAGTTTTGCTGTGCAAAGTATGGTTCATGGCTAGCAGCATTAACATCAACTGGGAGCTGGTTAGAAATGCAAAATCTCAGGCCTCTTCAGACACACTGAATTAGAATTTATGTCTTAGCAAGGTCTTAGGTGACTTGTTTGCACATTAAATGTTGGGAACCATTGGATTTGATCCTCTTAAAGTTATTTATAGTCTTAAAATGTATATAATTCTAAAACCCTGGTGTAATCAGTAAGATTGAAAACATTATGGAAGTTGCTTTAATTAGAAATGTGGAATTACACATAGATTTAAATGATTAAGAAGAAGAAAAGGGATCCAACCAGATATTAGGATAATGAGTGTGATACTTTCCCTTTTAACATGTAGGATTTGTAACGACATACCTAGTGTATTGAGCAAACTCCATGGACTAATGGAATATTTTCATAAAGTGACTTTATTTTGTATTCTCATTGTCCTTTTATCTTTGTTTAGTGGGGTTAGTTTTCCATGACTCTGAAAAACAATTTGAAAGTTCCATGACTATCTAGTCAGGGACTTTATAGTCTATTCAGGTCATAAAATATGTTTCAATTTAGAAAATAGAGCATTCAGGTCCTTCATTCAAGAGCATGCCTTATTTTCTATTCCACAAGTAGGTACAGCTCTTAGAGTGAGCAATCTGCCCTAGAGGACACATATATGGGCAGCTTCCTCCCTCTTTTTGGTTTACCTTCTTCCCCATTTGATAGCTACTGACTTTGGAGGGTGGAAGGAGTAGGAAGAGGTGATCTGGAAGGAGGACAGATAAGGAAAGTAGGAGAGTTTTTGTTTCACTGGTACTACCTTAGGCTGGTCTTGATCCTTCCCAGTTTGGCCAAACTTCTTAGCTTCTCTGTTCTGAGGTCAGTTTGGGCCTTTAGGTGTCCCTCTTGGACAGAACCTCCCTATTTCATATGGCCTTGAAAACTTGGCCTTGACAAATCATAGGGACTTAAGCCATTTCTGACCCTGCAACCATTTCTCAATCTTGGAGCAGCCATCCAGCCACTCTACTTTTATATTTAATAAGAAAGCATGAACATGAATCCACTGGAGATGTTCCAGTTGTAGGAGTCACAAATCACATTATTCGAGAGATCTTGGGAAGCGCCTCTCTCCAGGCCTCAGAATGGTGGAGCCCATGTCACATCATAATTCTCTCCAAGGCATTCCTTTCTAAAATGCCTTTCTCCATCTCCATGCTTGACCCAAACCTCAAGCTAGGTGAGGAAATAATAGCCATGAAACTGGTTTTCATACACTTTTCTTTGCAAATTTGTATCTTGATATGGTATCTGTTTGAGGAATATCAAATCTATTGACTCTTCAGAACTCATTTAAATACCCAATTAAAAAATAGAGGTGAAACTGGCCTCAGTTTTAAGAGAATCGTAACATATATATGGACTTAGTATGTCTGTTGCATAGAAGAGAAGACCATTTTCTAACAGAGTGCAGGATTTCCTTGACAAATCTGGTGCTCTGGTGGATCACTCAAGGGATGCCCATTGGTAGGAGGGGTGAGGACTCTCTTAAAGGAAAGGAGAAAACATGTAGGATGAGCTTGTGAATACAGAGTAGATATTTGGAAGAGAGTATGGATTTTGATTACATTGTCTGCCACATAAGTGTATTTCTAGCTCCAATTTTCTGAGACATCTGAATCCTTAGAGAATTCAGTAAATAAAACTAAAATAGCACTTTCACTGAAAGCCATAGCCCACTGTGGCCTAAACAACTCTATTTTCAGAATGTTTGCAACAGTGACCCAGAGAGGAACATACCATCTTCATAATTCTGCCATAGAAAAGAGCTCAGGAAAGGACCCAGGCAATAAAAATCTCTAAGTACTTAGGGAAAGAGTAGAGAGAGCAGATGTAGAGGCTCATGGAGCAGGTTAGTGCCTGTAGGTCCCAGGAAAGCAGTAATGTTCACACAGAGTGGTGTCCACAGAAGTATAGAGAGACTTTGTTTCTTCTTGGAGCACTGATGACTTGTATAGTATCATGACTACCACAGAAGTAGACTTGTCCATGAACCCACCAGACCCTCCCATGAACAAATGGAGGTACAGTGGAGCAGGGAGGAGCTGGAAGGGCTGAAGTTCTGTTGAAGCAGATGGGGATCGTGGCTTAATGGAATTTCAGCACAAGTGTTTGTATGATCTCATTTGTCACCCACAGGATAACAAAGCCTAAGAAAACTTGGGTTTCATAAAGAGAATGTTCAGAATGCAAAAGTCCGTCTCCTCCATAAAATGGAGTAGTATTCTGAACATTGAGAAGCAACTTGCAAAAATAGGATTCGTTGTCATGAAGAACAGGGCTAGTCTTGCTGAGGAATCATAAAACCTCATGAAAGAGCAAGCCTGCAAATGTGCTCCTTTTTCTCCATATTTTTCTCATTCTGAGGGGAGGAAACACTACAGCAATTATTTTAGACATAAACCACTGACCTATGGTTAGCAGAACATATAGAAGCTAACCTTAACCTTTTCATCCTCTAGAAACAGTAACATCTATTTCAATTGAATTCTGTTAAAAACACTAACCACTCTTCCTTGTACTGTGACATTCCTTTCTGTATCCGTCAATGCCATTTTTGAATCTTCATATTTTATTCTGCCAATTTGCAAAAGTTCTCCATCTTCTTTCATTCTTTCTATTTTCTTTCTCACTTCACTCACTTTTCAAAGTAATGAGGAAGGAATATTTATGACAAGAAAACACACACACACACACACACACACACACACACACACACACACACACACACATCCCCAAATGCTTTTCCAAATAGCAAAAATGACTTGCTTTACCTTTTCCTTGGATAAGCATGTTATTTGAGCACTGTATTGCATGGAGACTCAATCTCATGCTAATTACTTTAGTGTGTTTAGTTTAATATTTCTTTATCTGAATCTATAGGCTGGAAAGATAGGGAGGGTATGGTCAGAGATGCTTGGACTTCGGGCCAAAGAAGAGAGTCAGACTGCCACATGAAACAAGATTCAAAGCTGAGAGCAGGGCTCAGCTGCAAAGCATATGTTTGGAGAAGAAGAGTACTTCCCTTCTTTGTAGTAACATTACCTTTGATACATTCTTCATTTGGCAGTCTTCACTAATAAACCATATTTAAAGAAAGAAATCTTGTGAAAATTCTTGGTTTTCATCTTTCCATGTTTTAAGTTTATCAGATTCAGCAGTGCCCTTTTCAGAACATTAAGGTTAGTGGTCTTTAACAAAGATTTGTAAGGCACATATGTGCTGATATTAAATCAGATGAAACAGAATTAAGTGTTTCTGGAGAATGGAGAGGTTTAGGTTAACTTCTGTCCATTTGACTAACCGTATGGTAGTGGAGCATGACAAAAGTAAATGGAGCACAAGAGTCCAATCCTTAGTCAGACAACATGATTCTATTTCTTACCAAGGTGAAAGCAGAGACCAGTGACTGGCTACCATGCTGCATGATTGCATTATCTGGTACATTTGTGCTGCAGCTCTGAACTAAGGAGCTGGGTCATTCTCCTATTATGTTAGACAAAGTATGCAAGTCACTGAAGGCCTTCCAGGTAGCAACATCTGGGTGATACTTCATAGTACAAAAAGGGCCTCAAGGAACTCAGCCTCAAGTAGTTGCACAGCTGTTTCAGGTTGGAAAATATGGTGTTCTCCTTGTGAGGATGTCCTTGAAACATTTGTAGTTGCTGATTGCAAATTTCAGTTTTTCAAGAGTATTCATATAATGCTGCAAACATTTTGTGAACAACATTTTAAGGGTTGCATACTTCTCGGAGGGAGTACTTTTTGGGAACTGGTCATATAGCTCCCTGATATAAAATGTATGCTTTTGGAATGTAGGTTATGTGTTTCATCATTGCTCCATAGGCAAGAACAATCACAGCATTTTCTAGTTTTTGATGTGAGAATAATTGAAAATGTCCTCTTCTATTCTAACTTGGTAGTTCCTGATAGGTTTTTTTTTAACCTAAAAAAAAGGTAAAATTAATTAAACAATTGACCTCATGATCGTTAAATTTAAAAAATGACACCAAAATATTCTATTGGTATATTCAGGAAACTTGGTGCTATCCCAGGATTGAGTCAAATGTGGATCTAGAGGTTAAACACCTATCTTATTAATAGGTCTTTGGAAAAGTAGCTACTTAAAAATGAAATAATTCATCTGGTGAATTAACTGAACCTCAAATTAGCCCCACAAGTGCTAGGTTTACGCTTTCTGTCCAAATTAATTACCTCAAAATGATAGCTTGGAATTGACCAACCATTAGTATTCAGACTTTCTTCTACTTGGTCAAGAGGGACAGAAAAAACAAACAAAACAAACAAACAAAAAAAAAACCAAAACAAAGCAGCCAAGTGCAGAATGAGAAAAGTGATTATTCTCAATATAACCACTGCAAAACAAATTCTGAAGTCTCTAGGCACAGCAGTTCTGACCTGCCTTCCATTTCTCTACAGATCCATGTAACTACACAGAGAGTATTTAGTGCTGTCATAAGAATTTTAAATGAGCTTGAGAGGCCATAAGTATACACCACCCTTGGCTGTGATGTTTGTGTAATAGGTTTTTCAGAGTTAAAATGAAAATCACATTTGTTTTTTGCTACTGTATTCATAATACACAGATATTGTATCATATAGAAACTTCAGGTGGTCAGAATATGGTAACAACAAATGCATAGTTTCAAAAAACACCAAGTAAATAATTTGTCAATAAATGAAAGAATACTGGTGTTAGTACTAAAACACTAGTCACACACAACTCAGTCTAAGTAGGAAGATGAAGTTAAAAATTGGCAGGCGGCTGGATGTGAGGGCGATCTGGCTGCAACATGTGTCACCCCATTGATTGCCAGGGTTGATTCATCTGATCCGGCTGACTAGGCGAGTGTCCCCTTCCTACCTCACTGCTCCATGTGTCTCCCTCCTGAAGCTGCACACTTGGTCGAAGAGGACGACCATCCTGATAGAGGAGGACCGGTGTTCTGTCAAGGGTATACGAGTAGCTGCACTCCCCTGCTAGAACCTCCAAACAAGCTCTCAAAAAATTGGCAGGGGGCTCAGCCTCATGACTGGGTTCCAGGGCTAGGGAGAAACAAAAGCAGCAGGGCCGGGCTCTGGAGTCGGTGAGCTCTCCCTCTGAAGACTGATTCTGCTTCCTTAACCTTCAGCTTCCTCACCAGCCATTATCTGACTTCGTTCTTACAGTCAACCTGCAATATAAGCACCCCAATTATTCAAAGTTTACAGGTTAGAAAAGTGAGGTCCAGAGAGGTTACATAGCTCACTCTGGGTAACATAGTATGATTGAGTGAGGATGGAGCAGGAGACAGACCCAGGCCAGCTGACCACGATGTCAATAACTAACAGCCCATTCAGCAGTGCCAGTAATCCTAATGATAAGATGTTGAAATTCCAAGTCTTATCTCAACACAGAATGGCATCTGTTGTTATTAAGCTTACCAATACAAGTTCAACTAAAATTCAACCCAGGTTCCTAATTATGCAGATTTGATTTTCAGAAAAGAAGTTCCTTAGTTAGAATTATAGTTTAAATTTTTAATATCACTTTTCTTGTATTTAATAACATTTTTCTGATTATTGAAGTGATAAAAATAAAGAAATAAAATTTTCACATAATTCCTGTTGATTAGAGATAAATACTTTTAGCATTTTGTTGGATTGTCCTATTGTAAGTGTGTTAAATGTATGTGTAGGTGTCTGGGTGTATGCAGGCAAGATCATAGGAAACTTACTTAGTGGCAAAGCCAGGATCCAAACCCAGGTCTACCTGATGCAAATTTTTAGCATATAACTACATACACATCAAAAAACACATATCTGCATATGTAACATGTATAAATTATATTTTACTTCACTGCTATTGCTACAAATTTGTATTATAAATATAGTCTTCAAAGACCATTTTCACATTTACATTGTCTTACAGCCACAGTGGAAATTACACAGACTCTTTTTAATTGATCGCACTGCTCATCTCAGATCTTTTATACCCATAGTCCCTAATTCTCAAATTTTTATTTTGATTTGTGATTTATTTTATGTATTAACCTTGATAAAAAGGTTAGAGCTTATATTCAAATAGTTGTTTTCAGGAACAACTTTCAAGAATAACTTAAATATTATATTTTCTGATCCTCTTGGATGTCTGAAATATTGGGTACCTACACACAGAAATGTAAATGCTAAATACATATTCTGTGTATTCCACTGGATCTCATCTCCTACCCTCTCATCTTTAATCCAAAATATCTCTTTACCATTTTCTTATCAATATATTAAGAGATTAAATCTGTCCTCTGCTTTTTTTTTTTTTTTAAATCCTTTTCTCTTATATCCAGTATGCCATGGAAAGAAAACACTTTAAGTTTTAATTACAAAATCATGTCTTTCACATTGCACAAATTTTCTTAACCAAGATTATTTTCTCTTTCTGATTTAATACTGCATTTTATTTGATTTACTATTCTCTTGTGGGTATATGAGAACCCAAGTTAGAATTTAAGAAAAGAAATCCTTGTCCTTGCAATAAATCTATTTCAAAGGAAGATGTTTGTAATCATCTCAGGCTTGTCCCTTTCTTTAGAACTGTGATATAGTTTCAAAAGCGTGCTGGTTTCTTCTTGCTCATCCTTGCATAGGGCAGTCTATGTTTACTCAAGATTGACCTAAAATAAGTTTGGAGTTGAGATTGATGTGGGTCTCTGTCCAGTTCTTTTATTTTCAAGTGAAAAAGGGGAAAAAAACACTAGATTTACCATAATTTTATTTGACTGGCTTTGGTATTCTGAGTCTGGGCGTAGTGGAAAGGAAGTTTGCCTCAGAGCACTGGGCCATCATTATAGGTAACTTTGCCTCTCCTCCAAGGTAGCATTGCAGGTTCATTATGGCCACTGCTAAGGTGCCCAAGGGCACCCTGCCCAGAAGCTGTTTGTCCAGCAGGTGTCCTGTTGCATTGTGGAATTCATGTTTTTCCATTGTGTGGTGTTTGGTCTGCTCTTGCCTCTAGCCCTTTCCTCTCTGATTTAAGGGATGCCAGTCACATATTCCTGGGTCTCCTCTATCTACTTTCTAGTACTCTTGCACTATAGGATAAACAACTGTACTCAACTCAGTGTCTTGGCCAGAAGTTCAGATGTGTGGTACACACATTTAAAAATTAAATTATAAAATATGACTTGGGAGTCAGATAACCTGGGTCTACCTTTCTGGCTATGCGTCTTTTGAAAAATTATCTGATTTTTCTGATCCTCAGTTTACCAGTCTGTAAATTGGAGAAAATGACTTTCTCCTCTGCAGGGCTGCTGTGAGGCTTCTGTGACATTGACGTGAGTCCGTGGAAAGATCTCCAGTCAGCAGCACAGTATGGTTTCCTAGTGAGCCAGATTCCTATGAGCATCCTTGTCAACACATTCCCACAACCTACCACTCCAATCAACATCCATCCTCTTCCTTACAGTTACTTTTGTATTTTGTGTGATACTTTTTTATTTTGCACAGCTCTTAGTAAGCACTTAAACTTAGTTGGTTCTCAATAAATACTTAAATCTACTATGATGGACCCAAATTTGGGTGCCTTTGGGAATGTAGTGAATCATCTTCTGAAGTAGTTTCTCATATCCTGTTTTTAATTAGCTTTTTCCCCCATGGATGCACTTTAATGGGGAAAGAATAAAAGAAATAAGACCATGGAGAGTGAGAGCCTGGGGAGTGGCTAAACTAAAGAGATGGACTAGGGAACACTCCGCGTGTGAACAACGTAAAGAGCAGGCTGTCTGGATGTCACCCCACGGCCTCTTCAGCACACGTGCCTCATTCTTTGTGAGATTAGTAGCAATGTTGTCCTGTCCTGAGAGGTCACATTAATCCCTGTCCAAAACAGCCTTGGAAATGGGAAGCCAGAGAAGGAAAAGGTGGATTTCATGAAAATGCTTCTGTCACTAAACACTTTCTGTTGCCTTTGTGCTGTATCCTGTCAGTACTCAACCATATGGTGTTAAAACACTCTCTAAAATGTGATTTTTAAAGCTACTTTGCAGTTATAATGGGTAATTGTGATCTGCTTCACAGTTAGAAACGAATGAAAGTGGCTCCTATGGTCTCACCAAACTTCAAAATGCATTAGAAGAACAGGAAGAAGGAAGGAAGGAAGGGGGATGGATGGATGGAAAGAAGGAAGGAAGGAAGCAAGGAAGGAGGCTGATCTCTAATCCCATTTCTCTGTGAATCACAGTGGTTACCTCTAATAATCTGAGTCAGAAGGGAGCACTAAGGCAGTCGCTTCAAGTCATTATTAGTCCAGCAGACTCCTGAACTGTGCTTTTATAACTGTCCCTCTCCACAGCTCCTTATTTCACCTTTAAAGATGAGTCTCTGTGTCTAGACTTCAGGGCATCTTAACTTCCTTCTAACCACAAAACTCATCTGCTACCACAACTGGGGATTGAAGAGACTCCTTATGGTAAGCACTCCAGACCTGTCAATTAGGTAGGAAATAGCCAGCATTAGCTGGAGCAGTTTGTGTTTGATTAACTGATGTTGTACATTAAGAAGAAAAAAAAAATAGAAAAAACTGCCCAAATTGGCTGGGTTATCTACATGCTTAAACATCCAGGGAGGTATTTCTCTATGTGTGCAGTAGTTATGGGGCTACCTCCCCAGATCATTCCCATAGAAGTCACAACAGTACCCTATATCTGTTAACTCCTCTCTGCTAGAAGCAGAGATATGATGATGCCAGAGGGTAGTGTTTCCAAAACACCCTGGCACAGTGCTGCTCATCCCAAGTCACACAGCTCATTGACCTCAGCTCTCTTTAAAATGAAGGGAATAGACCAGATGCCCTTCAAAGGCCTTTCTAGCTTTGACATTTTCTGGATTGATGATGCAAATTTGCTCGAACACTAGTTTGCATACCACTTGCCGTCTTTCTATGAGCAATACAAAGTTAGCACAAGTCACAGACATAACAATTGAGACCCTTTATGCTAACACTTTGGAGGGGGAAAAAAGACCCTTTATGCAAACACTTTGGAGGGGAATCTCAGACTAAGCCTACCCTCATGCAGAAGGAGGAGCTTTTACTCTCAGACCTGCATTTGGCTGTCACTCCAGGTTCTGCCTTTAATCAGCTAAGCAACAATGGCAAAGCTACTTAAAACTTTTAAACTGGTTTCCTCATTTGTAATGTGAGAGCCAGTTTGTTGTAAAGATTAGAATTCATGTATCATAGTGCCTGAAACATAGTAGGTTCTTGATCATTCATGGGCAGAAGTCTGCTCTGTGACATTGGTCAATTCCCACCCCCTCTATTCTGTTTCTTCCCCTTTCGTGAGTAAAGCAAGAGACAGATGAGCTCAGAATCAGGCCTGGTCCCTAAATTCTCTGATCATTGCAGAGCCCTAAAAGACTGCTCCTACAAAATATATTCTGTTTATTTGACACATTTCTGTCTCATTTCCTCAATTTGTGTTCTCCTACAGTTTTACTTTCTGAAACAGTTTGTTCTGTGACAAAAGGTTTGCAAAAAATACAGGGATAATTGCTAAAGTTTCTCTCTTTTTGACAGTAATTCAATGCCTTTAACAAAATTTATAATCCTTTTGTACCTAAATGTTTATAAGTGTTGTTAAACCATAATGTAAAAGTATATAAACATTTTCACATGTTCTACCAGATCAAATATGGTACGTATGATAATAATTAGAACCACCAACCTAACATATTGTGAAAAATGCCACATATGCATTTAATTACAGTTTCTGATTTTCAAGCATGCATTCAGGGAAGGGAGGAAGTGGCTTTCTATTTAACTTCTTCACTGCTAACAGAACATGCATGTGTTTTGGCAAGTTTCCTAGGGAACATCTGTCTAAAAGGGAACGTTGGGGAGTTAATCGACATCTATGGAGCTGGGCAACGGCTGTATGGCCCATGCTGTCTCCATTAAACTTCTTAACTGTGTCTCCCTTAAGCAGAGTCACAAAACATACCATTGATTCAGCTCTTTGAATAAAAAGCAAATCACAAGCAAAACTTAAACTGGTTTATTTACAGGATAGCTTTATGAAATTGGTAAACAATCGAGCCTCTTTTTCCAAAAGAATTGTTTGTAGAAGATGCCAATACTGGGGTGGGGAACAGAGTTATGAGGAGGGATTTGTAAATGGTTTGTGGGTATGTTTCCAACAGCTCATAGCAAAGGAATGAATGGAAAAACACTCCTTGGAATTGGGGGTGGGGAGAGAGAGGGCTATAAAGATGGCAAATGAAACAAACTAGCATTTTGACATTGCCTCAGTTCTGGGTGGAAGGAGCATGATGAAGAATTTGAAACATAGCCAAGAGCCCAACAATTTAGAGGAACTGGGTGGACAGACATAGTCATGGGTCCCTTAATGACAGGGATACATTCTGAGAAATGAGTCATTAGGCGATTTTGTCATTGTGTGAACAAACATCATAGAGTATGCTTACAAAAACTTAGATGGTAGAGCCTACTACTCACCTAGGTTATATAGTATACATAGCCTGTTGCTTATAGGCTACAAGGCCTGTACAGCATGTTCAGCATGTTACTGTACCAAATACTGTAGGCAATTGTAACACAAGAGTAAATATTTTTGTGTTTCTAAACATATCTTAACATAGAAATGGTACAGTAAAAATATGGTACTACAATCTTATGAAACAATCCTTGTATATGCAGTTCATGTTGACTGACACATTGTTATGTAGCTGAAGATTGTAAATAGAATGGGATTAAGTCTTTCCTTTCTCAGCTAGGTCTGATAAGGAACTCACTAATCGTTTCCAGATGAAGAAAGACTTTACATGATACAATGAGTTAATTGCTCCATGCTACTTGGAAAGTCAGCAGAGATGACAGAATTTGAACTGAATACCTTGCTCTAAATCCTGATACTAATTTTTTAAAACTGCAAGTAAAATATTTTCTTTTTTTAAAAATTAATTATACCACAACAAAGACACTGATGACTATGGGGACAGGCAAAGGGTTAGATAGAGGGCAGCCAGATAAAATACAGCACACCTTGTTAAATGTGAATTTCAGATAAATAAGAACTAATTTTTGTTTACTAAATCTGGCAATAGTAGTCAGACAATAATCTAAAATAAAAGCCACAGGCAGAAACAGGTAAGCAAGGCTAAAACAGGACTGATAAGAAAGCAAAGCTGTAAAGAGAAATCACATATGTGGGTAAAATACAGGAAGATACCAATTCTAAAGAAAGATAAAGTGATGGGAGGAGTGGGAGAATGGTTGGTTAAAAAAAAAAAAAAGTCAGGAATGAAACGATTTACAGAACCAGAAGAAGGAATTCAAAGCAGAACAGTGACTCAGAGAGGGCACATGTTAGGGGGAAAAGGCCAGAGCAGCTGGATGAGTTGTTAGGGGCTGTCATAGCAAAGCACCAGAACGAGTGGCTTACACAACAGAAACTGATTTCCTCAAAATTCTAGAGCAAGAATTCCAAGGTCAAGGTGTTGGCATGGTTGATTTCTTCTGAGGCCTCTCTCCTTGACTTGTAGATGAACATCTTTCTCTCGTGTGTTCACATGGTTGTCCCTCTGTGCATGTCTATCTCCCAATCTCCTCTTCATAGAAGGACACCAGACATATTGGGTTATGGCCCACTTATATGACCTCACTTTACCTCACTTAACTCTGGAAAGGGCCTATCTCCAAATGCAGTCACATTCTGAGGTACTAAGGGCTAGGACTTCAGCTAAGGAATTTTGTGGGGATGAAGTTCAGTTCATAACGTGATGTTATGCTTCCTGTTAAGGAGCCTAATTGAAATTACTTCAGTGAAGTTCCACAAGCAGTTTTAACTATAATATAGGTGATTTTTTTTTGGTGCCAGGGTAGGGAAAACGAAACTAATAGGGTATGATTGTTGTCCTCAAATGCACAATATAGTTGGGGAGCAAGACACATACACTAGACTAGTGACATAGAGACGACAGGTCGAGGTAAAATCCTGGCCCATCCACTTACTGGCTAAGTAAACTTGGACAGTTATCATATTTGATAAAAAGGTGTAATCATATCTACTTGGTAGAGTAGCCTTGGGGATTAGTGATACTGGTCTTGTTAAAGAGAACTAAATATGACCTGAGAAGGACTCCATACTTCTATATTTGAGACCTTGTGGACAAACCATATCCTAACTTAATAGGTAGACAAGATTGGAAACCTAACTTAGGAGTATGCTCCTGTAATAATAGTTGAGTCTTGGCCAATCTCAGCAGCCATACTTCAACCACTCATACACTGCTGAGTGTTCAAACTGTGTTCAAATAAGACAAACGCCAAGCTATAACCAATCCAGCTGTTTCTGTACCTCACTGCCTATTTCTACACGTCATTTCCCCTTTTTTGCCTGTAAGTTTGTTCAGACCACGAGGCATCCCTGGAGTCTCTCTGAATCTGTTGTGATTCTGGGGGCTACCCTATTCGTGAATCATTCATTGCTCAATTAAACTCCCTTAAATTTAATTTGGCTGAAGTTTTTCTTTCAACAGTATCAAACCCAGTCCCTGATGCATAATGGAAGCTCTTACTATTAAGAAGTGTTCAGAAAACACATAGGGAGATGTTAGCTGTTACAACTAGGGGAATTTATACAATTTCCTTAAAAAGTTGTCATGAGAGCTGAGCCTGAAAACACTAGGACAATTTTGCCAGGTAGGAAACGGGGCTAGATCAAAACACAAATATGAAACAGCAAGAGGCATACACATATTTCAATATGCCTAGAGCAGTGCAGGGCTGATGTGAGCAGCAGGAAATAAGGCAAGAAAACAAAGTTGGTGCCACGTTATGAAGTGCCTTGAATATCATGCTAAAATATCTGAAGATTATGCTATAAGCAAAGTAAACACAGGTGTTTTGTGTAGTTGTGTTTGTTGTTTTGGTGTTGTTGGTTATTATTTATTTATTTTTTACAGCGAATTAACCGCTTTTCAAAGGTGGTAATTAGGAGTAGCTGGCTATACTGGAAATGAGAAGAAAGCTCATAAAAAGAGGCCAGGCAGCCGGGCGCGGTGGCTCATGCCTGTAATCCCAGCACTTAGGGAGGCCAAAGCAGGCGGATCACGAGGTCAAGAGATTGATACCATCCTGGCCAACATAGTGAAACCCCGTCTCTATTAAAAATATAAAAATTAGCTGGGTGTGGTGGTGGGCACCTATAGTCCCAGCTACTCAGGAGGCTGAGGCAGGAGAATGGTGTGAACCCCAGAGGCAGAGGTTGCAGTGAGCTGAGGTCACGCCATAGTACTCCAGCCCGGCAACAGAGCAAGATGCAGTCTCAAAAAAAAGTAAATAAATAAAAATAAAGGCCAGGCATGGTGCCTCATGCCTGTAATCCCAGCAATTTGGGAGGCTGAGGATGATGAATCACTTGAGGTCAGGAGTTCAAGATCAACCTGGCCAAGATGGTGAAACCCTGTCTCTACTAGAAGTACAAAAACTAGCCAGGCATGATGGTACATGCCTGTAGTCCCAGCTACTTGGGAGGCTGAGACAGGAGAATCACTTGAACTGGGAGGCAGAGGTTGCAGTGTGCCGAGACTGTGCCACTGCACTACAGCCTAGGCTGAGACTCCATCTCAAAGAAAAAAAAGAAGAAGAAGAAGAAGAATAGCTGCTGTGCAGGGCAGATTCTGGCCAATTGCATATACTAGGACTGAATCTGTCCTTTACGTATTATCAATGGAAAAAATGGTTGTTTCATTTTGCACAGTGACAAAAAGAAAATGAAGATCTGTCAGCTCTTGCCTCCCTTAACTCTTCCCACTTAGTATATAAAGACAATCAGGTCCCTCATATCTTCTAAAAACAAACGTTTCCTTTGACCTACCAATCTTTTCTTCGGCTACCCAAAGCCTGTTCTTTTCAGCAACAATTTTTTTGATTTTCTCAACTTGAGCTGTGTCAAAGCTGAAGATTCACTTTATTTTTTTGTTATTCCTATTAATATTGTAACTGTTGTTATAAATAGAAACAATTTGTTTTTATTGTCAAATGATAAATATTTATTACAGATGAATTAGAAAATATGATCAGAGAAGTAAAAGAAAAAATGCTAAGTAATTCTCTCCAAACCTCCACAGAGGATTCAGTTCTCTGCATGGGCACACACACATCTATTTTCACAATAGGGGATCAAACTGTATATTCTGTTTTATGATGTGCTTTTAAAAATAATCTTTTTATTAAAAAAATACATATAGAAAATTGCACAGCTAAGTGTTACCAACACCTACGAAGAAATAAAATATCCTCTGTTCCCCAGAAGCCTCCCTCTTCCCCATGGTAATCACTCCTTGATTCTAACACTATAGATTTGTTTTGTCTCTTTTTGAACTCTGTAAACAGCACATGTATTGTTCACACAGTATGCACTATTTTCCAACTGGTTTATTTCATTCCACATTATGTTTGTGAACTTCAGCCATGCTGTTGAATATAGCAGTGGTTTATTCATTTTTCATTGCTGTATAATAATTTACAGGATGAATCTACCACGATTTATTCTTCTGTTTCTGAACATTTTCATTGTTTTCTGTTTGGGGCTGTTGTAATTAGTGCTGCTGTGAGTGTTACTGTATACATATTTGGAGCATATTTGTAAGCATTTCTCTTAGGTGTATTCTCAGGAGTGGAATTGGGGTACAGAGTCCACAGATGGTTTCTAAAACTGATTATACTAATTGACAGTTCCTACAGCCTTATAGATGGGTCTAAATACTCCATATACTCACCAATACAATCATCAGTCTTCTTAATTTCAGCCATTCTGATGGATGTGTAAGTGGTAGTTCATGTTGCATTTTTATTTGCATTTCCTTGACTACGAATGAGATTGAGCATTTTTTCACGTTTATTCACTTAATTGGATATCCCCTTTTGTGAAGTGCTTGCTTAAGTCTTGCCCATTTTTTTCTATTAAAGTATTTTTGATATGATTGTAGGTTTTCTTTATATATCCTGGATGCAAGTGCTTTATCAATTATATGTAATGTAGATATCTTCTCACATTCTATGGGTTGTTTTTAAAAAATTTTCATAATGGAATCTTAATGAATGGGTCTTTTTTAATTTTAATGAACTTCAGTTTATCAATTGTTTTCTTTATAGCTAGTGATCTGTAAGTCCTGTTTATAAAATCTTTACAAATGCCAAAGTTGCAAAGACATCCTCCTGTGTTATCTTCTAGAAGTTTTATTGTTCTGCTTTTAACATTCACGTACACAGTCTCTAGAATTGGTTTATTTATGTGATGAGGTAGGGGCCAAGTTCAATTTTGTATTTTCATTTTTACATCCAAGTGACCCAATACCATTTATTGAAAAATCCATCTATTCCTCACTCAGAAGTGTTCTCCGAATAGTGCCACTTTTGTCATAACTCCAATGGTCTCACAAGGGAGGTCTGCTTCCGCATTCCCACTTGCCTTTCTGCAAATCCAAATGTACATAAGCTACTTAAATTTAATTTTAAATTTAATAAAATTAGAAATTAGTTCTGTCACATTAGCCACATTTCAAGTGTTTAGTAGCTACACATAGCTAGTGGCCACCAAGGCAGTGCAGATACAGCGTTTCCATCATGCAGAAAGTTCTGTTGGACAACATTGCTCCAGATCATTACTGTCTAATTTCATAGCTCTTCACTATCTGAGGCAATCCCACTTTCATTTGTTTATTCCTTTTCTCCACTATTAAAATGTGAGTTCCATGAATGCAGGGACCTAGTTGGGTCATCATTGCATGTGCAATGTCCAGAACAGTTCCTGATACAGAATGTTTGTCAAGTAAGTGCATAAAACTTTGCTGTGTCCTGTGAAGCCTGGAGCGGCTTTCTGGACCCATTATATCAAATCTCAGCCAGCTTCCTGAAGATTCAGAGCAGAGAAGAGTACTTTGTCATTTTGGAGCCTTTGGAATGTGCCACATGCAACACTTACAATGGTGGTTGATAAGGACTTTTCTGGATGTGTATGATATTGTAAAAACTTCATTTGTTGAGTACTTACTTTGTACTATACACTATGCCAAAATTTACATTTATAACTCATTTAATACTCGTAACAACTCTGTGAAGTAGGTTCTGTTATTATCCTCAATATTTGAATGAGAAAACTAAGGAACAAAGAAGTTCAGGGACTTATTCAAGGACAGCCCACCAGACAATGGAGGCACCTATATTTGAATTCAGATGTCTGCTGCAGAGCCTGAGTTCTTAATGTTGGATGTTATTGCCTCTCAACATAACCATAACAGTCTTTGACTAATTTTTGTTTCTTTATTCCTCTATTTTAAAAGAAATAATATAATTGCTGCTCAGTGCCAGACTCTGTATATGTATTATGCTTTTCCACCTCTGTTCCCTCTTCAGAGTAAACACCATGTTTTGGTTGATTTATAACCTCAGTGCTAATGGTGCAAATTGTTTAGATATCCCCACTGTCTTAGGTTGGGTTACCAAGTAGAAGACCAAGAATTTGTATACATCAGGGAATAGTCTTAAGAGAAAGACAGTGAGGGAGGGAGGATAGGTCAGGGGAAAGATTTATTTAAACCTGAATGTCATCTCAATTGGTGTCCAGCTTTAGGCCAATCCTACAGGGAGCTTTGGGAGCATGACTTGCCATTGTCAGGGGTACTGACCCTTTATACTCCCATGCTGCTCAATTACTGGAATTTGGGCTGCCCTGGGGTGTGTTTGTGTGTGTGTGCATGTATGTGTGTGCATGTGTGTGTGTAACCTTCACAGAGAACACTTAGTTCAGCCTAGGGAAATTCTCCAGAGAAGGAGGCAACTATAGGCTATTAACCAGCAACACTCACAGAAGCTGTGGGGTAGATACACTAGTCAGGAAAAGGGGATCTTGCCAGACACTGACAGCATCCACTGTACTTATCCTCCATTAAAATGTTCTCACATTATTCATTCCTCAAGATTTGTGTGAAATAGGGTTCAACTTGTTCATGCAAGTTCTGTGTAGATTTCACAAACCATTTTTACAACCCTGATTATTGCTGCTGAATCTCTGCTTCAGGAATACATGTGTTGCATGCATTTAAAGACTTCCAAATGGAACGAGATCAGAATGAAATAAAAAAGGAACCCTACAAGCTATTTTAAATAACAACTAGTAAATAAAAACATCTGGTAGATGATTAAGATCTATATATTGAACCTCGATGAAGAATATGTGATGTACCTTTAAGGTGGAGCATACACAGTAACAGCTCTTTCAGTGACTTTTGGTGTCTAACAGGGAGCTCAGGAAATGTAGGCAGGAGGATGTGGAGTCATTTGGAGAACTCAGTGGGATGAGAGGGCATTGAGCATATCTCCCCAAGTTTTATTGATCTTTATACTGTGTTCTGTTTATGTTCTTTAGAAGAGTAGTTATGAAAACCCAGATATTACACTCATTGGCTGTGAATGTGACACTGACATCTGCTTGCCTTGGCTTGACGCCTCTGGTAGGAACCATCGGGAATGCTTTAGCCCATACCTTCTCTTTGGAAACAACATGAGAAAAAAGAAAGCTTCAAAGGCCCAAAACACCTGTGTAACCTCTTCTGTGCCATAGAACAGGCATGTAAGCTGATTCTGAAAATCAAGCCTTCTGCTCTCTGTCTCTCTTTGAAGATTCTGGAAAGGATCAGTCATACAAGGACCTGATGCCCTGTGAAGTTCTTATCTCCTGCCTGGTTCTGCTGAGACATCAGGAAAAATAAAATCTTTAGTGCCTCTAAATGCAAGAACTAGGAGAAGCTAGCTCTCTCATCCTCACTGTAGTCTCACTTAAAAGGTCAAAGCAAATAAAATCTTTTGGTCCCATTTTAGTAATGAATATCTTAGAACAAGCTCTATGAAGCATTTATGACTTTATTCTCAGTTTTCCAAAATAGGATATAACTTGTTTCAATTGCTTAAAACACAGGGGCAAACCACATATGATGAATGCATTCTGTTTGAAATCAATTTCCTTCATCATTTTATTAGATCGAATGCTCTGAACTGGGAAGTATTATTTTCCCATTGTGCTTTTGCAAAACTGCCCACTCTTGGAGCTTTGTGGCTGTGAGCTCCTGATTAGTTTAATTGTTTTTTTCTTCTTCTGCTTTCCTGGCTACAAGGACTTAACACTTTACTCACCTTTGAGTAGCAGGGCAGCACCACAAGGAAGGTAGAATAAACAGGATGATTAAACAACCAGCATGCAGCAAGGGGGCAATATTTCAATAGCAAATATTGCTACCCATATACCTCAACAGAATGTGCTAAAGTAAACAAAATGATAGCATAATTATAGTAGTTCCAATTATGTTAATTAGACTGCATACACGCTTCATTGATAAGCAACTGTGCTGCAGAGAAATGCTGTTAAGCCTGGTACTTCAGCCTTTAGCAGCTTTGTGCCACATATGCTACTATATTCTTGGGTAACATTTAGCCTCTCACAATTATTTTCTTTCTTTTCTAATACTTTTGTTGAAAAATAAATAAATAAAAGGGTGTGCTACCCCACATTTTAGAGAAGTTAGAGATTCCCAATGAGATTCTATGCTAAGTTCCTCAGTGTTTTGGTCCCTTCTCCTGGAACCTCAAGTGAAAAATATTAACATGTCCCATTTGACTAATTAAAATCCAGCTTAAGAAAATGGATTTGCTTTCAGTTGCCTCCAAATCACATCCTTTGCTTTGATATCGCCCATAAAAGAGAACCCCTGAGGGAAGAGGCCACCACAAGCTGTTGTTCACATAGCAGGTTGCATTTTGGGGGATCTAAAAATTGGGGGGGTGTTCTGGGATTGTTGGTGTATTTTGTTATATTCATGGGACACCTGATTGTTTTAAAGAAAGATGTGAATTGCAAAGAAATAGAAATTGTAAAAAGACAAATCATGAAGAAAACTATAAATGCTCAGAAAGGGAAAATTACAATTGTAAGCTAATTAGACCATTTACATATTTAAAGTGATAATACAATTAAAATACAATGATTTAAGTATGGAACAGTTAAAAAACATTCAAAAATAAAAAATAGCTTAAAGCCTAAGCTAACCAAGGAATTCAATAAGGAAAAAGAGTCTGTTACTTAGTCCAGATATTATCTAAAATACATTGTCATAAAAATGTAGTAAATAATTGCTTCAAGATGAAAAAAAGAGCTGTGTTTTTTTTCCCCCAACAGATTGCTAGGAAATTAGCAGTCTAAATGAATTGCTTATAAAATCAGAGAATAAAATGCAAAATAATATAGTGTTATATAGTCATCGTGACATAGTAGAATTTTGCTTATTAAAAAGACGCCTTCGTTAGTGAAACTCCACCTTTGCACCTCTCCCCTCTTCCCCCGTACCTTATTAGGAGTTCACTTCAGCAGTTGCCCACTTTCTCTTCATTTCTTATTCTCTACCTGTCTTTTTCTCATAAACTCTGCTCAAGCCTCTCAAATTTAAAATAATCTTTTATTTTCCGTATTTCTCTCCTTCTCTCAATATTCACATTTTTCTCTTTGCCAGAGCTCTTAAAAGAAAGGGTGACAATTACTCTCTGAATGTTTTCACTGTCACTATTAGTACTGAGAAAAATTGCAGTGGATTAGGTTTTAAACAAACCAGTAGTAGTCCCTTTTCAAAGCAAGGCTAAATTCTCTTTGGGTTCTGCCTTTGTTATCAATGCAGTTAGGTTGACCTTTAGACTGGGTATGCCTAAAATAGGCTTTTTATACCTAGTATCTGCCATTTAAAAATTTCAGGCTCAGTTTTTCCAGTGTGCATGAGGATTGTTTTCCATAATGTTGAATATTGAGCAAAAAGGAACACCAAGAAAAATAAAAAGATACTAAAGACATCTATAACAGACAAACGTGTAAAAATATCAAAGAACAAATGCCCTCTGGGGAAAGGTTAAAAAAAATGCTGAGCTGATTTCGTGTAGACAAGAAAAGCTAAGGGTTGGTAACTGACCATCTGTAATTATGTGAAAGATTATTAGGATAGAGTATGTTGCCAGCTGCTCTCCTCTCTGCTGAAAGTAGAAGGATGGGATTAAATTATAACCAGAGAGATTATGTTAGACATAAGGAAGAACACTGTAGCTTTAGGGGGATATTCTCTAAGATGGATTATCGAAGGACAGTGTAAAATCCTCAATATAGAATTGTGAAAAGTTTGAAAATGGAGCAGGCTCCTTCCTTTCTCTGTCTCAGATAGTTTCAGTCATTTTTTGTAGGTAGAATGGATATTTGCATTAAAAATTGTTTCTAGATGATTCTGCTTACAAATATATCTGGAGATACCATCAATGTGGACAAAATGAAAAGAGAATGCTTCAGTTTTGGATAAATATTTTATTTGCCCAGAGCACAGTTTCTCTTACTCTTTCTGGCCTCAGCCCGATAATTCCATACATATTTTTACTATTGGTTTAAGTACAAATGCCTCAAGGTAGAAAGATCGATTAAATGACCTCTTCAGATTCCTTCTAAGCTTTATTATTCTAATTTTTCAGCTTCCACAGTGAGATGAGAGCATGACAGAAAACCTGTGTTCTTTGTCCTATTTATCAAGGGACTATGAAGACACATGTTTGGACTCCCTCATTTGCTGTAGAAACACATGTGTAACACCCTCAGGATTATTGTGTCTTCTCGGAAATGCATGCCCTTGGAAGTAAGCCTGTGGGTGGGCTTCTCTCTTTTAGAGACATTATGAAAAGACATAGAAATTTCTACATTGCCCTTTGGGTTAGGTAGGCGAAAGGTGATATATGGCATAATACTAAAGCAGCACACGACAACTGGATGCCTCATACCCAAAATACTCAACAATAGAGAAATCACCAGAGAACTTGTAAATAAAAATGTTCTGTAGGTAATTCCCACAGAAGTCATATATTTGCTAATATTTGTGGATTTTCCTCACAAAAGTGCCTCTCACGTAATCATTAACGTCTCTATGCTTTCTTTAGATACGGATACAGTAGTTCAAATTTAAATGCCAGTTTCTAAAAGCCTTGGCAAGATAGAAAACGCAGTCTATGGCAAGGATTCAGGCAAATCAAAATGCTTGCTCATGAGGGGCAAGGAATCAAAACAACTGCAGAAGGCACTGCTAGAACCTAAATTCAGTCAGCAGATATTTATTAGGGCCCTACTCCCTGCTGATTGCTGAAGATAAAACAATGAGAAAAACAAACTTGGTGCTTGCCCTCCTGAACTTTAGAGCCTATAGAAGGGTGCACATTCTAATGTAAATTTTATGCAAATAACATTTAATATTGTGATAAATAAGAAAAAACTGGGTTCTGTAAAAGTTTTAAATATATATAAAAAAGGCTTCCTTGGGAAAGAGCGCTTTATCTGAGATTTGAAGGATGTCTAGATGTTTGAAAACTAATATTTTAGAAGATGGGGTATAGATGGAGGGCACAAAAATATTTCATACAGAGAATATAGCTTGTGCAAAGGCCCTGAGGTGGGAGGAACATGAGGAAATGAAAGAAAGATCACGGCTGGGCGCAGTGGCTCACGCCTGTAATCCCAGCACTTTGGAGGCTGAGGTGGGCAGATCATGAGGTCAGGAGGTCGAGACCATCCTGGCTAACATGGTGAAATCCAGTCTTTACTAAAAATACAAAAAAAAAAAAATTAGCTGGGCATGGTGGCAGGCGCCTCTAGTCCCAGCTACTTGGGAGGCTGAGGCAGGAGAGTGGCGTGAACCCGGGAGGCGGAGCTTGCAGTGAGCCGAGATCACGCCACTGCACTCCAGCCTGGGCGACAGAGCAAGACTGTCTCAAAAAAACAAAAAACAAAAAACAAAAAAAAAAAAAGAAAGAAAGAAAGATCACGACGTAAGAAGAGTAATGAGATGAGCTGGAGAAGTAGGCTGGGGTTATACAGAGTTTATATGACTGATAGATGCAGGGTCTATGGGTTCCATTTGTGTCCCAGCAAATACAGGGAAGCTACTGAAGAGCGCTTTGAAAGGGAGCAAGATAATGAAGCCTGTACTTTTAAAATATCACCTTTCAGTATGAAGAATGGATTTTCATGGGGCAAGATTGGCTGCTGGAAAATCAGTGAAAAGTGTACTACAATAACACAGTAACTAAAGATGGTGAAGGTTTGACTAGAATTCTGGTAGTGGAAATGGACAGAAGTAAAAAAGTTCAAAAAGCTGTTATAAGGTAAATATTCAGGAAGTAAATAAGAGGTATTCAGAAGCATTTTATTTTGGATTGTAAATGGGGTATACTAAAGGAAATTACCAAAACTGACTTCCAGGGACTATCTAGTATCTCATAGAACAATAAAAAGAGAACCATGCTTTAGGTCAGAGCTTAGCAAATTTTTTCTATAAACATCCACATAGTAAATATTTTAAGATTTAAGGGGGCATACAGCCTCTGTCACAACTACTCAACTTTTCTGGGATAGCAAGAAAAATTGTCTGTGTAAGCAGCCACAGGCAAATGTAAATGAATAGGCTTGGCTGTGTTCCAATAAAACTTTATTGACAAAAGCAGGCAGTGGGCCAGATTTGGCCCCGGGGCATACTTTGCCCATTCGTTTTAGTTGATGAACACTGTGATTACACAGGCTGTTGTTTACACTGATGGCAGTAAATCATGCAAAAAAAAAAAAAATTTAATTTTGTTTGGTGTTTTCTGCTGAATGAAAGCCATGAATATTTGAAATACTTTGAAAAATCTAGAGAAAATTACTGAAGTGAATTTTACTGCTTAAAGCTTTACCTGAATTTTTCAGACAACAAAGCAAATATTGAATGCTTTATTCCCTTATAACACAAGATGAAAATGGGGTTTTAATATTAATATTGTTAGCTAAGCTTCAAAAAGGTCAGCTTCAAGGCAGTTGGAGTTACATTTATTTCATTGCAAAGAACTGAGGCAGCAACAAATACTGGCATCATGATATCTCACTGTAAGTCACTGTAATATCACCTTGCTAGTGAATGACATTTTTTCTCAGTTGTTATAATTGTAGAAAGAAAAAGATATTACCTCAAAGAATTTGTGATAATCTCTCTAAATTATTTACTCTTGGCAATGAATGTTTAGGTAGATTTCAAGAACATAAACAAGAACAAATACCATTATGAGAACACCATGAAGACTGACTCAAATGTTCTTTCATTGAAAACAATTTCTTTTTAAAACAATTCTACAGAATAAATATGGAAAAATTATTAAGTTCAAAAAGTTGTTTGGAAAATTCCTACTTCTATGGAAATTCCTTAAAACCCTCAGTGCATAAAGTCAACTGGGCATATTTAACCATATGTGTCCAGATTTCCAGATAGTCAACCAAACTTTTCTGATACCTAGATCATAGAATCTCAGAAAGCTTGAAAAATCAGGGAGTTAAGTTCCATGACAATATAATTTTGTTTCTTACAAAGATATTTTCTAGATACTACATGAATTTTCCTTTACTTAATATCTATCTTGATTATCTACACACACTTTTAAGATTCTTAAATTCTAGCAAGCTGTATTTTGGAAAATAGATAAAACAGATAAAATAGCTATTTTGCAAAAGATTTCTTTGTTTCATGAGCTGAGAAGCCCAAATTTTTTTAAAAATAAGTTTCTTTTAAAATCATAATTATTTGAAACATTACACTCAGAATCAATGAGTTCTCATAGCAGCTTATCTCCTGGAGAGCAAGCATGGAAGCATTCTTATTTGAGGTAGCTGACCTAACAGGTGTCTTCCTTTTCTATACAATTTTATGAAGCTATGAAATCTTCATTAAGTTGTAGGTCATAGGCATCTCTCCTGGAACCAGCTGTGCCAAATAAGCAGAAGGATTTTTTGATATTCCAATGCTCCATAGTAAAATGAGAACCTAAAAACAAAAACCAAAAAACAAAAAGAAAACACCCAGATGTTGTTTGAAACTCTGTTAAGCAGGCTAATGTGCTTTCCCTATTAAGTCATTATTAAAATGCTATTACACTTTTCACCTGTAGCTATTCGAAGGCAGATCTAATGCTTAACTCCCAATTTTTTATCTCTTTTGCACTAGCTAAAAGAAGAATCAGTACTAGTTATAGATCACTTAGCTTTTTGTTTATTTATTCAATGGAAATGTTAATGCTTTCTATGTTCACATTACTAGAATATGTATACAGGGAGAGGAAATTTAAAAAATGTAAGACACAGGCCAGGAGTGGTGGCTTGCGCCTGTAGTCCCAGCACTTTGGGAGGCCAAGGCCAGTGGATTACGAGGTCAGGAGATCCAGAACATCTTGGCCAACATGTTGAAACCCCATCTCTACTAAAAATACAAAAAATTAGCCAGGTGTGGTGGCATGCGCCTATAATCCCAGCTACTCGGGAGGCTGAGGCAGGAGAATCACTTGAACCCAGGAAGTGGAGGTTGCAGTGAGCTGAAATCACACCACTTTCCACTCCAGCCTGGGCGACAAGAGTGAAACTCCATCTGAAAAAAAAAAAAAAAAAAAAAAAAAGACACAGACTCTGCTCTTGCAGAAATTAACCACAGAAATGGAATATAAATTTAGAGGGAATTAATGATAAGTGGAAGTTCATGGTAGACAAAAAATAACTATTCAAAGAAGAAACTGCTTTGGGCTTGACATGGAATGCTTCATAGAAGATGGAGACTTGTGCACCTTTAATAAGGATGGATAAGATTAGAAAATATAGTCAAAGTCGCAGGCAGTTTATGTAGGATGCATAATATAAGCCAATGCTTGGAGTCTGAAATAAGCATGGTAGGCTTAGGGGATGGTAAAGTGACCATCCTGAACAGGGCAGGATTTGCAGATCAGTGAATAGAGTTAAATAGGTTCAATGACTCATCAGCAGAGGAATTTCCACTTATTCCATGGTAGCATCAAAGAATTAAGTAATTTCCAGGAGAAGTCAGTAAAATAGAAAAAAAAAAGAATGGCTAGGAAAAAAATCAAAACAAAATAGTGCCACAAAATCTTCGAGAGAGAAGAATCTTAAAAGTAGGAAGGGATCAATAGTGTTGAACATCAATTGGAGAATAACAAATTGACACAGGTTTTGAAGATTAATCAGTCAATGGGGCAGTAGGGAGAGCAGTCTCAGTAGACTGCTGGGGGCACAAACCAGATTGAATTAAGTTTAGGACAGATGTGTGCCGAGTGAATTGAAAATATACGTGTGAGTCTGGAAGCTGTAGTGTCTACATAAAGATGGTTGACTTGTGCATGTTTTACTTACACTAGCATTCTTACTGAAATGACAGGAAATATATTTACAAGTAGAATTTATGGCGGTGCTAAAAAAAATAAGTATACTCAAACTTTTGTCTTATTTGGGTTGAAAGTTATAGGGGTTAATACATTATCAATGTTGTGTGAATATGTTTGTTAAAATGTTAATAGTCATTTCACTGCAAATCCATATCTGCATCTATACATTTATATCTATTGATATAGATTATTGAGTGCCATTAGCAGACAAAATAAATTTGAGTTATATGAGGAAAGTAGATGGAATTACATATGCTCAGCAGAATAAAACAATAACACAAATCACAGAAAATTCTACTGAGTAGAACCCATTTGTCCCAACAAAACTTCTTAGCAACTTAAATCTCAGGAGCAGGACTGTACCAAGGATTCACTCAAGGGAGAGAACTACTTGGGAGACAGTGATACAGCTTCAGAGAAAATACAACCCAGAAAATTACACTCACCAATGTATTCTTTCACCTGTCATTTCACAGGAAACGAAGATCACCAGACATTCAAGAAACACAAATAAAATAAAAAAGAATGCAAAAGATGAACAATTGGGGGAAACAGAGATATACAGAAAAGAGAATAAAGCTTAAATTATTTTTAATAATTTCAGAGTGATTAAAAAAGACTCTGAATCTACAAAAGAAAACCAACGAAATGCAATAAAATAGCAATAAAAAATAAAGGATTCTTGGAAATAAAGCATGTTAGGCAAAATTAAAAAAAAAATAGAAGGGCTGAGTAAGTGAAAGGATATTACCAAAGAATGTAAACTCAAAAGTAAAAGAAATAAAAAATAAAAACATTTCAGAGATATGGAGAAGAGTTCCACGGTATCTAATATTCATATACTAGGAGAGAAGAGGAATGAGAAAATAAATAATCAAAAGATAGTTTTTAGAAGAATGACCTGAGAAAGATTCAGTTTTCACACTGAAAATCATGCTGGATATCTAGTAAAATGAAATACAAGCAAATACATTCATTCACTCATCCTTTATCAAAGATTTCATGTAATATTTACTATATGCCTGGCTCCATTCTAGGGATTAGGGACTGCCATGAACAGGACGGACCAAATTCTCCCTCTATGGATCTTACATTGTAAAGATCAGAGATAAAATATATTGATTAACAAATAAAAGTTTAAAAGAAATAAATTCTCTGAAGAAAGAAGTATAGGTAATAATAAATAATGACCATGTGGAGCTACTTTATACTGGGATATCAGTGAAGGTACCTCTGAAGAACTGGCATTTGCTGTGAGAGCTGAATGGCAGGCAAATGCTAGCCATGAAAAGATCTGGGAGAAGAACATGCCAAGCAGAGGGAATATCAGGTGAAATTTCCAAAAGCCACAGCTTAAAAATATATACATAAGAAACATCAACCATCCTGGAGTGAAAATGACTCTGGAATCAGAACTCTCATCTGTAAAACTACATGTCACAAAAATAAGAAAATAATTTTAAGCCTAGGATGTTATTAAAAGTCAAACTACCATTCAAATACTTTTTAGACATGCAAGGACACAGAGTTTATTCTGAGAGGAAAAAACCTTTAATAAATATTTCAGCAGAATGAGAAAAGAACACAAAGAAATGGATAACATGAGATGGATTAATACAAATAAATCAATAAAATACATGGTTACATCTACACACTTATTGATAACAGAACTGTGAGAATTAACTCAATTGTTGCGTGTTCTGATCATAGCTGCAGAAAAACCACCCCAAACTTAGTTATGTAAAATTATCACTTATTTTTATTATCTATAAAATTATGGAATTGACTCAGCTCAACTAGATGGTTCTCATTTGGGGTTGCTAATGTGATTGCAGTCAAGTGATGGCTAGAGGTGGAGTCATCTCCATGGCTTCCTCACTCATCTTTGAGACTTGATACTGCCTAAAAAATTGGGACTGTTGACTGGAACACCTCATATAGCCTCTCTATGTGGCCTGGGCTTCCTTTCAGGACGGCAACTAGGTTCCAAGAGCAACTATCCCAAGAAAGAGAAAACCAGGTGAAAGCTGTATCTCTTTTCTGATTTGGCCTCAGAAGTCATACAGCATAGCTTCCACCAGCTCCTATTCACCAGAAGCAAGTCGCTATAGACCAGGCCAAATTTAAGAGGGAAGGAATTAGACTGACATATTTTAAAACCACTACACAAAGAAAGGATACATAAAAAATAGTGCCACAATGTAACAAAAAAATTAACAATCTGGTGGTGAGCAACAAGAAAGAAGTAGAAACATACTCAAACCCTTGTCTTATTTGGGAGGGAGTGTCAAAAGGGTTAATGAATTATCAATGTTGATGGAAAACATCAACATAAGTTCAAATATTTTTGTTAAAATGGCAATGGTCCTTACACTATGTGTCTAATTCTATCTATATCTGCATAACTTTCTCCAGTGAAATGCTTATTTCACTAAACAATTTATCTTGAAGATTCTCTCCTTATCATTTAATTACACCTCTATTTACAGGCAAAGATGTCCATCACCTTCAATACTCATGCCATTAGGCTATATCCTCATTATTGACCTCCTGGACGCTGTCAGTCCTCTGACTCAGAATCTTCCTCCTTTACTATGGTAATCTATGAAAAGTCAGTTTCTTTTAATAACCTACCCTTTAAACTTGCCTTCAAATCCCTGAACCTTTCTTATCAAGTGATCCTCATCTCCAATCCACTGAAATTCACCTATAACCATTACCAAATTCTCAATTCAGTTATCATTAACAATTACTCCACCTCACTTTCTGACGGTAACCCTTACCCTCAAACTCCTACTACATCACTCTTCCATCTCATAGAGACATCATTTTTTTACTGTCTTCCAGCTTATTATCCCTGTTGCTCATCACTTTCCTTCTGTACCCTGAACTAAAATGTTTATCATCTTCATTATCTTGCAGATATGCTAAATTTCCTTACATCTTTAGCTTCTCAAAACAACATAAAATCGATATTGTCAAACTCTGCCTTCTCTTCTATACCAAGAAAAGAACAATACCACTATGAATTGGCATGATAAAAAAATCAGTCTCTGTTGTCAGCTAGGTACTCAGAACTGCCAATAAATGATTTTTATATATTCTTAGAAATATATCATTCCAACATTTTTATTGCCCTTATCAAGCATCAACAAGTTTTTACTGCTCTTCTCAAGCATCTGACACCATTCCAGCTCCTTCATTCTCAGTGAATAAGTTTATCTATTACATGACAAAAATCAAGGTCATTAAGAGAAAGTTCTTCAAATCTCCCTCAATTTGCCAATTCCCCTATATACAAATCTGCCTACCTTGCATCCATCAAAAAATCTTTTCCTTCATCTTTAAAAGATGAAGCCATCCTGCTCATACTACTTGTGTCTTTGAGCTCTTTGTTTGTGTTTCATGAAAACAAATTGTCTTTCATTCATCTCTATGCTAGTTCCTCTCCTTTCAGCCAATAAACATTCTCTAGTCTTTCATATTAACAACAACAACAAAAAAACAAAACTCCAAACTTCACATTCTCTTCAAGTTACCATTCAATTGTTTCTCTCCCAGACTACATAGAATAGTAAGCTGGATGGTCACCTCAACATAATCTCTTCTTTGGAGTTTAATGACTACATCTGTACATCTGTATTCCACTCTATTGAAGGTATTCTTATTAAAATCATCAATGACCTCATCATTGCAATCTAAATAGTGTTTGTCTATTGATATCGCTGATTTTAGTTACATTTTATTCTATTGGTCACTTTATTTGTTGACACTAGATTCTCTAGTTTCTTCCATTTTTTTCTCTATCCCTTTTGAAATGAGCTACCTATATTTTTGGTCAATTTGTATTTTAGATTCAGGGGGTATATGTGCAATATACCTAGGTATATTGTATAATGATGAGTTGTAGGGTACAATTGATCCTGTCATGAAGGTAGTAAGCATAGTACCCAATAGTTAGTTTTCAACCCTTGCCTTCTCCCTCTTGCCACAGTAGCCCCCATTGTCTATTGTTGCCATCTTTATGTCCATGCTTAGCTGATGTTTAGCTCTCTTATAAGTGAAAGCATGCAGTATTTGGTTTTCTTTTCCTGCTTAGTTTGTTTTGGATAACGGCCTCCAGCTATATCCATGTTGCTGTAAAAGTTGTGATTTTGCTTTTTATGGCTGTGTAGTATTCCATGCCACCCACATTTTGAATGCTGATGTTCACCAAAGTTCTGAAGTGTCCTGAAGTTCTTCTCATGCTTTGTTCTTTTTCCAGGTGATCTCACTCACTTCCAAAATTTAAACTTAGACCCATGCACTAACCATTTCCCAAATTTAATTCTCCTTTCTGAATCTCTGGGTTTCAGAGTCACATAGACTGCCTGTAATACAACAGCTTAGTATTTTCAGTCAAAAACTAAACTCATCTTATTCTCTCCTTCAAATCCAGTTTATCCTTCTAAATTATCTCTCAATTAATGCCAAACATCATTTAGCTGGTCAGTCCCCAAATTAAAAATGTAAGAGTCATCCTTGAACTCTCTTTCTCCCTTCTGTAACCATTCCACCATTAAATCTGGCCTATTAGATCTCCTCTATATTTCAGAAACTTATCCTGTCCTCTCCATTCTAATTAGACTAATTCAGACATTTCACATGTCTCCCTGAACTTCTGGAACAGCCTTCAAAGTTGTTTCTCAGCCTCCAGTTTTGAATTCCATCTTTCTTTACCTGCTGTATTGGAAAATAATAAACTATCACTTAGAAGGACATAATGGAAGTGAATATTTTCAGAGGAAACCTGGGTTTTTGTTCAAGTGGGGCTATTGAGATACGGTGCAACTCAGGGTTTAAAAACACAGGACCTAATATCAAACAGCCTAATTAGTTCAGGCTCATGCTGCAATATCTACCAGATTTGTGGTCTTAGGAAGATTACTTAGCCTCACTCCCTCAGGTTCCTCGCCTTAAAACTGGAGACAGTTACATTACCCAGCTGACGTGACGATTGAGTGTGATACCTGTAAAATACTTACACTATGTCAGATACCCAGTGAAGACTGAGTAAGTGCTGTGGTGGTAGTAGTGGTGAGAGGGGTTTCTAATTTCAGAGGAGATTTTTCAGAAAATGTTGAGATAAAACAGTGGACATAGGTTAAGAAGTCAGAAGACTGGTATAGACTTCCTTGTCTCACGTTTTCCCTATCACCTGGGGATTTTTTTATTTCCTTCTCTAAAAGTTCTGAAACTGACATTCTTGGCATTTCATATCAGAGGGGAAAAGAGAGATCAATTATTTCAAAATTGGTTTGGGGTTCAGCATCTAGCCATTGGATTAAAATGAAGTCTTACCCCAAAATAGATTCTAGATGGAGAAAAGATTTAACCGCAAAAAATAGTTAAGACCATAAAAGCATTTGAAGAACACATGGAAGGATTTATTTTTCATCTCTGATTTGAGACAGGCTTACCAAAAAAAAAAAAAAGACAAAAAACAAAAGTCATAAAAAAAATTGATAAATGTGACCAAATACAATATTTTAAATTCTGCATGGTAAAAATACCTAAACAAAGTCAAAAGACAGATGATAAACTGAGAAAATATTTACAGCACATATGGCAAAAGACTGATTTTCCTGTACTAAAATTACATTAATTAAATATACTTAAAAGTCTTAAAATATATTAAATTTTTTAAAAAGCAAGGGCAAAACAGCGTATTTGTGATACTTCCATTTATGTAAAAAGAAAAAGAGGGAATGTTTACAAATATTTGCACATGCACTGAATATCTAAAGGGATGCACAAGAAACTAGCAAAAGGGGTGCTTCTAGGAAAAGAAACTCAAGGCTGATTTTTACTGTATGTCTTTTTTTACCGTGAATGTTTTAACATACGTAAACACTATTTTATGATCACAAAACTGAAGCTCTTTTTAGAAACCTTCCATGAAACTCTGAACAGTGTAAAAAAGAAAGGAAAGGAGGAAGAAAGTGAAGGAAAGAAGCAAGAGGAGAGAAAGGAAGGAAGAGAGAAAGGGAGGAACAAGAAAATCTTTCTCTGATCTCTGTTTCCTTATAGTAATTGTCATGCTTTTTATCATTTATTATTTAAAAAAATTTCATCTCCTCTACTAGAACATAAGATTTTTAGAACAACAACAAAAAAAAAACCCAGTCTTCCTGGTGTCTTGTACTGTACCAAGCATTTAATAGATGCATAAAATTAATAAACAAGTGAATGATTATCCCATGGTCTATTTTATATGTGGTCTTTTTGCTTTGCAAAATTTGCCTCCTGTTACTTCCTGTGCTTCTTGGGTGTTACACAGGTTTTTCAGCATTTTGGAAAGTACAAAATGAATATTGCATGGTAGCTAACATTTTCTTTCCAAAGGAGTTTTATACCCCTGGCATTTGGGTCAGAAAAGTCCTGGAGTCCTGTCTTCTTGAATAAATTCTCCACTTTCTGAGAAACACCACCACTAAAGAGTGTAACATCTATAGATGTGTATATTCTTCAAGAAGTTTCCACTATATGAAAGTGGGTAACTTTGCACCAAAATCATTATATAATTGTAGAAAGCTTACTGGAAATGATTGGTATGCATTGTATGTAATTTAGAGCTTTATACTGAACACTATTTAGGCGTAACTGATTGACTGAATAATTCTTGGCTACCTTATCAAATTTCTTCTGCTCAGTGCTAAATGTTAAACCATATCTCTAAAATGTGGTTCTAGTAATGAGAGTCCATTAACACTTCTGAGTGGTATTACACGTAATAAAATTGCAAGCATATGAGAATGAAGACAACCTCAAGAAAGAATGGTGTGAAACTGAAATGGGGTCCAGTTTGTTACCAGCAGGGCCAACGTCTACCTATCCCCATTCACAGGATGGGGTCTGATCATTGTGCAACTAAGAAATCTGATTCATTAGTTCCTTGACTCCACATCTGAGAACAGCCTAATTAGTTTACTCACCAGTCTCTTCAATTTCTCCAGATGTTTTTTGTTCAAAGATGTATCTCCAAGCTAACTCTGGCCTTTTTGCCAGGAAATTGTGCACAGAATTCATCCAAGAAGACAAAGGCCTTGTCACTAAATTATTGAAGTGGCAATAAGTAACATGTTTAGTCAGAAAATTGGGCCAGAGCTCAGGGTTAGAACATCGTAAGACTTTTACAATAATGTACGTTATGTATCACATTTGTACAATGATGTATTATTGTGTATCTATGATGTAAAATTGTATTTTAGATGAAGTGTTGCCTGTGTCTGCACACACACACACAGGTGTTCATCTTCAGTTCTTAAATCTGTTTCTGAATTATGCTCCCTATGAAAGAGAAAGGGGGCACAGTTCAGACCAGGGTCCTACCTATATTTTGAATCTGCAAGAGTCTGCCTTCTGAAAATTCCAAATAAGTGCCTTTCTTCCATCTTGGAATCCTGTGTGTGTTCCCCTGCCTCAATGTATCCATGTGTGTGAGAGAGTATCAGTCCAAGAGGAAGCACAGATTGGGAAGAAGCAGGCCAGACATTCCGTGGTCATGGTGAAAGGCAGGTGTAGGCAGAAGCATGTGGAGGGCAGTGATCAACTACCCCTATTTTCCTGGCAATAAGGGGTTTCTAGGAATGCAGAACTTTTAGTTGTTAAAACCAGGATGGTCCTCGGAAAACTGAGATGGATGGTCACCCCAAGTAGGTTACTTGTCATGAAAATAATCTCTTCATCCTTTTTCCCGGCCTGGCTTATATAGCTCTAATTGGAGATTCTGACACAGTTGCTCTATCTGTCATTGTTGGAGGTCTTCTCAACAACTGGGGCTATTGTAATCTCACATGAGTCACAGAGAAAACTTCCTGGCATGGTGTAATGTAGAAAAAAAAAAAAACAGGAAAGAATGCCAAAATCCTCTAGCACCTTTTGCAGAAGCATTTCTTCTACCTGATTTTCTAGTGGAACATGTCTAGAATCTCCAGCTCTTTTCCTCTTCTATTCCAGAACTCACCATACACCCAAGGGCAGAGAATATCTAGTATTGTATCCACAGCTCTGCAGTCTCAAATTATATGCTTGTATTAACTCTGAGCCTTTCATGATGAGTGCATTCTAGATTCATAAGTTTGTTTGTATATTCTGATCATAGTTTATTCAATATATCTTTGGAAACATTTATTGGTTTGAATGTGTAACTGTTTCAAATGATCTTCACATCTTGGGAAAACTTGAAAGACTATGGAATTAGGAGTACTTGGCATTTAACTACACATTAGCATCATATAATTATATGATCAGATGTGTACCATCAGCAGAATTTTGAAAATGAGAGAATTCTGTTTGACATGGGAGAATTTGACTAATATATTTTATAATTTTATAATACAAAATACACTATGAAACTAGAAAACATAAAAAATAAAGATAAATCCATTACCTAGAAAACTTTCTGTGCTTTGCTGAGAATACTCAGAGCTAGCATTTGTTGAACATTTGCCACTTGCCAGACATGGGCTAACATCTTTACTGGGGTTATCTCATTTAATCCTCATAGCAACCTTCTGAAACAAGCACTATCACCCTCATTTTACAAATGAGGAAACTGAACTCAGAAAAGTTAAGCCATGTGCTTTACTCGTAAAGTGAGAATTTCTACAGAGCCTCTGTTTCCCAATTGCATGCCCTTAGCTGCTCTACTGCAATGCTACCCTTCTCAGCTAATGCCTACCATTCATTCAACAAGGATTTATGGATCCTAAGTGTGAGGTCTATGCAAAGCAGAGAAAAAGTAGCAAGGAACAAGACAGACTTGCTTTCTGCCTTTTTAATGCTTAAGCTTAGTACATGTAGTTTCTACGTTTGTATGTGATGCATCCTTAAAATGTTTTTAAAAGTCAGACCCAAATTTTGGAAGGGAGCTTTCTTCCCAGAGAAATAAAAATATTAAACAGTTTAATCTTTTCTTCTGAAGACAATATGGAAAAGCCCTTCACAATATATGCTGTAATTAGCTTAATCTTAATGAGTATCTGATTGAAAGTAAATTTGATTTCCTTGACCTTTGAACCAGAATATTTTATAGAATTATTCCCTTTTAGGTGAATGGAGGACTTTGCTGACTTAACTGCAAACCTAAGCAGTAGGAAAAAAATTGCATATTGCTTTTAAATTGGGGGACTCAATACCCTCCCACCATGAATTTTACTTTGTTAAATATAGGTTAGTACACAATACAATTCATCTTGTTTTCCCCTAAGTCTTCACTACCTTAAAATGACCATAGTGTGCCCGGTTAAGTGTAAATATTAATGGAGTCTTTCTCATACAATTTATATAGCCTTCACCCAATATCATAATTAAATGTTGATTTGTATACTCACAGTTCTTTCTTCAATCTTCAAAAATTATACAAGGATAAGCAACAATAAAATACTTAAATAAATACTTCATGGAAAACAAATAAATCATAGTGATCTTAAAGGGCTAATGCAATAAACTAATCTGATCAAACCGTCAGTCTTGTAAAATCAATCACATTTGTCTCCCAACAGAAAGACACAGAAAAAAGTTTATAAATGAAATATGTTTTCCATAGGGACTCAACTACAGATTGATTTACAAAAATAGTCCCTAAGAGAAAGACTAACTTCATTCTTAAAGAATTTCCACTAAAAAACAATGACAATTCTTTTTCCTTTTGTACTAGTTAAGCAACTGGCTGGGTACATGTAAACCTTGCTGAAATAGAGTTGATACTGATCTTTACTGTTTGTCCCTCATTTCAGCATGGAAAAGGACAACAATCCCTCTCATCCACAAAGCCTGGGCCAGAGCGTTCTTAAAAATCAATCTGGCTCCAAAGCTCAGGGTGAGGTTTCCATAAGAATGGTGACATCATCAGATTTTTGTTTTTTAAAATGTAGGCAAAAGTGTTGCCATCCGCATTTATCTCATATTCTAATTGTGAAGGTGTTGCTGCATTAATTGCCATTCCACATATATTCTCTCTGACTAAATAGCTAAACGACCATCCAAAGAAATCTGCAAGAACATTTGTTTTACATCTGGGAGAGATGTGGAGGATGTTGACTTTCAAATGCCTTCAGTACTCCAAGACATCTAGTGCATCAAGGGAATGCCAAGGAACATTTGTATTTGTCTTTATTCACATGAATTTAATGAAATCAATTATTTAGAATTTTAGACTGGATGGATCCTCAGAGATCATTAGCTCCATGGCTTGAAAATATTTTAGCAATCAAATCCTTTATTTCAAAGGCAACCTGATGAAAAATCCCCAGTAGTTAATATGGACACTAGATAAATCCATTTTACAAGTTCCAAGTACAATATTTACAGATTATTAGGTTATTAGGTTCTGTCAACTTAGTTGGCATATGGATGTCATATGTCCATATGGATCCATATACATATGGATGTATAGCCCACATATAGATGCATGTTATTCTATTAAAGTTTTTAAAATATATTTTTAAAAGGAGACCCAAGTCATACCATTAGAGGCATTTTTGTAGGATATGACAGCTCCTTAAAACAAAGTTTGAGAACTTCTAATCTAGCTTCATCATCTCATTTGGCAGAGGAGGAAATTGAGGCCTAGAGGATAAAACGTTATTGCCCAAGAGTACATATTGGCAAAAGTGAAACTCAAACCCATGTCCCCAAAATAATATTAAATTAATTTGTTTGCATACATTCAGCACTCATTTTGTGCTAGGCACTTAACTCATTTACTGCATGTCACTACTATACGATAAATTAGTGCTATAATCCCTATTTTTGCAGAAGTTGAAACTTAGAGAGGTCAAGTGATTGACCACATTTACGGGACAAATAAAGACCAGAATCAGAGTTTTTATTGAATACTGTTGAGTTTAACACTCCATGCCAAAATGTATATCACAAAACTGAATGTATGATCTAAGAATCTAGAGTTGGGTGAACCTGAGGCTAGAAACCCCAGTCCCTATCCCTGCATCATCCTTGGTGTGCTTTCAGCTATGCAGATCTAGGAAGAAGTATCCACAGATTGGTGCTGCCTTTCAAATTCCATTTAGCCCAGGACTGGATCTCTCTAAAAACAAAAATCTTCTGTATAGGAGCCAACTCTGCCTCTGGCTGTGTCTAGAATTACTGCCAAACTGGAGAAGACACTTGTTTTAAAATTTAAACAAAGACTGTAGATTTGGACAGAATTTCATCAATTTTTATGGTGGCATCTGCAGCGGTAATAAGAAAAACCATGTGTCTGAACTGAAATAAATATGACTATTGAAAAGGAAGGGTCTTGTGGTTTTCTTTTAGTGCCAAAACCTTATGAGTATATTTAAATCCTTTATATCTACTGGGTTTCATTCTTACTCTTACTTAATATCCATCATAAATCAAAATGCTCTCAATTTTATCAGAGCATTGACTACATGTAGTAATTAGCATTTAAAATCATTATCTGGAAGCCCTGGGGGAAATTTCATAGGTGAGATGATCCAACTTCAGTCTCCAGCTGACTGTAGGTCAGAAGCACCAAATCACCCTCTATAATTGTACTCAGTTGGTAATCTCATCTCAGCTCATGAGAGGCTCAAGCCAAATTAGGTCATATTACCTACTGCTTCTCAGGAATACATTCCAGCCCGGCACAGGTCAAATTGCATGGCCTGAGTGGTGATTACCCAGAGGCTGGCTTTGCTAGAAAGGCAGCACGGAGCAGAGGTATGGCAGTGAGAAGGGATGCCAGTCCTGAGGGAACTGCAACTTGACTGTGAATTTTCTTAAAACAGCTTTTAAAGATGGACCTGAGATTTATATTTAAGATTTAAAATCCTGGGCAGAGAAAGAAAACCAAGAGTCTCGATCCTGTAGAAAAGTCTCCACTTCTCAAAATTTAAATGACATATATGACGATAGCATTTTAAAAAGCCATGTGTTTTTAAATGTAATAGCTCATAAATAAAACTTTATACAAATAATAATAATCAGAGGAACACAAAAAAGGAGAAATCCTTGTAATTCTCAAACAACTCCATAGCAGGTACTGTTGGGATCTTCAGATGAAGAAACTGACACAGAAAAGTTCAGTAACTGCCCAAGGCCACGCAGCTGTTTTTAATATGAGGAGATTAGGCTTGAAACTCTACATGTTTAAGAAAAACACTCCTACAAGTTCTCCTGTACTTGGGAGGAAACTGCCTCGAACCTTTCTTGCAGAGAACATGGTTCTGAGCTGAACAGGTAGGATGCTCAGTCTTATGATGGATGCCTAGTCTTACAATGGATGCCTAGTCTTGTGATGGATGCCCTTGTGCTCAAGTCTTTTCTGCATTCATAAAGATGCCTAAGGCAAAGGCCACAAGTTCTTTTCTTCTTTCTTTCTTTCCCTTTTTTTTTTTTGAGACGGAGTCCCACTATCACCCAGGTTGGAGTGCAGTGGCACAATCTTGGCTCACTGCAACCTCTGCCTCCCAGGTTCAAGCATTTCTCCTGCATCAGCTTCCCAAGTAGCTGAGATTACAGGCGCATACCACTGCACCCGGGTAATTTTTGTATTTTTAGTAGAGAGGAGGTTTCACCATGTTGTCCAGGCTGGTCTTGAACTCCTGGCCTCAAGTGATCCACATGCCTCAGCTTCCCAAAGTGTTGGGATTACAGGCGTGAGCCACTGCGCCCAGCCACACATGTTCTTTTTCCCCAACCAGTTGTATTCCCCAGTAGAAGAGGGTAGCATTGATGCAGGGGGCCTCCCATTTTTACCTTGCTCTCAAAGGTAAGGGAGAAACGCTGTGGTAATGCTGTTCAGAGTCCTCCGCCATGTGTAAGTGAACACAAATTATCTAGCAACTCCTTCACAAGTGCCAAACCCTGTACCAAGGAACTTTTCTATTCAGAGAAGTAGACACCAATTTTTCCCTAAGACCTTGTTCTCCCAGAGTAAAACAATTGGCTTGGCTAAATAGAGCCTTTTACACTAAAAGCTTTTTTGTATTTATTATCTCATTTTGTATTCAAAGCATTGCTGGGAGATGTGCAGAGTAGGTATTCATAATGTCTCAATTTTTGATGGAGTTGAGGTAGGTGGTTTATGTACTTTGAAATACGTTGGTATAAAGCTTTGTTTCCTCTGTATTATGTACACAGTCTCATGGACAAAGGCATTTGTCAAGTCTCTATGATATTTCTAGAAATACCTTACAGGGCATTATGACTATACAAAGTCAGGGTAGGGCAGCAGAATGCCTGTCTTCAAGACTCTCCATCCCAATGCTCAGGACTTGTTATGCTACTCAGACCAGCATCTTTTGCACAAAGTATTTGTGGAATCATGTGCAAGAAAGGAATAAAAATATTTTGGTTTTAGGCATTTGAAAGCATCAGGTACAATATTAATATGAAATTTTGAGCTTAGGTGTAGATCAGTTAGTTTAGTGGGTTAAAATATGGGCCTGTTGGACCTGAGGTCTTCACTCTGTCTCTTATGAATCTGCCCAATTCACTCAGAAAGAAAAACATTCAATTCCAAGGGCCCAGATTTATTTCTCATCTCAAACAAATCAGTTGGCAAATAGTTGCCACTGGGCACTGAAAGGATGAGTGAGTTGCAGTCTGTAGCCAATTCCAGGGGTAAAAATATGCCCAAAGAGCCAGCTCCTTGTACTGTAAATCAGCAGCATGTCTTCAAAAATATATCATATTGCATAGTGAGATAATTACTTTATTTAACACGAGTAAAAAATCCAGAATAATTTTAGTAACAGCTAAGCTTGAGATGCCTTGATTAAGAGACCAGATAGAGAAGAATTCATTAGTTCCAATTTTCTGTTGCTGCTTAGGGCAATAATGCTAAAGACTTTTTTATTTAAAGCTCTCTGAAAAAATAAATTTATAGAAAAAGTGCACCCTCACACACAAAAGCACACACGTACATAGCATAATTAAGACCTCAAAAGTAGATCAAGTAAAGATGTCTCACGACATAATTCATTTATAGGCAGTGTTGCAAACTTTTCTTTCAATGTCTGGCCAAGCCACTGTAACTCATTTAATGATTATTGCAATACCTTGCATGTGTCCTTGTGTAATCCTTTATCCACATTTTCACCATAATTAACTTTCCAAGAGTATAAATTGGATTATGGCTTTATTCTGCTTAGTTTTTCACTAACTCACAATCTTCTGCAAGAAAAATCTAAGCTCTTTAAATGCATGTAAGTCATTTCACAATCAGTTCAAACTGCCCTCTCCACCGGAATTATTTAGAGATCCCAAAATACACTGTGCTGATTCATGCCCAAGAGCTTTGTGAATGCTGTTTCATTTTCCTGAAATATTATTTTCACTTTTGCCTACCTATTCAACCTAGCTGTCCCTTCTCTTAATATAACCTACCAGTGTGAATTGCTTCGTCTGGCCTGATACCTCTGTACCTTCTTACAGCTATATTTTGTTGGGCTTATTTGATCTAGCATTGCCTGTTCAACTAACTAGACCGGGGGCTCCTTAAGAATATGAAGTATGTCTTATTTATCTCTGCATCCTTCTCACCAAGCTCAGCACTTAGAATGTAGAAGGCACTCAGTGAATACCTATTGAACATATGAATAAGTGGATAAGCACGTTAGCACATGAACAGAGTTTCTAATGAGGAATCAGGGAATCTAACATTCTGGTTCTATTCTGTTTCACTGTCTCTGACTTGTTGTAGTGTGCTTTCTTTCTGAATAGGACAATTAGCTATCATTGAGCCAGCTTTCATGAGCGTCATGCGCCAGGGCAGGTGTTGACTGCTGTATGCTACTCCATATGCAGAGTGGCCCTCCTGACCCCAGCTGTGCTGGCCACCTCTGCTCAATCAGCTACTCTTAAAGAGAAGAATTTTGTCTCTCCATTAATCCCAAAATAGTGGCTAGCCCAGAGTATGATTGTCATGAAATGCATGTGAAGCACTTTGCATTGGGTCAGGCCTTTGTAAGAGCTTAATAAATATCAGCTGCTATTATTATGTAAGTGTTTAAAGACTTCCTTAGGTGAAAGACTATAAAGTTTTATATTGACATTCTTTTCTATTTATGTTATAAATATTTTATGAATGTAAGTGTAGGACCTCTTTCTATATACAGCTTTTATCCCTTTGAATACAGACTGACTCTGGGAGGTAAAAATCAGCAAAGAAAAGCAAAGAAAAATATAGGAAGTAAAACTGATGTGTTTATGCACTTGTTCCACTTCAGTTTATAGTTTAATAATTTCTCCTAAAATTGTACTTTCAAGGTCTCTTCAAATGTATATTTTCATGTAGCATTTCTATTACATCAGCTTTGAGCTTTGGCTAACTGCTCTTATCCTCCCATTGAAGACAATGAGTTTAATTTCTAAGAAGGTTCATTTGAGTTTTAGGAATTGACATCTGCTCATCTTAGTCTCTTGTGGTCTCTCTGGTCTGCAGAAAAAAAAAATGATGAACCTTGAATTTCTTTCTTCTTTTGACCACAGGGGAAATAATTCTGACCACAGATATAGAACAGAAAAATAATCTGTGCTTTTCCTCTGTCCTTTATTTACATTCTTCATGGTTTCTTTTCCCTTGGGTATTCTCATTTGTGTGTGGTTGATTATTGATCTAGCTCTAACTCAGATTTCCATTACTAATAAACAAAGTTTGGGCCGAAGTAACTTAGCATTTACAAAATGCAGTAAAACAAACTGCCCTTGTGATATATATTTTTGTTTGACTTTTGCTTGACTAGTCGAACAGTAAATTGCAGAAAGTGGTTCCTTTCTTTATATTTATAAATGCATCCATGCCAGTGTTAGCTTAACCAATAAATATTTTTAAATTAAAATTATGAATGATTAATATAAAAGCAAAACACTAAGTGATCGTAGACTCAACTGACAGTTTACTTTTGTGAAGAGAAGTTTTATAGATGATGAACTGGAGGTTGTTCATGGCTCAAGTAGAAAAAAACTTGAAGTTTTAGAGATAGATTAGCTCTGAATTAGACAGTGCTGAGTTACTTTGAGTGAATAACTGAGCTGCTCTGATCTCCCATTTCTGCATTTGGAAAAAAGGGAGCAATGGAACATGATTCATATGGTTGCTTAAGCATTAAATAGTGCACAGAAAACATTAAGCCTGTAATAGGCACTCAATTAGTAATTATTTCTCATTCATGTACCCTCTCTGAAACTTTGTCTTCTGCACAAAACAATCACATATGTGCCTATATTTGTCCATAGGATGTTTTGCCTATTAAGGAGCCTAATGACAAGTATCAAAAGCGAAATAATTTGATAAAATTATATGAAGATATTTATATGACATTTATTGGCTCTGGGCAACACTACTCATGATCCTTCATTTTAATAACAAGCAGAAGGTATGGTCAGAAATTTTCATAACAAGCAGGAATGCATGGGAATGCACTGTGGTGGTGTGAGTTAAGTGCTCTGTCTCATTACCAGCTAATGTGTCAATAATAATGCATAGTGCCCATGGTTATGACATTGGAAAGTTATTACTTCCAATAGAAATAACTGAAGACGTTGTGGGCCATTGATACACCTCACGGGAAATTGCAGGGGATCTCCTGTAATTAACATGAGCCACCAGTGCACAAAGTAAATAAGCAACATAATTATAATTTTTCCAGCTGTAAGCAGGTATTAGGGATTTTCCTTTCATCCACTTTGCTTTGGGAACTGGCTCCTTGCCATGCTCTGTCTCTGTATTCCCTTCTGCATTCTACATTTTAGTACTTTTTCTAGGTCATAAAGTCATTTGATGCTCTGTGAGTTGGTGAGTGGATAAAAGAACCTCTACAGATGGAAGCAAAACTCTAGCAACTACAGGAAAAGAAAAGTTGCCTCTGATAGCTGTCTGTGCTTTGTTGCAGGGGTGACTTGCATAATGATATGGCTAATGGAAATCAGTAGCACATACTGGTCCCTAAGCCCACAGTTGTTTCTCTCTGTGAAATTAGAGGAGAAAAGAATCAATAAGCAGGCCAACATGAAGTCCCATCTGTTTCTAAAAGAGGCAATTGAGAATTAGGAGCTCTGAAATGGGACAATAGAGTTTTTAAAAGGGCACTCAAACCTCACTGTGTGGCCTATGATGAGTCTGTCAACCTCTCTGGTTATGTGCGTTCTCGTCTGGAAAGGGAGAGTCAGTAACTATTCCACAGAGTACAGAGAGGACTAAATGAGGTAAGCTACATAAAACACTTAGCCTGGTGCCTGGCATATATTAAATATTCAATAAATGTTAGTATGATCACTTTCTATTGACAGGCAGTTTCACATAGAGCATTTATCTTCTTTTGGCTTATTAACTTCCCAGAGGAGTAGATGAGCTCAAGTAGTAGGGTAGTAAACAGAAGAGTGATGGGATGGGAAAATAAATCTCTATGGAGATAGTTTGGGGAAAGCTATTCGTCCTAGTCTATTAAATCAGTTACAGCCTAAGGTGGTCCTATTTGTCCGACCACATAACTAATTTTGTCCAATTCGATTTAAGAATCATTTTTTAACGAGGCACTACACTGCTAGGCACACGAGCTCTAGAAAGTTGAAATTGACTTGGTGAAACTTTTTAGTACAATGACAACATATGAACAGAAATTTAACTTCCTTTTATTCATCACAACTGTCTCCTCACCTCATGTACACACTCACACATCCCTCCAGAATCCTATAGCAATTACCACTGGAATGCGAAAGTAGTGGGAAATCTGCATCAGTTCTGGAAACTATAATATGTTACATCCTAATGCCAATGCCATATCGGCATGAAATATTGAGGGATTTCCATCATATAGAGTGCTGAAATGGTCTGCTGAAGAGAGACTTGAAGGGCAATGCCATGCAGTCCTCTGAAAGGCCAGCATCCTAAGGAATTAGGTGGAGTCCTTGAACAGCCCTTGTAACACCTCCTTAATTCAAAAAAGACAAGAGCATACTATGGTTCGTGGGTAAGGCTGCCAGATCAAGTATAGGACACCTAGTTAAAGTTGACTTTCCAGTAAACAATAGATTTTAGTGGGTGGGGCAAGGGACCAGGGGTAATAAGTATGTCCCATGCAATATTTGGGGTGCGGGAAGGGAGCAAGGGTAATAAGTATGTCTTGTGAAAAATTTGTGATATACGAAAGAAACTTTTAAAAATACTACTATCTAATAGGCTAGAAACTGAGAAGAGTAAGCCATAAACAGCCTCTGTGGCCCTTTCTGGTTACATGGAAATGCCCAGACTCTTGCTTAAAGATTGTAGATACAGTAGCGTAGGCATAGGCATGTATATTATTTGCTAAATCAGGCAAGGCTACTCACAGGGCTACCACATGCAAAGCTTTGGGAAGAGCTGCAGGCTGGGCTGTGGCCTGGCAACTGTGATGAACAGAAGATGGGCAGTATTGCAGCTTGTTCTTCAGCAGGTGGCTACATGGGAACAGAAAAGAACAAAGAAGCAATGTTTCAGCACAGAGGAGGGACTCCCTGCTGAGGCTGCCTATTGCCTCAGCTCTCTCTCTTTTCCTCCAAGACTGCAGGCTTTCTGAACAGTTATTGCAATTTTACGGGAAATGTATTCTCTTTTTCTCTTTTCATCTGGATCTAGAGGTTTCAGACAGTCACTTGCACCAGTAGAGGATAGAATCTCTCAATGTATTGCTGTGAGCCAATACTGGGTATTCATGCTACCAACCCCCATCCCCCCAATAAGAATGAGGAACAAATCTATTTTTTAAAAAAACCCAAATCTAAAATACAGAAGGAGTTCATATTTAATATTCCCTGAATTCCATAATGAAGACAGTAGCAGAATTAATACTAAAGAAAATCCAATTAGTGAAGTAGAAAATGAACTTAAGTATTTCTAAAAATTAGAGACAAAGGCATAAAAACTACACAACTTGACATACGGATTCAAGAGGCTTAATCCATACAAATAATAATCTTACAAATAAATAACAGATTGTATGATACAAAGGTATTAATAAAAGAAAGAGTAGAAGAAAATCTTCCTGAGAGGAAACAATATTAGGTCACAGATCAGAAGGACTCATGGAACCAAAAGGAGCCTCTGTGTGTGCTGGTTTTTCATTGTTGTTGTTGGTTTGTTTTTTGGCTGATTTCTTCTCAAGAATAAAACTTGAAATGTTACAAGTATCCAAGCAGAGAAAAATTAACATATTATTAAACACCAAAGACAGGCTACTGTTAGTTTTCTCTAGAACATTCCTTGAGGTAGTAATCCTCCAAGCTCTGAGCACAGACGGCTTCTATGCCCAGTGGTTCCTGTAGTAGGGACAGCAGAAAGGCATTCTCAGACTGCAAACACTTCCAAAGCATATCACCTGTACACCTCTCCTGAAATAGTTAATTGAAGATAAGTTTTGGCTGACTAATAGAAGAAAATATAAAGAATTTTGAAAATGGGAAAGTTGTTATATGAGATTAAGAGTGAGCAGTGAAACTGGATAAACATAGTTAAGTCCCAATGATTGTTTCTAATATGGTATTAAAGCTTAATGCAAATAAACACCAGACATTATTCTAGAAAAGACAATGCATAGTATCAAATCATTAATTTTATAATTATAATCTGAATCTATATAATCTGGCATAAATAAAAATGGAGAGTTATCAGATGTAAGAAAAAGGTATTGGGATAAAATTAGGTTCCCAGAGTGGAAACCTAATTCATTATAATTATGAAAATAACTTGAATATTTAAAAAATTATAACCATAACCACTAATAGACTAAAAATAGGACATATATTCCAATTTGGTAAAGTAACATTAAAAATGAGAAAAAATATTTAAAGGGCATATGTTGTCAAAATATTAATGATATTCATCACTAGATATTACTTTTGTAACCTGAAAAAATAAAAATAACTTACTATCTCAAAAAAACTACTCTCTAATAAACTAGAAACAGAGAACAGTAAGCTACAAAAAGCCTCTGTGGCTCTTTCTGGTTATGTTTTAAATGCCCAGATTCTTGCTAAAGAAATTGTAGCTATAGGCATGATTAAACGCTCTTCTCTGATACCACACTGGTACACTTACCAATGATTGCAAACAGAATTGACACTGTCTGTGTAGAAGACATTGGTTCCCTGTTACTTTTGCCTCCATTTTCCAGCTTAAAATGACCATGATAACTTTTGAGCAATAGTGGAAAATTTCAAAAAAGATTTTGCTGTACTGGCACCCAGTCTGTCAGTTTAAAGGTAAGACAGCAATGAGCATGCCAGGATGTGTTGTGCTAAGATCACTTCAAAGATGGCCACTCAGTAAAATCTACATTATGTAAAGCATCCTTCACTTTGACCTTGGCAACAGATTTGTAGCCTGAGAGAGCAGTCATGGCTGATCACAAATAATTCATTTTATATTAAACAAGTGCTAAATTCCATAGTAGTTCTTAACAGCAAGGGACTCTCAAAGGGCAAAAGACTGAATAAACTTAAACTTCAGGAAACAGCAAGCTCTTACTTGCAGCAATCAATAGCCTTTTACTATGGAGAGCAACAAAACCTTTTTGGCTTCCTGAGTGCAAGTCAAGCCTCTGATCCCCTTTCTAACCATCATTCATTTTCAGGGCACTTTGATTCTGTGTCTCTCATGTGGAGGCAACAAGGTGCTGGCCCCTGTTTGAACTCAAGTCCCATGGAGAAAAAGATTCCCCAACAGAGAAAATAAATACTTCCCGACTTCTTTGTTTGTCTTCCAGGCTCTCAGTGGGCACAGCACTCCTGCTCCCTCTGGGTAGCACTCTTCAACTCTCCCTGCTAATTAACCTCTCCTACCGGGTTGCCAAATGAGCTGCTGACAACCAGCCCTGAGCAACTAGAAAACACCAGGACGGCAGACTGGATTGTTAAATTCTTCCATTAAGTCTAGGAGCAGAGAGTGCCTTTGGAGTTTTGCTTGGATTCAGTAGTGATAGGTTGACATCACAGTCAGAAAAGGGAAAGATTTTGTGTCACACTGACTCTTTAGCTACAATCAGGACACAGTTTTTGGATTTTTTTCATGTGGTAAAGGAGGCTATAAAAAGTAGTAAATTAATTTTAGAGTATATTAAAACCTAGTAGGTTTTCTTGCAATAGGAAATAAAGAAGATTTCTGAGAAATGTGAGGAGCTCCCTTGAACTTTCAACCTTCCTACCTCCCTTTCCCTGACGTAAATGGATCCCAAACCAAGCAGCCATTTTTTTTGTTTCAGTTAAGGGATGAGGGTGGCTAACATTCCTGACAAGTTGTGAGAGCTCAATAACTAATGAAGAAGAGCCAACATATGATAAAACAAATAACCCATATCACAATTTGTAGGACTGCCATAATTTACAGTATTTTCAATAAGGAATTAGCTATAAATAATTCACTTAAAAGTAAAAGCTTTAGTGAAAGCAATAAAGAAACACTTTTGCTTTTTTTAAACATCAAAACTAATCTTCAGTTCTATGTGTGGCCAGATGGATGAATAAATTTTAGTGACCTTCAAGATGAATGTTGCTGTAAGTCAGGATCACCTTAGCATTTTCAATGGGCTGAGTATCAGAAGGCCAGTACATGCCAATGTATACTTTCTGAAACTCAGAAATTTTGATGTTTGTTTTCTTTTAAAGCATAAGATTATGCTTCTTTTTCACCTTTTTTACCTCTTTTGGTATCAAACATTTCCACCTGATCTTTCTATTTCTCCCCTTTTTTTTGTCTTTTAGATTTCAGTATTTCTAAACTCTTTTACTCCAAAACAGTTTCATGGCTCATTTTTACCTTAAATTTGACTGAAGACCAAATCGATGTTTTCTACTTTTAATGGTTTCTTCCTGCACCCTCACCTTACAGCTTATTCTTCAGGTTAAGTTCATACACATTGTTTGATTTGAGGGATAGTGTCCAGTAAAATTTTTCTCTAATTTCTGAAATTTTGATAGTAACACATTCTTCTTTTGGGTTAATCTCTCTGCTTATTGATCGCCTGGAACGTTATGTTAAAACACATTCCTAGGAGGCTTCAGTGGGAATGTTGGCCATAACTGATTAATGATGCCCTGGGCACAAGATGGGATAGTGCTAGTCAACATCTTGTACTTTTGCTAGCTACGTCTGCTGACTCCTTTGTATAAGGGCATTGGCCAGTCTCCTTTACTTATTGCATGTTAAGAGAGCTCTTTAAGTACATAGGGTGAAGAAGTTCCCAAAAGAGAACATCCCAAAGTAGGTGGGGTTCTAAATACAAAGTGCTTATGTGCCACAATTTTGCTTTTCGTGCCCTGATCTAGCCTTCAATATCTACTTTGAAACATCTATTCAAAATGCAATCTTTTCATTATAAAACCAAAATTGAAAAGTACCAACATAGACATGGGCAGTACCTATTTCTCAAAGCATATTAGTCAAGAAAAAAAATTTTACAGGGACCAATCTACAGGTAGATTTTTGTTCATAATTCAGGGTGGTCATACTGTAAAAAAAAAAAAAGTAAAAGCCAAGATCAGTATATTGTAGTTAATTAAACAAATAAATGGACATACTTGAAGTTCTCTGAGCAGTAGCAGGGCATGAACCAAACTCTCTTACTGCTCCTCTGAATCTTTTACAAGTTCTTCTTTCCTACATATTGGCAACATTTAATGTTCTCTCCACAAACCATTTATCTTCTCCTTTTTATTCTCTTCCTAGGGATCCTCAGCTCAATCTCACCTGAATGTTTTTCCTCTCCTTAAATGACTTCCAATCCAAAACTTCAAACTTGGTGCCTTCAAATTTATTCCTGAATATCTAGTTTAATGGTAAAATGTGGATTTTGGAATGTTCTTTCTAACTTTTAAAACATTTCAAGGTGAATTCATTATTACCACACAAAAGTTATGTTTTTCTGCCACCTTTTATTATGATTATTTTTTTCTCTGAAACAGGGTCTCACTCTCATTGCCCAGGCTCGAGTGCAGTGGTGGGATCACGGCTCACTGCAGCCTTGACTTCCTGGACTCAGATGATCCTCCCACCTCAGCTTTCTGAGTAGCTGGGACCATAGGCATGCACTACCATGCCCAGCTAATTTTTTGTATTTTGTATTTTTATTTTTGTAGTGACAGGGTTTCACCATGTTGCCCAGGCTTGTCTCGAACTCCTGGCTCAAGCGATCTTTCTGCCTTGACCTTCTAAATTGCTGGGATTACAGGTGTGAGCCACCATCCCAGCCCCATCTAATTTTTATGTTAATGAAACTACAACAGTTCAATTACCATGCATGTTGATTTTACCACGATTTTATTTATTTACATCTATAATGTAGAGGGGCTATTTTAGGTCCTCAATTCCTTTCTTTGTTCTATTTCAATTTCCTCCAAACTTCTTCCTTCTTTTGAGGTTTTTTTAATTTCAATCCATATTAAATATCACTATCAGATATTTCATTTTAAAGTATAGTTCTAATTTATTATCCTCTGTTTAGAAAGCTGTGGAGACAGTCCTTTACCTACAGAGTAAAACACATGAAGTCTTAAGCTGGTATTCAGTGTCCTCTATAGGCCAATGCAAGCCTAACCATCTGTCCATCCCTCCTACCTCTCCTTCTTTCCTTCCTTTTTTCCTTGGTTCTTCCTTCTTTCCTTCCTTTCACCCTTCCACAAGTAATCACTGAGTGACTACTGTATGTCCAGCACTGTGTGAGGCCTTGGGAACACCAAGTCAAATGACATAGAGTTTTACCTCAGTCAGCCTAGTAAAACCAGATATGTGTACACAGAATTACATTAAGATGTGGTGAGTGCTGTAACAGAGGTAAGGACAAAGGAGATCAAGAACACCAAGGAAGAAGCAACTAACTCCGGGGAGGCAGGAAAAAGATTGTTCAGGTAAGAGTTCACATAAAATGTGACACTGACTTTGAGTACTGATGAATGAAAGGGTTCCCTGTGGCCCCATCTCCTACTCTTTTTCTATATTCTATGTACCTTCCAGACAGACCAGAAGACTCTCCTTGCTGTGAACATATGCCAAAAGTGCATTTGATCGTGCTTTTTAGTTTTAACCAGGTCTCCCTTCCCATCTGTAGTGAGTTGAATGGTGTTCTCCAAAAACTCATGTACCTGGAACTGAGAATGTGACTTTATGGAAAATAGGGTTTTTGCAGGAGTAATTTATTGGGACATCTCAAGATAAAATCATCCTGGATTTAGTGTGGGCTTTAAATTCAATGACTGGTATCCTTAGAAGAAGAGGAGAGGACACCTAGAGACATATCAAGGATACAGCCATGTGAAAATAGAGGCAGAAATTGGAATAATATGTCTCCCAGCCCTGGAATGCCAAGGAGAGAGGCATGAGCAGATTCTCCCTCAAGGCCTCCAGAAAGAAACAAACCTGCCCACACCTCGATGGCAGACTTCTGCTCTCCTGAACTGTGAGACAAAATGTCTGTTTTTTTTTTTTTTTTTTTTTTTTTTTTTTTTTTTTTTTTTTGAGATGGATTCTCGCACTGTTGCCTAGGCTGGGCTGCAGCTGCATGATCTTGGCTCACTGCAACCTCCGCCTCCTGGCTTCAAGCGATTCTCCTGCCTCAGCCTCCCAAGTAGCTGGGATTACAGGCACCTGCCACCACGCCCAGCTAATTTTTTTTGTATTTTTAGTAGAGATAGATGGGGTTTCACTATGTTGACCAAGCTGGTCTCAAACTCCTGACCTCGTGATCCACCTGCCTCGGCCTCCCAAAGTGCTGGGATTACAGGCATGAGCCACTGCTGTCTGTCTGTTGTTTTAAACCACTGAGTTTGTGGTAATTTGTTTCAGCAGCCTAGATAAACGAATATACTGTCTTAATTCCTTGCAATTCTATCTAGTTATTAAAATTTTCTCAAATGCCACTTTTTCCATCAAGTTTTTTTCCTACTGGTTTGCCCCAACTAACAGTTGAATGATGTATGTGATCTCTCCTTTCTCTGACCTTTATTTGTGACTCTTCTAGAGTATTACATTTTACCTTGCATTTGTCATGTGTATTCTGTTTACCAGACTGCAAACTTTTGGTATTTTTAACATAACTTATTCACAGTCATCTCTTTCATGTAGCAGAATTTCTAGCACTTTCTTAGCCTCGGTTCTATCAAAAGCAAAACTTGAAGGAAACAAAGAAATATGTGTGAATAGTTTTAGGAATGTGGTGCATAAAAGCTGCTCAATAAAGGTATAGATAGGAAAAACACTCAATAAATGTTTGTTGAAGGAATTTATAAGTAAAAATCCCTGGAGGACAGGCATCTTGCCTAATTAGTATAATTCCAGTGCCTAGCATAATTATTGGTGCATATAACATGTCTTCAATAGATATTGGTTGAATGAATGAATGAATGCTGAGTGAGGTCAGTTCAAGGGACTTTACCCAGTATGAGAACTTAGTTTCATGAATGTCCTCAGCTCTACTGAAATATACCCTCCCCCATGGTCAGAGAGGAATAATAATATCAAAACTCCTAATAGATATGATCCTCTCTAAATTGCTATTATGTTAATGTGATTGTAATGTTCACAGTCAAATTTACATGTATCAAGTTATCACATCTGATTGATTCATTCTATGGCTAAAATGAAAAGCTCATTGTTCACCTATTTTTATTTGCTCACTATCTTTAATTAAAATTCTGACTTGTGAATTTTGAGAAGTGAAATTGAGACCCCAAGTAAGCTACCCAAGGTCACACAGGTAGAAAACAGCAGAGCCAGAATTTAAAATTAGATTTACCCAATTCCAAAACTCACAGTGTTTCACTATTCCAAGCTGACTTGGCTTCAAATCATTTGACTTTTCCTGACCTCAAAATCCCCCACTCACCAGCTCAAGTTGATTCCTTTATTTTCATCATCCTGCTAGCGTTGAATTGTTTCTAGGCTTCCCATCATCTTGTGATAGGAATGCCACCCACTTATGCTGTGCTGACCTCCGTCTGGTCCTCGTCAATGTGATTTTTCCTTCATTATCTCTTCAGGGTACTTGCCCTTTCTTTGCCACCTTCCAACACCATATGGCACATTCTTATGCCACATGGCTTCCATACATCCTGCCTCCTTATGCTCTTCATTCTCTTAATTCCCTTTATATGCACTTTGACAATTTCTCCCAGCTCTTGGATTTCTGATCTCTACTTTCATCCCAGGTTTCACTGCCATGCCCTGTTCTTTCTCATTTCATGGCAGTCTATATAGTTATGATTGCAACATATGTCTATAATTCCTTCCTAGTACTGGGAACATCCATCACTCTGCTGACACCATATAAATTCTGTGCATACATTTCAGATTTGAGAGGAAGGAGGACACTTTCATCCAAAATGAGCTGACATTGCTTCACAAGTTGATTTGGGGGCCCACCAACCCCCTACAAAGTGGCATCATATGAATGTACAAAGAATTCTGAGACAAAGATTTTTATTGAATTTCTGGAGATTAACTCACATACATATACACAAATAGAATCACACACACAAAACACATATGTCATTTTTCTTTTGTTTCCAAATTTATATTATACATTTGTAAATACTGAAATGTTTAAATGAACAATGAACATCCATATGCCCAACATCTAAATTCAATAACTGTTAACTTTTGCCACATTTGCTTAATGTAGCTATAAATGTGTTTGTATTTTTCAAATAAACTATGTGAAAATCAATGAAAGACATCAAGATGCTTCAGGATGTATCTCCTAAAGAATGAGGACATGTTCATTTACAGCCATACTATTCCATTATCATATGTAAGGAGTTAACAACAATTCCTTAGTAACATCAAATAGAGGTACATATTCAAATTTCTTCCAGTTGTTCTTAAGTGTATTCTATAACTTTAAAAAAGTCATAATCAGGAGGCTAAGGCAGAAGAATCCCTTGAACCCTGGAGGCAGAGGTTGCAGTGAGCCGAAATGGCACCACTGCACTCCAGCCTGGGCAACAAAGGCAGACGCCATCTAAAAAAAAAAAAAAAAAATTCAGGATCAATAAACTTTCATATAGTGCATTTGGGTATGTTGTCTTTTTAGTGTCTTTTCATTTACAGTAATAGTCTTCCTGCCTGTTTTTTATGTCTAGACATGACCAAACAAGGCTGATTCCCTTGTAAAATACGTCTCATTCTGGATCTTGTGTTGTCACGTAATTTCTTTCTCCATCCCTTTATTTTCTGTAAATTGTAACTTATGTTTAAAGTATTGATTAGGTTCTTGCTAACATTTTTTGAAAGAGTATTTCCTAGATGATTATATTTACTTCAAATTGCCTCACATCAGGGGACATATAATATTAGGTCTGTCCCACTATTTGATCTCTTGGTTAGGATGGGGAAAGCCAGATGTCTCCATTGTAAAGTTGCACTTTTCCCATTGCAATTGGCAAGTAGTCTGTGAAGTGACACTTTGGCAGAGTGTGAATTATCTATTCCCCTGACTGCCTTTCCCATAATGATTTTAGCATCCACTGGTGATCTTTCCTGAATTAATTACTGTATTGAGGGTTAGAAAATGTTGATTTTTCTAATTCTGTCATTCATTCTAGATAGAATTAGTACCTAGCCTTGCTCTATAAAGAAAAACTTATTATATCAACTAGGATAAAACTATACTTCATCTAAATAAAAGGCAGAATAGGTACTTATTAGTTCTCTTTAATTACCAGTATTTAAAGGATTATTGTAATCATCATCTCCAATTGAGGCTAATGAGCTTCCTCCTCCTTTCTTTCCTTTTAGCCTTATGGATTTTATTTATTCTATGATTATAATCATTAAAGTCATGATTCTTATCCCTCTTCAAATTATTCGAATTTTGGCCAGTAGGACCTCCTTCAAGCTGGCTTCTGTTTCCTTTTGACACAACTACATTAGACTTTGCATGTTTCCTTCCTGAGCACAAGGTGCTCAGACTCCCTTTGAGCTTTTCTTCTCGGGATTATTTTAGCAAGAAAATATACTAATTTTTATATTTAGATGAAAAAAAAGAACACTGTGCCCATAATTCGTGGCAGGTCATTCCAAAAATAAGCCTAATGTAACACAAATACATTAACTCCAGAAATCTGTTCTAACCATCAGAAGAAAGATGTTCAGAATCATAACCTAATTTTCTGTTTCACTCCACCAATGAGAAATAAGCATATAAAGGAGACAGAAAGAGAAAATGACATGACTCCTGGACCATACCCATGGTGTACTGATATGTACAAGCAAACAAAGAAAGAGTGGAGAGGTACCAGCACCACTATAAATTTAAAAGCTTGAATTACAAGAAAATATCAAATGTCATACTTTAACATTTATAAGGTAGGCTACAAAATTTATGAAAGATGTTTCTTAACTTACCACCATGCCAAAATTTAATATTTAAGGAAAATAATAGTAGTGCTAGTTGAATATTGGTTTGGTCATAGCCAAAATCATATGGAAGCAAAGTAAAAATTTGATATGCTAAACCACAGTGAAATATCTAATATTATATATAATATCAGATAAGTGCCTTGAAAATAAGTATTCTCTACAAATAAACACCAATAATTACATTCCTACAATTTGTCATCAATGTCAGAATCTAGAATGACCCTTAGACAATTCAGTAAATTCAGAGCTTGTACCCACACAGTCTTTCAAAAGTCTATACTAGTCTCAGTGAGAATCATGGTAACATTTGAATCTGTTTATCATACTAGGGCTTCCACACACACAAAAAGCCTCACAAAAGAGCACAGCCATCCTACAAAGGTTAAGTGAACTGCAGGAGTTTATAATAAAAACATTTAGACATTCCCAGAACAAAATAAAATTAATGGATCACTCATGTAGTTGGAATTCAGAGAAGCAGAGCTCACACAACTCCAAACAGATGTTAATAAGGGCAATGCCAAAGAGAAGATGTGCCAGCCTGCTTTTCAGGAACAGTGATTATTTTGGTCACTAACACCATAGCTTTGTGGTGAAATACTTTAATAGGTTAAAACAGTGCTACTTCTTTTCTTTCCTCTAGAAAGAGGTAACATGGACAATATCTACCACATTTCAGACATATTTATCCTCTTATACACATATGTACTGCTCCACCCAATTTTAAGAAAGAATATCAGGCAAGCATACTTGTCTGTTGTCATATTCTTTGAAACAGCAACTACTTCTACCAGAGGTAGTTCCTCAGGGCTTTAAGAGCATCTGTTACACAGCTGGAGGGAGAGGCTTACAGCTATTGAGCTGTGCACAGGACCCTTTCACAACTCTAAGTTTTGCCATTATTTAAGGACCATTTTTTCACACAAGGTATTCATAATGCATGGGCAGATAACGGCCTACTTTCCACTGTGTTTGAGATGGGGAAGAACAATGCCCAGGCACTTTTTTCCTCTCTGTTAATGGCACTTAAATGTGTGTGTGTGTGTGTGTGTGTGTGTGCGTGTGTGGCGGGGCAGAGGGTGGCCAAGATCCCTTTGAATGTCTGATGAAAACTATGGGCTCTCTCCCTGGAAAAATGCACAATACTTTGAGTGCAATTTGACGGTGTTTATTGCTCCCCCGAAGTCCATCCTTGGACAGCTGTGGACTCTATGAGCTCTGAGAAGGAAGCCTCCACCCACACAGACAAGGCTGCTAAGCATAAAAATGGAGTGAAGCACAGCATTCCACTCAACATTTTGCCGAAAGAGAATGTATTCCTGTGTTACTGTCACATAAATACAATTAAATTTTTATCTCAGCTTTTTAAAAATTCAAATGAAGAGCCAAGAATAAGTCAATGATAAAATTCGTGGCAATCCTAGGTATTTCCACAGCTTCCAAAGTAGTGTGATTATGAAAGAGTTATAATAAATTTAAAAAAAAACTGATAACAAGAAATTTCAGCCTGGAAAAGACAGTGGCATAAACCAGATTTCTTAAAGGCCACTGCATTTCCCATGCCATTCTAGTTAGTAATGGATTAGAAACAGTTCTTTGTGATAATATAAGATCTTGATTTCTTCCCTAGGAGTTAGTTGTTTCTTTTCCTGGTAGTTTAGGAAGACATTATTATGTGCAACTGCTAATACCATTAGTTTTTAAGTTAAGAAAAGTTTAGTGGAGATTTATGAAATTCCACGATGACTGTCCATGCTTAAAGGTAATCTCTCCTCTAAAGTTGAAATTATTGATGCTTGTTGGGTGCCTGGTTCAAGGGCTCATTTGTTTTTAATCTCAGGCTATTTTATGAATTGATTTTGCTGTGCCTGGACACTTATGAGAAGCCAAGAAAGAATATTTATCTCAGCAAGTTTTCTTTCCAGAAAATCCCACCTGATAACGAGCCCTTCATAGTGCTTTTTACCATGACCTTCAAGGCCCTTGCAATCTGCCCTCCAGGTATCACCAGCTTCATCTCGTATGATCACCCTCCTCAGATCCCTTACCATTTCTTGCAGGGCCCTGCATCCATGTCTTTTACCACGCTTTGCTAGTTGCCTGAAATGCCATTTTCTTTTCTTCTATCTAATGAAGAGCTACTTGTTCTTCAAAGTCCAGCTAGGCTTGTCTCTCCACTGAGAAGCCTTCCCCTACTTGCTCAGGCACACACAGTCCCCTGTTATCCACTGCCCTAGCTCTTTGTTGGAAGAAAGGAAGGAGGGAGGAAAGAAAAACAAATGAATGCTGTGAGTGCCACATGAGTAAAGATCATGCTTGTGTTTTCATCTATGTGGTTGTAATGCTTACTACAGGGCCTGGTGTTTGACAAATAATTATTATAATTAATTAGTTACTCCAATGCATTTTTTATTCTTTTCAAATCAAAATTTATAATTAGGTATTTACTTTTTTATTTAGAAATTTAACATAGATTTATCCTGTTAACCCATAAATGCCATGAGGGGTATATTTTTTAAATTTATTTAACAGCTTTATTGAGATATAATTGATATACAAAGAACTGCACATATGTAATGTGTACAATATGATAGGTTTGGACGTATGCAAATACTCACATGCCATCACCATAATCAAGGTAACACATCTAACACCTTCCTAAGTTTCCTTGTGTCCTTTTGTTTTTTTGTTGTTTGTTTGTTTTGTGGTAAGAACACTTAATATAAGATCTATCCTCTTAAAATATTTTGAAGTACACAATACCCTATTGTTAACTTCAAACACTATGTTGTACAGCAGACCTTGAGAACTTATTCATCTAGCATAACTGAAGCTTTATACCCACTGAACAACAACTCTCCATTTACCTCTCCCTCTAGTTTCTGTAAACCACTATTGTATTCTCTGCTTCTTTGAGTTTGACTATTTTAGAAACTTCATATAAGTGGAATAATGCGGTATTTGTGCTTCTGTGATGCTATTTAGCTTAGCAAAATGCCCTAAAGTTTCATCCATATTGTCACAAATGGCAGACTTTTTTCCCTTTTTAGGCTGAGTAATATTCCATTTTATGTAAATACCACATTGCTTTATCTATTCATCTGTTGATAGACACTTGTGTTGTTCCATATATCTTGGCTATTGTAAATAATGCTGCAATGAACATAAGAGTGCAGGTATTTTTTCTGGATTCTGATTTCCTTTCTTTGGGATGTATACCCAGAAGTGGGATTGCTGGATAATACAGTAGTTCTATTATTAATATTTGAGAAAACTCCATACTCTTCTCCATAGTGACTGTACCATTTTGCATTTTCACCAACAGTGTACAAGGGTTTCAATTTGTCCACATCCCCAACACTTTATGTGTGTGTGTGCACGCATATGTGTGCGCACACCCAGGCTGGAGTGCAGTGATGTGATTATGGCTGCAGTGAGCCATGGTCACACCATGATCACACATCCTAGGCTTAAGTGATCTTTCTGAGTAGCTGGGAATAGAGGCATGTGCCAACACGCCTGAATAATTTTTGTATTTTTAGTAAAGATAAGGTTTTGCCATGTTGCCAGGCTGGTCTCAAACTCCTGAGCACAAGTGATCCACCTGCCTCAGTTTCCCAAAGTGTTAGGATTATAGGCATGAGCCACTGCGCCTGGCCCCCATCACTTTTTATCTTTTTTTTATCTTAATAGTAGCCATCCTAACAGGTGTGAGTTGTAATCTCGTTGTTTTGATTTGCATTTCCCAGATCTTCCAAAGTATTTCAAAGTGCCTTTCACCTCTTCAAAGCAAAATTCATATTTTAAATACCAAGTGCATAGCGGGAATAAATGTGAGAGTTCTGTGAAAAGTGTGGAGTCTCATGTTACTTTATTTTGGTTTTCAGAAGGCAGCATAATATAGTGATTAGGATTTCAGGCTCTAGAGTCAGACACCAAAAATTGATATAAGTTACTAGAGCAGTCTGTAATAACAGAACCAGACTTATAAAATCTATGTGAGGATTAAGTGAGATGATACACATAACAGCCTTGTCCACGGTGCATAGCAAAGAGTTAATGAAAATTTAGCTAGAAGTGATGACGAAGGTGGTGGTGGAGGTTATAGTGGTAACATTTATTTAAAACAATTAGAAGGCAGCTATTTTAATTTCTTAGAATAATCCCTAGCCCTATGATTGTACAAATATTGCAATAGATTGTGTTTTTCTTCAAATGTTTGTAGCATTTAGTCTTTAACATGAGTGAATAATGAGAAATGAAGATTGTTATCTTATTTGTAAGAATAGGCAGGCTCTAGGGTAAAACATTGCCTTGTCCTTTCAACCAAGGAAAAAAGAATAAAAGTTTCTGTGTACCAAGGGGCTAAAAGTGGTATAGCAAAAGCATTTAGGGGGTACAGTGGGTACATAATGAAAAGGATGGTGGCTTATCATCAATGAAACAAAAACATATCCATAACCATAAATTATGAAATATGAAGAATATTTGCCAAATACTGTGAAACTTGGACCAAAAGAGAAATAGTACTGACATCTATTCCTATATTCTTTAGGCAGGAAGAGATTTCTTAAAATTAAGTGTCCAAGTTCCTAAAAGCCCATATATTAAACTTTTGATTAAGGCAATAAAATAGAGGGTTTTAGAAAGGTCTTAGAAAAAGAGGAGAATGTTCCTACAGTAATCAAGTTGATAAACAGTTTATCAGGAGAGATGGGATTAAAGTACACCTCATACTAATATATCTTTTTACGATGTATTATATAATATTATAACATTTATAATTACGTAAAATATCTGCTGGAGGTATAATAAAGGAAGAAGGGTAAGCAGTGAAAATAAGACTATAAATCAGAGAGCATATTACCTAAGGGCTATAAGCCACTCCAACTTCCTGAATGGGAAAAGACTGAAGATGATAGGCAATCAGGACAAAGTAATGACAAATTTGGTTACAGGGCATGGAATAACACAAACTTAATTTAAATCTGGGTATTAACCAAGCTAAATCGATTGAATTTTCCTCTGACTTTAACTGGCAAATAAGTGTTCTGAGTTCAGTACTCATTTAAAGATTCATTTCTACTACCTAGTAGGTAGAAAGGAAACAATAGTGGGAGGCATGGCAGAAATACCAGGTTGGGGAGAGAGGAGGAAATAAATATATGCAAAAAGCAAATAATCTCAGGATACAAAATCAATGTGCAAAAATCACAAGCATTGCTATGCACCAATAACAGAGAGCCAAATCATGAGTGAACTCCCATTCACAATTGCTTCAAAGAGAATAAAATATCTAGGAATACAACCTGTAAGGGATATGAAGCAGTGCTTCAAGGAGAACTACAAACCACTGCTCAAGGAAATAAGAGAGGACACAAACAAATGGAAAAACATCCCATGCTCATGGGCAGGAAGAATCAATACCGTGAAAATGGCCACACTGCCCAAAGTAATTTATAGATTCAATGCTATTCCCATCAAGCTACCATTGACTTTATTCACAGAATTAGAAAAAACTACTTTAAATTTCATATGGAACCAAAAAAGACCCATATAGCCAAGACAATCCTAAGCAAAAAGAACAAACCTGGAGGCATTATGCTACCTGACTTCAAACTATACTACAAGGCTACGGTAACCAAAACAGCATGGTACAAGTATCAAAACAGATATATAGACCAATGGAAGAGAACAGAGGCCTCAGAAATGACAACACACATCTACAACCATCTGATCTTTGACAAACCTGACAAAAACAAGCAACGAGGAAAGGAGTCCCTATTTAATAAATGGTGTTGGAAAAACTGGCTAGCCATGTTCAGAAAACTGAAACTGGACCCCTTCCTTACACCTTATACAAAAATTAACTCAAGATGGATTAAGGACTTAAACATAAAACCTAAATTCATAAAAACCCTAGAACAAAACCGAGGCAATACCATTTAGGACATAGGCATGGGTAAAGCCTTCATGACCAAAACACCAAAAGCAATGGCAACGAAAGCCAAAATTGACAAATGGGATCTAATTAAACTAGAGAGCTTCTGCACAGCAAAAGAAACTATCATCAGAGTGAACAGACAACCTACAGAATGGGAAAAAACTTTTGCGATCTATCCATCTGACAAAGGGCTAATATCCAGAATCTACAAGGAACTTAAACAAATTTACAAGAAAAAAACAACCCCATCAAAAAGTGGGTGAAGAATATGAACAGACACTTCTCAAAAGAAGACATTTATGTGGCCAACAAACATATCAAAAAAAGCTTATCATCACTAGTCATTATAGAAATGCAACTCAAAACCACAGTGAGATACCATCTCATGCCAGTTAGAATGACGATCATTAAAAATCAGGAAACAACAGATGCTGGAAAGGATATGGAGAAATAGGAATGCTTTTACACTGTTGGTGGGAGTGTAAATTAGTTCAACCATTGTGGAAGACAGTGTGGAGATTCCTCAAGGATCTAGAACTAGAAATAAAAATTTGACCCAGCAGTCGCATTACTAGGTACATACCCAAAGCATTATAAATCATTCTACTATAAAGACACATGCACATGTATGTTTACTGCAGCACTATTCACAATAGCAAAGACTTGGAACCAACCCAAATGTCCATCAATGATAGACTGGATAAAGAAAATGTGGCACATATATACCATGGAATACTATGCAGCCATAAGAAAGAATGAGTTCATTTCATTTGCAGTGACATGAATGAAGCTGGAAACCATCATCCTCAGCAAACTAGCACAGGAACAGAAAACCAAAGACTCAAAGTTCTCACTATATGTGGGAGTTGAACAATGAGAATACATGGACACAAGGAGGGGAACATCACACACTGGGGCCTGTTGGGTAGTGGGGTGCTAGGGGAGGGATAGCATTAGGAGAAATACCTAATGTAGATGACAGGCTGATGGGTGCAGCACGCCACCATGGCACGTGTATACCTATGTAACAAACCTGCACATTCTGCAGATGTATCCTAGAACTTAAAGTATAATTTTAAAAAAGCAAATAAATTAGCAAATATAAGTATTTCACCTAGAAATAGAGAAAGAGTTGAGAAAAAGTTATTCAACATTTCAGTCATATCTTTCTAACAACAACAACAAAAAATGGTTCAATTGGAAAGAAAAAAGAAAATTTAAAAAATCAGTAGCAGGAAGCAAAAAAAAGCTTGTAAAACTCAGAAAAGAAATGAACGTAATGATTAAAAGATAACAGAAATACAGAAACATTGATTAAACGATAAGACATGAAGAAGAGACAGAAATAAAAATATGAAATGCAAAATAAAAAACTAAGAAGAATTAAGATGAAAATGATAAATATGAATTAAAAGGAGATTACATTTCTTGAAAACCAAAGACAAAATGGATGTTTTAAATGTAACAGATATAATAGAAGAAAACTTACTTATGAAATAAAGCACTGAATCTGCAACTTGAAAGGCACACTAACCTTATTGAGTATTCAGTGAATTTCCAAATTTTGAGAATAAATAAATAACTTTTGAAAAGTGATTAAAAAAAGTCACAAACAGGAAAAACATTACAAATTCTCACAAACCCATTTCCAGAAGACAGTGGAACTATGTCTACAAATATCTGAGTACAATTATGACCAAAGAATTTTAGAATTCTGAAAGCTTTTCTTCCAGATGTAAGGTCAACAGACTAATATTATGACACATGCAGAAGTTCAGGGGAAACTGTACCTCTAACCTTATTGAAGAAAAAAAATTGGCCGGGCGCCGTGGCTCACGCCTGTAATCCCAGCACTTTGGGAACCTGAGGCAGGCAGATCATGAGGTCAGGAATTCGAGATCAGCCTGGCCAATATGGTGAAACCCCATCTCTACTAAAAATGCAAAAATTAGCTGGGCATGGTGGCGGGCAACTGTAATCCCAGCTACTCGGGAGGCTGAGGCAAGAGAATCACTGAACCTGGGAGGCAGAGGTTGCAGTGAGCTGAGATTGCCCCATTGCACTCCAGCCTGGGCAACAAGAGCAAAACTCCATCAAAAAAGAAGAAAAGAAAAGAAAAGAAAAGAAAAGAAAAGAAAAGAGAGGGGAGGGGACGGGACGGGAGGGGAGGATCAGTCTCGGGTGAAATCTAGCCAACCAAGTAATATACCAAAATAAAAAGCTGAGGTAGGAAGATTCCATGGTGAAAATATTGGCAGTGAGCACTAAATCATATTAAATATAGAACTAAAGACTAAGTAACTGTGGACTTATGGTCAAAGAACAGAATAAAGATGTTATAAATCTTGACAATGTAGAAATAGTAATATTGCTAACAAAATTCGGAAGTTCTGAAGGAGAAATTATAGGAAAAAAATAAGTATCTATTTTATCAGCTATAGTGGAAATAAGTAAATGTTATTGCCAACTGAAAATATAATTAAAATAATGATTTCTTACTTGATTAATATTTTAACTCTAGAGTTTTATCTTTTAAGAATTATATGATTTGTGTGTGTATAAAATACATAATACACACATCTACATACATACAAAGGATTTAGAATAGATATGTTCTAGGTCACTTGCATTTCTATATAAGTTTTATCATCAATTTGGTAATTTCAACAAAAAAGTCTGCTGGAGTATTTATTAGACTGCTTTAAATTTATAGATAAATTGAGGAGAATGGACATCTTAACTATATTGTCTTTTATCCTATCAGCATGGTATATCTTGCCAATTATTTAGATTTAATTTAATATCAGAATAATTGTTTTTTAACTTCTTTATATTTTATCGCCCTCCAGCACAGTCTTGCTCATAATGGATACCCAGGAAATATTTACTCAATGTAATCGACGTCCCCCAAACCAAAATATTTATTCTGGAATAATAAATCTGTAGGTAGAGATGAGAGTAAGAAAAAGATAGGTAAAGATACAGGTAAATATATTGTTCCAACATCAATTTAAAGTTTAAAGGTCTACTGCTTTTGCACAATTTAAAGTTCAAAAGAGCATTTATTTTTATTTAGCCAGCAAATCTCCCACTGGAATTCCGTATCTTATCTCCACCACACATATAATTATCACTGAATTAATACTTGTTGAATGAATAGCCTTTACACTTAACTCTTGAATATCTGCCCCACACTGTTGTGTCATTAAACCTGATTTGTTTTCAAGAAGGAAGCAGATCTTCTACAAATGCTTGCTGAAACTGCACATGAAACACTATTCTGCAAACATCTCAGGAATAGTGTCGTGAGGATGTTACTCAAAGAACATGACATTTAAACGCAGAAGCCCTGACAACGAAGACCTGAGAAATTGATGAAACTATGGTTGAGTCATAGAAAATGATAGTTATGTAACTACTGGGTCTTCGAAAAAAAAGGGTTGAGAAAAGAGGAGTGGGGCTGGAAAAGCGGGGAGGAGGAAAGTTTAAACATTTGAGAGGTAATGGAAGGCAATGAACAAATAATGATGAACATTAGTAGTTATAAAATAAATGCACTTGGAGAACTACTGATTGGGTTTATAAAACTATATTGTAACATACAATTATGTAAACATTCTTCTATATATATCATGATAAAGTGGTCAAGACATTAACAACAGGGTATTGTCCTGCTTTTCTTTAATGTTAAATCCAGGATGCCCTTAACAACCAGCTGGTGTGCTTTTCTGAAATGACTAACTGGTGTTAAGAACACAGTCTTTTATTTTAGGACAGTGCATTTCTCTTTAGACATTAGTGTGCTGAACCTTAGTGTCACATATTTGAAACTCTAACCCACTAAGTTCATTGCCCCTGATTAAAACATTAATAATGCTACAACAATATAATTGCATTGAAGTCATTGTTTATTATAGAAAAAAAATGAGCAGGTAACATTGGCATTGCAAGAATAATGAGTATCTCACACAAAATAGGCAGGAGGGTTCAACAGATCTGCTGGACTGATCTGGTGTGAAATAATTGCATTGATGACTTTCTTCAGGTTGTCATCACCAAATATCGCCTGGCAATTATTTTGAACAGCTGGCTGCTGTTATTGTGCATCTATTTATAAAGCTGTTCTCTTCAACAAAGCTGAGGTCTTATAAGCATCTGTCTGCAGCCAGTTTTTGTTTCTCATGGAAAGATGATTTTTTGCAGACCTTAGTTCTTGTCAGCCTTTCCCCCTTCCCCGCCAATATTCAACATCCTTTTCTGGATCTTCTTTATTTATACATCATTTCTATTAACAGATCTGTCCCATCCAACCAAAATGAAAACAACCCTGAATTAATTAAGCCACGACTGGCTTCTGTCATATCATAAAACAAATGAGATTATGTCTTATCCCTGTGCTTACAAAGTCTACTTCCAAACACATATGGGATGACAGCAATAGTTCTTCAACTTCTGATTTCCTCTTGTAGAATTTCACGATGTTATGTTACGTTTTTATAGATGCAATTAAATGAAAAGAAATAGAAGTCATTGAAAAACTGCTTCAAATTAAAGAATAACATTTCTGGAAGAATTACCATAGAATATTTCAGCTTAAAAATATACTGTTTAGGTGCATATCCTAAGAAAGATTAAACAAATATGAGAAGGAGATGACAGCTTGGTGGTGGCCCTTTTTTCTCAGAGGACACCCGAGCATCTGTTATAGCTTTGGTCATTTGCTGATACTATTTGAAAGATAAAGCTAAGAAAGGAAATGTCTCATGAAAAATGTCCAGAAGTATATAAGTAATGGGAGATCTGCTAAATCAGCACTGTCGAATAGAACATTCTGCGATGTAAATACTTTATATCTGCCAGTAGCCACATGCGGCTATTGAACACCTTAAATACTATTAGCATAACTGAGGAACTAAACTTGTTTCTATTTACCTAATTTTATGTATTTATGTATTTTTTTTTTTGAAACACAGTCTCACTTTGTCTCCCAGGCTGGAGTGCAGTGGCTCGATCTTGGCTCACCGCAACCTCTGCCTTCTGTGTTCAAGCAATTCTCCTGCCTCAGCCTCCTGAGTAGCTGGGATTACAGGTGCCCACCAGCATGCCTGGCTAATTTTTGTATTTTTAGTAGAGATGGGTTTTCACCATGTTGGCCAGGCTGGTCTTGAACTCCTGACCTCATGTGATCTGCCCACTTCCCAAAGTGGTGGGATTACAGGCATGAGCCACCACCCCTGGCCCCAGCCCTTTAATTTAAATGTAAAAAGCCATATGTACCTAGTGGCTACTGTATTTCCAGCTCTATGTAATAAGCTCTAATCCCATGAACAATCATAAATAGTAATTTAATGTTTAAGATTAGCAAATAAGCCAAATTTTTAAAATGCATATAAGAAAACATTACAGGAGCTTGTTTTTTTTTAAATTTTACTCACAATAAAGTATGTTATTGTTATATCTAGTCTTTTCTGTCCTATTATTTCACCCATTTTTAAAAGTTACATTAGTGTGATAGTTACAGAATTTGGAGGTTGAATGAAACCAAAAGAAAAAAAAAAAGCCTAACTCCATTTCATATATGAGTAAAATGACTTCCAAAGAGCGCTGAAATGACTTCCTTAAGGTCACCTGGCCTTGTCAGAAGCAAGGTTAAAACTAACATCTTTTTGAAGGAAATCCTGCCATTTGCAAAAACATAGATGAACCTGGAGGACATTATGCTAAATGAAATAATTCAGACACAGAAGGACAAATGCTACATGATTCTACCTATATGTCGAATCTGAAATAGTCAAATTTAGAAGCAGAGAGTGAAATGGTGGTTGCAGGGGCTGGTGGGAGGAAGAAGTGGGAGGTATTAGTCAATAAGTACAAAGTTTTGGTGACACAAGTTGAAAAGTTCTAGCGATCTACTGAACAACATTGTGCCTATAGTAAGTAATACTGTATTATATACTTAAACTTTTGCTGGGAGGGTAGATCTTCTGTTAAGAGCTCTTATCACATTAATACCAATAAATAAATAGGGAGGCAGGAGGAACATTTTGTAGGTGATGGTTAGGTTTATGGCATAGATTGTGGTGATGGTTTCATGAGTATGTACTTAATCTCCAAACTCATCAAGTTGTATACATTAAATATGTACAGTTTTTTATATGCCAAAAATACAACTAACTTATTTTTCTAGATAAATATTGTTTTGTTTTGCTGAAAATATATATAATATAAAATTTAACATTTTGACCATTTTAAGTGAACAATTCAGTGGAATTAAATAGATTTTATTTAAATATACATTTAAGTACCAAATGGTTTTTAAATAGTTGTGCATCATTGTGCAACCATCACCAACCACTCTCTACTTCCAGATTTTTGGATTCTGTGGATTGTAAAGAGTCAGTGGGAGGGATTTCCAAAAATAAATTTTAGCTACTTTAAAATTTTACCTGTAGAATACACAAATGGAGACAGAAAATAGAATAGAGGTTACCAGGGGCTGAGAACAGAAGAAAATGGAAAAACTGACACCTTTGAACCTCTCTCAAATATTCTTTCTTTCCCAGAGCTAAGTTGTTCAATGGCTATAACTTTTTTTAAAAATGAAATACTCTGTTTCACTATCACAAATATTTTATTTTTAATTGTATATCCTATGTGTACTAATAATAATGGTAATTCTAGTTAGTGAATATTAATATTTAATATGGGAAAGACTTTGCTTTTGGATATACTGTTTGATTAAGTCCTCATAACAAGCCTTTGAGGTAGATTTCAGTATTATTCCTAATTTATAGATGAGAAAACTGAGGCACAGGGAAGCTAAGTAAGTTTCCCATAGTCACAAACCTAGGAAATAGCAGAAGAGTTATCTGTAACTACCTGAGGACTATAGGTTGATAATTACTATTACTTACACTAATTGTTCCGCTGTGCAATTATAGTCTCCTGCAATCTGGTGTCACTCTTGCCTACCCAGTCTGTCACCTGCTCCTAAACAACTCTGCAATAGACATTGAACAGACGGGTCAGCCTTTCATTGTTCATAGATATCTCCTGTACATTCCAGGCTTTGTTCTTGTTGCTTCCTCCCTTCCCATTCACTCATCAGCCAGCTCCTGTGTACTTCAGCCAGTGCTCTCTAATGAGTTTGCTCTTATCAAGGTACAAATGAACTCCAAGTTAACATACCCAATGGACGCTTCCTATTCACCCCTTATTAGCTCTCTCAGAAGCATTCAATGGTGTTGATCGCTCCCTTCTATTTAAGTAGTTGACTCTCTGGTTTTTGTGATAACGTTAACTTCTATTTCTTTACGGCTATCTTTGGCTTTTCCTTGGATGCTTCATTTACTGGCTTTTTCTGCTCTATCTGACCCTTAAATATTGCTATTTCTCAGAGTCCTTTCTCATTCTTTCTGCAATCCTTAGAGAACCTCATCCTTCTCCACTCCTTTAAATACCAGCTTGATGCTTCTGACTCCCAAATTTAATCCTCAATCCAAGTTTTCCTTAGTCTTGTGCATACATCTCTCTATCTGATATTTCTATTTGGTAGTTTTTCAAGCATCACAGATTGAAAACAATTTGAGGGGTTTCCTTCAACCAAAATTTTCCCTGGTCTTTTCTATTACAGTATTTGGTGCCACCTAAAAGGACTCCCAGATAAAATATGTTGTAAGAGCCAGTTTTTCTCTCCCCTACTCAGCTCAAATTGTCCCAGTTATACTGAAATAGACCCCAAACTCATTCTTTCTTCCCCCATCCTGGTCCAAATCATAACCACACCTTTCCTGGAGCTATGTCAATGATATTTCAAATGGGTCTCTCCTGGCCTTATTTTTCCCCTAAATCTCTTTTCTATGTAGATACCATATTGATATTTTTAAAATATATGTCATATCATCATTTTCCTTGCTTAAATCTCTTAAATGTTACACTGAAAATGAATTAGGAACTTCTTAATTTCATCTTGTCTTCAATTTCATTTTCCCCAATTATGTACTACTCGTTCCCTCATCCATGGTAGTCCAGCCACACTGGCCTTCTTTCTCTACCGCAAACACTTTAAGGGCCTTCTCATGTGGGAGTATTTGTATATGCCGTTTCCTATGTCTGAAATGCTTTTGTGTGGGTTCTTCTCAGGGCTAGCTCTTTTTCCTTTGTTAGTTCTCAGATAAAATATCTCCACTGTGGAAAGGCCTTCACTGAACATCCTATCTAAAAGGGTCAATTCTATTGTTCTCTATCAAAATACACTGTTGTCTTGCTCATGGCCTTTTGCATTTTGTAATTATTTCTTCCTTTCTTTTTAGTAAATGATAAGCTTCAGAGAAAGCAGAAACAATGTTTTGTTTTTCTGCTGAAGATCCAGCACCTAGGAGAGTGCATTGCACAGAGTAGGTTCTCAACAAACATTAGTTCAATGTGTTTGAAAAAAATAAAATAAATCACATAAAATAGTAGAGACATTATTTTCAGGCATTGTTCAGGCATTAAAATTTGGGCACTCTTGCTCCACTTAGTGGTGAGTCTTTTTGTGGGGGAAGGAACTGTGTGAACAATAACATAAAACCCCTGAGATTATTTTGCTCTTTATATCCTCCAGAGCTTGCACAATAAATGCACTGCATTAGCCAGTTTTCATGCTGCTGATGAAGACATACCCAAGCCTGGCAATTTCCAGAAAAAAAAAAAAAAAAAAAAAAAAAAAAAAGAGGTTTATTGGACTTACAGTTCCACATGGCTGGGGAGGCCTCACAATCATGGTGGAAGGAGCAAGTCACATCTTACATGGATGGCATCAGGCATAAAGAGAGGGCTTGTGCGGAGAAACTCTCATTTTTAAAACCATCAGGTCTCGTGAGACCCACTCAAGAATAGCATAGGAAAGACCCACCCCCATGATTCAATCATATTCTACCAGGTCCCTCCCACAACACATGGGAATTATGGGAGCTAGAAGATGAGATTTGGGTGGGGACACAGAGCCAAACCATATTATGCACACTGAGTATTTACTTAATTGAAATATGCAAAATAGACTTTAAAAAACGTTCACCTTTATATATGCCCTTGAATCATCCATATTAAGGACTAGAGGGTCATCCATTTAAGCATATTTTTTGTTAAAGCTTTTCAGTGTTTTTAAGAGGGTTTTAAGTCTTCTCTCTACCTGTGTGATCCTCAAAGCACATAGGCCTGTCTTTTATCAATATCTCAGAACACCTGCTCTCTTGAACCTTGCCAAAGATTACTCCTTGAAATTCTCAGCTATATCCCCTCCCCACCAGCAAAAGGTGCCACCTGGAAGAAAGACCCAGTTTGCCTTGTTCCTCACTCTTTTCCAGCACGTAGTGTAAAACCTGATACACAGTAGGTACTCAATAATGTGCAACAGTTGCTAAATAAACAAATGAACACTGTTTGATTCTTATAAAAAAACTCATTTGTTGAAAAAATACAATAGAAATAACCCTAAATAATATAACTTTCATTTGTTTCTGTGGAGTCTGAAGTCTTGATATTTTAGATATTTCTGCAGAGGAAGGATTTATAAATTATATTCTTAAGGCAGGTCATCAAAAAACTCTAATTCTAAAATATAGTGTTTATTATCTCATACAAATGTCTTTAATAAATTGTGTTTAGATGATGTTTTCAGCTTATATAGCATAACCTGGAAAGATTATTTATTGATATTTAGTCGAATTGAACATCTAGTTTTTGATTTGATGGAAAATTCACTCTCTCCTTTTAGAAGAAATATGTTGATCTTTTTCATATATAATTTCATGTTGAATACACGTTAAAATATAGACTATTATGTAAACATAATTCAGTACATGTAAGTTGATATTAAAAACATATTCTAAATTCATATTCTAAGATTGTATGCCATATTTATATCCAAGCTTCAGAAGCACGATCTCCTAGTTCTATGAATTTAGAGTTGATATATGCAAGGTTATTTCATAAGGTACAAGAAACCATGCATAAATTGATATATCTTCCTGAATAAATTTATTCACTAGTAAGTAATTTAAAGCAGTATTTTAATATTAACATACAGTTTATAGAGTAGAATGCAAAATGCAAAATTCACATGAATTTTTAAGATAAAATACAAAGACTTCAAAGAAATTCTATGCCTAGAGAAAGCAGCTCTGAGCTAACCTTTTGGGACCCCCAGAAGTATACATACTCTTTCTCTGAAGTTAGGAATTCTTTGGTGGAAGAGTTTGAGATGCATTAAACCAGTTCTGAAAAAAGAGCCATCTCAAAACTAAAAAAGAGGCCCATTTAAGATGACAGAACTAAAGAAAGGCTTTAGAAAGAGGAGCATCCCAGAATTCTTCAAGGAAGTAGGTATGAAGAAAAGTCTAAGTGAAGATGAGAGAAATGAGAAAGCACAGGAAACCACAACCAATCCCAAGAGCCCCTTCTAAAATCTCAGCAAGATGAATCCCTGAATGCAGAATAGAACTCATTCTGAAAGAGTTCATCCTCTTCAGGCTTGAATCTCCCACTCTCCAGTCCCTCCACTGCCCAGATTCTCTAAGCTAGGACCCAGAGCATGAAGTCTTCACTGGATACAGTGTGAGATGGGGCTGGAGGAACAAGCTGAGTGAGAATTCCACAACCTGGGACTTGATGGTTCACATTGAGGAGAAGCCTAAGAAAGGGCCACTGTGGTAGACTTGGAGATGCACTGCCCAGATGCAGAGAGGGCAGTCAGCATGTCTCTTCAGTTGTCAGCTCCTTTAGTGGCTGCCTCAGCTAAGGACAGCCACCTTGCCCAAAGCCACATCCTTTGCAGGGCAGCCCTCATCTGCAGACTGAGCCAGGCAGGAGCAAATGCCTACCGCTTTGGCCCAATAAGAGCAATTCTGATGGGAAATATACCTTCCAGAGTTTTGAGTTAGTGGAGCCTTTTTGGGGCCTGTACACAGTTCAATTTCTCCTACAAGCCAGGCACAGTGGCTCATGCCTGTAATCCCAGTACTTTGGGAGTCTGAGGCGGGTGGATTCCTTGAGCCCAGGAGTTTTAGTCCAGCCTGGGCAACACAGAGAAACACTGTCTCTATAAATAAAAAACAAACACAAAAATTAGCTGGGCATGGTGGCATGCATCTGTGGTCCCAACTACTCAGGAGGCTGAGGTGGGAGGATCAACTGAGCCTGGGAGGTCGAGGCTGCAGTGAGCCGAGATCATACCACTGCACTCCAGTCTGGCTGACAGAGCCAGACCCTGTCTCAAAAAAAAATTTTTTTAAATTATCCTGCATCCTAATCCTATTTCCTCCCCTTCCTCTCAGAGGTGTTGACCCCTCATAAACTCTGTCTCAGCACGTGCTTCTGGGGAACCCAACTGAGATGGCCTGACATACTGGCAGGGCCAGAGGCAGTGCCTGGTATTGGAGGGCAGATCTGTACACATGGCAGAAAGGCAGTGAATGAAGAGAGGCTGGGAACAAGCAGATGAAGGGGAGGGGATGTGTGAAACAAGAGGGTTCCTGTTGAATTGCTTTGAATTTTAGCTAAATTTTGAGGCTAGCTTTTCTGGGCCAGCAAATGTGTGATGGGTGGAGGACAGGTTTATACAGCCAGGCATAGGATAGACAATTCCATCCTGTTTGCTTTAGTGTTTCTTTGCCTAAACAGGAATCTCAAGTTTTTGACCCCATGTTCATGTTGTGGGAGGAAGGTTTTCTTGACTAATTTTCAACCCCATACTTCCAATTTTACTTGCTGCTGGAGTCAGCCTTCAGACTAATGGGAATCTAACATTTCCCCTACCACACATTCTCATTTCTCATTTCTCCATTTAGCTTTCAGGGTTGGATGCAGGCCTGGGCAGTGAAGTGTGGGGCTTTGGTGAACCAGGCATGGCGGGCAGCAGTAGAAGACAAGGTGGGTGTATGGATAGACACAGTTGAAGGGTTGATGATTCCTCTGACCTTAAATGACCCTAAGTAGCAGTTGTGCAGTATTTTGAGCAAGAGCAGATGGTCTGTGTAGATAGGAGTAGAAACAGATGGCATCTCACTGTCAGATTTTCTCTCCTGAGACCTGGTGCCTGTCGTTGTATGCTTTATACTGCTCTTTGGCAAGCCAAAGGGAGATTTTAAGAACTCCTTGAATAGCCAGTGGCTCTCCCAGGATCTTGCTGGCCTTCTGCTAGGGTGATACGAGGCAGTTTGGGTAACGGATGTAAGTAAGTGCTGTAGTTACGACACAAGGATAAATTTTAGTGGAAGTAGTATAGTAAGCAACAAGCAAATTCCCAGGTGGTGAGTTAGATAAACCCATGCTGTCGTCTGTGTGATGTGCAGCGATGACATGATCACAGGGAAGTGATTAAGCATGCAGACTTTGGGGCTCCACTCACAGCAATTTTACCACTATGGTGCAACCTTGGGCAATTTACTTAGCCTTTCTGTGTCTCAGTTCCTCATTTGAAAGTGGATGTAACATCTTAGCACCTACCCCTTTTAGGTTTGTGAAGATCAAATGAGTTAATACATGCAAAATGCTTGCCACAAGGTAAGTACTCAGTACAGATGCTCCTCGACTTGTGATGGGATTATGTCCCAATAAACTCATGGTAATGTGTCAGCATGGCTGACTGGGAGCTGTGGCTCCCTGCTGCTGCCTAGCATAGTGACACAGTAAGGTACAGCATATCTCTAGCTTGGGAAGAGATCAAAATTCAAAATTTGAAGTATAGTTTCTACTGAATGCTGTTGTGCCAAACCCCTACTGACTCCAGTGTGGATGGCATCAGGTTTAAGAGGCCGAAGAAGAGACCCAGAGCCTGCAAATGAGACAGGGGGTTTTACTGGGGGCTTACAGGCAGGAGAGAGGGTTCAATGGCAGTGAGTTGGACAGGATAACCACATAGCCATGTGGTGATGGGCTGGGCAGAAGGATACAACCACTTGAAAAGGCATGAAGTTTCTATATAACATTTTCACTTAGCACCCTTTCCCTAACCACTTCCACCTGGCAACCTTCATTCAACCCAAACACAGGGCCTCCATCCCCTGTAAGGCCTGTGTTCCATGGGATAGGCCAGAGGCTCATATGTTCCTCATAAACAAGGAACCAATCTCCAGGTTGGCCACTCCCGAATTCCCTAGCTCGGAACACACTTTCAGGTGCATCTGCCATACAAGGTGATTCTCAGGGTGTCCTTAAGTTATTGCTATTAGGTGCGTTTAGCATAAAAATGCATATCCCTTTCATACTGCACCATTGTAAAATAAAAATTATAAGTCAAACCATCATAAGCTGAGGAGCATCTTTAAATGTTAACTATTATTATTATTGATTCATTCCATATGGCTATTGGCTTGAAAGTAAAGCAGCAGATAGATTAAACCAGAGGTGGATGACTCAACTACTTCTAGAATTGGGTCATGATCTTGGACTATGTTCAGAAATGCTGTTGCTAGTTAAAAGACATGTTGAAAGCATCCTTAATCAGTGGAGGATAGGGGCTTGTTGACAGAGTGCGGGCAAGAAATAAATTGTGCCCTGTGAGGGCAGCCATTATCACAATAATGGGTGCTGGTCTTAGCAGGGCTTGGCAATGAGCCATCATGAGAGAGTTCCATGAATATCTGAAGGTTATAAATGGGCATGAAAGTTCTTCAAGCCCCTTAAATGTGCCCTTGGCCTGAACATGTGTCACAAATGCTGATGTATCAGAAAGCATCATGCAGGACATCAGGAGTCAGGTGGCAGCACTGAGTGTGGGTTTCCCCCACAGGGAGGAACAGCTGCTGTTTCAGCAGAAGGATGCTCTCCATCCCCCAGCTCTACCCTTGCTTTCTCTTCTCACATCCCACAGCACCCAGACCCTGCCCTGGACCCCAGAATCCCCTTACAGGCACAGCTTTTCTTAGGCTTCTGCCTCTTCGTCTTGCCAGATTTCCTCGATTCTCTGCATTTACTACTGGATAACTAGAGAGTTATCAAGGAGAGAAATTTCTTGGGAACAGTTGTATTTATTTCCTGATGTTCTGGTATATGTGACAGAATGTTTAATAATTGGTTTTGGCTACTCAGTACATTCATTCATTCATTCATTCATTCACTCATTCATCTACCTCCTATGTTAAAATATAAACATATATACCTATACATATATATATAGTCACAAAAAATGGAAAAAAGTGGCAGAATAGTGAAATGAAGCCATGGAATAAACTTAATTTTAGAATGCATATTGTTTGGCTAAGAAAATTGGGTGGGCTACCAATTCAGCCAAAACAGTGCTTTTCAAGCTTGACTGCAAGTTATGATTACCAGATACTTTCTTTTTTAATTCTACTTTCAGTGATTCTGAAGTAAATGAACTGGGGTGAGGCCTGGGCATTGTAGGTTCCAAAAGATTCTCAGGTGAGGCTAAAGGGCAGCCAGAATTTCAAACCAAACCACTAAAAGCAAAGAAAAAACAACTGATTGATCATGAAAATTACCAGGTTCCTTCCTTGGATATTCTGATTTAGTGCTCATAAGTCATTAAACAAGCAATTCAGGTGATTCTAATGATTAAGAAGTTTTGGAAGAGCAATCAATTTTTGGGATTCACAATTTTATTTGAATGTAAAACATTAGTTTTCAGGAGGTGTTTAGCTTTTCTTGGCACTTAGGCATGAGAGAAATTTTCCAACAGTCCTCAGAAGGGAGATACTATGAAATTCATGAACAATATCCTCAAACACATCCATTCAAAAGCAATAATAAATGTCCCACAGCTGCTCCTGATTTATCTCAGTGTAGGCAGAGGGCATAGCACCAAAACACAATGTTGTTTTGTTTATTTTAAAATTATTATCTAAGTATAAAGATCCAAAGCAATACAATGTAGATTCAGAGCTCTCTGGTTAAAAGCAGGCATATATTTTAAAATGACTTATTTGCTTTACTAATTATAAAAGTAGAATGTATACACTTTTTGGAAAATTTAGAAAGGTTAGAGACACACTTTTTAAAAAAATTAAAATAACCTGTGCTTCAATTAGGACTTGATCAATTGCAAGTAATAGAAACTAACTCTAAAGAAAAAAAGCGTTATTGGAAGAATATCAATAACTCACAGAATCGACATGACAAACTTAAAATGGGCAGGAGCAAGGGCTATTCCAGAGTGTCAAGAAGAACAAAATACTATTTATACCTGGAATAGCCTCACCCAATGCTGCTGCCCACTGCAGATACAACTGATGTGGGGCTTCTCAGATGTTAATACTCCTGCAGGTCACCTGAAGATCTGGTTAAACCCTAGGTTCTAGACTGGGCACAGTGGCTCATCCCGTAATCCCAGCACTTTGAGAGACTGATGAGGGAGTATTGCTTGAAGCCAGGAGTTGGAAAGCAACCTAAGCAACAGAGTGAGACCTGCATCTCCGAAAAAAAGCAAACAAAAAACTAGCTGGGCATGGTGATGCATGCCTTTAGTCTCAGCTATTTGAGAGGTTGAGGTAGGAGGATTGCTTGGGTCCAGGCTGCAGTGAGCTATGACTGTGCCACTGTACTCCAGCCTGGGTAACAGAATGTAACTGTCTCTAAAAATAAATTTAGAACACACGCACAAAAACTCAGGAAAAACTCAGGTTCTAATTCAGTAGGGCTGATGTGGGGTGTGAGAGTCTGCCCCACTCATGTAATATGAGAAGGCATCACCAGTACTAAATCAAAAAAGGGTGAAGCATCCAAAAGCTTGAGCATTTTTCTGTTTACAACTTCTTCAGTTTTTATAAGTGTGTTGACCCAACTGTTTTTTTGATTTAGTAACAATAAAATCACTAATGGTAAACAGCTTTTTTGTTTTAGTTCTTTCTCACAGGGAGGAATTTGTTGAGAATCTGGAAGAATTTACAAGAAGGTGGCATTCGAGAGCTAAGTTGTGAAAAGAGAAGTGGGAAAGATTTAAAAAAGAATAGCTTCATAGAAAGACTATATCTTAGTGGGAAGGATCTGATGTAAAGGAGAGCTAGGAGTGAAAGACATGAAAGTTGAATACTTGTCACACAACCTGCTTAGTTTGTCCAACTCGAGACCAAAATAGAGCAGCATGTGTTGCACAGCAAAACTTGTAAGACACCGAAGTCTTTAATAACAACATAGGCCTCAATAAGTGAGTTGTAGCATTTGATGGGACTTATTTAGAGTGATGTAAAGGAGTAATTTTTAAGGATATGCACAGAAGACAGAATGAGTTTAAATTTCAATATGAAAATTCAGTTAAACAAAAATGCCATGGTAATATATTTACATGAAATAACAAGAGAATTACAATATCTGTATTTCTGGAAAGGGAAATGGCAGCCATCTATTTTTGTTGTTTAAAACTATTCGGTGCCCTCTCCATTGCCCTGAAGAAGAAGCTCAAATTTATTGTCTCACAAGCCCCTTCATAATCTGGTCTCCTTGACCTTCCAGCTTCATTTCTCATTGCTTCTACAACCCTCCTTCTACTCATTCTCTATATCAGTCACGATGAGCTGCTTCTAGTTCCTCAAATGCATCAGGCGTGCTCTCTTGCCTTTTCATATTCTGTGTTTTCCACCCAGAATACTTTTCATATTACCTTTCCCCTTTCTATAATAATTCTTTGTGTTTGCTCAGATCTCGTGGCAGTGATCATGGCCCTATTTTAAGACTTCCCTGATGCCTGCTTTCCCTTATTCAGGTATCATTCCAATCTTCCCATAGCTCCTACTTCCTCATGGTAGCACTCAACATATTATACTATAAATGCATGTTTACTTACCTGTATCCCCAACTAGACAGTAAACTGTAGGAAATGGGACCATGTTGAAATTATTGACAATTTATTTAACCAATATATATTTATTGAGCATCTGCTAATTTGCCAAACACTTTCCTAGGATCTGGCAATACAGCAGAACAAAGATACAGCCTTTATTGTGCTTGTATTCTGGAAGAATAAATAAATAGATGCAGAAATTAAATGAATGAACAAAGTTCTATAGGTACAAGATATATCAAAGATGAATCAGCAAGAGCTTATTATTCAAGCACTTAAAATGTGTCCTAACATCCTCAAGGTGCTATGTATGGCAATTAGGATTTTTTTTTTTTAAAGACAATGTGTGATCATAAGTAGCTTCCAATGTAGTTGGTTTAGGAAAATACTAAAGACAGATACATCATGTGTTCCTCTAATCACAATTTCAATAAAATGTATAAATGAAAGAGCCATAGTTGACTGACAGAGTGGGGAAGGGTGTATATTCATGGAGAAATTTAAACTTCAGTCAAATCATGGAAGATAACTAGCATTTTGCTTTACAGAGAGAAAGGGAGAAAGGATATTTTCACAAGAAAAATAGCTGCAGCAAAGCCACAGAGAGCTGAAACTGAGTATGACTTGAAGACTGTTCCAGTCTGACATCTCAGAAGCAAAGATGGGGGGCAGGAAGCTCGATTTGTGTGCAGTTCTCTACTTTGATTTGTTTATTCATTCAGTAAACATTGAGGATCACTCTGTCCATTCACAGTGTAGTTACTGAGGGATGGGATACCAAGGTGAACAAACACAGGCGTGAACTTCCTACACCATGTAATTGGTGGCAGAGGGACGTCTGTCATCATACCAGAAAAGAGTCTAATCATGAAGGGGTTTCTGGAACCTGGTATCCTTACTCTTCCTGTAATATTTTCTCAGTAAACTTAGGAGTCCATAAGCCATTCAAGATGCTTTACATTATCAAGATTTCATCCTGAACTTTTTAATTCATAAAGGATCATATGGCACATTTGGTTTTACTTCATGCAAGTACAAATTTCCAATCTCAAAGTTATTTTCAAGATTGAGACAAGGCAAAAAAAATATCTTTTAATCTGAGAAGCATTTTGTTCAGATGGTGAGTTCTATCACTCAGTTTTTCTTTTTGATTGATCCTGCTAAGGCACACTGAGACTGAATGCTGAAATACTCCAGGTCCAATTCTCAGTCCAGAGTCACAACGCTGAATGTGGATCTTTTCTTCAACAGTGCTTTTAATAACCAAAAAACTTGTAGTGCACCAAAACAGGCATTCTGTTAGAAAGCAGTTTGCATAAGTCAGAATTAAGCCTATTTCATTACTAATTCAATGAATTCATAAAATATAGGAATAATTTTACCCTTATTTTAATTTGAATCAGAAAATGTTTTCAGATGTGTTTGATTAATTAATTATGTCTCTGGTCTAAGAGGATGACAAAGCTGAACGTATTCTCTGAGGAAATGCTCACAGCTTTTTCTGTGGGGTTTGAGGCATCCAAAGGACCTGTCTGTATTCTTATAAATTTCCATCTTGCTTCAGGAATGTTCATTGCATCACCAGGAAGTTACGCTTAAAATGCAAATATGGTAATGCTAAAAATGAAAAGATATAATTATTGAATTTTAAACATTGATTTTAGCAGTAGATGGGAGGTAGATAGCTTCTTGTCTTATCTACATGAAGAGATAATTTTAACCAAGTTTCTACATCTCCATCATAAAGCAGATTCCAATGCCACAGAATCCAAGTCTAAGAAATGTGTTATTGATGCAAAGCTTAAGTCATTTCACTAGATTTTTTTAAAATGCTGGACAACTGAGTACACCGAGGAGACTCTAAGTCACCTCCCCTCATCCCTTACAAGATCTCTCTCCAGGCTACGTATTCATAGTTGAGATAAGGAGAAGCAATGCCCCGAATACAAGTGATTAGATACATGATTTTCTTTTCATGTGTTTCAGTAGGGAGGAATCTTGTTGCCAGTAGAAGCAATGGTGTTTAAAATCAATTATCAGGACAAAAATCCTTCCAGCTGGCTGAGATGTCCAGAAAAGTTGTTTCTTAGTGAACATAGCTCGTGTCAAGCATCTCCTTGCTTAACTAGGGAGCAGGTGGAGGCCTTTAGCACTAGGATGCAAGGTCTCCTGTTGAAGCAATTAGTCATTATTGATATGTATTTGTTGTGTATAGTAATGTTTTGAGTGTGTCTTTGTGTGGATATGTGTTAGAAAAAAGAGAGAATGGGAAAGAGAGAGAGGATAGGAGAGAAGAAAGAGAAGACAACAAAGGAAGAAATATTACACAAAATATCGGCACTGCAAGAGTTCAGGTGGCATATTCTAACCATATAGGGTCCGCAGTGGCTTAAAAACTGCAGAATGGTTTTCCTACACTTTCTTGTAATCAATACAGAACTCCCACTTCCCCCGCTGTCTTGGACCATCTACTTCTCCTCATTCAGCAACTATTGAGCTGATTTACCATATTCCTTTTGCCTTCCTCCCTCCACACGCCCAGGAGGATCTTCTCCTCTTATGCTAAATTGACTGTATAAGTTGTCAGTCATTGTAATACTCTTGTTGAAGATTAACTTCCTGGTTCCGATGATGGAATTGAGAACTGGTTATATTCTTTCTAAGAATATGGGTCTTTTCTCAGGAAACATAACCCATAAAAAGAGAAGAAATGTTAGCCTGAATGTTACCAGCCATCTTCTCTAGACTCAGTATGTAGAAAAGGAGCTAATTCATACCTACATCTAAGAGTATAGGTTTTCCTGAGGTTGCGCTGATACCACCAGAAGGTTAGTGGACATTATCCAAGTCCCTGTGTGTCTCTGAGAAGTGCTACATCTTTCTCCTCCAGGGAGATAAGGAACAAAATTCTTTCAGCAGGTACCAGAAGGTGTAACTGCAAGAACAGAGACTGGAATATGTGTCCTGTCACTTCAGCTGCCATGGATTCTTCCCCGTATAGGGCTACCTGATCACAATCCAAATTTTTGCAAGAACAACCAGGCATCAGCTAGGCTTTCAATTCTTTACAACTATCTTGCAAAAAGTCAAATCTTCTTTATTTCTGACATTGCATTATCACTGTATTATAAAGATGCCGGATCATTTTTCTTCAAATATAAGTTTTGACAGACTTTATTTAATTTGGGTCACAGTCTTCTGACCAAAGGAAGAAAAGAATTTTATCTATATAGTTACTGCTTAAGAGGCTCTTAAAAAGGATTGTCTTAGGGACCCTCAATAAGATGGTCATTTGTTTCTCTGGACTTCCCCTCCAGATATGGCTATAGATCCTGAGAATGGAAGAAAAGAGTGGGAAGAACCCACAATGTAGGATGGTTTCCTGTTATGTGAAAGAAAACCAGACCTTGAATATAGTCAAGATTAGCCTCCGACTAACGTATTCCTGTATCCTATTATGAAAAAGTGGCCCCCTTCACAGCTGTAGCATAGGTAAATGGAAGGAAGGAAGACGAAATCCACCCTGCTATACCTACATTTCCTCATCTCACCTTCATAACAGCTATATGAGGTAGCCATTATCATCCTCATTTTATAGATGAAGAAACTGAGAGAGAGTTTAAGGGCTTTGCCTTTGGTCACATAGCTAATAAATAGCAGAACCACGTTTTGAAACTGGGTCCTCTCCCTCTAAAACCAATGCTCTTCACCACAGAAATACTGGCCTTTCAGACCAGAAAGGTGATATTATTTTCATTAGTTTCTTCTTTTGTTCATCCAATGAGCAATCTTTTCTTGTTGCCTAATATGTGCCAGTCAATATAACAATTTGGAAATACAATAATTATAAAACTCACAAGGTTTCAGGGCATAAGGAACTCCTCCAGAACTTCAGAAACTAAACAAAAGATCTTCAGAAAAGAAATGCTTGCTGCACTAGGCACCCTGGAAGACAGAGTACTTGAACCCTGCAGGAGACTCCAGTGTCCTGCTCACTTAATCATTATGTCCCAGATTAGACTAAAGATCATATGCTAGAAAAATGAGTTTGTATGTAGGTTCACTTTCCCCCAAACTTAAAGCTTATATACTGCTAAAAGCTGATGTCTGTACCAAAGTCAGAACAAGGGCTATTTGGGGAATTCAGGGTTATGCAGGTGGAGACTCTCACCATTGCTTCCCAGCCCTGTCACCTGGCATCTGAGTCCCATAAGCAACAAGTCCAGGAAAGATAAATTGAAGAGGGATGTTTCTGTTCTCCACATCCAGGTGTGGAACAGCTGGTAAATGCCAGGGGACCCCAAAGCTGTAAGCAATAAATTCTGCTGAAACTCTGGACACTTCACATCACTCCGGATTTCTCACATTAATAATCACAGCCCTGAGCAAAATGGAAGCTCAGGTGTGTTCTGTCACTTTGCTTTCCAACATATCCACATAGTCACCTGGTTTGGATTCACAGCGGGGTCTTGAAAAATGACAGGCAGAAAGCTGTGATTTATACAGGGAGTGGGTAATTAAGGCAAAGTGCCTGGAAGGATAGACTTAGTTGAAGTTCTTTCACAATCTTTGTTAGAAGCCACAAAGTCCAAAGAGTCAATGTGTGAATATCCTAAATATGCATATATGTACACAGATGCACACACACACATGCACACGTGTGCACACACACACACAGCTAAATGTTTGCTTGTCAATTGAGCTTTTTGGGTTACTGGCATTAACTCAGGATATTATAAGGTTATGAGCTATAACATCAGGTTACGTTTTTCTTTTAAAAATTGCATAGGCAAAAATAAAGGGAAAGAAAAATAGCAATTTATGGAACAAAATAATTTGGCAGTTTTACTGCACTGAAAATTAAGCTGGTTTAATGTGTAATTAATTTAAAATATATACATTGATTAACTTCAAGTGTCTCCTCTATGAAAAATTCTTTTGCCACATTTTGATCTTCTTAGTCATATGCATCTCTGCACACAAATATAGGGACATAGATGCAATCTATGGAGTGTAGATTTTTTTTTTTTATTTTGGGGGGTTACGGCTAAGAGTTTATGTACTCAAAAAAAATACTCTTCTGATTTTTCTACTGTGTTAATTTGTGATTAGCTGACCAGAGTATTGAAGTGATAATGGGACTAAGCAAATTTTTTCTTTTCTTTTCTTTCTTCATTTTATTTTTCTCATTTTGTATATTCAGGAGAAAAGAGAAACACATTGAAGCAACCATTTTTTAAAGTGAACTGTAAATATAAATGACACTGGATTACAATGAATTGCATGTGCTCTGAATGCATAGCTCATGAATAAAAGACAGATCAGAGGACATCAAGACCCAACCAATTTTCATGGCCATGAACTCTGATCACTATACTTAAAATTTTCAAACCTATACCTAGAGATTAATAATAATACTAACAATTACCACTTGTTGAGCAATTACTATTTTGTAAGCACTGTGCTAACATTTCATTTAGTGTTCATCACCACTGTAGCGTCAGTTTTTCCAAATGGAACTTGAGGCTCAGAACACTTAAGTAACCTGCCTAGAATTCAAATATTAGTATGTAATGAAACCAAGGTTTGAGCTCAGGTGATATGACTGACTTCAAACCTCATGCTTGTAGTTGCTATGCCACTCTGCCTCCAAAAAAGTCAAGGGAGAGTAAAGCCTCCAGATGATTAAGAACACATGTGAACATGTCAGCATCTTTTCTCTGTCATGCTATCTTTGGCAGTTGAAATCTTGCTCCTCCTTGGAGCCCTGTCCTTCACAGCTTAATTAAAGGTTTGGGAATCCTATGGATATGAATTAAAATCCAGTTTGGTCTTCTACATTATGTGATCTGAAATAGATTGCTTACCCTCTCTGAATCTGTTTTCTTACCTAGAAAAAATGGGAATGATCATTCCTACCTTACAGGAATGTCGTGAGTAATAAATACATTGGTTTATGCAGTGTTCTCTTCATGATAGGCACATAGTAAGTCGTTAATAAAGGCAGTTTCTGTCTGCCAATTATGCCATAAAGACTACTCTTATTCAGAACTAAAACTATTTTCTTACCTCATTGTTTCACAGGTCATTGTTTTATACTCCCTTATAAGGATACTGTGGTTACTTGGTGTTCCATTTCCCCAACTAACTTGTAAAGTATCTGATGTCAAGACTGACCTTTTATAACCAATCATATTTGCATACACATTCCAGAATGTGTACTTTACTAACTTAGAAAGTACCCGGTGTCAAGATTGACCTCATATAACCAATCATATTTGCATACACATTCCAGAATTCATTAAAATTCTGGCACAGAAGTTCAGTGAGGGCAGGAAGAGACAATGTGAACAATTCCTTGAGTATTTTAACACTTCAATTAGTCAAAATTAGCAGATCCCTATGAAAACTAGAAGCTGAATATGAATAATTAGAATTTGAAGAAATATACATAGGATTAGAAATGTTCCATAATCATCCTTGGCTCTAATTGGAAATATTGTAGGTGACTTTGCCATGAAAATAACACCATGTGAAACAATAGTGAACTATTGAAATGAATGAACTAATTAGGTTATTGGGTCATCACACTGATCTGTGCACATTGCAAAACTATCCAACTGGCTGCATGACTGATATTAATATTAAACTACATTGTGATTTGAAATATTGCAAAGGCCACCAACTGACATCACCCCAAGTTATTGGTTTTAAGGTAGAATAAATGAAGATGTATAGATAAATTTTCATGGGCTCAAGAACATATAATTATTTTTCCTGATAAAATATTCTCAAAATCAATTTGCCAGTTGATATCTTGCTCCTCCTTGGAGCCCTGCCCTTCATGGCTTTTTTGAGAATTTGGCAAATTGTACTCTTTTATCATGTAAGTAATCAAGGAATCAACACAGGGTAAAACATTAAAAGAAATCTGAGGACTCTACTTTTGAAGTAACAGTAAAATGAAAAAGGGAAAGTACTCCTGGTTCTTAAGAGTCAGAAATTTACAAGAAAGTATAAAACTATACTATTTTATTAGTGCAAAGACTATTTTATGGAACATGGTTGAACAAAAGGAATTCAGTCTCTTTTCAATTGTGCCTAAGAAAAAAATAAACCAAATAATTGAATGGGAGATAAACAAAAAATTGAAAAGCTTGACCTGAAAAAGCTTATTGAAAAAAAATTACTATATCAAGGGCCATATTGCAGGAATAGCTGTAAGAATAGCATAATAACTTCTTTAATCATTGGAAATTAGAACCCTACAAAATATCCAGGTGACCTGACAAAGTAGAGTAAGTGATCTTTAATAGAACCCTTCTTTCATTTATTCATGCATTTATTTATTTATTTATTTTCTATGTTCATTTATCAATTTATGCACACATTTGGGTTAGCATTTATTGAGCACATGCACATCTTGTGCTAGATGCTGGAGATAAAATACTTCAAACCAGGTCACTGCCCTCAAGGTAGATTGCAATTTAGTGGGGGTTCCAGGCACATAACCAACTAATTATAATACACAATTACTCTTGCTTTAATTTGGAGGTGAATAACTCTGCCTAAGGCCATCAGGAAAAGCTTCTCAAAGAATTGACATCTTATCTAAGCCCTGATAAGTAAGGAGATGGGAGAGAGGGTGTTTACCAGATGGAGTAGGTTAGAAGGAAGGCTATCTCAGGCAGAGTATAAAATAGCATGAAGCATTTGGGAAACAACAGCTTGGCTCTATTATAGACATTAGAATAGGAATGACAGGAAAGAAAGTTAGATTAGCTTGGGAATGGTCTTTAAGGGTCTTGGTGTTAGTCTAAGAATGTGGTTGGGCTTTACTCTTTAAGCAAAATAGCTTAATATTTTAAAAAAAGAAAAAATGTTACTGGAAGATCTTTGTTTAAAAACAACTCTTGCTGAAGTGTGCAGATTGAATTGCACTTGGAAAAGACTGGAGAAAGAGAAAATTACTAAATCCAGTAATAAGATAAAAGACATATTTATGAACCTAATCTGTATGCAGTAGAATAATTATTTAATTAAGTTCTTTCTTGACTCCTTGACTGGTTTCAATGAACCAGATATCATTTGAGAGCTTAAAATTATTTGATCAAAAGCTAAAATTAATTTATAAAATGTAATTAATTAAAGCTGATGAAAACAGCTAAAAGAAAAATACTTTAGACAAAAATATATTGGACTGAGTTTTGTTAAACTATGAGTCATCATTAGAGATATTCATGTGGTAAGTGATGAGATGGTAGATGATAACAAAATGCTTCATTTTAGTAGGAAAAAGATTTGCTCAAAGTAATGTATTATCATTGACTCTTAGCAGACTTTAATTATTTTTAAATTTTAAATTTTTTATTTGGAATTTTTATTTGGAATATTTATGTAAATCCAGACAGAAAAAATATCTACATAAAATAAAAATTATCGTATATAAAGAGAGTAAGTTCAAAGAAAGACACAGAACATTAAGGTTGCTGTCCTTTGGGGATACTTTAGTGGGAAAAATGTCTGTGAATTATGTTAACCTAAGAAAAATGCTCAATTTCTGAATATTAGTGATACGGTATCTGACTGAAGAGAGTCAATCAATTGGCTAAACTAAATCAATCAGCTTCTTTAGATTAGGAATTTAAACTTGGTATACAGGGACACTAGTGGGTTGATCAGAAGTGCAGAAGCTGTAAAGGCAAGTAAAGGGATGGAGTTGTCCTTTGTATCCCAAGTACATGACAAAGAAGAGAAAGTCAGTTTAGAGATGAAGTGAAAGTAGATATTCAGAAAAAAAAAAAAAAAAGAGGTAAGAAAGCTTGGGACACTGAAAGGGGAAAAATAAAAGAGCTGTATACTGCATCAGATGTCTTCTGTGCCCTAGATTCTATGAGATTCCCACGTATCTTTCCAATATATTTTCAATTATTTTTCTACATTGTTTGAGTGAGTTTATTTTTGAAGTCAAATAACCCCTAACCATGACATACATGCTTCCTGTATCTACAACAACAAAATTGTATCCATGGACAGCAAACTATTTTGAAGCTAAATATACCAACAAGTTAGTAGGTTGGTGCAAAGGCAATTGCAGCTTTTGCCAATCACTTTCAAAGAATATCTAATTTTTTTAATGGATGCATTATGTTTTTATGGCATCTTATAGAGCTCCAGAGGCATTTTCTTCAAGCATCTTCTAGAAACTCAGCCTAGTGTCGAATCACATTCTGCCCTGAGTGGCAAGTCTGTTGAGCACCTGGATCTACTCAGGGCTTATTTTTCCAGAGCAGTAGTGCCTGCTCTCAGTAGACCCCACTTTCCTTGTCTAAGGGTGCAGCCTATACAGATCTATGCCCACACTCTTAGAGGGTAACACCTTTAGAGGTGAGGAGGACAAAGATGAAAAGTAGATATGCAAATGGATCCTTTTACTGATACCAACAGTGAGAAATAAAATTATCATGCACTCAGGTGCAGGAGTCATCATAAAGTATTTTTTCTGCTTTTGGGATAGATTTCAGAGCACCTCTATCATTCTGCCCTAATTATGGGCAGTGTCTCAGAAAAGGTATCAGTGACTTCTCCATTTAACTCACCTGATCAAGAGTGATACTTTAAAAATCCAAGATATTAGACTGTTTCTTTTTAATTGACAAGCAACATTTAATACAGTAAAAGTTTCACTCATTATTTTGTAACCAAGGAAGGACTGATCCCATGGAAGCTTTTACTAAATCTGTGGGAAACCAGGTTGACAAGTTTCACCAGGTTTTCTACTCAATTGTGGACAGCCATGAGAGTTCTGGAATTAATTGGGTCCAAGTTTTGAAAATAACACTATGTAAATTCTTTAGCAGGGGAGGATCCCTGGAAAATCTTAACCTGGCTTGTCTGACGTTAAACCCTGGATGATAATTAATACTTTTGCACATATTTATATTATTTTTGCCTTCCAAGCAACATATGAGTCTAAACAGAAGGATAGATATATTATAGCTACACAAGGGACATTCAAGAATAATTAGTAGGGTAGTACCTCCTACAATAATATAAGAATGACTGCATGCGTTTTCATACTTCCTATGCTTAGAAAAAATTTCCTGACACAAAGTAGATTCGCTAGAACTACAGTTGACTCTTAGGTTTGAACTATGCAGGTCCACTTAGGTACAGATTTTTTTCAATAAAAGTTGCAAAGTGTATGCCAGCCTCTTCTGCCTCCCCTTCTATTTCCTCTACCTTTTCCTCTTCTGTCATCCCTAAGACAGCAAGTCCAACACTTCTTTTTCTTCCTCCTCCTCAGCCTATTTAAAGTGAAGATGATAAAGTATTTTATGATTACCCACTTCCAATTTAATGAATACTACATATATTTTCCTTATGATTTCATTATTAACATTTTATTTTCTCTAGCTTACTTTATTGTAAGAATACAGTATATAATACATACACAATAATGTGTTAACTGACTATGTTATCAGTAAGGCTTCCAGTCAATGGTGACTATTAGTAGTTAAGTTTTTAGGGAGTCAAAAGTTATACAGAAATTTTTGACTACATAGGGGTCAGTGTTCTAATTCTTGAGTTGCTCAATGGTCAACTGTATTTGCTAAGTGAATGATTGAATGAATGAGTGAATAGGCAAATAAATGAACTAATGTGTAAGTTACATAAAAGCAGAAACAGTCATGTTCATTACTGTAGCCTCAAGTCTAGCACTTTTTAGTATCATTTTTCTAGCACTTAGTATGCCTAGTAGTAGGAGTGAATGAATGAAGGACTAATAAAAGCCTTAGGCTGTTAAAGGCAGGGCACTACATTTGTCACCTGTAGTTACAGACTCACTGTAGCTAATTAAATAAGTGGAAGGTTTAACAACTACCCACAAAAACTTAAAAATCTCCCTGTAACCTACTCTATGATATAAAGCTGCAGCTAATAACTTCCCACCTAGCAGTGAGCCTGTAACAGAATAATTGCCCTCAACAATTCTAAACAGAGCAAAGCACCTCCTGCATGTACTTGTAGGGAGGAGATAGAGAATCCCGAAATAAACCAAATACGGGTGATAAAGAACTGGCTTCTTCAATCAGTTCTAACAGAGATTTGTATTTATTGCTTGTTATAAAAACTTTATTACCCTTTTTACAACTCTAGCTGTCCAGTGTTTGATTTAACCCAAAAACATGCTAGTAATTTGCTATTTGGTATGTACGTATTTTTCAAGATCTAGAAATAATGGACGTGACTGCTGTTCTGCTTTTCTTACATGAATCAGAATGAAAAGTGCACAACACACACAAGATACTGAGGAAAGGCCTCTGTCAGGTAAGAAAGTGTGCTGTTAGATTAATTTTAGACAACTTGCCCTGGGAAACTTACCTAAGTTAAATATAAAGTGTATTGCAATTTTCTATATGCAAGATTACCATTAGCTACAGTAGTGATATGAAATATGCTACCTATTTAAGCAAAAATTGGCGGGATCCTATACATATTGATTTTGCTGCATGATTGGAAACGTGCATTAGTGAGTCTCACAATAAAAAATTCCATCTATCCTTCCTTTTCTCTAGTCCATCACTTATATCATGTATTTCCCTGATGCCTGAATCCTTTGGAGATTTCACATTGGCGTTGATGTAAAAATGATATTAAGGCATATATTTTATTAGGTGCTACTGCATGTTTGTATCCCCAAATGAGGACTAGATTTAGTATCGCTGTAGAGAAACATTAATTATTTATAATTATAGAATTTGTTTCACTCTGAGGGAAGCAATTAGAACATTTACATGTAATAGAAAAATAAGCAATATATAGTAAGCTCTATCGTGGGCTTCTTTCCCCAATTTTACCTCAAACTGAGAAGATACTAACAAAAACTTTCCTATTCTAAAAAATGTCTATTTGCCCAATGTGATTAAATTAGCTGTGTACCCTGTGAATCTGCTGCTGCTAGAGAAGCCCTTTGGGGTCTGGGGAAGAGACTAATGGGAAACTATAAAGCTCTTGGAATAAACAGGAGTGTAAATCATTCATGGGTTCAGTCAGTTCTAACCCCAAGAATGTATGGGCTTGGGAAAGGATTATCCAAACAATATTTCTTTTCCAGGCTGCTCTTCAGAGAAAACAGCTGGCTTGGATTAAAAGAAGTGATTTCAAAATGAACTAAATAGAAATGTTCTGAGCACCTTTCCAGATTCCAGAAAGAGAGGAAAGGGGAATGCATTTCACCATATCCCTTTATGTCTTCCCCTTTTGCTTTCCTGAAGGAAAGGGGATAGGAAAAATATTACTTAGGTTGCTTTAGCTATTGAATTACAAGTTTTTAGCCCAATAATATATGACAGATTTACAACACCCCACTGAAAGATAAACCTACACTTCTCTTATCCAACTATTCGGAAATCACAGTCTCCATAGAAAAGGAACACAAAACAAGTAATTTGATAAGATTGTGCCAAAACGCCAATTTAGTGCCTATGTAGTCTTCATTTATTTATTCCATATTGAATCCATCTGGGAAAGTATTGCACTAAATAACAAGCTTTTTCTAAGCCCTGGGTTGGTGCTCCTTGTGGAATGAATAGCTAGGAGTGCCAACCAGCAAATGGAGTTAGTAGTTTAAACTATGGGTATATGAAGTTTGAAACCCAGGCAAGAGTAGAGGAGGTGAAAGGTGATAAAGCAAGAACACCTGCTTTAACAGGCTGGAAAACTTTATAACAACCGACAAGGCTGAATTCCTCCATACCTTCAGATACCTTGAGGCAATACCACAGTTAGAGTTCATTGTGTCTAAAATGTAAGAATATTATTTTTAGGTGACTTTTCAAAAGCAGGGGTAATACCATCTCCTTGTATTCCTGAAACTGAGAAGAAATGGAATTTCAGAATCTGAACTCTGTATGTAGCTGTAGTGTCTTTGTCAGCTTCACTTTTCAGGCATTCAATGCTACGTTGTTAATAGCACTGTCTCTCTTCTGCTTTCAATTAACATGAGTTACTGGACGGATGCTCCTGTAAAGAGACACCTGTTAAGTTCAGTGTAGCTGCAATTGTAGCTCTTTGTAAAGCTTAAATAGGTGTACTAAGGTTGTATGGTGATAATCTGAGATGTTTTGAAAAAAAAAATTTAGCTTCCTACTATGTCTGAGACTACTTAATCAATTTAACAGAGACTCCAGTGAATAATTTTTAAAGGGTTCAGGCCATTTCCTATGTCTATGGCAGCCAAGGACACATCCCAGTTTCATTGCTCTGCACCTAACAAAAAGAGCTTTGGGATTTGAGATTTAAGCCCTGGATTTACAATGCACTGATGTTTGTTATACCTATTAATGACAAAGCTGTGTGATTTAACATACAATGGTAAGACATTTAATTTTATGAACACAGTTGAAATTTTGCTTCCAAAAATAACAGGACAGGTGGGTTCTTGCCTGAGAGCTAAGGAAAGCTGAGAGCTGTGTCAAGATAATTGTCCTCCTCTGAATTAGCAGATATCTTTCAGCTGTTTTCAGTTCTCCTTATCTCTAACAACTTAGCAGCAGAAACTAAAACTATTTAATCCATCAAATTGCTCATCAAAAACAAACACCAGGAAAAATAAAAAAAAGACAGTGTGTATGCTGTATGTCTTTGCTTAAAAAAAAAAAATCCTAGTTAAAGCACATATCTACCTAGAAAACAGATTCCCCCTTTGATAAACATACCTAAATTCCGTGGAAGCTAGACCCATACTCAGCAGTCAATAATTGTTAAATAATCATTTCTTAACCAGTGGTGCACATCAAAATTATTCATTGAACTTTTAAAACCACCTCTTCCCTACTATTCCCAGTCCTAAGGTTGTGGCCCCGGTTTCTAATTGTTGTTAACATATCCACAGGCGATTCTCATATGTCCTACTATTCATTTATTTATACTGAGGTTCCTTATACAGCAATTATGATTTTTTAGCTATTTGTACATCTTGTCATTACTCTTAAATTAGGTCTAATTCTGTTCAGTGTTAAGTGCCACCGAGACTAAACTCAGCCAAGGATAGGCCAGCCAAAATGTTTGAATTGAAATCTCAGGGTCAGGCAAATCCATCATGATAAATGCCAACAAACAGTTCAAAAATATCAGAGCAGAGAACTTGGTAGAATCCATAAGCAGATTCTAAAAAGGAAGTCTCAGAGCAAAATCAGCACCAAGGACAGCACCACGTGCCCCAGAGATCCTTAACTTCCATAGGGCTTCACAGGTCATTCAAAGTTACTACCAGGCCTGACTCTTGTACACTTCTGCAGATCTTTGATGGTGCTGAAGCACAGTGTTTATCATGTGGAGCTTTTAAAACCAATTCACATGTCCTACTTCCGATCCTCTAATTCAGAAGCTCTGGGGCAGATACAAGGACAAATATATATATTTAACAGATGTGCACCACTGATTAAGAAGAACTTGATTCTGTGATTCTAAAACTTGAACATGCATTATAATCCAGAACTTATTAAACTTGGATTGCTGTTGCTGGGCCCCACAGTTTCTGATTCAGAGGCTCTGGGATGAGACCTAAAAATACATGTCTAATAAATTCTATACTGCTTGTTTGAGGAACACACTTTGAGAACCACTGAATAAAATTATAATGGTAGGTCACAGCATGCCCAGCTCCACATGAAATAATCTGCCTCATTTACCATGGAGATCTCTGTGAGGGATCCAAAGGTAAAATCATATTATCTTAGTAACTTTGTTATGTCTCTGGAAAACCTCTGGTGTCCTCTGAGGCCTCAAACATATTATCATTTAATTACTGAGCATGATGATACTGCCAGCTTCAGAACAGCTACAAAATGGGACAGAACAACCCAACAATATTTTGGTAGGAGGAATCCTGACTATCAATGAGGTTTGTCATAAAAGATTTTCCTTTATTATCCTGATATTACTTGCTCTTTACTGCTTTTCTATTTCTTTCTTTTCATTCTCTTCCCTAAGCATTCCTTTTAGCACTACCCCATTGTTATGGGTTGAGTTTTGCCACCCCCCACTGACACTCAAAAATATGTTGGAGTCTTAACCCCTAATAAGAAAAATTTGACCATATTTGAAAATAGAGTCTTTACAGAGGTAATCAAGTTAAAATAGGTCATTATGATGGACTCTGATCATTATAAAAGGGAAATTTGGACACAGAGATAGACCTATACAGAAGGAAGATGATGTGAAGATACACAAAGGTATCCATGTAACTGGAGGGATGTCTCTACAAGTCAAGGAATGCCAAAGATTGCTGGAAAATACCAGAAGCTGGAAGAAGCAAAGAAAGATTCTCCCCTAGGGATATTAGAAAGAGGATGTCCCTAATAACACCTTTATTTCAGACTTCTAATTTCCAGATCTATGAGACAATAAATCTCCCTTATTTTAAGCCATCTAGTTTTTTGCTACTTTGTTAATGGCAGCTGTAAGAAACAAATATACCTGTTATAAGCTAAATCAGTGAACCCATAAGTATTTATGTACTGTTTCATATGTTAGAAAGCACTCATATTATCACAGTCAATGTAAGTAGTTGAGTGAGAGAGATTTTGGTAATATGCTTATTTTACAGATTAGGAAACAGGCTTTGTCTTTTCTGAATTAAGATTCAGAAAAGCTGAATGAGGTGATAAACCTTATAATAAATAGGAGAGAGTGGCATCAGCAATATGGCTTACTAGAAGCCCCTTGCACTTATCTCCCTGACATAAACAGGCAAAGCAACAAATAAAAAACTATATTTCGATGAAAATAACTAAAGGAGAGCACCAGAGTACACAAAAAGAGTAGCAGAAATCCTGTAGAGCATAACAACCCAGGATTTCTGCATAAAGAAGGGAAAAAACATCTGCCTTTGTGAGCCTATCCCCCATTTGGACCAGCTTGAAATCTGGAGCAACTTCTCGCTGCAGGTAAAAGTAATGCAGCAGCCCCCATCACCCACTTCAGTCACCTACAGTTCTTGCCACTGTGGACCCCTGGAGTTATCACAGGTGCTACACTCAGCTGAAGAAGTTGCTTGGAGTCCATACATCTGTACTTCCTAGAGAGAAGAAGCCAACACTGTACCTCACCCCCACCATGGCCTACTGTACTGTGCTAGCTTGGAATTGGAACCACCACTGGCACGTGTCCTGCCCTGAGGGCAAGTAGCCATTGCATCTTTCCATCCCTGAGGCTCTGTCACAGCTGCACCACCCCCCATGTTGGCTCACCATCCATGAATCAAACTGCAGTTAAACTCTATCTTGTTGGGCCAAACTTCTGTGCCACCTTCCTCCAAAATACAAGCTGATAGAGTAACAGATCCCAGCTTGTTGGCAATCTGCATCTACCCATGCCTCAGCGTGAACCTGCACTCAAAATCCTAGATGCCATAGTTGGTTGGTGAGACCCTGATGCCAAGACCCTGACTCCACAGCACCTGTGTCCTAGAACCTAGTGCTGTTGCAGATTCTTGTAGCCTATGACAGATGCAATCAATGCAGAGGCTTCCTCTCAGCTAAGACACCCCACTGTGGGAAAAGTGAGAACAAGAAGACCCCAGAAACCCTTGCCACTGAGAATGCTAACAGCACAAGCTGCCACTACCACTGCCATAAACTCCTGTAGCCAAGGGCAATGAATCACCCATAATCATTGCTGATTTTGATCACGGCTAAAGAAGCTGGCATGGAGGCTATACCACTGCATCCACTTGGTATCAGAGCCATTGCATCCCTACCAACTGTTACCCTAAGACCCATCTGAAGGTGAAAGTCTTTTTCTAAAATAAGATATACCATAAAGTTTGGAAGACAAGACTGTTTAACCAGATCCATACACATTAACACAGTGACTGAAGAAACATGAGAATGCAATACAAGGAAACATGACACAACCAAAGGAACACAATGATTTTCCCGTAACTGACCCCAAATAAATGGAAATTTATAAATGGCCTGAAAAGAAATTCAAAATACTAATTTTAAGGAAACTCCATGAGATACAAAATAATAAACAATTCAATGAAACCAGAAAAATAGTTTATGATGTGAGATGGATATACCATTTAAACTGATTTGATCTTTATAAATCATATGAATGTATTAAATGATCACATGTACCTTAAAAATATGTATATAATGTATTGATTAAAACAATAAAATTGAACAAAGAAACTAATGCACGATCTGAATGAGAAATTCAACAAAAAGATAGATATCATAACGAAGAACCAAACAAAAATCTTGGAGCTGAAGAATTCAATGAGTAAAATAAAAAATACAGTTGAGAGCTTCAACAACAGATTAGATTAAACAAAAGAAAGAATCTCTGAACTTGAATACAAGTATTTTGAATTAACTCAGTCAAAGGGAAAAAATGAAAAAGAATACATAAAGTATATGGTACTTATGGGACATCATAAAGCAAATAAATATTTGCATTATGAGATTTCCAGAGACACAAGAATTGAAGGCACATAAAGATTATTTGATAGAATAATTGCTGAAAATTACCCTGGATTCTTAGAAGAGATATGGACATTCAGATCCATGAAGCTTAAAGTTTCCCAAACAGGCTCAACCCAATGAGGCCTTCACCAAGGGTAGAGTATAATTTCAAAATTTCAAAAGTCAAAGACAGAATTTTTAAAGCAGCAAGAGAAAAGCATCAAGTGAAATACAAGGGACTCTCCATTAAACTAATACCAGATTTCAGAATACTCCATTACTGTAAGGGTGGTGTGTAAATCTTTCCAAAACCTGGTAGGAAGGTTAAAAATCAAAATGGCTAACAATAACCCTAGCTACAATATTTAATTAAGGAAAGCACAATACAAAAACATGCAAACCGTGACAACAAAACTATAAATTGTGTGTGTGGAAGTAAAAGTCTGGAGTATTTGTATGCAACTGAAGCTAAGTTGTTATCAGATGAAAATAGTCTTCCATAACTATAAGAATTTTAATGTAAGTCACATGGTAATCACAAAACAAAAAACTATAGCAAATACACAAATGAAAAAGAGAAAAGAATGAAAACTGAACGTTACATAAAATCACCAAATCACAAAGGTAGACAACAAGAGAGGAAGAACAGAAGGAAGAATGTACAAAATAAGAAAACAGTTAACAAAACGGCAGGAATAACTTCTTACCAATCAAAATTACCTTAAATGTAAATAGACTAAACTCTTCCATTAAAAGACATGAAGTGGTTGAATGGATTTTTCAAAAATTCCAATTATATGCTGCCTACAAGACACCCATTTAAATTGTAAGGACACACATAGGCTGAAAGTGAAGGTATGGAAGAAGATATTTCATAAAAATAGTAATCAAAAGAGGGCAGAAATGGCTTTACTTATATTAGATAAAATAGACTTTCAAAAACTGTTATGAAAAACAAATAATGTCATTATTTAATTATCAAGGGTCAGTTTAGCAAGAGTACATAACAATTATGAATACATATGTGTCCAACCTCAGGTCACCTAAATATTCAAAACAAATATTAAAGGATTTGAAGGGACAGATAGACTGCCATACAATAATAATAGAGTACATAAATATTTTACTTTTAACAATGAATAGATCAATTAGACATAAAATTAATAAGGAAACATTGAATTTGTACTACATTTTAGACCAAATGGACATAAAAGACACATACAGAACATTCCATCTAACAGAAGCAGAATAAACCTTCAAGTGCACACAGAGTATTTTCCAGGATAGATCATATGTTAGGCCACAAAATAAGTCTAAACAAATTTAAGAGGATTAAAATTGTATCAATTATATTTGCAAATTGCAATGGTATGAAACTAGAAATCAATAGGAGAAGATCTTTAATAATTCACAAATATGAGGTAATTAAACAACATGCTGCTGAACAACCAGTGGGCCAAAGAAGAAATAAAAAATAAATGAATGAAAATATTGAGACAAACAAAAATGGAAACACAACATACCAAAACCTATGGGATGAAGGAAAAGCAGTTTTATGGGTGAATTTTATAGCAATAAGTGCCTACATTAAAACAGAAAAAAAGAGGCCAGGCGCAGGTACACCTGTAATCCCAGCACTTTCGGAGGCTGAGACAGGTGGATCACGAGGTCAGGTGTTCAAGACAAGCCTGGCCAAATGGTGAGACCCCATGTCTACTAAGGATACAAAAAATTAGATGGGTGTGGTGGTGCATGCCTGTAATCCCAGCTACTCAGAGGCTGAGGGAGGAGAATTGCTTGAACCCAGGAGGAGGAGGTTGCAGTGAGCTGAGATTGTGCCATTGCAGTCCAGCCTGGGTGACAGGGCGAGACTCCATCTCAAAAACAAACAAACAAACAAACAAACAAACAAAAAAAAAAACAGAAAAAAATCCAAATAAATAGCCTAACATTACACCTCAAGGCACTAGAAAAAAGATGAATGAGCTAACACTAAAGTTAGCAGAAGGAAGAAAATAATAAAGTCAAGAACAGAAAGGCCATAGAAAAAAATTAATAAAACCAAGATTTAGTTATTTATAAAAATAATCAAAATCAACAAACCCCAAGTTAGAGTGACTAAAAAAAGAAAGAATATTCATAAATAAAATCAGAAATGAACTAGGGACATTTCAACAGGTGCCTCATAAATAAAAGAGGTCATAAGGAATTATTATGAACAATGATGTGCCAAAAATTTGATCAAATAAAGTAAATGGATAAATTTAAAAAATATATAACCTATCATGATTGAATCAGGAGAAAATAGAAAGCTTGTACAACTGATAACAAATAGATTGGAGAAGTAACTCAAAACCTTCCAACAACAACAAAAAAAGCCCAGGACCACATGACTTTACAGTTGAATTCTACCAAACCATCAAAGAAAAATTATGACCAGCACTTCTTAAACTCTTCCAAAAAATAGTGCTAGAGTGAATACTTCCAAGTACATTTTAGGAGGCCAGCATGACCTTGATCCTTAATCCTGATAAAGAAAAAAAAAACACAGGTCAATATCTGTGTTTTGAGCTATCTCTATCTCTGAGCTATGTCTCTCTCTGATAGACATTGATGCAAAAATCCTAAAAATATTAGCAAACCAAATTCAACAATATATCAAAAAGATTATGTCATGACCAAGTCGGATTTATCTCTGGCATCCAAGGCTGGTTTAAAATACACAAATCAATCAATGTGCTGTATCCTATTAACAGAATAAAAGATAAAAACCATGTGATCATTTCAATTGATGTAGAAGAAACAATTGACAAAGTTTAGTATCCTTTCTTGATAAAAACTGTTAACCGTTCAGATATAAATGAAAAGTTCCATAATATAATAAAGGCAAATTATAAAAAAATCCAGAGCTAACATTACAATCAATGGGAACAACTGAAACCATTTCCAGTAAGATTCAGCTCAAGGTAAGGATGTCCACTATTGCCACTTCTATTCAACACAGTACTGGAAGTACTGGCCAAGCAATAAGACAAGAAAAAGAAATGAAAGGCATCCAAATAAAAAAAAAAAGAAGTAAAATTATCTCTGTTTGTGGAAGACATAAATCTATATATAGAAAACACCAAAGATTTCACACACACAAAAAATCTGTTAGAAGTAATAAATTCTGTAAAGTCACAGGATATAAGATCAACATAGAAATATCAGTAACATTTCTATACATAAATAATTACCTACATGAAAAATAAATCAAGAAAACAATTTCATTTATGATAAGATCAAAAACTAAAATAAAATACTTAGGAGTAAATTTGACTAAAGAGGTGAAAGATTAGTACACTAAAAACTATAAAATATTGATGAAAGAAATTGAAGCCACAAATAAATTAGAAATACACTGTGTTTATAGATCAGAAGGTTTAATATTGTTAAAATGCACATACAACCCCTGAACCACATATCAATTTAACACAATTATTTTCAAAATTCCAAGGCCATTCTTTATAACAATAGAAAAAACATCCAAAATTTGTATGAAGCCACAAAAAAACACCTCAAATAGCTGAAGCAATACTGACAGAAATAAAGTTGGAGGCATAGCAATTCCTGATTTGAAATTATGTTACAAAGCTATAGTGATCAAAACAGTATGGTACCAAAATTAAAACCAAAAACATAGACCAATAAAACAAAATAGAGAGCCCAGAAGTAAATCTAAACATAGACAGTCAACAAATTTTAAACAAAAGCAACCAGAAGGCACAATGGAGAAGAGACAGTCTTTTCAACATGGATATCCACATACAAAAAAATCAAATTGAACTTTTATTTTTACACTCTGACAGGGCAAATACTCACTCAAATTCAAAGTGCATTTCTTTATTCTCTCACCCAATAATTAACACAGAATACTTCTATGACAAAATGTGTTGGGAGTTCTCCCTGCAACAAGCAAACATTAATTTTGCAAAGGACACAAGTTGGGTGTCCTTCAATCCAATTCCATTTTGATGCAATATACCTGGAGATAGTATCAGTTTCCACAGGGTGAAGGCTCAGTTCCACAAGACTGTGCCCCACTTCCAATGCCAATTGAAAGCCCCAGGTTGTTTTACCTGTGCTTGTGATCAACTGGCTATAAATTGGTAATCCTATTACTACCTTCTTGGGTTTAGTTAATTTACTAGAGTGGCTCACAGAACTTAGGGTAACACATTTACCAATTTATCATAAAAGATATTACAAAGAATATAGATGAAGAGATGCGTAGTTGAGGTTTGGAATGGGGTGTGAAGCTTCCATGTCCTCCCCAGGCATACAGGTCTCCAGGAACCTCATATATTGAGCTATTAAGCTGTTCTTTTGAGTTTTTATGGAGGCTTCATTATGTAGGCATGACTGATTAAATCATTGGCCATTGGTGTTCAATTTAGCCTTCAGTTCCTCCCTTTACCCTGGATGTTGGAGATGGGGTTGAAAGTCCCAATCCTTTAATCATGTCTTGGACTTTCTATTGATCTGCCCCTGTCTTGAAGCTACCTAGGGGCGGCCAGCCATCAAGAATTAACTACAAAAAGACATCACTTTGGAGATTCTATGAATTTTAGGAATTGTATGCCAGGAAACACAAAGACCAAATAAATATTTAACAAAATTATAGATACTATACCAAAAAAGTCAACTAAAAGTAGATAAAATGCCTAAATATAAGATCTGAAACCATAAAACTCCTAGAAGGAAACATAGGTGAAAAGTTCCTTTACATTGGTCTTTACAATGATTTTTTTGACATTACTCCAAAAGCTCAGGCTACAAAACTAAATACAAATAAATGAGGCTACATCAAACTAAAAAACTTTTGCACAACAAAGGAAACAATCAAAAGAAAAAAAAAATAAAAGTAAAACTACCATTTGATCCAGCAATCCCAGTACTGGGTATCTACCCAGAGGAAAAGAAGTCATTATTCAAAAAAGATACTTGCACATGCATATGTATAGCAGCACAATTCACAATTGCAAAATCATGGAACCAACCATAAGGCCCATCAACCAACAAGTGGATAAAGAAACTATGATATGTGTGTGTGTGTGTGTGTGTGTGTGTGTGTGTGTGTGTGTGTGTATACACAATAATATATAGTATGATGATCATCATACATATATGTATACATGTACATACATATATATGATGATATATATGTATGATGATATATATAACTATGATATATATATGATTCTGTCATATATATATATATAATGGAATATTATGCAGCCAAAAAAAGGAATAAATTAACAGCATTTGCAGTGACCTGGATGATATTGGAGACTATTATTCCAAGTGAAGTAGCTCAGGAATGGAAAAAAACATTGTTATGTTCTCACTGATATGTGGGAGCTAAGCTATGAGGACACAAAGGCATAAGAATGATGCAATGGACTTTGGGGACTTGGTGGGAAGAGTGGGAGGGAGGCAAGGGATAGAAGACTACAAATATGATGCAGTGTATACTGTTCAGGTGATGGGTGCACCAAAATCTCACAAATCACCACTAAAGAACTTACTCATGTAACCAAATACCACCTGTACCCCAATAACTTATGAAAAATTAAAAAATGAAGAAAGAAAAAAACAAAAAATCAATCTACAAACTGGGAGAAAATATTTGCAAACCACAGATATATAAGGCGTTAATATCCAAAACTTATAAAGAACAATTATAACTCAATAGCAAGAAAACAAATAACCTGATTTTTAAAATGGGCAAAAGATGCAAACAGACATTTTTCTAAAGAAGACATAAAGATCACCACAGAAATAGAAAAAAAGTGCTCAACATCACTAACCACTAAAAATGCAAATTAAAACTACTGTGAGATATCACTTCACACGCATCAGGATGGCTATTACTAAAAAGACAATAGATTACAAATGTTGGTAAAGGTAGGAGAAAAGGGAACCTTTGTACATTGTTGATGGAAAGTTAGATTAGTACAACCATTATGGAAAACAGTATGGAGATTCCTAAAAAAAATAAAAATAGAACTACCATCATGTGACCCAACAATCCTTCTTCTGGGTATATACACTAAGATGAAATCTCTACTTTGTAAAGATATCTGTATTCCCATGTTCATTCCAGCATTATTCACAATAGCCAAGATATGAAATTTAAGTGGTCATCAACAGATGTAAAGAACATATGGTGTATACACAATGGAATATTATTCAGCCTTTAAAAAGAAGATTCTGCTATTTGCTACAAAACAGACAGGCCTGGAGGACATTATACTAAGTGAAATAAGCCAGACACAGAAAGAAAAACATTGTATGATCTCATTTACATGTGGAAGTTTTAGAAAAATGCATAATATACAGAGATAGAGAATAAAACTATGGTTACAGGAGGGAAGAAATGGAGAGATGTAGATCAAAGGATAAAAGTAGTAGATATGTAGAATGAACAAGTCTAGAGATCTAATGTACAATATAAGGACTATAGCCAATAATATTTTATTATATTTGAGACTTTTTTAAAGTAGATTTTAGCTGCTCTTGCCACAAAACGTAACTATGTGAGATGACAGATATGGTAATTTTCTTCACTATAGTAACCATTTTACTATCTATATGTATCCCATAAAACTATGTCATAAACCTCAAATACACACAATAAAATTCATTATAAAAAAAGAAATAGTTGAGTGGTAGGAATAAGACCTAGAAGCCTGTGCTCATTATCTTTTACCATCTTTTACTCCAATCAAAACGAGAGAACACTTACTTCTATGGTGCTAATGACTTCATAAAACATACATTTCAAATTCTTTAGTTTTGACTCAAAGCCATTAACAACAAAAATGAGCAAATGTCTATTGAATGTGGTATGGGGTTGCAGCCAGAGAAATGTGAGTTTATATCTCATCTTTGCTACTAATTATGTTTTTGGCCATAAACAGGCAACTTATCTGAGTCATAGTTTCTTCATTGTTAAAAGTAGAAACATGGGCCAGGCGTGGTGGCTCAGGACTGTAATCTGACCACTTAAGGAGTTCGAGACCAGCCTGACCAATATGGTGAAACCCCTTCTCTACTAAAAATACAAAAATTAACCTGGTGTGGTGGCACACACCTGTAGTCCCAGCTACTTGGGAGGCTGACACACGAGAATCACTTGAACCTGAGAGGCAGAGGTTGCAGTGAGCCGAGATTGCGCCACTGCACTCCAGCCTGGGCAAAAAAGCAACACTCCATTTCAAAAAAAAAAAAAAGAAACAATAATAATTACCACACGAAGCTGTTTGGAGATGTAAATGAGAAAACACATAGAAAGCTGGTAGCAGAGGCCTTGCAGATGGATGTTAGTGTCCTAGTTCTTCCTCTTGCTTCAGACCAATTGAATGCCACTGAAATGAGAACTTGGATTTCTGAACACATGCCTAGGAAACAATGATTCACCTTCATATATGGACTACTTAGCATTAACTATTTATTAAAGCCTTATTGTTGACACAAGGAAATTCCTGGGCCACTTTAGTTTTACATTCTTAGAGGCTAGGTGGGACCAGGTTAAGCTAGAGAGACTTTTCACTTCTTGATTTGAAGACATTTAACATTTGGTTGTTATTTGCCCAAGAACACATATTCCTGTCTTTAATCTGGAACACACAAAGGAAATAGGCAAGAGGTCAAGATTTTGATCACATTGATTATTGCTGGGTCCTTGTGCTGCAAAGCAATCACTGGCAGTGATTGTTTCATGGTGCTGCCTCATAGCCCAGCATTAAGAAAAACTAAAGGTCAGAGAAACCGTCATCACCTACTTCAAGAACCAAACCATCATTTACAACCTCAGTCACAGAGGAGTCTGATGTCACAGGTGAAACACAGTTTAAGCACAGTCACAGTCTCAACACAGAAAATGAAACCCAGGTTGCCTCAGATAAACTCTTATGCTTCATTCTCTACACATCGACCAGTTATCATAACACAATACTAATCTTTTAATATTTAAAAGTATACTTGCTTGCACAGTGAGGTACTTTGATGGCGGGTGATGGGAGATTAAATATTTCAGTAAAATGAGTTGAGACATTGCATTTCTTAAATTGTTGTGTGTTCATATAGGGTTTCCTAAACTTTTGTTTTCCATTTGGACATACAGAGTATAAAAGATTAGGAAATATCATTCTACATGAGGTTGTATAGTGACAGAGTAATGCAGAATGAGTCATTAATAATTTAAAAATAGAATATAAATAATCCAGGGACTGGTGCTCTGTATGTGAAATGATATCCCATAAGCATGGTGGCCACCGGGTTGATCCAAAGAGGGAGTATTGGCACTGGAAGACTGAATTAAGAAAACAGGAAAAAATTAAATAGGCCTCACTTTGATATACTGCTCTCAAACAATCTCCAGTGCAAACTCTAGGCAAATAAAACAGATTTTAGTTACTGTGTGTAGCAAAATCAATGTGACATTCATGGGACATGAATGGTTCATAATAGTTTATTTCATTATTTCTGAAGTGCTTAAGTTATTTTTTTTTAAATTTTACTTTAAGTTCTGGGATACATGTGCAGACATGGAGGTTTGTTACATAGGTATACATGTGCCATGGTGGTTTGCTGTGCCTATCATCCCGACATCTAGGTTTTAAGCCCTGCATGCATTAGGTATTTGTCCTAATGCTGTCCCTTCCCTTGCTCCCCACCCCTCAATAGGCCCTGGTGTGTGATGTTCCCCCTTCCTGTGTCCATGTGTTCTCATTATTCAACTCCCACTTATGAGTGAGAACATGCAATGTTTGGTTTTCTGTTCCTGTGTTAGTTTACTGAGAATGTTGGCTTCCAGCTTCATCTGTGTCCCTGCAAAGGACATGAACTCATTCTTTTTTATGGCTACATAGTATTCCATGGTGTATATGTGCCACATTTTCTTTATCCATTCTGTCATTGATGGGCATTTGAGTTGGTTCCAGGTCTTTGCTATTGTAAATAGCTTCCAGCTTCATCTGTGTCCCTGCAAAGAACATGAACTCATTCTTTTTTATGGCTACATAGTATTCCACGGTGTATATGTGCCACATTTTCTTTATCCATTCTGTCATTGATGGGCATTTGAGTTGGTTCCAGGTCTTTGCTATTGTAAATAGTGCTGCAATAAATATATGTGTTCATGTGTCTTTATAGTAAAACCACTTATAACCCTTTGGGTATATACCCAGTAACAGGATTGCTGGATCTAATAGTATTTCTGGTTCTAGATCCTTGAGGAATTGCCACATGGTCTTCCATAATGGTTGAACTAATTTACACTCCCACCAACAGTGTAAAAGCATTCCTTTTTCTGCACATCCTCTCCAGCATCTGTTGTTTCCTAACTTTTTAATAATCGCCATTATGTCTGGCATGAGATAGTATCTCATTGTGGTTTTGATTTGCATTTCGCTAAAGACCAGTGATGATGAACTTTTTTCATATGTTTGTTGGCTGCATAAATGTCTTCTTTTGAGAAGTGTCTGTTCATATGCTTCACCCACTTTTTGATGGGGTTATGTTTTTCTTCTAAATTTGTTTAAGTTCCTTGTAGATTCTGGATATTAGACCTTTGTCAGATGGGTAGATTGCAAAAATTTTCACCCATTCTGTAGGTTGCCTGTTCACTCTGATGAAAGTTTCTTTTGCTGTGCAGAAGCTCTTTAGTTTGATTAGATCCCATTTGTCAACTTTGGCTTTTGTTGCAACTGCTTTTGATGTTTTAGTCATGACGACTTTGCCCATGCATAGGTCCTGAATGGAATTGCCTAGATTTCTTCTAGGGTTTTTATGGTTTTGGGTTTTACATTTATGTCTTTAATCCATCTTGAGTTAATTTTTGTATAAGGTTTAGGAAAGGGGTCTAGTTTCAGTTTTCTGCATGTGGCTAACCAGTTTTCCCAGCACCATTTATTTAAGAGGGAGTCCTTTCCCCATTGCTTGTTTTTGTCATGTTTGTCAAAGATCAGATGGTTGTAGATGTGTGGTGTTATTTCTGAGGTCTCTGTTCTGTTCCATTGGTTTATATATTTGCTTTGGTACAAGTACCATGCTGTTTTGGTTAATGTAGCCTTGTAGTATAGTTGGAAGTCAGGGAGCGAGATGTCCAGCTTTGTTCTTTTTATTCAGGATTGTCTTGGCTATACAGGCTCTTTTTTTGGATCCATATGAAATTTAAAGTTTTTTTTTTTTTTATTCTGTAAGGAAAGTCACTGATAGCTTGATGGAAATAGCATTGAATCTATAAATTACTTTGGGCAATAGGGCCATTTTCATGATATTGATTCTTCCAATCTGTGAGCATGGTATCTTTTTCCTTTTGTTTGTGTCCTCTCTCATTTTGTTGAGCAGTGGTTCATACTTCTCCGTGAAGATGTCCTTCACTTCCCTTGGAAGTTGTATTCCTAGGTATTTTATTCTCTTTGTAGCAATTGTGAATGGGAGTTCACTCATGATTTGGCTGTTTGTATATTGTTGGTGTATAGGAATGCTTGTGATTTTTGCACATTGATTTTGTATCCTGAAGCTTTGCTGAAGTTGCTTATGAGTTACTTTTCAAGGTAAAATTTAAATTTGCCATTTCTTTCTTGAATCCTCATTTTTTATTTGTTTCAGCTTGTTTTCTCAACAAATTATTTTATCTTTGAAACAATATTTCTTGATCATATTAATCACTAATTACAGTAACTGCTTATTAAAAATAATTTTAAAGCAATAATCATTGGTTATAAAAATTGGGGAAATAAAAATATGCATAAAGAAGAAAATAAAATATATTTATAATCACACTACTCTCAGGCATGAAATACTGTGTTTGAAGTTTTTACTGGTTTACACATTTTTAGAACATTTTGGATAATAATGAATATAGCTATTAATGTCTCTTTTCTCATATAACATTACCATATATCATTGTTTTCTTTGAAAACATACTTCAATATACGGCTCTGGAATAGTTCATATGATTGTATCATTATTTTTAAGACAATTCCACTATGGTGGGCATTTAAATTCTTTTATTCTGCACTATTTTCAATAGTGCTGTGTTGAAGGATTGTTCTGCATGAATCTTGGCTGGAATCTCTGTGAAACTCTGGGATAAGTGTCTCAAATGACTATTTCTTAGGAGTCTTGAAACATATTGTCAAATTAGCTTCAAGAAAAGTGACACCTATTTACACTTTTAAATAGCAAGATGGTATGAACATGCTTATTATTAAACTCACACACATATACTCAGCATAAAAATGTCTTTAATCATTGTATCTTTTTTTACATGTATTTCTTTGATAATATAGTTTTTTCTTCTTCAGAAAGTTACAATATTTAAAGCTAGAAGAAAACTCTTTCTTTTACCTATGAAGAAATTGAGAGAAAATTGTGTCACGAAACCTGCTCCCAGCCGTGTGACAAGCAAGAGGCAGATTCAAGACATGTGACATCCAGTTTGCTACCCCTTCCACTTCACTGCAAAGCCCTTAAGTCATTATAAGCAAGATGCATACAATTATCATCCTTTTAAATCCTCTCCTAATGAGAACGTCTAAGCCAAAATTAATGTTTTAACTATGCATGACATTATTTTTACTCATATGACATGAATAACTTACAAAATTACATCAAATAAAAGATGTACTGTTGATTTCCTTATAAAAAGCACTTGACTCAATCAAGGAGCATGGTTTTATGAAAGAAACATAATTCCCAACCACTCAAAGAAATTGGGGGCAGTTGAGAGAATGTCTTACTCAGAGCTCCTGCTGCTGAGTTGTAATTTTTTGATGGCCTCTGCTGCTGCAAGCTGAATCTGTTGCTGCATATACACCAAGGCCACACTTCCCAGGGGCTGCTTCCAGAGAACTGTGTGTGGCAAGAAACAAAGGTTCTTGAGAGATGGGGGACTCTCCCAATGGGTGACAGTAGCTTTTCTATTTTCCTGACTGACTTGTTCTTGAAACTGTGCTGCAATTTGAAACTCTTTTCTAATCCTTCCTGCTAGCTCTCCTTTCACAGGCATCAATTCTGCCCCACAATCTGAAGATTCTCCCTTCTCCTACTTCTTCTTCCATTATTCTCAGGTATTTTTTTATTTTTAATTTGCATAGATACACAATAGGTGTATATATTTATGGGGTATGCGAGATGTTTTGATATAGACATCCAATGTGAAATAAGCACATCATGAAGAATGGGATATCCAACCCCTCAGGCATTTATCCATTAAGTTGCAAATAATCCAATTACACCCTTTAAGTTATTTTAAAATGTACAGTTATTATGGACTATAGTCACTCTGTTATGCTATCAAATAGTAGGTCTTATTCATTCTTTCTAATTTTTTTGTACCCATTATATCCCGGCCTCCTCCCCAGCTTCCCACTACTGTTCCCAGCCTCTGACAATCATCCTTCTACTCTCCATGTCCATGAGTTAAATTGTTTCGATTTTTAGATCTCAAAAATAAGTGAGAACATATGACGTTTGTCTTTCTGTACCTGGCTTATTTCACTTAACATAATGACCTCCAGTTCCATCCATGTTGTTGCAAATGACTAGATCTCATTCTTTTTTATGGCTGAATAGTACTCAATTGTGTATCTGTACCACATTTTCTTTATCCATTCATCTCTTGATGGACAATTAGGTTGCTTCCAAATGTTAGCTTTGTAAACAGTGCTGCAATAAACATAGGAGTTTAGATATCTCTTCAATATACTGATTTCCATTCCTTTGGGTATATACCCAGCAGTGGAATTGCTGGGTCATATGGTATCTCAATTTTTAGTTTTTTGAAGAACCTCTTAACTGTTCTCCATAGAGGCTGTACTGACTTACATTCTCACCAACCGTGTATAAGGGTTCCCTTTTCTCCACATCCTCACAAGCATTTGTTATTGCCTGTCTTTTGGATATAGGCCATTTTAACTGGGGTGAGATGATATCTCATTGTAGTTTTGATTTGCATTTCTCTGCTGATCAGTGATATTGAGTGCCTTTTCATATACCTATTTTCTGTTTGTATGTCTTCTTTTGAGAAATGTCTGTTTAAATCTTTTGCCAGATTATTGATCAGATTATTAGGATTTTTCCTATAGAGTTGTTTGAGCTCCGTATATAGTCTGGTTATTAACCCCTTGTCAGATGGGTAGTTTTCAAAGATTTTCTCCCATTCTGTAAGTTGTCTATTCCCTTTGTTGATTGTATCCTTTGCTGCGTATAAGTTTTTTTAACTTCATGTGGTCCCATTTGTCCATTTTTGTTTTGGTTGCCTGTGCTTGTGGGATGTCGCTCAAGAAATTTTTGCCCAGACCAATGTCCTAGAGTTTCCCCAGTGTTATCTTGTAGTAGTTTCATAGTCTGAGACCTTAGATTTAAGTCTTTAATCATTTTGATTTGACTTTTGTATGTGTTGAGAGATAGGGATATAGTGTTTTTTTTTCTGCATGTGGATATTCATTTTGCCCAGCATTATTTATTGAAGAGACATTATTCATTCAACAGAACACTTTTCCCCAGTATGTGTTCTTGGCACCTTTGTCAAAATTGAGTTAACTGTAGGTGTGTGGATTTGTTTCTGGGTTCTCTATTCTGTTCCATTGTTCTATGTGTCTGTTTTAATGCCAGCACCATGCTGTTTTGGTTACTATAGCTCTATAGTATAATTTGAAGTCAGGTAATGTGATTCTTCCTATTTTATTCCTTTTGTTTAGGATAGCTTTGGCTATTCTGGGTCTTTTGTGGTTCTACATAAATTTTTGGATTTTTTTATTTATGTGGAAGAATGTCATTGGTGTTTGATAGGGATTGCAGTGACTCTTTAGATTGGTTTGGATAATATGGACATTTTAACCATATTGAATCTTCCAATCCATGAACATGAAACCTTTCCATTTTATTGTGTCCTTTTCAATTTATTTTATTAGTATTTTATAGTTTTCATTATAGAGATCTTTCACTTCTTCAATTAAGTTAATTCCTAGGTATTTAATTTTATGTGTGGCTGTTGTAAATGGAATTACTTTTTTATTTCTTTTCACATTGTTCACTGTTGGCATATAGAAATGCTACTGATTTTTGCATGTTGATTCTGCATCCTGCAACTTTACTAAATTTGTTTATTAGTTCTAATAATTTTCTTGAGGAGCTTTAGGTTTTTCCAAATATAAGATTATATGATCTACAATCGAGAATAATTTGACTTCTTCCTTTCCAGTTTGGATGAGCTTTACATTTTCTCTTGTCTGATTGGTCTAGCTAGGACGTCCAGTACTATTGTGAATAACTGTGGTGACAGTGGCCATTCTTATTGTTTTCCAGATATTAGAGGAAAGGCTTTCCATTTTTCCCCATTCAGTATGATATTAGCTGAGAGTATGTCCTCTATGGCTTTTATTGTGTTGAGGTATGCTTCTTCTATATCCAGTTTTTTGAGAGTTTTTATTCTGAAGGGATGTTAAACCTTTATCAAATGCCTCTTCAGCATCAATTGAAATGATCATATGGTTTTTATCCTTCATTCTGTTGATGTGATGTATCACATTGATTGATTTGCATATGTTGAACCATCCTTGCATCCCTGATATAAATCCCATTTGTCATGATGAATGATCTTTCCAATGTATTGTTGAATTCGGTTTGCTAGTATTTCATTTAGGATTTTTGCATCAATATTCATCAGAGATATTGGCCTATATTTTTCTTTTTTTGATGTGTCTTTTTCTGGTTTTGGTATCAGGGTAATTCTGGCCTCATAGAATGAGTTTGGAAGTATTCCCTCCTCCTCTAGTTTTTGGAATAGTTTGAGTAGGATTGGTAGTAGTTCTTTCTTAAATATTTGGTAGAATTCAGCAGTGAAGCCACCAAGTCCTGGGCTTCTTTTTTATTGAGACACTTTTTATTACACCTTCTATCTAATTACTTGTTATTGGTGTGTTCAGGTTTTGCATTTTTTTCCTAGTTTAATTTTGGTAGGTTGTATGTTCTAGGAATTTGTCCATTTCTTCTTGATTTTCCAATTTATTGGCATATGTTGCTCATAGTAGCCACTAATAATCCTTTGAATTTATACAGTATCAGTTGTAATGTCTCTTTTTCTATTTCTGATTGTATTTATTTGGATCTTCTCTCTTTTTTCTTAGTCTGGATAAGGTTTGTCTATTTTGTTGAACTTTACAAAAATTAACTTGTTTTATTGATATTTTGTATTTTTTGTATTTTTTTCATTTCAATTTCATTTCTTTCTGCTCTAATCTTTATTACTATTTTCTTCTAATAATTTTGGGTTCAGTTGGATCTTGCTTTTTTAGTTCTTTAAGATGCATCATTAGATTGTTTGAAGTTTTTCCTCTTTTTACATATAGGCATTTGTAGCTATGAGCTTCCCTCTGAGTACTGCTTTTGCTGTATCCCATAGGTTTCAGTATGTTGTGTTCTATTATCATTTGTTTAGAGAAAATTTTCAATTTCCTTTTTAATTTCTTTAATGACCTGGTCATTCTGGAGCATATTGTTTAATTTCCATATATTTATATAGTTTCCAAAATTCTTCATTATTAATTTCTAGTTTTATTTCATTGTGGCCAGAGAAGATGCTTGATATTATTTTAATTTTCTGAATGTTTTGGGACTTGTTTAGTGACCTACCATATTGTCTATCCTTGAGAATGAGCCATGAACTGAGAAAAAAAAAAGTATATTCTGCAGCTCTTGGATGAAATGTTCTGTAAATTTCAATTTGGTCTATAGTGCAGATTAAGTCTGATGTTTCTTTGTTGATTTTCTGTCTGGAAGATATGGCCACACAGAAAGTGGGGTGTTGAAGTTTCCAGGTATTATTCTTTTTTTTTTTTTTTTTTTTGAGACGGAGTCTCGCTCTGTCGCCCAGGCCGGACTGCGGACTGCAGTGGCGCAATCTCGGCTCACTGCAAGCTCCGCTTCCCGGGTTCACGCCATTCTCCTGCCTCAGCCTCCCGAGTAGCTGGGACTACAGGCGCCCGCCACCGCGCCCGGCTAATTTTTTGTATTTTTAGTAGAGACGGGGTTTCACCTTGTTAGCCAGGATGGTCTCGATCTCCTGACCTCATGATCCACCCGCCTCGGCCTCCCAAAGTGCTGGGATTACAGGCGTGAGCCACCGCGCCCGGCCGTTTCCAGGTATTATTCTATTGGGGCCTATCTCTTTCTTTAGCTCCAATAATATTTCCTTTATATATCTGGGTGTTCCAATGTTGGGTGCATATATATTTAAAATTGTTAAGTCCTCTTGCTGTATTGACTCCTTTATCATTATATAGTGACCTTCTTTGTCTCTTCTTATAGTTTTGGTCTTGAAATCTATTTTGTCTGATATAAGCATAGTGACTCCTGCTACTTTTTTGTTTCCATTGGCATGGAATATGTTTTTCCATCCCTTCATTTTTAGTCTATGTGTGTCTTTCTAGGTGAAGTGTTTCTTGTAGACAACAGATCAATGGGTCTTGTTTTTCATCCATTCAGCCAGTCTATGTCTTTTAATTGGAGAGTTTAGTCCATTTACATTCACTGTTATTATTGATAAGTAAGGACTTACCCCTGCCATTTTGTTGTTTTCTGGTTGTTTTGTGATCTTCTCTTCCTTCTTTCTTTCATTCCTGTCTTTCTCTAGTAAAGATGATTCTCTCTGGTGGTATGATTTAGTTGCTTGCTATCTATTTTTTACATATCCATTGTATGCTTTTGGGTTTGAGGTTACCATGAGGCTTGCAAATACTATCTTATAACCCTTTATTTATAACCCTTTATTTTAACCTGTTAATTTAACATTACTTGCATAAACAAGCAAAAGAAAAAAAAATTCACCCTAACTTCATTTCCCTGCTTTTTAACTTTTTGTTGTTTCTAGTTCTATCTTATTGTACTGGCTATGTTTTGAAAAGCTGTTGTAGTTATTATTTCTGATTGATTCATTATTTAATCTGTCTACTTAGGATAAGAGTTGTTTACATTCAACAGTTATGGTATTATAATATTCTGTGTCTTCCTGTGCACTTACTATTGCCAGTAAGTTTTTTACCTTTAGGTGATTATGTGCTTCTCATGAATGTCCTTTCCTTTCTGATTGAAGTATGCCCTTTAGCCTTTCTTGTAGGATGAGTCTGGTATTGATAAAATCCCTCACCTTTGTTTTTCTGGGAAAGTCTTTATTTCTCCTTCATGTTTGAAGAATATTTTGCTAAATATAATATTCTAGGGTAAATGTTTTTTTTTTTTTCTTCAGCACTTTAAATATGTCATGCCACTCTCTCCTGGCCTATAAGGTTTCCACTGAAAAGTCTGCTGCCAAATGTGTTGGAGCTCCATTGTATGCTATTTGTTTCTTCTCTCTTGCTACATTTGGGAACCTTTCTTTATCCTTGACCTTTGAGAGTTTGATTATTAAATGTCTTGAAGTACTCTTCTTCAGGTTAAATCTGCTAGGTGTTCTATAACCTTCTTGTACTTGGATATTGATACCTTTGTCTAGGTTTGGGAAGTTATCTGTTACTATCCCTTTGAATAAACTTTCTACTCCTGTCTCTTGCTCTACCTCCTCTTTAAGACCAATAGCTCTTAGATTTGCCCATTTGAGGCTATTTTCTAAATTCTCTGGCTTTTTTTTTTAATTCTTTTCTCTTTTGTCTCCTCTGACTGTTTATTTTGAAATAGTCTGTCTTCAGGTTCATTAGTTCTTTCTTCTACTTGATCCATTTTGCTGTTAAGGGACTCTGATGCTTGTTGCATTTTTCATCTCCAGAATTTCCACTTGATTCTTTGAAATTATTTCAATCTCTTTGTTAAATTTATCTGATAGCATTCTGAATTCCTTCTCTGTTTTATCTTGAATTTCCTTTAGCTTCCTCAACACAGCTACTTTGAATTCTCTGCCTGAAAGATCACATACCCCCATTTCTCCAGAATTCATCCCTGGTGTCTTATTTAGTTCATACGGTTAGGTCATGTTTTCCTGGATGATGTTGATGCTAGTAGATATTCTTTGGTGTCTGAACATTTAAGAGTTAGGTATTTACCATAGTCTTCACTGTCTGAAATTATTTGCAGCTGCCCTTCTTGGGAAGGCTTTCCAGACATTTGAAGGGACTTTGGAAAGCCTTAATAATCAAAGTTAGCTTTGTGATCTAAGCTATTTGTGCTTTAGGGAGCATCCCAAGCCCAGTAATGCTGTGGTTCTTGCAGACTTATAGAGGTACTATCTTGATGGTCTTGGACAAGATCTGAGAGAATTTTCCGAATATTAGGCAGAGACACTTGTTCTCTTCCCTTACTTTCTCCAAAACATAGTCTCTCTCTCTGTTCTGAGCCACCTATGTCACTCTGAGTGGAGTGACATAAGCACCCCTCTGGCCGCCACCACCACTATGACTGTGCTGGGTCAGACCTGAAGCCAGAAAAGTGCTGGGTCCCACCCAAGGCTTGCTGTAACCACACACTGGCTACTACCTATGTTCACTCAAGGCCCCGAGGTGCTACAATCAGCAAAAGGCAAAGCCAGCCAGGCCTGTGTCTCTCCCTTCAGGGTGGCAATGTCCCCCAGGCCCCAGATGGGTCCAGAAGTGTCATCTAAGAGTCAGGGACTAGAGACAAAAAGCTTAGAAGTCTACCTGTTATTCTATTGTACTGTGGCTGAGATGGCTCTCAAACCACATGATGCAACTTTTCCCATTTTTCTTCCTCTTTCCAAAGGCAGAGGAGCCTCACCCCATAGCCACGATCAACCCTGGCCATAAGGAGTACTGCCAGACTACCACCAATGTTCCTTAAGCCCCAAGGGCTATTAAGTAAGCTCATGGTGAATGCTGCTTGGCCTGGAACTCACTCTTCAGGGCAATGGAGTCCCTGCTGGCCCAGAGCAAGTCCAGAAATGCTATCCAAGAGTGAAGTTCTGGAATCAGGGACTCCAAAAGCCTGCTTGGTGTTCTACCCTTCCATAGTGTTATTGGTACCTGAAGCTAGCAAGTCTCGGAGGCTCACCAAGGCCCTCAGTGTTCTGCCTGGGTATCACTGCTAGTTATTCAGGGCCCAAGGGCTCTTCAGTTAGCAGGTAATGAATGCTTGCAGGACTAGGTCTTTTCCTTCTGGCCCAAGGTTTCCTTCTGTTTCTAGAAGTGTTGTCTAGGAGCTAGAGCTTGAAATAGGGGCCTCGGGACTCTGACTGGTGCCCTATCCTGCTATGGCTTAGCTGGTATCCAAGATGAAAGACAAAGTCTTCTCCACTCTTCCTTTTCCTCTCCTTGAGCCCAAGGAAGGAGACCCTTTTGGAGCTATGGGCTGTGCAACCTGGAGCTATGGGAGGGGTAGTGCCAGCACTCCCTTGGCTGCCCCAGCTGGTGTCTCAGTGTGCTGTGTACCCCACTAGTACACTGTCTTTGGATCTAGTTCAGCACTAAGACTCGCCAAAGAGTTGCAGTCCTTATGGCCTAGACTGCCTTTCAAACTTAGAGACAGAGAGGACTTTGGCCCTTATTGTGTGTGTGTGTGTGTGTGTGTGTGTGTGTATGTGTGTGTTTAAATCTCTTCAGTGCCTCTTTCAGCCATATGAGTTAAAACTAGGTACTATGAGTGCTAAGCTGATTTTTGGTTCTTGAGAAGGTTTTTTTTGTGTGTGTGTAGACAGTTGTTAACTTGGTGACTTTGTGGTGGTGGTGGGAATGATTGATGGAGCTTTGTATTCCACAGTGTTGCTCTGCTTCCCCCTCAGGTGTTCTTTTTACTTTTAATCCCATCTTGCAGGTATTGCAAGGAGGACCTGAACTAACACAACACAAAGTGTGCAAAGGACTACTAAATCCATTTATAAGCTGTGGCTTTCTTTGCATAGAAATAAGATGTCCCCTTATCATAAAAAAGAAAAACATCCCACAGCTGATGAGATGTCTTCAGTGTTGACCCCTGAACTGAATTTAGTGCTCCAGATAAAGTTTTAGAAAATCAAGGCCAGCTTTTTGTTTTTGTTGTTAATTAGGAGGCCTTTATTCCCAAGACCACCAGACCACCTGGCAGTATTAACTTCTATACATCTACCTTGACTCTCAAAAGGAGGAGGTGGTAGAATGAGTGTTATCCTGTCAGTGCATTTACTTAAAAAAATTACTTCAAAATGCAAAGTGTATGTATGTGTTTAATTGAACTTTATGCCCTAGGGGCACGTATTAGTCCATTTTCATGCTGCTGATAAAGACATACCCGAGACTGGGCAATTTACAAAAGAAAGAGGTTTAATTGGACTTACAGTTCCACATGGCTGGGGAAGCTTCACAATCATGGTGGAAGGCAAGGAGGAACAAGTTCGGTCTTACACGGATGGCAGGAGGCAAAGAGAGAATGAGGAAGACGCAAAAGCAGAAACCCTTGATAAAACCATCAGATCTTGTGAGACTATTTACTACCACAAGAACAGTATAGGGGAAACCACCCCCATGATTCAATTATCTCCCACAGGGCCCCTCCCACAACACATGGAAATTATGGGAGTACAAGTCAAGATAAGATTAGGGTGGGGACGCAGAGCCAAACCATATCAGGGCAGTTAGTTGTACATGAATCAAAAATCCAGAGGTGACAATAAGAAGTGCTTTTATCTAAATCATCAGCAGAGGATTTGTTAATTAGTGCAAGAGATGTTAGACATAATATTCACTGATGAAGTAAATGTTCATTTTTAAAAGATATATGGTTGGCCAGGTACGGTGGCTCATGCCTGTAATCCCAGCACATTGGGAGGCTAAGGATGGTGGATCGTCTGAGGTCAGGAGTTCAAGACCAGCCTGGCCAACATAGTGAAATCCTGTCTCTACTGAAAATACAAAAAATTAGCTGTCTCTACTGAAAATACAAAAAATTAGCTGGGCATGGTGGCAGGTGCCTGTAATCCCAGCTACTCAGGAGGCTGAGGCAGGAGAATTGCTTGAACCTGGGAGGCGGAGGTTGCAGTGAGCCAAGATTGTGCCATTGCACTCCAGCCTGGGTAACAAGAGTGAAATTCTGTCTAAAAAAAAAAAAATGTGTATATATATATATACATAGAGAGAGAGAGAGAGAGTGGAGTTTATAAAATCTGGTCAACCATATATGTGTGGGTGTGTATATATATATATAAAATTAAATATATACATGTATATATTTAATATACATGTATATATTTTTACATATATATTTAAATGTATATTTATATATATTTTTACTATATATATATATATATATATATATATATATATATATGTTTGACCAGATTCTATAAACTCTACTCTCCTTCAGTGAACCTTCAGGACAGAGTACAAGATCTACAGTTTCACTCGGTTCGCAGGCATACACACAGACACACACACACACACACACTCTCTCTCTCTGTCTCTCTCAGTGGAGGGCTCCAAAGCCTAACCAAACAGAATACTGGCTGATCAGACATCAGCATATCATCAGTCTTGGAGGAAACCTTCCTTTCAAGGTGCTTATCTTAATGCCTGGAGAAAGAGAACAAGCAGAGAGTTAACCAAACTTATGAGACCATGTTAGGAGTGGTTTTTGTGTACTGATGCATGTTCTTGTGCACATGCATACATGCCTGGCTATTAATACATATTTGTATTTGTGGCAAAATTTAGACAGAAATCTGATAGTGAGGTTGTAGTGAAGGATATTCCCTACCTAGGTCTGATTGGAGATTATTAGACCTGACATTTGTTGAATGACCAAATTTACTTATGTCAGTTCACAAAAATGAGATCTCTGTTTTATGCCAGGTATCTGAAAGTTCAGGATATCTGTGAATTATGATAAAAGTGGTTGGGGAATTCTTGAATTCCTTTCATCTATAACCTGTCTCAAGTTATTGAGATTTGTACTTAGAGACTCTTATAGTTTTGTGAGATGTAGCAGCTGCAATTGGACTATTAAAAAGAATGGAGCAGGACTTGTTCTTATTGTGTTTCTACAGCATGAAAAGGAAAATTGTTTGCTTTGGTTTTTGTTTCTTTGCTCACTCAAAATCTCCCGGAAACAGTGGACACTTGGTTAATGACATAAACCCAAATTACTTTTCTACTCTTCAGAGTACCTATTCATATAGCACAAAAATATTGGTCAAATGCCTTTACAGAAGTGCTGCACTGGTGAAAAGCATGGAAGAATACAACAATGGAAAGCCCCAGGTTTTAGTCAATATATCTTCTCACCAGGGCAGATATAAACCATCCCACAGGAAATGTCACAAATTATAATCATACAAGATTATATTTCAAGAATGAAAAATTATCTAAGATTGCTTTAATAAAAATCTCCCCCAAACAAATGCCAGGTCCATGCTAGTTAATGTTATTAATAAACTGAATTATTTTGGCTAGTACTGGAGAGAAGTAACAAAAAAGATGTAAGAATGAATAAAATAGCAAAACTCAACTGAATGCCACCTAAAATAAACTCACTTTTAATAAGAAGATGCAGACAAGTTGAAAATAAATAGATGGACCAAAATATACCATATATAAGAAAACAAAAGACATTTAATAATGGTAAAAAGATCAAAACATCTCGAAAACAACAATTATAAATGTATATGTAGCATCAAAATGGACCATTAAAACACATGAAGGAAACCTTAACAATTTAGTGAAGAAATGAAAAATTGTATAAACATTTGGGCACTTAACAAACCTCTTTCAGCAATTTATAGAACAACTATGCACACACACAAAATAATAATAATAATAATAGAGATATGGAAGATGTTTAGAACACTATCAACCACATTGAACTAAATAATATATATAGAACACTGCATCCAACAACCATAAAATACTAATTATTTTCAAGTGCACAAAATATATTCACCAAGATAGAAGGCTTGCTAGACTATAAAACAAGTCTCTATGATTTTGAAAGTGTTAAAATAATGTATAATATGTCCTCTAACCAAAATTGAATTAAATTAAAAGCTAATTTTAAAAATTTATTGATACGGTTTGGCTGTGTACCTACAAATATCATCTTTAATTGTAGTTTCCATAATCCCTGCATGTTGTGGGAGGGACCTGGTGGGAGGAAATTCAGTCATAAGGGTGGTTACCTTCATGCTGTTCTCATGATTGATAGTGAGTGAGTTCTCATGAGACTTGATGGTTTTAAAAGGGGCTTTTCTCTTTTGCTCAGCATGTATCTCTCCTGCTGCCATGTGAAGAAGCATGTGTTTGCTTCTCTTGCACCATAATTGTAAGTTTCCTGAGGACTTCCCAGCCATGCTGAACTGTGATTCAATTAAACCTCTATCCTTTATAAATTACCCTGTCTTTGGAAGTTCTTTATAGCAGCGTGAGAATGAACTAATGCAGTAAATTGGTATCACAGAGAGTGAGATGCTGCTGTAAAGATATCCCAAAAATGTGGAAGCGACATTGGTACTGGCTAACAGGAAGAGGCTGAAACAAACAATCTGAAGGGCTTGGAAGAAGACAGGAAAATGTGGGAAAGTTTGGAACTTCCTAGAGACTTGGAGGGCTCAGAAGACAGGAAGATGTGGGAAAGTTTGAAACTTGCTAGAGATTTGTGGAATGGCTTTTACCAAAATGCTAATAGTGACATGGACAATAAAGTCCAGGCTGAGGTGGTCTCAGATGGAGATGAGAGACTTGGGAACTGAAGCAAAGGTGACTCTTTATAGCTTTATCAAAGAGACTGGCAGCATTTCCCCCTGCTCTAGAACTCTGTGGAACTTTGAATTGAGAGAGATAATTTAGGATGTCTGGCAGAAGAAATTTCTAAGCAGCAAGTATTCTAGAAGAAGCAGAGCATAAAGTTTGGAAAATTTGAAGCCTACTATGTGATAGAAAAGAAAAACCTATTTTCTGGGGAGAAATTCAAGCTGACTGCAGAAATTTGCATAGGTAATGAGAAGCCAAATGTTAATCACCAAGACAATGGGAAAAGTGTCTCCAGAGCATGTCAGAGAACTTCACAGCAGCCCCTCCAATCACAGTCCTGGAGGCCTAGGAGGGAAAAAATGGTTTCATTAACTGATCTCAGGGCCCCCCTGCTCTATGCAGCCTCAGGACATGGTGCCCTGCAACCCAGCTACTTCAGCTCCAGCTGTGGCTAAAAGGGGTCAATGTATAGCTCATGCCATTGCTTCAGATCAGTGAACTTATATTTGCAGGACTTAGCAGTAGAAACTCTTCAATCCGAAGCTACAAAGAAAAACACTGAGAAGAATAATCAGAGCCAAAGTGACATATGAGAAAACATAAAGCATTCTAATATATTTGTAACCAAATATCCAGAAGGAAGGCAGTGGGCAGGAAAAAACACAGAAGATTTAAACAAATGACCAAAATTATTTTAATTTTCTTTTCTTCTTTTCTTTTCTTTTTTTTAAGATGGAGCCTCACCCTTGTTGCCCAGGCTGGAGTGCAATGGTGCAATCTTGGCTCACCACAACCTCTGCCTCCCAGGTTCAAGTGATTCTCCTGCCTCAGCCTCCCAAGTAGCTGGGATTACAGGCATGTGGCACCACACCCAGTTAATTTTTGTATTTTTAGTAGAGATGTGGTTTCACCATGTTGGCCAGGCTGGTCTCAAACTCCTGACCTCAGTGATCTGCCTGCCTCAGCCTCCCAAAGTGCTGGGATTAAAGGCATGAGCCACCACATCTGGCCAAAATTCTTTTAAATGTAATAACAACTTTAGACTCACAAGTCTAAGAAGCTCAGCAAACTAGCAACACAAGAAACATGAAGAAAATCACATCAAGGCATGCCACAATGAAATTGTGTGATAAAGATAAAATATTTAAAGCTGCTAGAAGAAACATTACAAACATGAAAACAGAGATGAGAACGACAACAGACTTCCTGTCAAAACTATGCAAGTCGGAACAAAATGGAGAGAGAGTCTAAAAAAATCCTGCCAAATTAACTTCCTTATCCATTGAAAATATTTATTAAAATTAAAATCAAAATTAATATATCATCAGGCAAACAGAAGCTGAGAAAATGTATTGCCAGAAGACCTGAGTTAAAGAAATGTTGAGAGAGTTTTGCTAGCAGAAGGAAAATGATACCAGCTAGAAAGTTAGAGGTATGAAAAGGAATAAAGAGAGCCAATAAATGATAAATATATAGGTAAATATAAAGAATTTTTCTTATCTTTAAATGTATTTTCAAAATCAAAATAAGCTTCTATAAGAAAACCCTTTAAATACAAAACAAACAAACATAGGTTGAAGAAAAAGTATATATATGTGTATGTGCATATAGCTACACACCATAGAAACACGAAACAAAATGACACTGGAGTGGCAATATTGATATCAAACAAAGCAGGCTTCAGAAAAACAAATATTACTAGATATAAAGAGTATAATTATATAATGATGAAAGCGTCAATTTGTCAAGAAGAAATAACAATCTTAAATGTTTATGCATCCAACAGCAGAGCTTCAAAATACATAAAACATAAACTGATAAATTGAAGGGAGAAATAGACAAATCCAAAAGTATCATTGGATATATTAACATCTCTTTATTAGCAAGTAATATAATAGGCAGAGAGAAAATCATAACAATATAAAGGGCTTGAACAACCAGATTGACCTAATAGGCATAGTATATATTTTTAAGCGCAAAAATTGAATTTATACAAAGTATGTTAATTGACAGCAACAGAATTAACCTAGACATCAATAACCAAAAAAACCCGGAAGTTTCCCAAATATTTGTGTGTTAAACAGCACATTTCTAAACAGCCCATGGGTCAGAAAGAAATCAGAGAAAAATTAGAAAATATTTCTAATGAACAAAAATAAAAGTTTTTACATAAATTTTTGTGAGATACAGCTACAGCAGTGCTTAGAGGGAATTTTTGTTAGATGAGAAGAAAGATCTCAAAAACAATCACTTCTTTTCACCCAAGAAACTAGAAAAATAAGAACATAATAAATCAGAACAAGAAGAGGAAGAAATAATAAAGATAGATAGGAGCAAAAATCTAGAAAATTGAAAACAAGTATACAATACAGAAATCAATGAAATAAAAAACTGGTTTTCTGAAGAACTCAGTATCTCTGATGAACCTCTAGCTAGAATGATAAAGAAAATGAGAGAAATAGAAAAGAAATAAATTACTATTAACAGAAATGAGAGAGAAGACATCACTATAGACTCAAAAGATGTTGTAAGAATTAGGGAATATTATAAACTACCTTATGACAATACATTTGTTAACAGACGAAATAGGCCAGGCATAGTGGCTCATGCCTGTAATCCCAGCACTTTGAGAAGCCAAGGTGGGCAGATCACTTGAGGCCAGGAGTTTAAGACTAGCCTGGCCAACATGGTGAAACCCTGTCTCTACTAAAAATACAAAAATTAGCCGGATGTGGTGGTACAAACCTGTAATCCCAGCTACTTTTGTGTGGCTGAGGCATGAGATTCGTTTGGATCTGGGAGGCAGAGGTTGCAGTGAGCTCAAATGGGGCTACAGCACTCCAGCTTGGGTGACAAAGCACGACTGTCTTTAAAAAAAAAAAAAAAAGAAATATACAAACTATTTGAAAGACACATTCAATTCAAGAAGAAATAGTTAAACTGAATATTCCTGTATTATTAAATAAATTAAATTTGTAGTTGAAACCCTTCCCACACACACAAAAATTTATGCACAGATGTCACAATTGGCAACTTCTATCAAATATTCCAAGAAGAAAGCATATCAATTCTACACAAACTCTTCAATGAAAATAGGAGAAATAGCCTTTATGTTTTATAAGGTTAGCATTACCCCAAGTCAAAAAACAAAGCCATCAGAAGAAAAGAAAACTACAGACCAATATTTCCCATGAACACAAATGCAAAGATATTTTACAAAAGTAAAATTTAGCAATACATTATGACCAAGTGGGGTTTATTCCAGGAATGCAGTTTAGTCCAACACTGAAAAAATCATGTAATGTAATTCACCAAATAAATTAATAAAGAACAAAAATCATATTATCTCCATAGGTACAGAAAAAGCAACTGACAAAGTCAAACAACTGTTTCTGATAACGATTCTTGAGAAGTAAATAACTTCCCACACAAAATAAGGATACCTACCGAAAAATGTTTGTTAAAATTATATTTAATGAAGAAAGGTTGAATATTTTCCCCTTAAGATAAAAAGCAAGGCGAAGAGGTTTGCTCTCAGTACTTCTTTTCAGCATTGTGTTGGAGGGCTAAGCATTCTAAGAAGGAGGAAGAGGAAAAGGAGGAAGGTAATGATATGCAGATTGAAAAGGAAGAAGAAAAAGTGTCTATTGTTCCACAGATGACATGTCTGTTAGAAAAAGGATTTTTTAAAATTCTACTAGAACTATTTGGTAATTTAGCAAGGTTTCAGAATGCATAGTCAATATGCAAAAATTAATTTAAGTCTGTATTAATAACAAACAACTGGACACAGAAATTTTTAAAATTTGCAATAGCATGAAAATATGCAATATTTAGGGAAAATTTAACAAATATATGCAAATATTGTACATTAAAAAATATAAAAATTTGAACAGAAAAATTATAGACATAATAAAGTGAAGAGAAAAACATATTCATGGATTCAATTAATCAAATATTAAGACTTTAATTTTCCCTAGATAGATATAGAGATTGAATATAATTACTAACAAGATCTCATCAGATTTTTGTATAAATTTAATAAACTTATTTATTTAATAAACTTTATTTAATAAACATGTTTTCAACTTTATATTAAAGTGTAAAGTCTCTAGAATGTCCAGTTTTTTGAAAATAAATAACACAACTGAATAATAAGGCAAGAAATATAAAATGGAAAAATGTTTGAACAGACATTTCACAGCCAAAGATACTCAACATCATTACTTAGCATCAGGGAAATGCAAATTGCAACCCAGGTACTGCCACCCACACACTGGAATGGCTAAAATTATGAAGACTGACAGTACAAAATTTTGTAGGAGATGTAGAGCTACTGGAACTTTCACGCATTGCTGATGTTAATGTAAAATATTAAAACAATTTTGGAAAATATTTGGCAGTAAAATTAATGAAAATAAACATAATATGCCTCCCATCAATTCACTCCTAGGAATTTACTCAAGATAAATTAAAGTATATGTCCACATAAAGAGTTTCAGGTTTTCTTATGTAGCACAGGATCTAAAGTGTGTATTTATAAGCCATATTAAAATATTTGTAGCTGCTTCATTTATATTAGCCAAAAACTATAAATAACTTAAATGTTTATCAAGAGGTGAATGGGTAAGAAAATTGTAGTATATCTATAATACATAATATTACTCAGGTATTAAAAGAGGTAAGCTACTTATACGTGCAATAAAAATGAAAAATAAAAACATTATGCTGAACAAAAGAAGCTGAACCAAAAACACATTCTGGTTTATTCTATGTATATGAAATTCTATAAAAGGGAAATCTAATGTCTAATGACATAAAGCAGATCTGTGGTTTCTAGAGACCAAAGGTGGAGAGAGGGGACTAACTGAACAAAAGCCATGGGGAAACATTGTTGAGTGGCGTTTCTGTACTTGGTGGTGGTAGTGCATGCATTTGTTAAATCTCATGGAACTACACCCTTAAAATGGGGTGCATCTTATTGAGTGTCAATTATATTTCAATAAATTTTATTAAAAATAAATTCTTTTTAAAATATTTTTATTAATATTATTATTGCAATAGTTTTTGGGGAACAGGTTGGTGTTTGGTTACATGGATAAGCTCTTTAGTGGTGATTTCTGAGATTTTGGTACACCCATCACCTGAGCAGTGTACACTGCACCCAATGTGAAAAAAATAAATGAAATTAATAAAAATCTACTCTCTTGAAAACAAAATGGCAGAGGAAGAGAGACCTGAGTTGGTATGTTCTTGCCCTCTCACCATGTGATGCTCTCTACCACGTTATGACTCAGCAAGAAGGCTATCTATCCCCAGATGCCAGTGCTGTGCTCTTGGACTTCTTACTATTCAGAACCATGAGTTAAAGAAACATACTTTTCTTATAAAAATAAAATAAAAATAAAAATGGATATTTTAAAGGAAAAGTCTTATAGTGGCTTATGTAATATCAAAGTACTAGGAAAGTGTGATATCATATTACGTTGTGAAAACTATAATATTGTCTGAACTTTAGTATCCCACTTTTCCACTTTAGTTTTTCCTAACATTTGTATTTTTCAAAAAGAAAAATTGCTAAGTGTGGGCATAGAGTCAAAATTCTAACATGTTTCTCAATAGCTAAACGACCAGATAAAGTATCATTTTATAAATACGCAGAAAGGAAGAAAGTTTGTATTAAAGTCAGCATGAATTTGATAACATGCCTAAGAAGTATGGCTGATTTCATTATCTAAGGACTCAAAGCTTTTTACCACAAACATACTAGTCATTCTTCCTGAAAACTCCTCAGGGGCAAAGTACCCAAATTTCACAAAAGGCTGTCATACTTCTCATGTTTTAGAAAGATTCGAAAATATAGATGCCATTTACAGATCTCGACTTTGACTTCCATTGTTCCAGCCTTCTCCGTGATCTGGAATCTCACATTCCTGTGTTCTAACCCTTTTCTGCTCTTTGCTCTTAAAAATCAAGTTAAGTTCTGACCAGTTGTCTCCAAAAATACATAAATTTGGGATAGAATAACATATATATTTAGGAAGACGGATACACATTAATTTTAAAGTCCCACCTTAGTACTGATCAGCAATAAACATGGATATTTAAGAGGACTGCAAATCAAACACATTTATTTTCCTGTGTGATAGATATACCTATGTTTCTATGTAGAACAAATAAGGGTACAGAGAAACATAAGTGCATGGTTATATTACTATAAATTCCTAGTCACATGTTCTCACTTATAAGTGGGAGCTAAACATTGGGTACACATGGGTACAAAGATGGGAACAATAAACACTGGGGATTCTAAAACCAGGGAGGGAGGAAGAGAGGTAAGGGTTGAAAAACCACCTATCAAGTACTATGTTCATTACTTGAGTGACAGGATCATTAGAAGCCCAAACTCCAGCATCATGCAAAATATCCATGTAACAAACCTGCAGATGTACCCCCTAAATTTTAAAAAATAAAATATAAAGTAAGTAAATAAATACATATCTAGAGATTTGTGTCTACACTGAGGAAAATATATTTTCTAACATCTTAGAACAAGAATTACATACTATTTCCCCCAGTCACTTAAAAAAATTTGAGAAACTCTGCAACTTTTATTTGTGGAAATAACACATTAATTTAAGGTTGCTTATAAAATAGAAAAATATTTCACAAAAATGGATGCATTTCAAATAGAATAAATGTAAAGTAGTATTTATAAATTCATAAATGTATCCTCCTAACATTATTTATATTCTGTAAACAGAAATTCTATGCATTCTATTCACATTAGAATCCATTTGAGATAGAAAACAGTAAAATAAGAAACCTTTGGTTTCTTTAGAAAGTTGCCTAGGTGACAATAAGAACATAGAGAAGCCAAAATTAAATAAATAAAAGAAAATAACACACAGGTTCAATGGAAGGAAACATATGTATGGTAGAACAAGACTGAAATGTCCAGTAGACGTTGGAGCACTTTCACAAAAGAAAAATGTCACAGACTGTTGTAATAGTTGTAAGATGTTTGGTTTACGGGAAATATTATGCTATTAATCAGCAGTAAATCATAGTGGCTAAGAGGGTGTGATTTGGACTCAAGCTACTTACATCAAATACTGCTTGGCCACTTAGTGCTTATGACCTTGGGCAGCTTTTAACCCTCTGATCTTCAGGGACTCCCTAGGGTTTTGTGTAGCTTAAAATGAGAAAATGCAAGTAAAGTGCTTACCATAAAACTTGGTATAATAAGCACCTGCTAAATGTAAACTATTAGTGGGTAGTAGTAGATTATTTTTATTAATTACAATTGATAGAAGTGACCAAAGAAAGTGAAAAAGAACTGGAATCATTCTTGTCATGATTATTTTAGGAATGGTGACTGAAAAGGATTTCAGGTTTTCTCCTATAGCAAATGATCTAAACTATAGGTTTATAAGCTGTACTGAAACATCTTGAAGGACATAAAGAAAATTCTATTTTCTTACCTTTAATGACCAGAATTTGTTCCATAGGTTACCCAGTTTCCAGTAGGAGCAGGACAGGGATAATCTAAAAAGTGGATACAAAAGAGCAGTCTTCCATGTGGTAGGCATTGACCTACCTGAAATCAGAGGGGTTAGACCAGATTACCACCTGTATGGCATATTTCCTTTTGATCCCAAGGCCTTTAACAATTATTTGTATCTCTTGGGATATAAAATCCTGCCAAATGAATTCAAAGCTGTAATTATAATGCCGCTACACAAGACAAAGGTGGCAGATTGGAGTGTGAAAATAGCTTGGGAGATCTCCTGTCAATCTACACTTGATACTGCTCTGGCAAGAATCTTTCTCAACTGGCTGCTTCCTCATGTGCTAAAATGCACTTTTACCAGAGAGCCCGCATGGCTGCAGAGGAGGAAGTGTTGCCGCCAACTTGATCTTTACTCTCCATAAGCTCCAGGAAAAGGCATGTGAAAAGTGCCATCTGTGGTACGTGGCTCTTTCTGATCTAATGCAGGCCTTTGACAGTATTAATAGAACAATGTTGCAGCAACTTCTCAGAAAATACAGATGCCCAGAAATTTTGGAAGGCCTTTCTTTTTAAATCCACCATTAACAACTCTAGAAGAATTGATCTGGGTAGGATCCAGTATTGTCTTTGTCAGGTTATGTCACATTTAGAAAGGGGAGAAAGCTCTGTGCATCTGGTTGTATTCATATCCTCCTACCTGGTCTCTAGAGATGTTATTATTGAAACCGTTCAGAGATCTTCAGATATATTTTTAGCTCTACATTTGGAGTGGGGGATGGGTAAAAGAGCAGTGAGGTGAAGCCTATTACTAGACCTTGGATCCACAGAATTGTGTATCTTTTTTGTATAAACAATTTTTGTCTGTGTGTCAGGAAAGCAACAGTTTACTAAAGAGCCACTTTATCTCAATTAAACATCTTGACAGACTAATAATTAATCGGGCATTCAAATTATATTCTGCCAGGACAATAGCTGTAAAATTTATCCTCCTACCTGTCTGCTAGCAATTAGGGATTAACAAGCAGCTAAGGAAGAAAATAAACTTAATGTGCATTCATTGGTCATTTTTCCTTGACTACAGTTTATTTGTTCCACCTGGCATTACAGGCCGCTAATTGCTGAACTATTCATTTTCTAAGAGATCTCAGACACATTTCCAATGCTATGGCATAACAAGTTCTTGAGAATTCATATCATGACATTTTATTAGCAGGGCTTTTGGAGAAACTTAAAAATAGACATGATATATGGAGGAGCATAATAATGAGGTGCTAATGAGAAGTCTGGGACAATAGCACCCTAGAATGGGATACATGGGATAATGAGGAGATAAACTTGTTATCCAAGGTTTTTTTTTTGTTTTTTTTTGTTTTTTGTTTTTGAGACGGAGTCTCGCTTTGCCGCCCAGGCTGGAGTGCAGTGGCGCTATCTCGGCTCACTGCAAGCTCCGCCTCCCGGGTTCACGCCATTCTCCTGCCTCAGCCTCACAAGTAGCCAGGGCTACAGGCGCCTGCCACCACGCCCGGCTAATTTTTTTTTTTTGTATTTTTAGTAGAGAGGGGGTTTCATTGTGTTAGCCAGGATGGTCTCGATCTCATGACCTCGTGATCCACCCACCTCGGCCTCCCAAAGTGCAGGGATTACAGGCGTTATCCAAGTTTTGCTGCTAACAAAATTCCATGTCCTGTCTGTGTATAATATACCCTTCCACAGTTTTCAATTCAGGGGCAACTAGGGGTTTTTTACTAGGGGAGGCGGGTCAGGACAAAAGAGTAGAGATGGACCCAGAGGGAAATATACACTAATTGTACAGGGAGAAAAATCCAAACGGAACATTTTGTGAGATGTCTTAGCTGAAGAAGTAAAGAATCGATAGAGCAAAAGTCATTTTAAAAGGGATTAAATTTTTATACCTATGTTCATAGCAGAATTATCCACAATAGCCAAAATGTCAAAACAACACAAATGTTCAATGATAGACAAATAAATAAACAAAATGGGATATATGCATATTATAATGGACTATTATTTACCCTTAAAAAGGAATGAAATTCTGATACATGATACAACATGGACGAACTTGAAGATATTATGTTAAGTAAAATCAGTCAGACATAAAAGGACAAATACTGCGTAACACAACTTATATCAGGTACCCACAGTAGTCAAATTCACAGAGACACAAAGTAAAACAGAAGTTTCTGGGAGCTGGAGGGAGGAAGGAAGGAAAAATTATTCTTTAATGGGTGTGGAGTTTCACTTTGAAATGATGAAAAAGTTCTAGAAATGAATGGTGGTTATGATTGCATAATGCTGTGACTGTATTTAAAGCCACAGCACTGAACACTCAAAAATGGCTAAAATGGTAAGTTCTAGATTATATATATTATACTATAATAAAACATAGAAATCAAAACACATTTAAATGTTTCTCAAATTTGTCCTAAAAGCTTAACAAAGATGGAATACTCCATGGGTTATTCTATTTCTAGTTTGCACAGAAAATCATTTTGTTAAAAAGCTTGATCACCCACTTTTTTTAAAATTTCAACTTTTATTTTAGATTCAGGCACATGTGCAGGTTTGTTACATGGGTATGCTTCTTGATGCAGAGGTTTGGGGTATGACTGAACCTATCACCCAGGAAGTGAGCATAGTAGCCAACAGTTAGTTTTTCAACCATTGCCCCCTCAGTTCTTTCCCTCCCCACAGTCCCCAGTGTCAATTGTTGTCATCTATATCCATGGGTACCCAGTGATAAACCATATTTGGTTATATCTTTGACAAGACAAAAAAATAACGAGAAAAAAACGTTTAAAAAAACAAGATAGTGGAATTCCTTTTGAGTTTGATAACACAACTGTTTGTCCTTGTCCTTATTGAGAAAACCAGCCGGCAGGATTAACAAAACTCCTTATCCTTTCCAGTAGTTATTACTATTTGGGGAGGGTGGGAAATTTAGGGTGAATAAGCTTTTATTAAACTGTAGCATACAGTCTTTCCATTATCTTTTCTACTGCTTCATTTATTTTGCACCCTAATCATTTTTTTTGCAATCAATTAAAAGTCCTTTCAGGAGATGATCCATTAAATAACTCCTAAGACAGTTCTCAAATGGATGTATTCTACCTCCTTATAATACTAATTATTTAAACAACGGACAAGGCACTAAACTTTAAACCATAAAGTCATTAAATTTCAGTTCCCCATTTGTGAAGCTAAGCTGTAATGAGGATCCAAGTGTGTAGCAGAACACAATACTAAATGAGTTAGATAAGATCCAAAGAAGTATAGATCAGGGTCTGCAAGTACTCCGAGAAACGAGTGAAAAAATAGACACATGTTTGTATGAGAAAAGATATCAGACACACACACATGCATGAGAAATTTGATCAATTATATAAAATAGGGATATTTATTTATAATGCCTTATCTTAAGGCAGTGACTATGTGATCTTAAAAACATTTGGTAAAGGAAATTCAGCCACTAATCTGAAAAATAAATACCCCATCATCATCCAAATGATCATCTATAATATAATGCTAATGTTGTGGCAATTACATGTCTACGCCCCCATAGTGCTGTAGAGAAATAGCCATACTCTGTGAATAAAAGTGTTAGATAACAGATGGAAAAGCAAAACATGCCATATGAGAGACCTTCTCAAGAAAGAAAATAACAGAAATAGAGATTGCTTAGAATATAGGTTTTAAAACAGACCTAAATGTAAAATGATCAGTATTTTACAAATCTTCCTTGTAACAAACAATAGCCCAGTTCTATTAGTTGACACTATAAACTTTGCAAATAAATGCAAAAATGTTGTAAAGTGAATTAGCTAAAATTTATATGCTATTTCTTTTGAAGCAACATGATCGACCAACTAAATACAGAATATGTAATTACTCCTACAGGATTAAAAGAAAATTACAGCTGTGCCCTAGGTAAAACTTTTAGAAACATTTGATTGTACAACTGACTGAATCTAATCATCAAAATAGGATGCAGCTCTAAATTGCATAATCTCTATTTAGTTATTAATAAGCAATATTAATGTCTTCTGTAGAATAACAACACAAAACCAAAATAGCTAAATGAAAAGAAAAAAAGCAATTATCTACATGTTTGAATCCATATGTTATATCTTATGAGTCAGAAATCTACACATCTTAACCTCATGTAGATAACACTTGCCCATAAATTTTAAGTGTCATCTTTCCGCCTCCTCCCTGTTTTGGTCTTTACCTGACATGCATTTCCAGGAATATTCTAGTTTATAGATTTCTGAACTCTGGTATGTATGCACCTGAGATTATCATTCTTAATATTGTTGGTCCATGGTATCACTCTTCATGAAAATCTGTTCTCCCGTCATGGTAATATTTAAAGATTTTCTCTTTTTTAAAAAGTGTGTTTTAATTGTGCTGACAAAAAGAGTAAAACTCTGTAAAATATTTAAAGTGGTTCATTCTGAGCCAAATGTGAGTGACCAAGGCCCAAGGCGCAGTCTCAAGAGGTTCCAAGAACATATGCCTAAAGTGATTGGGTTACAGCTTGGTTTTGCGTTGTAGGGAGACACAATACATGTAAGATATGCAGTGGTTCAGTCCAGAAAGGTGGGACAGCTCAAATTGGGGGTCTTAACGGTCATTGGTAGATTCAAAAGTTTTCTGACTGGCCATTAGTTGATAGTTATTATTTAAAGACCTAGAATCAATAGAAAGGAGTGTCTGGATTAAGATAAGGGGTTGTGGAGACCAAGGTTCTTCTTATGTAGAATTGGTGGTAAATGCCTCTTTATCAGGCATTAAAATGTTTCAGCCTCCTAGTTAAATCTATCCTGAAAAGGGGAGGGGATTCTCTACAGAATGAAGATATTCCCCACAAGGGACAGCTTTACAGGACCATTTAAAAATATGTCAAAGAAATATAGTTTGGGGTAAAAATACTTCAGTTTCTTTCATGGGCTGCTGTCAAGTGATGCTATATTAAAGTCAGGTTGGAATTTGGTATCACATAGCTACAAAGTGTCTGTTTTGTCAGTCTTAAGATCTCTATTTTAATGTTAATGGTGATCTGTTGTGCCTAAATTCCAAAGGGAGGAGGGTAGAATGGGGCATGTCCAAAACCCTCTTCCCATCATGGACTGAACTAGTTTTTCAGGTTTTCTTTGGAATCCCCTTTGCCCAGAGAAGGGGGTAGATTCTGTTGATTGGAGGGCTTAGAATTTTTTTTTTTTTTTTTTGAGACAGAGTCTTGCTCTGTTGCCCAGGCTGGAGTGCAGTGGCACGATCAATCTCCGCTCACTGCAAGCTCCGCCTCCCGGGTTCACATCATTCTCCTGTCTCAGCCTCCCAAGTAGCTGGGACCACAGGCACCCGCCACCACACCCAGCTAATTTCTTTTGTATTTTTAGTAGAGATGGGGTTTCACCATGTTAGCCAGGATGGTCTCGATCTCCTGACCTTGTGATCCACCCACCTAAGCCTCCCAAAGTGCCGGGATTACAGGTGTGAGCCACCGCGCCCGGCCAGAATTTTATGTTTAGTTTACAACTGGCTTGAGGTAGATTATGTCAATTTTTCCTTGATTTGGGGTAATGTTCTTCCCATAAATATCCTCCTAATAATCCCTTCCACGTGGAGGCAGCTTCATTCTCCTGTTTATTTTGGTACCTCCCAGTCATCTCCCTTGGGTAGGAGATATGACATATTTGATTAGTATGTTTGAGCGATTAATCAGGGTTGCATGTCTCAACATTTGCTGCCCACTTTTTCTTTGGGCAATAGCTGCCTACAGGAAGCAAGTTTTCTCCTACAATCTAGAAACACAGAGAAGGCTCCTGTTGGAGGACACCAAGAGTTGTCAATGCTCCCTGTGCCTGGAAGACTATGTCTAGTAGTTTATATTAGGTTGGTGCAAAATAATTGCAGTTTTTCCCGTAAACAAATGGCAAAAACTGGCTGGGCATGGTGGCTCATGCCTGTAATCCTAGCACTTTGGGAGGCTAAGGCAGGTGGATCACCTGAGGTCAGGAGTTCGAGACCAGCCTGACCAACATGAAGAAACCCAGTCTCTACTAAAAATACAAAATTAGCTGGGTGTGATGGTGCATGCCTGTAATCCCAGCTACTTGGGAGGCTGAGGCAGGAGAATCACTTGAACCTGGGAGGTGGAGGTTGCAGCGAGCCGAGATCGCACCATCGTACTCCAGCCTGGGCAAAGAGAGCGAAACTCCGTCTCAAAAAAAAAAAGCAAAAACCGTACTTGCTTTTTCACCAACCTAATATTATAAAGCCTACTATTGCCACAAACCTAAATCACATTATCCAATATCAGCTTTATGAGCAATGAGGGCTCTTCATCTGATATGTTTCTATCTTATCTTTCAAATAATTCAGAAAGTAGGCAGGAAAAGGGGATGTTATAATTTATTTATTCTCCTCAAGATTCCATTTCTGAACCCTCAATTCATTTTTGTTTGTTTCATGGTTGTTTTGAAACTGCCTTTGCAAAAGTTCTAACAGTGAGAAAATTATGACAGTGAAAGAGATCTGACCTAACAAACTTCATCTTCCCTCTAACTCCAAATTGCCCTTCATCATTCCTGGGTGAGGGCCTAGCTAACTTTAGGAAAAATGTAGTTTATAATTTAAATAACAATAGCCCTTCTAAAAACTAAATTGCCTTTATAAATTAAGAAAAGGCCACATGTTTAGAATTTTGAGAGGAGCCTGAATTTTGATAAGATGTAGGCATAAACAACAGCCATTTTTGCAGAAGTCACTAGATTTGTAAATTCCCCAATTATTTCTATAACATCATTATTATAGAACCTAAGAGTGGCCTTTTAAGGTGCCTATTCAGACTTTTGCATTACCGAGGACCAAATGACTCCTCTGGGACCCAAGACAAGACTCAACCAGTCCTGTGGCCCTACCTGGAATCAGACTCAGTGCACAAGGACCATTTTCTATACCCCTATGATTGTATCCTCAACCAATCAGCAGCACCCATTCCCTAGCCCCTGCCTTCCAAACCATCTTTAAAACACCCTAGCCTCCAAATTTTCAGGGATGCTGATTTGAGTAATAATAAAAGTTTGGTCTTCCGTTTAGTGGGCCCTCTATTACACTTTTTCTCTATTGCAATTTCCCTGTCTTGATAGACTGAGTGTATCTGAGCAGTGGTCAAGATGAACCCGTCAGGCGGTTACATTTTCAGCAAGAGGGAAGAGGGACTCAAGAAAGTACTTTTTCCACCAAGTAGATTTTAAAAGTTCCAGAAATGTAGGAAAGTTCTAAAAGCATAAGGATCATGACTGGGGGGAAAAATAGATATTCACTTTTAGTGTCAAATTCATTCGTGTCATAGAATTTGATTTTAGGACAATAGTACCTTTCTTAAATGAACCAATATAAAAATATTTATTAAGCAACTGCTACACATTATTATATTTGTAAAGTTAATTTGCTATTTAAGTACAAGGGTTCCAATGGTATTTGGTAAAGCCTGTTTTCACTAGGAATTCATTTCATCTCTTAAAAACTCCATCAAATATTTTAACAATTAAATATACACTGATTATGAATTTTTCATTAAATCCCATTAGGAAAATTACCATATTTCTTAATAAGAAAATGTATTTTGGTTACAAAAGCTAAAAGGTTAGTTCTTCTCTGATGCAATGAACCCAGGAACTTGACTTGAAAGGCCAGAGAGCGTCACAGAGGGAGACTGCCAGCCACTCCGTGCATATTTATGGACTTGTTGTTCTGGTGGTAAGTACTCTCCTGACAGCCAGTGCTAAATCTAATCAATCATCCCTTAAATACATCATAGTGTAGATTCACCTCACTCCTTCATTAGCATTCATTAGCAATTAATCAACACAGCAGGAGTCTCTAGAAAGTTCAACAATCCATAAGGTACATTTACATTAAAGATGAGCAAACATGAGGAGAGATAAAAAGAATCAGGAGATGAGCTGTGTCAAATCTGTGGTGGAAAACTAAATTTTGATGTGATCTTCCAAAAACAAAAATCAACAGAATTTGGTTATTCAGCCTAAGACTTAAACTCTTGATTAACAAGCAGTAGCCTGCGTAACTCTATTACAGTTGTCACAGACAGATTTATGCTCCCATCAGCCTGCTGAGTACATTTGTTCCACTTCAAGTAAGCCTTATGTATTGTCATTATATCTTCAAAAGGAACGAAAAGACGTTGTATCCAATTTTTTGCAATTGTGGGCAATAGCTTAATTCAGTCCTTAACTGTGTTCTTGCCGAGAGTTGAGAGTTATAATGGAAACCTATTTCCCTGCAGGATGAAAAGGAGTCCTGCTGTGGCTTATAATACCCTGAACCCATGGCTGAGAGCTGTATTGTGCCCACTGAAGTGTCTCTCTTTAAAAGGAGAGCCATAGGGAGGGGTGTCCTTCACTGGTCAGAGCACCGGCATAGGCTCAAGAATCATGGAGTCCTCTCCTGCCTAACCTCACTGAATTCCTCCAAGCCTTGAGCCAAACTATCTTCCGTTTTCCTGTCAGATAGAAAGATATTTCTTGAGGGTGAAAAAATAATAATACAAAGAAGTATTTTGCCCACAATTATTTTAATGCTTTGGTTTAATTATTCCAATTTATCATCTGATTTTAAAGTAATTCAAAATCATTATGCTCAAATGAGAAATATATAATGGCTAGATGATTTCTCAGCTTCAAAATATTAACTGACAAATATATGTTTAAAGATATATGCCATAAAAATGGCAACAAATGGCGACTATTGGAGCCATCTTGAGCTAATTTAAATAATGCCAATTTGGAATATTAATGTTAAATGATAACTGATAGATGTTAAACATGTGATACATTTAATTTTAGACATACAGAAGTGTACATGATTGTAACAGTGTTACAAACAATATTCGTTTGGTCCACATAGGTTGAAATCTTTGACTCAGACCATGTATTGGAACCATTTTTTTTCCCAAACAAATACTTCAAACTTCAATATAATCCAAACACCCTGCATTGGTAAACTTATCTCAGCATGTGTGAGCAACGAATTGCTACCAATGGGATTGCTTTATTTTGGGAGTCGTAAATGGCTCTGAAAGATTTCGGTCTCATACTGCAGTGGAAATAAAGATCTATATATTTTTTTTCTTTTCTCTTTAAAGAAAATTTTACAAATGTCACAGTTTGTTGGATTGGTCCAGTCTGGTTCTCCATGGCTATAATTCAAAAGAAGAGTGAAGTAGCTTGCAGCCCAGCATGGCTCATCATTTGATTTTCAGAATAGACTTCCAAACTCTTCTCAACCACTACCACCTCAATTCTTGTTGAGTTTATCTGGATGTTTTCTAAAAGACTAAATTCTGGATTTATTTATTTATTTTTATTAGTCTTTAAAATGTCAACTTTTCTTTCAGATTCAGGGGGTACATGTGCATGTTTGTACCTGGGTATATTGTATGATGCTGAGGTTTGGGGTTTTTAAAGTTTTATCTCAATAATTTCTCCTCAATTTTTTTTTTCAAATCCCTTTTGAAAAGGGTTCATTTTAGGGGCCAAGCTCATTTCTAGTGCACATTTCAGAAGCTGATAGAGTTATGCTTAGAAATGCTTTGTCTCATCCTGCTTCTCCATTTTATCCCAGCTATCTACTGTAACAGAAGAAAACAATACAATCTAGATAGGAAACTGAATTAGCTGATAAAAGCATTAAATTAGAGGCATGTTAAGATACTACTCAGGCATGAAGACTCTACAGTGCTCCACTTAAGTCCAGCAGCAACTCAGATCCTCATCACCTGAGTCTCTGACTGCAGCCATCAGCAGTGACTGACAGGTTCACATCAGGAGGCATCAAACCTTCATACATTTTTAACTACCCCAAATGATCCTAATGGAGAATTTAAAACAATTTGGGAATTCAATATTAGGGAAATGCATTCAAATGCAAGATCAGACAAACATATTAGCCAATATTCAAAGTATTAATGGACCTTAGAATTAAGTCTGTCCAGTTGAAGATAATTCATAAGGCCTTCTGGACACCAGGGATGGTCTTTAGGGTGGGGGTGGAGAGGACACATTCAGGAAATGGTAATAAAAGGTGAACAAGATGGGGGAAGGGGATGGAGGTCAGCACCACTGTGATAGATACAGACAGAGAAGTGATTGGTTATATATCTATCTTTTGTTTTTCAGACAGACTGAATGGTGCATTATATCACTTTTCAGCCATTCAGTTAGATAAGTTAGCATTTTCAGTCTCATAAAGTCATGAGATTAAAACACATTTTTTAAAAAAGATTTTACGTAATCACCAAATTCACATTAATAAAGCAAGGAGCTGCCATATTACTCCAGAGATAAATATTCCTAAGACAGAGATGCTGCCCATTCTTATTTCTAAGGAAACTTATGAAAGAGAGAAAGCAAATTGCCCAGATCAGTATGATTTTAGGCACATTATCTACTATCTCTGCTTTAGTTTTCTAATATATAAAACAAAGTCAATAATGGTACCAACCTCCCCAGGTTGTTATGAGGGCTATGGGATCCTTTTTTTTTTTTTCTTTTTTTTGAGGTAGTCTTGCTCTGTAGCCAAGGCTGGAGTGCAGTAGCATGATCATGGCTCACTGCAGCCTCAAACTCATGAGTTCAAGCAATCCTCCTGCCTCAGCCTCCTGAGAAGTTGAGACTACAGGAACATACCTCCATACTGGCTAATTTTGTATTTTTTGCAGAGATGGGGTCTCAGATTTTGAGAGATGTTGCTCAGGCTGTTTTTGAACTCCTGGGCTCAAGTGAGCCTTCCACCTAAGCCTGCCAAAGTGTTGGGATTACAGACATGAGCTCACTGTGCCCAGCTGTGATTCAATTTTGTAAAAGCCTTAAAAGAAGTCCAGCTTTACAGTAAGCATGGTACATGTATTGCTGCTGTTGCTACCGCTATTAAGGTCTCAAGACTTGAAATTTCTCAAGTGAAATATAATAAAGATATTTTCTGGAAAAAAAGGTTTAGAACATACTGGAAACTCTTAAAAGTTTTTAGACAGAAGATTACTTTTATCTCTTTAGATTATTGATACTTATTCCTAAGTGAAGACATGGGAATGGCTTCTTATTTTCCTGATCCCTGTGTTTCTATGAGGCACAAAAAGGAGAAGTTGTGAAGTGTAAAAATGAGGAAGCTAATTCCACCCTCCTGGAAATGTCACCCCTATGAAAACTATTAACAGGCTTCTCCATGAGACATGCATGCAAGCAGGTGGTCTGGCATAGTGGAGAGAATGTGGACATGTGCTCCCACCTTCTGGCTTCTGTGAGTGTGGGGAAGCAGCCCCACTTCTTTCAGAATTAGCTTTTTTATTTTAAAAAGAAGTTTTCCTGAGAATTAAATGTTATTATATGTATTAATTTTGTGCTTTAATATCTGGTTCATTAAATGGTAGCTATTAATTTATTATCATTGTATCTACCAAAAATACATTAAGCAAAGAGACCAGAGGCAAGATTCAGGAAAAAATTCAGGAACACCTTGATAAACTCTTAGTTACAATGTACATAGAAGTAGTTCCAGTTTTTTATTTGATAAAAGAAATATAGAAGGACTATTCTTATATTCACGGTTTTCAGTGTTTTAAAGCACACAGATGAGTTTATCAAAGCAATGGATTGCATGAGCTCCTCACTCCAACTTTCTGGGTAAGAGGACTTTGGAAGAGAGCAACACATCTAATAAGCCTGTGATAAAGCATGTTACAAGGAAAATATTGTTGTACCAGAATTTAAACTATAGGTATTTCTCTTTTTTTTTTTCCAAGTTCATGTGACTTAAGTAAATCTTTATTTTTATTTATTTTTATTTATTATTACTATACTTTAAGTTTTAGGGTACATGTGCACAATGTGCAGGTTAGTTACATATGTATACATGTGCCATGCTGGTGTGCTGCACCCACTAACTCGTCATCTAGCATTAGGTATATCTCCTGATGCTATCCCTCCCCCCTCCCACCACCCCACAACAGTCCCCAGAGTGTGATGTTGCCCTTCCTGTGTCCACGTGTTCTCATTGTTCAATTCCCACCTATGAGTGAGAATATGCGGTGTTTGGTTTTTTGTTCTTGTGATAGTTTACTGAGAATGATGATTTCCAATTTCATCCATGTCCCTACAAAGGACATGAACTCATCATTTTTTATGGCTGTATAGTATTCCATGGTGTATATGTGCCACATTTTCTTAATCCAGTCTATCATTGTTGGACATTTGGGTTAGTTCCAAGTCTTTGCTATTGTGAATAATGCCGTGATAAACATATATGTGCATGTGTCTTTATAGCAGCATGATTTATAGTCCTTTTGATAGACCGCTAGCAAGACTAATAAAGAAAAAAAGACAGAAGAATCAAATAGACACAATAAAAAATGATAAAGGGGATATCACCACCGATCCTACAGAAATATAAACTACCATCAGAGAATACCACAAACACCTCTATGCAAATAAACTAGAAAATCTAGAAGAAATGGATAAATTCCTCAACACATACACTCTCCCAAGACTAAACCAGGAAGAAGTTGAATCTCTGAATAGACCAATAACAGGAGCTGAAATTGTGGCAATAATCAATAGCTTACCAGCCAAAAACAGTCCAGGACGAGATGGATTCACAGCCGAATTCTACCAGAGGTACAAGGAGGAACTGATACCATTCCTTCTGAAACTATTCCAATCAATAGAAAAAGAAGGAATCCTCCCTAACTCATTTTATGAGGCCAGCATCATCCTGATACCAAAGCCGGGCAGAGACACAACCAAAAAAGAGAATTTTAGACCAATATCCTTGATGAACATTGATGCAAAAATCCTCAATAAAATACTGGCAAACCGAATCTAGCAGCACATCAAAAAGCTTATCCACCATGATCAAGTGGGATTCATCCCAGAGATGCAAGGCTGGTTCAATATACGCAAATGAATAAATGTAATCCAGCATATAAACAGAACCAAAGACAAAAACCACATGATTATCTCAATAGATGCAGAAAAGGCCTTTGACAAAATTCAACAACCATTCATGCGAAAAACTCTCAATAAATTAGGTATTGATGGGACGTATCTCAAAATAATAAGAGCTATCTATGACAAACCTACAGCCAATATCATACTGAATGGGCAAAAACTGGAAGCATTCCCTTTGAAAACTGGCAAAAGACAGGGATGCCCTCTCTCACCACTCCTATTCAACATAGTGTTGGAAGTTCTGGCCAGGGCAATTAGGCAGGAGAAGGAAATAAAGGGTATTCAATTAGGAAAAAAGGAAGTCAAATTGTCCCTGTTTGCAGACGACATGATTGTATATCTAGAAAACCCCATTGTCTCAGCCCAAAATCTCCTTCAGCTGATAAGCAACTTCAGCAAAGTCTCAGGATACAAAATCAATGTACAAAAATCACAAGCATTCTTATACACCAACAACAGACAGAGAGCCAAATCATGAGTGAACTCCCATTCACAATTGCTTCAAAGAGAATAAAACACCTAGGAATCCAACTTACAAGGGATGTGAAGGACCTATTCAAGGAGAACTACAAACCACTGCTCAAGGAAATAAAAGAGGATACAAACAAATGGAAGAACATTCCATGCTCATGGGTAGGAAGAATCCATATCGTGAAAATGGCCATCCTGCCCAAGGTAATTTACAGATTCAATGCCATCCCCATCAAGCTACTAATGACTTTCTTCACAGAATTGGAAAAAACTACTTTAAAGTTCATATGGAACCAAAAAAGAGCCCGCATCGCCAAGTCAATCCTGAGCCAAAAGAACAAAGCTGGAGGCATCACGCTACCTGACTTCAAACTATACTACAAGGCTACAGTAACCAAAACAGCATGGTACTGGTAACAAAACAGAGATATAGATCAAGGGAACAGAACAGAGCCCTCAGAAATAACGCTGCATATCTACAACTATCTGATCTTTGACAAACCTGAGAGAAACAAGCAATGGGGAAAGGATTCCCTATTTAATAAATGGTGCTGGGAAAACTGGCTAGCCATATGTAGAAAGCTGAAACTGGATCCCTTCCTTACACCTTATACAAAAATCAATTCAAGATGGATTAAAGACTTAAATGTTAGACCTAAAACCATAAAAACCCTAGAAGAAAACCTAGACATTACCATTCAGGACATAGGCATGGGCAAGGACTTCATGTCTAAAACACCAAAAGCAATGGCAACAGAAGGCAAAATTGACAAATGGGATCTAAGTAAACTAAAGAGCTTCTGCACAGCAAAAGAAACTACCGTCAGAGTGAACAGGCAACCTACAACATGGGAGAAAATTTTCGCAACCTACTCATCTGACAAAGGGCTAATATCCAGAATCTACAGTGAACTCAAACAAATTTACAAGAAAAGAACAAACAACCCCATCAAAAAGTGGGCGAAGGACATGAAAAGACACTTCTCAAAAGAAGACATTTATGCAGCCAAAAGACATATGAAAAAATGCTCACCATCACTGGCCATCAGAGAAATGCAAATCAAAACCACAATGAGATACCATCTCACACCAGTTAGAATGGCGATCATTAAAAAGTCAGGAAACAACAGGTGCTGGAGAGGATGTGGAGAAATAGGAACACTTTTACACTGTTGGTGGGACTGTAAACAAGTTCAACCATTGTGGAAGTCAGTGTGGCGATTCCTCAGGGATCAAGATCTGGAAATACCATTTGACCCAGCCATCCCATTACTGGGTATATACCCAAAGAACTATAGGTATTTCTATACTATGAAATTAAATGCTAGAAGAGTTTGCTAATAGACTATTTGGAGTTCTGTGGGCCACAAATTGTGACTCAAGAGTGAGGACTCTTTTAACTAAGTATCCACTCATGCATCATACCAGGAGAAGCAGAAAATATAAAAAATATAATTGTCCTTTCCTATTTCTGGGAAAGTGTCATAATTGATACTGGAGAATGGAGAAGAGAACATTCTTCAAAAATGACAGCTCTGAAAGTTCAAACGAGTTCAGCTTTTAGGATAGGACAGGCACACATGAATATGAGTTCAATTACAGGTCACAAAATCAGACAAAGAAGGGATATCACCATCAGAACATGTCTCAAACTTAGTGGAAAATCCAAGTGGATAAAGAATATAGAAGGCTAGGGTAATAAAAACAACCAATGAATTTCCAAAACCAAAAGAAGAAGGACAGGAAAGCAGATGGCAGTGTCAAAACTTAAAGACTAATGTGAAGCCTGAACTTCAGGGACAGGATGCAGTCACTAGAAGCAAGAGATGTTGGGTACTTGCTCCTCAGATAATTCACCAGCTAAAATACAGGGAAGAGTAAGAGAAAAAATAAGTCACTGGAGAACCAGAGTGTAGGGTAGAAACCTGCCTCCACAGAGATGGCATATAAGAAGGAAGGACTTGGCCGGGCGTGGTGGCTCATGCCTGTAATCCCAGCATTTTGGGAGGCCGAGGCGGGCAGATTACCTGAGGTCGGGAGTTTCAGACCAGCTTGACCAACATGGAGGAACCCCATCTCTACTAAAAATACACAATTAGCAGGGCATGGTGGCACATGTCTGTAACCCCAGCTACTTGCAAGGCTGAGGCAGGAGAATCGCTTGAACCCGGGAGGCAGAAGTTGCGGTGAGCCTAGATTGCACATTGCACTCCAGCCTGGGCAACAAGAGCGAAACTCCATCTCAAAAAAAAAAAAAAAAAGAAGGACTTAAGATGTAAAGCAATCACAGAAGGATTAGAAGATTAAGCAAGGGCCCAATTTCCAGAGAATAGGGTACCAGTTTCTTGTTAGAAGCAGCAGCCAATCCTACTGAACCTAAATCACTGTACCACCCACCCAGAGCTCCTTCTGTCTATGCCCAAGACTAGAGACAAGACTAGTTCCAGAGTCTTAGATAAAGGAGAATCTTATGGATAACAAATGTACCCCAACTGTTAAGTTTAGGGATGGAGTGTCTAGCTGAAGGATCCATTCCATATATGATTTAGCAGCCTCAGCTCAGCTACTTCCTTTGTTTACTTGACTTCTTGGTATGTGACATTCACCTGACCTGGCTATCAATTTTCATGTAAATGCTCTGGGTTTAGTGAAATCAGAATTACTCAAGCTAGAGCTATAAGGATATTTAAAATAAAAAAGAAGTCAGGGATTCAGCTATTTTCCAGAAGCTGACATACTGCCCACTTTGGACTGAAAAATCCTTACTGATGCTCCTGCATGCTCAAGTGCCCTGCTAGGTCTCAGTGGTCATAAGTCATTTGGTTGATCTTAATTTTTACAGAAAAAAAAAAAGAGATAAAAGCACTTTGCAGATAAAATCTTAAAAATCATTTTGGGAAAGCGAATCCTTTCTGAATCCTTCACATGCAAGTTAGAAATGAGAAAAAAATAAATTAGAGTTATAAATAGAATAAGAGCTTGGAAATAAAGAGAAACTCCCATGAAAGGGAAATAACAAAAGGAATATGAGAGCTCTCCTGTCTCTGTTCTTAGTCATTGTGTTTGCTGATTGTTAAACTATAATTTTTAAATGTAAATTATGACACCAGGCAACTGTGAAATAAACACATCAAAGATTGATTTAATTTAGAAATTAATAAGGGAACTAATAAGATGTTAAATCTGGTCAAAATTTTTTAGAAGGTAGTATATATAGGCAATTTAACAAAGAAATTTTTAGATATGATTGCAATGTTAGATATAAAACTGATTAGTGCCCAACCAGGCCAAACACTGCAACATTTTTGGTAGTTTCACTGGACAGGCCTTATTTGCATGTCAAATGAAAAAACAAAGACTCTACAAGTTAATCTCTGTTCTTCATGCTGAAAATTGCCCAGCCAAGAGAAAGTCAAGCCAAGTACTGTAATGAAAGAATACTCAGTAACCTCATTTGCCTATTTCTAAATTTTGAATAATTTTATGGCACTACTCTCACTATATGCCATACACGCTAACTTCTTTAAAAAAAAGAAAATCCATGTATATTTTAAGCAGATGTTTTTACTAATAGCATGACAATAACTTATTTGCTGTCAGTGTAAAGATGTTAATAGGATGTTCTGGTACAGAATATCCATTTTCCCTAAAGTTCTGAGTCATTGTTTTGTTGAAAATACTAGACTTTTGCTGAGCAATTTATTTAGAAGGCAAATCAATTTCATGAGTGGAACTCATGAAATCATATTTTTCCTATAATCAAAGGTTGGTCTCCACTAATTCAAAACTGGAAAAAAATGTTAAACATTTCACAGTGAATAATAATCACAGTTTAAGTAAGGATTTAAGTGTTATTTATAGTTTTATGTGCATAAACATGTAGGCTAAAACTGGATCTTTGCTTTATAAAGTAAGAGATATACCCAAATTAAAATACTTGTGGTTATTAATTACTTTGGAATGGCAAGATATAGTATCATGAGAAATGAATACTATACCTGCTGAGAATATTAAATTTCTCTATTAACATTAGTCACATAAAGAAATTATTAACCAGACAGGTTTAATTTTAGTTATATCTTATGATAGAGAAAAAATTGGTTAACTGATAGTTGTAAAGTATCATACTTCTTAGAAATGTTTTTCATATTTTGTTTTTAATGAGACCAGTTTAGCGCTAATGAATATTAATCAGAGTCATAAAACTAATTTTTATATAATCCAGCCTCAAATACACACAGACTTGCCTGATTTTAGTTTAGGGAATCCAGGAATAATGCCTGATGCATGTTGCATGTAAAAGTAATTTGGGAAGGTTGTATCTTAAACATTAACTATAAGCAGGGTCTGGCTATTCTCAAATATAGAAACCGAATTAGCCCTGACACAGTCACAAGAAAGAGTTCGAAACCACAATTGGGAGCAATGGCATTCGCATGGCCATCTGATACCTATTTACATGTGTCCTTTTCACTGCACAGATTCTGATGCTACAAAGAATGTGAAGGCAGTGGTAAGTATATTCATCGAGATTTATTTTGATAAAAAATTTTCCTAAAACTAGTACATTGTGATTCAATTTACAAAATTCAGCTTACTCAGAATTACTAATTATCACATTTATTTCCCATAGCCAAGTTATCAGAACATTTGTGTAGGTTCCATGTAAAAAGGAGTCAATAAACTGACTTGATAAGCTTCAGAAATAACTTAACATCAAGGTTTAAATTATAATGACATTAGTTTTTGAAGTATCTATTGAACTTTAAAGACAAATCCATAAACAGCAAACAGAAAATTTAACTTTTTAATCTCATGAAGGTATCCTTACTAATTGCAATGTTTTCACTCTCTAAATAATTTTTAAATAATTTTTCAGCTTCCTGCTTGACTCTTTATTGTAAGCTCCAAATGAAAATTTTCTTTACACTTGATCCTTGGACTTGGCAAATTGTTTCACTTTGTGTATGAATCTTGATGCACTGTCACAGACTTATGGCTACCCATTAGCTCCAGGAACAAACATGAAAAAACTATTTACCCTCAAGATGTTTATATTCAAAGAGGCCCCATATCCTGTGAACTTTATGGTTTTCTCAATGTGTTATCTTGCTTCTTGTTATATTAAATGAGAGTCTAGCAATTAAACCACCATGGGATACTATTTTTTTGCTATATGTCAGTGTGTTAGGAAGCCTCCCAATACTGGTTTATGTATTTCATGCTGGGTAGAGGAAAAGTGAAAACCCCAATTTTGAAGGGCTGCATCTGGTGCATGTACTTGAACTTTGTGATGGAGCATGTGTTCCCAACTATATCAATTCCAGATTTTCCGGTTTGCTAGAAGCTGCATGAAAATGTAAATTGCATAGTCCCCTGTAACCACTCTACAAATAAATGCCAACTATGCGTATTGGTCAGAAATGCGAAAAAGGGCATGATAATCTAGGTTTTCATACCCATCATGAATTGTATAGGTATCATCATGTTTAGCCGTCTTCCTCAAATGTCTCATTAGGATAACTCCTACCCCCTTGAAAGATCTAGAGCAAATTACAATTATCTGGGGCATTCTCAAATGAGAATGAGTCCCAAGGCCTTTGACTTTCAAGATATGGTGCCAAGTACAGGCCTAGAAATAAGCAATGGGTGTGAAAGAGGAGAGTCCTCTCTGGAGTCCTTGTGCCTACTCTTTGGTATATGCTTTCTTAGGTAATGATGCAATTCAGTCCAACAAAACAGGCTGCAGCATACTTGTGGGTTCTGGCATAGCATATTAGAGCCACTTTTTTTTTGAGACAGAGTCTCACTGTCGCCCAGGCTGGAATGCAGTAGCACAATCTCAGCTCACTGCAACCTCCGCATCCTAGGTTCAAGCGATTCTTGTGCCTCAGCCGCCCAAGTAGCTGGCATTACAGGTGTGCACGACCATTCCCAGCTAATTTTTTGTACTTTTAGTAGAGATTGGGTCTCACCATGTTTTCCAGGCTGGTCTCGAACTCCTGGGCTCAGGCAATCCACCCACCCCAGCCTCCCAAAGTGCTAGGATTACAGGCATGAGCCTTCGCACCCGGCCTAGAGCCACATTTGACTTCTTGAGTTTGCATTTGAAGTTTTCTTAGTTCATTTCTTCATCACTATACTCCAGGCACCTAGAACAATGTGTGCACATAAAATCATTCAATAAATGGTTATGAAGTGAATGAATGAATGAATGCGACAAGACACATGAACCAATTAGAAAATAAGAAGAGCCAATTTAAAATATATTTCTGGTCTGAATACAATCTACGAGTTACACACACAGACACATACAAGAACAAGCGAGAACATCACAATTTAATAGCGTTAAAGGAAAAGCTTCAATCAATGTACAAAAATCACAAACATTCTTATACACCAATAACAGACAAACAGAGAGCCAAATCATGAGTGAACTCCCATTCACAATTGCTTCAAAGAGAATAAAATACCTAGGAATCCAACTTACAAGGGACGTGAAGGACCTCTTCAAGGAGAACTGCAAACCACTCCTCAATGAAATAAAAGAGGATACAAAGAAATGGAAGAACATTCCATGCTCATGGGTAGGAAGAATCAATATCATGAAAATGGCCATACTGTCCAAGGTAATTTACAGATTCAATGCCATCTCCATCAAGCTACCAATGACTTTCTTCACAGAATTGGAAAAAACTACTTTAAGGTTCATATGGAACCAAAAAAGAGTCCGCCTCTCCAAGTCAATCCGAAGCCAAAAGAACAAAGCTGGAGGCATCACGCTACCTGACTTCAAACTATATTACAAGGCTACAGTAACCAAAACAGCATGGTACTGGTAACAAAACAGAGATATAGATCAATGGAACAGAACAGAGCCCTCAGAAATAACGCCACATATCTACAACTATCTGATCTTTGACAAACCTGAGAAAAACAAGCAATGGGGAAAGGATTCCCTATTTAATAAATGGTGCTGGGAAAACTGGCTAGCCATATGTAGAAAGCTGAAACTGGATCCCTTCCTTACACCTTATACAAAAATTAATTCAAGATGGATTAAAGACTTAAACGTTAGACCTAAAACCATAAAAACCCTAGAAGAAAACCTAGGCATTACCATTCAGGACATAGGCATGGGCAAGGACTTCATGTCTAAAACACCAAAAGCAATGGCAACAGAAGCCAAAATTGACAATTGGGATCTAATTAAACAAAGAGCTTCTGCACAGCAAAAGAAACTACCATCGGAGTGAAGAGGCAACCTAGAAAATGGGAGAAAATTTTTGCAACCTACTCATCTGACAAAGGGCTAATATCCATCATCTACAATGAACTCAAACAAATTTACAAGAAAAAAACAACCCCATCAAAAAGTGGGCAAACGATATGAACAGACGCTTCTCAAAAGAAGACATTTATGCAGCCAAAAAACACATGAAAAAATGCTCACCATCACTGGCCATCAGAGAAATGCAAATCAAAACCACAATGAGATACCATCTCACACCAGTTAGAATGGCAATCATTAAAAAGTCAGGAAACAACAGGTGCTGGAGAGGATGTGGAGAAATAGGAACACTTTTACACTGTTGGTGGGACTGTAAACTAGTTCAACCATTGTGGAAGTCAGTGTGGCGATTCCTCAGGGATCTAGATCTAGAAATGCCATTTGACCCAGGCATCCCATTACTGGATATATACCCAAAGGACTATAAATCATGCTGCTATAAAGACACATGCACATGTATATTTATTGAGGCACTATTCACAATAGCAAAGACTTGGAACCAACCCAAATGTCCAACAATGATAGACTGGATTAAGAAAATGTGGCACATATACACCATGGAATACTATGCAGCCATAAAAAATGATGAATTCATGTCCTTTGTAGGGACATGGATGAAATAGGAAATCATCATTCTCAGTAAACTATCGCAAGGACAAAAAACCAAACACCGCATGTTCTCACTCATAGGTGGGAACTGAACAATGAGAACACATGGACACAGGAAGGGCAACATCACACATCAGGGACTGTTGTGGGGTGGGGGGAGGGGGGAGGGATAGCATTAGGAGATATACCTAATGCTAAATGACGAGTTAATGGGTGCAGCACACCAACATGGCACATGTATACATATGTAACTAACCTGCACAATGTGCACATGTACCCTAAAACTTAAAGTATAATAATAATAAAATTTTTTAAAAAAAGGAAAAGCTTCATGAAGAAAGCATGATTTGCAATGGACTGGGTTGACTGATAAAGGAGAAAGAAGTGGGGAGGCTCTGGAACGTAAATGGGGAGACTCTTCATTATAAGTGGCTCTATGGAGCATGCTTCATTTATAGTCACTGAACTTTGCGAGTTTCATAAAAATTCCATAAAATTCAACTATTGTAAAGCCTGAAATGCAATATGAAGCCTTATTTAGAGATTGCCCACTTTGTTTTCTTTTAAATACTAGTCACTGTTATTTATTATTGTATTTTGCTTATGAATTCCTTCAATTAAATATTTCTTAAACACCTACAGTATAGGAGAATCTGTGCTAAAAGCCAAAGATTCAAATAAAATACCATCCCTGTCCTTAAATATCTCACAGTCTCATGGGGGATGACTGACAAGTGAGCAGAATGTTACACAGTGTTATAAACAACATGAGAACACTCTGAGGTCACATCTCTTCACTCCTCACAAAGGCCAAAGAGCTCTCATTTCATTTCTTTTATGAGATCAATTTCTTTCTTTCTTTTTCTTTTCTTTTTTTTTTTAAGTGACAGTATCTCACTCTGTCACCCTGGCTGGAGTGTAGTGGTGAGAACATAGCTCACTGCAGCCTCCAACTCCCGTGCTCAAGTGATCCTCTTGCCTCAGCCTCCCGAGTAGCTGGGGTTACAGGAGTGAACTATAAGATTAATTTCTATGGGGGTTGATGTGTAGCTTATTTTATTAAAGAGATAATCTTTAGGCAGTAGATAAAATTTTATTTTTCCATCTTTTCTGAGTTTGCAGCTAACATAGTGTTATTAATTCAATAGACTAGCATATTCAAGATATAAGAAGAAATGGATGAGTATTGAAGGCCATTCATCCATAAACTGTTTTCTTTTCAATAAACTCTTCATAATCTTCCACTATTAGCTACTCAAGAAGTGAGAAATCTCAATTCATTCTGTCTAAATGTCTTTGATTTGGCAAGACTGTTAAATTATGATTAGGGTAAGAGAATCTAACTTTTCAAGAGCATTTAAACAGCTCTTAATGTTTTTTAAAGTCTCTGTTTCTTCTTTGGTTAAACTTATTGTGGATTGGAGATAATGAATACAACACACCTGGCCCATAGACAGCCTTCAGTTTAAATGAGACATTATTAAGTAATAAGTAGTCTGACTTGGAACTTACTTCTCTGCTCTGTTGGAGATGCAGATGTGAGGAGAAATCATAAACTGCCTATTCCTCTTCCTCTGACCTCTGAGATGGTGGTAGGCTGGAACACTGCTGTCATTTCTTGTCATTTATTGATCAGTTACTTTGTGCCAAACTCTTTACATACATTATCTCCTTCAATTCCCAGACAACCCTTTAAGATAAGAATTATTATCCCTATTATACCTTAGAGAAAATGAAATAGAAGCTCATAGAGTTTAATTAACTTGCCAAAGTCCCCAGAGATAGTAAACGACAGAGCAGGGTTCAGTCCCAAGTGTTTCATGCCCCTAAACCCTGCCTACTACTGCTTTCTGAACCTGTGAGTTCCTAACGGCTTTCTGGATAAACAGAGAGACACAGCTCAAGACTTTTGTATTCTTTTTCTACCCAACTTGATCCCATTTAATTTGATGCATACAATTAAAGAGATCTTCTGTAGAATTTTAATTTAGAAGGACAAGAAAGCCAGTTCAAATTCTGTGCAGTAAGAAGCCTACACCACCGAGACTATGATGTAAGACATGGCGATGCTTCACTAGGACAGACGAGTGACTGGAGCTTTCAGAGAAGGAGCTATTGGTGTGCCTTGCTTGCTACGACTCCCAGAGGCAGAGGTCATATAAGCGGTACATGATGGGCATGCCATACTCCTTGGGGTAGACTTTGGTTGTTGCCATCCCAAACCATTCTCCCTCTTACCTTATTAACTAAAACTAGATCTTGTTCGGGGTGTGTTAAATGTATTCATCTCAGCTAGGGAGATGTAAACAGCAGTCTACTGGGTGAAGCTTTGGGAAAAGCCATTGTTTTCCTGATGAAAGATGACAGCCTTAGCTATACTTCTTTCTGCCTTTTGCTCTTTCATTTTTCTATCTGAAATGTAGATGTGATGCTTAGAGAAAGAACAATTGTTTTGTGACTGTGAGTAGCAAATTTTTCAGTAAAGCTGACAGAGCAGGGAGTTACCAGAAATGTGGGTCCTTATTTAATTGCTTGAGCAGATACACCAGCCTGGAATTGTTTATTTCCAAAAGTGAAAAACTCAATTCTCATTTCGATAGGCAGTTCTAGTAATGTTTATATTACATGTACTTCCAAATTATTTAGTTCCTGATCTTATTCTTACTTCAATACCTGTATTTGTTGTCAGTTGTGACCTAGGGAAAAAGTTAAAAATTTTCCTTATTAGAGTGAATCTTAGCTATTGCCTTCACTCATGAGCACACACAACTATAGGTCTCTAGCTTCCTCTTAAATATCACATGGCAAGGCTTTGGACAAATAAGCTGAACTTTTAAAATTTAATTTTCCTCCCATTTAGAATGAAATTAGTCATTCTTATGGGTATTCTACCCAAAGGCCTCATGTGAGAATGAGTTAAAAATATGGAAAGTCATACTTGAAGAATGGGACTATTTCCATATAAAATACAATCATTAGTAATGCATTAATAGTTTGCTCTGATTACTGCCTGCTATTTTAAATTTGTTAAAGACTCTTCCAATATGAAAAATGTTATGAACATTTTAATGAATTATGAGTAAAAGTCCTCCAGAACATGGCATTACTTTTTTGTAATGAATATGAATGCAATCAGTGGGTTTCTGTAGACACCAGAATTAAGCAGAATTAGACCAAAAAGAAAAAAAAAAGATTAGTTCTAGAAGTAAGATAAAATAGAAAGACAGCAAGAATGAGAAAAAGGAGAGAAATAGAGACAGGCAAAGGGCAGGATAGGATTTTTAAGAAGGAAGAATTTTCCCAAATACAGGATTAAAGTTATTAATTAAGAATAGATCTCATTAAAGTGAACATAATTACCCTATGAATAATGTTATCACAAATATGATAGCAACACTTGAATAATTGTCCGAATAAAGTATTTTAAAACCACTAAGTATCTTTTGCAGAGAAATTTAAGCAAGAAAATGAATATAAAAACCACAAAGGGATAACTTGCCAGTGAATGCAACTAAAATTTCATAAAACCCCAGCTCTCATTCATCTAAATTTAGGGACCTCTATATTTTGCACATTGATGCTCAATAAATATTAGATATTTTTGGGTTTTTTACATTGAAAAATACTTGCTCCAAATCAGTGAGTAATTATAAATGAGTTTTAATGATAACAAGAAAAGTTAGGAATAAAAAAATGCTACATAAATGCTTTCTTATTAATATTTTTGAAGACTATCACAGAGCGAAAACTTTTTAAATAATAATTGCTATAGAACAGTCAAGAATATGCAAAAAACTACATTCCTGACCTTAAAATATGAAATAAAACTTTGAATTTCTGCTTTTAAATGACCAGTAGATTTGCAAAACCTGTGATCACATGAATGTCAGTTTGGCAGAATGGTCATAAATAATAGTTGATGATAAATGACAGTGTTCAGGGTGTGGAGCGATCTCTTGTGGAGGGCCACAGGGGTTGGCGTAAAGCTCTTGTCTTCTCTAACATCTGGATTATTGATGGTTAGCATTAATGATCTGAAAGACAGAGCACACAGCAAGCTAATAAAATTTGCAGATGTTACAAATTTGGAAGCTGTTGCACACACCAGGAGACTAAGAATTAATACAAATGGATCTAATGAGATTACAAATACAGAAAGAAAAGAGGAAAATTAGATTCCATTTAGAAAAGTGCAACTAATCAATCTTGGGGGAGGTAATCAGAAACATGTTCACTCAGCAGGTCTGAGGACAAACCTGGGAAGTAATCAATTTAAACAAAATGCAAAGCACAATAATAAGGCTGCTGGGATCAGTGAAAGAGTATTTCTCCAAGATCATTCAGCAATTCCATACATGAGCCTGTCTTGGTCAGAATTGCCCATGGAGGCAGTAGGTCTAAGGGGAGAGGCCTGAAAGCAGGGACTATGAGGATAAAAGCTGAGAAGATCCCTGGTGCAATGGCTGCACCAACAGCCACTTCCAAGTTCTGGATGGAGCAGCCGCATGCTCAGCCACTTGCTCCAGTATTAAAAGAATGGGCACCAAAACTTGTATCAACCTAACATGCCTAACCTAGGCCCATTAAGGTTCATGGTCCCATGCAGCTATTTTTCTGGTGCCAAAGGAACTGAGGACTTTAACAAGGGTAGGGCTATCAAATAGTCTCAGTATTACCCAAAGGTATACATATAGCCTAAGGGAAAGCATCCCAGCTAAAAAACACAGACCCTTGGTATCCACTCCATCAGTTATGAGCTATGTAACTTTAGGAAAATGATTTGCCTTGCTCTAAGTTATAATATTTAGCTTTCATATTTTTAACTGCTCTGAGCTTCAGTTTTCTCCTTTGCAAAATGGGTATAATAACATCTTCTCAGAGTTGTGAAGCAAAAGGAAAAATGCCTATAAAGTTATTGACACAGTCAATACTATCAATTACTATCACTACAGATTATTTTATGCAGTTATAGTCCTGAAGGAATCTGGTTGTTTTTTTTTTTTTACAAGACTATGAAGTTCTTTGAAGGCAAAATGCTAATTGGAAGTCCTTGATCAGTTATTTTGAGGATATATTGGTTAAAATTTAAATCATTGCAGCCCACGGAAAAACAGATTTACACTAGAGATTGTCATAGTCAAACTAGAGGCTTTCACCAGGCCACAATGTGCAATGATGCAATGATTACAATGGCAATTGGAAAATCAAATCATCCTGGCCAGCATGTCCTTGGACAGGAAGAAGGAAAATAAGGAGGCAGTGTAATACTGAACACTGCGAAACCTTGAAGCCAATCAGGTGGCAAGGGGGCCACAATCCCAAAAACAGCATAGAGAGATAGCAGGAATAGACATAGGCAAACTGGAAAAGTTCAAATGTGGTATTCAATAAACAAATGGGAAACTTGAGGCAAGATTGCAACAGTGAGGCCTAGGAGATCATCTTCTGTCACCACTGAAGAAGTGTTTTCTGTATCAGAAGTCTTCTGGGTGGGGTCCACAAAAAGAAAAAATAACAGCAGGAATCCCAAGAATTTGGCATCAAGAAAGATGAAATGTGGTTATCCACAGCAGAGTGAGCAGAGGCCAACCTAAAGACCAGGAGGTAGTTCAACATAAGCCCAAAACAAGAAACAGCTTCTAAGACAGTTAGAGATGATGGTCTGGGAAGGTGGGCAGATGCAGTCTCAGGTGTATCAAGGCTCTGGAAATAATAGCAACAACTGAAGGCGCCAAGCAAGTAACAACCTGGCTAAATCCCTTAGCCAGGATAATACTCAGCATGTCGCTCTCCATTATCTCCCCATATTGAATCCTTCCTTTGGCCCTGATGATTTCGCCACGGACAGATCTCTCAACATGTCCTTTGTCCTCCCCTTTATGCTGTCTCTACTGTAATCCAAACCAGCCAACTTCTCTTACCAGCAACGTGCCACAGCCTCCCAACTGATCCTTGCTTACTCATTCAGCTTCCTCCTGCTGACGTATCCTTTCTAATCCATTCTTCAAACTATAGCAACAGTGATATCTTCAAAAGGCCAAAATAATCACATACACATACTCTATTTCAGGCTTGTGTTTAGCACACACCCATGACAATCTGCTGAATTTAGGATAAAGGTTAAATGAATGAATGTGGTTGCTAGGCCCCACATGGTCTGACCCTGCTTTTCTCTCTAGTTTCCTCACATACAATGCTCCTCACAATCTCTATCCTTCTTTCTGTTCAACCCTGTGCCTGCCTTGACCAGGGCTGTTATCATCCTTTCTCTCCCTTGCTTGCTTTCCATCTAGTTTAACTCTCTTGTTACAGCTAAACTCAATCAACACTTCCTCAGAAAAGCCTTTTCTAAGTGAGTCACTGATCCTTCTTTTAGACACCACATCTCTCATCATTGTGACATTTGTCACAAGTGAAATTTTACATCTTTTATAGGATTCTGTGACTAGAATCTATTCTCAACCCCTCCCTTCAGGCTTACTGAGGGTAGAGCCATGTTTTTTTATATTGCCCAGAACATATCTAGCACAGGTCATTCTTCAAAGTGTCTATAGTTGTCTGGAGCATTCAGCCAGAATCTCTGGTTCTTTTGTCAGTTTTCTTGGTGGATATTTCTTCTCTCTTCAATGATACCTATATGAAAAGACTGGTGTGGTGGGTAGAATGACACCTGCCCCCAAAGATGGTTATGTCCTAATCCCTTGAACCTGTGAATGTGTTAAATGTCAAAGGGGAATAAAGGTTTCAAATGAAGTTAAAGTTGTTCATTCATCAGCAGATCCTAAACAGGGAAGATTATCCTGGGTTATCCAGATGGTCCAGTGTAATCACAAGGGTCCTTGTAAGTAAAAGGAGGCCAGAGAGTCAGTCAGAGGGAGATGTGGCTACAGAAGTTCAGAGTGATGAGGCCAGGCTTACACTTGAAATCCCAGGACTTTGGGAGGCTGAGGCAGGTAGATTGCCTGAGGTCAGCAGTTTGAGAACAGCCTGGTCAATATGGCGAAATGCCATCTCTACTAAAAAACACAAAAATTAGCCGGGCATGGTGGAAGACACCTGTAATCCCAGCTACTCAGGAGGCTGAGGCAGGAGAATCTCTTGAACATGGGAGGCAGAGGCTGCAGTGAGCTGAGATTGTGCCACTGCACTCCAGCCTGAGTGACAGAGCAAAACTCCATCTCAAAAAAAAAAAAAAAAAAAGAAAACAAACAAAAAAATTCAACTGATGAGATAGGAGAAGAAATTGACCCACCACTGTTGGCTTTGAAGATGGAGGAAGGGTGTCAAGAGTAGGCAAATTCTAGAAGCTAGGAAAGGCAAGGACACAGATGTTCCCTAGAGCCTCCAAAAAGGATGCAGCTCTGCCAACACCTTAACTTTAGCCAGTAATACCCAAGTCAAATTTCTAACCTGCAGAACTGCAGACTCTCTAACCTGCAGACAATAAACTCCTGTTGATTTATACCACTAGGTTTGTGGTAATTTGTCACAGAAGCAATAAAAAAAAAAATACAACCTCTACCTCTCTTGAGTGTAAGTAACCTTGAAGGCCATTCACACTGCCCTACCAGGGTAGTGATTCTGCAGTGGATAAGAAGGCCAAGCATGGCCTCCTCAGTCAGACACTCTATCTTCTTTTCCCATGGATAAATTTTAACAATGAAACTGTTGGTGAACTCCCAGTGACTATTCCTACTGGACATCTCTAGGCTTCTTTCTGCAGGGGCAATTGCAGCTTCTTTGTGGGGCAGCAGCTGCCTGTGACTATTCCTGTTAGAGGATCTGCTTTCTGCTTTGGCTTCTACGGTTTACAGTTCTTGGGGGCTTCTGGCCTTGGCAGTTCCCAGTAGTTCTTGTCAGTGGCTCTTTTAGGGTTCTCCTTCTTCCAGTGTACCTGAACATTAGTTATATCCCACAGCAACCAAATAGATCAAGAGTATTTCCTCCAGGGAGGTGGCTCACGCTGGGAGACTGCCGTGTCAATGTCGGTTTTGTACAGTCTTCCCCTATTGTATGAGAGAAGTGAGACCATGCAGCACTGCACTGCAACACCACACAGCAGCCCCTTCTCACTCCCTGCCTTTGCTTTTCCCTGCTTTCGGCTAAGGTGGAAAAGAATCACTAAATCTCCACTGATTTAAGATTAAAGCTCTAATATCAGTTGAAATCATCTAGGAGATGTGCAGAGAGAATCTACCTCTCAGGTACTCAAAAATCATGACGTACCCCAAATTCCTCTAAATATAGCTATCAATTCATGGGCCACTGGGACCACAAATTCAAATCAGACCCAAAAGTGTCCAAAGTGGCCTCTAGTTCCACGAGGTAGATAAGCAAACGATACACTAATAACTATTTGGTTACCCATTCAACCAAAACTGACATATCATGAGAGGCTTACCAGCTTCGGCACCAAGTCAAATTCCAATAGTTAAGAGATTGAAATGTTATGAAAGGGAAGTAGTGGAGCATCTTGGGAAAAGTACAGGTTACTAAGCATGGGTACACTCGAATCAGGCATGTCTGGCTTCAAATACTACCTCTCCTGTTTACCAGTTATACAACTTTGAAAAACAACTTCTATACTCTAAATGTATGTTCCTTTGTTATTAAGAATTAGGCAATATGTGTAACATATTTACCAAATTTTTTGACATTCAAAAAAATGAGTGCTAGATGCTCCTAGAATAAAGAAGTTTTGTCAGTGAATTCTTTCTAACCTACAAAACTATTCAGGAGTAAATTCCATGACAGTGAATTATTTATCATATATGGTATAGTAGGTAGATTAAATTTGTCATCAGAAGCCCTCAATTTGCCCTGTTTCTGTATCACCCCTTGAGGCCATCTGTCTCCTTCTTTTTCTTCCATAACTGATGAAATACAATTAAGAAGTGCCATGTCCCCTTGGACTAATTCATGACCCATCCTAAGATTCTGTCTGGCCTTTCCTCCTCTGATCAATTTATCTGGTCAAGATGTTAATGTGATTACATCTGTCTGGTGAAGTGGATTCAGGGAAGTTCTTAGATTACAACTCACTTCCCTCATCCAATCCAACCACTCTACACACCAAAATGCACATGTTTTCAAAAATTTAAGGTTACTATGAATGCTGAAAAAGCTTAATATAGCACTTTCTACAATGTCCTAGAAACAATGTTCTTGCTTAAGGCTTAACTGTAATCTGATTCAATCAATTCCATCAAATAATAATTAAAACCAGCATTTACTGGGTATTTTATATGTGGCAGTCACTGTAGCATGTATCATCTCATCTAATCTTCACCATAATCATATAAGCTAAATATGATCATTATATCCATTTTAAAGATGAGACAATTGGGGTATAGAATACTTAACCAGGCTTGACTGAGTTAGTTCCTTAAGCAGGAAAGCCATCTGTTTATTGTTTACCCAAACTTCCCAATTTTCAAATGATTCACATAAATTTCTATAGCTTATAATGCTCTCTATGCAAGTGAGTTAAAAGCAATTTCTTCTAATGGCACCTTAAAACAGAATCACTCATTTCATTTTAATCAGGGCCCTTAAACTCAGAATTTGGATAGTTAAGAACAAAATGAAAACTATAACAAACTAAAGACTGCAGCGGCTATTATCACAATTGCAAAGCTTTAAGCGTTTTATATTTTCATATTTATTCCTCACTTTTAACTACTATATTTACTTTTTATTTAAACACTGAAATGTGTCAATATAAATCCTTGCTATGTGCAATGAACTGGCAGGAGTAATTTAACTTTAAAACATTATAAAAATCGTAAGGAAAAGAACTATTTTTACATTTTTAGAAACTTTGATGGACTATTTTGCTGAGTGACAGTCAATGGGAGTAGACAAGCAGTGCAACGTGATTAGACAACTACCAACATACGGAGCTGTTGGATTTCTCAACCCCACGGGCAACAGAAATGGCAGAGCAGATTTTTGGGAAATTTTACACATTAGTACATAAACAGTCTGTCAAAAAATCACACTTTTCAGATGTCTACCTCCTACAGTCTTAAAGACATTACAAACTATCACAAATGTGATTTGCAAGGGAGAAGTTTCCTAGCCTCAATATAAAATGATTGTCTTCACTGACAAAGTCCAGGAATATCAAGGGAAAAATAATAAATCCGTTAAAAAATTGATCTGGCAAGTGGGTTGTGCACCATTACAGCTAAAAAAAAAAAGAAAACTTAAGTTTTGTGTGTGTGTGTGTGTGTGTAAGATTCAATATATTGCCAGGAAGAGCAGATTTGAGCTATGTTGAGTTGGAAACCAGATTTGAAAAAGGACATACTAAAAAAATAAAAAGTATACTGTAAAGCAGCTCTGGAAGTATATAAAAAAGCAAAAAAATGTACTTGGCAACAGTTTGCAAAATGAGATGAATCAAAAGCCAATTAAGAGATCAAAATATATGGAGCCAATAACATAAAAGTAGGGGTGACAATATAGTCAGCTTGGAAGCTAATTAGAATGGAGAGGTGATAATTGTATGCACTGGAGGAAGGCAAACTGTAGAGTGTTGAATGGAAATGAGGCAGAGATTGAGAAGGAAAAGATCTCAAACACGTCTGCAGTGTCGTAGTAAATAGTCAAAAACAAAAATGTGAGAAATGAACCCCTTGGTGAGGTGAAGAAAACTTCCTTGCTAACCCTAAGGTTCATGCTGTAATAGACTCTACAAAGATTATGGTTCCTTGAGAAAAGAAAATATAGGCTAACTCTTCCCCCCCACCACCAGAAAGGAGATGCTCTTCAGTCATCTGTGCTCCCCCTCTTTTTCTTTTACAGTGGGCTTGAGTGAGTCTGAAGATTGGGGATTAGAGATCAAACTCCACTTCATTTTCTAAACTGTTATCCTGGGCCTCTTGCCAACCTTTTTTTTTTCTTTCTTTTTGGCTTATCTGGTCTCCATAGTTTTGGAGTTTTTTGTTTTTTTCCACAATAAAGTTTGATATCAGCCTAACTTACTGCTATTCAGTTTTTCTGTATATTATTGGCCTTTCCCAGAATTTCTGTGAATTCTTGTTTCATATCTCTCCCTGATGATGACCTGCTTGGTCAGAATGCCTGTAGAGCTTTACTCCAGATGACAAATGAAGCAAAAACAATGCCTTTCTTTTAATAAGGTTGCTGAAGTGACACAGACCATGGATAAAAAGCACCTTGAAGTTTGGTAAGATCCACAAATGAATATGTTCTCATACTCTTAACTCTCTGAGTCTCTGAACACAGCAGTTCTTAGCATGGCCTTTGCCAAAGCAATGATATGCTTACATAAACACTTTTGCAGGTCAACTTCTGCCAAGCTGCTGCCATGAGCTCTGCCTCTGTAAACTGATTGGAAGGATGGTTGCTTCGAGGCGAATACTAGATTGCTTTTTGTTTCCTTACTTGTTTGACTCTTGCCCAGGGAAATAGCGTTACATATGAACATCTGAAAGTATTACTTAAAGAAAAAATACTAAAGCCACACTTTGTAATTTTTTCAAAACAAATGAAGTGTCAAAATTTTTTTAAAGTACACATGGGAAGAAGAACACAGGGTAGCAGGTATGCAATAAAATAGTTATGATTCTAGCAAATAAAAAATTAATATAACATATTGAAAAAGTGAGATTTGAAGTATACTCAGGAATTAATTTAATGATATACTGAAAAGAGATAAAACATAATTGGGTAATTCATTTTCTCCAAATAATTTATTCCTTTGGAAGACAGACAGCTCTTAACCACCCTAGCAAACTTTACAATTCTTTACTCCTTTTAAACATAAGCATTCTTACCCTCTAGAAAATATGTATTATAATTACGGCCTTACTATACTCTTTTTAGTGAACACAAAAGCAAAACAAAACATACATCAAAACCACACTGCCAACTTCCACTTCTGATCAAGATGAAATAAAATAGTTTACCACTTAAAACAATTTTTTTAAGCTAGACAAAAATATGAAACACCCATTTTAGAGCTGTTGAACATCATGCAACATCTGTCCTGTTTCCATGAGAAACAGTAAACAAAAGAGTTAAATCTTGTAATTTTCCTAGAAAATGGCAGAAGACACACATGTCTTGAGAGAATTTCCTCCAGGACATGCACAGGGTATGGGAACCAATACGGAATCTGGCAGACTCCCTGAGTTGAAGAGACAGAGCTGAGAATTCAGGGAAACCAAAGAGACTGATGTATGCCAGGCAGAGCACTGACAAATAGAGATCTGAACACAGAGAGAATCCTAGAGATGTGTAAAGTTCCCTTTGTGTATTCAATAGAATACTGATCAGCGCATGCATGTTAGCAAACTACCCAGGGAGAGGGAAGGACCTCCTGGAAGAATTAGAAGGAGGAATACCTAGAGATTGCACAAGGCTGGGAATAGTGCCTGTTGCCAACAGCCAGAATGAAAAAATGTATGGTCCATTTAATAGAATACTCAGAACGATGTTTCTTCAATAGTGGGGAACTAATTAGGCCTAGATGACACACAGCTGTAGTCCTCCAAAACAAATCTTTAAAAGAAAGACCTGAAAAGATCCATCTGATTCTAAGTAACTTAACTGTATCCTACAACAAAGCTTAAAGATTCTTATAGGAATACATAGTATTAAGCACCCAACAAAATAAAATGTACCATATCTAGCTTCCAAAGTAAGATTATCAGAGTGCAAGAGGCAAAAGAATATGTTCAGTGATAAAAAGAAAACTATATTAATCAAAATTGATCTAGAATAGACATAGATAAAAGCATTAGCAGACTAGGGCCCAAAAAGTCTTATCAAAACTCTATTGCATATGTTCAAAAAGATCAAAAATTGGATATGTTAAGTAGAGATGTGGAAGACATTTTAAAATATTTAAATTGAAATTTTAAAATGGAAAACTATAGTATCTGAGATAAAATAAAGTATAGATGGGATCAAAAAGAGATGATTAGTCATTTCAGGAAAAAAAATAATGAACTTGAAAACATTAGCAGTATTAAACACACAGAAAAAAACTTTCAAAAACATAAAAAGAAAAATACATCATCCATGAGCTGTGGGATAACATCAAGTGACCTGATATATGTGTAATAGGAATCCCTGATTTTGGAGAGGGGACACAGAGAAAGATAATTAAAGGAATAATGGCTGTTGCATGGCAAGTATAGTAGAGACAACTAACTTGCACCAAAAATTCTTTCTCCTGTTCTATTAAGAGTTGTTGGTGCAACTGCGCCATTAGCCAAAGACTACATTTCCCAGCCCCCTTTGTATCTAGTGTGGCTGTGTGACTAGTTCCCACTAACAGAATATGAACAGAGTGATGTGTGTCACTTCTGGTCCCACCCAGGGCAAGAGATTCTCCCTCGCTTTATTCTTCTGTGGCAACCTTGAAAGTCACAGGTTGATGATGGTTGATTATGTAAGCTCCAGGAAGGTGGGGATTTATGTATCAGTTGTTCACAGCTGTATCTGCTGGGTTTAGAAGAGTGCTGGCATGTAGTAAAGGTTTACTGAATAAATGCATGACTCGGGATGCAGAATGGATTAGATGGAAAGACAGGACACAATGAGCACAACTAATAGAATTTATTAAATGCAATAATCTAAAGGAGAGAAAATAAAAACTTTAAGTAGACCAATGACAATAGAATTGAAACGCACTATGAAGCACACTATGGAAGACACCCTTTTAATAAAGAATTTGGATTGCCTTTGTCCTCAGTTCCTTAGAAGTAGCTTCTAAACTCTTGGGATTTCCAGGGTGACCAGATGTCTTAGTTATTTGTGGTAGGTTTCTACATAGTTTATGCTGATGATGTGACTCAGGTTGGGAATGGTCATGCCAGAAATACCAATCATGTGATTAGAGGGTTGGAGCTTTGAGCCATGTGACATCCATCTGGGAAGGGGAGGGGCACTGGAGGTTGCCTAACATTGCCAACGGTTCAATCAATCATGCCCAATAAAAACTATGGTGAGCTGGGACCCTCATAGACCTTGCTATTTGCATCTCTCTTTTTGACTAGTTCAGATTTTTATCTTTTTGCTATAATAAAACTGTAATTGTAAACATAACACTTTCCTGAGTTCTGTGAGTTGTTCTAGTGAATTATGAAACCTGAGGGGGTAAAAGGAACCCCTAAATTGATAGCCAGCTTGTCAGACATGAGGGTGCCTTGGGGACCCCAAAACTTGTGGCTGTCTGAAGTGAGGACAGTCATGTGAAGGACTGTACCCTTAATCTGTGAAGTGTGGCCTAATTCCAGGCAGTTGGGTCAAAACCCTGCAGAAACTATATCCTGAATCACCACATGGAAGGCTATGAGTTTTCCTGCATTAAACTATTATGTGAGCAAAACCCACCCATTTTAAAACATTCAGTCAATGACTCTGGGGGATTTATATGTTATACCAATTACAGTTACCCTAACTGTATACCTCTTTTTTTTTCTGTTTTGTTTCCCCCCTCAAAATTTATCTCCTAATGAGACATTCTCCTGTTACTCTATTTAAAATCTTAGCCCTCTTTCCTAACTTCTCACATCTCCCTCTGGTTTGTTTTACTGTTCTCTTTCACACTTATTACTATCACATCCCATATATTTTATGTAAGCTCCAAGAAGGTGGGGATTTATGTATCAGTTCTTCACAGCTGTATCTGCTGGGTTTAGAAGAGTGCTGGCATGTAGTAAAGGTTTACTGAATAAATGCATGACTCGGTATGCAGAATGGATTAGATGGAAAGACAGGACACAATGAGCACAACTAATAGAATTTATTAAATGCAATAATCTAAAGGAGAGAAAATAAAAACTTTAAGTAGACTAATGACAATAGAAATGAAAGAAGGTGGTAAATGCTCAAGTCTTTCAGAGATAGAAACCACATGGCATGAAACGTATTAAGGAACAAGGTAGTGAGAAAGATGCTAATGAAATCATCTTCAGCAACTAGACTGAGTAGAGAGAATATGAAGCAGTTAGCAGAATGATGGAAGTCAGGAATAAATATAATTTAGGAAAGATTATAAGTTCAATTTTGAATCTGGCATTTAAATTCCTTCCATAATCACATGGCCTAATCACATAGTCAAGAATGCTGCAGTCCTAAGGATAAACCCCAGGAGTTAGAGGTAGAGGAATGTTATGGGAGATATTTCCAAATTAAACAGGGATATCACAGTTTTATGCCAATGAGATATATTGAATAACTTTCTATGGAATGAAAAAAATTGGCAAACCAACCAGTTTTAATTCAAGGTTATTTCTCTATTTAGTTTATGTCTTTTAGAGACCCACAAGTGAACACTTAGAGAGGATTACAATGTTATTGACATTATTATATTAGAAAATCTTAGGCATAGAAATTCATTTATAATAGACCAGTAGGGATAAGTTTACTACCTTCAGTATCTTCAAAACTCTTGAGAATTGAATGGATCTTATCTTTATGGCTGAAAATAAACCTAGAGTACTTCATTACTGTTTCTTAATAACAAAGCCCTTTTGCAAACAAGCAGGACATGAGCAGAACTTAAGATGAGTAATCACATCCATACAGTTTAGATGATCAATCATCTTATATATGCATAAAATATTAAACATAATGAACATGTTAGGGCACTATTGATCTATTCCAGTCCAACTCACAACAAAACATGAATGGTTTCTTAGTGATTGAGAGCATTTATTAGACCCTAGGGTTTATACACGTGAATAAGTAGAAAGTCTTCAATGTATGACTTCCAGTAGAGATTGGGCAGCTAAACTCCTAACTCACCAAAGAAAGAGTACAGTTAGCACTTGCTATTGAATTAATACAAAAAATCTGGTCTATAATAGGCCATATATTTACAGCTGTCCTACTTGCAGTGTCAATGTTATAGCCTTGAATTTTATTCCATCTACAAGGATCAGAAATCAGGGATAGTCTGGCTGCCTAGCTTCCATTATAGAAATCAATCTGCACCATCTAGCTTTTTTTCTCAACTTCCTTGCTGTCTGCTTTTCACCCTTGCTTTTTCTTTATCCACCTTGCCTCCTTCCCTCCACGACCCTGGGGCCACATTGTACACTATGTCACTGTATTTGTTCATGCTCTATCCTAGTCTCTCCATGTGGGATGTCTGTCCTTTCCTTCTTACCCAGAAAACTCCTACCCATCCTTTAAGGCAGAGTTTCTCCAAGTATGGTCAGAAGAATCTAAAGCACTTGAATTCAGATAATTTGGAAAAAGTGTTAATTTTGTACAGAAATTTTTAACAATTTAAAAATCTCCTTTAGAAGACCTGTTTCTGGGCTTGTGATGATCGGTTCCATTCTGTCACTGTGTTGCAGCAGATAAGCAATTGTTCGTGCTAGTGGGCTGGCCTCATATACATACCTGCAGTCTGACTGTCCATATAGGATGCCTAATAATTACTACATACAGGTTGTTAGGCTTGGCAATGACAGATTCTGCAGCGTTAGAGTTAATTATCCCAGAGTGTGGGGAGGGGAATTCAAGTGCCTTAGAATTGTTTGGGTCTCCCCAGACCCAGTGGGCTCCTTGATCCACACCGGCAAGCTATTGCCACTATATCCATGTGCCTGTCTAAGCAGTTAAAGAAAGCATTAAGGAGCTTCCCGATTCAGCTGAATTCTTCATTTGGCATTTATTCTTTTCACTCTTCAATGCTTATCCCATAGAGAAAAGTAATGACAACGACTTCTTCCAGGACTTTATCAGTTTTGCCAATATTAAAATGAGATCAGTCTGGTAAATCAATAACTCTGGTGATTCTTATGAACACAAAAGTTTAAGTACTTGTTTAAGATCTTGGCAGACTGCTGCAGTAATGAGTCTGTCTCAATTTATTCATACCTCTCTTTGCTGTGTGACTTGCCATCCCTCCTATCAAGAGCTGAATCTATTTTTCCATTCCTTGAATCTGGTCTTGGCTATGTGAGTTACTTTGACCAATGGATCAACAACAAATGTGTCACTAAAAGAAGCTTAATACAGGTTTGTGCATTAAAACTTTCCCTTTCTTGCTGCAGGAAATCCTTTCTCCATGTGCATGACCCCAGGCTAGCTTGTTGGAGGAGGAGAAACTATTTGAGAGAGGATCCAACCATTCCAGCTGCCTCATCTATGCTATCCATAGACATATATCCCCAGACATAACAGTAAGGTTATTCTAAACCTCCATTTGCAGCTAATGAAGCCCAGACTAGAGGCACTACATAGCCAATCCATAGATGTGTAAGCTATAATATGTATATATTTTAAGCCACTATGTTTTGAGGTGGTTTGTTTAGGGGTAAAAACAAACTGATTCAATGGCTTAGTTCAAAAGAACTTATTTCTTCACCTCCCTCCACTGCAGAGCACACCCACTCTGTCTGCTCTGTTCTTCCAGAATATTATATTTACAATATTAATGAAATAAATCACTGTTCTGGGTATGAAGTTCTAGACACTGCACTAATACTCACCATATCTATAGGAAATTTAATGGCATCTCCACTTTATAGACATGGAAACTGAGACTCAAGGAGGTTATTTAAATTGCTCAAGGTCATGCAGGTAGAAACAATGGTGGATGCAGTATTTGAATCCAGCTCATGTGTTAGTAACTAGGATTCATGTTGAGTCAACTCTCATGTATTTAGTCACCAGGCTTTACAGAATTGAACTACAATGATACAAGTTGAATATAAGTTTGCCTTCACTGTAGATTCCAAGTACTTTAAAATTCAAGATAGTTTTTCATTTGTCATTTTAATCAGATACTGGGCTCAACATCTGTTATAACAAACATGTTTAATACATATTTATAGAATAAAATTGACCTTTAACATTATATTTACCTTCTCTATCCCTATTTCTTGTTTGTCATTGTTCAACTTTTTGCCTACCACCTGACCAAAAAACAAAACAAAAAGACAAAAGCTACATTTTTATGGCTCCAAGTACTCTGAACTGTAGCATCCTTTAAGATGGCTTTCACAGGTCCATGCTACTTTTAGGTCTTTTTACCTTGGTTTTATGCCCTTGCTGTAATAGCCACATGGAAATGCTTCTGGATGTCCAGATAGTTCTATGGCTCACTTAGATATCAAGGCCTTGGTGTCTACTATAAAGGAATATTACAAGAACAAGATACAGGTACAAACTGTAAATATCAGGCTCTAACTTTACATAGGAATAGTATTTATTAAAATTTTTATTCTGGTTCAAATTTCCTCCATCTCTATTAAATGAACCAATCACTTTAAAACCATCCATGCTGTGTTGTCATTCTATTTAAATGAGGACTGTGATACTATGCCTGGCTTAAGCACAGTACATTCAAGACTGTTTTTTTTTTTCTTTACGCACACTGCTGACAGCATTATCCAGTGAATTTTCAGTATCTGTGTGTGTGTGTGTGTGTGTGTGTGTGTGTGTGTGTGTGTGTGTGTGTGTGTGTCTTCGGAAGAGAAAGAACAAATGATATCATTTATGTGAGAGATGAAGAAACAAGAGTCTGGAAGACTTTTTAGCTCTTCCTGAAAGGACATGAGCAGGAAAACAAGACAAAAGTCACAATTCCCTTGAATTAAGTCCCATTTTTCCTCCAGGCAGGCCTGGCTTTGATTTAAAATCAAGATCTTCAAGTTTTTTCCCAAGGTTTTGGAGTCTTCAAAAAATGGATCCTGTTTCCAGGCAGTTTTCCCTTTACTTTAGGGGAAATTTAAACAAATCCAGTATTTCTTATTCAAGTAAGCTTAAATCATTTTTAAAAATTAAAATGTACTCAATGCCCAAAAGTGTTTAAGAATTTTAATTTGTCTTTTGTCCCATTCCTTAGAATTACTTTTCAAATGGTTTGGATTTAGCCAAACCTAAAATAGATTTTTGCCAAGAGTCTTTTCTCCCCCCTTAATTTTTAAACCCATGTGTATTTTAAGGGAAATTTAATACATATGCTTCTAATTCATGTGCACTTAACTCATCAGAATGTTCTTTTGTAAGACCTGTTTGAAGTTTAAGAAGTCTTTTTGGAGCCTCCTTTTAATAAGTCTTTTCAAGCCTTTATTCTTAGAAGCAGGAAGTCACATTTTGCCAGGAGAAAATGAATTTCAACCCCCAAAGGTTCACATTTAGTCCAAAACTAGCAGCCAAGCCACTTTGTGAGCAACTTAAAAAAATGAGTTACTTTGCCCCTAGGATAAAGTTGTTTTATTTTTTAGGCCCCAAACTCAGAAAACATAAACAGACTTTTATTCATCTTATTTCCACATATTAAGGTTGTCAATGATATTTGTGAATGAAGATAACTTTAAAATAAATATAACTCTAAATGCATCCTAACATTCCCTTAAGATTTACTAATAGATTTTGTGAATAAGCTGATAAGATTATTTCCTCAAAATAAAAACAAAACAAAACACAAAATGTAGTAGATATTGAGTCAAAAATAAATGATAATGAGAGGGGTGGAGTGAGATATGGAGAGAGATTGCTTATAGAGTAACAGATGACAACAGCTCAGTGCGTAGAAATACAGCATAACAAGGGCTTTGATGAGTTTTTATCACAGCTCCATGTGTCAGAGAATCTGACATATATGAAATATGAGGATTACAGGAGAACAAAGGGACTAAACACAAGATGCTGAACAAAATGCCATTAATGAATTATAAAGACAAGAATGACAACAGAGAAATCTCAGGGTTTAAAAAAATTACTAGTTGGGCTAGGATAATATCCCATCAGATTTATTTTTCACTTCCTGCTTACGGCCACAGCTGTTCTTTCTGGTTTTCTATCTCCCAGGTCTGGAAATGATGCCCAGGAAGACCAGTCTGCATCTGGTCCACCAAAAGAAGGGCTAGTGAGAATCACAAGATACAGCAAATCAGTTACTTTGATTTCTTTATAATGAATGATCTACCCCTGTTAAATAAAGCAAGTAATACTTCTTGTTATTATCAGCAGAACCATAAACATTAGTTTTTTTTTTTTTTTTTTTTGAGACGAGTCTTGCTCAGTTGCCCAGGCTGGAGTGCAGTGGCGCGATCTCGGCTCACTGCAAGCTCCGCCTCCCGGGTTCACGCCATTCTCCTACCTCAGCCTCCTGAGTAGCTGGAACTACAGGCGCCCGCCACTACGCCCGGCTAAATTTTTTTTGTATTTTTAGTAGAGATGGGGTTTCACCGTGTTAGCCAGGATGGTCTCGATCTCCTGACCTCGTGATCCGCCCACTGTGGCCTCCCAAAGTGTTGGGATTTCAGGCGTGAGACACCGCGCCCGGCAACATTACACTTTTTATGCTGCATTCAGTTGAACAGAACATATGTGTAACCCAATGACTATCATTAAGCAACTTGTGACCGGCCGAGGTGGCTCATGACTGTTATCCCAGTGCTTTGGGAGGCCGAGGTAGGCAGATCACGAGGTCAGGAGTTCGAGACCAGCCTGACCAACATGGTGACACCCCCATCTCTACTAAAAGTACAAAAATTATCAGGGCATGGTGGCGCGTGCCTGTAATCCCAACTACTCAGGAGGCTGAGGCAGGAGAATTGCTTGAACCTGGGAAGCGGAAGTTGCAGTGAGCCAAGATCACGCCATTGCACACCAGCCTGGGCAACAGAGAAAGACTGTCTCAAAAAAAAGAAAAAGAAAAAGAAAAAGAAACTTGTGTGCTATCTGGCCTGGAACAATAATCAGAGATTAAGGAATATTTACTCATTAAATTACTCATTAAAAAGTTATGCTTGTACTAAAAAGATTTTGCTTGACTTGAAGGAAGTTCTCAGTCCACCTCTCCCTGAGAAAGCTGAGAGAGACAGAGAGACGTGGCCCTATGGTGAACCAGGGACAGGCCTGCCAGAGACGCTCATCTGCAATAACCTGCACTGTGACATTTGGAGGGAGGGCTCCTGCAGTAACAAACGTTCTCTTCTTGCTCTGTTCCCTACTCAGGGAACAAGGCCCTTGATAAAAACCAAAATATTGCTTAGTAAATTGTGCTTGTTCCTCCTTTGCTTTGCATTCCCTCTTTTTGCTTTTCATTATCTCCCTCTGATTTTATCTAATTCCTTTCTTGGTTTCCATCATTATTTTTATTTTCTTCCCCTACCATCTCCTTACTTCTTCCAACTTTGCATATACTTCACCCCGTTTGCATTTCTCACAAATCTGTTTCTCTGTGCCCTCCTCACATTCCATCTGTTTCTTGTCCCCAGGTTCACCTCTTCCCCTGCCTCTGACTGGTCTGGCCTGCTTTTTGTCTGCCTAGGAGCACAAAGGCAGCTGCTTTTTTTTTTTTTTTTTTTTTTCCTCCTAACATCCTCTTCATCCCAAGCCTCAGCTCTGCACAGTAAATTGGCAATGGCAGGAGGAAAAATTTACATTAACTCTTACTTGACAACAGAGAAGACAGGGAGAAACATACACACTCATTAGGAATCAGCTCAATGTGCACGTATAGATGTACTTGGAAACTAGCAGGTCAACTGTGACATTAATAATTAAGTTCTCACCTGTTGATTATGCCACCACCCTGCTGAGGCATCTCACCATCATAACAAGAACAAGGCTTGAAGCAAACCAACTACCCCAGCTTCCCATCCCCTGCAGGAATTAGACCTGTAGCCTCCTGACAGTCATGCCACCTCTTACTGAAGACTTCCAGCAGTGACCTTACTATTTCAAGAGGCCCACTGTTCAGCAGTTAGAAACTACATTTGATCCTTGAAGAACTCAGGGACTAGGGGCACCAACCCCAGGCACAGTTAAAAAATCTAAGTATAGGCTGGGCATGGTGGCTGATGCCTATGATCCTGGCACTTTGGGAGGCCAAGGCAAGAGGATCATTTGAATCCAGAAGTTCAAGGTCAGCCTGGGCAAGACTGTGTCTCTACAAAAAGGAAAAAAAAAAAGGTATAGTGGAGCTCACCTATGGTCCCACCTACTGGGGAGACTGAGGCAAGGGAATTACTTGAGCCCAGGAGTTTGGGGCTGCAGTGAGCTATGATTGTGATGCTGCCTCAAGCAATCCTTCTCTACAAAAATTACAAAATAAACAAATTAACCAGGCATGGTAGTGCGCACCTGTAGTCACAGCTACTCAGGATGCTGAGGTAGCAGAAGTGGTTGAGCCTGGGAGATTGAGACTGCAGTGAGCCATGTTGTTCACACCCTTGCACCACTCCAGCCTGAGTGACAGAGCAAGACCCTGCCTAAAAAAAAAAAAAAAAAGACGGAAAGAAAGAAAAACGAATATCCAAGTATAAGTTTTGACTCCCCCAAATTTAACTTAACTATTAATAGCCTACTGTTGGCCAGAATTCTTATTGATAATATAAACAATCGACTACCATATATTTTGTAGGTTATACGTAATATATACTGTATTCTTACAATAAAGCAAGCTAGAAAAGAAAATGTTATTAAGAAAACCATGAGCGAAAATATATTATTCACTAAGTGGAAGTAGGTCATCATAAAGGTCTTCATCCTTGTCATCTGCATGTTGAGGAGACTGAGGAGGAGGAGAAAGATGAGGGGTTGATCTTGCTGTCTTAGGGGTAACTGAGGTGAGGAAAACTCACAAACAAGTGGATCCACATAGTTCAAACCTGTGTTGTTCAATGGTCAACTATACTTATTGTCAAAGAGCTTCCTGTCACTAAGTTCAAAACAACCTTACTGTGTGCTATAGACTGAATGTTTATGTTTTCCCAAACTTCATATGTAGAAAAGTAATCCCCAATATGATGGTATTGGGAGGTGGGGCCTTGGGAGGTGATTCAAAAGTGGAGTACTCATGAATGAAGTTAGAGTCCTATAAGGGGGCTGAAGAGACCAGAGCTCTCCCCATCTGCCATGTGATGTTACAGTGAGAAAATGACCATCTATGAACCACAAAGCTGGCCCTCAGAAGACATGGAGTCTACTGGTGCAGCCCCCAGAACTGTGAGAAATAAATTTCTGTTGTTTATAAACCATCCAGTTTATGGTGTTTTTGTTATGGATGGACTGAGGCACTGTGATTCCATTTATTGATCATAGGTCTCTCCTGTTGAGTATTGGAGAGGCAATCTTTTGACCATAAGAACAGTTCTCTTACCATCCCAAGTTTCTAAGATTTTTCCAGGAGAGATATCACTGGCTTTCCTCATCACACTCTAAGCCCTGTGTTGGTAGGTACTGTATCTCTTTTTCACCTCGGTGTTCCCAACTCTCAACAAGGTGCCTAGCATATAGTAGGCACTAACTAAGTGTATGTTGAATAAATGAACTAACCCTTCTTAGAGAAGAGGCAATCCTAGCTCAAGTTCACACAGCTTGAAATTGGGAGAGCCCAGATATGCATCTATCTTCTTCTCTTAAAACCCACATTTAGCCTCTTGGCTGTTTTGCTAACAACTTTCTTTGTTTATGGTGGTAATAGCTATGATATATGGAGATGCTAAGAGAACTAGCAGAACTAAAGAGGCCTGGAGTTGAGATCAATGGCCACAGACAGCAGAGATCTTTCCAGTGGAAACTGTGGCAGGGATGCAGCCTTACCCAGTGAACACCAGCCTTACAGTGAACACCACAGCCGGATGCTCAGAGGCAGATACAGCCAACCACAACACACCATGTGAGAGATCGTGCTTAGCCAAAGGAGAAGACGTGAGCCAGGGGCCCTCTCCAAAAGTCATTAGCATATGAAATTGTCCATAGTCCCTGAGCATCCTCTAGAGAAGGAAGAGAAAAGAGAAACTTTTTAGAGAGTCAAGTTGAAAGTTGGATTGACGGAATATTAACCCAATGAGAGTAAGTTAACCTGAAAGAGGCTCTCAAGTGTATATTCTGTCTCATTCCCTTATATAGGGAATGGGGCTTCCTGAGCAAGCTACTTTTATTTATTTATTTATTTATTTGGCACACTTGTGAATAGTTTAAAAACTTCAATCCTTCTGTGAGGTTATGTAGTTAGTTATGATGCCTTATTATTACCCACCCAATATCACTGTAATTTATAAGATATTATTAAATTTCTGGTCAAATATACATATATATTGGAGTGAAATACTCACCTATATCTTATATACATGACTATAGGATGCATTTATGTAATATAAAAATATATGTCTTTCATTCTAATGCTGGTTCTCTTTTTCCTCTTTCTTTTTCTTTTTTTATTTTGTCTTGAATAGTTCTCTCTCATGACAGTCTTAATAAACTGTGTAATATTAACATATGGGTATCATCCCCTGTTACATATCTATTTTTATTTGAATGATGAAATATCTAATAACCTTCATTTGCCTGTTTCTGAATGTGTCAGATCATATTGATAAGTATTCAATAAACTTAAAAGCATACCTTTACTTTTGGTTTCTCAGGCAACTTCTAGCATTAATTGCAAATTAAAACAAGTATCATTATTTTAGTTAACATGAAAATACTACAGGTATTTGTTTCATATTGTCTGTTTAGGAGAAAAAGATTTTGGTCAATTTGTATTTCTTTTTATGTTTATTTAAAACAAGCTGAGAATGAGTCATGATTGTTGTTCACTCAGTCTTGGGGAAACATAAGACTCTCTCCTCTTCTCTCATCTTCCTCCACTCCCCATCTCAGGAGAGGTTGTAATGACCCAAGACTAAATGTAATCCTTGATATGTTGCAATGGGGCACTAATGTGGGGAGCAGAGCCTTTAGTGGGAGGATTAAAGGATTATATGTAGAACTAGAGAGCAAAATCTGTTTTCATGTTCCTTTGTTTTTTTTTTTTTTTTTTTTTGTCCATCTTTTCTTCCATTTAAATGGTTGGAATGGAGACACCAGCTGGAAGAGCATACTGTCATCCTTGGGAAGTCAAGTAGAACACTTCTGTGTAGGTCTTAGGGGAGAAATCATCCTTTGTTCTTGATTCTTCCCCTTGTGTAACTTTCTTTTTCCTCCATCTCTGGGGTAGCTAATGCGGTAGAACAGGTCCTGGAGGTACCTCCTTCTTATCTGGAAACACTCAAAGCTTGAATGGATTGGCACTCAGGTCTAGAGACGAAAATATGTGGAGGAGGGACTTAGGGCAGGCTCATCTCTAGGTCTTAAAGGAAACAGGTTCTCTTTTTGACATCTGGCATTCTTGTAAAGAGAGAGACAATGTTCCCATTTTATAGAAGAGTAAAATTATGTTTAGTAAGATTTAGTAATTTGTAGAATAAGTGGCAGAGATTAATCCAGGCAGCTAACTAGGAAAAAGAATCAGATAGAGATTTGCAACTAAAGCTCACCTAATAATATACAATTTCATTTGCCTGCAACATCATCTACTCCAGGGTCAGTAGTGTGGAAATGGCTGTATGAGGAAGCAGTGAAAAATTCAGGTATTTAGTTTAGATCACAGAAGTCTGCTTAGAGTTACAACTAACGAGGTAGAATGGTTCCTCATTGCAAACAGGGGATGAGAAATGTGTTTTTTTTTTCCTTCATGCCTTTCTGGGGAACCTCAGTATTACTCAAACATTTGGTATCCAAATGTTCCCAAGATCACTGGGAGTAACCATCTGCTTCTCAATATCCCAAGTCTTCCTTTATAGCAAGAGAGATGTTCACTGTAAGATTCTCTGTCATATTTAGGAGTCTCAGAAACTCCTCCAGACTTTTTAGAGTGTGATTTTTTTTCCATTAGTCCCATATAACTTTTTCAAATAATAACTGTTTATATATAGATTGTCAAGTTCCAAAAGTACCTGAAGTCCTTTTTACCTACCACAAAAACATATTAAGAGATATTTAACCAGCATGATGGAAGGAAGACTATTTTCAAAAACTCACTTATAATTTCTACATGTGCTACTCACTATTCTTTATTTTAAAATAGTCTATTTATTATATTCATGGCTAAAAAAAAAAGAATATCCTCACTTGATAATTATATCTTCAAGAATCATTATATATCTACAGATATTAAGCTTATATAAGTCAGGGATAAAGTTGTTTAATTTTCAAGAAGAGGTCCAAGGCTTTATTCATCTTGGGGACTTGTTAAACAAGGTGTTTTTGTATCTAGTGTGGTTATCTTAGGATGCAAGATTGCTTTTATTTTTCCTTCTGACTGCATATGTGTACATTTAATTATAACGGCAGCAAGGCCAAGGCCAAAGATCTTTGTGTATGATCTTTCAGTCCTCTGTAGTCACCCTCTGTCTTTTCTTTATAAAGTCCTTGTACATACCACTCCCACTGCCCACACGCCCTAACTATCTCATCCTCTAGCTAAGTCTCAATTTCTCCCTCAGATTAGTTTTGACTAGAGCAAGAAGGCTTAGATGTGAATACAGCAGGAAGGCTTACTCTGACTTACAACCTAGATCAGATCAATCCCCACTACTCCATGTTCTTCATCCCACCTAAAAATACAGCTTTGCTTATTTCTCTTGTTGTAGTAAGTAGCAACTGCTTTGTGGTGGTAACTAACTTTTGTTTAGTACTTCAGTTTTACAAAAGCCTGCCACATACTTCTGGGCCCCAAAACAAATTCATGTGGAGAGTGAATGGGTTAATGCTGTTGTCTACACTAAACAGAAGATAAAAACAAATCTCAGATCAATGAGGAGACTTGCCCATGATGAAATACTGAGCAGCGGCCACAGTAAGATTTAAACACAGAACTTCTGATGAAAAATCCCACTATATTTTCATCCCACTACCTCCACCCTATTGGAGAAGGAAGTTATATAGTGCACGAATTTTCTTTCTTTTCTAATGTATATTAATATTTTGCCCACATTTTAAAAAGTTGTTTTATTTAATCTCTAGTGTGGTTTATGAAACAAGATTTTTTTGTATCGTTAGAATAACTGTCACAGTATTTGATATTCATATATTATTTGAGTATTTGTCACAAAACAAATAAATACTCAGCCAGTTTTCAATTTTTACAACAGCCGGAGGCAGTCATAATTGATTTAGTATATAAGGGAGATAGAAAAAGAGGCTTCAGGGATACAGCAAGAATCTAAAACCACTGTAAAAAAAGAAAAAGTAAGCAAAAGTTAAGACCAAACAAAATGATTTTTCTCAAAACTTCCTCTAGTCTGAAGATTCTTTGATGTTCCAGTGCTACACTGGTGCCAGTTCACTACCAGCTCCTGAGAGCCAATCATGAAATAGTCAGAAATTTTGTGAATTGGTGCCTTAAAAATTGGCCATGGTGAGAATATTTACATCACAAATATCAGCAAACAACATGAACCAGGGTGTTTTCCCCTGAGGGCAGGTTTACCAGCACAACATTGGGTATTGTTCATACAAAATACTAGAGAATAGATGAGAAAAAGCAATTGAATAAAAATAAGATTAAGATAATAAATTTTCCTAACATTTTTTACATCTTAGAGGCTCTCATGTATTATCTAATTTAATCTTCACCAAAAGCCATTGAAGGTGGCAGAGAAGGAACTATTTATTATCCCATTTTACACTTGAGGAAACTGAGGATCCAGCTGTTAGAGTTGGTACTGGTGGTAGTGAGGCTGGAATCAAACATTTCTGGGTCCTTCCGCAATGTCCTCTCTGTTCACTGGGAGTACTTTATTAGGGTAACAATTTATGCTTTGAGGGAACAGGGCAGAGACACACAAGTTTTGTGCACACTTTGCCATACTTGGAAATGGATGGGAATTCTGTTTTTGTTTTTCCACTGAAAATCTGTGGAATCTGGAATGCTTTTCCTGAAAAAAGAATCCACATGACCATGTGCTAATGTGGGTTTTTTTAGCCCTGGTTTGCCACAACCCTCTGTTTGTTTTCTCTTAAATGTTAATTTCTAATTTGAAAAACCTGCTCAGAGAATAAACACTGAACTCTTCAAGACTATTTTTAAATATCTTCTTGGTTGCTTGGTTAATTTGAGTGTGTATATATGCTGGATTGACAGTTCTAAAGATTGAAGCCATTTATTTATCCCTAGTTTAGAAATAGTACTGAAAATGTTTTTTTTCAGACATGCCCAGGCAGCCTTGTGGGGTGCCTCACACGTGGTATCATGGCAGTTACGACACTGAGAGACAAGAAAATAGTGCACGTGTCTAGGGCTGCCTTTAGTTTTTTTGGTTTAGCGTCCACAGAGGTGGGACATAGACAAATAACTGTTGGTGTTCCCTGATTATGAGGTTTTGTGCCACATGTTGGTCAAAGAAAGTGGCAGTGTTGGAATGAAAACCTCAGCTTTATAAAAATATAAGCAAATTTGCACAGATCCAATTGCACTCTTTACCACATTTCCCTCTACTGCCATGCTTTCTCACTCAAATTTGATAAGCGTAATAGAATTTGGTGAACCACCATGAGCTGTTTGTTATAGTCATACTCTGTAACCTCATTAGATATTCAAAACTATATTAAGAAGTGGGTATAGAATCACCAATCCTCTTTTGCCATCAGAATATCAAGAAAAAACTGTGACCCAAGAGTTATCTTAGAGCATAGTGTTGAGAGACTACGCAGTATAGAAGCATTAAAACATTAGTATCAGAAGATATGAATTCTAATGCCCAAGAAGTATTAATTGTATAAATAAGTGAATGAATAAATAATTTGTGACCTCGTGACTCAACAAGGGAATGATACTAGACCTGTCATCTCAAATTTCAGGCATGGGATTACGATAATACTTACTTTACAGGGTTGTAGTAAGTACTAAGGAAAATAAAGTACATGAGAGTGCTTTATAAATTGATCTATATTGTATAAATATGGTATTTTATGTGAATGTTTTTCACATCCTAAATAACAGGATGGATAAAAATTCACAATGTATCATTTCTCATATGGGTTGGTTATACAGTCCTATTTATTTAATACACTATGGCCATTTTCCCAAACAACAGAGTAAACTCTACTTACTATTTGACTACATGAATCAGAAAGAATCAATTTTCCATTGTTGCTGTTGGTAATTGGTATCTGTATGTATACTTTGAGATGAATTTAAACATAAAGCCATGTCACTAGATGTCTAATACATTACATTGGACTATGCAAGTTCTTTTCCTTTTCTTCAGTGCTCTCAAGTGGCAAAGATTAATTTATAGTGTGTATGTGTTTTTAGCATTTGTGAGGTTCTCCTGTGGGTTGCTCCATTGAGAGTAAAGCTTTACAAGCTGAAATGTGAATGAAGTAAAGCAGTTGTTAGGAAGAGATGGAAAACATTATGTGCGTAATTATGTTTCCACACCTGCGTTTATGAATTCCATTTTTATAGACAGAAGGAGATGTGGAGGCAATTAAAGTTACTGTATGGACCCCATTGGCAATGAGTCATTAGAGAGTTCACAGGGCCATTAAGTATTGAGGGAAATCCCAGTGCCTAGAGAGATAGAGAAAAGCACCAAGTACTTAATTACTGGTTGTGGAGGTGAGAGTTAAAATGAAATCATGGCATTGGGTTAATAAAATCCAGATTAATATTGCTGCTGATGGACACACTCCTGTTTGAAAAACTATTTATATAAATAAATGAATATAATTTTGTTATTTTTAAAATAGTAATTTTGGATTCTGCTAAGTTAATTATGAACTTGTGTAAAGGCTAAGAGGTCATATTTCAAAAGCGAACTTGTTTAATTAGCCTTCACATTTCACCAACATTTATCTTAGTTAAGGCAACAAATTCAATGCAACATATACTTGCTGAAGACCTACTGTGTGGTGCTATGACCAGTGTGGTGCTGGTTACTTAACATTTTATCCTAGGGGGATAGTTTCTTCTTTTAGGTACTTGTTCTTTTGAAATAACTGAAAAAGCAATGTGCTTTCTGACTCATGGTTCTTATTCCATGCTCTTAGAGCAAATGCCAGCTTGCTGTGTAACACTGTTTGCACAAAGTTTGTTTTGCACTAGGCTCATTAAGTCCCCAGGGCTCTAGTCCATATGGCGATGAATGAGTTTCAGGTAAAATAAAAAGAATGTTGTGATTCTTTTGTGAAAGAAAGAACTGTTTCTCAACTTTCTCAATAAGAGCATTTTTGATAGTGCTTAACCAAACAAAGTGCAGACTGGAGTGCAGGAAAAAGCCATCAAGAGTATCCTCTCATCCCCGTTAGGCTGGAGACGTGTGAACAAGGATATTCATGTGTGGACATGAAGCCATTCTATTAAAAATTCACGGAATGTAAAGATTCTACTACTTTCCACATCATAAATATTATCATATAGGACATTTAAATTACTTTTCATTCATTATAAAAAATGACTGATAGAAAATACTATGAGGCAGATGGTTAGGTCCCATTTTGATGTCATTAAGAGAAAATTGCACATATTTTGTTCCAGGCAGTAATATGAGAGGTCATTTAATGAAAAACACATTTACTAAATAAACATTTTCTGTGGAATGTGTTTGGGTATAAATATTTTTATTGTAATTGAATTTCTTTGCTATGTATGGTACTCATATTTTTAAAGACCAACTAGCTGACCTTGATGTCTAGGTTGCTTTTATTATTGTTATAGTTGCTGAGGTGCTCAAAATAAGAGTTTTACAGGTACCAGTCAAGGGCCATAAATTTCTTCTCAGTGTGCTTGACTTTTTTCAGGATCTTAAGAAACCATATCTCATGTTTCTTTTAGTTACCATCACTCCCGAATTTGCATCAACTCGTATATGTGTGAACTCATTTTCTAATCTTGTTAACTAAAAAGTTGAACTTGTGGAAGTCTAGAGTAGAACAGTAGTTAGCAGAGGCTGAGACAGTGGTGAAAAAGGGTGTTGGGAAGATGTAGGTCAAGAGATGCAAAATTGCAGTTAAACAGGAGAAATAAATTCAATAAATCTATTGTACAGCATGGTGACTACAGTTAATAATGTATTGTATTTGTAAAAATTCTAAGAGAGTAGATTTTATATTCTCACCACAAAATTGAAAATTATGTGAGGTAGTACGCATATTAGCCCAGTTTAGCCATTCTACAATGTGTATATATATTCTAAAACATCATGTTGTACATGACAAATATGTATAATTTTGTCAATTTTTGTAAAAATGTATGTATTGTCATTTGTAAAAATGTATGTCTTTATTGGTTTTATATTTAAGAAAAGTTTAAAAGATTTCCTGTCATTTGTAACATTTTAGATCATTATAAACTGGACAATTTGTTTCAAATTTATTCAGGGAAAACTTCTTCTGGATTTTCTGGTAAGGCCAGACTCTCACCATGTTGGCATAATGGGCATCTGTGTCTCTTTCCTACAGCAGGAGATAGCCATGCGCATTTTTTTTGGTGGAGGGGGGGAGCGGTTTGTTTTAGAATGTATTTCTTAGGAGAGTAATAAAGATTAAATAAAATAACCCAATTCTAATACCTAACAGAGGGTAAATCTTGTAAACTCTCAATAAATGTTAGTTTAATACACACACACATACACACACATACACACACACCTATACACCTCAGAATACAGTAATGCTATTTGACTTCAGATTGACAAGACCCTCCCAAAGCCGTTATAGGAGTCTGTGAATTGTTTACTGGGCAAAGCACACTGACATTAGTTCTTTACTTTTCAGTTCTTCCTGATTCATCAATCACATATTCGTACACACCCTACAATGTGTATAGAACTTTTCTGGGTGCTTAGCAAGATGCCAAGTAGTATAAAATAGTTATTTCCTCCCTCCCTCCCTCCCTCCCTTCCTTCCTTTTTTTCTTTTGAGACAGAGTCTTGCTCTTTCACCCAGGCTGGAGTGCAGTGGCACGATCTCGGCTCACTGCAACCTCCGCCTCCTGGGTTCAAGCAATTCTCCTGCCTCAGCCTCCTGAGTAGCTGGGATTACAGGCATGTACCACCACACCTGGCTAATTTTTATATTTTTAGTAGAGAGGAGGTTTCACCGTATTGGCCAGGCTGGTCTCGAACTCCTGACCTCAAGTGATCCGCCCACCTCGACCTCCCAAAGTGCTGGGATTACAGGCATGAGCCACTGCGCCCGGATTTTCTAAGAAGTTACAACTTAGCCACAGAGACACCACTTTCTTACAAGAAAAAGTAATTAATTCTATTCAGATTAATTGCAATTGCTTTCTTTCCCTTAAGTCCTCAATTATAATAATAGACCTATATTTTCAATCATCACCAGATAATTTAATCAAACCTCCAAAATTCTGAAAATTTTCATTCATTGATTTTTGATTTCAAAGACCTTAAACCTTAAGGTTTTTCCTCCCTAGTAAACACCACTGAAGTTCTAGAACTCCTTAGTTTCTGATAATGGTGTGGTCATACAGAGGAAACAGTGAACTAAAACTTGAGAGACTGTGAATCACCCTTCCCAGAAGCACTATCGAGCTCCGTGACCATTAAAAAAAAAAAAATCATTTCACCTTTCTGAAACTCAGTTCTTATATTTTAAAACCAAGAGGCCAAAAAACAAAAGACCACAAAGCTCTTTGGCAGCCGTAGCAAATGATGGCAACTTGGCTGCCCAGGATATCATGAAGCTGTTTGAAAAATTTATCTCCATTTTTCCTAATATGGTACCAAACCATCTTGATTACTCAATAATATAAGCTTAAATATTATCCTTTTTTAAAAAATATTATCCTTTTAAGCTAACCACAATATACAGAAGTTAATATGGATGTTATTGGCTAAGATAAAATTATGAGTTATTTCTAAAACCAAACAGAAAAAGTACGCGGAATGTGAGGAGTGCTTCAATAGAATCACACATTTCCTATTCTCACAACTGTAGACTTTCCATCTATTTGGAAAAATGGAAACAAAGAAATAAAGATAAATCTTATATATGTTTGAGTGAAAACATGAATGTATCATGCTTCAAAGTTTTTTATATCTAGGGTAGAGAAAATACCATCATATTAGAAGCTAATGCCCTGAGAGATATCAACAAAGAAAACTAGCAATCTTTAAAGGCCTCAAGGAAGAGCTAATAAACTTTTTCTCTGGGAGTGATTTGAAAAGACTATTTACATCATCAAACAGTAAAAGTTTCACCTTTCATTGCATTAGAATAATTCAAGGCAAAGATAATTTTTCATTGTTAACTCAAGAAGAACCAGCATGTATGTTCATCCATGCATACATACATCTAGAACAAAATTAGTCACATTTTAAAATAATTGTCACTATTTTGGCTGCCTTTAGATCTAAGTAAAGATACATTTTAAGAGGTGAGAAGATAACTGCTAAATAGAAACTATACCTTTTCATCTCCATGTTGTTCTTTTCAAGAACTCAGGCTGCAGGCAAGAATCTAGTAACCCTACTAAGATAGACAGGAGTTTGTTCATGTTTGTGGAGAGGCAACAATTAGTTTTCATGCTGAGAAGCTCTTCCCAGGGAACATCTGAGTGTTGGAAGCAGTAGACAACAATTACCAAACAAACAAACAAACAAACAAAAAACACCTAAAACCAAAATATTGCTTAAGTTCCCCTTATGCCATCAGTGGGCCAAAGACATGGGTCCAGCTCCACTGGTTAGCATATAGGAGAGGGTGGCCACAAAGTATAGTAGCTCTTTGTGTTCAGGCCATCAGTAAGAATTACGAGACTATGTTCTTGAGTGCAGTAGTGCCCCAACCTCATCCCTCCGAAAAAAAAATTCCATCAGTAGTATCCAGCATGACAGCAGAAGACTTAAGGCAAATGGTCTATGAGGACACTGGCTCCCTAATCCTCAAAACCTGTCTCTAATCCTTAATTTTGTCTCATGCATGTCCCTCACTAGCAAGTGCCAGCATCTCACATTTCTCTGGAAAACCAAATTACTGCAATCTTACTTCCAGCTCCAGCACAATAGTGGCTGAAAGATTCTGCACTTTCTATCTCGCCAATCCATTTCCCCATGTACCTATGAACTGAAACCAGGTACATCTTGGATGGAACAGTCACTCAGGAAGTACCTAAACACCCTGCATTTAAGGCTTAGCCATATTTTCTGGGATGTAATGTCTCTTACCTACTTGGGCTCTAACTCTGGAATAGTCAGTACTGAGCTTTTGGATACCAGACAAGTAGATTCAGGTCTATAATGATCCTGGCTCCTGGCCACAAGTAATCATGGACCAGTTCATGGACTGCCTGCCTTGAATTTGTGAGTTAAATACTGGTATATGCAGGACTAAGATGGATAAATCAGGGGTTTCTTACATAAGTCAAGGCAGAATGTCTGAAATAAAGAGATATTGGTGAGAGATCTAAAATGAGACTAGCACTTAGCTAATAATAATAGTAATATTAAATTAATAAAATAAAAAATAGCTACCTCTTAGGCACTCTGTTAAGTGTGCCACATGCATTAATGTGTTTACTCTTCAGAACAATCCTATGAGATACGATATCCCAAATTTACAGGTAGTTATGTTTGGAATAATGGGATTGTGTAGGTAGGATCAAACAAGCAGAGACTTTTGAAAGTCCTTCAGGTAAAAATTGAAACAAGAACTTAGCAGTTGAGTTCTATCTGGCAACTGGCTAATGTCCAAGAGCAATCAGCAAATTAGTAAATCTTTCCCATGTCAACCAACCTAATGTGTGTTCACAAGGGAATGGCTTACACATTTCCTTGATAATGTCTTTATCAGAGCCAACTGCTACACTAGAACAATCCTAAGAATCCCCCAGAATTGCGGAAGAACTGCCAATTCTGCACAGTTGTGACTGCTAGAAGACAGTGGCTATGAATCACCTGCATGTACGCCTCTCACAGAACTTTAAATCCAGGCTTACTCAGTATAGGTTCAGCCAGAGTGTTGGAACATCCTGCCGCTGCAGTTTAGCATATACCATAAAAGATCCTGAGCAATCCTTTGGCATCAGGGGTAATGCAATGAGAACTACTCAACTCCCAGATCTGGAAAGTTGGGATATTTGTGACTAAGACTTAATGAAATGACTTGTTCATGATTTGGTGAACCGAATTTCTTTTCACAACTTGGAGGGCTGAATTTCTGCCAATAAAGGTATATTTTACAGACAAGTGTTATAATAGAAAGCAAATACAAATATTTATGAAGTTGGCAATGTATTGGAAATGGTAGAGATTATCATTTGCTTCCGTCCACTGTGATAAATGATTGTTTTCCTGTTGTCCTTCTAGATCTGCTCTGCACCCTTTCCATCTGTCCTCAGCCAGGAAAACTGACCTATAAGGACCATATCACCTGGGTTCCTGTGACTTCTGGCTTCGAGTTGAAGACCGTCAATGGGGAACATGATTAGCAGACTGGGGCAGAGGACAAGGAAGAAGAGTAAGGGTGGGGTATTTATTACTTTTGATATCCGTCTGCAATGTTGTCTTGGGCTGGGCATGCCCCTTGACTGAAGCTCTCTATCCTTCCAGGTTCAGGCAACTGACTCCTCTCGCTCATTTCTTCAAGCCTAGGAATGTTCCACCTGTCTCCAAGTTCCTGCATTTTCCCTTGTGGTAATGCTATATTCACACTCAACCTGTTGTAAATAAATCCTGATTAAAATCACCTTGAGTGTACTTTCCGTTTTCAGATGGAACACTGATTGACAGAACCATTCACACCCCAGTCATAAATCAGCCCTAGATTTAATATGAGTCTATCTTCTCCACAATCCTTTTATAGAATAACTTTTAAAAACTCCCAGGTTGAGCTCCCTGATCTCTTCTGCCTTCAACTTTCTCTCATCTTCCAAAAGGCTACGGTCACCTTTCTTTTTATCCATTGCTTCCTGTTAACTTCAAACCATATTATTCCTGCTCTTGCTATTCTCATAATTTAGTTTTCTAAACATAAAAACCTTCTACAGCCAAATGGATTACAAAGATTCAAAATTCCCTGTGAACATAAGCTGCAAACGGCATAAATGACTTTTGCTAGTTGCAAGCGGCCTTGATAACACAAGTAGTGCTATATGCAAATGAATGCTAATGTGAAAGTGGCTTTGTCACTTGAGATTAATGTGTTTTAGGTGAAAAAAAAAAGTCTAGGAGTACAGAGATTTATGATAATTCTTATCTACATCAGGTGCTTTGAATCTCTTAACTGACCTGGAGTAGTCATGGCAATGGCCTTTTTGCATCTACAGAATTTAAAAACAAACCTTCAAAGCTTTAGAGAAATGTTTATCTATTTATTCACTTGCCAAATGTATTTGGTACCTTCCGTATGTTAAGCATTATATTTGATTTTATATGTTTCAAAAATAAACAGGACACAGTATCTGCCTTCAAGAACCTTACAGCTAGTGGTGGAGGCAGAACCATAAGCAGAAAAGATAATACAGGATGATAAGAGCAGTAATAGAGAAACAAACTGTTGTGAGAGCACAATAAAGGAGTAACCAACTCACCTTGGGTGATCACTGAAAGTTTTCCAGGCGGGGCGCGGTGGGTCACGCTTGTAATCCCAGCACTTTGGGAGGCCGAGGCGGGCAGATCACGAGGTCAGGAGATTGAGACCACGGTGAAACCCCTTCTCTACTAAAAATCCAAAAAAAAAAAAAAAAAAAAAAAAAAATTAGCCGGGCGTGGTGGCGGGCGCCTGCAGACGCAGCTACTCGGAGAGGCTGAGGCAGGAGAATGGCGTGAACCCAGGAGGCGGAGCTTGCAGTGAGCCGAGAATGCGCCACTGCACTCTAGCCGGGGCGAGACAGAGCGAGACTCCGTCTCAGGAAAAAAAAAAAAAAAAAAGAAAGTTTTCCAGAGAAGACAGTTCTTGAACTAAATCAACAGGATTGGACACGTAGAACTGCCTGCCTGCTAGATATTTCCTCCTGAATATCCTGTAGAAACTTCAAACTCAACAAAGTTCAAAGTAATGTATCATCATTTACTTTAAACATGCTTCTCTATTTCTCTGTTTTTCAGGTTCTATTCAGTCACCTAAACTACAAACCAGGGCATCAGCCCTATCTAATAAGTCCTGCTGATATAACCTCTTCAAATAAATGAAAAAATAGAGCTGACTAAGCCCAAAGTTGTGGTTGATGAATGTTATGAGCTCGAGTGTGGTTGAAGATTAGAATGGACTAATCTTTATATTTACAGTTATTCCTCTGATAATATCCAAAGCTTTAATAAAAAAATAGCAAAACTAATCATTTAATGATTAAAGTTTTCAAAGACAATTTAGGAAACATTTATATCAGACTATCTGGGATTTCATTTTTACACCAGTGCCCTTGGAGATTTAGATATTCTCCTTCAAGGTAAAAGTGGGGAAAGAAACTCTCTCTGACATACCAGGCTGATATGTACTGTTTTTTCTCCAAGATGTTGCCTATGGGAGTATGTTTTATATAAGAATATGTTTGAATCAAAAAAAAATTCAAGACTCAATGGGCAAAGCTAAGAGAATAAAAGGAACTAAATGTCTCTGGGTACCTATCACTGGCATAATTCTAATCTGTTTTTCAAGAGAGAGATTATTTCCCTCTAATTTCCAGTTTTGTGATAAAGTCCTTCTTAAGATTTGAGTAAACATAGGACATAATGTAATTTCATCTAAAACAGATTGTTATCAAGACCAAAGATTCATTGAAATGACTACAAAACACTAAGAAAGTCTATTTGGAAGTGATAGCAATTTAAAAAAAATCAACCCATCAAGAGTATGTTAACAGTCCTGGGAAGGTAATGCAATTTGAATACAGTATTACAGAGAAATAAATGAAATTCACAAATTAGACTATATATATCAACAGAATGTTGATGCTTAATGCAAGCTGCATAATATTGCTGCTGTTCAGTTTTTGTTCATTTTGCAAAGTAACTAAACCCAAATGTGAATGTTCAAAAACTGCTTATGCTAAATAAAATGGATTCTGCTTTCCTTTCACATCAGCAGCAAGTGCTTAGTAATTATTGCTGTCACTGGATGTTATACTGCATTGATCCAGGCATTGAACTCTGATGATATTGATTTGTGCCTAAAGCTTGAATAAAGTTTAGTGAACAATCTCAAATTCCCAGGAGTAGATGCCTCTTGCTCTGTATGTTCCCACCATCCCAAGCAAATGCCACACAACTTAAAAACTGTTAAGTAGATTATGACCTTACATATTTTAGTTTAATGTATGCTAATTCCTTACTTATATGACAATTTTTCTTAAAGACCATTAAAGGATCCACTAAAGGTTATTCATCTCAAACATGACCATGTCCTAGTGGAGGAGGAAGACAAGCCAGATCTTAATTATTCAGCTGAATAACTTTGAAACATAGAAATAAAGATTTGTCAAAGATCTCTTTCTCTTTTCCTCTCTCTCATATACATACAGGGAAAATAAAACTCTCATAAAATTATTTGTTTTCAGTCTCAAATTAAAATATTGCTTTTCTGTCCGTATGCTTTAAAAAATACCCACTATTTCTCATTTCTGACTGTTTACCTTTTTATTACATTTCCTTTTATATTTACAAAATTTTTTTTGAAATATATCCATCTAAGGTAAAAAGCTTTGGGGTAAGGACACTTCATAAGACTGAAAATTCGCCTCTCAACCAGTGTCACCATAGAAAAGGTGATTATAGAAAGACTGTAAATTATTCTCCAAGAAAATGGGAAAGTACAAATGCCACTCCCTTTGGATAGAACTATTCCCCCAAATAGCAGGTTTTTTTTTTTTTTAGATGCAAGACAAAAGTGAGAAACAATTTGGGCATTTAATAGTAAGATTTAACCTCAGAACATATAGCTTCAGCCAGTGATGTCCAGCAATAAAACCATATTACAGCTTAATGGAATAGAGACTTCATAGAGCCTACAGATCGTATTGACTGAGACATTTACATGAAACACTTTTTCCTTTTTGATAATACTGGGATTAATAATATGTGATATTTGATGTTATCTCAGTTTATTAGGAAATATTTGTTGATTATACTTCTGAAAATGATAGAAGAAACATTAATCCATTAAATTTGAGAATCTCAGTCCTAATTTTCAATGTTTCTTGTATCTTCTATTGCTTTATAAGAATCTTTATTTCAAGGATTCTAGGGATGATTCTCTACTGAAGTTGTTTTCATAATGGAATTAGAAGAGAAAATGACAGACATATGCATCCTACAGTATTTTACTATGTCAATACAAATGAAGTGAAATAAATAAGAAATTGGAAGTTTTCAACTCTGTTCTTTGGTCACCACACCAATTGTTCCCGGCTAGCTCAACTATAAAACAAATTTGGTAAATTCCTGATTTGCTTAAATGGGAAACAATGACATTTTCTTGAGGCAACTTAAATTCCATCAGGTGTTTCTCCCAGTAAGGAAAACTAGTGTTGAGTTGCTTTATCTCTACTAGGAACAAAGATTTCACGTGATCTCTAAAGCCCAAAGAGAAGAACCTAGGTACTCTCCTCAGTCCTTGGCTCAAGTTGCTTTATTCTGTATTTCTACATCTACCCTAGCATAGAAACAACATATATATATCTTTTTTTATTATTATACTTTAAGTTTTAGGGTACATGTGCACAATGTGCAGGTTTATTACATATGTATACATGTGCCATGTTGGTGTGCTGCACCCATTAACTAGTCATTTACCATTAGGTATATCTCCTAATGCTATCCCTCCCCCTCCCCCCACCCCACAACAGTCCCTGGTGTGTGATGTTCCCCTTCCTGTGTCCATGTGTTCTCATTGTTCAATTCCCACCTATGAGTGAGAACATGCGGTGTTTGGTTTTTTGTCCCTGCAATAGTTTGCTGAGAATGATGGTATCCGGCTTCATCCATGTCCCCACAAAGGACATGAACTCATCATTTTTTATGGCTGCATAGTATTCCCTGGTGTATATGTGCCACATTTTCTTAATCCAGTCTATCATTGTTGGACATTTGGGTTGGTTCCAAGTCTTTGCTATTGTGAATAGTGCCGCAATAAACATACGTGTGCATGTGTCTTTATAGCAGCATGATTTATAATCCTTTGGTTATATACCCAGTAATGGGATGGCTGGGTCAAATGGTATTTCTAGTTCTAGATCCCTGAGGAATCGCCACACTGACTTCCACAATGGTTGAACTACTTTACAGTCCCACCAACAGTGTAAAAGTGTTCCTATTTCTCCACATCCTCTCTAGCACCTGTTGTTTCCTGACTTTTTAATGATTGCCATTCTAACTGGTGTGAGATGGTATCTCATTGTGGTTTTGATTTGCATTTCTCTGATGGCCAGTGATGATGAGCATTTTTTCACGTGTTTTTTGGCTGCATAAATGTCTTCTTTTGAGAAGTGTCTGTTCATATCATTCGCCCACTTTTTGATGGGGTTGTATGTTTTTTTCTTGTAAATTTGTTTGAGTTCATGTAGATTCTGGATATTAGCCCTTTGTCAGATAGGTAGGTTTGAAAAATTTTCTCCCATTCTGTAGGTTGCCTGTTCACATGGAAACTGAACAACCTGCTCCTGAATGACTACTGTGTACATAACAAAATGAAGGCAGAAATAAAGATGTTCTTTGAAACCAATGAGAACAAAGACACAACATACCAGAATCCCTGGGACACATTCAAAGCAGTGTGTAGAGGAAGATTTATAGCACTAAATGCCCACAAGAGAAAGCAGGAAAGATCTAAAATTGACACCCTAATATCACAATTAAAAGAACTAGAGAAGCAAGAGCAAACACATTCAAAAGCTAGCAGAAGGCAAGAAATAACTAAGATCAGAGCAGAACTGAAGGAAATAGAGACATAAAAAACCCTTCAAAAAATCAATGAATCCAGGAGCTGGTTTTTTGAAAAGATCAACAAAATTGATAGACCGCTAGCAAGATTAATAAAGAAGAAAAGAGAGAAGAATCAAATAGACGCAATAAAAAATGACAAAGGGGATATCACCACCGATCCCACAGAAATACAAACTACCATCAGAGAATACTATAAACACCTCTATGCAAATAAACTAGAAAATCTAGAAGAAATGGATAAATTCCTGGACACATAAACCCTCCCAAGACTAATCGAGGAAGAAGTTGAATCTCTGAATAGACCAATAACAGGCTCTGAAATTGAGGCAATAATTAATAGCTTACCAACCAAAAAAAGTCCAGGACCAGATGGATTCACAGCCGAATTCTACCAGCGGTACAAGCAGGAGCTGGTACTATTCCTTTTGAAACTATTCCAATCAATAGTAAAAGAGGGAATCTTCCCTAACTCATTTTATGAGGCCAGCATCATCCTGATACCAAAGCCTGGCAGAGACACAACAAAAAGAGAGAGTTTTAGACCAATATCCTTGATGAGCATTGATGCAAAAATCCTCAATAAAATAGTGGCAAACCGAATCCAGCAACATGTCAAAAAGCTTATCCACCATGATCAAGTGGGCTTCATCCCTGGGATGCAAGGCTGGTTCAACATACAAAAATCAATAAACGTAATCCAGCATATAAACAGAACCAAAGACAAAAACCACATGATTATCTCAATAGATGCAGAAAAGGGCTTTGACAAAATTCAGAAACAACTTTTAAAACAAAATGCCTCTTGTTGTTAAAAAGTCATATTTGTGGTTTACAAACATTGGAAAAATATCAATGGCATAGTAGGGAAGCCTAGTAGATAGCAGGACAAAGTGCCTACTGATGTGAGGCTCTGAGGAAGACCCAACATAATCGATGTGTCATTTCTGTCCAAAATGCATAATCTGGAATCTACTCATGGGGAAACATTAGACAAATGCAAATTGAGGAACAGACTACAAAATAAATGGCATTCACTATTAAAAAACACAAAAGCTAATAAATACAATAAGCACCCTGGGATTGGATCCTGAGCCAAAAAAAAAAAAAAAATCACCATAAAGGATATTATGACAACTGACATTTTTAAAATAAGTTCTTCAGATTTGATCATGGTATTGTACTAATGTTAAATTTCCTGATTTTCATCAATGTGCTAAGATTATGTATACAAATATCCTTGTTCTTGGGATACATACCCTGAAATATTTAAGAGTAAAGGAGCGTGATATTCTCAACTTATTCTCAAATGGTTCAGAAAAGAAATACAGATACACACAAATATACATGCATATACACACATACACACACAATGGGGGTGTGAGATAGAGACAGAAAAACAGTAAGTATAGCAAAATGTTAACATTAGGTGATTCTGAGAAAAGGGTATACAGAACTTCATTTTATTCTAAACTTCCCATAAGTTTGAAATTATTTCAAAAGAAAAAGTTTCTTAAAAATTATATCAGTTAAGTGTAAAGGGGTTTTATGTCTACTTAAAAGTGTCGTGGGATCCCTTGCATTTCTGATGGTGAATGCTATGCTGATTTAGGATAGGAGCAGATCAAAACAACTTTTTGCTCCAGATAATGGTTATTTTGTTGAAGATCTGATGATTTCTTTTCTGTTTACTGCTGGCCAACACAATTTCCTTGATTTCCCTTTCACTGTGTAAAATAAACCATACACCACAAAAGAATGGTGTCCTGTCTAGATTTTTTCATATTAAAAAAACTCTTATTCTAATTATATAAAGAGTAAATGGTTGGCAGCTATTAGCACTTGAAAAAGATCTTTTGATGTGAGCTGAAACAAAAACATTAACAACCTGACATTTATTCCCACATTCACTGTAGTTACTATCTCAGAGATACCAAAACAAATACGGCACCAACAGTGCACTGAAGCCAAACAATTGGCCTGCACTTCCTGGGCAATCAGGGGCAAGGGATGGAGTTGGAGGCCATGGGATTCACCAAGCTTCCTAAAGCTGGCTCAGTACTAGCCTTGGCACACAGAACATTCGAGGAGAAGTAGAACAGTATTTTTGCACATGAATACCTTTGGCAAAACCCACTGTTTATTCTTTTGATTTTCTTTTATAACAATTGAGAGTCTCTTCAGTTGCTAAGTGAAGGATCTAAAAGTAGAAATATGTATTTTGCTGGACGTGGTGGCTCATGCCTGTAATCCCAGCACTTTGGGAGGCCAAGACGGGTGGATCACCTGAGGTCAGGAGTTCAAGACCAGTCTGACCAACATGGTGAAACCTCGTCTCTACTATAAATACAATATTAGTCGGGAGTGGTGGTGCATGCCTGTAATTCCTGCTACTTGGGGGGCTGAGACAGGAGAATCACTTGAACCCAGGAGGCAGAGGCTGCAGTGAGCCAAGATCATACCATTTTACTGCAGCCTGGGGAACAAGAGTGAAACTCTGTCTCAAAAATAAATAAATAAATAAATAAATAAATAAAATTAAAATTAAAGTAGAAATACATATTTCTATAACAGTCAATTGGATTATACCTACAATAATTCATAGCTACCTAGATAAAAGAACAGGATCACACATATTATGAAATGTAAAATACTTAATGTGGCCTGGTTATGGCTGACAACAAATGGTGTCTGATTCTAAAGGGTTCACTACGGCTTGTTTGGGAAAAGCTGTTCAACTTCCTCATTTTCCTCTTCCTTGAATTGTTCCTTGCACTAGAATAACTACTTTTTTTTTTTTTCCGAGATAGAGTCTCGCACTGTCGCCCGGGCTGGAGTGCAGTGGTGCGATCTCAGTTCACTGCAACCTCTGCCTCTTGGATTCAAGCGATTCTCCTGCCTCAGCCTCCCAAGTAGCTGGGATTACAGGTGCCCACCACCATGCCCAGCTAATTTTTTTTTATTTTTGGTAGAGATAGGGTTTCACTATGTTGGCCAGGCTGTTCTCAAACTCCTGACTTCGTGATCCACTGGCCTTGGCCTCCCAAAGCAGAATAACTACTTAAGATGAATGAATCCTTCATTCAGATGCAAAATATCAATGACAATAATGCCACTGAAAATTTGTGCTGTTGTGCAGGTAAAGGGAGTGCTTTGATATAAAATGCTCAGAAAGTTGTGATTAGTAGATTTAGTGCATACAACTGTCAGAGGTCCATATGGTCTTTCATAATGTTAAGATTAAACTTACTCTCAAAGAAAAATCCCTGCCCGTGAGAGCTGAACTATTTCCAATGCCTGGGTTATACCTTGCTGAGAAGCCATCCATATTAGATGATTTCTTATTTCTCTTTGGCCAGTGGAGTCCCAGTAGCTATATCATATTCTCATTCATGAATGTACAATGTCCTAAGGAATTAAGAGCTTTTATGGACCTGAGTTCAAATCTGACTATTCCAATAATAGGCAGTATAAGTTTTGCACCAGTTTTCCTAGTACTTACTAAACCTCAGTCTCTCTTCTGTAAAATTGATATAAAATAATATATGTTATAGGAGTATTGAGAGGCTTGAGTCAACAACGGTAAGGTCTTTAGCACAACGTGTGGTATTTAATTAGAGTTAAATAAATATTGGTCATTTTTCTACACACAGGAACATAAATGGATATGTCAGGGTGATCCCATTGTCCATACAACCAAAGTCTCTGCACTGGTATCATCAAATTGGAATATGAGAAAACAGGAAGACCTAACTCCCTTAACATCATTATCTATTTGCTTACCTTGATTTTCATAGTACCTGAGTTCTCTCATGCTTATTTATGCATTTAGGCACATTAATTGTTAAAAATGGTTTTAACATGTCAGTTGGTTTATAACCCATATTTCTTTGCCATTCCTTTCCGTATCCTACACTTAGTCCCCTAGTTTCAAGACAAAACAAAAGAAAATTGAAATGAGATAGTGCCTCACCAGCCTGCCTTCCCTCCCCAGGGTAGCAAGACAAATAAAGGTTTTGTTGTTTGTCTCAAGTTAGCATCAACACAGCCTGCAGCAGCCCTGTCAGCACCAGCCCGTGATGCCAGGGAATTGCTGGGAGTGCCAGCATGCTGGTGCCAATTTGCTGCCTGGGCTCCTTCAAAACCACATCAAAGTATCTGCCAGTTTCTAAACTTCCTTCCAAGGCTCATGGAGGAACATGGGGACCTCTAGATGGGATCAGATGTGTGGTTTTTCACATTCCCCCCTCCATCTCCTCTGCCTGCCAACTTGGGTGAGCCTCCAGTATTCTCTGTGTCCACAGGACTCTTCGGTTGCCTATAAGATAACATTCATAATAGTTGAAACCTGTGATAGTTTGTGAGAAAGATCCAATAAATTATATAATTTATGTATCTTCTCTATTACAAAAGGCCTGACTCCTACAAATATTTCAAAATTTAATAAATAATTCTCCAAGAATTCAAATGCACATAGTTTGTTTTGGAGGTACAGAAAATACCATTATTGAGAGGCTTATTGGAGTGGTCTAGTGATAAAAGGAAGAGAAGAAAGACAACAGTTTATTAAGTCATCACAGTGGACAACTAAATTCTATGGGAAAATGCTGTGAAATAGTGTAAAACATAAGCCACGTGTGATGGCTCATTTTATATGTCAACTTGGCTAGGCTATGGAGCCCAGGTGTCTAGTTAAACGCTAGTCTAGTTGTTGCTGTGAAGTCTACAATCAGTAGTCATCAAAGCAGAAGACTACAGCATAGACAACATGCCTGAATTTCCAGCCTACTGGAGTGTCCTGAAGATTTCAGATTCAAGACTGCAACATTTAACTCTTACCTGAACTTCCAGCCTGCTGGCCTACCTTACAAATTTAATACTTATCAGTCCCTACAATCACATAAGCAAATTCTGTAAAATCTTCCTCTCTCTCTCTTTCCCTTTCTTTCTCTCTCTCTTTCTCATGCATATGTGTTCATGGTTCTGTTTCTCTGAAGAATCCTGTCTTAATACACCACACAAGAAGTAAAGATGCTAGGTTAGTGATATACCAATGCCCTCCAAACATTGGTTGACAGCTGTGCTCAGGGGTAGTAGAGCCCTGGACATTTCTAGACTGTTGCATGCACAAGCAGAACATCTTTTTCAGCTCTGGAAAAAGCCTAAAAAGCCTTTAGGCACAGAAATAAATATATTGGTGATTGGAAGTGGGCTGGAGCATGCCAAAGTGGTGGGTCCAAGGGATATGAGTGAGGCAGTAACTTATCTGCTTAGTCCATCCCTTGTACCTCTTTATTTAAACTGATAGCTTGTCACAATTTCTAAAACAAAAACAAACAAGTTAATAAAAATGTGGAAAGTCTAGTGGGTTAAACTGTAGCTCATGTTATTACAGTTGGTTGCTTCCCACTACTTCTTCTATATGTATTCCTTCTCCTTCAGCATGCATTTCCACTGGTGTTGGTGGTTGTTTGCCTAATTTCGTAGCCCAGACCATCATGCCTGAGGGGTCTGAGCTCCTAATTGTCAAGCCCCTGTCAGGTCACAGTTGCTGCAATTATCCATTTATGGTTTTTACTAAATATGGAAAGAGCAAGTGATGTCTCAGTGAAGCTCCTGAGTTCCAGACATACTCCACCCTGCTGCCATTATTATAGGCACACCTGTCTCTTCCTGATTCTCAAAGTTCTTTCTCTGCTTGCTGATCAACTGGCATGAGGGTCTCAAAATGACTATGCAGTGGCTATAACTTTAGGTTTACTAAAATCATTGCTTTGTCCCTGGTAGAAGGAATCCATCCAGGAACAAGAATCTTCAGGCTAGCAAGTAGTACAGTTGTGGGGGGTATGAAGCACAAAGTCACCATGAAGGCTACTGAATGGCAGAGGCCACTCTGACTTCCTCCCCTTGGGTACCAGGTCCATGTTTTCTGTCTTTCAGAGGTACATCATTGCATAACAGCTGTGGCTTCAACATATATAAAACATCTTGAATGACAGCACCCCCAATCACAGGGTTTCATGGCTATTCTTGTGCCTTAGCTGAGCCTTCATGAGGCCATTGCAATGTTTTATCAGGGTGACAGCATAAGGGTTTATGATGTATGTGTATATAGTAGGACTGATGAATCATCTGACCATGTGTCCATTGTGGCATTTTCTTCACCATAACGTGGATTCCTTGGTCTGAAGGAACGTTCTGCAGGATTCTATTACAATAACTCAGATACTCTCAGGGACTCCTGGGTCTGTGACTTATGTGTGCCCTCCATGCCTGCTTGGGCTTCGTCTCAAATGTACCATTTCTGTTGTGCAGTGGATTGCTGCTGTACCCACTTTATCTTATGATTTGTTGGCCTGACAATACCTGGGACATGATAAGCAGTTCTGGTCACTTAGTCACTTGATGTTCTGTAGTCAGGCATTCAGGATTCTACAATCACAGAACTAACATATGATGACTATTGTTTCAGTGTATACACCACATTGTTAAAGGGCTTTTCCCAGATCTGCAGGATATCCTCACCAAGATAATGCCTTAGCTGAGTCTTGAAGCCATTACACTCAGAATATGGCATTTTTATTAAATATATTGACTGTGGAAAAGGGACCATTTCAGGGGCCTCAACTTGTTTTTTTCCTGATATCATAGCTCTTATTCCACTAGTCCTGGAAGCAATGTGAAGGAACTGCCTACTACTAAGGTTATCCATCCCAATTATGTTAATAAGGCCCTGAGAAAATGATCACTGGACCAACCATAAGGTACGGGTGGGCCAAGACTCTATACTTAGGTCGAGGCTCCCTTCCACACACCACGTCTTAACAGAAGGCCATGATGGGACCCATCCACCGCTACGTACTCAGTGTAGGGGAGAAGATGACATATGTTCTTAAAATATATTTTTATCTATTTAGATGTCTGTATTTTTATTTAATAATTTAGAATTTAATTTTTTTATTTGTATTTAGAGCTCAAGGAGCCACAACTGAACCTGATAAAAAGATAAGAAGATGATGTATCACCTTGACTTTGAACTGGGTGTAGTGAATGGATGGAATTCGAGATTATCCTCCTTAAGGAATAGATATATTCTTTCTGAGGGAAGAAGATTGAAACATATATTGTGATGAGAAGAGAAGATTCTGGGATCTAGTCCTATTGCTAGATGAGCATCAATTCCATTTTGTCTTCTTGAGCACACAGGAAGATTATGTCTACCAACATCCCTTTGTGTTAGGTTGAGGCCACCAGGTTAGGTTCTAACTAATGAGATATACATCATTTCCTGGCCTTGGCATTAAACATCACATGATCCTCTCCCCTCTCTTTTTTAGTCAGTGTTACAGCATGGAAGGAGCTGAAGTTCTTGTCACAATGTGGACAATGATATCAGGAGTAAATAAACTTTTATATGTTAAGCCATTGACATTTGGGGGAGTATATTTGTTGTAACAGTTAACATTATGTGAATATAAGATCTTTTTTGGAGTATCTCTATTCATTACTTGGTTGGCCAAAGTCACTTGTCTAATACTTTTTTCAAGGAAATTTAACTGAAAGTATATTACTTGTTTACTGTCATATTTTTAAATGTTTATCTGTGCTTATGTTTAAATAATAGTTTTGTTAGATATGGTTTGCATAAATAAGCAAAAACATAGTTTTGTTTATTTACACTTTCTTTCCCCGAGAACTTCACAGGCAATACTAAACTCCATTCCGGCATTTAATGTCACTCTGGAGAAGTCTGGGGCTGATTTGAATTTTTACGCTTCTGGGTGAGTTGATCTTTCTTTTAGCTATAGGCAGAGACAATGTTTTTCTCATTCTTTATCATTCTGTGTCTATTTTTAAAGACAATGTGCTCTTTCAAACTATAGATTTAATTCTTCTTCCTTTATCTTGGAAGAATTTTAAAATTTATTTTATTTTTAATTTTGTATTTGACATATAATAATTGTACATATTTATGGGGTATATAGTGATATTTCATATAATATATAGTGATCAGATCAGGGTAATTATTCTATCATCTCAGACATTTATCATTTCTTTGAGAACATTCAGTATCATCTCAAACATTTATCATTTCTTTGTTTTGAGAACATTCAGTATTCAGGAGGAATTTTTTTATAGTTATATTCTTTCAGTAGGCAGGATTCTAAAAATAATTCCAAATATTCCACACTTTAAGCTCTGTAATATGTGATAATGATAAATTATCTTTCCTGTGATTATGTTTTATTGTAAGGCACAGTTGATCTTACAATAAGTAGCTTATATGGGTGGACCAAATCCAATCTCTCGAGCCCTTTTAAAAGCAGAGAGTCTTCTCCAATCGATGGCTGAACACAAAGTCAGGGAGAATAGAAGCATAAGAATTTGGTAGATGGTTGCTGGCTTTGGGGGCAGACAGGCCACATGGCAAGGAACAGAATGCAGGCAACCTCTGAACATTATCAGTGGCCTACAGCTAGCAGCAGAAAACAAGGACAGCAGACCTACAACTCAACAAATGGAATTTAACCAACAATCTGAATCAGCTTAGAAGGTGATTCTTCTCCAAATCCTTCAGATGAGAGCACAGTTGGTCAACTCTCATTTCAGACTGCTGAAACCCTAATCAGAGAGCCCAGCTGAACCACACTGGATTTCTTTCTTCTTCTCCTTCTCCTTCTCTTTCTCCTTCTCCTTCTCCTTTCCCTTCTCCTTCTCCTTCCCCTTCTCCTTCTCCTTCCCCTTCCCCTTCTCCTTCCCCTTCTTCCCCTTCTTGCTGCTGCTGCTTCTCCTTCTGCTCCTCCTCCTCCTCCTCCTCCTCCTTCTTCTTCTTCTCCTTCTCCTTCTTCGCTTTTATTTTAGATACAGGGGTACGTGTGCATAGTACACAACAGGTAGTTTTTCAATCCATGTTCTCTTCCTTCTCTCCCTTCTCTAGTGCCACAGAATCCATTGTTCCCATGTTTATGTCCATGTGTGCTCAGTGTTTAGCTCCCACTTATAAGTGAGAACATACAGTATTTGGTTTTCTGTCCTGTGTTAGTTCGCTGAGGATTACGGCCTCTATCTCCATCCATGTTGCTGCGAAGCCTGGATTTCTAAACTGCAGAAACTGTAAGATAATAGATGAGTCTTGTTTTGAGTTGCTAAATTTGTGGAGTTTGTTATTATATAGCAATAGAAAATAAATACAATATTAAAATATTTCTTCTATTTTTTATTCTCTTCTTCAAAGCCACCTATTTTCTTCATGTCCTGAATTTTCTTTGTGCTCAGTATATTTCTATTTTTAATCCTTTTTTCATTACCACTTCATCTTGAATAATTTTCTCCATCCCATCCTCCACATACTTTACTGCGTTTTCAGCAGTGCCTAGTTTCAGCAGTGCTACTTACAAAATGGTCTTTATAACTAGAATGGTATGTTTTGTTCTCCTCCTTCAAATATGAATTATAGTTCTTTCTATTTATCTCCTTTGGTCATCATTATATCTTTTCTATGGGCCCAGATTTCTACTCTGAAATCACACTTGTAAAAGATTTATATTTGTTTTTTTAAGTCAAGGCAATATGTTTGGTCTCAATTTTTATACACTCCTTAGTAACATTTTTCAAGTGAATGTTCTTTGACTGTTATTTGTTTTCCCTGTTCCTTTCTTTATTTTTACTTGTAGTATTTTTGTATAGATCCTGTGCTTTTATCTTGTTTATATCATTTTTGAAAGATAATACTTCTCCATGGACCAGCAATTTGGAAGTGATCTGTACAGTGGGAGAGATCGAGTTACGGTTCCAGGCCAGCAAAACTTCTCCCTGGTACAACATGAGCTTTCTTAGAATAAAGGCTTGTGCATGTAAGTGAATTGTTTTCATTTTTAAATCTCCTTATCAAATATAGTTTGTCTATAAGGGCTCCTACTAACTCAGATTCCCTCTTTCACTCTACCTTAACTAAAAATTTCTTGCAAAGATAGAATGAGGTTTCCTCACCAAGTCCACTGCATCATCTCTCCCAAAGAGGATGGAAGCGCTGACCAACAGCCTATATACACTGTTTTTATTTTTCCAAATAAGCGACTTTTTCTTTTTTCTTTAAAGTTGTACCTCCTGCTTTGTAGAGCTATTCTCAACTGGTTTGTTTTAGATCTGTATATTTCTGCATGTTTTATAGACATTTTTCTAAGCCCTCTTCAATCTTAACTTTATTAGACACATATTATAAGCCAAGCCTAGAAATTGTGTGCATGAGTGGAAGGAAGTTTTGACCAGATGTGCAAATGTAAGGTTATTGGAGTTTTGTGGGATTTGGTTTGTTGTTTGCTTGTTTGCATTTTTTTTCAGGCCAGAGATGCAGGGGATGGTCAAAGAAAACAATATTTTTAAGATACTAAAATGCAAGATGGCCGAATAGGAACAGCTCCAGTCTACAGCTCCCAGTGTGAGCGACGCAGAAGACGGGTGATTTCTGCATTTCCAATAGAGGTACCAGGTTCAGCTCACTGGGGCTTGTCAGACTGTGGGCACAGGACAGTGGGTGCAGCCCACTGAGCATGAGCCGAAGAAGGGCAAGGCATTGCCTCACCCAGGAAGTGCAAGGGGTCAGGGAATTCCCTTTCCTAGCCAAGGGAAGCTGTGACAGACAGCACCTGGAAAATCAGTTCACTCTCACCCTAATACTGCACTTTTCCAATGGTCTTAGCAAATGGCACACCAGGAGATTATATCCCATGCATGGCTTGGAGGTTCTCATGCCCATGGACCCTCGCTCGTTGCTAGCACAGCAGTTGGAGAGCCAACTGCAGGGTGGCAGCGAGGCTGGGGGAGGGGTGCCCACAATTGCTGAGGCTTGAGTAGGTAAACAAAGCTGCCGGGAAGCTCGAACTGGGTGGAACCCACCACAGCTCAAGGAGGCCTGCCTGCCTCTGTAGACTCCACCTCTGGAAGCAGGGCATAGCTGAACAAAAGGCAGCAGAAACCTCTGCAGACTTAAATGTCCCTGTCTGACAGCTTTGAAGAGAGTAGTGGTTTTCCCAGCATGGAGTTTGAGATCTGAAAACGATCAGACTGCCTCCTCAAGTGGGTCCCTGACCCCTGGGTAGCCTAACTGGGAGGCACCCCCCAGTAGGGGCAGACTGACACCTCACATGGTTGGGTACCCCTCTGAGACGAAGCTTCCAGAGGAATGATCAGGCAGCAACATTTGCTATTCGGCAATATTTGCTGTTCTGCAGCCTCCGCTGCTGATACCCAGGGAAACAGGGTCTGCAGTGGACCTATAGCAAACTCCAACAGGCCTGCAGCTAAGGGTCCTGACTGTTAGAAGGAAAACTAACAAACAGAAAGGACATCCACACCAAAACCCCATCTGTATGTCACCATCATCAAAGACCAAAGGTAGATAAAACCACAAAGATGAGGAAAAAACAGAGCAGAAAAGCGAAAATTCTAAAAATCAGAGCACCTCTCCCCCTCCAAAGGAACACAGCTCATCTCCAGCAACGAAACAAAGATGGACGGAGAATGACTTTGACAAGTTGAGAGAAGAAGGCTTCAGACAATCAAACTTCTTCGAGCTAAAGGAGGAAGTTCAAACCCATTGCAAAGAAGCTAAAAACCTTGAAAAAAGATTAGATGAATGGCTAACTAGAATAACCAGTTTAGAGAAGTCCTTAAATGACCTGATGGAGCTGAAAACCATAGCACGAGAACTACATGACAACTGCACAAGCCATTCGATCAACTGGAACAAAGAGTATCAGTGATTGAAGATCAAATGAATAAAATGAAGTGAGAAGAGAAGTTTAGAGAAAAAAGAGTAAAAAGAAATGAACAAAGCATCCAACAAATATGGGACCACGTGAAAAGACCAAATCTATGTCTGATTGGTATAGCTGAAAGTCATGGGGAGAATGGAACCAAGTTGGAAAACACTCTGCAGGATATTATCCAGGAGAACTTCCCCAAGGCAGGCCAACATTCAAATACAGGAAATACAGAGAACATCACAAGATACTCCTCAAGAAGAGCAACTCCAAGACACATAATTGTCACATTCACCAAAGTTGAAATGAAGGAAAAAATGTTAAGGGCAGCCAGAGAGAAAGTTCGGGTTACCCACAAAGGGAAGCCCATCAGACTAACAGTGGATCTCTTGGCAGAAACTCTACAAGCCAGAAGAGAGTGGGGGCCAATATTCAACATTCTTAAAGAAAAGAATTTTCAACACAGAATTTCATATCCAGCCAAACTAAGCTTCATAAGTGAAGGAGAAATAAATTCCTTTACAGACAAGCAAATGCTGAGAGATTTTATCACCACCAGACCTGCCTTACAAGAGCTCCTGAAGGAAGCACTAAACATGGAAAGGAAAAACTGGTACCAGCCACTGCAAAACCATGCCAAATTGTAAAGACACTTGATGCTAGGAAGAAACTGCATCAACTAATGAGCAAAATAACCACCTAACATCATAATGACAGGCTCAAATTCACACATAACAATATTGACATTAAATGTAAATGGGCTAAATGCTCCAATTAAAAGACACACTCTGGCAAATTGGATAAAGAGTCAAGACCCATCAGTGTGCTGTATTCAGGAAACCCATCTCACGTGCAGAGACACACATAGACTCAGAATAAAGGGATGGAGGAAGCTCTACCAAGCAAATGGAAAACAAAAAAAGGCAGGCATTGCAATCCTAGTCTCTGATAAAACAGACTTTAAACCAAGAAAGATTAAAAGAGACAAAGAAGGCCATTGCATAACGGTAAAGGGATCAATTCAACATGAAGAGCTAACTATTCTAAATGTATATGTACCCAATACAGGAGCACCTAGATTCACAAAGCAAGTTCTTAGAGACCTACAAAGAGACTTAGACTCCCACACAATAATAATGGGAGACTTTAACACCCCACTGTCAACATTAGACTGATCAATGAGACAGAAAGTTAACAAGGATATGCAGGAATAGAACTCAGCTCTACACCAAGCAGACCTAACAGATATCTATGGAAATCTCCACCCCAAATCAATAGAATATACCTTCTTCTCAGCATCACATTACACTTATTCCAAAATTGACCACGTAGTTGGAAGTAAAGCACTCCTCACCAAGTGTAAAACAACAGAAATTATAACAAAATGTCTCTCCGACCATAGTGCAATCAAACTAGAACTCAGGATTAAGAAACTAAATCAAAACTGCTCAACTACATGGAAACCGAACAACCTGCTCCTGAGTGACAACTGGATACATAACGAAATGAAGGCAAAAATAAAGATGTTCTTCGAAACCAATGAGAACAAACACACAACATACCAGAATCTCTGGGACACATTTAAAGCAGTGTATAGGGGGAAATTTATAGAACTAAATGCCCATAAGAGAAAGCAGGAAAGATCTAAAATAGACATCCTAACATCACAATTAAAAGAACTAGAGAAGCAAGAGCAAACACATTCAAAAGCTAGCAGAAGGCAAGAAATAACTAAGGTCAGAGCAGAACTGAAAGAGATAGAGACACAAAAAACCCTTCAAAAACCAATGAATCTAGGAGCTGGTTTTTTGAAAAGACCACCAAAATTGATAGACCGCTAGCAAGACTAATAAAGAAGAAAAGAGAGAAGACTCAAATAGACCCAATAAAAAATGATAAAGGGGATATCACCACTGATCCCACAGAAATAGAAACTACCATCAGAGAATACTATAAACACCTTTATGCAAATAAACTAGAAAATCTAGAAGAAATGGATAAATTCCTGGACACATAAACCCTCCCAAGACTAAAACAGGAAGAAGTTGAATCCCTGAATAGACCAATAACAGGCTCTGAAATTGAGGCAATAATTAATAGCTTACCAACCAAAAAGAGTCCAGGACCAGATGGATTCACAGCCGAATTCTACCAGAGGAACAAGCAGGAGCTGGTACCATTCCTTCTGAAACTATTCCAATCAATAGAAAAAGAGGGAATCCTCCCTAACTCAATTTATGAGGCCAGCATCATCCTGATACCAAAGCCTGGCAGAGACACAACCAAAAAAGACAATTTTAGACCAATGTCCCTGATGAAAATCAATGCAAAAATCCTCAATAAAATACTGGCAAACCAAATCCAGCAGCACATCAAAAAGCTTATCCACCATAATCAAGTGGGCTTCGTCCCTGGGATGCAAGGCTGGTTCAACATACACAAATCAATAAACGTAATCCAGCATATAAACAGAAGCAAACACAAAAACCACATGATTATCTCAATAGATGCAGAAAAGGCCTTTGAATAAATTCAGCAGCCCTTCATGCTACAAACTCTCAATAAATTAGGTATTGATGGGACATATCTCAAAATAAAAACAGCTATTTATGACAGACCCACAGCCAATATCATACTGAATGGGCAAAAACTGGAAGCATTCCCTTTGAAAACTGGCACAAGACAGGGATGCCCTCTCTCGCCACTCCTATTCAACAGTGTTGGAAGTTCTGGCAAGGGCAATGAGGCAGGAGAAAGAAAGAAATGGTATTCAATTAGGAAAAGAGGAAGTCAAATTTTCCCTGTTTGCAGATGACGTGATCGTATATTTAGAAAACCCCATTGTCTCAGCCCAAAATCTCCTTAAGCTGATAAGCAACTTCAGCAAAGTCTCAGGATACAAAATCAATATACAAAAATCACAAGCATTCTTATACACCAATAACAGACAAACAGAGAGCCAAATAATGAGTGAACTCCCATTCACAATTGCTTCAAAGAGAATAAAATACCTAGGAATCCAACTTACAAGGGACGTGAAGGACCTATTCAAGGAGAACTACAAAACACTGCTCACTGAAATAAAAGAGGACACAAACAAATGGAAGAACATTCCATGCTCATGTGTAGGAAGAATCAGTATCATGAAAATGGCCATACTGTCCAAGGTAACTTATAGATTCAATGCCATCCCCATCAAGCTACCAATGACTTTCCTCACAGAAAAAAACTACTTCAAAGTTCATACGGAACCAAAAAAGAGCCCACATTGCCAAGTCAATCCTAAGCCAAAAGAATAAAGCTGGAGGCATCATGCTACTGACTTCAAACTATACTACAAGGCTACAGTTAACAAAACAGCATGGTACTGGTATCAAAACAGAGATATAGACCAATGGAACAGAACAGAGCCCTCAGAAATAATACCACACATCTACAACCATCTGATCTTTGAAAAACCTGACAAAAACAAGAAATGGGGGAAGGATTCCCTATTTAATAAATGGTACTGGGAAAACTGGCTAGCCATATGTAGAAAGCTGAAACTGGATCCCTTCCTTACACCTCATACAAAAATTAATTTATGATGGATTAAAGACTTAAATGTTAGATCTAAAACCATAAACACCCTAGAAGAGAACCTAGGCAATACCATTCAGGACATAGGCATGGGCAAGGACTTCATGTCTAAAACACAAAAAGCAATGGCAACAAAAGCCAAAATTGACAAATGGGATCTAACTAAACTAAAGAGCTTCTGCACAGCAAAAGAAACTACCATCAGAGTGAACAGGCAACCTACAGAATGGGAGAAAATTTTTGCGATCTATTCATATGACAAAGGGCTTATATGCAGAATCTACAAATAACTCAAACAAATTTACAAGAAAACAAACAAACACCCCATCAGAAAGTGAACGAAGGATATGAACAGACAAGTGTCAAAAGAAGATATTTATGCAGCCAACAGACACATGAAAAAATGCTCATCATCACTGGCCATCAGAGAAATGCAAATCAAAACCACAATGAAATAGCATCTCATACCAGTTAGAATGGTGATCATTAAAAAGTCAGGAAACAACAGGTGCTGGAAAGGATGTGGAGAAATAGGAACGCTTTTACACTGTTGGTGGGAGTGTAAGTTAGTTCAACCATTGTGGAAGACAGTGTGGCGATTCCTCAAGGATCTAGAACTTGAAATACCATTTGACCCAGCCATCTCATTACTGGGTATATACCCAAAAGATTATAAATCATGCTGCTATAAAGACACATGCACATGTATGTTTACTGCGGCACTATTCACAATACCAAAGACTTGGAAACAACCCAAATGTCCATCAGTGATAAACTGGATTAAGAAAATGTGGCAGAGGGAGGAGCCAAGATGGCCAAAAAGGAAAAGCTCCAGTCTACAGCTCCCAGCATGAGCGATGCAGAAGACGGGTGATTTCTGCATTTCCATCTGAAGTACCGGGTTCATCTCACTAGGGAGTGCCAGACAGTGAGCACAGGTCAGTGGGTGCGCGCACCATGTGCAAGGGGAAGCAGGGCGAGGCACTGCCTCACTTGGGAAGCGCAAGGGGTCAGGGAGTTCCCTTTCTGAGTCAAAGAAAGGGGTGACGGACGGCACCTGGAAAATCAGGTCACTCCCACCCGAATACTGCGCTTTTCCGACGGGCTTAAAAAACAGTGCACCATGAGATTATATCCCGCACGTGGCTCGGACGGTCCTACGCCCACGGAGTCTCGCTGATTGCTAGCACAGCAGTCTGAGATCAAACTGCAAGGCGGCAGCGAGGCTGGGGGAGGGGTGCCCGCCATTGCCCAGGCTTGATTAGGTAAACAAAGCAGCTGGGAAGCTCGAACTGGGTGGAGCCCACCACAGCTCAAGGAGGCCTGCCTGCCTCTGTAGGCTCCACCTCTGGGGGCAGGGCACAGACAAACAAAAAGACAGCAGTAACCTCTGCAGACTTAAATGTCCCTGTCTGACAGCTTTGAAGAGAGTAGTGGTTCTCCCAGCACGCAGCTGGAGGTCTGAGAACGGGCAGACTGCCTCCTCAAGTGGGTCCCTGACCCCTGACCCCCCAGCAGCCTAACTGGAAGGCACCCCCCAGCAGGGGCACACTGACACCTCACACGGCAGGGTACTCCAACAGACCTGCAGCTGAGGGTCCTCTCTGTTAGAAGGAAAACGAACAAACTCAAAGGACATCCACACCAAAAACCCATCTGTACATCACCATCATCAAAGACCAAAAGTAGATAAAACCACAAAGATGTGGAAAAAACAGAACAGAAAAACTGGAAACTCTAAAAAGCAGAGTGCCTCTCCTCCTCCAAAGGAACGCAGTTCCTCACCAGCAACGGAACAAAGCTGGATGGAGAATGACTTTGACGAGCTGAGAGAAGAAGGCTTCAGACGATCAAATTACTCTGAGCTACAGGAGGACATTCAAACCAAAGGCAAAGAAGTTGAAAACTTTGAAAAAAATTTAGAAGAATGTACAACTAGAATAACCAATACAGAGAAGTGCTTAAAGGAGCTGATGGAGCTGAAAACCAAGGCTCGAGAACTACGTGAAGAATGCAGAAGCCTCAGGAGCCGATGCTATCAACTGGAAGAAAGGGTATCAGCGATGGAAGATGAAATGAATGAAATGAAGGGAGAAGGGAAGTTTAGAGAAAAAAGAATAAAAAGAAATGAGCAAAGCCTCCAAGAAATATGGGACTATGTGAAAAGACCAAATCTACATCTGATTGGTGTACCTGAAAGTGATGGGGAGAATGGAACCAAGTTGGAAAACACTCTGCAGGATATTATCCAGGAGAACTTCCCCATCTGGCAAGGCAGGCCAACGTTCAGATTCAGGAAATACAGAGAACACCACCAAGATACTCCTCAAGAAGAGCAACTCCAAGACACATAATTGTCACATTCACCAAAGTTGAAATGAAGGAAAAAATGTTAAGGGCAGCCAGAGAGAAAGTTCGGGTTACCCTCAAAGGGAAGCCCATCAGACTAACAGTGGATCTCTTGGCAGAAACCCTACAAGCCAGAAGAGAGTGGGGGCCAATATTCAACATTCTTAAAGAATTTTCAACCCAGAATTTCATATCCAGCCAAACTAAGCTTCATAAGTGAAGGAGAAATAAAATACTTTACAGACAAGCAAATGCTGAGAGATTTTGTCACCACCAGGCCTGCCTTACAAGAGCTCCTGAAGGAAGCGCTAAACATGCAAAGGAACAACCGGTACCAGCTGCTGCAAAATCATGCCAAAATGTAAAGACCATCGAGACTAGGAAGAAACTGCATCAACTAACGAGCAAAATAACCAGCTAACATCATAATGACAGGATCAAATTCAAAAATAACTATATTAACTTTAAATGTAAATGGACTAAATGCTCCAATTAAAAGACACAGACTGGCAAATTGGATAAAGAGTCAAGACCCATCAGTGTGCTGTATTCAGGAAACCCATCTCATGTGCAGAGACACACATAGGCTCAAAATAAAAGGATGGAGGAAGATCTACCAAGCCAATGGAAAACAAAAAAAGGCAGGGGTTGCAATCCTAGTCTCTGATAAAACAGACTTGAAACCAACCAAGATCAAAAGAGACAAAGAAGGCCATTACATAATGGTAAAGGGATCAATTCAACAAGAAGAGCTAACTATCCTAAATATATATACACCCAATACAGGAGCAACAAGATTCATAAAGCAAGTCCTGAGTGACCTACAAAGAGACTTAGACTCCCACACATTAATAATGGGAGACTTTAACACCCCACTGTCAACATTAGACAGATCAACGAGACAGAAATTTAACAAGGATACCCAGGAATTGAACTCAGCTCTGCACCAAGTGGACCTAATACATATCTACAGAACTCTCCACCCAAAATCAACAGAATATACATTTTTTTCAGCACCACACCACACCTATTCCAAAATTGACCACACAGTTGGAAGTAAAGCTCTCCTCAGCAAATGTAAAAGAACAGAAATTGTAACAAACTATCTCTCAGACCACAGTGCAATCAAACTAGAACTCAGGATTAAGAATCTCACTCAATACCACTCAACTACATGGAAACTGAACAACCTGCTCCTGAATGACTACTGGGTACATAACGAAATGAAGGCAGAAATAAGGATGTTCTTTGAAACCAACGAGAACAAAGACACAACATACCAGAATCTCTGGGACGCATTCAAAGCAGTGTGTAGAGGGAAATTTATAGCACTAAATGCCCACAAGAGAAAGCAGGAAAGATCCAAAATTGACACCCTAACATCACAATTAAAAGAACTAGAAAAGCAAGAGCAAACACATTCAAAAGCTAGCAGAAGGCAAGAAATAACTAAAATCAGAGCAGAACTGAAGGAAATAGAGACACAAAAAACCCTTCAAAAAATTAATGAATCCAGGAGCTGGTTTTTTGAAAGGATCAACAAAATTGATAGACCGCTAGCAAGACTAATAAAGAAAAAAAGAGAGAAGAATCAAATAGATGCGATAAAAAATGATAAAGGGGATATGACCACCGATCCCACAGAAATACAAACTACCATCAGAGAATACTACAAACACCTCTACGCAAATAAACTAGAAAATCTAGAAGAAATGGATAAATTCCTCGACACATACACTCTCCCAAGACTAAACCAGGAAGAAGTTGAATCTCTGAATAGACCAATAACAGGATCTGAAATTGTGGCAATAATCAACAGCTTACCAACCAAAAAGAGTCCAGGACCAGATGGATTCACAGCCGAATTCTACCAGAGGTACAAGCAGGAGCTGGTACCATTCCTTCTGAAACTATTCCAATCAATAGAAAAAGAGGGAATCCTCCCTAACTCATTTTATGAGGCCAGCATCATCCTGATACCAAAGCCAGGCAGAGACACAACCAAAAAAGAGAATTTTAGACCAATATCCTTGATGAACATTGATGCAAAACTCCTCAGTAAAATACTGGCAAACCAAATCCAGCAGCACATCAAAAAGCTTATCCACCATGATCAAGTGGGCTTCATCCCTGGGATGCAAGGCTGGTTCAATATATGCAAATCAATAAATGTAATCCAGCATATAAACAGAACCAAAGACAAAAACCACATGATTATCTCAATAGATGCAGAAAAGGCCTTTGACAAAATTCAACAACCCTTCATGCTAAAAACTCTCAATAAATTAGGTATTGATGGGACGTATCTCAAAATAATAAGAGCTATCTATGACAAACCCACAGCCAATATCATACTGAATGGGAAAAAACTGGAAGCATTCCCTTGGAAAACTGGCACAAGACAGGGATGCCCTCTCTCACCACTCCTATTCAACATAGTGTTGGAAGTTCTGGCCAGGGCAATCAGGCAGGAGAAGGAAATAAAGGGTATTCAACTAGGAAAAGAGGAAGTCAAATTGTCCTTGTTTGTGGACGACATGATTGCCTATCTAGAAAACCCCATTGTCTCAGCCCAAAATCTCCATCAGCTGATAAGCAACTTCAGCAAAGTCTCAGGATACAAAATCAATGTGCAAAAATCACAAGCATTCTTATGCACCAACAACAGACAGAGAGCCAAATCATGAGTGAACTCCCATTCACAATTGCTTCAAAGAGAATAAAATACTTAGGAATCCAGCTTACAAGGGATGTGAAGGACCTCTTCAAGGAGAACTACAAACCACTGCTCAATGAAATAAAAGAGGATACAAACAAATGGAAGAACATTCCATGCTCATGGGTAGGAAGAATCAATATCGTGAAAATGGCCATCCTGCCCAAGGTAATTTATAGATTCAATGCCATCCCCATCAAGCTACCAATGACTTTCTTCACAGAACTGGAAAAAACTATTGTAAGGTTCATATGGAACCAAAAAAGAGCCCACCTCGCCAAGTCAATCCTAAGCCAAAAGAACAAAGCTGGAGGCATCATGCTACCTGACTTCAAACTATACTACAATGCTACAGTAACCAAAACAGCATGGTACTGGTACCAAAACAGAGATATAGATCAATGGAACAGAACAGAGCCCTCAGAAATAACGCCGCATATCTACAACTATCTGATCTTTGACAAACCTGAGAAAAACAAGCAATGGGGCAGGGATTCCCTATTTAATAAATGGTGCTGGGAAAACTGGCTAGCCATATGTAGAAAGCTGAAACTGGATCCCTTCCTTACACCTTATACAAAAATCAATTCAAGATGGATTAAAGACTTAAACGTTAGACCTAAAACCATAAAATCCCTAGAAGAAAACCTAGACATTACCATTCAGGACATAGGCATGGGCAAGGACTTCATGTCTAAAACACCAAAAGCAATGGCAACAGAAGCCAAAATTGACAAATGGGATCTAATTAAACTAAAGAGCTTCTGCACAGCAAAAGAAACTACCATCAGAGTGAACAGGCAACCTAGAAAATGGGAGAAAATTTTCGCAACCTACTCATCTGACAAATGGCTAATATCCAGAATCTACAATGAACTCAAACAAATTTACAAGAAAAAAACAAACAACCCCATAAAAAGTAGGCAAAGGATATGAACAGACACTTCTCAAAAGAAGACATTTATGCAGCCAACAGACACATGAAAAAATGCTCATCATCACTGGCCATCAGAGAAATGCAAATCAAAACCACAATGAGATACCATCTCACACCAGTTAGAATGGCAATCATTAAAAAGTCAGGAAACAACAGGTGCTGGAGAGGATGTGGAGAAATAGGAACACTTTTACACTGTTGGTGGGACTGTAAACTAGTTCAACCATTGTGGAAGTCAGTGTGGCGATTCCTCAGGGATCTAGAACTAGAAATACCATTTGACCCAGCCATCCCATTCCTGGGTATATACCCAAAGGACTATAAATCATGCTGCTATAAAGACACATGCACACGTATGTTTATTGTGGCACTATTCACAATAGCAAAGACTTGGAACCAACCCAAATGTCCAACAATGATAGACTGGATTAAGAAAATGTGGCACATATACACCATGGAATACTATGCAGCCATAAAAAATGATGAGTTCATGTCCTTTGTAGGGACATGGATGAAATAGGAAATCGTCATTCTCAGTAAACTATTGCAAGAACAAAAAACCAAACACCGAATGTTCGCACTCATAGATGGGAATTGAACAATGGGAACACATGGACACTGGAAGGGGAACATCACACTCTGAGGACAGTTGTGGGGTGAGGGGAGGGGGAAGGGATAGCATTAGGAGATATACTTAATGCTAAATGACCAATTAATGGGTGCAGCACACCAGCATGGCACATGTATACATATGTAACTAACCTGTACATTGTGCACATGTACCCTAAAACTTAAAGTATAATAATAATAATAATAAATAAAATAAAAATTAAAAAAATAAAAAAAGAATATAAATGAGAATTTAAAAGAATTTCAAGAATGTACATAAAACCATCAGGATAATTATTCCAAATAACTTTATTATAGTCAGAATTTGTTGGCAAAAACTGCAGATGTTGTCTATTCTCATGACTGTTAGAATAATTGCCCTTGAATGTTAAAAATTCAGAAATACCAATAAAAAGAGATGGTAGAATTTTTATTACTTATTGAAATCACAAATAAACTCCAAATATTTTAGCCGATATTTCTTATCTCAACCAAACAATTGTTACTCTAAGAAAGAACCAAATAACTGGTTTCTTTCCCTCCCTGAATAAAGGTTTAAAAAAATCAATAGAAAGGGAAAATACCAAAACATGCAAAACTATATATATCCAAAAGTTGTATCATGTGTTTTATCATGTAAATGTGTTGTATCATTTGGCTAGAAGAAGAACCCAGAAACAAATTGGCCACAAGCAGAATTGCTATTAAAAACCTAAAGGTTTTGTATATCTTCACTATTTACTAAGTAAGATCTTCCCTTGGAAACTTTAGGAACAAAACAATTTTAACACCTCCAGTATTTGTCTTATTTACACAAAAGCAACCTCTGCACATTTTCTTCTAGTGGTCTTATTGATCCACTCACCAACAGTCACTATTTGAAAAGTCATTTTTATCTTTCCATCTTTTTTCATTTTGCTTTTTTTTAAATAACAGTTTAACTGTTTACTACAGGCTACCCAGATGTTCTTTAAACTCTATCAGCTCATTTTAGAATTATATCTTAAAATTCTTTTCTTTTTGTTGTTTTTTTTTCTCTAACCAAATAATCTTCTCTTTTTTTCCTCCTCTTGTTAGCTTTTTGTTTTGAATGAATACATCAGTAATAATCTCGTTCTCGTTTCATGAGCAGCAGAATTTATTGAATAATTCTTTGGGATACTTCCAATGTCTTCCAACAGCCTTAGAAATACTATTCGTTCTGCCACATCTGCTACAGTATGTTTTAATCACATTTTTAAATACCATGAGTGCAATGCAATGTACCTTATTAAGTTAGGGATAGTAAGAATTAGAGTAATGTGATGATTTATTTGAGCAGGATGAAGAGAGCTAAGGAAAAGGGAGTGAAGGGAAGAGAATAAGCAAGTGTGTATCAAATATGCAGATGAAGATTAACTCACTCTCTGTCCTCTAAGTGGTTCCTTTTAGATTATTTAAGAACTGAAATCAAAGGAGCCAGAAAAGCATAAACTCAGACCTGAATGAAAAGATACAGAAATTTCCAAAATAAGCCTATTCCTTGTTTAGGGAAGTGGCTCAATGACCTCACTCCTTCCTAGATGCCCTTTTAAATGTAACAGCAACAGAGTAATGGTAATAGAAAGACCATAAATGCTCTCTACTAGAGTGCTTTCCCTAAATAAATGCTGCTTCTCAAGGCTTGAGGCTGATTCTTGCCCCAGGAGAAGCATGCTCAGCAGCGGATGAGAGCTGCACAGAGCCTACTGGAACACTGAGCCTGTGGTGACTGCTGCCTTTAACCATGCACCAGGCACACCAGAGGTCCAGTCATATGCCAGAGCTGTGCCTCATTCTGCTATAAACATTCTCTGCAACCAACCCCTTGAAATTTCACCTCTCTCAGGACAACAGAAGTCACAGAATTTTTTTTCATGGATAAATTCATTAGAAACTTTTGGTTCACACTACACCATTAATTCCTGACTTACGTCGCCTTTTGCATTTTTCAAGCTTTTCATGTGCCTTTGTTGTCTTTATACAGGTTGGAAACTCCTCCAGATAAAGAACATGATTCATCTCTCATGGTGTTCTTGCACAGCTGTGCATATCATAGAACTCATTTGCTCAATATAGAGCTAAATCTGTTTTGGAATTTCAGTATCCTACCTTTGTCTCTAAATGCAGATTTTATTCACAAGATAGAACCAAGAAGTTGTCAGTAAAATGTCTTCTTCCTCGGATGAACTTTTTATGAAGGCAAGTCACGGTGCATCCCTTCCCTTTAAACTTTCTCTTTCCTTTCCTCCACCTCTTAAAAATGAGTTAAGAAATATGAGTAATACCTGTATTAATAGTTGAAGGCTTATATGCCCTCAGAACTCATTGAACTCTGCATAAAAATAGAAATTATTGATTTAGACCATTAATCACTGATCTGATAAATCAGTACAACTTTTCACAGGGTCCAGTAACTTCTGCAGTAGTGTAAGAAATAGAACATATTATTGGTTATGCTAGTAGAAAGAAAGAAATGAAAATTTTACCATTCTTGCATTAAATTTAAAAGACTTTCCATGGATTCTTGCTTTGTGCCATTTGACAGACTATCTGGTAATAATCAGATATTAACTGTGGTCTTTAAATCAACAGTCATTTATTGAGTGCCTTCTATGTTCCAAGCACTATGCTAAGTATGATAGGGAAAACAATTAGACATGGTTTTTCTCCCAAAGTGGACAAAAAGTGGAAAAACATAATAATGGAATTATTATAATTGAATGTGATCATCATTATATTGTAAATTAGGACGTACTAAGGAAAGACAAAGAAAGGGCATCCTTATCAAGGTGCAAAGTCATGGGAGTCTTCTTAGAAGAAGAGACTCTTGGCTTATAAATTTAGTAACAGGTGGATATCAGATACTGCCTTCGGAAGTCTTACTTTAAGTTAGAGGTTAAATGAAATGATCTCTATGGACCTCTTCTGATTTTTTGTCCTAGAAGATTCAAATACTTTTCAGACTAATGAAATTATTTAATTTTTAGGACAGATACAGCATAGATTAATAAATTATAACAAAATACATGAGTCTGCCTTGGTCACATAAATGTTATCTTTATCAGCCACCTGTAGTAAGAATTTAAAGAAAATTTGAAGTGAGAATCATGACAGTGAAGTTATCAACTATTTAAAAGGGCAGAATGGAACTAAACTCACATTAAAATGAGAAAACGATGCAGCCACTGGTACAACACAGGTTTCATCAGATGTCATCAGCTTACATATTTTAATGAGTCATGATAACAGTAACAAATCAGGTTTGACTGGGCTTTGTCATAAGTTGTTGCTATAGGTACTTTGAGTTTCTGAAAATTCCCACCACCCCGCTGCAAGTCCTCAGATTATTATATATGCTTATTGATCATAAAGTCCTTTCCTTTCAGATGTTGCTGCTGTTCCAACAGGCATTCCAACATCTGTCTTTAGACTGACTTCCCGTGGAGTCATTGTCCTTTTGGACAATGTATGTACGTATGACTTGTACCAAAGTTCTTTGTGGAGCACTGCAGCCACTCATATGAGCACCATGGTCTCTCACTCATTACTGATATGGCTCCCAGTATCTTACAGAGGATTCTGGCTATCCCTCCCAGGTTGAGTAACTAACAGAACAAACAAAAAATTTCAACGTTCTCCAAATAATGATAATAGGTTCCGTAGGCTATATAAGAATTACAATGTTATTTATGCTAGCATTGACATACAAAAAGAGAGAGAAGGAGAAAGAAGGAGAAAAAAAAGGTGTGCTCAACATCATTGATCATTAGATGAATGCAAATCAAAACTACAATGAGATATCGTCTTATCCAAAAGACAGGCAGTAACAAATGCTGGCAAGGATGTGGAGAAAAGGGAACCATTTGCACACTGTTGGTAGGAATATAAATTGGTACAACCATTATGAAGAACAGTTAGGAGGTTCCTCAAAAAATGAGAAATAGAGCTGCCATACAATCCTGAAATCCTACTGCTGGGTATATACCCCAAAGAAAGAAAATCAGGATGTCAAAGAGAAATCTGCACCCACATTTTTATTGCAGCACTACACACAATAGCCAAGATTTCAAAGCAACCTAAGTGCCCATCAACAGATGAGTGGATAAAGAAAATGTGGTACTTTTACGTAATAGAGTACTATCCAGCCATAAAAGAGAACAAGATTCTGTCATTTGCAATGACATGGATGAAGCTGGAGATCATTACATCAAGTGAAATAAGCCAGGCACAGAAAGACAAACATCACATGTTTTCATTTATTCGTGGGATCTAAAAATCAAAACAATTGAACTCATGAAGCTAGAGAATAGAAGTATGGTACCAGAGGCTGTGAAGGGTATTGTGGGGTGGAGGTGGGGTGGTTAATAGATACAAAAAAAATAATAGAAAGAATGAATAAGACCTTGTATCTGATAGCACAACAGGGTAACTATAATCAATAATAATTTAATTGTATATTTTAAAATAACTAAAAGACTATAACTGGATTTTTTGTAACACAAAGGATAAGTGCTTGAAGTGATAGATAAGCCATTTTCCATGATGTGATTATTATGCATTCCATGCCTGTATCAAAATATCTCAAGTATCCCATAAATATATACACTCACTATGTGCCCACAAAATTAAAATTTAAAACATTAAAAAAAGAAAAAAAAACTTTAAGAGAGAAAGAAAAAAAAGAATATGATGGATTTTCAAGAGAAAAATCAAACCTTGAGATGATCCCAATGTTAGAGCTATAAGACAAGCAGCTGTTACAACTATACTCAGTGAGGTAATGGAAAACTAATTAAAATCAATGAAAAGATAGGAACACAGCTGATAAATGGAGACTGAAAAACAGATAGGTGGAAATTATAAAACAAAAAAACTCATTAAAAAAGACTGACTGTATAGGCTCAACAACAGAAAGAAAATGACAGTGGGAAGAGTGAGTAAAATTGAAAATAAATAGAAATTATCCAATCTGAAGAATAGAGAAAAAGATTGAAAAAATAGACAAAGCCTATGGAATCTGTGGGAAAATATCAAAAGGCATAATTTAAATGTAAGTGGGATTTCATGTGAAAAGGAAAAAAAAATTGGGACAAGAAATGTACTTGAAAAAATCATGGTGAAATTGTCCCAGATATACTAAAAGGTATAGATGTACAGATTTAAGAAACTCAACAAATCCCAGATAGGATAGGCTGAAAGAAAATCACACATAAATACACTAGTCAAACTGCTAAAAACAAAAATAAAGAAAGGAATTTTGAAAAACTTAAAAGCAGGTAGAGAAAAATGAAACAATCCAAATGCCCCAGGATTTATTAATAGAAAACATGAGACCATAAGATAGTAAAACGTCTTTAAATTATAGAAAAAAAATGGTCAATTCATATTTCTGCATCTGTAAAATTATCTTTAAAATTAAATACATTTGCAGATTAAGTGAAATTAAAAGAACTTCTTACCAGTATAGTTACTATACAAAATATGCTAGAAGGTTTTCAGGATGAAAGAAAATGTTATCAGAGAAAAACTGGATTTCTAGGAATTGGAGGAAGAGCAACAGAAATGGTAAATAGTAGAGTGTTTTGCATTGAATTGTGCCCCCCAAAAGACATGTTGAAGTTCTTACCCCGGTACCTGTGAATGTGACATTATTTGGAAATAGAGTCTTTGCAGATGTATTTAAGATATAACTTAAGATGGGGCAGTGCTGAACTAGGGGAGAGAGGTCTTAATCTAATATTACTGGTGTCCTTTTAAGGAGAGAAAGGACACAGAGACAACATACGGAGAAGGGAGAATGCCATGGGAAGACACAGACACAACATGAAAGATGACCATGTGACAAAGGAGGCATTAAATGGTCTAGAAACTCAAATTAAAATGCAGAGAATGACAGAATAGATTTTTTTAAAGCAAGACACTACTATATAATACCTATGAGTGAAACAGTTTAAATGTAAAAACCCAGATAGTTGAAAGTAAATTTACAAAGTATAACATATTACTCAATCAGTAAGCATAAGAAGGCTGGAGTTACTATTTTAATATCATTAAAAAGTGACTTTGAGACAAAAAAGTTATCAAATATAAAAAGGGAATTTTTAATGGAAAGGGGACAATCAGAAAAAAATTATCAATATGTATGTAATTACAAATAATAGCTCAAATATATAAGGCATAAATTGATATAGTTTAAAAGGATACAGTACAATTCCAAGAACATAGTAGAAGATTTTAACAGCCCCTCTCAGAAATTAAAACAACAACAAAAACTCAAAAAAAGATTTAGAAGAACAATATTATCAAACACTTGATGTGATTGACATGTACAGAGAGATAAGCATTATTTTTATCAGCTTCCTTGAGAAGTTATATGACTTGTCCAAATTCACACAGCTTTTAAATAGCAGAGCTGGGAATCAAACCCAGAAATCCCAGCTTCAGAGTTTATATCCTAACTGCCTTATGTGGTGGTCCAGCTGTTAAACTGTCATGAATTCTAAAAATTCCCTGAAGAAAACGTTAGGCTTCAAAAAATATGTCAGAACGTTTTATACATATTTAGCATCATTAGTTGAATTCATTGAGGTATAATATAAAGGACACTGAAAAGATTATTCCTATCCTCAAAATATCAATAGATTCATTTCCTGATTCCTAGAAGCCATAATTAGAGAATAATTGTTTTGTCATAAAGTTTGATTATAGGGTAAGTGTTCTTGGGAGTGAGAAAACATTGATTTTATACTTTATTATAAAGAGTTCTATAAAACACCTCTTGAGTTCTGGTTCAATTAAGAATGTGAACAGCTATACACAGCCTTGATAGTAGGGTAGGTAACTGAAGTGGGTTAGGAAAGAGTGAGAATACCATTGTGTCGGAGAAAGGAAGAAAAAATTAGTTGAGATTGTCAGAGGACTTTTCTGACTCAAGATTTTATCCTAGAGCAAACTCTAAAGAAAATATTTTTTCTATTAAACATGACAAATTAAAATATAAACATTTTCTTCATCATATAAATTACAGTTTCATTGCTTGATGAAAACACTGGAAGCTAGATCTCAGCTACAGAAGCACCTCCATGGCAGGAGCCGCAAAGGTGCTTGGAATTATGACTAGAGTGGAAGCGCAAGTTGGTTTTGAACAATATTGCACCCCAGGTCCTGCCTTCAGCAAGTGATTTGTCCTCCGTAAATTTTAAAGAAGTGTTCAAGATGCAGGGAGCATTCACACAGCATTCACACATTAGCCAATCACAGTTTATCTAAGCTAACGTTTATTCAAATATTCAAAGCTCTTCCCAAGAATTAACTCACTCAGCATGCTCCACAATAACAGGAGGTGGCTAATCTTCCCACCCTACAAATAGAAAGATGGGGACTCTGACAGGCTACATGCTCCTGGCCAAAAACATGATGGGAAAAGTTTTCTGAAAATAAATACTACTTTTAAGAAACAAGTGGAAAGGTAGTTTAAAAAATTTGAAATAAGTTTGGGCTATTTAATAAGCCCCCTACAGCTCAATTCCCCATCTTTGCATTTTTTAACTTACTAAAAATTTAAAACAACTGAAAAAGCAGGTATGACAAAGTAAATAGAAGCAAGAGGCAACAGTGCAAAGTGAAAAGGAAGATGAGATTCAAACCTTTCTAGCATCCAGTGAAACAATCAGGTTAAAAACAAAAGCATATAAGAGAAAAATCTCAAAAATGTGCATGCCAATAGTGTAGTGTAATAGAAGAATAACAATAATAGGCATTTTTAACATTTTAAAAACTGATATATTGTAAGAACATTGTTCTGTCACAGAGCAGAAAAACTAAAAATAAAACTCTTCTCTATGCACACAAATATGTAAGGAGACTAAGAGCTAACAAATGAAAAATATCAGTGTTTCTATTTTAAAAAGAGAAAAGAAGGAAGGAAAAAATATATTTAAAAAGAAGAAAGATGTCATATTGGACCTCTGCCACCATCCCTCCTGAATTTACTTTCTAAAGCAAGAGTAGCAGATTGGTGAACTGGTAAGCCTCCTTTGATTCAAACCCCAACATCTTTGCCATTCCAATCATTTTTATTAAAATAAGTATTCTAGTGCTGCAAAGATCAACCATGTTTACTGCTTGCTAATAAAGCAATCAAGTTTACTAATTTTGATTGATATTCAAAGCTACCCTTTAACAAACCACAATTTTACAGCCATCTGTCTTATAATGTGACATCCCCCAAAGAGAGTGTTTCATTTCTAGCTGCAAGGGGGTATGCAGGACTGGTCACATGCTCCCAGGGTGTCCATCTATACACCATAAAGTAACAATTTTGTTCATGCATTTATCAAATATTTACTGAATGTACAGAATATGTCCAGGTTTGTATTTAAAACAATGAATAAGAAGCTATTCCTGTCTTTGAGGTGCTTACAGTCTAGTTTTTACAAGATCCCTAAGCAGACACTTCTAATTCTGTGATTGGTGCTATGAATACAGGTAAAGAGGAGGCTCAGGAGCTTGCAAGAGAGGCTTATAGAAATGACATCTGAGTAGAGACTTTGTGGATGAAGAGGTTTTAGCCAGGCAAGTTAGGGGGAAGACTGTCCCAGGCTTAACGAATGGCTTGTGTAATCCTAAGGGGAACAAGTGTAGTGCATAAAATGTAGACTTTTCTTTACTTGGCCAGTTAATTACAAACTCCAGCAACTATTTATATGGGAGCTGTATTAACAGGAGGGGGAAAGAAAAGACTGAAAAGTCAGAAAGGAAAAAAAGGCCTCAAGTTTAAAGCAATTCAAGTAATAAACAATGTGTATTAATTTGCATCTGTTTATGTTTGTTAAGCACACAGCCTAACTGACTGAATGCTCAATTTGTTGAATGAATGAAAGATCAATGCATAATTGCTTTGAGGCTGTTACCTTCACAACATTTTTTTTGGTTTTTAATTTTTTCAAATAAATGACATGAAAGCCCAATTTTTACCAATAGCACAAAGCAAGATGTTCAAAACTACTCCCAAAATATGTAGGAAAATAAGAAAGGCATATTTTCTCCCCAGTGACTTATAACCTGAAGGAGGAGGAGTTAAATTTAAGTCAGTTCCATTCAATATGCATTTGAGCATCCTGTATGCCTAGTAGCATACTGTTAGGCTCTTTGCAAATGCTTTATGATTAGTGTTTTCACTTGCAAATACTTATGTATATGAAATAACCCAAGGGAAATACATGAAACACGAAATAGTACAGACGGCAATGAAGTGCCGCAAATACAGATTCAGAAAATTCAGTACAGTGACATTGAAAAAGGAAGAAGTTGTTTTGGGCTGGTACCCTCAGGGCTGGCTATGCAGAGGACACAAGGTATCTTCCAGGTTCCAAAGGATGCATGAGATTGCTCCAAGCCTGAAGGAGGACTATACCCAAATATCAGATAAAGAACATGAGACTGAAAAGCCATGTTTAACTTTTCTTGGGATGCAGGTTGTGAAAGAAATCATGGAATAAAAGAACAAAACCAAAGAGATGTCAGTGCAATTATGGAAAGGGAGCTGAACTGAGTGAGATTGGGAAAATCTAGGTTTTACCTTCTGCATTGTCACTAATGCACTGCATGACCCTAGTCCCAGGACTTAACCACTGGGAGGGTCACAGTCTCCTCATCTGTAAGATAAAGACATAGGGCTAGATGAATGCGAAGGATTCCTTCCCATTTGAAAGACTGTGATTCTCTTATTCTCAGAACTAAATTTAATGCTCATCTGTGATAATCAATTTATACTAGGTTCCTCTGATTTACACTGATGCCTCAATGCCAAATTTATGCAGACTTGGCTGAAAAATATTTGGTAATCTTCTGAGCAGATTTCAGATAAATTTGAATATCCATCTCAATGGTTCTACAAAATGTAAGAAACTGCTGCTTCTTCAGACAACTGCTGCTGCTTCTAGCATCACCTTGTGCAAATCATGAAACAATCTACACTATCTTATTACTATCTGGTTATGTGTCTGCTTGTAGGTAGATTGTGAACTCTTTCATGGCAGTAACTGCGTTTTATGCATTTTTATGTCTTTACTATGTAAGCTTAGAGCTTGGCTTATGGTGATAATTAATCATCATATGATAATAATTAAAACATACCAAATATTTTGAGTTATCAATATGTTCCAAGTACTCTTTAAAGTATTGTTTCATTTAATCTTCCCTCAAATTCTGTAAGATAGATATTATAATTATTCCCACTTTACAGATGAGGAAAGTGGAGCATATACAGAGGTTAAGCAAACTTCCCAAGTTCACACAACTAATAAATCTGGCAAAGAGTACTCACACCCAAGGCCTCTGGCTCCAGAGCTTATGCTTTTAAGTACCTGGAGATGCTTGAGAGATCCTCATTGAATAAATAATGCAGCATATTTATTACAACTAAAGCACAGAGGGAAGGCATCAGGGATGGAAGAAGAAGTGGTAATGGGAGCAGGGAGGAAGAGTATGTCAGTGAGAGGAGAGTACTACAGATGAAGGTGTGGAGGAAAGGAACTACTCTGTTAGGGAAGAAGTAACAAGCAGTTCAGTATTGTTGGAGAAGATAGGAAGAAGGTTGTTGCTGGAGACAGTGGAAAAAATCATAACACAGAGAACCTATGCCTTGTGAGTACTCTGGGAAACCAGGAGCACTGACGGATCTGACAAGTGTAAGTAATCTCACGGAACAATGAGACAAAAACAGTTCAGAACAGTGCCCTTCTGAAAAATCCTGGCTATGCTGAAGTAGTAGCCCATGAAACTCCTTAAAGTCCCTCTATTGACTTTTTGTCTTTGCTATTTCTTTTGCTTGTAATATCCTTTTTCTTCCAGTGTTCCTTCCTCATTACTCCTGGGTTTTTCAAATGCAGCGGAAATGTCATTTTCTCTAAGAAATGTTCTTTCTCTCACTTTCCCCAGCATCTACCCTGCATGGCACCATGTTGTAACACTCATGACACTTCATTGTAGTCAACTCTTCACTTGCATTTTCAGTCTTTTCTCCCAGGCTGTGGATACTTTGAAAGTCCACATCACCCTTCATACTCTTCATCCTCTGTCTACCAGTTTCTGGAACAAGATAAAACTAAGTAATTTCTGTTTAATCAATCAGTTTTTAATTGGAATTATATTACAGTCATTTCATTCTGGTATTTGTATATATTCTTGGTATAATGCATTGAAAATAACCTAACTACATTATGTCTACCTCTTATAATACCAAAATGTCCACATAGTACAAAATTAAGTGCAAAGGTTAGCAACAATATAGCAAATGTATGCAACATCCTAATTCAATTTTACCAACTTAGCATAAAAGAAAATAGCCAATACTGCCCAATCTCTTCTTTCTCCTTTTCTAATAAAGGCTTATTTCCTGTCAATACACTGCAGCTTGTAAACCACCCTAATAAATAATAGAGCTTCCTTATTTTGTTAGTTCCCCATTGTACCAGTTTCTGGTCTTTCACCCAGTTCTCTCCACTCAGTCCGTGAGAAAAGTTTCTGAGGGCCTGAACGATCTCAGTGCATTTCCTACAGTCCTAGTGATATTCCTGTGCTTGTTCCAACCATTGATCCCAGTCACTGTTCGTTTGCTGTCCATCTCATTCTTCAAATGTTCAACAAATATTCACTGCTCAGAATGCCAGGCACTATGATGAGATATTAAGTGAACAAGATAGCCACAGACCCTACACTCCCAGGATGCACACCCCTCAGGGAAATCTTAGGTACTAAGACTGGCAAACCCAAGGTGCTACGAGAGCAGAGACAAGGGTACCAGCCCCATACTTAGTTGTCAGGGGAAGTTCTAGCATCTGGATGTTAAATTCAACTCAGCCAGGAAAAAGAAAGGAATGAGATGATGGGTGTGGAAAGAGAATGGAAACTAAGGCAACCAACACTTGAAGGTTCAAAGGTAGATAAGGGTTCCAAACTAAGAAACTGAGGTAGTTCCAGTAATTACATCCCAGATGCAGAGAATGGTGGAAACAGTGACCAGAGAGGGCACTCAAGAAGTAGCAGGGCCAAAACACACTGAGCTTTGGAACCAGATTAAAATGTTTGGCCTTCATCTTAAATGCAATCATAAGGAAAAGTTTAAACTGGGGAATGACAGTTCAATGTTTGTTTTAGAAAGATCACTCTTGCCCCCTTCTAGAGAAGGGTTTGGAGAGGAATGCAGTTGAGGCAGAGATGCCAGTGAAGAGGCTAGGTGGGGATGCAAATCAGAGATTATGATTCTCTATAGTTATGTGAATAAGGAAGGAACAAAGCAGATCAAAATGACAGATATCTAAGTGTAGAACACTGTGCTTAGTGAATGACTGGTAGCAAAGAGGGAGAGAGAGAGGCTGGGGATGATGTCATAGACCTCAAAACCTCTCCTGCCTGGTAACCTAAGTCCAGCATAAACATCACTCTGGGCCTCTAGAAACACCTCATATACTCCTCTCAATTATCATGTGACCTGAATTCCGTGGTTAACTAAAAGTATCTGCTTCTGTGTATATTGCTATTTCTAGCCTAACGAAATATGATGAAAATCATAAGTGGGTCTATTGGTTGGGTTTATTTCCTCTGTACTAGGTTGTCAAAACAAGTTCTCTGTGTGCTGGTCACTTCCTCTGAGAAGCCAGTCATGACTGCCGTAGCAGACCTAGGGCTTCCTCCAAGACTGTATAGCATCATACAAACCTCCATCATTATAATATTCCATAGCGTTATAACATGCAATTGTCCAAGTCTCCACTACATTGTGAGGTTTTAAGGAAGCATATTCTTTTTATCTTTACCTCTCCAGTGCTTACCAGTGCCAGAGAATATGGTACAAATTTCATATGTTGACTTAATGTATTATTTTAATTGTTTCACTATTACCCTTGCAATTTAGAAAGTCTCTTTTCCTGACATGATTAGGAACTCTGCCAAAGCAAATAGGTGTTCTGTGTTTTTTAAATCTATTAAGAATTTGCATTAATTTAAAATGAGAACAACAATCATGGGAAATAATTCTAAAATGTTTCCCCAGCTATTTATTCTGCATGTTGATGGGACAAATAACGTGAAGGGCAATAGGTATGAGCAGGTTATGGTTTCTTAATGTACCACACACCAATCAGATAGCTCCACAATGCAAGCCATTTATAATGTCCTTCGCTTTATATTCAGGCATTGACAATCAGAAACTGAAGCGAAACGCAATGATTCATTCAAAGTAGACCTGACATACAAACCTTTCTGAGGTGTGGATAATACATATTATGTGGATATACATAAATATCATAATTGTATGAGTTATTCGTTTTCTCTGTTGCTCAGTCATTCCTTGCTCTCTGCCATGAAAATGCCACTACAGTGTATTTGCCACAGTGGCCCCCAAAGCTTGAAAAAGTTAGGGGAGGGGGAAAGAGAACAACGAATAAAAACACGGTGGTGGCAGAATTCACATCTTCATGTCCTTTCCTGCCAGCCTGGCCTTCCATTTACGTCTGGGTGCTGGTTCTATCAAACTTCTGTCTTGTATCAATTTTTAGCAGCATGGATAATTTATTGCATCTAGGGTGATAGAAAACCAGCTTTATTCATCATTCAGCTTGCAAAAGATGTGTAGCTTCAGTCCCTTAATGGTGTCATTTTGGCTGAATGCTATTAACAGATTACCCGTGCCTAGGGCAGTGGAGCATGTGCAGCAGAAAGATAACCTTGTGTTCGTAATTTAATATTAACTGTTTTCTCCATAGTACCTCTTTCCAGTACATTAACAACAAACCAATATGGCCTTGTCCCCTGTGGTCATATTCTTCAGCAAAAAAAATGGATTACATGATAGCAAGTTCCTGAAGATTTACAATGAAGTATTACAAATCGCTCAACACTCGCTCTGCAGAAATGAAAAATAAACAGGCTTAGATTCAATCAGATTTAATTCCTCCAATGTAGCTTTACCGCACTTCAAAGGGTGCTCTTATTAATGTCTTGGTCAACAAATTTAACAGACATTTTTTTCTCCTTCTTATACGAAAGCCTCCAGTTGTGTTCAACATATAGTGAGATCAAGAAACTGTTTTATTTTATTTTATTTTTTTAGTGACTACTCTGTCACAGTTTGATATAAAAGTGTAAGCCATTTACAGAAAACTCTTTATGGAATTTTTATCCTATTCCATTCCCGGGAGCTAAATTTATATCCTGCATTAGCTATCATAGCACTAGAGTATTAGTCTTCTCCCTTTGCAAGCAGTTCAGGGCAGTCGGAGGCCCTATCACTCTCCACCACTCACATACACAGGCATTATGAGTTTATCTCATCTTCTGCAGCAAGTACCGGGCCCAATTCATTCCTTTAGGCTGCTTTACTAATAACCTATTCCTTATCAGGGCCTCTCCACCTCAGCTTGTGATCAAAGACCCAATTAATGGAATGGAGAAAGGTGAAGCATTCAAATAATGGAGACAGCTGTTTTTCTCTGTTAGAGAAAATCCATTTGTATTGTTATCGCACTCGCAAGTTCTGCAGCTCCTGTTTAATTCAGTCTTCCTCTATTTCTGCTGATGATAAAAAAAAAAGTCACAATGAACTCCGAAGAGAATGGCAGAAACATCACCGTGTTTCAACTCACTCTAGGAGTTATCAACTTGAAAGTGAAAACACAAGCAGATAAGAGGAGGAAATGTCCAACAAAGACCATATCAAAAAATTTTAAAATTTTTTCAAGCAGCATTCTCTATTCATCATTCTGAATTTTTTTGTTCAAGCTCTGTCTTATCCTGTATTGATCAGCTGTCTAACTCAGCAAAGCAGAAGCTGATAATATCTTGAGTTCCACATCAGTTGAAAAATAATTAAAGGCACAGAGTAATCATAATTGGTTGGTGGGGACATTTTTATGAACTTCATGCACTTATGGGTCCAGGAAACCTTATTAGAGCTCCAACTTTAAGTAGGATATTTCTCCACAAGTCACAACATTTTCCCCTAAACTGGTTATTAAACTATTTATTTCTTTTCCCCTTTAAACATTTTAAGAATGTCCTGCCCTCGATGCCATGCTTGCTTTACATACCTGAGCCCTAACATGAGAGGATTGTATGAGTGATTCTCAGACACAAAGTCTGATCATGTTAAGGCATCATTCCTCTGTAAAGAAATGTCACTTGTCTGTAAATGCTCTGTCCTTTCTGCCTGGTAATGGAGCAGGAAAGACCTCTTGGTTTTAGAATTAAGGCTATGCTGTCTATCTTCTCTCTTAATAAAAGCAGGTTAGATTCAAAGCTGGAAGAGAAACAAAGACAGTCTTTTGCTTTTACTTTGTGTAGAACATATTTCCTTGTAAGGGTCTAAATCCAGGATTGTTTTTGGTTTTGTCAAATAAAAAGAGAAACACGTACATTGTTTTTCTCCCCTCAGGAGAATTCCCTTGGAAAGCAAGAATGAAAATCACATATTTGAATTCCTGCCTGAACACATATAACTAGCAAAATAAACACGTACAGAGCTACAGTATATGCAATGAATAGAGACAGCAGAATCTTAAAGGGTTGTTCTCCCAGGCTGATCGCTCACAGGGGATTCCAAGATGTGTGTGAGAATGAGTGGAAAAAAAAAGCATTATGCATTTGCATGCAAAATGAACATTTAAAAGATTTTATGGAAATAAAGAATAATATGTATCAAACATGGTCTGGTAAACAGGTCGGGTTTTCCTATCATTTTTTCGTGACTTCAATCTTTAAAAACAACAACAACAAAAAAAATAGATAGGCTTTTTCCTTCTGTATTGGAATAAAACAACTCTTCCTCTCTTTGCATGTCATGGATCTTCATATTCTTTTCTTAATATTGAAACTAGAGCAAATAAATATGAAATAAAATAAATCACCTTTCTCAAGATATAAAATAGTAAAAGCAGAACTATCAATAATTTCCCTTAGGCATACTAAAAATACAGAGACACAGTTGGTATCAGTGGAGTAGAAAAAACAAAACAAATTATGAAATGCAGCTTTAATCCTTCAGCTGTGAAAGGAAAGATCTATAAACCTTTTAGTTTTTAGTATTTTTTAACTTTGTCTATATCAAGGCAATAGCATAAATATATAGTAACTTTTCTCTGGCAATGTTAGAATTACAGGAAAAAAAAACTTTCTTTTTTTAATAGAGGGACTTTGTCAGTCAGGATAGGCCAGTTATATTGGGGTAACAACCAACCACAGAAACCACAGTGGTTGAAAGCATTTATTTCTTATTCACACTATGTCCAGTGGGGATCAGCAGGGTATGCTGCTATCATATGTGCTCAGGGACAGAGAATGATAAAGGCCCCATCATCTTAGGGTGCTGCTTTCTCAATGCAATGCTTCAGGATGTATCAGGGCATAGATGAGAGCATGCAGAACATGTTCCCAACCATTAAATACTCAGGTCTAGAAGTCATCTTCATCAATTTCACTTACATGTCATTGGCCAAAGCAAGTCCCATGGCCACACCTAATTTTAAGAGTACATGCACCCAAAAGGAGATCCAGGAATCTTGGTGCATACTAAGGAACGATTTGTATTTGCTCCACTGTTTAAGAAAGGAAAGTATGCTGAAGATAATGTTCTTTGTTCAATCTTCCATTATAAATGATGCTATGATAACATGACACTAGGGGAGCCACATTCCACATTTAAGTTTAGCTTCTTTTTTTTTAGATGGAGCCTTGCTCTGTCACCCAGGCTGCAGTTCAGGGGCTCAATTTCAGGCTCACTGAAACTTTGGCCTCCCGGTGAGAGGTGACAGCGTGCTGGCAGTCCTCACAGCCCTCCCTCGCTCTCGGCGCCTCCTCTGCCTGGTTTCCCACTTTGGCGGCACTTGAGGAGCCCTTCAGCCCGCAGCTGCACTGTGGGAGCCCCTTTCTGGGCTGGCCAAGGCGGAGCCAGCTCCCTCAGCTTGCGGGGAGGTGTGGAGGGAGAGGCGTGGGTGGGAACCAGGGCTGCCCACGGTGCTTGCCGGCCAGCGCCAGTTCTGGGTGGGCGTGGGCTCGGCGGACCCCGCACTCGGAGTGGCCGGCTGGCCCCACCAGCCCTGGGCAGTGAGGGGCTTAGCACCTGGACCAGTAGCTGCTGTGCTCAATTTCTCGCCTGGCCTTAGCTGCCTTCCCACGGGGCAGGGCTCAGGACCTGCAGCCCGCCATGCCTGAGCCTCCCCTCCCACTCCGTGGTCTCCTGTGCCACCGGAGCCTCCCCGACGAGCGCCGCCCCCTGCTCCAAGGTGCCCAGTCCCATCGACCACCCAAGGGCTGAGGAGTGCGGGCCCACGGCACAGGACTGGCAAGCAGCTCCACCTGCAGCCCAGGTGCGGGATCCACTGGGTGAAGCCAGCTGGGCTCCTGAGTCTGGTGGGGACGTGGAGAACCTTTATGTCTAGCTAAGGGATTGTAAATAGACCAATCCGCACTTTGTATCTAGCTCAAGGTTTGTAAACACACCAATCAGCACCCTGTGTCTAGCTCAGGGTTTGTGAATGCACCAATGGACACTCTGTATCTAGCTACTCTGGTGGGGAGGTGGAGAACCTTTGTGTCTAGCTCAGGGATTGTAAATACACCAATTGGCACTCTGTATCTAGCTCAAGGTTTGTAAACACACCAATCAGCACCCTGTGTCTAGCTCAGGGTTTGTGAATGCACCAATCACCACTCTGTATCTAGCTACTCTGGTGGGGACTTGGAGAACCTTTGTATCCACACTGTGTATCTAGCTAATCTGGTGGGGAGGTGGAGAACCTTTGTGTCTAGCTCAGGGATTGTAAACGCAGCAATCAGCGCGCTGTCAAAACAGACCACTTGGCTCTACCAATCAGCAGGATGTGGGTGGGGCCAGATAAGAAAATAAAAGCAGGCTGCCGGAGCCAGCAGTGGCAACCCACTTGGGTCCCCTTCCACACTGTGGAAGCTTTGTTATTTCGCTCTTTGCAATAAATCTTGCTGCTGCTCACTCTTTGGGTCCACACCGCCTTTATGAGCTGTAACACTCACTGCGAAGGTCTGCAGCTTCACTCCTGAAGCCAGCGAGACCACGAACCCACCAGGAGGAATGAGCAACTCCAGATGCGCCGCCTTAAGAGCTGTAACACTCACTGCGAAGGTCTGCAGCTTCACTCCTGAGCCGGCAAGACCACAAACCCCACCAGAAGGAAGAAACTCCGAACACATCCGAACATCAGAAGGAACAAACTCCGGACACGCTGCCTTTAAGAACTGTAACACTCACCGCGAGGGTCCATGGCTTCATTCTTGAAGTCAGTGAGACCAAGAACCCACCAATTCCGGACACACCGGGTTTAAGCAATTCTCCTGCCCTAGCCTCCAGAGTGGCCAGGATTACAGGCACACACCACCACACTGGCTAATTTTTTTGTATTTTTAGTAGAGATGGCATTTCACCATGTTGCCTAGGCTGGTCTCAAACTCCCGGGCTCAAGCGATCCACCTGCCTTGGCCTCCCAAAGTGCTGGGATTACAGGCTTGAGCCACCACGCCTGGCCTAGCTTCTTTTTTCTTAGAAGTAGATGTTATATACACTTTGTATAAGAGGCAGGATCCTACTCAGACCACAATTTAATCTTTGATAAAGAGGTCTTATGCTGGAGCTTTAACTAATTTTACAATATAAAGTCTTTGAGAGCACATATACAGAATTTTCCTGATTCAAATCTACTAGGTTTACTGAATGAAAGTGTTTTTATGCTTTCAATGATTTACAATTAGATTATGTCATCTGGCTAAATAGTTTCTTAAATGGAGTATTCTGACCTAGAATACTTACTTATTTCCTTCCTTCCTTCCTTTCTTCCTGCATCTTTATTTATATTTATTCTATAGGTAAGATTGATGGTCTGCTATAGCCAAGCATGTATTTAGTTTTCATTTCAAGGATCAGGAAGAAGGCAGGTTCCTAGGTTTCAAGAGACTCAGTTTAGGGAAGGACTCAGACTAGAAACTGAAACTACACCAGATGAGGAAAAAGGATAACAATTACATTTTTAAAAGTAACATTGGGGGGAGGGGCTAAGATGGCCAAATAGGAATAGCTCTGGTCTGCAGCTCCCAGCGAGACCAATGCAGAAGGTGGGTGACTTCTGCGTTTCCAACTGAGGTATCTGGTTCATCTCACTGGGAATGGTTAAGCAGTGGGTGCAGCCCATGGAGGCAAGCAGAAGCAGGATGGGGCATCGCTTCACCTGGGAAGCGCAAGGAGCCAGGGCCCTACCTCCCCCTACCCAAGGGAAGCCATGAGGGACTGGGCTACTCCGCCGGGTTACTACACTTTTCTGACAGTTTTTGCAGTCTGCAGATCAGGAGATTCCCTTGTGTGCCTATACCATCAGGGCCCTGGGTTTAAAGCACAAAACTGGGTGGCTGTTTTGGCAGACATCGAGCTAGCTGCAGGAGCATTTCTTCATACCCCAGTGGCACCTGGAATACCAGTGAGAAAGAACCATTCACTCCTCTGGAAAGGGGGCTGAAGCCAGGGAGCCAAGTGGTCTCGCTGAGCGGTTCCTACTCCCACGGAACCCAGCAAGCTAAGAGCCACTGGCTTGAAATTCTCACTGCCAACACAGCAGTCTGAAGTGACCTGGGACTATCAAGTTTAGTGGGGGAAGGATGTCTGCCATTACTGAGGCTTTAGTAGGCGGTTTTCCCCTGACAGTGCTAAGGAGGTCTGGACTGGGTGCATCAAAGCAACTGTGGCCAGACTGTTTCTCTAGATTCCTCCTCACTAGGCAGGCATCTCTGAAGGAAAGGTAACAGCCCCAGTCAGGGGCTTACAGACAAAACCCCCATCTTCCTGGGACAGAGCACCTTGGGGAAGGGGTGGCTGTGGGTGCAGCTTCAGCAGATTTAATCGTTCCTTCCTGCTAGCTCTGCAGAGAGCAGCTGATCCTGACAAGAGAGATTCTCCCAGCACAGCACACCAGCTCTGCTAAGGGACAGACTGCCTCTTCAAGTGGGTCCCTCACCCCTGTGCCTCCTGACTGGGAAAAACTTCCCAACAGGGGTTGACAGACACCTCATACAGGAGACCTCCAGCTTGCATCAGGCCAGTGCCCCTCTAGGACGAAGCTTCCAGAGGAAGAAGCAGGCTGCAATCTTTGCTGTACTGCAGCCTCCACTGGTGATATCCAAGTAAACAGGGTCTGGAGTGGAACTCCAACAAAATGAAGCAGACCTGCAGAAGAGGAGCCTGACTGTTAGGAGGAAAAACTAACAAACAGAAAGCAACAACATCGACATCAACATAAAGGACCCCCATACAAAAAGCCCATCCAAAGGTCATCAGCCTCAAAGATCAAAGGTAGATAAATACATGAAGATGAGGAAAAAAAGTGAAAAGTGCTGAAAATTCCAAAAACCAGAATGTATCTTCTCCTCCAAATTATCGCAATTCCTCTCCAGCAAGGGCACAAAACTGGACAGAGAACGAGATTGACAAATTTGACAGAAGTAGGCTTCAGAAAGTGGGTAATAACAAACTCCCCTGAGCTAAAAGAGCATGTTCTAACACAATGCAAGGAAGCTAAAAACCTTGATAAAAGGTTATAGGAACTGCTAACTAGAATAACCAGTTTAGAGAGGAACATAAATGACCTAATGGAGCTGAAAAACACAGCACTAGAACTTCGTGAAGTATACACAAGTATCAATAGCTGAATAGATCAAGCGGAAGAAAAGATATCTGAGATTGAAGATCAACTTACTGAAATAAGGCATGAAGACAAGATTAGAGAAAAAAGAATGAAAAGGAAAAAAAAGCCTCCAATAAATATGGGACTAGGTGGAAAGACAAAACCTACATTGATTGGTGTACCTGAAAGTGATGAGGACAATGGAATCAAGTTGGAAAACACACTTCAGTTTATTATCCAGGAGAATTTCCCCAACCTAGCAACACAGGCCAACACTCAAATTCAGGAAATACAGAGAACACCACTAAGATACTCCTTGAGAAGAGCAACCAAAAGACACATAATCATCAGATTCTCCAAGGTTGAAATGAAGGAAAAAATGTTAAGGGCAGCCAGAAAGAAAGGTCAGACTACCTATAAAAGGAAGCCCATTAGACTAAGAGTGGATCTCTCTGCAGAAGCCCTACAAGCCACAGGAGAGTGGGGGCTAATATTCAACACTCTTAAAGAAAAGAAATTTCAACCCAGAATTTCATATCTACCAAACTAAACTTCTTAAGCAAAGGAGAAATAAAATCCTTTACAGGGAAGCAAATGATGAGGGATTTTGTCACCACCAGGCCTGTCTTACAAGAGATCCTGAAGGAAGCACTAAATATGGAAGGGAAAAACTGGTACCACCCACTGCAAAAACACACCAAAATATAAAGACCAATGACACTATGAAGAAACTGCCTCAACTAATGTACAAAATAACCAGCTAGCAACATGATGATGGGATCGAATTCACACAAAACAACATTAACCTTAAATGTAAATGGGTTAATGCCCTAATTAAAAGACATAGATAGGCAAATTGGAAAAAGAGTCAAGACCCAATTCAAGAGCACCCAGATTCATAAAACAAGTTCTCAGAGACCTACAAAGAGACTTAGACTCCCACACAATAATAGTGGGAGACTTTAACACCCCACTGTCAATATTAGACAGATCAACAAGACAGAAAATTAACAAGGATATTCAGGACTTGAACTCAGCTCTAGACCAAGTGGGCCTAATGGACATCTACAGAACTCTCCACCACAAATCAACAGAATATACATTCTTCTCAGTGCCACATAGCACATATTCTAAAATCGACCACATAATTGAGAGTAAAACACTCCTCGGCAAATGCAAAAGAATGGAAATTATAACAAACAGTCTCTCAGACCACAGTGCAATCAAATTAGAACTTAGGATTAAGAAACTCACTCAAAACCACACAACTACATGAATATTGAACAACCTGCTTCTGAATGACTACTGGGTAAATAACAAAATTAAGGCAGAAATAAATAAGTTATTTGAAACCAATGAGAACAAGGAGACAATGTACCAGAATCTCTGGGACACAGCTAAAGCAATGTTGAGAGGGAAATCTATAGCACTAAATGGCTACAACAAAAAGCTGGAAAGATCTAAAATCAACATCCTAACATCACAATGAAAAGAACTAAAGAAGCAAGGCAAACAAATTTAAAAACTGGTAGAAGACCAGAAATAACTAAAATTAGAGTAGAACTGAAGGAGATAGAGACACAAAATGCTTCCAAAAAAAATCAATCAATCCAGGAGCTGTTTTTTTTGAAAAGATTAACAAAATAGATGAACCACTAGTTAGACTAATAAAGAAGAAAAGAGAGAAGAATCAGACACAATAAAAAACAAGATCAAGGGGATGTCACCACTGATCCCACAGAAAAACAAACTACCATCAGAGAATACTATAAACACTTCTATGCAGATAAACTAGAAAATCTAGAAGTAGTGGGTAAATTCCTGGACAAATATACCCTCCCAAGACTAAACCAGGAAGAAGTCGAATCCCTGAATAGACCAATAACAAGTTTTGAAATTGAGGCAGCAATTAATAGCCTACCAATCAAAAAAAGCCCAGGACCAGACGGATTCACAGTAATTTCTACCAGAGGTACAAAAAGGAGCAGGTACCATTCCTCCTCCCTATTCCAAACAATAGAAAAAGAGGACCTCCTTCTTAACTCGTTTTGTGAACCAGCATAATCCTGATACTAAAACCTGGCAGACACACAGCAAAAAAAGAAAATTTCAGGCCAATATCCCTGATAAACATTGACATGAAAATCCTAAATGAAATACTAGCAAACTGAATCCAGCAGCACATCAAAAAGCTTATCCACCACAGTGAAGTCGGCTTCATCCCTGGAATGCAAGGCTGGCTCAACATATGCAAATCAATAAATGTAATCCAACACATAAACAGAACCAATGGCAAAAACCACATGATTATCTCAATAGTAGCAGAAAAAGCCTTTGATAAAATTCATCATCCCTTCATACTGAAAACTCTCAATAAACTAGGTATTGATGAAACATATCTCAAAATAATAAGAACTAATGATGACAAACCAACAGCCTATATCATATGGAATGGGCTAAAGCTGGAAGCATTCCCTTTGAAAACAGGCACAAGACAAGGATGCCCTCTCTTACCACTCCTATTCAACACAGTATTGGAAGTTCTGGTTAGGGCAATCAGGCAAGAGAAAGAAATAAAGCGTATTCAAATGGGAACGGAGAAAGTCAAATTGTTTCTGTTTGCAGGGGACATGATTTTATATTCAGAAAACCCTATCGTCTTGGTCCAAAAACTTCTTAAGCTAATAAGCAACTTCAGCAAATTCTCAGGATACAAAATCAATGTGCAAAAATCACAAGCATTCCTACACATCAACAATAGATAGGCAGAGAGCCAAATATGAATGAACTCCCATTCACAATTGCTGCAAAGAGAATAAAATACCTAGGAATACAACTTACAAGGGACGTGAAGGACCTGTTTAAGCAGAACTACAAACCACTATTCAAGGAAATAAGAGACGACACAAACAAATGGAAAAGAATTCCATGCTTATGGATAGGAAGAATCAATATTGTGAAAATGGTGAAACTGCCAGGAGTAATTTATAGATTCAGTGCTATTCCCATCAAGCTGTCAGTGACTTTCCTTGCAGACATAGGAAAAAAACTACTTTAAATTTCATATGGAACAAAAAAAGAGCTTGCATTGCCAAGACAATCCTAAGCAAAAAGAACAAAGCTGGAGGCATCACGCTACCTGACTTCAAACTATATGACAAGGCTCCTGTCACCAAAACAGCATGGCACTGGTATTGAAACAGATATATAGACCGATGATGGAACAGGATAGTGACCTCAGAAACAACACCACACATCTACAACCATCTGATTTTCAACAAACCTGACAAAAACAAGAAATGGGGAAAAGATTCCCTATTTAATACATGGTGCTGGGAAAACTGGCTAGTCATATGCAGAAAACTGAAACTGGACCCCTTCCTTACACCTTATAAGAAAATTAACTCAAGATGGATTAACGACTTAAATGAAAAACCCAAAGCCATAAAAACCCTAGAAGAAAATCTAGGCAATACCATTCAGGACATAGGCATGGGCAAAGACTCCACAACTAAAACACCAAAAGGAAATGCAGCAAAAGCCAGAATTTACAAATGGGATCTAATCAAACTAAAGAGCTTCTGCACAGCAAAAGAAACTATCATCAGAATGAATGGGCAACCTACAGAATGGGAGAAAATTTTTGCAAGCTACCCATCTAACAAAGGTCTAATACCCAGAATCTACAGGGAACTAGAATAAATTTACAAGAAAAAAAACAAACAACCCCATCAAAAAGTAGCTGAAGGATATGAACAGACACTTCTCAAAAGAAGACATTTATGTGGCTCATCATCACTGGTCATCAGAGAAATGCAAAATAAAAACCACAATGAGATACCATCTCATTCCAGTTAGAATGGCGATTATTAAAAAGTCAGGAAACAACAGATGTTGGCGAGGCTGTGGAGAAATAGGAACGCTTTTACACTGTTGGTGGGAGTGTAAGTTAGTTCAACCATTGTGGAAGACAGTGTGGTGATTCCTCAAGGATCTAGAACTAGAAAATCATTTGACTCAGCAACCCCATTACTAGGTATATGCCCAAAGGATTATAAATCATTCTGCTATAAAGACACATGCACACGTATGTTTATTGCAGCACTATTTATAATAGCAAACACTTGGAACCAACACAAATGCCTATCAATGATAGATTGGATAAAGAAAATGTGGCACATATACACCATGGAATACTATGCAGCCATAAAAAAGAATGAGTTCATTTCCTTTGCAGGAACATGAGTGAAGCTGGAAACCATCATCCTCAGCAAACTAACCACAGGAACAGAAAACCAAACATCATATGTTCTCACTCATAAGTGGGAGTGAACAATTAGAACACATGGGCACAAGGAGGGGAAAATCACACACTGGGGCCTGTCAGGGGGTGGGGGGAAAGGGGAGGGAGAGCATTAGGACAAATACCTAATGCATTCAGGGCTTAAAACCTAAATGATGGGTTAACTGGTGTAGCAAACAACCATGGCACATGTATACCTATGTAACAAACCTGAACATCCTGCACATGTATCCCAGAACTTAAAGTACAATAAAATAAAATAAAATAAAATAAAATAAAATAAAATAAAATAAAATAAAATAAAATAAAGTAAACTTACTACTACTAATAATAATAGCTAAGAATTATAAACACTTAACATCAGATGGTATATTGTATTACTTAATTTTCATTATGAAAGTGGTCAGCAACTTGATTACCTTCAAAAAACTATGTTTTTCCAGCCGCCTCTTTCAACTCAGGTCTATTTGTTCTTCTTACTGCTCTCCCTGCTCCTCCCGGTTGTTCTACTTCGAATTCCTATCAGAGGTCCCTGACCTACCACCACCGCCACCTCCAGCAAGGTTTGCCTTAGGAGCTATCTTTCCTTTGACCCTCTATCATCTTCTGTTTCTCCATTTTTACTTCTTGGATGCTCTGTTTTATGATCCTTTCTCCTTGGTTCCACTATGCTCTGAGAACTATAGGCTCTAAAGTGTATTAAAACTTTACGTATTTGACTACTATATACATAAAAATGCCTCTAGCCACTGATCAGACTTTATATAATTTTGGGTCATCTGGGAGGCCAAAGGACCTTTACCTCTTGTGCTCACCATGGCATAACACTCAGTGACGACTTCAGACCCAAGCTCTACATCTCCAGTTGCCTAAATCTGGACTTGAATATGAGAAATTTAGTGTGCAAAATCGATCCAAATCATCTTCCTCTGAAACCAGGTTTTTCCCTCAAAAAAATTCTCATTTTTGCTAATGCTTCATCCAGGCATAAAACGTTGGCTTCACCTCTTCATTTCCAAGTCAAACACCGAATGCTTTGAGATTCATGTTTCTAGGAAAGATTGACATTTGAATTGGTAGACTGAGTAAAGCAGAGGGCCCTCTGCAATGCAGGTTAACCTCATCCAATCTGTTGAGGACCTGAATAGAGCAAAAAGGCAGAGAAAGTTTGAATTAGCCCCCTCTACCCTACTGCTTGAGCTGAGACATTGGTCTTCTCCTCCCTTTAGATTAAAACTTAAACCATTAGTGCTTCTGGTTCTTTGGTCTTTGGATTTGGATTGGAATGTATATCACCAGCTTTCCCGGGTCTCCACTGTCCAGATGGCAATTTAATCCAATTCCTTATAATAAATTTCATGTATGTATATACAGTTGCACATCCTTTAATGATAAGGATATGTTCTGACAAATGTGTTGTTAGGTGATTTTGTCATTGTGCAAACACCATAGAATGTACTTATGCAAACCTAGATGGTATAGGCCCTACTACAAATCTAGGTTATATAGTTATAGCCTATTTCTCCCAGTCTAAAAACCTGTACAGCATGTTACTGTACTGAATATTGTAGGCAACTGTAACATGGGATAAATGTTTTTATGTATCTAAATGTAGAAAAGGTACAGTAAAGATATAATATTATAACTTTATGGGACCAAGTTTGTATGTGTGGTTCATCATTGACCAAAACATCATTATGCAGTATATGACTGTGTGTGTGTGTGTGTGTGTGTGTATCTCCTATGGGTTTTGTTTCTCTAGAGAAGCCTGACTAATACAACTGGCAATAATTTCCCATTGTGTGCAGAGTTAAGACATGTGTCTATGGCCAGATTTTAAGTCACCCCATAATCTGGCACCTCCAATACTCCCTCCATCCTCTCCCTCCTAACTATCCAAACTTTTTGAACAACATGAATCATCTGTTTCATTTGAGTTGGTTGTTTTGGAAATGGAGTTCCTGCTTATTTTCACTCTGAAAGTCACTGCTTATGTTGCTTAATGAATTGAAAGAATACTGCCTAGCCTAAAATATAGCTCGAATTCTGCTCCTTCCAAGAAATCTTTTCTACATTTCCATTGACTTTGAATTATTTTGTAACATGGCAGGCTGTGCTTGCAGACTCACTGTGGCACAGGCAACCTGTTGGTGCTTTGTTATTTAACCCCTGACTCCCTTGTTATTTGCATGCAAGCAAGTCTCATCTCCTTATTGAACAATAAGCTTCTCATCAACTTTGGGCCATTTCTTGTCTACCTTTTATAATATCTCACAAAATTCTTAATATATGTGGTACCTAATAAATACTTGTTAAATGGAGAGTAAAAAAAAAATCTAAGACCTTTTTTAGCACTTGACTCGTACTCTCTCAGGTCATAACTTCTTTTATTTTCAATTTCAGTTCAAGATTATGCCTTTAAATCATTTTGTCATCCTTTTACATATTTTTCTAAATGCATTTAAAAATAAAATGCTTTCTAATGTTACATGAAAGCATTAAATGGGAATAGCAAATAAATAATATAAATATGATGTGGTTTTAAAAGGCTCTTATAGACAGGGCTAGTATCACTTACAATATTTTTAGGTGGAGAAATGCATGCTAAAGCACAGATTAAATAAGGGAATTGGTCTGTTCTGGGAACAACCAAAAATTGAGACAGATTTTTTTTTCCATGTGGCATTGGGCCCATGTATCTGGAAATTCAGAGCTCCAGAGATGCCTCTCCTTCCCCGTGGTGACAACTTGCCCCAGTATAGTACCAATCAGTCATTTGTTGTACAGATAGTTGATAAGCAAGAGAGACTTGGAGATGTGGACAATAATGGCCATTTTGGTTTAAAAATAGGGAATTCGTGTGTTGAATTATGTTCATCTTCATTCCAATCTGACCCAATTTTCATTTCTATTATTCTGGTCATCAGTTTCTTCTATTTCTAAAATCTTTCTTTTCTTTTGAAGAAACTGGATTCATTGTAGAGAATTCTATTCCTGGATACCATGTATTTATAATTCCTTGAATTTATCAAACAATATTATGACACAGGTATATATACATATGACTATCTGTCTCACCTGGAAATAAGTCCTGGGAAGTTTTCTTCCCATACCACCATCTTTCAAGTCAGGAATCCCACCCTCTAAAGAGGCTTGAGTAAGCTCTGGGTAGGCAAAGTCATAGGTCTCAAGAAATCTCAGAGGTTGGGCAGGCCTCGCTTCTGCCAGATAATCTTTAGCTGTCAATTGACAAACAACTGTCAATGGATGATCCTCACCAGACTACAATGAGGAAACTGATCTTGGGGCACATCAGTCCAGGCCACATACAGCGCTCACCCAGTGACAACAGGTGGTCAGTTTCTAGCTTGGATCCACTTAGCTCCTGATAAAATTGATGGCCTGAGCCAGGCCATGTTTGATGCTGTCTTTTAGAGCCAAAACTTGCCCATTTTCTACTTTTGAGAAGATTAGGGAAAGGCATTCTTCCTCAAGACAGTTTCCTTTCATCCCTCACAAACCTGACATAATATCCTGATTTTCTAAGAACAATATGGTTTCCCACTATCACCAAAAAAAAAATTCATATAAAATACACAAATCTGTGATGTTTATTATGTGAATGTATTCTCTTATATGTGTACCCTTGTGCAGTATACAACTGCACATCTGTATCTGTGATGTTTATCATGTGAATGTATTCTCTTATATGTGTACCCTTGTGCAGTATACAACTGCACATCTGTATCTGAAATGCCCTGTTGACCCTGATTACCCAACTCATCATCTCATGCCTCATCCATCAACCTTCTCCAAAGTCTTGAAATATCCAACACTTTTGTCTTTGGTGAGCATCTTTGTCTTGTTCTTAATATAGACATAAATTCTTCTTGTCTTTCTTCATCAAGCCTGAGGCTGGCTTTTGGTTTGAAATATCTATATTACCTATATTTTTCAAGAATTTTAAATATCTATCCAGCCCTGTTTGTAAACCAATTTTCTTTCAAAAATCAGAAATAGGATTTTATAAAAGTTTTTTGTAGTCAGTTAAAGAATACAAATCCACTTAACTCTTTTTTTAATTTTTATTTTCATGCTCCTGTAAGGTAACAGGGCCATATGTCTCTTTCTGAGGGCAATTTGGAAATATCTACTGATATTTTAAGTATATATTGTTTAACCCAGAAATTCTAGCTCTAGGTATTTAGCCTATAGATATGCAGGTGTATAAAGATGTACATACAAGGATATTTAATACAAGAGGGAACACTTAAAATGACCTAAATATCTTTTAATAGAGGATTGATTAAATAAGTTGTGGTACATACTTACAAGAAAATAGTAAGCAGATTCTAAGAAAAAAAAGTAATGGAAATATTTGTAAATAAAAGATTTTTGAGATTCATTCGTGTACTTATTCATTCATTTCTTGTTTCAACAAATATTTATTGAGTGCCTACTGCATGATAGCCACTGTTCTAGGGATGGCAATTCCACAGTAAAAGAGATAAACATGATCCCTGCCTTGTGGAGCCTATATAGTAGGAGGAGACAGAAAAAAAAACAAAACAACAATTAAAAAAATACAAAGTAAAGTAATAAGTACTACAAGGAAAACTACTTCAGAGCAAAAGAATACAGCATGATAGAGGCAGTACTGTTTTAGGCAGAGGTATCTGTCTAAACGATAATATTTGATAAGACCTGAATTAAACGAGGAAGTTGGCCATGCAACTGCCATGCAGGAACAAAGGGCAGGAGAGAAAATGGAAAGTGCAAAGTAGGGAAGGTTCTTGTCTATGTTTGAAAAATGCTAGAAGGGAAGTATGGTTGGAGTGTATATGAAAGGGAAGAGGAAGAGGGTGAAGTTGGGGAGACAGTTAGAAGGGACTTAAGTACCTTAAAGAGCTTGATATCTTTTTTTAACAAAAAAAAATTAGAAGTATCATAACAAAAAATTACAACATAAAAGAACATAAAGTTTGTCAAGCTTCTTGTAAAAGTTAATTATTTTCATTAAGTTTATATCAATTTAAACATCCACCAGCCATGTGTAAGTATAACCCATGTCATGTATCTTCACCAACATTGAAGATTATAAGTTTTGAAATAGCTGACAATTTTACATATGCTATCATTTTGTTGATTTAATTAGCTTTTTTTTTTTTTTTTTTTTTTTTAAAGATGGAGTCTTGCTCTGTCAACCAGGCTGGAGTGCAGTGGTATGATCTCGGCTTGCTGCAACCTCTGCCTCCGGGGTTCAAGCGATTATCCTGCCTCAGCCTCCTGAGTAGCTGGGATTACAGGTGCATGCCACCACTCCCGGCTAATTTTTGTATTTTTCTTAGAGATGGGGTTTCACCATTTTGGTCAGGCTGGTCTCAAACTCCTGACCTCGTGATCCGCCCGCCTTGGCCTCCCAAAGTGCTGGGATTACGGGCGTGAGCCACTGTGCCCGGCTGATTTAATTAGCTTTTAACAAATAAAAATTACTTAACGTTTTTGTGATAGTGAATGCTTCCTTTTACATATGTTCCAGATTCCAAACCATAATGTGACCATATTCCCGTCTATACTTTCCATGTCATTGCAGGCTCTTCTGAATTGTCATGCAGCAAATTGATGAACTGATTCAGTCGAGTGCTGGAACCAACTCACACTGGTTCTAAAGATCTAGTTGACAATTTTCAGTGGTTTTTCAAGCCAGTTGTTAAACCATTGGTATCATGAGATTGACCATGGTGGGAATATTTATTCATACCATGTGAATTGATAAATGCTATAAATCAGAGCTTTTTTAAGAAAATAGACCCAGCTTACCAGCACATCACTGATTTAAGCAATCTTTTATTTTAAGTTACAAAATAATTAAGACAAAATTATTGCCTCTGAGGAATATTTGAGGCATTCAACCTCTACAGAGAGCTCATTTCTTTCATCTAATCAGCTGATAAATATCCAACTTTTAATTAGCCACAGTGGAAGTGGAACTTTCAGCAGGGAAAGCATAGGCACTGAAAGATCTTGGTTTGATATGCAGTTCTTTTGAGGAATTCATTCCCTTTATCTTTCTGTCTCTACCATTGCCATTTGGGGAATATGTTGCCTCTTTGGATTTTAACTCTTAGTCTCTTTTAGAATGAGGTTGGAACTCAATTAATATTAAAGTAAAAATAGACAGGTTGCAGAGCTTGCCTCTAATCTAGGCCTCGCTGGGTCACAAGAGTTGGAGCGCAAACAGGAGTTGGCAACCACGGTGTATATCATCCTCTTGGTATATTTTCAGTGAAATGGCTGGCTAAAGATTCAGAGGCTTGGGAACTTGGCTGTAGGAAGTGGAATCGTATCCTCCCCAAAATATATGTTTAACTTCTTCTAACCCCTGGTACCTGTGAATGTGACCTTATTTGTAAATAGGGTCTTCGCAGATGTAACCAACTTTAGATGAGGGCATACTGGGTATGGTGATTCCTAAATCTAACGACTGGTTTCGTTATAAGAGAAAGGGGAAGGGTGTTTAGATAGACACAGAGGAGAGACAGGGAGAACACCATGCAATGGCAGAGGCAGAGATTGGGGTGATGCAGCTGCAAGGCAAGGAGTGTCAAGAATTGCTGCCAAGTATCAGAAAATAGGAAGAGGCAAGGAAGGATTCTCTCTTACAGGTTTCAGAGGGAGCATAGCCCTGCTAACACTTTGATTTTTAATATAGGGCTTCCAGAATGATGAAAGAGTGTCTATTGTTTTAAGTCACCAAGTGTGTGGTTCTTTGTTACAGCAGATGAAAAAACTAATACTCTGTCCTTTCTTCATGATTAAACTAATAAATTTCCAAATCTAAAACCATGGTTCACTTTATAGGACAGAGTATTATCTTCTAAGGGCCTGCCTATGTAATATTGTATTTTTAGGAATAAAATTATTTGGGAAACTTTCTACTTTATAAGTAATTAATAGTGTAAATATGCATACATCTGTCAGGAAAACACCTTATACATTTCACATTAATTGTCATTTTTAAAACAAAAAAAATGAGACAGAACAAAGAAATATGAAAAAATCAAGCCTTTTACTGATTTCCTGAAAAAAAACAAACAAAGAGTGTGATCAGGGTTTAGTAATCAAAATAGTGGAAGGACACTGAAAAACATTTCTGTAAAATCCAAAGGAACACAGAATAAGCAATCAACAGCATGAGTTTATAACAACTAACTCATGCCAGAGAAACCTGATTGATTTCCTTTCAGTTTCATTACAAAATTAGAGCACAAGGAGAATCCTGTAGTGGACACTGTATATTTGAGCATTAGAAAAATACTTAATTGGATCTCATGAAATCCTACTTTAAAGTTGAAGTAAAATTGGCCTGCATACACATTCACAGAAATGGAAAACGGGTGAGCTGAATATAAACAAGAAATAATGACAAACAGCAACAGATTGGGTGTGTGAAAGAGGTATCCAGTGAGTCAAAAGAAACAGGCTTAGATTGAGTTCCATTTAACATCGACTCTCACAATCTGAAAGAATGGCTTGCATTCGACTCTCACAATCTGAAAGAATGGCTTGCATTCCATGTGGTCATTAAAGTAGTACAAGATACTGATTATTGGAGTCCTTGAACCCCATGAAAACTAGCAATCCAGTGCATTCACCAAAGTACAAAAATTAGGCAAGATAAACATGACTTTTGTCATGAAAAGAATGAAAGATGAAGTACTGGGAAGTAGAAATGGTGACTGAAGGGTTATAGCATCTGGAGGATAACCACACAATAATGAATAAAACATACCACAATAGTGTTAAAACCTAAACGAAAGGCTTCATATTGAATTAGAGACTGGAGTGGGCTGTGTTGTTAGAAAAGCTCACTAGGGTCTAAGACTTTATAAATAAATGAAGTAGACTAAAAAATAAAGAAGTAGTATTGCCTAGTGATTTGCCTCATGAAATTAAAAATTAGTGAGAACTTTTATCATCTCCCTGGTAGAGATTCTTCAGCAGATTACAAAAGTATGTGATATGGTTAGGCTTTTTGTCCTGATCCAAATCTCATATTGAACTGTAATCCCCACATGTCCCGGGAGGGAAGTGATTGGATCGTGGGAGTGGTTTCCCCCATGCAGTTCCCATGGTAGTGAGTGAATTCTCACGAGAGCTGATTGTTTTATAAATCATAGTTTTTCCTGCGCTCACAAACGCTGTCTCTCACCTACCTCCATGTAAGACATGCCTCTCCTGTCATGATTGTAAGTTGCCTGAGGCCTCCCCACCCATGTGGAAATGAGTCAATTAAACTTATTTTCTTTATAAATTCCCAGTCTCAGGTATGTCTTTATAGTTGTGTGAAAATGAACTAATACAGTAAATCTTTCCAGCACATGTCTTAAAGTAATAGATCTCCCTCCTTACATATAAGGGCACTATTTTCAATCGGAGAGATTGTGTGGATTGATTAAAACACAAGTATTTATTCATTCAGCAAATATTTACCGAGCACTTACAATGTGATAGACATTTATCTAGGTGTAGGCCATTTATTAGAGAATAAAAGTAAGGTCCTCCTTTCATAAAGCTTACATTCTAGTGAAAATACAGAAAATAGAAAACCACAATGCAGAGCAATCAAGGAGAGTGGAAAGGAACAGAGAATATGAGCTACTTTGAACAGAATAGTCAGGGACGGCAACTCTAATAAGGGCACTTTTAAAGTAGAAAATGAAATTGAGGGAGCAAAACATACAGATATCTATGGTAAGAATTTTTCAGGTAGATGAAATGATCATTGGAAAGGCCATGAGGCAGGAGCAAACTTGGTGTGTTGAGAATGCAGCAAGAAGGCCAGCATGGAAGCAGGACTGGTGATGTAGCATGGAAGGAAGCAGAGACTAGATCTTATCGGGTTTTCCTAGAGCTGCAGTGGTTGTTGAAAGAACACCACTCAGATCTCCTGCTGCCTACAGCATGGGTGATGCATCCAGTTGTTGCCCCACTAGATTCACCAGCAAAGTTGTGCCAAAACCGCACTTCCCCCAGGCTGCTCTAAGGCTATGTCTGAGTATAGCGGGGACACTCATGCCCTATTCAGGATTTTTCCAAAAGGTGCCTTTGACTTGGAGATTTGTGAACCTGCCACTACACTGTCCATAGCTGCACTCTATCGGTGACCACCATCACCACTGCTGTCATCCAGGCCTCCAGGGAGAGGACAGCACTCACCTCTTGTCCACTTCTTTCCAAATGTAGTTTGGGTTGCTACCCTGCAATCATCAAAACCTCTCATAAAATAAAGTGGAAAGTTGAATCATATATGCCTTTAACTTACATGAATCATGAATCAAGTACAATTACTCAGTGAAAAGAAAAGAAAAGAAAAGAAAAGAGGGGAGGTAGGGAGGAGAAAGAGAAATAATTTAAATAGTGAAATGTGGGACACTCTGCCCACAATTTCTTTCAGTGTGACTATTCACCAGAGGTTGGTCTCAGGTCATCATGCCACTTACAGCGAGAGCACTTTGCAGCTTAGAGTATGATTTAAAGATATATATTTTTGCTATGTGTCATGAAAAGGGGTCATGGATACAGAGCAGTAGTGCCACATGGTGCAAACATAGTATAGAATTTATTGGAGAAAAATTTAAAAATATAGAGGGAGAGAAGCAAAAGAACGTATGCCTTGCACTGTCATTATTCTGCAGCATAGGGCAGGCATAGGTCGTCATCACACAATGGCCAAGATTCCAAGAGAGCGGGGTTGGCCCAGATCAGCAGGCTAGACACATGGCAGCAGGTACCCCAAGAGAGAACAAGTCCAGCTTCCACATCAGAGTACATAGTTATAGTATAGTATAGTATAGTACTTACTGGTCCTGTAACTAGTTAGAACTAGATATTTGAATATTTAGTTTATCTGAGTACATATATATTATATATATTCCATATATATTATATATATATTCCATATATATTATATATTATATATATATTATATATATATATTCCATATATATATATTATATATATTCCATATATATAATATATATACTCCATATATATATTATATATACTCCATATATATATTATATATATATACTCCATATATATATATTATATATATATACTCCATATATATATATTATATATATATACTCCATATATATATATTATATATATATACTCCATATATATATTATATATATATACTCCATATATATATATATTATATATATACTCCATATATATATTATATATATATACTCCATATATATATTATATATATACTCCATATAGACATTATATATATATACTCCATATATACATTATATATATACTCCATATATACATTATATATATATACTCCATATATACATTATATATATATACTCCATATATATACATTATATATATATACTCCATATATATACATTATATATATATACTCCATATATATACATTATATATATATACTCCATATATATACATTATATATATACTCCATATATATATATTATATATATATACTCCATATATATATATTATATATATATACTCCATATATATATTATATATATATACTCCATATATATATTATATATATATACTCCATATATATATATATTATATATATTCCAAGGGATCTCTGGGTCCAGGAACAATACTAGTGGTTATGCATACTTAAAACCAAGGTCTTAAAACACAGGTGCCCTAGAAAGAGCCTTGCCAGCCTGGAATGCTGACACTAGGCAAGGGTCTTGCTATCTTTTAGCAAACTAGGTCAATCCAGCTGAGCCAGCTTTCTGCTAAGCTGCCAAAAAGAGGAATAAAATTCACCTCTAGAGCAGTTCAAATTTGTTTTTCATCAGTGTAAATGATCCCTGAACATAAGTCAACTACTACATCTGATAAACAAAGAAACAGCTATTTAATGGGCTGTCATTTCTATCCACGCATTTCTTTGTCTTTCCCTGCATCAAAACCACACTGTCTTAGCTACTTTAATACTATTTACAAAAATACTACAACTACTATAATAAGTCTTGATATATAGTAGCAAAGTGAAGCTGGGAAATAAATCAGCTTTTTCTAAATTGCTTGGCAAATAAGCTGTAATATTTGTAACAGCTAACGTTTTAGTCTCTACTCTGTCAAGCTCTGTCATTTTAAAACATTGATTTAACTATAGGAGTTGTTATTTTTCTCATTTCACCAATAAGGGAATTGAAAATAAAGTTATTAAATGATCTGTCCAAGACCCAAGAGGCAGAGGCAGGATTTGAATCCAGGAATGTCTGAACCCAAATCCTAGGCTCTTTTCATAAAACCCAATAACTAGACTTTAACCATTTCATTTTAATGCCTTCCTCCCTACTAGCCACCATAACCTTCATGTTCCACTAGTGATGAAAAAAGTTTTGGAGCAAGGAGGCATTCTTAAGCAAAGTCATTTGTTATTAATTACCCCAAAGAAGAATCTCTATAGCTATTTTATGTGTTGTAACCTTTGCAAATGTATTTACTAGGTATGTACTGTGTGTTATGTGTAAATATCTTACAGAAATAAGCTCATTTAATTCAACACTGCTAATAAACCTATGATGTAGAAATCTTTGGCTCTATTTTACAGACTCTTGCCTCAGGTGGCATAGCCTCCAAGTAGGGAGTGAATGTTTACCTAAGCAATCTAGATTAGTGTCAGTGTTCTTCACCACCAGACTGTGCAGTCTCTCATGAGAAGCCCAACAGAGATTTTTCTTTTGGACCTCCCTTGCTGAAAAAAATTACAGATGAATCCTAATGGAAGACAAAAGACTAAGGAGTCACTAGCAAATCATTTTCTCAAAGAAGCATTCCTTGACACTCACCTTCCCTGTCAAGGCCACGTTAGGGCACCGAACTCTGTGTTCCTTCCCTTCCTTTCCCTCCCACAGGTAGTGTAACAGAGAGGCTAAAGCACAGCTTCTGAAGCCATACAAAGTTGGCTTTGAATGTCCACTCTTCTACTTACCAGCTGAGTAAGCTTAGGGACATACTCAGACTGTTTGGGCCTCAGTTTCCTCATCGGTACAATGGGACAACAATCATAATTGTAATAGACATGGTAATAGAAATAGTAAACTTCACAAAACACTCTAGGTTTTTGTAACATTTAAGATAGAAAATAATTTAACATAGTAATTAGCACTCAGTAAATCTTGGCATCTTCTATTGTTGCTATCAAATAACCTTGTAATTACCTATTTACTCTCTATATTCAATGTACAGTAAGCTTCTTTGTAACCCCAGTGTGGGACACACGGTAAGTACTCAGAAAACATTCATTAAAGGAATGATGTCCTCATTTCTCTTTCTGAAAAATTCTCATACACTCTTCTTTCACAAGTTTATCTCTCGCTGGGCGTGGTAGCTCATGCTCATGGTTCCAACATTTTGGGAGGCCAAGGTGGAAAGATGACTTGAGCCAAGGAGTTCGAGACCAGTCTGGGCAACATAGTGAGATCTCGTCTCTACAACAAATAATTTAAAATAAAATTAGGTGTGGTAGCAAGTGCCTGTAGTCCCAGCTACTTGGGAGGCTGAGGTGGGAGGATCACTTGAGCCCAGGGAGGTTGAGGCTGCAGTGAGCCATGATCACGCCACTGCACTCCAGCCTGGGTGACAGAGTGAGACCCTGTCTCAAAAAAAAATTACAATGCCATTCTCAATTATTCCAGTGGAAGCATTAACACAAAGATATCCCCAGTATGCATTGTGCCATTACTGATCACATAGCATGCTCTGTGTCTGCACATATGTGAACTCCAGGCTTGCTTTCTCCACAATTTCCCTCTAACTGCTGATGTTTCCTGTATAATGTGCCTGTTGAATACAGCCTGAAAATGGAGAGTGAATGGAGATAATTTGGTATATTATTTTGTGGAATATAAAAGATAATTCCTGCATTCCATTCCAGATGTCTACACAAAGTAAAGTTCTTTATTTTTTTTTCATGATATGCTTGTAAATAAATGTAATTTTAGGGAGAAAATGGCATTTTTCTCTGCATATATATTTAAATGTTTTCAGAGTTGTTTTTCAAAGAGAAGTGATATTGCCCCAGGGAAAATTGTGTGAGCTACTAGGTCTAGAGCTTTTTTATAACAAGTTGAGAACAGCTAAAGTCACTATATTAATATTACTTTTAAACCAAGCCTCTCTAAAATGGAACAAGAAGATCTAAAAGAGTCTCCTCTCTTTCATGCACTTGCCATTTTCCGTTTCTCTCGGTTGACTCAATGTCCTTTTCTAGGTTCAGTTACTGGCCTGTCTTTGCCGTCTGGTGACCTCTAAAATGTGAAATGAGCTATCCTCCTAAACATTACCAGGGTGCCAATGGGCTTGTTTTCAACGTGAGGACCTCAAACAAGCACTGGAGAAGGAGTTCTTGAGAGAACATAGATTTTTTTTTTCTTTTTTTTTTTGACACAGAGTCTCACTCTGTTGCCCAGGCTGGAGTGCAGTGGCGTGATCTCAGCTCAATGCAACCTCCACTTCCCAGGTTCAAGCTATTCTCCTGCCTCAGCCTCCCTAGTAGCTGGGATTACAGATGTGTGCCACCACCTGTCTAAATTTTGTATTTTTTGCAGAGGTAGGGTTTCATCACATTGGCCAGGTTGGCCTCGAACTCCTGACCTCATGTGATCCACCCTCCTCAGCCTCCCAATGTGTTGGGATTACAGTTGTGAGCCACCGCACCCGGCCTGAGCATAGATTATTAATTTATCAATGCCTTTACCTGATGAAGAGTATAGACATTATCCTATCCCTGTATCATTTTATATTTAATATCTTGGGTGTGTGTGGAACCTTTAATTTGCAGGTCTTTGGAGAGAGTACCGAGCAAGCTTTTAGTCTCCATTACAATTGGCTCACTATTCTTACTGATTCTATCTGTATCCTTAGCTTTATGGAAAAAAAAAAAAACTTTTTAATGAAACCCTTCCATTAATCATCAGAGTATTCCTTTTTAACAATTTCAGCTGCTCGTGTTTACAAGGGCTTCTCTAAAATTGTATTGTTTCTGCCATGCTGTCTTTCTTTACAAAGTTAATATAAACCTTTGGCTTGATGTGATCTAATTTAATTATTTTAAACTTTGGACCTCTTGTATGGCAAATGGACAATTACTGGGTTGTTTGATGTGCCTTTTGATAGGTAACTTGGCCAGAAGACTCTCATCTCTGTTGGGATAAGTTCCAAAAGAAAATTTTATGTTTACAAGACACTAAAATTCAAAGACAGAAATACTTGTGGCAATAATAAACTGGGGTATATGTAGTTTTGAAAATTAGTTTGCAGAAAGGCTTTATAAAAGATATTAAACATTTAGCAGATGAATTTAGAGAGCAACCTAAGAGGCACAAAGAAGTCTGACAAAAACAAACTTGGTGTGCTCTTTGGGAGAAATCCCTAGGTGTCCCCCTTGCTTACGTAACTTACAATGATAGTTCTTTCTACTCTATAATGCTCCTAGTAATTGAAGATGAAGCTGAGACCTCAAGCCACCCCCAGAAAATCTACCAGTATCCTAAGATTTTATTTATCATTCTAAATTTAAAAGTCAATATGAAATTCAGTCAACCTCAGGCAGCGGACCATCCAAAGATGCTCTAGCAAAAACCAAGACAAGAGGGCCAACAATTCTTGAAAGAGTCGGAATGAAAACATAGCTGAAGTGACAGCAATCTGCTTAAGCAACTAGAAATCTGATAAAAAGTGATTAGCTAAAAGATTCCTTGACATCAGTGATTTGAAATCACCTGAGGACATCTATTCATGTAATTTCTTCTTTTTCAGACCACACAATGTCTCTTACATGGTTCCTTATTGCATCTCATCTCAAATTCAGACCTCTTATCTTCCTCTTCAAACTCATGTCATGCACGGTAACTATCTTTCAGTTCCTTGAAAGTGTTTTCCTTCTATATGACTTATATTCTTTTCTCTGCATAGAACATGCTCCTACTCATCCTCAAGCACACACTTGCACCCTTCAGCCGTGCTCTACCTCATCATAGAGCTGATCATTATTGTGATTTGGTTTTTAGCTTAAATGCCACCCCTTTAGGATTTCCCTAGCTACCCTATAAAGCAGCCTCACTGAATTCTTTCTTTCTTTTTTTTTTTTTTTTTTTTCTGAAAGGAGCCTTGTTCTGTTGCCCAGGCTGGAGTTCAGTGGTGCGATCCCAGCTCACTGCAACCTTTGCCTCCCAGGCTCAAGCGATACTCCTGTCTCAGCCTCCCAAATAGCTGGGATTACAGGCGTGCGCTACCACACCTGGCTAATTTTTGTATTATTATTAGAGACGGGGTTTCACCATGTTGGCCAGGCTGGTCTCGAAATCCTGACCTCAAGCAATCCACCAGAATGAATTCCTTTTTACAGTATTTAGCTTATTTCCTTTAAAGAATTTATCACTATTTTTAATTACGTATGTGTTTGCTTACTAATTACTTTTTTATTGTCTGCCCCTTCCCTAAAGACTATCTGTGTTTTCTATTTTTTCTCCAAATCAACTACAGTACATGACATATAATAGGCACTCATAAATAAATGTTGAAAGTATGACTGAGTGAACAAATGGAAAATAGGAATAAAAAAATAAACAGAGGGTGACATAACAACATCTCTGGGAGGAACTGTCTCCTAAACATTTCAAGACCTTATATTCAATGTCATTGTCTCACGCTAGAGTTCCTCAATTCTCTCAGCTCATTGTACCTATATGGGGAATGTTTTAAAGTACCAACTGGATAGGCTCCATCTCAGACCAATTGAATCTGAATCTCTTGGGAGGTGCATCCCACATTTTGGTAGTTTTGAAAGTTCTCCAGCTACTTCTAATGTGTAACTAACACTGGCTTATTCCAGCGGTTCTTAAATGTGAGCTGTATCAGAATTTCCCAGAGAGCTTGTTAAAACATAAATTTCTGAGTCCCACCTCCAAAGTGTCTAGTGGGTCTGCATTTCTAATGAGTTCCCAAATGATGCTGATGCTGCTGGACTGGGAACTACACTTTGAGAGTCACTAGCTTATACTTTCATGTAGATTGCATTGTGCTTAGCTTCTCCACTTTGGGAGGACAGGGAATGCTATCAGGGCTACTTTATAGAAGGAAACAAAAAGACTTGAAATGAAAATAACAAGATGCTTTAGGCATAGTTTCCAAGTTAATCACTTCCATGTTGCTCACAATTGAATAGAGATGCCAGAAATCATAGAATGCCATTCAGCTGAGAGATGGAGGCAACAGGAGAGCCAATACATTGGCAACACACTCTGCACTAATTGTATATAGAGAATCATGAGAAGAAAAAGCCCAAGGCATGCTAATGAAGAAAGATGATGCCATGTGTCTCCAAATAGCCTGTAACTTCTCCACCAATGCAATCATAAACTCAATTCTGGTAATAATGCTATCTTTGAAGAGACTGATTTCTATAAGTGATTTCAAGAATTTCTTTACAGCTGCATACAGTATGCAACCTATTGGTTTTTAGTAAGTTAACATGCAGTTGGAGTAGCAATTAACTGTGCCATTGCTTTAAACTTTTCCTTAATGCTTAATATTTATGCTTCATCCTGAGTATTCCAGCACTTTAAAAGGGTAAGTTTCCTGGGCAAAGGCAAAGGGATGCAATGCACTTTTAAATGCAGTGAGGCTGATCTGCTCACTTAAGAGCTTCAGTACATCATTTTGCAATCACATATCTCAGAATAATTTATACAATCAATTAAAGAGCATTATCAAGGAATGATTTGACAACTGTTGCCATGCCAACCAGTGAAGTAGACAGCGCCTTCATGTTTAAAGGCTGCACCTGGTGATGGATGTAGCAGATTTTGAGGACTCAGACAGAATCACAGATGTCCAAAGGTGTGGAGGGAACATGATTTAAAGCTTTGATGTTGTGCCATTTTTACTGGCAAAAGGGTGTTGATGGCATGTTGTTCACTTTCTCATTAAAATTCTGTCATTTTTCACAGTGTTCTGCATTCAGAGCTGAAAACTGAAGTGAGAATGCACTTTACAGACTGATAAAATATGATAGCAAAATGGATGATGTTCATTTGCAGGCTGAATTAATTTTTTAAAAAAAGTTTGTGTCAGTGAATTTATGAAAAGCCCGTTCATCAGACACAACTTTATCAGCCTTAATGGACATGTTTTAAATATTTTTACATTAATAATTAAAATTTTGGGTGACAAATGAATTCCAGTGCATTGAGCTATAAAATATTTGGAATGGGTCACTGTAGAACACAACAGAAGAAGAAAGTACACTTTTCAATGTTAATATGTTGCCTGATTTCTTGATGTCAGTGGCACGATGAAGTCAATAAACCTTAAAGACTTTGAAGACGGACTGGTCTTTTTTCACTAAGTTATCCCAGAAACCCAGGTGGTCCAAGAGGATTTTCAAGTATAACCCTATATGAGTAAGCAACAGAGATGAGATGAGAGTTTATGGGATTGGCCAGCCTGTTCTCTTCCCAGTGATAGTTTCTTGCCCTATTCCATCACACCTTTTCTTAAACCAAGTGATCGTATGTTAACATATGTGATCAATGCATTGTTCACAATATTTTTAATAGCATGATGGGTTATAAATTCAGATTCTAAATCCACTGTGTTTGAATCTCAACTCCTCCTCTTTCTAGTTATGTGATGTCAGGCAAGTTATCTGATCTCTCTCTGCCTCAATTTCCCCATCTGTGAAATGGGGATAATAGTGTCCACATCTTAAGGTTGTGAACATTATATGAGTTTCTGTACATATTTATGACAGTGCCCGAAGTGTTTACCCTCATGGTCGTCATCATTATAATGATCATCATCATTATTATTTTATCTTAGCCTTTCTATAAATAGTTATTGAGGCATTCCTAATTTTTTTTCTTTCCATTCAAGAACATGAGTTGACATAACCTGGGGAGTAAATTGCGAAGTTCAATCAATGATTTAATGAATGAATTGAAAAAATTACCTTGAGATTTTATTTTTTTTCATAGAAATAAAATAAAATGAAAGGTAATAGATACATGCACAGAAGGCAAAAAAAACTGATGGAATTATCTAATTTTCTATAGCAAACTTTGGTTTATTTCTACTTATTTCTGGAATATGCTACACACCATGCTAGGATAATAGAAGGGAGTCTTTTGTAAGACATAAAATAGCGCAGAGACTCTTTAAAACAAAATAATCACCTTCTCCAAAAGTTATACTCAAAGGCCATTTTAGCAATTTAAAGATGATCTTTTAGAAGCTTTAATTCAAGGCTGGATCCTGAAAGGGCACTGTTCTTTATCCTCTACTCTCAGAGGCAGGAGGACACTCCTCCCTGCTTGAAGGAAAGCAGATGAAACCAAAGGATGGATGCTCTGCTTTGAGGCTCAGAGAAAAAAGAAATGAAGCCATACAGGTTTGGGCAAAAGGAGAGGGCAAATTGCAAGGGATACCGTAGAGCAGATACTCCCTCGCAACTTTCCAAGGACTTGTGTAAACTTCCCAGGTGACTCGGGAGAAAAGCAAAGTGTCTTTGATTCATTCTCTGGATTCCTGGTATGTGCTTGATCTTCTAGCAATAAGATTTATATTTTATAATGGATTATGCTTTCCCATCAACATTAAATGCAAAAAACGGGAAATTTATGTAACCAAGAAACATTAGAAGCTAAATGATTATCTTGGCTGATGTGAGATATGATAATGATAAATTTAAGAATAAACACCAGTTATTTGACAAATTCGGTTTTAGTACTCTCAGCCCTTAGAGTCAAAAACTGGTATCCAAACCAAAAAATAATCTATGTACTGTATGTACAGCAAGAATGATCCAGTTCAGTGTATATGTGATTATACTGCCTGAAGATTTCACTTGGCTTATTAGTTTCTGGCTCTTGCTCTTGTTCACCTTATCCACTGATTAGAGAATTATGAAACTCTCTGTATATACATGCTCACAAACACATACACAGACATACATACACTGTAAAAAAAAATATGTATGTGATAAAACATATGGAAGTCTCTGCTTTAAGGAGCTTACAATCAAGTTAAAGAATAATAAATATATGAAAAGCTAGATAAAAATAGAAGACACCAAAAAGAAAATGATCACAAAGCACTTTATACTTTCATTTCAAAATTAGTGGTGTTAAAAAATACATATATTTCTCTAGAAATTAGAGCTGTTTTCCTCTCTTGGGTTTTCTAATTATTTCATTTCCCTTCTTTCTTCACCTTGATTTTGAGCAATTTCTTTTATTTCCAGTTTTATTGAAGGTATCCAAGATTTATTTTCCCCTTGATATAAACAAAAGAAATATCAACATCTGATTATTTATACATGTTCTTCAGTATCTAGGAATAGTATAAAGTTTCTATGCTTCTGAAAATATTTCTGAGATGAAACTTTTGGAAAGAAAGTTTGCATTCTAGATATTAGTTTCAGGTTTTTCTATGATAATCACCAATATCTTTTCTATGATAATTGCCAATACCTTGATCACCAATTTTGCTTTGGAAAAAAAGTTTATTTATTCATTCATTGAGCAAGCATTTACTGAAAGCCTACTATGTGACAGACATGCATGCTATAAAGAGATATAAGCCAAGGTTCCTATCCTTGAGGAAATACTGTTTTTAAATGAAAATAAAGGATGATGGTTAACCAGTTATTAATCCCTAGGGGCCATTGATCAATGCAAAAGTCTTAAAGGTTTAAAAGTTTCCAGAAATCCGCCAGGCACAGTTGCTCACGACTGTGATCCAGGTACTTTGGGAGGTCAAGGAGGGTGGATCACTTGAGTCCAGGAGTTTGAGACCAGCCTGGCCAAAATGGTGAACCCCATCTCTAGCAAAAATGCAAAAATTAGCTGGGCATGGTGGCAGGGAATCACTTGAACCCAGGAGGCAGAGGTTGTTGTCAGCTGAGATTGTGCCACTGCACTCCAGCCTGGGTAACAGAATGAGGCTCTGTCTCAAAATAAATAAATAAAAATGAAATAATAAAAGTTTTTAGAAATCTCCCAAATTCCTTGATCTCTCTATTGGTCAAACACTGCATTTTTCTTTGGGGGTGGGGTGCAATTTTCCTGGCTGTTGTTTGTTTATTGATATTTCCCCAGATATCTTGGGAATAGCTCAAGATTTGCAACTTCCTGTGAACTGGAGGCAAGGCCCTTTGTGAATGTTTCTGCATTCCTCTCTGCCATCTTTCTGCTTCTTACTGCCTTTCTTTTTGCCCTCTCCTGAAACCATTAAACTCATCTATCAACTTCTAAAAAAAAAAAAAAAGAGGCAGGGAAAGGAGTATTAAAGATACATACAGTAAGAGGTGCAGGCTTCTGAAGTCTATAAAGTGAGAAGGATGAGGGATGTGTTGTTGCAGTGAACTGAATATTTCTGAGATGAATCTTTTAATTTGCATTAATCACCAGTCACTGAGGACATATCCCTGCCTAGAAGACAAGTTAGAGGGTGTGTGTGGGTAGCTCTTTCCAAACAAACGTGAAAGCTTTAGGCAAAAATATTTCAAAACCAGTGGTTAAAGGAAATGAAATGCACATGGAAAGACAGACAGAGATAAAATGTGAACTTACTTCAAAGTTACTTTACGACATACAGATGACTGGACTTAAGAACTGAAACACAGAGTAATTATAAATTTGCTCATAAGACAAAAATATGCTGAAGCAGAGCAAAGATTAGCCTTATGTACATGCCCTTCTCTTCCTATCTCTTGGATTTGTCTCCTTCAAACTTCAGTAGGAACACTTTGAAAAGAAAGAGTGTTTTTGTTGATTTCATGGTCAACCTATGCAACTTTTGTTTGGCTTTTTGCTTCAGATTTTTGAGGCTACAAGGACAAGAAAGATTAATCCCTTCTAAATCCCATAATACTAAATACACTTAGAGGGCACTAGATAATTGTTTTTTATTTTTAAAAAATGGTTCTTAAACATTATGAATAGAAATAAAGACATTAAATTTGCATCTTATTTTTAAAATGCATTTTGTATTCTTTATTTTGCTACTGTAAAACTAGAGTTCCTCAGTCATAGGTCCTAAGCCAGATTTCTTATTGGTAACAGTAATAACAATTTTATTTAATTTATAAAAGTCTTTCATTTTCAAAACTCTGTCTCCTCAATTCTTTTTTTTTTTTGGTTTCTCTAACAAGCCCTCTGAGCTTTACAAGTGGAGGAGATGGTGAGGAACAGAGAAAAGAACTAACATATAGTAAGCATTTATTTACCGTGCACCAGGTGCTATACCTGGTGCTCTGTATATGTTGCCATATTAAGTAAATCCTTTTACTAAATCTGTGAAGGAACTTTGATCAAGTCACTTACTTTCTCCATGACTCTACTTAGTTATCTGAAAAATGAGGATAATAATAATATCTAAGTCACAGGATTTTCATGAGGGTTAAGTAAGTTAGTATACATAAAGTTTTTGGAATAATGAGTGAGGCACTTTAAGCATAAAATAAGTGTTACTATTATTACTACTGCCATTTTATAATGTTTCCATTTTACAGATGAGCAAACTGAGGCTTTTAGGAGTTAAGCAACATACATTTACTAACTAGCTGAATAGCAATTTGAATCCATATCTATCTGACTCACATATCTGAATATTGCAATTGGACCTCCAGTTCCAAAATGGCAGCACAGAAGTATGCTTCAGTCTCCCCGACAGAAATCCAAATACAATTACACAGTGTTGAGATTATTACCAGCAATTCCAAGAACTCAAATATGAAGACAAGACAGTTCCATAGACCATGGAGAAGAGAAAAAGACTCTGAGCAGACAGTAAAGGAATCAGACTTCCACATCTGTAACACCCTTCCCCATACTCTGCCCAGCACCGGGTTTATGGGAAATTTTTATCTGACTTATGGTTTCTACATTGGAAAAAGTGAGATTAATATGGACAAAAAACTTCCCTGTCATCTTGGATTCCCTAGGAGGAGACCTGTCCCTGCCTCAATCCACGGGAAGCATCAAGGGTGCCTAAAGGTAGAAATATCCCTGATGATAGCCAGAGACAAAAAGGGACTACCATCCCCACCCCAAGAAACTACACTCTGTAACTTGGCTAAAGGAGATGCCAAATCAGAGTGGCTATTCAGCAGTATCATGCTATAGGAGGTTTCTTCTACAGGTCCCCTGGACAGGAAACCCTAATCAGCCTTCTGACTCTACCAGGATATCTCCTTTGCAACCTCCTCCTTTAGATATGGGCAATACACTGACCATTTACTAGAACTGGGATAAACTGGGCTTAAGGTACCATCTAGTGCTATAAAGAAGGCAGCACCTACTGGGGAAAAAATATTAAAAAAGAAAATCAGCATGTAAATTTCAAAGAATCTCTCAGCAAATGTATCTAATGAAAACCAAAACAAACCAGACAGAGAAGACTGGAAAAAATAAATAATCCTTCAATACAAAGACATAGACATACATCCACAAGAAGCAACAGAAAATGGGGAAACATGTCCTCCTCAAGTGGACAAAGCAGGGAACCAGTCACTGACCCTAAAATAGATGTTGACATGTGAACTCTTTGACCAATAATTTAAAATAGCACTTTTAAGGAAATTCAGTGATCGCCAAGATAACACAGAAAATCAATTCAGAAATTTATCAGAGAAATTAAAATAAAAATTAAAAAAACAGAAATCTTAGAAATGAAAAATAAGTTCACTGAAATGAACAGTTCATTAGAGATTCTCAACAGCAGGATAGGTCAAACGGAGGAAAGAATCAATGAGCTTCAGGCAGGCTATTTGAAAATACGTAGTCAGAGGAGAAAAAAAAAGAAAAGAATGAAAATGAACAAAGATCACCTGCAAAATAGAAAAAAAAATTACCTCAAAAGACCAAATCTAAGAATTGTTGATATTCAAGAGGGAGCTGAACAAGAACAAGAAATAGATGGCTCACTCAAAGAAATAATATCAGAAAACTTTCCAAAACTTGAGAAAGAGATTAATACACAAGTATGAGAAGGTTGGATAACAACAGACAGAGTCAACCCAAATAAGACTACTTCAAGGCATATAATAATATTTTATCAAAGTTCAAAGCCAAAGCCAATGAAAGGATCCTAAAAGCATCAAAACAAAAGAAACAAATAATATATAAGGGAGTTCTAATTCATCTGGCAACAGACTTCTCAAAACAGACTTCTCAAGGGCAACCACAGAAGCCAGGAAGGATAGCATTTGCAAAGTGCTGGAAGAAAAAAAAAACAACTGCCATCCAAGAATATAGTACCCAGCAAAGCTACCGTTCAAATACAAAGGAGAGAGAAAGTATTACCCGAGAAAGTATTACCCAAACTACAGCTGAGAGAATTCACTAACACTAAACACATCTTACAAGAAATGCTAAAGGGAGTTCTTCAATCTGAAAGAAAAAACCACTAATGTGCGAAAAGAAAACATTTGAAGGTATAAAAGCAACCACTAAAATTAAGTACACAAAATTAAGACAAACCCAGGATACTGTAATACTGAAATTATGGTGTGTAATTCACTCATTACTCTAGTAGGAAACCCAAAAGACAATTCTATTAAAAACAATAATACCTATGGCAATCTGTTAAGAGAGATGAAATATAAATATACATAAATTGAGACAACATAAAGTTAAAATGTTGTGACAGGGAAATGAAGTATAGGGATTTTTTTCCTTTTTTCTTTTATTGTGATATAAAGTAAGTTGTCATCATTTTAAAATAATTCTATACGGAAGTCCTAGAAAGAGCAATCAGACAGCAGAAAGAAAAAGCATCCTCGTTGGAAAGAAAGAAGTCAAATTATCCTTCTTTGTAGATATGATCTTATATTTGGAAAAACCTAAAGACTCCACCAAAAAACTATGACAACTGAAAAACAAATTGAGTCAGGTTGCAGAGTAGAAATCAACATACAAAAATAAGTAGCATTTCCATATGCCAATGGTGAACAATGTAAAAAAGAAATCAAGAAAGTAATCCCAATTTACAATAGCTACAAATAAAATTAAATAATAGGAATTAACTAAACCAAAGAAATGAAAGATCTCTACAATGAAAACTATAAAACACTGATGAAAGAAATTGAAGAAGGCACAAAAAAATGGAAAGATATTTCATGTTCATGAACTGGAAGAATCAATATTGCTAAAATGTCCATACTACCCAAAGCAAACTACAGATTCAATGCAATCTCTGTCAAAATGTCAATGACATTCTTCACAAAAATAGAAAAAAAAATTCTAAAATATATATGGAACCACAAAAGACCCCGAATAGCCAAAGCTATCCTGAGCAAAAAGGGCAAAGCTGCAGGAATCATATTACCTGACTTCAAATTGTACTACAGAGCTATCATAACCACATGCCAGCATGGTACTAGCATAAAAACAGACGCTGACCAATGGAACAGAATAGAGAACCCAGAACCAAATCCATACATCTACAGTGAATTCATTTTTGACAAAAGTTCCAAGAGTATGCACTGGGAAAAAGATAGTCTCTTCAACACATGGTGCTGGGAAAACTAGATATTCATATGTAGAAGAAGAAAACTAGATCCTTGTTTCTCACCACATACAAAAATCAAATCAAAGTGGATTAAAGACTTAAATCTAAGACCTCAAATTATGAAACTACTACAAAAAACTTTGGGTAAACTCTCTAGAACATTGGATTGAGCAAAGATTTCTTGAGTAATACTCAACAAGCACAGACAACCAAAGTAAAAATGGACAAATGGAATCACGTTAAGTTAAAACACTCCTGCACAGCAAAATAAACAATCAATAAAGTGAAGAGACAACCCACAGAATAGGAGAAAATATTTGCAAACTATCGAACTGACAAGAGATTAATAACCAGATATATAAGAAGCTTAAACAACTCTACAGGAGAAAAAATATAGTAATGAGATTTTTTAAATGGGCAAAAGATCTGAATAGATATTTCTCTAAAGAAGACATATAAATGACAAACAAGTATATGAAAAGGTGCTCAACATCATTAATTATTAGAGGAATGCAAATCAAAACTACAATGATATATCATCTCATCCCAGTTAAAATGGCTTTTATCCAAAAGACAGGCAGTAACAAATGTTGGCGAGGATGTGGAGAAAAGGGAACCCTTGTACACTGTTAGTGGGAATGTAAATTTGTAAAACCACTATGCAGAACAGTTTGGAGGTTCTTCAAAACACTGAAAATAGAGATACCATATGATCCAGCAATACCACTGCTAGGTATATACCCAAAACAAAGGAAAGCGGTATATCTAAGAGATATCTGCATTCCCATGTTTATTGCAGCACTGTTCACAATTGCCAACATTCGAAAGCAACCTAAGTGTCCATCAACAGATGAATGGATCAAGCTAATTTGGTACATATAGATAATAGAGTACTATTGAGCCATAAAAAGAATGAGATCCTGTCATTTGCAACAATATAGATAGAACTAGATGTCTTTTTTTTTTTTGAGATGGAGTCTTACTTTGTCACCCAGGCTGGAATGCAGTGGTACAGTCTCAGCTCACTGCAACCTCTGCCTCCTGGATTCCAGCAATTTGGAGGTCATGTTGTTACATGAAGTAAGCCAGGCACAGAAAGAAAAACTTCACATGTTCTCACATATTTGTGGTAGCTAAAAATAAAAACAATTGAACTCATGGAGACAGAGAGTAGAATGATAGTTACCAGAATCTGGAAAGGGTGGTTGGGGTATGAGGGAGAGGTGGGAATGGTTAGTGGGTACAAAAAAGTAGAAAAAATGAATGAGATCCAGTATTTGATAGCACAGCAGGGTGACTATAGTCAATAATAATTTAATTGTACATTTCAAAATAACTAAAAGAGCGTAATTGGATTGCTTGTAACACAAAGGATAAATGCTGGAGGTGATGGATACCCAATTTACCCAGACGGGGTTATTACACATTGTATCCTTGTATCAAAATATCTCATATACCCCATAAATGTACACACCTACTATATGTCCAAAAAAATTAAAAGTTAAAAAATATAATTTGTCATATCTACAAGGTGTTTTGGGTAGGCTTTATGGTAATCACAATGTAAAGACTTATAATAGATTAACTAAAAATAAAAAGCAACAGATTAAAACATGCTACTAGGGAAAAATCACTTAACCACAAAGAAAGACTGTGAGAAAGGGAGAGAGAAGTCGTAAAACAACGAAAAACATCCACCAGAAATAATAGCAAGCAGGAAATCATGAACTTCTCAAATGGAAAAAGCAAGGAACAAGTGCACAAAAATTATACTAGTAAGTTCTTACTTATTAATAATAACACTGAATGTAAATGACTCAGTTCTCCAGGTAAAAGGCATAGAGTTGCTGAATGGATAAAGAAACAAGACCCAACTATATGCTATCTACAGAAAATCCACTTTACATATAAAGAAAAACATAGATTGAAAGTGAAGGGGTGGAAAAAGATATTCCATCCAAGGGAAAACAAACAAAAAAAAAAAGTAGGAATAGCTATACTTCCATAACATAGACTGCGTTATTTCAGCTTCTAAGATCACTGATGAGAATAATATTTATTCATTTATTTGATTAATAGTTAACAAGTTATTCACTTTGTGCCTATTGCCAAACTGATCACTTTGAGTGATAAAAAGAGGTATAAAAATATTTCTTTAGGGAACATACCCACAAAGGTAAATAACAATAATAATATATATATGCTAAGCAGCAGTAAAATGATATGAGATGCATGCCACAGGGCAGGACAAAATTCAGTTCTGAAAGAATAATGGAGACAATATGTTTTGCATTTTGTGTGTAGGAGGCAGCACTCTGGGTGGAGGCATTTGGAGACAGTGCAGGGGAAGATATTGGAATTACCCTGACTGTTAAAAATAAATTTTAAGAGTGAACATAATGACCATGGTTACAGGAGATGTAGCCACAATACAAGCATGTCAATACTACTATAAATTAATATACTGTTTCAGAAATAGAATTCTTATCTAACATATATAACTCAGAAGCATTGATAAAGAAAAAGCAGAGAACACTAGAACAAAGTAAATGGCATAAAATATGAATGGTGAGGAAGTATGAATCTCTTGCAGAAAGCAATGCCATGAAATGTGGGTATTGATGGCACATCTCACCTCTTGCAGCCACAATAGCCTCCTGGTAGAGGAGTCAGTACAAAGTAATGTGGAAACTGTGAAGAGAGCAAGATAATAATGGGCCTTTTGTAGTAGGGGATGCTCATGGCAAGAAATTGATGGGAGGTCATCGGAGGGGGGCTGATGGTTGTGGATGTGAAAGTAGGGCCCACCTTCTCTGCAGCAATTATCTCGAAGTTTTGTCAAAGAAATATATCTGATTAGGATGCCTGCTTATCAGTTCTATTTTATTAACAGCAATGCAGAATGGAGCCTGTAGGATTTAGTGAGACCTACGAACAATTTGTTTACTTGGATGTTCCACAGGTCCTTCAAATTCACTGTTTTAAGCAGAATTCGTCATCCTTCCCCCATTTCCATACTTTCTTGTCCTCCACATAATTCTAGAACATTCACTTCCTCTCATTTCCCTTGGTCCCTCAGATAGGCAACCAATTCTGTCAATTCTACTTCCTTGGCGATTTTCCTCTCTGTTCCTTTCTCTCTGTCTTCATGGATACTGCTTTAATTCAGATACTACTTATCTCTACTCAGATTTTTACATATCTATCCTACATAAGTAAACATTTCTCTAGTCTCATTTCTCACTGTATCTCCCAATCACTCTGCCATAAAGCCACCAAAATATCTGCCAAAAAGGCAAACATGACTATCATCTCCACTGTCTTTGGAACAAAGTCTTGAGTCTTTGCCACAGCCCACAATGTCCCTCATTGGGCCTTTTTAGATCCATCTCACCTATGGCACCAGTCATGCCAAAAGCCTGGCCATGCCCCAGTGGGCCATAAGTTTTCATTTTCATGCCTCTGCTCATGCTCCCTCAGCCTAGACTGACTGGCCCTTTGTATGAAGATTTACTCATTTTCTTTTATTTCAAAAGATCTATTCATTTTTAACACCCAGCTCTCTCAGCTACTCTGAGCAATCTTTCCTCATTGTTCCTGGAGAGTTGAAAACACCCTATTTCAGTCTCTGCTGTACTTCTATTGTTGTGCTTTATCATACTTCTTTATTCATTTATTTTCTTAACTGTTATGCCTTGAACTCCTTGAGGTCAGAATTTTTATCTTTGTTCAAATTTGCATTTTGATATTTTGGATAATTCCTAGGCTATTGTAGGTGTTAATAAAAATTGATTGAAACAACTGGATAAATGAAAACATTACACACAACAAACATTCATATACATACATGTACAAAAACATATTACGTATGTATTCATGTATTTTCTTGTGGCATAGAGAAACCTCCCCTTTCAAAAGTATTCAGGAGAAAAGCAAAAGAAAGTTATTAGAAGATTGAAAAATATAAGTTTGGTAAAGTATATGTTGAGGTGATTGACCACAGGAATGTGCCCATTTTAGAGAACAATTTGAAAAACTTAGTGTATTATTGTTATCAATATTAGCCACAAACAGAAATTTCCTCAGACTAATTGAACTGTAGAAATAGTCTGAATACCGCCTGAGAAACACAAGAGGGTATTAAGACCTTCTCAAAAATAGTGGAAGACAATTTAAGACCCAATGACTTTCTACAGAACAGAACCACTCCTGGTGACTAGGATGGTGTATGTGTACTATCAGCAGGTCTGGAATGATTTTCACAATTTTCTATTAAGACACGTAGCAAAGAGGTCTCCTCTCCTTCAACTGGAACTATATCATGTTTAATGGAAGTAATGCATACTGGGACAGTCTTTCCAGAATAGTACTTGACTTCAGGGAGTTCATCCTCACTTGAAGAAAATTGAGCAGAGTTCATCCCTTCCTGTCAGGGAAAGGCCTGCAGAACTTACTTGCTCTTTTCTAGCTCTGGTTTTTCTGACTCCCTATTTCTAACAAATAAAGATTTTTTAAGACTTATTTTAAAAACTCATGAGGATTTTTAGTCATTGAATATCTTACGAAACAATATCATGATGAGTTAAGTGAAAATTAGAGCCACATGCCTGAAATTTCCCTGAAAAGACACATGTCCTTTAAAATGAAGGAGGAAAGTGCCAGGAAAAAAATATGTTTTTAATTTGTTTGAGTTGAAAACATTAGAAACATATTTTTAGATGTTTGCCAAGGGTTTTCCAAAAACCACTGGATTTCTCATAAACCCTAAAAGATGTCTTTCTTTTTAAGAATGGCAGGGAGCAACTGGCTCATTTACTAATTAAATATCCTATCTTCAATTGCTTTTGACTATTACTATCTTTTCAGACTTATAAGTTTCTTATTTGGGATCAAAAATAAAATATCCATAGTCTTGGCTTTGAGGTAAGAAGGAAAAACATTTCACCTATCTTTTCATTTCTAAGAAAATAAGAATTAATGATCCTAAAGGATTTGGCTTGAGTGTTGGAACTACTGTAGAGAAAGTGGGTGACCATCTTCATAATTTAGAGAATGAAGAGTTAGTGACAGACTCCATTGCTGCCTGATGTCAGAGTTCTCCAAAAGGATCACAGTTAAGTTTTCCATGACTGCCCATATAATTTAAAATTATTATGAGGAGAACCCCTAATGTTCTGAGTAACAAATAAAAAAGAATTTTCTCTAGAAAAATTGCTTATATAATAACTTAATGGGCCCTTATCTTCTCCATTCATTATTGGAGTAGTTTAACTTATCAAACATAATGCTTCATCTGTTGGACAAGAGGAACTTGATAGTCTTTAAGTTGCAAATCAGATGCTCCTACCATGCCAGAGAATGTAGGAGTCTAGGCATGGAACATTTTAAGGTGTGTGTGTTTGAGTGAAAGAAGGAGGGATGGAGAGGGAAGAAAGAGAGTATAAGAGTGTAAGTGTGTGTGTGCATGTATGTATGGGTGGAATGAGAGAGAAATGACTTAGATAACCTAGGGATAACTCTTACGTTTGATCTCAGAGGCAGCGATGATATAATGAAAAGAGTCCTGTGTTTAATCCAGGAGTGTCAGAAGTCAAATCTCATTTCCATCTCTAATTATGAAGCCTTGGAAATGTGCTGAATATGTCTACAGTCACAATTTCTTCTCTACCCACATTGTCCTCAAAGGGAAGCTGCCCCTAACCAAAGTGGCCAAGTGGCAATATTTAGACTTTGCAAATCCCTCTGCCTGAATGCAGCTGCTTGGGCCAAAAGTGAACACCCAATCCAAGGGCAAATAATCACTAGGAGACCCAGTGACTTGTGAGCCTGGATCAAAGAAATAAGATGAGCTGATCAGGTTCTTCCTCTCTGTCTTCAAAATCTGCCAGTTGTGTTGAGAATCTTTGGTAAAGATCAAGACATAGAGCTGGAACAGAAAATAGTGTGATGACCTAAAATTACATAAAAGCAGGTAGTAGCAGAATACAAAGAAAGAAAGAAAGGGTTACTGTATCATGTTAGTGACAAAACGCTAGGGGGTGGTCTATGCCTCTGACATCTCTAGATATCCAGAAGGATGCCTTGGCCCCACCTCCATGATCCCAGGGCATTTTAAATATTAAGTTCTTGACTCTTCTCAAGGTTTTTTTTTTTTTTTCACTCCACATAGATCCCAACAACAACCCCCTTTAGTTGAGCTTTCTTGTGTATGGTGGAGGTGTCTCTTTATCACCCTAACTCAGGTGCCTAAATGTATCTTTTTATGACTGTATACCTTTTAATAGAAACTCCTTTAGGTAACAAAAATCTGGTTAAGATTTTCATAACATCTCTTATAAACAGTCAGATAGGGTTCCCTCTTCTACATCAGTTTTTGTTGAGGGAGGGCTTTCTTCTAGTTATAACATCAAACCAGGCCAACCAAAATAAGCACATCTTGGATGGTGTCCTTACGTTTTAAGCCAAATTTAGATATTCAGCTAGTGGTCACACATTTTGTTTCTTCCGATAGATCTCATCTCTCCTGTTCTTCTCTTTGGGATCTCTTGTGGCCTTATCTTCCTCTGAGGTCACTGTCAAAGAATCTCTGACTTTCCTTTTACATTCATAAGCCCTCTTCAACCAACCCCAAGTAGCCTACCTTTCTGTGTCTGTCTCATTCCTACTCATTCTATGTACTGAGTCCTTTCTAAGAAAACTAAGAAGGAGAAAAGATGGTCACAAAAACTAAGCATATATTCAGAATTTACACAGAAGTACCTTTACAGATGTTGCATAAAAGGAAACACAGCTACCCTTGTTTAAAACTTAGATTTTGATATATAAGATTATTAGTCTTATGCCTCTTTGTGCTAGGCATAGAGTCCATGTCCTAAATCTAGGGGTGAAGATCAGAGAAAATCATGTAATTGTTTTAATACAAGAACTGTAACAACAGCAACAACAACAATCACTTCTTATTATCTCAAAATATGAATATGCATAAGTCACTTTATATTTCATTTAGTGTTCATGACAACCTTATTAGAAAGGTTCCCATACTAATTCTAAAATGAGGATGTGGCAACCCTAGACTACTAAACACAGCCTAGTTCCAAATGCCTTGCTTTTTTACCCTATCATAATTGATTTCTTTTGCCTCACTTCCTCTTTAAAAACAACCAAACCCACTTCAGGCCTTGCTGACACCAGCTGCTGGTAGCAAAGGCCACTGTAAACATTCAGTTCGCTGAAGGCCCCCTGACCCTACTCTTAGGGTCCACATGCAGGAATGAATTTCTATATCCCTTATGCCTCTGGTGTTCTAACAAAGTCTGGCTATTTATCTTTATTTTTTTTATTATACTTTAAGTTCTGGAATACATGTGCAGAACACGCAGGTTTGTTACATATGTATACACGTGCCATGGTGGTTTGCTGCCCCCATCAACCTGTCATCTACTTTATAACCACCCCTTGAGATGAGCTCTGAAGCACCTACCCTGCAACAAGTAATGATAACTGCTCGCTTAATCAGAGACCGACTCAAAAGACACCTACCAACCCCACATATAATACAAAAGAGACCGCTGGGCTGACTGCAATCAGTTATCCATATGTTTTCTGATTTGGAGTCTTTGATTGGGATAAGGAAAAACTCTCACATTGTATAGCACTTTGCAGTTTTTAACAATGGTCTCATCTTCATTGTACATTGTAATCACCTGTAGATCTTTAAAAAGTATTGTTGCCCAGTCCCACTCTCAGAATTGTGATTTAATTATGACCTGAGTATTATGATTTTTAAGAACTTCCCAAATGATTCTAATGCATAGCATTTGGGAACCAGTGGTTTATATTGTCTCCTGTCTGAAGACTAAGATATGTGAATGCGAACAGTTACTATTCTACGCTGTATTAGAATTAGCCAAACAAAATGCAGCAGCTCAGTATTCAGTCTGCACTTCCTAGATTTACAAACCTCGGTAAAGTTAATTATCTGCAAAATGGGAATAATCATGGCATATATCTTTTGGAACTCTTTGAGACTTTACATAATATCTGATAAAAGAACACTTGGAACAGTAAAATTTTTATAAATAGCTATCATTATAATTATTATGATTATGTAACTTAACTATATCATGAACCATATTATGTCACAATTACTTATTTATGAGGCATTTTTCTCATTAGGTTTAGAAGAGCCAGTTAGACAGGACCATGGCTTTTACCTTTGTCTTCCTGGGATCTAGTATAGGATTTGGTCCATTGAAGACAACCAATTGGAATTTGTTGAGTGGGTAAGTGGATAGATTAACCTACAGAAGTAGCATAGTGGGTACAAATAACAGTGGAAAGGAAAATCAAAGACTAGGGTGAGAATCACGTCTCTGTTATTTTATGAGCTTTGTGGGTATGGGAAAGTCCCTAGCTATTTGAGGACTTGAATTTTCAATCTGTAGCCATTAGCTAATGATTTTGATTACTTAATATGTGTTCTGCTCTATGTTGGGCACTGGGGATATAAAGATGAGTAAGACACAGGCCCCCAACCCTTCTTCATTTCCTGGGCTGATAAGAATTGGTTCAATAGTTATTAAATCATAACAATTATAGTAAGACTTTAGCATCTTCTTTCAAGAGCTTCTATTGTCATACTTTATTTTCCATCTATTTTCCCTTAAATATTATAAGGTGCTAGACGTAGCACAATTAGAGCTTAGCAAGATATAAATAACTGTTAGACTAAACCTGTGAATAAATAGTAGTTTTTCAAGGCATCTATCGCATTCATTCCATTTGAAAAAAAAATAGTTTTTAATAACATTTTCTGAAGAATAAGACAATAAAACCTTTACAATGCTTTCACATGGAGGGTTTCATTGAGTTTACAGAGTCTGTGTATTCAAAATGAAGATTTGTAAATGTCTGAATCTTTATCCCCAAAGCACTTTTCTTCTAAAATGAATAAGTATTTGATATGACTCATCCAAATAATTGTTTAAATTGCTGAAGTCACGTGAAGGAAAAAAATAGAATCACTCATGTCTTAACTTTATCACATAAATCCTGTAAATATTTTAAAATCTTTTTCTGTAATGCTGTTTGTTTTTCATCAACAGGGTTAAGGCATATTCATATGGAATTTTCCTTCTTTGTTTGTCTAATGTATTTTCAACAAGGTATTTCAGGAAAAAAACACACACACATACACAGACAAATTCAAGTTCAAATCTAGCCTCTACTGGCTTTATTATCTTGGAAAAAGTTACACGCTTGTTAAAGGGAGATATTAGAACTTACCTCATTGGACAATGTGACCACTTAATTAATTATTTGATTAACTTAATTATATGTCATAAAATTTATCAGTTATTTATATAATGAAATAATTCCGTTATATGTCATGTGAAAACATTGGAAGCAATACAGATACTCCATAAGTGTAGATGTTATTTTCAGGAACAAGCTCCTTAAGCACAATTTTCACTACGTCAACTGCTGATTCTTAAAAATGACATAGCTCATCAATTACCTATGTAATGCATTCCATATCCATCAGGAGGTGGACATTCCCACATCTGGTCTCAAACCACAGGATTTTCCAATGATAACCCCCATAGCCTTCTCATCTTCAGACATCTGCCCTTTGCTCTAAGCGTGCCACATAGCTCCTGTACTATCCCCCAAATATAGCCTCCCTTTCCCCCACCTAAGCTACTTCTGTTTTCCTCAGCTCCTGCAGCACTTTTTACTTCTCACATAACACTAAAAATATTCTACCTAATAACAAAAGAAAAATTGTTTAAAAATATCTGTCTTCCTAACAATGTTGTAGGGTTTTTTTTTTTTTTAAGGCAAAGACGGTATCTTCTATATCTTTGTATTCTTCCCAGCTCTTAGCAGTCAGCCTCTGTCATAATGAATATGTACTAGGAGCTTGCTGAATTGAAATTACTTATTTGATATTAAGCAGGCACAGTAATATATCAACTATGTTTTTTTCATTTTTCAACTGATTTTGATGAGAGATGTTAAACATGGGTTCCAAAGCGATTATAGTCAAAGTTAACAGAACTCAAAGAGTTTGCATGCTAGCAAACAGTAGAGATAATGTAGCCAGGTATTAAGAGAAAACCAAAGGGCCTGAAGGAAGTTGCACAAAATGAATTCATTGAGCTGCTCCTTTTTCCAAGGAAGCATGAAGATGCCAGGGATAAGATAGCATAGGCTAGTAGCAGGGTGCAAGAATTTTGGAGACTATATCATCCAGCTTTGAATTCTGGCTCAATCAATTACTGCCTTAGGCCCTTGAAAAAGTAACTGGACCTCTCTATGCAACATCTACAAGTTAAAAGATGGGTTTTGTGTGAGGAGTAAGTGAGTTGATATATGTGAAGCACGTAGGGTAGTGCCAGGCATATTGTAAGTGCTATGTAAATGTTTATAAACAAATAAGGGACATGTGTCTCAGAGAAACTCCCCAGGAAAAGGAGAAGTCAAAACACAGACAAAGAGGTGATAATTGATGAAGCAAAGATCTAGAAGAATGTTTTTTATAGTGGGATTCCCAAACAATCTATATCAGAATCTTCTTTGGGCTTAGTAAATGCACATTTCTGGACCCTATATCAAAATTCCCTTATAAAGGGAATGGGGGAATTCAGAAAGTTGCATTTTAGTAATATTCCCAGGCGGTTCTGGGAATGTTTATTTAGAAACTACTTGTCTGGGCCTCTGCTGCTCAAAGTGTGGCTTCAGGACCCCTAGCACCAGCAGCACCTGGAAGCTTGTTAAGAATACACAGTCTCAGGCTCTACTTTAGACCCACTGAATCAGAATCGCATTTTCACAAACCTCAGGTGGTTCACAAGTATACAAAAATTGGATAAGCATCCTCTATTCTAGAAGATAGATAATTTGGGAAATAGAATCTGCCCATTAGAATGGGATTTAAGATACATGAGAAAGGGGCTTTTTAAATTTTTTTTAGTAGAGAGAAGTAAGTGATAGAAGTGGTACATATATAGTCACTAATTGATATAACAAACATATTAAGTGTCTCCTACATTCCAGAAACAACTTTGATGCTGAAGAACAAGACAGACATGGTCTCTACCCTCTGGGATGTATCAACTAAGGCAATAATGTGACAGATAAACCCTGAAATCCCACAAACTTCATCCCATGCGAGTTTACTTCTCAATAAAAATGAATGTGGATATTCCTAGTTGGCAGGTGGAGTTCTCTAGAGTCATTCAGAAACCAAGGGCTCTTCTGTGACTCTGCCCTCCCTGGGTACCATATCTTCTGCATAAAGGCTGGTTGGTAGAAAAACAGAGTTCAGAGGATCGCATGGGAAGTGCTCACAGGCCCTGCATGGAGGAGTGTGCACCCCTTCTGCTGACATGTCATTGACCACAGCTCAGACACGTGAGCACCCTAGCCTAGAGGCTGGGAAATTCAGTCTAGCTCTGTGGCCTGCAGGGGGAGGAAGTGGAGATTTGGTGAACACATGGCAGCCTCTCTCATGTTGAGTTTACCAGCTAAAGGCTGAGGACACAGAGTACAAAGGAGAGAAATAAAAGGCCAGAAAGGATAAAGCTAGTACTGGGAGCCAGGTAAGAAACCTCTGTTAGAATAGATACTTGGTGCATGGGGCATGATCAGACTCCTTTTAAAGAAATAGTAATATTTTTACACACACAAAAAAAGAGTTTATGTGTTGATTTATCTAACCTTTCCAATAACTCTACAAGGTAAGCACAATTACTTCTTTCACTGCACACATGGGGAAAATGGGACACTAAATAACTTGCCCAAATTTGTGAGTAGCAGAGTCAGCATTCAAACTCAGTAGCCAATGTCCTCAGGAGCACCAGGCGACACTGCCTCATCCTGCTGGCCTCACACTGGCTGGGCTGAAAGAGGCTGAGAAGTCATGTGGAATCTGACAATGCAGTAGACAGCATTATTCTTACACAGACAGAATTTGAAGTATTGAATTTAAACAAATCATTGGGGAGTGACAAGATATTACTTTTAAAAAACTATATATTTGTTTTGGTTAGTACATATAGCTCTATTCATGTGATATCTTTGGGTTGCAAGCAACAAAAACCAATTCTGATTAATTTAACCGATGATAGATGTTTTGGAATGATACCAGATAGCTCATGGAATAACAGGAGGGCTGTAGATAATAGAACCTGCCTCTTAGTGCTACAGTGAATCTTACATTATATAATATGCTATATATATGTCCTAGCCTAGTTTCTTCTGAAAACAGAGCCTGAGATAAAGGCTTATGAACAGGTGGGAGATTTGGGAAGTGATCTCAGGGAAACAGGAAAATAGGAAAAGCCAATACTATAATAAGTTATGGAATTAGCCACCACTATGAACAACTTCTGAAGAATCTATAAAAATACTCTCAAAAGTGTCTCCCCAAGAGATACAAGGAAAGCACATCATCTTCTATCTTCATTTGGTCAAGAGTAGCCCCATGGGCGTCGACTTACCTTTCACTTTGTAGTTATGGAAACATCCCACATCAGAGAAGACCCAGGTCAAGAAGCAAGTGGTACAACCCTGCAGGCCTGAGGGAAGGTGTTATCAGGCTGCATCTGGTAAGGAAGGTGGAAGCCACAAAACTGTCAGTGTGACATGGTCAAAGGAAAAAAGAGAGGATACAGAGAAGCACTAGGAATGGCTGGTACTGTATACAATCTGCTTATATATTATTGCTGAACACGCAGCAAGTACTGAGTGAATAACTGCCAAGCAACGAGACTGGTTCTGGGTATACAGAAGGAAGAAAAGAAGACTCCCCAGGTGATTGCACTGTGGTCAGGAAGAAGAGACAGACATTTTCAGTGACCCTTGAAGAGCCAGCTAAGTGGTCTGGTTCTTGGAGATAAATTGTGATTCATTATTACTAAATGTCCTCTTTTTCTAACAGCACTTTAATTTACATGAATGTTAATTACTAGAAATTTAGCCCTACAATGATGTAATCAAATAGACAGTTCTCTGTCCTGAGTAAATAAAATGAATTGTTCTTTCAAAATCACTTATGTTCAATCTCTACATTTTCCCCTTATTTGGAAGAATCACACAGAAAAGTGGAAATTATAACACAAAGCCATACATGTACCTAATGCATACCATTTCTTTACACAAAGGGAGCTGGATTAAGTGAAGATAACAAGAAAGACTAAAATAGGCAGGAAAATCTCTTTTAAAAGTTCACTGGTCAGAGATAATCACCCTGCAACTATGTATTTCAGAGTAGCAGGACACCATGAACTAAATTCATGATAAAAACATGTTCTTTTTGTTAAATCATAGTTGAATACATCTGGAAATCAAAACTTAGAAGAAAGGAAGACATGGCATTTTCTCTTAAGAGAGAGTGCTAAAATGTTTCTTCAAATGGGGTAGAGGAGAAAACGTGGAAGTTATAAGATTTTGATTACTTTTAGTGGTCTTTCCTCTGGACGCTTTGAAACCAGTCACATCACAGAGCTTTTCAGCTGTCCTTACTCCTCCCAACTTGGCAGTCCTAGGAGTTCAGATTTTTAGGGAATTTGTTTTGTAATCAAAGAGAAAACTGTAAAATAACTGTGCCCTTGCTTGCTATGGATTTATTTTGCCATGAAAATTCTGAACAGTTAGGAAATGCAACTGGTTTTGACGAATTTGAATTAGGATACTCGAATTTGGCAAATTACAGAAAATACCTGTTTTCTGTCGAGTCAATAGGGCAGGAAACAGATGTTTGTTTCAACTCTCATTGGGCTGCCAAATGGAGGATTGTTTCCACTGATGCTTGCTGTATTAACTATAGAAACATAAAGGGTATAGCAATTTCAAACTACCTTTCTCAAAGATTAAAATGGCTTCACTAGATAATTAAGTTAGATTCTTGAAAGGTGAAGATAACCTCCTCACAAAAGACCAAGCACATGTGCCATGTTTATTGGGAAGAAAATAAGGAGGTACTGCAAATAGTAAAGTTGTGTATTGCTCTGTAAGCCTTCTTCAGTTGGATCATTTATACATTTGTTTTATCTAATTTTAGCATTGTACCCCAGCATTTGATCCCACATGAAATATGAATAAAGTAATAGTTCTAGAAGATGACTACATTAATATACACCACTATAGAGAGATAGGGAGTGACCATTTACCACATTTTTCTTTTGTGCCTGAAAGAAAAACAGAAATGAAATAAGTCTTAGCTATCAGAAGTACTAGATAGCCATAAATGGCTATTCCTAATTCCCTGAACTAACATGGGTGGCAACCTCTGGCAACATGCTGTGCATAGCCTGCTTGGCCTCCACAGTAGTCTTTTAATATGAGATGAGGTCAGGGAGGAAGGAGGAACCAGATCAAGGAGGAAAAGAGCATCCAACAGCCAAGACTCATAGGCTTTGCAGGGGTTTTGAGATTTTTTTTTTTTCTAATTGCTGTAGAAAGCCAGTAGGGCTTAAAGTAGAGAAGCAATATAATGTACCTTGAAAAAACTGTTAATTTTGTGGAGAGTGGATTTTAGGGAGCAAAGATTAAAGGCAAGGAGAGAAGTTAGAGGCTATTGTAGTAGCTAGAGTGTGAGCATGATGGCAAACTGCATTGAGATCTGTGCCACCTTGCTTAACATTTTGCTCAAATTTCGTTTGCCTGGAAATAGGGAATCAAGTTAAGAATTAATTTATCTCTGTTGCTTTGCTGCATAAATGGGAAATAGATACAGCTGCCAATATTAGAAACACAATGGTTGGGTGGATTAAAGAAGAGGAGGTTTATTTGCCTTATATTGCAAAAAGTCTAGGCATACCTCATGGTTGCAAGATGGATCCTGTACTTTCAGATCTCTTGATCACATTCCAGCCAGAAATAAGGAGGAAGGGAAAAGAGGAGAAGAATTTTCTCCTAACAAGAATTTGACCTTTCATGTAGAAATGTCAGAAATGTATTTCTTCCAAAATATCATTTACTAGAACTGTGTTCACATGGCTAACTCAAAGTATAAGGAAGGCTGGGAGATTCAGTATGTAATTATTTCAAATATTTTCACCCAGGCACTTTGCCACCCTGAACCAAACCAGAATTCTCTTAGCAAGAAAAAGGGAGAGTGGCTGACAGATAGGGACTAGCAGGATCTGCACTCTACCAGTGGTACCCTACCCTGTGATTCTATGACATATGCTCACCTAAAACACAACAACGGGCTATAACACAAAAATGATCAATACATTTTCAGACACTATCTTAGACTCCTGATGACACTAAAGATGCACTCATCATTTATAAAATACATATTTATTATGAGAACACTTCTTCAAAATAATAACCTACTAATTTTGGAAGGCATCCTCCCCTTATCAGGCAATGAAGTATCTCAGTATCCATTATATAATGTTCTTTGTTCAATTTGCATTGGGATCATCATTACTAACCAGATGTGAACATTTTGATTACTGGCTGTTTGTGCTATTACTGTCTTCTATCCTGGTATTCTGTCATCAACATCAAGATTACACTAAATGCTCCTACCCAAAAAGAGGTCAGAGGAGTCAAGTGAAAAGAAAAGTTTACAAAGATTTAAATGACAAACAAAATTTGAAGTTAAATCTAATTTAGTTTAAAACTGATTTAAAAAAAGTCAAATTTCTATGTCTATGAAGATGGCTATGATGAACAAAATAAGTGAGCTTTATTTGAGGGACTAGATTATTTAAGTATTACAATGTTTATGCTATTGTTAATGTTTAGTAAGGTGTCATCTTTTTATATATAGAAATAAAACCACATACATATACATATAAACACACACAAACATATATACACACACATACACACACACACACACACACACACATACATACATATATATTTTCTCTGTAATGGCCTTATTCACCTTTGGGTCAAGTATTTTCCAAAATTTTCTCCAGCTTTATAATAAAAGTCAGTGCAAAATAGCACTCAATTTGCTGAATTTATTCCATTAGGGTTTCTCTAGATTACCTAAAAGGCATAGGGTTGGTCTAGGTGACCTTTGGGATTCTAGCTCTGGGAGCTCTAAGATTCTAGTTCTAGGATTCCATGTTTCCAGAAGGTAGGGCTTTCCTAGCGTTCATGAAAACAGAAAAGTTAAAGCATGTCTGACCTGAAGTACTATATTAGTTCATTCTCACACTGCTAATAAAGACATAGCCAAGACTGAATAATTTAAAAAGGAAAGAGGTTTCATTGACTCACAGTTCAGCATGGCTGGGGAGGCCTCAGGAAATTGACAACCATAGTGGAAGGGGAAGCAAACATGTCCTTCTTCACATGGTGGCAGCAAGGAGAAGTGCCAAGCAAAAGGGGGAAATGCCTCTTATAAAATCATCAGATCTTGTGAGAACTTACTCACTATCACAAGAACAGTATGGAGGTAACAGACCCTGTGATTCAATTACCTCCCACTGGGCCCCTCCCATGACACGTGGGGATTATGGAAACTACAATTCAAGATGAGATTTGAGTGGGGACAGAGCCAAATCACATCAAGAATGTACATGTTTAACTTGGTTGGAAGTAGGGAAGGAGAGGAGAAGTTGACTTTCAGACTCTTAATGAGGACATCACTATGGTTGCTAGTCTCTGAAGATGGACCATGCCTCCTGGTGTGCAAATCCCATGCATAGTCCCCTCTGCTTGAGGTCAGTCTGATCCTGTGACTCACCTGTGACTGACCAACAGAATGTAGTGGAAGTAATGCTGCATGACTTCTGAGGCTAGTTTATAGAGAACCTTGCAGCTTTTACTGGGGTTCCTTTGGAACACTTATTTTGAGGGAAGACACTTGCCATGTAAGAAGATGACTCCAAGTCTTCCATGTTATAAAACAGCCCAAGTTAGCCACGTGAGAAGCCACATGGAAATAGAGAAAGACACAGCCTGAGTTGCTCCAACCATCCAAGCCCAGGTACCAGACATGTGAGTGAAGAAGCTATTTTGGATGTCCAGCCTAGTCAAGCCTCTAGATGACTCCAGCCCAAGCCACCATTTGACCGCAAATACATGGGAGGTTCCAAGTGAGTGGTGATGATCAGAACCTAGACAAACCACAGAATCATGAGAAATAATAATAAAATGTTGCTGTAAACTAGTAAGTCTTGGGTGGTTTGTTATGCAGCAACAGGTCATCAGAACTACCATCTGGCATGAACAATTTAGAGGATTTTGACATAATTAAGAGTCAAAAACTCTGGGCTGTGCTGTTGACTAATCAGAGTTTCCTTATCTGTAAATTGAGATCCATTTCGTCTTTCAACATGTTTGTTGAGTGCCTATAGGATGCTAGTACAGTGCTTTGAAAAAAGCAGAGGGGCCAAACCTTCATGACTTATAGACTAGAGGAAGAGACAAACAATAAATAAGAAAACAGTGAAAGAAAACACTGCCTGTGGTGATGAGCATCATAAAGGAAAAGTGTATGGGGTGGAAAATAACATGGTTGAAAGAGGAAACAACCTATTTTAGATAAATAGATTTGGAAGATGTCTTTAAGAAAGTGGGAATCGGGCTGAGATCATAAGAAATGAGAAGAAATCAGCTATGGAGAAATTAAGGGATAAGGGTTCCAGGTGGTAAAAGTGATCTGCACTTCACAAAGTTGTTAGGACAATTAAAAAATAAATGTAGACAAGCAGTAAAGATGTGTAATACGTAAATACTATTTTCTCCTCTGTAGTATTTCCAGTTCATTCCCTTAGTGAAGCGATTTAGTTTCCTTTAATTCTCCACAAGCTATGTGCTGATGATTCCTCCATTTATACCTTGGTATGGTATGAATGCTTGCATCCCCCCAAAAAGCATATGTTGAAACTTAATCACCAATGTTGATGGCAGCAGCAGGCCATCCAGAGTGGCTGCTGCCATCACACCAGCTGCAGCGAGAGGCGCAAGCGGTGGTGGCAGGAGCTGCTGCAGGACCAGCAGTGGTGGCAGTGGGATGCGCCACCCCCACCCTTGTGCAGCCAGGCAAGACCTTCCCCTAGGCCTGGAGCCTCCACTGCCCGGACCCTGGCCCCGCATCACTACAATGGCCCACCACTGCTGCAGGGAGGGCCTGGGAAGGAGGCAGACAGTCACTGGAGTCTTCCACTGGAAGACCCCTGGAGCTCACCATCCTGGGGGCTGCTGCAATGGAGCCAGGCCAAGTTACCCGCCGATGGGGGAGCAGCATGGTTGGGCAAGATGGGGTGGGCCGAGAGGGGCCCCAAGGTGGAGCTGGGCCTGGGGTGGTGCCAGGCTTGAACACAGAGCAGGAAATGGGAGCATTGCCTGCTTCAGAGACCGGACTAGCAGCATAGCCACCACACCCATGCCACCAAGGGTGTTACATTCCTGCACCTCAGGAGAAGGCTCATTGTGGAGCTGCCTGGGGCTGTGTCCCCAGGGTCCACACCACATCAAGGTGACCACCAAGCCTGATGCCCCCAAAGTCCAGGCCTGGGGCCCATGATCTGCTCCTGGAAGCAAACCCCTGGGCAGGGCCACAATCCAGACAATGGGGAGACCCAGGCTGCCCCTGAGTGCCAGGGCCATGGGAAGAACTTGCAGCAATGTCACCCCTCTCCTGGATGCTGGCCCAGGCCCAGCAAGGACCTGTAGCTCCTGCCCCAGGCTGCAAGGAGGCTTGGCAGGGACTGCATGCTTCACAGAGTCCCAGGAGCCAGGGACAAGTGACCCTCCTGGGTTGGTGTGGCAGGAGATCTTTGGACGCAGTTGCAGCCTCCCTGCTGTGGCTGCAGACCAGGCATCTCTGCACTCTCGGGGGCCCAGGAATGTCTCCCTACCCCACTGAGAGCTCAAAGGTGCCTGCTCCCGCTGCCTGGCTTCTCCCCACTCTCAGTGCCTGCTCCAATCTCAGAGCAAGGTTAGAGCCAAGCCTGGGCACTGTCACAGTCCAGCTGGGGGTGCACATGCTTGGGGCAGTGCTGACATGGTAGCCTCCTGCCACCTCAGCCCCCTCTGGACTTTGGGTGCTGACCAGCATGGAAAGGAGGTCAGGGGGTGAGGGGATGAGAACAGCCTGGCACTGGCCTGCAGGTCCCCCTTTGAGATGAACAGTCTGGGCACCATGAATGGTAGCAGGAGGCAGACAGGTTCCTGGGAAGAAGGGGGTGGGTCCCTGGTGAAGCCCCACCTTCAAACTGGGGATGGCCTGAAGCCTGGAGACCAGGCCTCTGGTCCCTCAGACCACAGGGGGAACTTGTGGTATTTTCCCCTGGGCCTTCCAATGGCCGCCCATGGTCCAATCAGCAGGCACTTGCTTCTCTCTGAGACCCATTAAAAAACCCTGACTCAGTCAGACTGGAAGAAAGGATAGAGAAATAATTGGGAGATGAAGAGACGACCTGCCTGCAGAGAGGAGCAACCCACTCCAGGGCCTCTTCACTGCTGAGAGCTGCAGACAATGGGATGATCAGAAAGGGTTATCTATGGGATGGTCTACCAATGGGATGGTAGAAAGGTCTAACAATGTTCTAGCAATGGGATGGTAGAGAGGAGCTACCCTCTCTGCTGAGAGCTGAACACTTCTTGGGACAACCTGCCTGTGGAAAAGAGCTACCCTCTCTGCTGAAAGCTGAACACTCTTCAGGACATCCCAGTTGCTGAACGGAGACACCTCCTGTGGGTCTCCTCTGAGCTGTTCTATCACTCAATAAAGCTCCTCTTCATCTTGCTCACCCTCCATTTGTCTGCATACCTCATTCTTCCTTATTACAGCACAAGAACTTGGGACACACCGAATGGTGAGGCTAAATGAGCTGTAACACAAACAGGGCTGAGACATGCCCTTTGTTTGTACCATTGCAGGTGAAGAGAAGGAGAGAAGAGTTGCAGCCCTTCAGGAAGCCCAGACCTGGGAGCTCCCCAAAACAGAGCTATGATTTCCTCTTTGGGGCCCTGCAGTTCTTCACATCTCAAAGCTTCTGGGTGCCACCATATTCCCCTGTGCCAGCTGGGGAAGCAGCTTGCAGTGCACATGGTCCAGCCACAACCTAAATGAGCCAGCACCCATGCCAGCACCCAAAGCTGCCCACCCTGCTGCAGCAGCCAGCATGTCTCACTGCACAGTGGCTGGACCCCACACTCACTCACACATCCCTCACTACTCCATGCCTGACATGCCCTTTACAGGCCTAGGATCCAGGCCAGTAGCATGAACCAAGCACAGCCTGCCAGGCTGAGTAAGTGGAACGAGCCCAATTGGCCCAAGCAAAACTCAGGCAAATGCACCACCAGCCACAGAGGTGTCCAGACAAGCAACACCCCAAAGACCACATAACAATGTGATAGTATTTGGAGGTAGGGCCTTTGGGAAGTTATTAAGTTATGAGGGCAGAGCTCTCATGGATGGGATTAAGAACCTTAGAGAAGAGGTCCCAGAGAGCTTCCTTGCCTCTTCCACTGTGTGAGGACACAGCAAAAAGAAGATGCCTATGAACCAAAGAATGGGTTCTTACCAGACACAGAATCTACTGGTGCCTTGATATCGATTTTGGAGCCAAGATGGCCGAATAGGAACAGCTCTGGTCTACAGCTCCCAGCATGAGCGACGCAGAAGACGGTGATTTCTGCATTTCCATCTGAGGTACTGGGTTCATCTCACCAGGGAGTGCCAGACAGTGGGCGCAGGTCAGTGGTTGTGCGCACCGTGCTCGAGCCGAAGCAGGGCGAGGCATTGCCTCACTTGGGAAGCTCAAGGGGTCAGGGAGTTCCCTTTCCTAGTCAAAGAAAGAGGTGACAGACCGCACCTGGAAAATCGGTTCACTCCAACCCGAATACTGCGCTTTTCCGACAGGCTTCAAAAACGGCGCACCGCGAGATTATATCCCCCACCTGGTTCAGAGGTTCCTACGCCCAGGGAGTCTCGCTGACTGCTAGCACAGCAGTCTGAGATCAAACTGCAAGGCGGCAGCGAGGCTGGGGGAGGGGCGCCCACCATTGCCCAGGCTTGATTAGGTAAACAAAGCAGCCAGGAATCTCGAATTGGGTGGAGCCCACCACAGCTCAAGGAGGCCTGCCTGCCTCTGTAGGCTCCACCTCTGGGGGCAGGGCACAGACAAACAAAAAGACAGCAGTAACCTCTGCAGACTTAAATGTCCCTGTCTGACAGCTTTGAAGAGAGCAGTGGTACCCCCAGCACGCAGCTGGAGATCTGAGAATGGGCAGACTGCCTCCTCAAGTGGGTCCCTGACCCCTGACCCCGAGCAGCCTAACTGGGAGGCACCCCCCAGCAGGGGCACACTGACACCTCACATGGCAGGGTACTCCAACGGACCTGCAGCTGAGGGTCCTGTCTGTTAGAAGGAAAACTAACAAACAGAAAGGACATCCACACCAAAAACCCATCTGTACGTCACCATCATCAAAGACCAAAAGTAGATAAAACCACAAAGATGTGGAAAAAACAGAACAGAAAAACTGGAAACTCTAAAAAGCAGAGCGCCTCTCCTCCTCCAAAGGAATGCAGTTCCTCACCAGCAATGGAACAAAGCTGGATGGAGAATGACTTTGATGAGCTGAGAGAAGAAGGCTTCAGACGATCAAATTACTCTGAGCTACAGGAGGACATTCAAAACAAAGGCAAAGAAGTTGAAAACTTTGAAAAAAATTTAGAAGAATGTATAACTAGAATAACCAATACAGAGAAGTGCTTAAAGGAGCTGATGGAGCTGAAAACCAAGGCTCGAGAACTACGTGAAGAATGCAGAAGCCTCAGGAGCCGATGCAATCAACTGGAAGAAAGGGTATCAGCGATAGAAGATGAAATGAATGAAATGAAGGGAGAAGGGAAGTTTAGAGAAAAAAGAATAAAAAGAAATGAGCAAAGCCTCCAAGAAATATGGGACTATGTGAAAAGACCAAATGTGCGTCTGATTGGTGTACCTGAAAGTGATGGGGAGAATGGAACCAAGTTGGAAAACACTCTGCAGGATATTATCCAGGAGAACTTCCCCAATCTAGCAAGGCAGGCCAACATTCAGATTCAGGAAATACAGAGAACGCCACAAAGATACTCCTCGAGAACAGCAACTCCAAGACACATAATTGTCAGATTCACCAAACTTGAAATGAAGGAAAAAATGTTAAGGGCAGCCAGAGAGAAAGGTCGGGTTACCCACAAAGGGAAGCCCATCAGACTAACAGTGGATCTCTTGGCAGAAACCCTACAAGCCAGAAGAGAGTGGGGGCCAATATTCAACATTCTTAAAGAAAAGAATTTTCCACCCAGAATTTCATATCCAGCCAAACTAAGCTTCATAAGTGAAGGAGAAATAAAATACTTTACAGACAAGCAAATGCTGAGAGATTTTGTCACCACCAGGTCTGCCCTAAAAGAGCTCCTGAAGGAAGCGCTAAACATGGAAAGGAACAACCGGTACCAGCCACTGCAAAATCATGCCAAAATGTAAAGACCATCAAGACTAGGAAGAAACTGCATCAACTAATGAGCAAAATAACCAGCTAACATCATCATGACAGGATCAAATTCACACATAACAACATTAACTTTAAATGCAAATGGACTAAATGCTCCAATTAAAAGACACAGACTGGCAAATTGGATAAAGAGTCAAGACTCATCAGTGTGCTGTATTCAGGAAACCCATCTCACGTGCAGAGACACACATAGGCTCAAAATAAAAGGATGGAGGAAGATCTACCAAGCAAATGGAAAACAAAAAAAGGCAGGGGTTGCAATCCTAGTCTCTGAGAAAACAGACTTTAAACCAACCAAGATCAAAAGAGACAAAGAAGGCCATTACATAATGGTAAAGGGATCAATTCAACAAGAAGAGCTAACTATCCTAAATATATATGCACACAATACAGGAGCACCCAGATTCATAAAGCAAGTCCTGAGTGACCTACAAAGAGACTTAGACTCCCACACATTAATAATGGGAGACTTTAACACCCCACTGTCAACATTAGACAGATCAACGAGACAGAAAGTCAACAAGGATACCCAGGAATTGAACTCAGCTCTGCACCAAGCAGACCTAATAGACATCTACAGAACTCTCCACCTCAAATCAACAGAATATACATTTTTTTCAGCACCACACCACACCTATTCCAAAATTGACCACATACTTGGAAGTAAAGCTCTCCTCAGCAAATGTAAAAGAACAGAAATTATAACAAACTATCTCTCAGACCACAGTGCAATCAAACTAGAACTCAGGATTAAGAATCTCCCTCAAAACTGCTCAACTACATGGAAACTGAACAACCTGCTCCTGAATGACTACTGGGTACATAACGAAATGAAGGCAGAAATAAAGAAGTTCTTTGAAACCAACGAGAACAAAGACACAACATACCAGAATCTCTGGGACACATTCAAAGCAGCGTGTAGAGGGAAATTTATAGCACTAAACGCCCACAAGAGAAAGCAGGAAAGATCCAAAATTGACACCCTAACATCACAATTAAAAGAACTAGAAAAGCAAGAGCAAACACATTCAAAAGCTAGCAGAAGGCAAGAAATAACTAAAATCAGAGCAGAACTGAAGGAAATAGAGACACAAAAAACCCTTCAAAAAATTAGTGAATCCAGGAGCTGGTTTTTTGAAAGGATCAACAAAATTGATAGACCGCTAGCAAGACTAATAAAGAAAAAAAGAGAGAAGAATTAAATAGACGCAATAAAAGATAAAGGGGATATGACCACCGATTCCACAGAAATACAAACTACCATCAGAGAATACTACAAACACCTCTATGCAAATAAACTAGAAAATCTAGAAGAAATGGATAAATTCCTCGACACATACACTCTCCCAAGACTAAACCAGGAAGAAGTTGAATCTCTGAATAGACCAATAACAGGATCTGAAATTGTGGCAATAATCAATAGCTTACCAACCAAAAAGAGTCCAGGACCAGATGGATTCACAGCCGAATTCTACCAGAGGCACAAGCAGGAGCTGGTAACATTCCTTCTGAAAGTATTCCAATCAATAGAAAAAGAGGGAATCCTCCCTAACTCATTTTATGAGGCCAACATCATTCTGATACCAAAGCCAGGCAGAGACACAACCAAAAAAGAGAATTTTAGACCAATATCCTTGATGAACATTGATGCAAAAATCCTCAATAAAATACTGGCAAAACGAATTGAGCAGCACATCAAAAAGCTTATCCACCATGATCAAGTGGGCTTCATCCCTGGGATGCAAGGCTGGTTCACTATATGCAAATCAATAAATGTAATCCAGCATATAAACAGAACCAAAGACAAAAACCACATGATTATCTCAATAGATGCAGAAAAAGCCTTTGACAAAATTCAACAACCCTTCATGCTAAAAACTCTCAATAAATTAGGTATTGATGGGATGTATTTCAAAATAATAAGAGCTATCTATGACAAACCCACAGCCAATATCATACTGAATGGGCAAAAACTGGAAGTATTCCCTTGGAAAACTGACACAAGACAGGGATGCCCTCTCTCACCATTCCTATTCAACATAGTGTTGGAAGTTCTGGCCAGGGCAATTAGGCAGGAGAAGGAAATAAAGGGTATTCAATTAGGAAAAGAAGAGTCAAATTGTCCCTGTTTGCAGATGACATGATTGTATATCTAGAAAACCCCATTGTCTCAGCCCAAAATCTCCTTCAGCTGATAAGCAACTTCAGCAAAGTCTCAGGATACAAAATCAATGTACAAAAATCACAAGCATTCTTATACACCAACAACAGACAGAGAGCCAAATCATGAGTGAACTCCCATTCACAATTGCTTCAAAGAGAATAAAATACCTAGGAATCCAACTTACAAGGGATGTGAAGGACCTCTTCAAGGAGAACTACAAACCACTGCTCAAGGAAATAAAAGAGGATACAAACAAATGGAAGAACATTCCATGCTCATGGGTAGAAAGAATCAATTTCGTGAAAATGGCCATACTGTCCAAGGTAATTTACAGATTCAATGCCATCCCCATCAAGCTACAAATGCCTTTCTTCACAGAATTGGAAAAAACTACTTGAAAGTTCATATGGAACCAAAAAAGAGCCCGCATTGCCAAGTCAATCCTAAGCCAAAAGAACAAAGCTGGAGGCATCACACTACCTGACTTCAAACTATACTACAAGGCTACAGTAACCAAAACAGCATGGTACTGGTACCAAAACAGAGATATAGAGCAATGGAACAGAACAGAGCCCTCAGAAATAACGCCGCATATCTACAACTATCTGATCTTTGACAAACCTGAGAAAAACAAGCAATGGGGAAAGGATTCCCTATTTAATAAATGGTGCTGGGAAAACTGGCTAGCCATATGTAGAAAGCTGAAACTGGATCCCTTCCTTACACTTTATACAAAAATGAATTCAAGATGGATTAAAGACTTAAACATTAGACCTAAAACCATAAAAACCCTAGAAGAAAACCTAGACATTACCATTCAGGACATAGGCACGGGCAAGGACTTCATGTCTAAGACACCAAAAGCAATGGCAACAAAAGCCAAAATTGACAAATGGGATCTAATTAAACTAAAGAGCTTCTGCACAGCAAAAGAAACTACCATCAGAGTGAACAGGCAACCTACAAACTGGGAGAAAATTTTTGCAACCTACTCATCTGACAAAGGGCTAATATCCGGAATCTACAATGAACTCAAACAAATTGACAAGAAAAAAACAAACAACACCATCAAAAAGTGGGCAAAGGACATGAACAGACACTTCTCAAAAGAAGACATTTATGCAGCCAAAAAACACATGAAAAAATGCTCATCATCACTGGCCATCACAGAAATGCAAATCAAAACCACAGTGAGATACCATCTCACACTAGTTAGAATGGCAATCATTAAAAAGTCAGGAAACAACAGGTGCTGGAGAGGATGTGGAGAAATAGGAACACTTTTACACTGTTGGTGGGACTGTAAACTACTTCAACCATTGTGGAAGTCAGTGTGATGATTCCTTAGGGATCTAGAACTGGAAATACCATTTGACCCAGCCATCCCATTACTGGGTATATACCCAAAGGACTATAAATCATGCTGCTATAAAGACACATGCACACGTATGTTTATTGCGGCATTATTCACAATAGCAAAGACTTGGAACCAACCCAAATGTCCAACAATGATAGACTGGATTAAGAAAATGTGGCACATATACACCATGGAATGCTATGCAGCCATAAAAAATGATGAGTTCATGTCCTTTGTAGTGACATGGATGAAATTGGAAATCATCATTCTCAGTAAACTATCGCAAGAACAAAAAACCAAACACCGCATATTCTCACTCATAGGTGGGAATTGAACAATGAGATCACATGGACACAGGAAGGGGAATATCACACTCTGGGGACTGTTGTGGGGTGGGGGGAGTGGGGAGGGATAGCAATGGGAGATATACCTAATGCTAGATGACGAGTTAGTGGGTGCAGTGCACCAGCATGGCACATGTATACATATGTAACTAACCTGCACAATGTGCACATGTACCCTAAAACTTAAAGTATAATTAAAAAAAAAAATTCAAAAAATAAAGAAATAAATAAAGTTCCATATCAACTTAAAAAAAAAAAAAGAATCTATTGGTGCCTTGATCTTGAACTTCCCAGAGTATAACTGTGAGAAATAAATTTCTATTGTTTATAAGCCACCCAGTCTAAGGTATGTTGTTATAACAGAACAAACTAAAACACACCTCCACCCTAAACACTGTCCCGAACTCCAGACTCAGGTATTCAGTTGCCTACTAGCATTTCCCCTTGGATCTCTAAGTGATGACTCAAACTTAACTTGCCCTAAACTGGACTTTTGATCTTTGCCCCAAACCTGTGCCACTCAAAGTTTTCTTCATCTCAGTTAAATCAACTCCATTCTTCTATACTTAGAATCTTCCTGGATACCTCCTTTATTTTCATATCCCATATATGACTCATTAGTAAAGCTATTTAGTCTACCTTTTGACAATATCCAGAATCCAATCACTTTTCACCACTGCAACCACCACTACTCTACTCTAAAGCAAATGCAATCTTTTGCTTGATTTATTGTAATAGCTCCTAACTGACTTTGCTGCTTCCAGTCTTTCTCCTCTGTAATCTATTGTCAACTCAGTCGTAGGAGCAAGCTTGTGTGTTCTAAATCCTCTGTATTAGTTTTCCTAGGGCTGCCATTATAAATCACCACAAATTGAGTGGCTTAAAACAACTGAAATTGATTGTCTCGCAGTTCTAGAGCCTCGAAGTCTGAAATCAAGGTGTCAGCAGGGCCATGCTCTCTCTCAAGGCTCCAGGAGAGGATCCTTCCTTGCCTCTTCCTAGATTCCAGCGGCAATCCTGGAATTCCTTGTAATTCCTTGGCTTGCAGCTGCATCACTCCAGTCTCTGCTCCCATCTTCACATGGTGTTCCCCTCCCTGTGTGTCTGTGTCCAAATTTCCCTCTTCTTATAAAAACGTCAGTCACAGGATTAGGGCCCAACCTAGTTCAGTATGACTTCATCTAAGCTTGATGACATCTTCAAAGGCTCCATTTCCAAATAAGGCCACATTCATAGGTACTAGGCGTTAGGACTTGAACATGTCTTTTCAGGAGACACAATTCAACCCTCCACACCTGCCAACGCCTTCCTTACTCAAAGTTACTATAATGACCTCACACGTGTCTCCTCCATGTACTCTATGAATTCATCTCAAAGTGCTCACAATCTATCTCCATCATACTGGGCATATTCTCTCCTGGGGACACTTGTACCTGCTCTGCTCCTTTTGCCTCATGTCCTCTTTTCCAAGACAATTCTGCATTCTTCATCTTCATCCTCTTTCAGATCTTCAGTCTCCTTCTCCGCAAACCTCCCTGACCATCCTACTTAAAATTCCTCCACTACCTCCTCATCTGACATTCTGCATCCCTATTCTAGGCACTATTTTTCTCTTCTTGATTAGGTACTAACTGTTACCATCCTCATTTCACAGTAAGCTCAAGTATCTTGCTCAAGATCACAGAGCTAGAAAATGAAAAAGCCAAATCTCTGCAAGCTTACTCTAGAGTTTGTATTCTTACCTAGTGTTTTATAGAGTCTCTTAATGACTATTTTCTATAGCTAATTTATTACCCACTTGGCTAGGATGTAAAGGCCCAGGCTTAGTGACAATCGACAGATGTCCTACCAAGGATAAACTGTACCTTGCCACAGTTTTTAAATTTTTCTTTGTCAACATTCGTAAAAGTCTGATTTTCAGTGAAAGATTCAACGTGGAAATTCTGAGCATGAGGGTATAAATCAGTATTTTCATTTTCTTTGACTAGTGATCCAGGAGGCTGACTGAGCAATAAATCAAGGAGAATTTATGTTTTATTGAGTCCCCATCATGTCTAAACACTGGGGGGTCCTGGGGCCTACAGAACAGCACAGACCCATAGTTAAATCATTTATTTCACCAAGCAATATTGTTTCTACAAATCAATCAGAAATCATTATCAATAGCACCATTTCTAAACAAAGTCTTGTTTATTGGTGTGATGTCACCCTGATACACTTATTTATTTGCATGATATGACACACACTCATACACATTTATTTATTTGCCTGATACTGTATCCCCCCCCCAAAAAAAAAATGGTCAGCCATGCCTGAAGAGATTTCTGGGAATTACCCAAAGCTACAATAATATTCATAATAACAGTTACCATTCATTGAGTACTGCCCATGCACTAGTGACTGTGAAAAGTGCTTTTGATGTATTGCTAATTTAATTTCCATAACAACACTGAGGCAGGTATTTTATCTCTGCTTTCCAGATGAAGAAACTAAGCATTTAGGAGATTCACTAACCTTGCCCAATGTCAGTCTGCCAGAAAGTCAGGATATTTTTTAAAAGTTCTAAAAGACTATAAAGGAGTACAACACAAAGATTGTTCAGTACACTTATTAATTTCCAGTGAAAAATATGCATGGAGCAGTCAAGAATATTTATGTTGGCTAGCTGCATGCACAGTCTTCTCTTGAAGAACGTCTACATTGGCAACCATATCACTATCAGACATGGTGTTTGTGAACATCAGGACATTCGTCTCTTGGGCAGTCCTCAAAAGGCACACAGAATCTTGCATTTTCTCTACTTAGTGTAAATCATAAATCATCACCTTTCCATTATTTTGCAATTCACCTCACATTCTTTCCACTACAATTGCAAAGATGATGGTTTTATTTCTATCAGTTAGAATACAGTTATATTTTCCAGGAGGACACTGACCATCTTGATTGAATTTGGGAACACCTGGCCTCTAGATAAGCCACACATAATATACCCCTCACTCCCGGACAGCAGGCTTACAAGCTTCTGTGGCCCCAACTGACTGGTTCAGGTAGCTAATCTCATCAGATCTGTATTGATTCTGATTATCTTCAATACAGAGTGGTTGGTTTATTATATCTGTGTCCAAAATATCTGAGGGTGCACATTTTTTTAGAGACTGTGGGTCTCCTGTACTGACCTCATCTCATAACTAAGAATCACCATTTTTTAATATAGAAAAAATTAAAATATGCTAACAAGTCTGAATTTTGTTTTATAACAAATTTGTTATAAAACAAATTTGTACTGTACTGTTTTATAACAAATTTACAAACAGTTTTTCTTTTGCTAGAGGGAGATAAAATAAACCTCTTCACAGACCTATGGCCTTTAAAACACATAGGTCAGTTACCAGGGCTTCCTCAATAAATGTGAGCTTCCCAGGATTACATCCTATCTTACTTATTACTATATTCTGCACACCTATCAAGAAGGTTGGCACTTAACAGTTCTCAATGCACACCTAGAAACTGGATGCAACTAACTCCAGCCCCTGCCCAAATCAGCCATGTGGAGTTTCTCCACATTTTTTATAACCACCAAGAGAGCAAGCACTGGCGGACAGAGAGATGACACTAAAGAGGTACACTTATGGATTTTTTTTTAATCTCTGAAAAAAAAGAAAGAAAGGTATTATACAAAGCTGGACAGAATTTCTGTCTTAAAGTCAAGTGCCTAAGAGTATAAAGCCCTCCTATCTCAATAGTTTCATATCAGTTATTTTTCTTGAAGTAAGTAGGGAAATTATCTAATTCTCATTTTATAGAAATAGAGAATACCAAATTTAACCAAGTTGATTCAAGTCACACAACTCATTGGTGGCATGGCTGGGACCAAAAACGAGGTCCCTGGCTATCGTTCCTTGTTTTATTCTATTAATAACATCCTGAGCAAGCAAATAAAGGGCTTGTAGAAGAGAGGCGATAAATGTGGTTGTAAGCAGTCAGGGTCTGCGCATTTTTGGCCTAAAGCACTTTCCATTAGTTGTGTGTAGCTGACTCACACTCTTAACTAACACTGGCTCCCCAACTGAACAAGCCAACATAACTGCAACTTGTTCTTTTTGCCTCTTACAGAACATTTATTTGAGGTAATCTCCAAACAGTCATCTGGGAAAAAAAAAATTTTTTGACTTTAAACAAATCCTGCAAGCCTCTTGTTATCTCCAGTAGAGGTCTGGGCTGTCAGAAAGGGTACAAAATAAAATCCAACTTTGATTGAGAACTTAGAATGTGCCAGGCAAAGTCTAAGAATATTACACATACGACCTCATTGAATTTTCAGAAGAACCCAGAGGTAGGTACTAGTCTTGGTCTCACTTAACAGATAAGGAAAATAAGGCCAGAGAGAGCTAAGATTTGAACCCTGGGAATCTTGCTCCCAAACTATACAGTAGTTCTCTTTTAACCATGGTTTTACTTTTTGCAGTTTCAGCTACCTGACACTAACTGCAGTCTGAAAACATTAAATGGAAAAATTCAAGAAATAAACAATTTATAAGTTTTTTATTTCATGCATTTCTGAGTAGTGTGATGAAATCTGAGACTGTCCTGCTCCATCTCGCCCAGGATATTAATCTACCCTTTGTCCAGTGAACCTGCATTATAGATGCTACCACCCTGCCCTTAGTCATTTAGTAACCCTTTCAGTTATTAGCTCAACTGTCCTGGTGTCACAGTGCTTGTGTTCAAGTAATGCTTATTTGACTTAACAATGTCCCCAAAGCACAACATTAGTGATGCTGGCTGTTTGGATATACCAAAAAAGAAGCCATAAATTGCTTTCTTTAAGCAAGAAGGGAAAAGTTCTCAACAAGAGAAGAAAAAAAATTGCCTGCTTAAGTTGCTAAAATCTATGGTAAGGATGAATCTTCTGCCTGTGAAATTCTGAAGGAAAAAATCATGCATAATTTATACAGGCTTCAGTACTATCTTCAGTTTCAGGCCTCCGCTGGGGGGTCCTGGGACATATCCCCCATGAATAAGGGTGTGGAGGGGCTACTGTATTCTTTTTCTTTATATTTATTTTATTATGCATTTATTTACCTATTTTGAGACAGAGTCTAGCTCTGTCACCAAGGCTGGAGTGCAGTGGCATGATCTCAGCTCACTGCAATCTCTGCCTCCCAGATTCAAGCAATTCTCGTGTCTCAGCCTCCGAGTAGCTGGAATGACAGACGCCAGCCAGCACACCCAGCTGATTTTTGTATTTTTAGTAGGGATGGGGTTTCACTGTGTTGGCCAAGCTGGTCTCGAACTCCTAACCTCGTGATCCACCCGGGCTCCCAAAGTGCTGGGGTTACAAGTGTGAGCCACCGCACCTGGCTTACTGTATTCTTGAATGTTACAGTAATATGCCTTTATATTCCTAGCAGTTAGCCTATTACTCAACTAAATCTTCTATTCTTATTTTTAGCCCTTGCCTCTCCCCTGGAGAAAAACATATGAGTCCTTTGAGAGCATTCATCCATTCATATGTTCACTCTTTTAATAAATTCTTCATTTATTTGTTCAGCAAACATTTCTGAGAAGTGGCATACTCTTGGGTAGATTCTGGGGATATAAGGACTGAACATTGCCCTTTCTTTTAAAAAGCATGTAATCTGGCAGATAAGGTGGACAAATAACATTGATACATGGTGATATTATGCTGTGGTACTAAGGAAGCACCCAGGAGAAATATGAACCCCAGAGTAAGGTAAGAAGATAAGTCAGGATTCAGGATGGGGAAGCATCTAGCTGTCTTAGAGGAACTACCATAGATTTTATGGATGAAGAACATTGATAATGGCACTTCAAACACAGGGGGAAAACTATGAAAAAACAAAAAAAAAATTTACCATTAGAAAACTGCAATAATTCCGTAGAATATAGGTCAAAAAAGGCAAGTGGGTAACAGGTCACAAAAGACCTTGATAGTCATATTAAGGGACACACATGTTCTTAGACTGTTTGTGGCAGAAAGTCGATGGAGGGATTAAAGAGACAAGCAACATAATACATTAGAATTTTTTTTAAATGACTCTATCTCAATAAGAAGAATAGACTAGAAAGGGTAAAAATAGAGGGAGGGTATCAAGGTAGGACATGTGTGCAGCAATCCAAACATGAAATAATAATGATGGAATGTCCTAAAGCAATGGCAGTAAGAATGTTGAGACGGGAAGTAGATTCTGGACATATTAGAGAGAGAAAGTCAACAAGTCTGAGAATGGTTAGATGTGCTGTACAAGGTACTCATATACTGGTTGGGCAGTGTACCCTTCATTGACATGGGACGGGGCACAGGAGAACATATGAGTGGAAGGAGAAAGATGAAAACCTCTAATTTTGTATATTGCCAGCTTTTGGGTTCCAAAGAAGAATGAACCTAATGACTTCCCCAGTAGAGCTGGCAGCTCTAAAATTTCAAAAGAAATGAGGGCCAGGTACGGTGGCTCACACCTGTAATCTGAGCAATTTGGCAGGCCAAGGCAGGAGGATCACTTAAGTCCAGAAGTTCAAGACCAGCCTGGGCCATATAGTGAGACCCTATCTCTTTAAAAATAATGATAGCAAATAAAAACATAAATAATGGAGACAGATGAGTAAGTAAACTGAGCCATTATTGAGGGTTTACAGGGCAGTTGAGGGGAAAAGATAGAAGACCTTGTGCTGGAGAGTTAAGCTGGCAATAAACTGGGAGAAGTGAGAAGGCTTGGGGAACTGACAATCTCTGAGAGAAAAACGTGTACTTGGGAGTGAAGAACTGAGAAGTCTTGGAGGAAAGAGGCTTTGTTTAAAGATTTGTACTTTGTGGTTTAAGATTTTCAGAGTTGTAGAATTGATGGCAGCTTTTCTAGCAGAGAAAGTTTATAACATTACCAAATATACCTCTTTTGATTCAATCTCTCAAAGTTGACAAAAGGCTAAGTGCTTTTTAAAGAAAAGTACATGAAATCCATGTGGTTATCTTTGTTTTCCACAAGGATATCCTAAAGGCATCTGTGATCATTGACATGTGCAATTTTCATTACTTCCAGTTATTTGATATAGAACTATTTAGTAATAACCTTCTCTAGAAGGACTGAGAAGATAAAATTCATCTAGAAAATATGTTAATCAATAATGTAATTTATTCCTTCACTTACCATATGGAAAGTATAGTAGAGTATATATTTTCCCAAATGTATTAGAGATTTTTATCCATTTCATTTTTCTTTTTTTGAAGGGTTGTCTGACACATACTTTAAAGACATCATTCCTCAGTTGGGTTTTAGTCTGTTAAAAGTTGGATTCTTATATCCCTAAAGACAAATCATGTGCAAGACATGTTCGTCTCCTGAGACTGCTCTGTGGAGATTTGGAATGTGAGAGTTTTGCCAAACAGTTGCTAAAAGGCAAACAGTTGAGATACCCCAACATTTTTAATACAATGCAATTTTCTTTGAGCCATCAGATTTGGATGAATATCAACTCATTGAAAACTCATATATTAATTGCAATTTCCTTTGAAAACAAGTTCAAGGAAAATATTGCTTATGAAAATGAAGATAAATTATGAAATCAGAGAACATGCTGTACCATAGGAAATATGAAAACAGCTCTCAGCTACATTGTACTTAGAAATGTTTTGTAAAATTATCACAGTCATATCTTTGAAGTAGGTAACCATTTCACCAACAAAAAACCAATACCATTTCCTATTCAAAAGAGAAAACACAGGTGATTTAACTTTTACAAACTATAAACTACTAAGACAGTAAAAGCTTTAACATTAAATTTTAATGAAATAATTATTAAGAAATGCTTTTTTATTTCAAAGAGGCTACACCAGACATGGAGAATGTGTACTAAATTTACAAAACATACTTCCCTCAGTTTCCTCGTCTGTAAAATGATCCTATGCAAGTATATGCCATGAGAATTAAATGTGATAATACATATGAAACATCCTATATAAAGGTCCTAAGTTGTAGTACCTAAAACAAATTTGGGGGTAATTTTCATTGAGTCACTTCCTGCAGAACCAACAATTATTATGATTACCCTCTTTGCTTACCAACACATGTAGCTGCCTATTGAGACCACATATAACACAGTAGAGGAGGCCCCTTCACTAATCCTAGTGAGAGATTACACCATACTTTTTATATGGTACAGTCCCTCATGTACCAGACATAAGACTGGATTGGTAAGATTTAAAGTGTTTTAAAAATTGAAATGAAATGAGAATTTTTAAAGCTCCATTAGTGACTTTTCATAACTGGGAAGTTTTTGAAACTGTATCTTTGTTATCTTAGTAGATAAAATTTCCCTATCAATATATTATTGGCAGACTGGCACATATGCTATGAGATTTTTCCATTGTGGGACTTGCCCTCTTATTCCTTTTTTGAGGAAGATCACCAAGAAGCTAAGAGTACTCCTAACTGGGTTGATGGAGTAACATAGGAGACAGAATTTGGAAATAGTCACCTAAGTGTTTATTTCATTTAAATTTCACTATAAGCTCTTTACACCCTCATGAAATTTGAATGTAGGAATTTTGATAGTGAGATATGATTTGGACAAGTAGAAATGGAATGAGGTCATATTCTATTATATGGTTTTCCTTGGTATAATTTGGTGAACAGTGAATACAATAATAAAAGTCCCAATCCTGATTGGCATCTAGAAAGACTGTTTTTCTCCAGAAAGAAATGACAGAGTTTTGAAGAATCTTTGTTTTTCTGATACTAGAATTTCATTAGGTTGATTACTTCTGGTGGGTCTTGATCATTGACTCTTCATTTCCATTGTTAACTCTATGGATGTGGCCCCCACCCCTACTCTGGAGGTACCCAAAGTAGAGACAATCACTTTTCTTTGAAGAAAATCCTGGGATCTCAGCAAGTTATGAATCTACTGGCTTGTTAAAGATATTTTCCAAATTTCATGTCACTTTCTTTTTTGGGGCAACAAATTGTAAATAGGCCAACATCCTACACAGGAAGAAGGTGGGCTCTTCCATGGCTGATGATTGTTACACAATGTATCATCCTTTGAGAAACGCGGAGATGCAGCAGAAGATTTGCAACTCTCATTGATAGCTATTCAACCTTCGAATTTATGGACAGAAACTAATTATGTATGAATTCACTCCAGATTCATTGTTATTCATGTATATACTAGATATCAAATTTTAAGTACGTAAAATGGTGGTGGGTTTTTAGCCACTTTCTCTTTGCCTTGGATCTTAATGATAAATGCGGGAACAATGGCTCTTCTGCTACCAAATACAGACAGCTAAATGTGCTTCTCTATTTCATTGTTTTCAGGTGGATAATCAAGTGATTTGGTTGCATTACCTGTGAACTCACTGCTTATCAGGTTTGAACTGATGAACTAGACAGTGTCTCCTCCATTGCTCCTGGGGTTACATGCTGGCTGAAAGGCAATGACCCTCCCAAGTAGCTAAGAATAAATAAAGCCAAAAGAAAGTAACAAGTTTCCATGTGATTTTCATTAAAAAGAGTGAGTTGAAAATCAAAATTTTAAAGCCAAAATAATCACTTTTGACAAGTGTCCTCCAATGTTTAATCGGCAAGTGTCTGTCAATTCTCCACATGAAATCAAATTGTTTTACTATCTAGGGTTATATTTTTCTCACTAATCTACGTTTGATTTTTGTAAAAGAGCTAAATTGGTTTAAATTAGCTGACCTGCATATATCCTTATGGAAACTATTTTATACTACCACAGGCAATCATCAATACTTCGTTTGAAAATCCTCCAAAATAAATTGGTGTGGTTGTGCCCTATAGAATTGAACTTTGGGATCTCAGAACCCATGTATATAAAAGTTCAAGAGGACCTAGATCTTCCTCTGAGTAAAACCTTGTGCTACCTGTAGACAGTACTTCACACCATCTTAATACTGATATCAGGGAAGTGGCACTAATCTTTATTTTAGTTAACTACTTCAGTCTTCCTTTGACCCATTTATCTACTTATTGTATCCAGTTGTGAATAATGTTTCTCTAAGGCATGAACTCGAACACTTTATTATTATTATTATTATTTAAAACTGAGTTTTAATAATAAAACAAGAGTTTGCTCTGTTGCCCAGGCTGCAGTGCAGTGGCACGATCTCGGCTCACCGCAACCTCCACCTCCCGGGTTCAAGCAATTCTCCTGCCTCACCTCCCGAGTTGCTGGGACTACAGGCGTGTGCCACCATATCCGGTTAATTTTTGTACTTTTAGCAGAGACGGGGTTTTGCCATGTTGGCCAGGCTGGTCTCTAAATCCTGACCTCAGGTGATCCACCCACCTTGGCCTCCCAAAGTGCTGGGATTACAGACATAGGCCACTGCACCTGGCCAACCTCAAACACTTTATGTTCCAAAGTGGGATATAAATAAATGGTAAGAAGAATAATAACAGCTACTATTAACAATAAATTTATACCTTAGACTTTTCCAGCTGGAAGAGGCCTGTAGAGACTGCCTAGTTTTTAATCTTAACAGCTGAGATTCAGAATAGTTAAGCAACTTAAGTCTGTAGCAGTCTCTACTACATTTCTCTATTGGTGAAAATCAGTAATTTCTCATTCTCCACTTAATATTCTCTCCGCTATTCCATGATGTGTCTCGGGCCAGGTGGCTCTGATTTTTCAGAGCAATAGTTTTTGTTCTCATCCTTTGACCAAAAGAAACATCTGGAATCTATCTATCCTCTGCCAGAATATCACTAGAAACCATGAAAGTAGGGATTTCCTTTCTCTAACACTGACCCTTTCACAAACCTGAAAATTTTCTGAACAAAAATTCCTGTTTGAAAATCTACATAAACATTAAAGCTTCAACTTGGGTTTTTAAGAGTTAATAACAGTTAAAATATCTTATAATGTAGTAAAATCTTCACACCCCATACACAGGGCTTGTAGTTGCATTTACATAGACATTCAGAATCTGAGAATTGTTATAAGTATTAGTAGCTGGCAAGAGAAAATAGAGGGAATCCAAAATTAAAGTGATTAAATCCATCCAAGAGGCTATTATCAAAAGGAAACTCCTCTCATTCTCATTCCACTTCCAAAGTGGAAAACAGCCAAGAAGCATTTTTCCCTCACCTCTTATCAAAGATTGCGTCCCTAATTTCAAAATCTAATGGTGCTAGCCTTTTTCTGGATCCATCTGTGCTATGTCTGGACTCTCTCTGCCACAGAAACTCAGGTCTGGTTTTATTCAATTGTACTTTGTGCTTTCTTTTTATGTACTCTTTAAATGGTTATTTTGACTATAGTTCTCATCAAACAAAAGATGTCTATCTTTTATCATTTGGAGATATTGAAGGAATGTATCTTCTCTCACTGCCTCTCAAAGCATTTACACCATTATATAATGAGAAGAGAAATTCCTCGGAGACCAGTTACCATAAACATGTGCAGGCTAAAGATATGCATATGTATTTTATATTTGATATATTTAGTTCAATATCTGAAAAGGCCTGAGTAAATTTATGATGTTCTGTTGCAAGCTATGTGATTTTTATAGACTCCAAGGAAAATATATTCTAACTTTTGCTCCCTCAGATAAAATGTATATTGAATACAAGACAGCTTGCCTTCTAAATGCACCTACTCATGTTGGAAGTCTAAGTATTTCATGGTATTTTGAAGCATACTTTGATATTTGAAAATGCATTGGTTTGCATAGATCTCTTTTGTCACAATGTCAAGCTTAAGTAGAAATATTGCCCGCAGTATTATTATCAGTCCTAAAGTATAATGATGACATGATTTGAAATGCAGCCAGCTGCAACCTGTAGTCTAGAATGGTAAAAATGACAGTCATACCATCAACATGTGATCTGGTGCCCACATGAGCTCCTCCTAGGACAGAGGTGGAGATGGCGATGCCAAAGGCACAGAAGGGATGTAGCAAAAGACCACACAGATGTAGTGTTTGCTGGGCCCTTTGATTAGATGTCTTGTGAATATTGCAAGAAGGTTAGGCTAGCTGTCATTTGTTAACTCGTGTGGGTTTGAACCCTAGCTCCAGGAGTATACAAATGGTGTTCACTTGTGCAAATTATTTAACCTCTGTATGTCTCCATAGCCTCTTCTGTAAAGTAGAAAAACAGTAGTCACCTCACAGAATTATTGAGGTTTAATAAGATAATGAATATCAAGTTCTTGTCAGAGACGTCTGTAGAAAGCAATGGTTAATAATGCAGACTCTGGCCCAAGAATGGCTAAGTTTTAAACTTGACCCTCACACTATCTGTGAAATTTTCTTAACTTCTTTTAGCCTCAGTTTTCTCTTTAGAAATATGGAGATGGTAAATAATAGTAGCATTGTTGTGTGGATAACATTAGTTAATTCATGTGATTGAGAAAAGTGCCTAATGCATGACAAATGCTCAAAAATATTAGTTGTTATTAGATTTCCTTAAAATGTTACTTGGAAAGCATCCAGGGCTGTGGAAATAGGGTTTGCTTTCAATTGTTTGCTTAGCTTTCTCCCATAACAAATAGAATGAGAAAGATTCTCCCTTTTTTTCTCTTCCTGTCAGTATCCCTCTTGTCTAAACCCATTTTCTCTGCTCTCAGAAGAAAGGAGGTATACTTGCTTTGGTGGTGGTGGAAAGGGGAGGGGTGCACATTAGGCTTGCATCCTGACCCACCTGTCTAGCAATATCCCCAGAATGCAGTGTGCACTGCCATGAAAGCTGGGAAACCAGACATTTGCAAGCACATGCGTTTCCCTGAGTGGTGTTACAAAGGATTCTACTTTATCTTGACTGCATTTTAGAGGTCTTAGATTTCATCTTTATTCATGGGATCAAAAAGTATGGCTTCCAATGCCAGGGTGCAGTTGTCTGTGGCTCAGCACTTGACAAAGGTGATTTTACTGGATGATGAATCTTACTGAATGTTACAACTAACAACGCTATTGTATGTAAGTAGATGGGGTTTGATGTACAGCCAGATGTACCAATCCTGAGAAAAGACAATGCTGCATTGCATTATCAATTTAATAAAGCATGTGCTGTCAGTAATATTTATTTCATTAAAAAATACATATGGTTGCTGATACAGTTTTTTGAATTGTGGCATATTGAGTCCTTGAACTCACAGATTCAGTTATATCAACATGAGCATCTTGTACAAATGTTAGCCTTGCCCACTCACCACCCTAGTGGAAAAGGCTACTGAAAAAGCAGGTCTAGTTGCCTGAAACGTCTGCCTGTCTATTTGAAAGGAGGAATTGAAGTGGGTTGAATAAGTAGAGAGACAGGTGGGTGGAAAGTAATAAGAAACTAGGTTTAGCTAGAAAGCGATTTCCTAAAGAACTTTTACTCTCATTGGTGTTCATCGTCCATAAAACTTGGCCTTATTTCCAGAGAAAAAGAATTAATGATCATGTGAAATTGGATGTCTGTCAATTTTTCTTAAGTTTCTCAGCAGCAAAACTTGTTCTTCACCCAAGTGTAACTGCTATTTGGTCAAGGTAAGACAACTTTCTATGTGTCTAATTCACTGTGTGTTATTCATGCTAAGAATGCAGTACAGGACTCTTTATATTAACTGAACAATCAGATGGTAAAAGAATCACTTTGGCCATTTGCTGTGTGAAGTTCAGGAACATTTTTTGATAAAATAAGTAATTCCATATGCATGTGAATTCTTAGTATTTGATTCCTGTTTCTCTTGTAATGTCCTTGGTCTTTTGTCTTTTGAATCAATTAGGTCAGTCTCAAGGGAATACAAAAAGAAAAAGAAAGAAAGAAAAACAGACCATAGTTTAAGCCAGAACACTCTAATACTGTCCACTCAACATATGGTGTTTATAGATCTTGAAAACAGAATGAGGAGGAATGCTTCAGGAATGCTCCCTACATGGTTTTAATTTGTTCATGTTTTAAGTCTTTGGTTCTGGAGTAGTTCTTATTACAGTGAATAAAATGGTTAGTGAAATGAGGGTAAAATATCATAATTATGTTCCTTAAATAAGACTTGTATGTCCCCTGTGGTATGCAAATATGCCACTTTTTACTCTTTTTGTTTTTTTAAAAAAGAAAATGTTAGAAGAAGGTCAGATTTGCTAAGGATAGAGGACTTACCTGATAATTCTGCACCTCTTCTAAGACACAATGTGAGAAGCTGCTGCATGGAGGTAGAGCTACCTTAAAATTCTTTGCTCTGAGCCAGGGCAGTACTGCTGGCCTTTGACTCCACAGGAATGTCCGCCCTCTGTCCAAACCTTCTTGGTCCAGACAGCCCAGCACAGATGGCATGAGTGTTTCTGCCGAGCCAGCCGGCAAGAACAGGCAGGCGGACATCTGCAGGTGAAGGCCAGGAGGGAATCACGACTGGAAGGTCACTGAAAGTCGATGCACAGAAAGGCTGTTTCCCCGGCAGCAGAAATTACCCTGTAAGACCTCTGCAGGTCCTCATAGGCAGTAGGCCAAGAGCGACGGACGCTGCATACTTACGCAGCCCTTAGAAGGGGATCCTGCACCTGGTGTCTATTAAAATCCAAAACACCTGAGTCACATCTGACTCTAAGATTATAACAAGCTTCCACCTAAGGTTCTGAGTGCCATACTGCCCTAGGAATGGGTCTGTTAGCACATTAAAATCACATGGAAAGTGTTTTAAAAACCCAGTGCCCAAGCTATACTCCAGAACAATTAAGTCATCATCTCCGGGGGTGGATAACAGCATTATCTACCTCTAAACAGTTCCTGCAGAGGACAAGGCTCAAACAGAAAGGAACACTCCTCAAAGCACAAAGCTATGGTGTTTTCTGATATGCTGTGTTAAGGGAGGCAGAGGCTGAGCTCTGGACACCCAAAATTAAAACTTGAACCGGTGGCTATAGAGATGTTATTTTCTCTTAAGAAATCGTATGTTAAGGAATAGAGAACTTTAGTTTCCTCATATGTAAAATAAGATAATTGGATAAATTGATCTCCAAGGTTCTCCCATTTCTATTTCCATAATCAAATGCTGGTGTAAAATTTCACACAGACTATTCTTTTCCTTTTTTGCCAAAATGTTCATTGATTTTTCTGATGATTAAAAAATGAGAATATTGGAATTTTATGTTTTAAAGTGCCTCCCCTAACCATCATTCTCAGCAAACTAACACAGGAAAAGAAAACCAAACACCACATGTTCTCACTCATATGTGGGTGTTGAACAATGAGAACACACGGACACAGAGAGGGGAACATCACACACTGGGGCCTGTCAGGGGGGTGGGGGGCTAGAAGAGGGAGAGCATGAGGACAAATAGTAGATGACAGGTTAATGGGTGCAGCAAACCACCATGGCACGTGTATACCTATGTAACAAACCTGTACGTTCTGCACGTATATCCAAGAACTTAAAGTATAATAATAAAAAAGTCAAAAAATAAAAAAAGTGCCTCCGCCACATTTCCAAATATCACATAATAGTAAATGAAACATTTTAAAAAGTTAAAAAGCTATTCACCACTTCTGTTCAAAATTGTATGCAAGGTCCTAACCGGTACAACAAAAGAAGAAAAAAAATTAAAGAATACAGTTAAAAATAAAAAAAAAACTACTTATATTCACAAATGACATGATTGTCTACATTTTAAAAATCCAAAAATATACGAAAAAGACAACTATATTTAATAACTGAGTTTGGGATATGAGGTCTTGGTATATAAGAACAATATACAAATATCAATTATATTTTTGTATAAAAGCAAGGAAAAAATCACAAATTTTTTAAAGTATAATTTAAAATTACATCAAAAACACCAACTACTTAGATATAAATTTAACAAAATCTGCACAAGATTTGTATGTTAAAACTACAAAATATTGATAAGAAAAATTAAAAATCTTTGATGTTCATGGATTACAAAGCTCAAAGTTGTCAAGATGTAAATTGTCCCTAAATTGATCTACAGATTCAATGCAATTTCAATATCCAAGCAGGCTTTTGTAAAAACTGAAAGGCAGATCCTAACATTTATGTGAAAAAGCAAAAGAAGGGTGGAGCCAAGATGGCCAAATAGGAACAGCTCCGGTCTACAGCTCCCAGCAGAAGATGGGTGATTTCTGCATTTCCATCTGAGGTACCGGATTCATCTCACTAGGGAGTGCCAGACAGTGGGCGTAGGTCAGTGGGTGCGCGCACCCTGTGTAAGCTGAGGCAGGGCGAGGCATTGCCTCACTTGGGAAGTGCAAGGGGTCAGGGAATTCCCTTTCCTTGTCAAAGAAAGAGGTGACAGACGGCACCTGGAAAATCGGGTCACTCCAACCCGAATACTGCGCTTTTCTGACGGACTTCAAAAATGGCGCACCAGGAGATTATATCCCACACCTGGCTCGGAGGGTCCTATGCCCACAGAGTCTCGCTGATTGCTAGCACAGCAGTCTGAGATCAAACTGCAAGGTGGCAGCCAGGCTGGAGGAGGGGCGCCGCCATTGCCCAGGTTTACTTAGGTAAACAAAGTAGCCAGGAAGCTGGAACTGGGTGGAGCCCACCGCAGCTCAAGGAGGCCTGCCTGCCTCTGTAGGCTCCACCTCTGGACACAGACAAACAAAAAAACAGCAGTAACCTCTGCAGACTTAAATGTCCCTGTCTGACAGCTTTGAAGAGAGCAGTGGTTCTCCCAGCATGCAGATGGAGATCTGAGAATGGGCAGACTGCGTCCTCAGGTGGGTCCCTGACCCCCGAGCAGCCTAACTGGGAGGCACCCCCCAGCAGGGGCACACTGACCCCTCACATGGCCGGGTACTCCAACAGACCTGCAGCTGAGGGTCCTGTCTGTTAGGAGGAAAACTAACAAACAGAAAGGACATCCACACCAAAAACCCATCTGTACATCACCATCATCAAAGACCAAAAGTAGATAAAACCACAAAGATGGGAAAAAAACAGAGCAGAAAAACTGGAAACTCTAAAAAGCAGAGCGCCTCTCCTCCTCCAAAGGAATGCAGTTCCTCACCAGCAACGGAACAAAGGTGGATGAAGAATGACTTTGACGAGCTGAGAGAAGAAGGCTTCAGATGATCAAATTACTCCGAGCTACGGGAGGACATTCGAACCAAAGGCAAAGAAGTTCAAAACTTTGAAAAAAATTTAGAAGAATGTATAACTAGAATAACCAATACAGAGAAGTGCTTAAAGGAGCTGATGGAGCTGAAAACCAAGGCTCGAGAACTACATGAAGAATGCAGAAGCCTCAGGAGCCGATGCGATCAACTGGAAGAAAGGATATCAGTGATGGAAGATGAAGTGAATGAAATGAAGCGAGAAGGGAAGTTTTGAGAAAAAAGAATAAAAAGAAACGAGCAAAGCCTCCAAGAAATATGGGACTATGTGAAAAGACCAAATCTATGTCTGATTGGTGTACCTGAAAGTGACGGGGAGAATGGAACCAGTTGGAAAACACTCTGCAGGATATTATCCAGGAGAACTTCCCCAATCTAGCAAGGCAGGCCAACATTCAGATTCAGGAAATGCAGAGAACACCACAAAGATACTCCTCGAGAAGAGCAGCTCCAAGACACATAATTGTCAGATTCACCAAAGTTGAAATGAAGGAAAAAATGTTAAGGGCAGCCAGAGAGAAAGGTCGGGTTACCCACAAAGGGAAGCCCATCAGACTAACAGCGGATCTATGGGCAGAAACTCTACAAGCCAGAAGAGAGTGGGGGCCAATATTCAACATTCTTAAAGAAAAGAATTTTCCACCCAGAATTTCATATCCAGCCAAACTAAGCTTCATAAGTGAAGGAGAAATAAAATACTTTACAGACAAGCAAATGCTGAGAGATTTTGTCACCACCAGGTCTGCCCTAAAAGAGCTCCTGAAGGAAGCACTAAACATGGAAAGGAACAACCGATACCAGCCGCTGCAAAATCATGCCAAAATGTAAAGGCCTTCGAGACTAGGAAGAAACTGCATGAACTAACGAGCAAAATAACCAGCTAACATCATCATGACAGGATCAAATTCACAAATAACTATATTAACTTTAAATGTAAATGGGCTAAATGCTCCAATTACAAGACACAAACTGGCAAATTGGATAAAGAGTCAAGACCCATCAGTGTGCTGTATTCAGGAAACCCATCTCACGTGCAGAGACACACATAGGCTCAAAATAAAAGGATGGAGGAAGATCTACCAAGCAAATGGAAAACAAAAAAAGGCAGGGGTTGCAATCCTAGTCTCTGATAAAACAGACTTGAAACCAACCAAGATCAAAAGAGACAAAGAAGGCCATTACATAATGGTAAAGGGATCAATTCAACAAGAAGAGCTAACTATCCTAAATATATATACACCCAATACAGGAGCACCCAGATTCATAAAGCAAGTCCTGAATGACCTAAAAAGGGACTTAGACTCCCACACAATAATAATGGGAGACTTTAACACCACACTATCAACATTAGACAGATCAACGAGACAGAAAGTCAACAAGGATACGCAGGAATTGAACTCAGCTCTGCACCAAGCGGTCCTACTAGACATCTACAGAACTCTCCACCCCAAATCAACAGAATATACATTTTTTTCAGCACCACACCACACCTATTCCAAAATTGACCACACAGTTGGAAGTAAAGCTCTCCTCAGCAAATGTAAAAGAACAGAAATTATAACAAACTATCTCTCAGACCACAGTGCAATCAAACTAGAACTCAGGATTAAGAATCTCACTCAAAACCACTCAACTACATGGAAACTGAACAACCTGCTCCTGAATGAGTACTGGGTACATAATGAAATGAAGGCAGAAATAAAGATGTTCTTTGAAACCAATGAGAACAAAGACACAGCATACCAGAATCTCTATGACGCATTCAAAGCAGTGTGTAGACGGAAATTTATAGCACTAAATGCCCACAAGAGAAAGCAGGAAAGATCCAGAATTGACACCCTAACATCACAATTAAAAGAACTAGAAAAGCAAGAGCAAACACATTCAAAAGCTAGCAGAAGGCAAGAAATAACTAAAATCAGAGAAGAACTGAAGGAAATAGAGACACAAAAACCCTCCAAAAAATTAATGAATCCAGGAGCTGGTTTTTTGAAAGGATCAACAAAATTGATAGACCGCTAGCAAGACTAATAAAGAAAAAAAGAGAGAAGAATCCAATAGACGCAATAAAAAATGATAAAGGGGATATGACCACCGATCCCACAGAAATACAAACTACCATCAGAGAATACTACAAACACCTCTACGCAAATAAAGTAGAAAATCTAGAAGAAATGGATAAATTCCTCGACACATACACTCTCCCAAGACTAAACCAGGAAGAAGTTGAATCTCTGAATAGACCAAGAACAGGATCTGAAATTGTGGCAATAATCAATAGCTTACCAACCAAAAAGAGTCCAGGACCAGATGGATTCACAGCTGAATTCTACCAGAGGTACAAGGAGGAACTGGTACCATTCCTTCTGAAACTATTCCAATCAATAGAAAAAGAGGGAATCCTCCCTAACTCATTTTATGAGGCCAGCATCATCCTGATACCAAAGCCGGGCAGAGACACAACCAAAAAAGAGAATTTTAGACCAATATCATTGATGAACATTGATGCAAAAATCCTCAATAAAATACTGGCAAACCAAATCCAGCAGCACATCAAAAAGCTTAACCACCATGATCAAGTGGGCTTCATCCCTGGGATGCAAGGCTGGTTCAATATACGCAAATCAATAAATGTAATCCAGCATATAAACAGAACCAAAGACAAAAACCACATGATAATCTCAATAGATGCAGAAAAGTCCTTTGACAAAATTCAACAACGCTTCATGCTAAAAACTCTCAATAAATTAGGTATTGATGGGACGTATTTCAAAATAATAAGAGCTATCTATGACAAACCCACAGCCAATATCATACTGAATGGGAAAAAACTGGAAGCATTCCCTTTGAAAATTGGCACAAGACAGGTATGCCCTCTCTCACCATTCCTATTCAACATAGTGTTGGAAGTTCTGGCCAGGGCAATTAGGCAGGAGAAGGAAATAAAGGGTATTCAATTAGGAAAAGAGGAAGTCAAATTGTCCCTGTTTGCAGATGACATGATTGTATATCTAGAAAACCCCATTGTCTCAGCCCAAAATCTCCTTCAGCTGATAAGCAACTTCAGCAAAGTCTCAGGATACAAAATCAATGTACAAAAATCACAAGCATTCTTATACACCAACAACAGACAAACAGAGAGCCAAATCATGAGTGAACTCCCATTCACAATTGCTTCAAAGAGAATAAAATACCTAGGAATCCAACTTACAAGGGATGTGAAGGACCTCTTCAAGGAGAACTACAAACCACTGCTCAAGGAAATAAAAGAGGATACAAACAAATGGAAGAACATTCCATGCTCATGGGTAGAAAGAATCAATATCGTGAAAATGGCCATACTGCCCAAGGTAATTTATAGATTCAATGCTATCCCCATCAAGCTACCAATGACTTTCTTCACAGAATTGGAAAAAACTACTTTAAAGTTCATATGGAACCAAAAAAGAGCCCGCATCGCCAAGTCAATCCTAAGCCAAAAGAACAAAGCTGGAGGCATCACACTACCTGACTTCAAACTATACTACAAGGCTACAGTAACCAAAACAGCATGGTACTGGTACCAAAACAGAGATATAGATCAATGGAACAGAACAGAGCCCTCAGAAATAACGCTGCATATCTACAACTATCTGATCTTTGACAAACCTGAGAAAAGCAAGCAATGGGGAAAGGATTCCCTATTTAATAAATGGTGCTGGGAAAACTGTCTAGCCATATGTAGAAAGCTGAAACTGGATCCCTTCCTTACACCTTATACAAAAATCAATTCAAGATGGATTAAAGACTTAAACGTTAGACCTAAAACCATAAAAACCCTAGAAGAAAACCTAGGCATTACCATTCAGGACATAGGCATGGGCAAGGACTTCATGTCTAAAACACCAAAAGCAATGGCAACCAAAGCCAAAATTGACAAATGGGATCTAATTAAACTAAAGAGCTTCTGCACAGCAAAAGAAACTACCATCAGAGTGAACAGGCAATCTACAAACTGGGAGAAAATTTTCGCAACCTACTCATCTGACAAAGGGCTAATATCCGGAATCTACAATGAACTCAAACAAATTTACAAGAAAAAAACAAACAACCCCATCAAAAAGTGGGCAAAGGACATGAACAGACACTTCTCAAAAGAAGACATTTATGCAGCCAAAAAACACATGAAAAAATGCTCATCATCACTGGCCATCACAGAAATGCAAATCAAAACCACAATGAGATACCATCTCACACCAGTTATAATGGCAATCATTAAAAAGTCAGGAAATAACAGGTGCTGGAGAGGATGTGGAGAAATAGGAACACTTTTACACTGTTGGTGGGACTGTAAACTAGTTCAACCATTGTGGAAGTCAGTGTGGCGATTCCTCAGGGATCTAGAACTAGAAATACCATTTGACCCAGCCATCCCATTACTGGGTATATACCCAAAGGACTATAAATCATGCTGCTATAAAGACACATGCACACATATGTTTATTGTGGCATTATTCACTATAGCAAAGACTTGGAATCAACCCAAATGTCCAACAATGATAGACTGGATTAAGAAAATGTGGCACATATACACCATGGAATACTATGCAGCCATAAAAAATGATGAGTTCACGTCCTTTGTAGGGACATGGATGAAATTGGAAATCATCATTCTCAGTAAACTATTGCAAGAACAAAAAACCAAACACCACATATTCTCACTCACAGGTGGGAATTGAACAATGAGAACACATGAACACAGGAAGGGGAACATCACACTCTGGGGACTGTTGTGGGGTGGGGGGAGAGGGGAGGGATAGCATTGGGAGATATACTTAATGCTAGATGGCGAGTTAGTGGGTGCAGCGCACCAGCACAGTACATGTATACATATGTAACTAACCTGCACATTGTGCACATGTACCCTAAAACTTAAAGTATAATAATAATAAATTAAAAAAAAAGAAAGAAAGAAAAAGCAAAAGACATAGACTAACCAAAACAATTTTGGAAAAACAACAACAAAGTTGACTGATTCACACTACAAGATTTAAAGACTTAGAAATCAGGACAGTGTGGCATGAGACTTTCAGAACTAGGTGAGGGCCGGAGGATATGGATTGAAGGAGGCACCTGAACCATACCACACACGGCTCACACAGTAGGAAGGGACCCCATCCATGCACTGGTCCCATTTTTGTAAATAAAATTTTATTAAAATACAAATCATTTTTTCCTGTAAGTATGACTTATGCAACAATCGTGATATACTTAAACTACAAAAATGTTTTATGGCTTATCTAAAATTCAGATTTAACTGGGTGTCCTGTATTTTATCTGGCAAACCTATGCATAATCTCAAAGACTAAAATATTTACTATTTGGACCTTTTATAGAAAATGTTTGCCAAACCCTGGTTGGAAAGGAAGAAAACTGTCTCTAAAAATTATATTATCAATATTTCCAATCATTTAAAACTGTGCTGTCATTAAAGGAATTCATAAAATAAATAAAGCATAAATATATTTGTCTTCGTTCAGCTACAAAGATTGAAATATTATACACAAAATTTTAACAATATGGCTATTTTCACCAGTTTTAAAACTTTCATCTAACCATTCTAAATGTGAGAGTATACTATATTCTAGAGCAGCAGATCATAAACCTGCACATCAGATCAACCTAGGATGCTTTTTTAAAGAAAAGCACATATTCTTAGACCTCCACTCGGAAATTCGGATTTTTTAGTGCCTGAAATAGAAACTAGGAATCTGTATTTTTTTTTTTTTTAATTTCTTTGAGATGATCCTGATGTACAGACCAGAGACCTGGTGAGTTCCAGCAGTAGTCTGAAAACTTTAACCTGCATTGGAATAAGCTGGAAGTCTTGTTTAAACAGACTGCTGAACCCCCAACTCCAGATGTTCTGATTTAGTAAGTATACAGTCGGGCACAAGAGTGTCTAACAATTTTCCATGTGACGCTGGTACTGCTGGTCTGGGGACCTCATTTTGAGAAAGAATGTGTTGCAGAATTTTATGTACCTAATTTGTGGCTCTCTTTTTAAATTCAAATCCACATTATTAACAAAAATTCAATATTATATAATATAATGGAATTTTATCACTACAAAATGGACTGTATTGTTTATTTCATCTAGAAAATAAATACTACGTTTTTATATTTGTTCTTCAAACTGTTTTGCTATAACCTAGAATGTCTCTAATTTCATCAAAAAAAGTCATAAGAATGTAATGCCTGTAAGTCTTAAGCAGTTAAGTCTTAAATGTGGGATTGGAAGATTATTGTAAAAATTAAGCTATTTACTAATAAACAAGCTTAGTAAAGTTTCAAGATACAAAATCTATATGTAAAATTCAACTGTTGCTGGGCACGGTGGCTCACACCTGTAATCCGAGCACTCTGTGAGGCCAAGGTGGGCAGATCACCTGAGGTCAGGAGTTCAAGAACAGCCTGGCCAGCATGGTGAAACCTCATCTCTACCAAAAATACAAAAATTGGCCAGGCGTGGTGACTCATGCCTGTAGCCCCAGCTACTTGGGAGGCAGAGGAAGGAGAATTGCTCAACCCAGGAGGCAGAGGTTGCAGTGAGCTGAGATTGCACCATTGCACTCCAGCCTGGGTGACAGAGAAAAACTCCATCAAAAAAAAAAAAAAAAAAAAAAAAAAAAGCCAATTGTGTTTCTCTAAAGTAAAAATGAACAAACCAAAAATACAACTAGGAAAACAATTATATTTTTAAAACATCAAAAGTAATAAAATGCTTGACAATAAATTTAACCAAGGAAATGTAAGACTTATACACTGAAAACTATAAACATTGTTGAAAGAAATTAAAGAAGAGCTAACGAAGTGAAAGACATCCCATGTTCATGGCTTGGAATGCTTAACATTATTAAAATGACAATACTCTGCAAATTGATCTACAGATTCAAAATGATTCCTATTAAAATCTTAGTTAACTTTTTTGGAGAAATTTGCAAGATAATCTTAAAACTCCCATGGAAATGCTAGAGAAAAAGAATAACCAAAAAATCTTGAAAGGGAAGAACTATGTTAGAGGATTCACATTTTCTAATTTTGAAACTTACTTGAAAGCTAGAATAATCAAAACAGTGTGATACTAGCAATAGACTAGACATTGAATTATGAGTGCAGAAATAAACCCTCACATTTTTAGTCAATTGACTTTTGACAAGGGTGACAAAACAAATTATCTTTTCAACAAATGGTTCTGGGATTGCTGGACATTCACACACAAAAAGAAGAAAGTTAGAACCCTCTGTTACACCATATACCAAAATTAATTCAAAATAGATCAAATAACTAAATTAAGTGATTAAAATTATTTTAAAATAATTTTTATTAAAGATTATTTACAATGTATACTTTTTTATAAAAATATTAGAAAACTTGGGTTTAAATCTTTGTAATTTGAAACAGAAAACTGCTTCTTAAATAGGGCACAGGCTGGGTGTGGTGGCTCATACCTGTAATCCCAGCATTTTGGGAGGCCAAGGCAGGAGGATCACAAGGTGAGGAGATTAAGACCATTCTTGCTAATACAGTGAAACCCTGTCTCTACTAAAAATACAAAAAATCAGCCAGGTGTGGTGGCACGCGTCTGTAGTCCCAGCTGCTCAGAAGGCTGAGGCAGGAGAATTGCTTGAATCCAGGAGGCGGAGGTTGCAGTGAGCTGAGATCACGCCATTGCACTCCAGCCTGGGTGACAGAGAGAGACTCTGTCTCAAACAAACAAATAAACAAACAAAACAAATAAACAAAAAGGCACCCAAAGCACAAACAACAAAAGAAAAATTGATAAACTGGGAATAATCAGAATTTAAAACTTTTGTGCTTCAAAGGACACTACAAAAAAGCAAAAGGGCAACCCACAGGAGAAAATTTTTGTAAGTAATATACTTGATAAGGGACTAGTGTCTAGAATATATAAATGACTATTAAAACTCGGTAGTAAAAAGACAACGCAATTGAAAATAGGCAAAAGATCTCAATAGACAGTTATCTAAAGAAGATATACAACTGTTCCATAAGCACGTGAAAAGGTGCTCAAGGTACTTGGGAGGTTGAGGCAGAAGAATCACTTGAGGCCAGGAGTTTTAGACCAGCCTGAGCAACATAGCAATACCACGTTTCTAAAAATAAATAAATAAATATGTTAAAATCTAAAAAGGAAAAAAAGATGTTCTAGGTCATTAGTCAACAAGAAAACACAAATCAAAACAACAATAAGATACTGCTTCATAGCTACTCAGATGGCTACAATAAAAACACACACATACATAAACACACACACACACACACACACACACACAGAGAGAAAATTACAAATGTTGAAGGGAATATGGAGAAATTGGAGCCTTCATGCATCACTGGTAGAAATGTAAAATGGTGCAGCCATTTTGGAAAACAATTTGCCATTTTCTTAAAAACTTAAACATGGAATTACTATATGAACCAGCAATTCAACTCCTAGGTATATACCTAAGAGAAAAGATAATGCATGCCCACAGAAAAACGTGAACACACATGCTCATAATAGTATTATTTATAATAGCAAAAAGGTAGAAACAACCCAAATTTCCATCAGCCAATGAATGGATAAATAAAATGTGTTATACTTATGCAACAGAATATTATTCAGCAATAAAAAATAAATGAAGTACTGATACATCCTACAATATAGATGACCCTTGAAAATGTTATGCTAAGTTAAAGCAACCAGACACAAGACACTACATGTGGAATGATTCCACTAATATAAAATGACCAGAATTGATGCATCTATAGAGACAGAAAGTCGATTAGCAGTTGCATAGAGTTGGTAGATTATGGGAAGATTGGAGGGTGACTACTGAGGGATACAGCATTTCTTTTTAGGGCAATTAAAATGTTCTAAAATTGATGGTGATGGATTCACAACTCTGGCTACACTGAAAGTTTTTGAACTGTATATTTTTAAAGTGTGAATTGTAGCCTGGGCAACATAGTGGGACCCTGTCTCTACAAAAATATTAAAAATTCACTAGGCATGGTGGTGTTATGGGATCTTTGGGGTGTTGCTTTTCTGGCCAGAAACTTCTCTGGCTGGTGGCACCTTTGCCTAAGTTCTTGTCCTGTGTCCTAGAAGAACGGGATGTGCAGACAAGTGGAAGGTGAGCAAAATGAAGAGGAGCTTTACTGAGTGTTACAACAGCTCAGAGGAGACCCAGAGTGGGTAGCTGCTCTCTGTAAGCAGGTTGTCTCACCAGGTGTTCAGTTCTCAGAAGAGAAAAGGCCCTGGAGAGGGTAGCCTCTCCAGGGGGAGGGTGGGGGCAAGCCATCAGTGACACAAATCTATAGTATACCTGCCTACTCCCAGCTCCCAAGAGAACAGGGGTGCCTGAGTTTCAGCCATGGCTTGGGAATCTGCAGCTGCACCTGGGGAGCTCCTGCTCTGCCAACTTGGAAGGGGCAGAGTTCCCACTTGTCCCCAATTCCCACTGGCTCCATGGAGCCTGGCACCCAGTCATGCTCCCTTGTTTCCTGGGACAGGGGCTCCAGGCCCTCGCTGGGTCTGCGCTGGCATTCAGGGCAGGGGCGATGTTGCCACAAGCTCCTCCTGTGGCCCCAGCACTCAGTGGTGGCCTAGCACATAACCCGGACTGGCCCCATCATAGTGGTCTCCAGGATGGTGGGCTGTCCACCTCCTTCCCGTGCCTTCCCGGCAGCTGCTGGTGTGATGGCAGTGGCTGCACCAGATGGCCCACTGCTGCCATCAGTGGCACACATCTGTAGTCCCAGGTACTTGGGAGGGTGAGGGAAGAGTATCCCTTGAGCCCAGGAGTTTGAGGCTGCAGTGAGCTGTGATTATGACATTGTACTCCAACCTGGGTGAGAGTGAGACTCCATCTCACAATAAAAGGATGATTTGTGTAGTATGAGTTATATATCAAAAAATGTGTTGTTGTTTTTAAAAAAAACACTTATGTTAAGAACATTGTTCTGTAGTAAAATAGGCATTTTCAATTGCAACAAAAGCAAAAATTGACAATTGGGTCTAATTAAACTAAAGAGCTTCTACACAACAAAGGAAACTATCAACAGAGTGAACAGACAACCTACAGAATGGGAGAAAAATTTTGCAATCTATCCATCTGACAAAGGTCTAATATCCAGCATCTATAAGGAACTTAAACAAATTTACAAGAAAACAAACAAACATCCCCATTAAAAAATGGGCAAAGGACATGAACAGACACTTCCCAAAAGAAGACATACATGTGGCCAACAATCATATGAAATAAAGCTTAACATCACTGATCATTAGAGAAATGCAAATCAAAACCACAATGAGATACCATCTCATATCAGTCAGAATGGCTATTATAAAAAATCAAAAAATAACAGATGCTGGTGAGTTTCCAGAGTAAAAGGAATGCTTATACACCGTTAGTGGGAGTACAAATTTGTCCAACCATTATAAGACAGTGTGACAATTCCTCAAAGACCTAAACTAGAATTGCCATTTGACTCAGCAATCCCATTACTGGATATATATCCAAAGGAATATAAATTTTTCTATTATAAAGAAACTTGCAGCTAGGCATAGTGGCTCATGCCTGTAATCCCAGCAATTTGGGTGGCCGAGGCTTGTGGATCACCTGAGGTCAAGAGCCTGAGACCAGCCTGGCCAACATGGTGAAACCCCATCTCCACTAAAAATAAAAATTAGCCGGGCGTGGTGGTGCATCCCTGTAATGCCAGCTACCCAGGAGGCTGAGGCACGAGAATTGCTTGAACCCAGGAAGCAGAGGTTGCAGTGAGCCAAGATCGCACCACTGAACTTCAGCCTGGGCAACAGAGTGAGACTCTATCTCAAAAAAAAAAAGAAAAAAGACACATGCATGCATATGTTCATTGAAGCACTATTCACAATAACAAAGACACGGAATCAACCTAAATGGCCACCAGTGATAGACTGGATAAAGAAAATATGGTACATATACACTATGGGATATTATGCAGCCATTAAAAAAAACAAGATCATGTCCTTTGCAGCGTCATAAATAGAGCTGGAGGCCATTATTCTTAGCAAACTGACACAGGAACAGAAAACCAAATACCTCCACCCTCGCAATGCTGTAAGAAACTACCTAAGACTGGGTAATTTACGAAGAAAAGAGGTTTAATCGACTCATAGTTTTGCAGGCTGTACAGGAAGCATGGCCAGGGAGACCTCAGGAAACTTACAATCATGGTGGAAAGTGAAGGGGAAGCAGGCACATCTTCACATGGCAAAGCAAGAGAAAGAGAGCAAAGGGAAAAGTGCTATACACTTTTAAGCAACCAAATCTCATGCGAACTTACTCACTATCATGAGAATAGCAAAGAGGACGTCTGCTCCCATGACCCAATCACCTCCCACCAGGCCCTCCTCCAACAGTGAGGATTACAATTTGACATGAGATTTTGGTGGGGACACAGACCCAAACTAAATCTCCACATTGTCTCACTTATAAGTGGGAGCTAAATGATGAGAACACATTGAACATGCAGAGGAACAACACACACTGGGGCCTATCAGAGAGTGGAGTGGGGGAAGAGGAAGAGGAATCAGAAAAAGTAACTAATGGGTACTAGGCTTAATACCTGGGTAATGGAAATAACCTGTACAACAAACTCCCATGACACAAGCTTACCTATATAACAAAACTGCACATGTACCCCTGAACTTAAAATAAAAGTTAAAAATTATATATGTACATTTTGATGTTCAGTCCTAGTTCTCTCTGAAAATATGTTGTTGAATTTACGTTGAGTTTAGCGTTTGTTGCTTAATTTTGTAGTCTTTATAGTAAAACTACAGTACCACATATTTTCACTGTGCAAATAAGCAGCCTTTGCTTCAAATGGATGTTTCTATTAACACTATGCTAATTATTGAAAATAAATATGTGCAAGTATGAGCTTCTGCTGACTGCCTCTCAACCTATCTTTTCCTCCTGCTGGTTCATGCTGAGGGGCTTTGGCTTACTGAAGCTTGCCAGGGACCCGGTTTGAACATTCTCTTATCTAATAGTAATCTACGGAGACTATCTGATCACTGAAATTTACACAACTCTTTTCATCATCCTGGTAAAGAAAAATCATACATAATACATGTAATACTATAAAACAAATAAGGAAATTTTCATTCAAAATAAAAAGCTTAGCTCATGAAAGACTGTATTTTTAAGATAATTATTTTTTTTTTGATGAATGAAAGCAGGATCCCAGAATCCCAAATCAAATCCCAAAACCAAAATCATGGACTAAGGTGAGCATGTGTCTGCATGACAGAATATTTAAATAAATTTTTAAAAGCTAGACACTTAATTTTCAACTAACAAAATTGGCAATGTTTGGGGTGTGGTAAATGCTTGTTTCCTCTTTCTGCTTTCTTTTTAAGCCTTCAAAGTATTAATCCTCTTTCTGTTCAATAATTTCTATTTCACACCATTTTTTAGGCCGTCACAGATTCTTCAAGTCTTATTTTGACACATTGTATCATAACCATTCTAATGCTACGAAGATTAGGCATCATGACTAACTAACTGGGAGACCATTCTGACAGACACGGAATAATCCTTGGGAGCTTCTACCAAGTGGAGCATGGGTATTTCTTTGTATTAGGAATATATTTAAGTCAATATATGGAAAGCAGTGTGCAAGACCAAATATGATATTTTCCCTTCAATGATTAGGTGCTCTACAATAAACATAAAAGAATTTAGCAAGATAAGAGACATGAAACAATCTTATAAAGTATCATACAAAGATTATTTAGAACTGGTAGTAATAACAGTAATAATTTCTGAGAACATAACGATTATTATTCATTTGCAAAGCTGCATGGATTTAGTAACTCTTTAAAATGCTTTATCTATAAAGTTCTAGGGATATGAAATTAGAAATCAAATCAGATTTACTAAGATTTGGAACCAGGGCATATTGCCATATTCTTAGAAGAGAAAATATATTGTATTTTCAACATGATTTAGTGGTAAAAAGATTTTATTATTACCGAGCCTATTGAGGCCTAGAAGATCATCAATAAACAGTGATAAGTAGGCTCACTTGCAAGGAAAAAATGCCTAGCCTCTGCAAACGAGATTTCCTAATGCAATACTGGGCCAAATTTGACTTTATTTCATTCAGTGACTTCACAGCTTCTGAAAAAGGGGTTCTTGTGACTTCTGCAGTTCAGTGACTGCAAAGATTGAGCAAAGTGTGTTTCTTTAAGTAAACACCTCAAAATGGATACCTTGTGAGAATAAATACCTTTTGTCTGTAATATTTGTTTTATGGGAAAAAAAAGATGTCCTAATTTAAATAAAAGTCATTTCTTTGGAGGAAAGGAATCATTAATGGTAAGAAATAAGGACCCCTCAATTTCACCTGACCCCTTTCACCGCCCCCCCCCATAAATTTTAGGTATGGATGATAGAGAATATTTTAACAAAACATAAAAAAAAACTTCCTGTTTCATATGAAGGCAGGTAAAGTGATAAATAGATATCCGGAGCCCCAAAGAGCTAATTTCAAAACTTTGCACATCTGTCTAGATTCTGGTAAAGAAAGGCTAGTTTGGCTAATTACCTGGCCTGAAACTTGTTCCTGTTTCCATTATTTTAGCCAATTCGCTTATATTTGTTATATGAGTAATAAAGTACTTATAATTCCTTCTGAGTTTTTTCCCCAGATCTCTCCATTATGACTTAATTTTTATAGTAAATGGTTTAATTTTTAGGCTAAAGATCTTGAAAACGGGTGATTCACTACGGATCTGCTAAAACACCTCCTCAAAATATAAAGCTTTCTATTATTTCTTCAATACAGTAATACTGCACTTTATAGAATCAAAGAGTCCAAACTGCAAGAAATACAAATATCGTCTGCCTTTCTAGAAAAAGAAAAGGCTAATGCCAATTAAACTATGGTTCATGCCTCCTTATACTGAACATCTTTATTTTCCATTTAATGACACAGTTATTTGAGACTTATTTGGGCATAGATATTTATCACCCAAGTCCCATGTAGAAAGGAAAATAGAAGCAAAATCAATTTATTATGACATTTGTAAATCTTGGCATGTGACAGAAAATCCTTTAGCACACATCTCAGTACCAGGCATAACATGGATTCCACTTTGGGGCATCTTTCTTTCTAAGATCTCATAAGGCATGTGGTTATTGCCTTATAAGAAAATATGAAGTTGTGGTAATTTCCACAGGGATGAGCATTTTCTTCACTATATCATATTGATGCTTCATTGCTATGCTTCTGTGCTTTTCTGTTACATAAATGTCTATTTCAATGCCAAATCATAGTGTAATATTTTTAAGAACATTTTGCATGGCATTTAAACTCAACACATACGGCTGACTCAGTTGAATTAACAACAATAAGACCAGCAATGACCAGGTTCACACATAAGCAACTAATGACTACTATGTCAGATTGGCTCCTAACCATCAATTGTAAGATTCATGCTGATTTTAAATATGTTAAAATGGGAAGAAATGTGAATCTTAGAGTCATTTAAATCCAGTAACGATCTTTATATCTGTGTCATGGTGGCTATCATCATGAATTTGGTAATGAAATAGACATGGATGCTGATCTAGTCATTTAATGCTGTGTGATGCCAAGCAAATTAACCTCTCTAAGCCTTAGATCTCTTAAAAGTGAGTACCATAGTAATACGTACTGCATAGAATTAGTATAAGGATTAAACAACATAGTTTCTACATAAACTGTCCATTAGATATTAGATATTATGATTTTTATTAGAAATATTACCTTTTTGAATCTTCATAACCATCTGTGATATGGATAGGGAGACAATATTATCCCCATTTTGCAGCTGGGAAGAACAAGAATCAGAGATTGTGATCTACCCAAGATCACAAAGCCAGCAAGTGTCCTGGAGGGAATATCAGAGGTCTTTCCATACTCCTCTTGGGTTGAAGCTGGTATTATATAGATAAAGTTCCTATTCCCGTTTTTAAAATGTTGAATTAGCTCGAATAAATATAAAAATGATCTTAGCATTGTGGATATTTTCAGTTCTAAGCATCCAACTTCTCTTTATTCAAGTAACTGTAACTCTTCCCAACTTTCAATCCATATGCTTTGCACTGGGCCTTAATTCCTGGTTTAGGGGATAGAACAAAAGGCCTAGGTTTGGCCAATCAGGACTTTGAATTCTTCTGGCTGCAGTTTGATCCAAGAATAGACACTTAATTCAAGCCAAGTCAGTCAGAATAAATCAGAACTAATCTCAGGACTTTTACTTGACTAACCAGAAAGAGATATTTAAACAGAACGGACATTTCCTTCTTCTGTTGGGCTTTAACTTGAGGAGGTGTGAGGCTGGAGCAGCTGCTGCCATATTGTAACCACATGGATTCTGAAAATGAAGCCAAAACATGGAAGAAAGTATGGCCAAGCTGGGCGACAGATAGAGACCAGCTACTAAATCCAATATGTGAGCTTCTGAATCCAGCCACACTTGAATTTAGCCCTAGTTTTTACTTCTCAGTTATATCAGTCAATAAATTCCCTTTCTCTGAACAAATAACAGACTCCTGAGCAAAGGGCTCTAGGTGGGGCAATATAAACTAACAACAGGTATGTGTGTGACAGGTACCATGACTTCCATGTCCAATACATAATTCTTTATCTTTTTCCTAAAACAGCCAAATTGGACAAATAGTAATGATTTAGTAATGATTGAACACCACCCATCTGCAGTGCACACAAGTCCAACAACAGCAAAAAAATGTTTACTGTGTCAGTGTCTGTGCCACTGGCCAACCATGTTTCTATGTTAATTTATACTAAGCAATGCTGCAGGAAGAGTTAGTTTTGTGCATATTTAAATATTTTGTGCCCTAAATGACATGCACATGGAATTGTTTATTTCACTATAGCTAAGTCCACTCTGATTGGTGTCACCATGCATTTGAAAATGGTTGACCCTATGCAATTAAATTTGTTGCCTCTTAATACTCTACAATCTGACTAGTCAGAAAGCCAGTGAAATTAATCCAACTAGCTAATTACAATAATCTATTCAGACATGCTAAAGAGTAAAATCTAGGCTCATCAAGACACCACTAATACTGATGTTCAAATATAAAATCAGAAAAAGGGCAAAATGGCAAGTAAACATTTCCTTTACTAGATAGGTAGTACATTTTCTTTACTAAATGTGAAATATTTATTGAGGAGGTTAGTGTATCTAAGATTCTTTCAGGAGATATTAACAACAGCTGAAACATTTATATGCATATACAGAAATCTATATGTTTCCACATTTTAGTATTTCCCTCTTATTTCCACTGCTACAGAGAAATTACTGTACTATTTTGATTTTTATGTTTCTTAAACATGGTGACTTAAGTTGTTGTTTTAACATAATATTTTTAAACCATCTATTCCTACTACTAATCCACATGTGTTGCAAAAATGTTTGTATACAGAATGGGGTTCCAAAGAGAAACAGATTGTGAGTTAACACCACACACATAGAGTTTTGTTAGATTTAACGTATAATTATATATAGCATAGATAATAAATCTGCATAGGCACATGTGTTCAATAAGTATGAATATTATCATACATATACACTTCTATTTCTTATGTTATTTCTTTTTTTTCCAGGAGAAATAACTTTGTTTGGACTGAGAGCTGGAGAACGAGAATAGGACCTGAGACAGCATATTGGGCTAAGGAGGAGAGGTGAGTTTCCTAAATGGCAGTCAAAGCTCATCGACCGAACGGACTCTACTTCCCAGCAACCTTGCAGTTAGTGCAACCAACAAAAGGCCTGCTGAGGAATGTATTTGCCACTAAATTCCCCAAATATGCCAACACTACAAAAAAGACGGAGGCTTTTTGTTATAATTAAATTTCCACAAACCTCCCCAATCACAAGTATTATAAGAGGAAGTAAAAAAATCACATTTTACAGATCTCAAGCTTGTCTTCAACATTTAGTTCATCATCTTAAAGAAATAACTCCCCTGCTAAACTCATTAGCTATAGGATCTATCCAAGCAGCAAGAAGATGGCCATGCCATGGCAATCCTCTTCCCATCTTCCCTAGCCACTCAGGGCTGAAGAGCAAGGTGAGGCTCAGGTGGGGGTAGGGGTGGAGAGCCCAAGGGCTACTTTTCCCCAGTAGATCATGGCATCTGAAGCTAGATGGGAGAGCAGAACTGATGAGACTTGAGGGAAGGGTCCAGGGCCTGTATTCAGTCAGAGTCACTGCTGGAAGAGGAGGAGGAAGGGGAGGAGGAATGCTTGGCATGCTTGTGGTGCTTGTAGTGCTTGTGTACCTTTTTAGGAAATTTCTTCATTTTCTTCTGAATCTTCTTGTCCACTATCACTCCTGGTCCAACCATGTCAGGAGCCAAGGGATTCACAGGAGGCATTCCAGGGGCAGGAGGGGGTGTGAAAGAGGGTGGGGAACCAAGGGTTGGCATCCTGGATACTGTGGCTGTGGCACAGGATGAGGGGCTCCACTTGGGGGAAAAGTTGGATTGCCCTGCAGAGCTCCTCAGGGAGGAGGAAAGGGGCCTGGGGAAAGGGTGGATTGATAGGTGGTGGGTGGGCAGGATTGGGCCTCCAGGGTACCCAATGTTGGGAGAATATAGATTTGGCCCTGGCTGCCCGGCATTGGGATTCCACGTGTTTAGATGTGTCCTCCAGCCCCATCACCTTTCCACCACCACCTAGGCTTGGTGCGTTCTGGTTATTTCTTTCTCCTTTTCCTTACAGGACAAGAATCGAGAGAGAAAAATTCTTCCTCAATTTACCACATCAAAAAATGATCCACACATATATGTTCTCGAAATAGTAATTGCTACTGTCTGCCTTCCCTCAATACAGCAGATGAAATGTTAAATTAAAGAAGCTTTTGTTACTGGTGAAGGGTCTTGACTATGAGTGGTCCAGGTTCTTGCCATTTTGAACAAAGAATTGGACAAAATGCAAAAACAAAGCAATGAAATAATAAAGCAACAAAAGCACAGATCTATTACAATGAAAGTACACTCCACAGAGTAGGAGCGGGCTTGAGCAAGCAGCTCAAGAGCACTGGTTACAGAATTTTCTGGGATCTAAATACCCTCTAGAAGTTTCCCATTGGTTATTTGGTTTACACCCTATGCAAATGAGGTAGTGACCTGCAACCAGTCTGATTGGTCATGGAAGGTGACCAGTCAGAGGCTGAGTGAAGTTACAAAGTTAACACACTATGCAAATGTCTGATTGGTTGCAGGAGGGGACCAATTAGAGGCTGAAGTAAACTTACAAAGTTATACCCCTATGCAAATGAAGACTAGGCCTGTGACCAGTCTGACTGGTTGTTGTATGGGAATAATCAGAGGTACTTTCCATTTCTCATCTGTGATTCAGAAAGGAGTGGGGCAAAGGAAGTAGCCTCTGTTCTTTTGTTACTTGGGTGTGGAAAGTTGGGGTTTTCCTTTTGATTTATTTCTAGGAAGTCAGTGTGAATTGGCCTTAGGTTCCCTACCTCCAGGCCCTATTCTCCTGCCTCACTTGACAGCTTGCCATTGATTGAAATGAGATGGGAAAGAACTGGTCAGCTAATCTTCCTCAGCCCCTACAAAACTTCTCCTTTTCATTCCCTTTCTATTCTTGCCGTGTCATCTACTTGAGGTGTATTAGGCTGTCAGTTACCTGTAAACATTTAACTTCACAGGAAAAAGTGCTCGCTATGGAGTAGTGGAGTGATAACAGTGATCCGACTGATATTTTGCTGAATGAGTTTTTCAAACATTTTAAACCCCAGCCAATAATAAGAAGCACACTTCTGATAACAACTCAGTACATATAAATATTTATATTTTTATATATATGTATAACTAAAACAAAGTTTCAACCAATGTTAACCATTATTACACGCAATGCATGCTGCTAATCTATTTCTCGATTTTATTTTATATTATTACTTGAGACGGAGGTTGCTCTGTCACCCAGACTAGAGTGCAGTGGTGCTATCTTAGCCTACTGTAACCTCTGCCTCCCAGATTCAAGCGATTCTCCTGCCTCAGCCTCCTGAGTAGCCTGGACTACAGGTGTGCAGCACCACACCTGCCTAAGTTTTTGAATTTTTAGTAGAGACAGGGTTTCACCATGTTGACCAGGCTGGTCTTGAACTCCTGAACTCAGGTGATCCGCCCACCTCGACCTCCCAAAGTGCTGGGATTACAGGCGTGAGCCACTGTACCCAACCTATTTTATTTTTTCAAATGGTAATTAGGAACCACTACCTTGATAGTCATGATCTTTTATTAGGTCATGATCTACTGGTTAGAAAAGTACTGTTCTCTAGGGAAGAACACAGCTTAAGCTAGAAAGAGCTTGAGTCTTTATATAGGTTTAAGTCTGACTTCCCCATTAACTAGCCATGTGAGCCCTGAAAAATTACTTAGTTTTATCAGTGCTCAGTTTCCTCATCTATAGAATGAAGAAAATTTTCCTACTTTTCTACTTTGTAGGATGAGAATCAACGAGATGATGTGAAAATCCAAGCCCATTCACTGACACATAGCAGACCGAAAATAAATATTGGTTCCTGGATGATCTCTCAAAAAGAATGAGATCATGTCCTTTGCAGGGACATGGATGGAGTTGGACACAGGAACAGAAAATCAAATACCATATGTTCTCACTTATAGGTGGGAGCTAGATGATGAAAACACATTGACACATAGAAGAGAACAACATACACTTGGGCCTACCAGAGGGTGGAAAGCAGGAGGGAGAGGATCAGGAAAAATAACTAATGGGCATTAGGCTTAACACCTGGGTGATAAAATAATCTATACAACAAACCCCCATGATACAAATTTACCGAAGCAGCAAACAAGCACTTGTACCCTTGAACTTAAAATAAAAGTTAAAAAATAAATAAATATCAAGAAGCCTGACAAGGAACAAGTTCTATGCAGAAACATTGCATTTCAAACCCTTTTAAAACCCTTTCTCTGTCTCCTTTCTTCTTAGTCTTTCTCATAAACCCAGAGGCAAAACAGTTGTTTTTAATAGGGTCTCTCACTTTAAAGAGTGAGAAACTACTTATGGAATCTCTTATATCTTAAACTTTTCCACTAAATTCTATGCAGAGCTGGATAATCATTCTTTAGAATATCAGGATCAGAAATTTCCACATCTAAACTTCAAAATCCTTGGATTGACCCTTACCCATCGTGATCTGACCCTGCCCTTTTTCTCCAACATTATATCAAAACATTTCCCCACCTTCCACTCCAACCTTCTAAAGCCCTCCACACCCCACCTGGTCAATCCTATTAGTTGCTGCTTTGTTATGCTCCATCACGCTTTTGTGTTTTGCAAATTTTGTTTTCTTTGTGCTGGCCTCATCACCTCCTCCCAGCATTCCATTCTGCCACTTAGTGCCTATGTAATCTTGGGTAACTTACTAATTATTTTTAAACACACTTTCCTTGTCTACAACTTGAGAATAATATTGTGTCCAGAATTGGTTCCTTCCAGTGGGTTCTTGGTCTCGCTGACTTCAAGAATGAAGCCGCGGACCCTCGCTGTGAGTGTTACAGTTCTTAAAGATGGTGTGTCTGGAGTTTGTTCCTTCAGATGTCCAGATGTGTCCAGAGCTTCTTCCTTCCGGTGGGTTCATGGTCTTGCTGACTTTAGGAGTGAAGCCGCAGACCTTCACAGTGAGTGTTACAGCTCTTAAAAACAGTGCACCTGGGAGTTGTTTGTTCCTCCCAGTGGGTTCGTGGTCTTGCTGACTTCAGGAGTGATGCTGAAGACCTTCATGATGAGTGTTACAGCTCGTAAAGGTAGTGCAGACCCAGAGTGAGCAGCAGCAAGATTTATTCCAAAGAGTGAAAGAACAAAGCTTCCACAGCATAGAAGGAGACCCAAGCAGGTTGCCACTGCTGGCTCCAGGGGCCAGCTTTTATTCCCATATTTGGCCCTGCCCACGTCCTGCTGATTGGTCCATTTTACAGAGCGCTGATTGGTCCATTTCACAGAGTGCTGATTGGTGCGTTTACAAACCTTTAGCTAGACACAGAGCGTTGATTGGTGCATTTTTACAGAGTGCTGATTGGTGTATTTACAAACCTTTAGCTAAACACAGAGCATTGATTGGTGCATTTTTGCAGAGTGCTGATTGGTGCATTTACAAAACTTTAGCTAAACAGAAAAGTTCTCCAAATCACCACTCGACCCAGAAGCCCAGCCAGCTTCACCTCTCAGTATTATTTACCACACAAGGGTTCTTGTCAGGAGCAATGACATTAAGGTTGTCAATTGACTGGCATATACTAAGTACTCAAGGAATGATGACAGTAATATTTTTGTTATTATAATGTTTATCATTCAATGCTGAGTTTAAGCACCATCTGTTCTAGGAAATCTTCGCGGACTCTCTCATTCTGGGTTGCATGCCCTACTTCTGGGCTCCCCTTGCACCCTGTGTAAATGTCTCATCACAGTATTAGTGTGCATGTCATAAGAATTGTTTTCTTGCTGCCTCCCAACAATACTAGAAGCCTCTTGAGGACAAGGATGTGTCTTGAATCTCCAAATCTAAAACATCTAGCAAAGAGCCTGCAACATTGTAAGATTCTAAGTGTGTTTGTTTAATTTCTTTGGTGGATAATCAGAATACAGAAGTGCATAATGACCATCTCTATTGTGTCCTTTAGAACCAAAAAATGTAAGAATAAAAAGGGTGATTGCTAAAATATAGACTATTCAAAATGAAAGGCTGTTCTGCCATTTCAAAAACAAAGTAGTGCTAAGGAATTACTTTCTCATTTTTAACTTCCCCAGATTCCTTTAGGATCATGAAAAGAGAGGCCTCCTTTATTCAGTATTTTTCATTCATGTAATAACAACTTACTGTGTGCCAGGCACATTGCTTTATGTTCTGGAGATATAGCAACAAACAAAAGTCCACACCCTGGAGGAGCTTACATTCCAATGGAAAAACAGAGTCAAATAGCAGAAATAAATATATTCTATTATATACAACATATTGTAGGTAATGCAACATGCTATAGAGCAAAAATAAAGCACAATGAGGGAATAGCAATGATGGAGTGGGCGGGGCTCTCTTGTACAGAATGTAGAATCAGAGAGGGCATCTGAATGAAATGAGGGAATGAGCAATGTGTTTAAGTCTCTTAAACACTTCTACACCTAATTCTAAAATTTTCCAGGGTTGAAGACGATGACAAACTAGGGAAAAAACGTTAACCATCCCAAGCAATTTAAGGGGAGACTATCTCAGATGCTTAAAGCCACATAACAAGCAGAGATTTCAGCTTGAACACTAATTGGATTCTCAATTGTGACCTTGAAGGAACACACTGAACTCTATTTATAATTGCTATGGGAGTTACTCTATGATTTAAAGAAAGTGGCCCGGTGGCCCACGACCCTTTTATGTCATCAACTTATTTTATTTATTCACAAAAGCCTGCACCTTGACCTACTTAGACTAGGTTACTTGACTTGATATTTCATTAATTTGGTCACTAAAATTTCTGAAGTATCGTTTCCCCCTAACTTTAAGTATCTTATACTTGGCCAGGCATGGTGGCTCATGCCTATAATCCCGGCACTTTGGGAGGCCGAGGCAGGTGGATCACCTGAGGTCAGGAGTTTGAGACAGGCCTGGCTAACATGCTGAAACCCCATCTCTACTAAAAATACAAAAATTAGCTGGGTGGCGGTGCATGCCTGTAGTCCCAGCTACTCTGGAGGCTGAGGTGGGAGGATTGCTTGAACCCAGGAGGCAGGGGTTGCAGTGAGTAGAGATCACACCACTGCACTCCAGCCTGGGTGACAGAGTGAGACTCCATCTCAAAAAAAATAAGTAAATAAACTTGATGGACTTATACATCTTTTTAAATACTTCCCAAATCCATAGACTACATGGCTCATGGCTCAAAGAGAGTAAAATATGTCCTAGCCTGATGGTTCTCATTCCTTTGAATATTTGGTTATAACATCTAAGGTCATTTTATTGATCCAGATTTGTTTATGAAAACTCACCTCAAGTTTATATTAATATGATCATTTCAGAATATCTAAATTAATGCTCGCTTTTCAAAATGTCTCCACTAAAGTGGGTACAGTGGCTCACCCCTGTAATCCCAACACTTTGGGTGGTCAAAGTGGATGTATGGCTTGAGCTCAGGCATTTGAGACCAGCCTGGGCAACGTGGCAAAATCCCATCTCTACAAAAAAAAAAAAAAAAAAAAAAAATTAGCCAGGCGTGGTTGTGTGTGCCTGTAGTCCAAGCTACTAGGGAGGCTGAGGTGGCAGGATCACTTGAGCCCAGGAGGTTGAGGCTATAGTGAGCCGAGATGTTGCCACTGCACTCCAGCCTGGGCAACAGAGTGAGACCATACCTCAAAACAAATAAAAATAAATAAAAACTGTCTCTACTAAAGTAGTATAAGCTGCAAAGCCAAGATAATTTCTCTGAGGGATATTTCTAACCATATTCACTTTATACAGACATACTGTAGGCAATCGAACTTGAATAAGGAATAGGAACTCTCTTCTTTCTGACAAGACTTGACATAAACCTCTATAACTAAAATAGTTAAGTCGCATTGCAAACTGATCAGTAAGTAAGGAGAAAAACAAACAAACAAACAAACAAAAAACCTAGGTTGAATTTGTGTCTACACAGGTTTGCAACCTTGGAGCCATAGACAATATCATAGAGCCTAGGTGTGTAGTAGGCTCTACCATCTAGGTTTGTGTAAGTATACTCTAAGAAGTTCACACAATGATGAAATCACCTAAGGATGCATTTCTTAGAATGTATTCTCCTTGTTAAATGACACATAACTATTTGAAATTGTCCAAGTGAGTAGGTCTTAATTGTTCTCTCACACACACAAAAAAACAATGGGGTGGATAAATATGTGAGATGATGTATAGGTTAGTTAGCTTGATTGAAGGAATCATCTCGCAATATATACATCTATTGAAACGTCATAAGTATGCACAATGTTTATGTGTTAACTATACCTCAAAAGCTTGGGAGAAAAAAGTAAATGTAATTATTGACTCAGAGGAGGAGGCACCCGCCATTTGGCTCTGGTGGTGTCTCTGAGCCTGGAACTTAAATCTCTGGGATTCTGAGGTCTCTAAGGTCACTGAAGCCAATTCTTCAAGAGATAGAAAAACTATAAGCTGGTTTTAGCTGCTGCTACAGGAAGGCACTTTGAGAAGCATCACTGGGGTAATGCTCAAAGGAACTACCAGGAGAAAGAAATTCTATAGAAAGCCCACAGGGAACAAATAAGAAGAAGCAAATGCCTCCTCCTTTTTCCAAAATTGCTGTATCCCTCTATTGCTGCCTGTTGGCAAATCCTAATATGGAACCAACTGACAAAGTAGAAACATGGTTTGCAGACACCCATTTAGCTGGGTTTGAAGCTGAGATGCAATTACTGACACAGTGGGTTTAATAGCAGGTTAAAGAGAGATGAAGAGAGAATTCATTAATTGGAAGATAGAACAGAAAAAAATATCTAGACTGAAGCTGCAGAGTAAATGGAGAGATAATACACAGCATAAATTCAAAGATCTAACATACATTTAACTGGATTCCCCAAAAGAAAGGAGAAACAGAACAGGACTGATGCAATATTTTAAGAAATAATGACTAAAAACTTTCCAAAATTGACAAAAGACATCAAGACTCAGATTCAAGAAGTACTACAAACCTAAGCCTGGTAAACATTAAGAAAAACACACCTATGAACATCATAGTGAAAATGAAAGTCAAAGACAAAGACAAAAGTCTGCGGGGTGAGTGGATTATCTGCTTTCAGAGTCAAGGTTTTCCGGCTTGGGTAGCCAGGTGTCACGGCCCAGTGTCCACCTGCAGCTGCTTTCTGTGTCAGTCCTCTGCACCGCCAAGGTCATAGAGGTGGTTGGTGTGGGTAGTGGGACACTCCAAGGAGCCACATGCCAGCCGCACCATGGTCCACCTCACTACTCTCCTCTGCAAGGCCTACCATGGGGGCCACTTAACCATCTGCCTTGCCCTGGGCAGCTTTGCCAACCGGCCCTTTTACACCATTGTGGCTGCTCACAGCAAGTGTCCCAGGGATGGTCTTTTGGTAGAGCAGCTGGGATCCTATGATTCATTTCCCAACAGTCATGGGGAAAATCTCATTGCCCTCAACCTGGACAGGATCCAGCATTGGATTGGCTGTGCTACCCACCTCTTTTAAACCTATGGAAAAGCTTCTGGTTCTTGCTGGCTTTTTCCCTCTGCATCGTAAGATGATCACAAATGCTGAGAGACTGTGAAGGAAATAGGCACATGAAGTCCTCTTACTTTCTCAGAAAACAGATGCAGAGGCTACAGAAACATAAGTGAGCCGACTTCAGTGAGCATAGGGTGGGAACAAGGTCAAGGTCCTCTTAAAACACCATGCAGAGATTTTAGTTTTGTTAGACTTGGGGGTCAATAAATGGAGTGTCCTGAGTCACCCTTGTTCTTCTGGCCTGGCCTGCACAGGGCCTAGGGAGAGATTTTTTCTTGTGTGAACAGAGCTGGATCTATGTACTAATTAGGTTTTTTCAGACTTTGTCTTGGTAAAGACAGTGGCTACGGGAGGATTGGATATTTGAGTTGAGCTCTGGGTCTCTTGGACAACTTTACAATCTACTGGCTTCCAAGACTTCCTGCTCCAAAGCCCCCAGCCAGACTGTTCATGGCCCATTCCAAATCTTCATGTTCATCCCACAGGTGCAAAGAACAGTTGCCTTTCTTATTGATTTTGTAATTGGAGAATTATATTGTCTTCCTTAACACATATTTGCAAATATATAAAGGTAGATTGCTTTTGGGCTGTAATAACCTAACTTTTAAGAATGAGAAACTGCTGGGCTTAAGGGAGTTCATGATGAATCAAGATTGAACCATTCAAATGTGTCTGCAGTTTCTCCATGTATGATAGATAGGATCCTTCTGAGGATACTGGAATAGGGAATTATGACACCAAGCTGATTCAACTGTAAACCTTATTCTTGTACTTTTCTTTCTTGCTGGTAATTTTATGGAGCAGGTTAAGAAAGCTGTTCTATGTTAGGATAGATTGTATACTAATTTAAAAAAAAAGAAAAGAAAAAATCTTAAAGCAACCCAAGAGGGAAAAATAATCAAAGATTGTTTTTCTGTTTTCTCTGTGTTCTTAAAATTAATAGGTGATTCCCATTTTAGTAATTGTTACCTCCACTCAGTTGCCTGTGCCTAAAATGCGCATGATGTCTCTCTTTATCTCATTTATATATCCAATTGATCAAAATTCCTTTCTTCTTTGGCTCTAAAATATGTCTCAAGCATATATTTTTTCTATTGTGACCACAACCACCAACTCTTATCTACCATCATCTCTATTTTGTATCAGTGAAATAGTTCCCAAGTGGTTTTGTCTGCTTTTATTCTACCTCCTCCAATCCGTTCTTCATATCACAGCCAGAGAAATCCTTTTTAAATGCTAATATAATCTTGTCACCTTCCTAATGACTACCTATCAGTAGTTTCCAAATACTTTTAGGGCAAAAATCAAAATCTTTACCACGTTCTACTAATTCAATCCGATACCTGCCTGCCTCAACAGATTCAGCTTCCTCTGCTCTTGTCAGCTCTCCAGACCTTCTTTGAGACACAGAAATGTAAAGTGCATCTTCCCACTTTAGAATATTTGTACAGAGAGACCAGATAGCATAGCAGTTAAGAGTATAAATCCTGAAGTCATACTGGAGTCAGAGTATGAGTCTGGATTTGTACCCATTACCTACAAGTTGTAAGTTGTTTAACTTTTCTATGCCTTAGTTACATCATCTGTTAATGCACATTTTTGAAAGTGCCTACTTTGTGGGTTATTGTGAAAATTAATATACATATATTCTTGTCATTCTTGTTTTGTTGTGCTTCACTTTATTGCAGGTATTAGTCTGTTTTCACACTGCAATAAAAAATACCTGAGACTGGGTAATTTATAAAGGAAATAATTTTAATTGACTCATGGTTCCACATAGCTGGGGTGGCCTCAGGAAACTTACAATCATGGCAAAAAGGGGAAACAAACATGTCCTTCTTCACAAGGCAGCAGGGGAGAGGAGTGCAAGTGAAGGGGGAAGAGCCCCTTATAAAACCATCAGATCTCATGAGAGCTCACTATTTTGAGAACAGCATGGGGAAAAGTGTCCCCATGATTCAATTACCTCCACCTGGTCTCTCCCTTGACATGTGGGGATTATGGGAGTTATGGGAATTACAATTCAAGATGAGAATTTGGGTGGGGACAAAACAAAACCATATAATTGCACTTAGCAGATATGGCATTTTTTACAGATTGAATGTTTGTGTCAACTTTGCTTTGAGCATCTCTATTGGTGCCATTTGTTTTCCAATAACATGTGCTCTCTTTGTGTCTCTGTGTAACATTTTGGTAACTCTCACGATAGTTCAAACTTATTACTATTATTATATTTGTTATGGTGGTCTGTAATGAGTGATCCTTTTGTAATTGTTTTAGGGCAACACAAACTTCTCCCATATAAGACAGCAAATTTAATCAATAAATGTTGTGTGTGTTCTGACTGATCCACAGAGCAGCCCTTCCTTCATTTCTTTCACTCTCCTTGGACCTCCCTATTCCCTGAAACACAACAATATTGAAATTAGGCCAATTAATTACACTACAATGGCCTCGAATTGTTCAACTGAAAGAGTCACACAGTTCTCACTTTAAATCAAATGCTAGAAATGATTAGGTTTGGTGAGGAAGTTACATCAAAAGCTGAGATAGGCTAAAAGCTAGGCTTCTTTTACCAAACAGCCGATTTGTGAATGCAAACAAAAAGTTCTTGAAGAAAATTAAAAGTGCTACTTTAGTGAACATATGAATAATAAGAAAGTGAAACAGCCTGAATAATCATATGGAGAAAGTTTTAGTGGTCTGGATAGAAGATCAAATCAGCCATAACATTCCTTAAAGTCAAAGCCTAATCTAGAGTAAGGCCCTAATTCTCTTCAATTCTGTGAAGGCTGAGAGATGTGAAGAAGTTGCAGAAGAAACATTTGAAGATAGCAGAACCTGGTTCATAAAGTTTAAGAAGCTTCATAACATAAAAGTGCAGAGTGAAACATCAAGTGCTGATGGAGAAGCTGCAGCAAGCTATAGAGAAGATACAGCTAAGATCATTAATGAAGGCAGCTACCCAAGACAAGATTTTCTATGTAGACAGAACAGCTTTATAATGGAAGAAGATGCCATCTAAGGCTCTCATAACTAGAGAAAAGTCAATGCCTGGCTTCAAAGCTTCAAAAGATAGGCTGACTGTCTTGTGAAGGGCTGATGTAGTTGATGACTTTAAGTTTAAGTCATTTACTATTCTGAAAACCCTAGGGTCTTTCAGAGTGATGCTAAACTACTCTGCCTGTGCTCTCTAAATGGATCAACAAAGCCTGGATGATGGTACATCTGTTTACAGCATAGTTTACTGGATATTTTTAGCCCACTGTTTAGACCTAATGCTCAGAAAAAAAAAAAAGTACTTTCAAAATATTACTACTCACTGACAAAGCATGTGGTCATCCAACAGCTCTGATTGAGATGTACAAGGAGGCTGATGTTATATTCACACCTGCTATCCAACATCTACTCTGCAGTGCATGGATCAAGGAATCATTTTGACTTCCGAGTCTAATTATTTAAAAAATACATTTTGTAAGGTTAGAGCTGCCATAGATAGTGATTCGTCTGATGGATCTGGGCAAAGTAAATTGAATACCCTCTGGAAAGGATTCACCATTTTAGATACCATTAAGAACATCTATGACATTTTTAGATGGGACATTTTACCTGTGTTTTGGAGGATGAACATGTGTTAATTTGGTGAAGAAGATTAAAGATGGAGTGGCAAACATTCCAGACAGAGGAAAAAGAATAACTAAGGGCTTACATTAATTGAGCACTTACTATGTACCAAGATGTGTGCTAAGTGCCATATGGCACATTTTATTTTATTTTTTAATTATTTATTTATTTATTTTAGAGACAGAGTCTCGCTTTGTTGCCCAGGCTGGAGTGCAGTGGCGTGATCTTGTCTCACTGCAACATCCACCTCCCAGATTCAAGCGATTCTCCTGCCTCAGCCTCCTGAGTAGCTGGGACTACAGGTGTGCACCACCATACCCAGCTAATTTTTGTATTTTTTAGTAGAGACGAGGTTTCACCATGTTGGCCTGGTTCGCCTTGAACTCCTGACCTCAGGTGATCCACCTGCCTCGGCCTCCCAGAGTGCTGGGATTACAGGCATGAGCCACTGCGCCCCACCCAGCCACTAATTTTTGATATGATGATTCTAAAGTTCATCAAACAATAGATAAGAATAATACAGAATTTTTTTAAGTGACTAATTCAAAGGGATTTGCTTTAACCGATATTAAAACATACTTATTAAGCTCCAAAGACTAAAACAATATTATGTCATCAAGTAGAATCTACAGATAGGTGGCTGGAATGGGACAGCCATAAATTAGGTATTTTCATGTACAGATGCAATAATTTAATATTTAACAAAAAAAAATCAGAAGCCTGTAGGGGGAGATAAATTATTTAACAAATTATACTGCAAAAATTGGCTATTTGTGAAAAATGTCAATATGGATTCTCAACATAATAATGAATTCCAGTATACCAGAGTTAAATGTAAAACATAATCAAACCACAAAAAACTAGTTTATATACTCATTTAAACAGCACATATACTAAAATTGAAACACTATGAATATTTGATGTACAAATATTTTAATCATTCTTCTGAAAATCAAAATACTTTAAAAAATGTATATATAAATAATCAATTGTCTTACAGTACATAAAGGCAATGCAAAAAAACGAAAGTAGCAAAGGCCAATGAATTTCCCTGAATAAAAATTTAAACACTTATATGTTAAAGAAATTATAAATAAAACTGAAATTGGGAACATTTACAAAAATTAATTTGATTAGAATTTAATGTTCTCAATATATAAAGATGATGTAAGAAGTAATAAGACATACTTTTACACTCCAGTAGATAAGTAAAGAAAATGAATAGATAATTCTTAGAAGGAATTTAAAAAAACCTGTAATACTCAAAGGAATATTGAAATACCATTCTCTAAATATCAAATCGTCAAGATTTATAAAAGTAATGATACCCATTGTTGGTGAGGAGGCAGTGAAGCAAGCACTCTCATAGGCTAGTAGTAAGGTTTTAAATTAATACAATCTTTTTAGAAAGTAATAAGATAATATGCATTAAGAGTGGAAAGATTCTAAGGTAGAGTGAGTTAGAAAAAACAGAAAAGGGGTGGAAAGAGCCTTTTGGCTTATAAGCCATTTTGAAAATTCTATTCATGAATACTAATTAAGGTAATAGCAAATTACATATATAATTAAAAATTAAATATGAATAACAGAATAAAACTGTATATGTATTATAGTTACAAATCTATTATATGCACAAAATATACAAAAAATAATACGCCAAAATATTAGCAGTAGTTAGCCCTAGGTGATGTGATTAAGAGTAATTTACTTTTCCATTTTTTATATTTCTTTGTGTTTCCAACTTTTTTGCCATGCTTCTGTAATCAGGAAAAATTACTTCACAAAATAGCAAAAGCAAAGTCATGTTAAAATAAACCAATCATTGCTCACTTGTGAGAGTCTGGCATGCATCATGTTGTCTTATTCATCTTGTGGGTCTTATTTATATAGAAAAGGACTGAATCTATGCCTATGCCTTGAAAAGCATCAAGCATACTATAAGGTATTCATGCATATTAAATAATTATTTAAAGTGAGAGACTATAACAAGCAGGTGAGAGCCTGAATTTATTGATTCAAAAGCAGAAATAATTATGAGGTTTTAAGTGTCTCTCAATTCTGTAGATATGTTTATTGTAGTATGGTAAATCTCTCAATTACATCATGTGCCACATAACTTTTTGGTCTTGATAGGCCGTATATATCAAGGTGGACCCAACTTTTTGGTCTTGATAGGCCATATATATCAAGGTGAACCCATAAGATTATAATGGAGCTGAAAAATTTCTATCACCTAGTGACATCGTAGCCATTTTTAGGTTGTGGTGCCATGCATTACTCATGTTCGTGGTGATGCTGGCATAAACAAACCTACTGCATTGCTAATCATGTAAAAGTATAGCACATACAATTATGTACAATACATAATACTTGATAATGATAATAAAGGACCACGTTATTGGTTTATGTATTTACTACTTTATGCTTTTAATCATTATTTTAGAGTGCACTCCTACATAGTAAAAAAGAAAAGTTAACTGTAAAGCAGCCTCAGGCAGATCCTTCAGGGGATATTCCAGTAGAAGGCATTGTTATAGGCGATTCATAGGAGATGACAGCTCCACGCATGTTATTGCTCCTGAAGACCTTCCAGTGGGACAAGATTGGAGGTGGAAGACACTGATCTTGTTGATTCTGACTCTATGCAGACCCAGGTTAATGTGTGCACTTGTGTTTTATGTTTTTAACAAAAAGGTTAGAAAAATTAAAAATCAAAAAGAGCTTATAAAATTAGATTATAAAGAAATAAAATATTTTTGTACAGCTGAAAAATGTGTTTATGTTTTAAGCTAAGTATTAACAGAAAAGAGTCAAAAAGTTAAAAAAAAGCTCATGAAGTAAAAGTTACAGTAAGCTAAGCTTAATTTATTATTGAAGAAAGAAACATATTTTATAAATTTAGTATGGCCTAAATGCAGTGTTTATAAAGTCTACAGTAGTGTACAGTAATGTGCTAGGCTTACACTTTCATTTACCACTCACTCACTGACTCACCCAGAGCAACTTCCAGTCTTGAAAGCTCCATTCATGGTAAGTGGCCTATACAGGTATACCTTTTTCTTATTAACTTTTATACTGTATTTTTGTTGTCACAGGATGAGATAGGAGGTCAGCACAAGACACAGGTCACAAAGACCATGCTGATAAAACAGCGTGCAGTAAAGAAGCTGGCCAAAACCCACCAAAAACAAGATGGCAATGAAAGTGACCTCTGGCCATCTCTACTGTTCATTATATGCTAATTATAACGCATTAGCATGTTAAAAGACACTACCACCAGCCCCTTGACAGTTTACAAATGCCATGGGAAATTTTCAGAAGTTACCCAAAAGGAGGAACCCTCAGTTTCTGGAAATTCCCATCCTTTTCTCAGAAAACTCATGAATAATCCACCCTTTATTTAGCATATAACCAAGAAATAACTATAAGTACACTCAGTAGAGCAGCCCATGCTGCTGCTCTATGGAGGAGTCATTCTTTCATTCCTTTGCTTTCCCAATAAACTTGCTTTCACTTTATGGACTTGCCCCAAATTCTATATTATGTGAGGTCCATGAACCCTCTTTTGGGGTCTGAATCGGGACCCCTTTCCAGTAACAGTGAGTTCCCCTAATTCCATGTGTTTTTATTTGTGATACAGTTTTATTAGTAATACAATTATTTTTCTTACATTTAATATATCACGTTTATATTTTAAAAATGAATATACAGTAAATGAGCACACAAAACAACTCCATTAAATGTGTATTTTTCACTTCTCTAATAGTTTCTTCTTGAAAATGCAAGATAATTAGATCCAATTCTGCAGAGGGTAATTCATACCTAGCAAAATATAACAAAGTGTACATTTTTGTTTCCTAGGTAATATTTGTTTTTCACAGACCTTCAATCCTTACCTCCTCCTATCCTGTGAATTTTTTCAGTTTCCCTTCTAACTCCTAAAGATTGTTGTACTATTTTTGGCCTCCATTTTTAATAATAGATCTAAGAAAAAAGCAAACAAGCAAAAACTGTCACCTAACTAAAGTCAAAATGAATGGTAGTGGTGAGTACTCCTATTTCTATTGCTATATTCGGCTTATTGTGTGATGTTTCCTCTGCCTTTTCCTATTGTCCAAACACACTTAGAGGAAAATGACTGGTGTTAAACTACTGTCTTATAACCTAATATTGATATAACATATAAGAAGATGAAAAGAAGAGTGTTAATAATGATGCCATAAAGAATATTAAGAAGAAAGAAAGGGCTCTCCCTACCAGGCCCCTTAAATAAAATCTCTTTTGTCTGAATGATAGCAGCAGGAGGCAGAACAACCCTAAACAGACAGGGACGGGTCCCTGGTGAAACTCCACCTTCAAACCAGACAGTTTAAAGCCTGAAAGACAAGCTACAAGTCGAGTAAATCCACAGACTGGATTGAGAACTTCTCTTCCCATTTGGCGTGATTTCCTCGTATTGATCCTTACCTTTCACTTATTTTACACATACGTACCCTTCCGTAATTTGTATTTTACACTGTCATGCCTACCTTTGAGTGGTGCCTTTGTTTTACCCCTTTTTGCATACTCACAAACCAATTAGCACGCACTCCCCCATTCTGAGCCCATGAAAGCCCTGGACTCAGCCACCCTGGGAAAGACCATCTGACTTCGAGTGGGGGTCCACCCTTGCATCCCCTCTCCTCTGAGAGCTGTTCTGTTGCTTAATAAAGCTCTTCTCCACCCTTCTCACCCTTCGATTGTCAGTGTAACCTCATTCTTCTTGGATGTGGAACAAGAACTTGGGAACTGCTGAACACAGGTACCAGCTGTAACACAGGCAGGCTTGGGCACACCCAGCCCAGCTGCGGGCTAAGCCATGTGCAAATCACGTGTGGCCCAGCCGGTCGAGTGTGCAGGATGCCCCATGCGGCAGGCCCAGGGCTAAATAAGGCCCAGGTGGGGGCATCACCAGCTAAGGATTCTAGCTGGCAAAAGTGGCCAAGAGAAATACTGTGTTATGGAGAGCACAATAAAGAGTCTGCTGTGCAAAAGTGCCTATGAAGCTGAAGTTCTGGTTTCAGTAGAAATTCCCATATTGGCTAGTAACCTGTGTGAACCTGACTTGTTTCACTTCTGTAGTTCCAACTAGCACTCACCCAGCTGTACTGATGTGCCTTTGGCAATATGAGCAGAAGGCTACATGAGGGTTTGAGTAGTGAAATATGACTAACCTGCCAATAAATCATCTCCACTGCTTTCAGAAACCTAGAGAACCACATAGTAGGCCTTTTTTTTTTTTTTTTCCTGCATGACTCTCATTTGGGGAATGATCACTAATGCCCATTCTGTAGATATGGGGTCAGTAACATTACACCAAATAGAAAATGTTAAATACAGAATTTCATTTAGAATTAGCATTCTGTTAATTGCACATTTAAGTAATGGTTGATGGGAAGTTAGGTGCAAATTATTTAGTTGAGACGTATTTTACCCCAAGATTCATCTTAGCAAAGGCTAGCAACACTAGGGTTTTATTTTCACTGTTAATTCAACAAAGAGGAACCCAGGTAAAGAGATTAAAATATTTGCCACTTAAGTCTCTTGAAAAAATCAAGGATTGGAGATGGAAGAAAGAACACACAGTTAACTTAAGTAGTCAATTAAAACCCTGGTTAGAAACTTAATCTATTTTCCATTTTGCCACAATATGGTTTAGAAGGTATAGCCTGGTAGTCACTGGGGTTGCAGGAAAGCACAGAGGCATACCAATGCACCTAGCCACTGCCAATATCTTTTTGCATGAATTAATCAGTTGACTATGCAAACTAGATAATTTCATTGATTTATAATTTCTATAGTTTTAAAACATTCTCATTTTCATTCTGCCCAATCACTTGAAAAAAAAAAATTGTGTGCATATCTCTTTGAGCGTGTATAGTAGTGTAAACAAACTAGACCGAGAGAATTTGACTCTACCACATATTTTGCTTTATTGAAGTGACCACAGACCAGAATAAAATTCAAAGACTGTAACATATTTGACATTTGCAAAACTAAAAGGTATTGTGATGTTTATTTGAGGCTCATAAAGGATAAATGAAATATGCATGGAAAGGTGCTATAAATTCTTGCCATGTAATCTCTCATGGTCTTTAAATAATTATTAAGTTTTTATGCTAGCTGTTGCCTAAGGAGGTTATAAAGAGATTTTTGTCACTTCACTATTTTTTTCTTTGTCTAAAGAACAAAAATGTATTTTTCTAAAAAAATGCACATGAGAACACCAGAAGGAACTATTTTACCCTTAAGTGATTTAACCTTTTAACTCAGGCTGTGTTAAAATGTAAAGAATAGTGTGTGATCTGTTTCCATTTCCCCCAAGTTTTGTCTCAATTTGTTCACAAATTCATATGAAGGGACAAAGTCAACTCTATGAACATCGTTCAAGTCACATCTTCACAGTGGCTAAAAGGGGTGTACAAGTGAGGAAAAAAATTAGCCCTCATTGACTGCCAAAAGTCTCTTCTGTATTGTAAAAAAAAAATTTAATTGCATTCACTGATGACAAGTGTGGGTGCATTTGGCAGACAAGGGGAAAGGACTTTGCTATGTATCTGCTGTTTGAAAATTCTTCTCATTCTGCTAACACTTTTCCTCTTCATGTCATCAAAAATAATTTTTTACTGATTATGTTGACACCCTCATAATGCCAGAATTTTTCTTACATCTCAGATGTAACTGTCTGTCATGATCTACATTCAAGTGTGTTGTCTTTTTTTAATATAGCATATATATAAAAAATACTTTTGAAACTACCAAGTTCAAGTTTTACTTTGCTTTATGAAGACTAGTTCATATCTACACAAGAATGGATAGGCAACACATTCATTTTCAACCTTCAGAAACTAATTTTATCTTTCCTTTCAGTCTTAAAGCATATTAAGCCATGTTAGCTTACAACACAAAGTAGTGTAAAATGAGACTATTTTAGAAGGTGAATTACTTTTGTCATTTCACTTGTGAAATGGTTTCTTTCAGGATATTTTTAATTTAAAAGAGATATAATCTGCCAACAATAAAAATGGGAAAAATAAAAATTCACTCTACGTTCTCTTATATAATAATTGTGTTCTTGAAAATGTACTTGGAAACCACATCATATTTTTTCATTGACTTCTTTTATACTTGAAAGATGTGTTCAGGCTCTTTTGCAAACCATATATTCAAAAGCATCTTTTTGGAACAACTCTTGATTTTATAATATTGCTGGTATCTCTATCTTTCACTAACTGGCCTCTTCTTAAACCTTTTTTTATTACTGGTGATAAAAAAGTATGATTTCTTCTTTAGATTGTAGCATATGATTTCTGCAGCTTCTGCAAATAATCCCCCTTCTCCTTTCTTGACTTCTAATAGAATTTAATGGAAGACTCTAACAGATAATCTCATGATAAATTGGAAATAGAAGGTTAATAATTTTTGTGCCTTTTTGCTTTCTGAACTACATTCAACTGAAGATCTTTCTGCTCAGAAAAATAATCAACTATCCAAAATAACTAGGAATTAAGATGTAAAAAAAAAAAAGACAGATTGAAGCATAAAAGAGACAGGACAAAAGCAAAATATCAAGGAATAGGATTAAATCAATAAAAAGCCTGAGGGAGAAATGTATATTTTTTTCATAACCAACCATGTTAAAGGAAAACTACTAGAACAACATAGTGTCTCGTAGAATCTGTTTAAAGTATGCCCACTGAATCATTACATTTATATGTTGTCATAGATATACATATGATAGATATGTCTATGATAGTCTATGTAGATATATCATAGACTACATATGTAGTCATAGATGTATCTAGTAATCATCACTACAAGTAGCAAATATATCAAACAGATGCTGAATAAGATTTTCCATGGCATTGACATGTTGCTTGGTCAGTTTTCTCATCAAGAATTTCAGAAACACAGATGCTCTAGTTTGTCAGTAGATTTTTCTTTATTTTTTTTCTTTTTACTTGTTTTTTGTTTTTGTTTTTATTTTTTTGTTTTTGTTTTTGTTTGAGGCAGGGTCTCACTCTGTCACCCCAGCTGGAGTGCTGTGGTCTGATCATGGCTCACTGCAGCCTCTACCTCCCTAGATCAAGGGATCCTCCTGCCTCAGCCTCCCAAGCAGCTGGAGCTACAGGCATGTGCCACCATGCCCAGCTGAATTTTTTTTTTTTTTTTTTTTTGTAGAGACATGGGTCCACTCTGTTGCTCAGGCTGGTCTCGAACTCCTGGGCTCAAGTGATCCTTCCGCCTCAGCCTGTAAAGTGCTGGAATAACAGGTCTGAGCTGCTGTATTTGACCTGCCAAGTGCTTTTTTAATATTGCTTAGTCCTGGTTGGGTATAATCAAGAAAAACATCAGAGACCAAAGAAAAAGAGGGTTTCATTGAAGGAAATGTGATAAAAATGCTATAATACATCTCTGTCCTGGAGGCACTTGCTATCTAGATAGGTAGCATAATCATACTCAAAGAAAATACATTATTTAACAAAAATGTACAGCTACAAAATACAAAGTAAATACTTATAATACCATTGGGAGGGAGAGATAAAGAAAATTAATTTATTCACATCAATAGGAATATCAAAATACAAGAACTTTCCACTCATATACTTGTTCACCAAATAATCTTACTTAAATCTGATTTTAATTTAAACATTTTTTCTAATATACATTAATATTAGAGTTTCACCTTGCATTCTTCATTTGCAATGTTAATTATTTATTTTTCACTTATTGGAACACTATGCCCTCATAATCAAGTAATCTGTTGGTAAGTTTCACTATTTATTTCTGAAATCAGTGGATTGGCCTTATGTTTATCAGTTCTTCACGTGAGAAAGAGGAGATTGTTGGCAAAATCAAATAAAATACAGTGGCTCTGAGCCTCTACCTACTTCATTCAGGACCTTAACATTTGCTGTCTCTTCTCTTCCTCATTAACTGTGGAAATCACAAAGGGGAGTGCTTAAAAGTGGTCTTTGAGCTACTGTCACCGCATGGGGTATTTGCGGCAGTTTTTTTCTCTCTTGTTTCAGTTTCTACTTTGTTGTGTCCACTGTATGAAGAGTGGCTTGAGTTATTCCCACCATTGCCAGTGCACCTCCTGTGTGAAGACAAATACCCACACCAGGATTAGAAGGGGGAAATCTACTGAAATGGCAGTGGGGAGGGATGGAAAGAACATACCCAGGAAGGCTGGAGAAGAGGCAGAAGATGAAAGCGGAGCCTGTATCCTGTCTCAAGTGAGGAGACAGGTTTATGAGATGGAGAGAGCACAGAAGGTGTTTTGAGAGAATTGTATTGTGCATGGGAGACCAAGAGTCACTGAAAACAACTCAAATTTTTGTTGTAATTTCTAAAAGAATGTTAAGGGGATACCTATTTTTAACCCATGTCAACATTTCTTAAATTTCTCTTTCTCAGAGCATTTCTTTTTTTTATTGAGGATAACAATCTTTTGTCACATAGATGTTGTAAATATGTTTACATGAGTTTTATATGATATAAGCATACCTTAATTGTATCATATGAAATTGTTTATATTCATAAGTTTTATAATTTTTGATAATCAAACCTTTTAATTTTCTATTATATTTTAGTATGAAGCTTACAAATATGTTCCTTTTGCCAAAATTTATGTAAATATTTGCCCATATATTTCTAGTTCTTCTACTATTTCATGTTTATGCTTAATTCTTTAATCAGTTGATTTTACCCATCTCACAGTCATTCATAAGGTAACCCAATATTTCTTACAATTTTAAAAATTACTTTTATTACATACTAAAGATTTAAACACTCTAAACTGTATTTGGAGGATTATATTCTGCTTCTCTAACCAATCATTTATTTTAGTACATGTATAATATTCGATTAATTTTTGTAGTTTTATAATATGTTATTTGGTGAAATAAACCCTCCTCAATCATTATTATTCCTCTCAACTTTTTCTTGTCCTTTTAAAAACATAGTGGTTAAATAAACATAACATAAAATTTGTAATTAACCGTTCTTGATGTGTACAATTCTGTGGTATTTAAGTACATTCAAAATATTGTGCAGCCATCACTTCTATTGGATTTGGATAAAAATCCAGAATATTTTCATCATCTCGGAAAGAAATCCTGTACCTATGAAGCAGTCACTCCTTTTTTCTGTCTCTCCTTAACCTGTGGCAACCACTAATCTACTTTCTGTCCCTAATGGATTTGCTTATGCAATTCCACTCCTAAAAGAATTGAATACAGGTATTCAAATAGAAAGTCATAGTGTTCATAGAGGCACTAATCACACCTGCCAAAAAGTGGAAACAACCTAAATGTTTATCAACCCATCAACAAATGAACTAAATTTGGTATATTCATACAATGGAATAGTATCCGATTATAGTAATGAAATGCTGATACACACCATTACATGGATGAACCTTGAAAACATTATGCTAAGTGAAATGAGCCAGATACACAGAGAACAAATATTATATGATTCCACTCATAAGCAAATCCATTAGGGACAGAAAAGATGTTGGATAGCAGGTATGAATATAATATCAGCCTCCCCGTACATCTCAATCAGAGCTTTTGGATGACCACATGCTTGTCAATGAGTAGTAATATTTTGAAAGTACTTTTTTTTCTGAGCATTAGGTCTAAACAGTGGGCTAAAAATATCCAGTAAACTATGCTGTAAACAGATGTACCATCATCCAGGCTTTGTTGATCCATTTAGAGAGCACAGGCAGAGTAGTTTAGCATCACTCTGAAAGACCCTAGGGTTTTCAGAATGGTAAATGAGCACAGGCTTCAACTTAAAAGTCATCAACTACATCAGCCCTTCAGAAGAGAGTCAGCCTATCTTTTGAAGCTTTGAAGGCAGGCATTGACTTTTCTCTAGTTATGAGAGTCTTAGATGGCATCTTCTTCCAATATAAAGTTGTTCTGTGAACCCCCGTCTTTACTAAAAATACAAAATTAGTTGAGTGTGGTGGTGCACACCTGTAATTCCAGCTACTCGGGAGGCTAAGGCAGGAGAATCGCATGAACCTGGGAGGCGGAGGTTGCAGTGAGCCAAGATTGCACCATTGCACTCCAGCCTGGGCGACAAGAGCAAAACTCCATCTCAAAAAACAAAACAAAACAAAACAAATAAAACCCCACAATTTGATACCACCTTTACTTCTGCCAGAATGGCCATAATGAAAAAGTGAAAAAACAGTAGATGTTGGTGTGGATGCAGGATCAGGGAACACTTCTACACTGCTGGTGGGAATGTAAGCTAGTAGAGCCACTGTGGCGAACAGTGTGGAGATTCCTTAAATAACTAAAAGTAGAACTACCATTTGATCGAGCAATCCCACTACTATTGGGTATCTATCCAGGGGAAAAGAAGTCATTATACATAAAAGATACTTGCCCACGCATGTTTATAGCAGCACAATTCGCAATTGCAAAATCATGGAATCCACCCAAATGCCCATCAATCAATGAATGGATAAAGAAACTGTAGTATATATATACATATATGATGCACTACTACTCAGCCACAAAAATCAATGAATTAATGGCATTTGCAGCGACCTGGCTGAGATTGGAGACTATTATTCTAAGTGAAGTAACTCAGGAATGGAAAACCAAACATCGTATGTTCTCACTGATAGGTGGGAGCTAAGCTATAAGGATACAAAGGCATAAGAATGATATAGTGGACTTTGGGGACTTGGGGAGAAGCATGGAAAGGGGGTGAAGGATAAAAGACTACAAATATGGTGCAGTGTATACTGCTGGGTGCACCAAAATCTCACAAATCACCACTAAAGGGCTTACTCATATAACCAAATACCACCTGTACCCCAATAACTTATGGAAAAATTTTTAAAAAAGAAATGACTTTTAGAATCTCATCCAGTTTAGATCAGGGAAGTAAATAGATAAGAATGATTGCTTTGGAAGTGGAATCAAGAGAGAAAAAGGGAAGAGAAAATGAGGAGAAAAATCAATAGCACTTGTTTAAAGTGTCCCTTTTTTGTGTGTCTGTATTCACTAACACACATAGGAAGTAATATATTAAGTAGAACTGTAGTAATATGTGTCTTCCAGATTCTTCTGGTGCCATTAGAAGTTGCAAACAACTGGTGCTGTGCCTTTTTATGAGGCATTAAAATACCAAGCCACTGTAACCCTAGACATAGTCAAATATAAAAGGCACACATGATACTAACATTGCAGAGCTCCTGAATTTTGTTCTAGCATGCTCTTTTTTATTGACCAAAATTTTTTCTAATTATTATAGTTGGAAAAATGATTTTTAAATTTTAAATCTGCTATTTAGCTGAATTGTAATTTATGTAAGTATAAATCTTTGGAAGAAGCATAAAGTCAGTACTTCTCTCTGAAATCACTATTATGTATCAAAAGTACTACATAAAAGGTATAATCATAAGAATTTTTCTACCCAATTCAGTGCACCAAAGCAAGCAAAAATATTTATAAATTTAGAACTAAAATTATATTTCCTTAACTCAGATGAAGTAGAACAGTAAACACATCTAAGACAAAAAGATAATTTCTTCTTTTGCATTATCTTTTTTTCTCACTCCTTCTCTCTCATGCACAAACACACACACACAATACATAGACAAACATACTTCCTATTTAAAGATACATTTGCTGATTGTGATGTGTATTCTTTTTCACTACATCCCATATGTAGTTTTTATAAGGCAGCATTCCATCAGGAGATGCTTCATAGGAAGAAACAAAGAATGCTAGAATCACATAAGTTTGACAAGCACTATTTGCCATATCACATTCTTGGAAATTCACAGTGCATGTTAGTGTAGTGAAGCCTTCCAGAGATCCTGAAGAAAAAAAAATTGTTTAAATTGGAATATCCCAAATTTAGTTGACCACAGGCCATTTTTATACCTAATACCTAACACAACACCATAGCAGTCAGGACATGCTTAGTCATGTCATAATAACAAGAAGCCCCAAAACATCAGTGACTTGCATTGTAAAGTTTGTTTCTCACTTAATACTACATATCTAATGTGGTTCTGAGGAAAGTTTTGCTTACTGTATCCACTCAGATAATCAGGTGAGTTGTTTTTTCCTTTCACAATCACTACAACAATGAGAAAGAAATTCAGGAAATCATGCACTACTTTTAAAACTTCCCCCAAGTGACATTACTCTTTTTTTTTTTTTTTTTTTTGTCAATCCCATTGGCCAAGGTGAATAATATTATTGCCATGCTCAACTTCAGTGTCAGAAGGGAAGGCTAATTCTACCATGTGTTCTGAAGAGAGGGAGTCAAATATTTTTGGTGAACAGCAGGACTACCACAAATAACACTTTAGAAAATGCTGGGCTGAAGAAACAGCTTTGGCACCTGTTATTCAATCACTCAGTGAACATACAAAATAAATACTCCTGGCAAGATAATAATCCTGGGCTTTGCCCAGTCGTCAGCATTGCCAACTTGGCTTCTTGGCTTTACCAGCTGCATAATGTGGTCTGTTCCAAGGGAGTTGCCCCATCTGTGACTCAAATACTGCCCTTTGCTGATGTTGCTTCCTGGCAAATAATGGCCATTATACTAACATAAAGCAGTTGTTCACCCATCTCCCTTGATACCAGCATTCCAACATACCTTATCGCCTCTAAACCTATTTTAGTTCTTATCTCATAGTCTCTGTCTTAGTGTATTCAACCTGCTATAGCAAAATATCATAAACTGGGTGACTTATAAACAACGGGAATTTATTTCTCACAGTTCTGGAGGCTGGGAAATCCAAGATCAGGGCACCAGCAGACTTGGCATTTTTGACATTCAGTATAGACCTGGCCCATTTCCTGGTTCATAGATGTCACCTTCCCACTGTGTCCTCACATGGTGAAAGGGGCATGGCAGCTCTCTGGGACCTCTTTTATAAGGGCACTAATCCCATTTATGAGGGCTCTGCCCTCATGATCTAATAATTACTTCCCAAAGACCCCATTTATTAATACCATCACCTTGTGGGTTAGCATTTCAACATATGAATTTTGGGGTACCACGAACATTCAGATCATAGCAATCTCCAAAGTTATTTTCAGAAAGGAGCTATTAATATATTACTTATCAGAGACCAATATATTGTAGTGGCCTCCATCCATGACAAATTAGACATGTACAAAATAATATTAAATAATAAAAGGGACTGCTTCCTTATCTCTAAAATTTTTAGATCTAGGAAAAGACGTTTTCAAAGCAGAGCTTGCTCCAAGAGAGGAAAGGACGCCATGTAGGTGGGGTTTGATTTTGCTTCCCTGGCTTCAACTCCCCTGCTTCTGGATTAATCTCCCTTGCGCACTTGGATTTCTTATATTACTTTGCCTATAATAAAGGTTCTTTGGATAAAAAAATATATTTTACCTATTGACTAAATGTTCCTTAAGGTCCTTTTCAATCTTGACATTTTAACATACTCTGATCACCAATAAGAAGAGATATTTGACATTCAGTATAGACAAGACAAATTGTCAGTTCAGCTGATGTGAGTTGCTTTCCCCAGGTTAACCATGGTTAGCCCAGTTTTAGTATGCCTTTCTGATGACAAAGAGGATAACATGCTCCCAAGAATATGAAACTGTGCTGATTTCTTTACTTTTGTGTCTGCTCTGTGACACTAGTTATTCTCCAAAAATTTGAGGAGCTTAGCTTATACCCCTAAAGAGACATAAACCACTGGAGTCAAACTAAAGACACACAGCTGGTGCAGAATGTGTACAAGGTCCAGACGCGCCATGTGCAGAGGTGACCCCTGAACTCTAGTGCAGTCTTTTCAGCTCCACCTAAGTCTGACTTAGGTGATGACACAAAGAATCTGAAGGATCCTGGGATCAACCCCTTACTGAGGACTGGAGGCTTAAATCCACTTAGTTTGAACAATGAAGCTTGGTATTTGGATGTTCTTCACTTCCCATTCCTCCTAATAGTTCTTTTAAATGAGGCCACCAAAGTTTACTATAAAGATCATGAAAGGGTTTTATCCAAGTGATAATTCTGATATGTTGAGAATACTACTGGAGATTGGATAAGGAAAGGATTCTGAGGTCAAGCACAGACCCAGCAGAAAATAATATGATTATTCATTAGTGATGTCAGCATGGCAGTGTTCATGCCACATATTTGTCATCCTGAGGTCCTTCTGATCCCATCACAAACTTTTGTCATCAAAATAATGACCTTCAAAGCAGTCCCTTTGTGTTTCCTATAACTGGAAGAGAAATGAATGATGTTCAAAGCATTAACACTCAAAATCCAGAGCAATAATAATGGATGTTCAACAAGGTGTCACAAATTGAATCTCATACTACTGTTTTGTGTTATTTTACCTTTGAATGGAGAATACATACTCTGTGTTTTTCACCTTTACTAAAAATATATAACTGGTATCATTTCTGTTGATTTCATGAGAATTCACATTTATTCCTTCAAAGTTAAACAGGAATGCATTGATGTTCTCTTCCCATTATTTTCTTTAATAAGTTTTTATTTTTAGGAATAAAAATTTACAGGATAAAATGTAAGACCATGGTAATATAGTTAGAGATAAATATTATTACTCAATAAATATTGATTATTTAGAGGCCTTCCATCTGCACAATTTACAAGCCCAAAGAGTAATCCCAATCAGAAAGCTGAGATTAAACCAGTTTGCTTCTGTTAGGTTAATCAGTCAATCTACTCTAAAAATGAAACTTCCAGATATGAGGATTTATATTTCTTTTCTTTTTTTGTGGGGGTGGGGGGGATGGAGTCTTGCTCTGTCACCCAGGCTGGAGTGCAGTGGCATGATCTTAACTCATTGAAACCTCCATCTGCAAGGTTCAAGCGATTCTCCTGCCTCAGCCTCCAAGTAGCTGGGACTACAGGCGCAAGTCACCATGCCCAGCTAATTTTTGTATTTTTTTTTTTAGTAAAGTCAGGTTTCACTATGTTGGCCAGGCTGGTCTCAAACTCCTGACCTCAGGTGATCTGCCTGCCTCAGCCTCCCATAGTGTTGGGATTATAGGCATGAGGTACTGTGCCCAGCCAAGAAGATTTATTTCTGATCATTAATATTATTCACACCTACATAAGCAGAATCTGAGTTTCTTTCTGTTCATTTTAACACAAAGATGCTCTCCAGTATGTGACAGCAGCCAAATCCAGCTATCATATTTATTCAGAATGAGCAAGAACTGAGACATATCTCTTCATAAGAGATAATTTTTGGTTGGGATTTACACTCATTGTCTGTATGAAACCCACTAGGAATCTCACAGAAGATTCAGATGGCAAAAAATTCTAAGCAAAATGCTGGATGCCGCTCCATCCCAATTTTGAAACTCAGCTCTATTTATCAAGACCAAAAAAGTGAAATAGGGTGCTGAACATAAGTTAGTTGTTCACTAAATTGTATCTCATTTCTTTCTGGGCGCAAGATTATACAACATATTCAAGCATTCCTTGCACTTAAATACAGCTATATGAGAGCAAATTGCATTCAATAGATTGTGGGCAGAGTGGCACATGCCACTCCCAGGCCTGGCCTCCTACACACAACCATCTGTTCTCCTTTCCCATTCTTGGTCTAAATGGAGGGAACTCCAAGAACCTAAAGAAGGGAAGAGATAAAATGCAGAAGGATCTAGGTCCCTTAGTTGCACATGGATGATAAGTGAGCAAAAATGAGTAGACTGTTTCCTAAGTACTAAATAAACTGTTAATGTGTTAAGCCTACCTCTGAGATTTTAGAGTTCTTTGTTGGATCAGTTATTCTGTCTTGATTAATCCAGCTAGTAAAACACAAGGAATCAATGATGATCTGGATCATATTGCCTCCATTAAGATTCCTGGATAATAAGCCAATACATAATAATTATTAACACATCATAAATATCAATGTGAATACCTATTTGTGGCACCATAAGGACAGCTTACATTTTCTGAGCACTCTTCATATGCCAAAAACGTGTAATTTTGCTATCCCTATTTACCGATCATAAATGAAAAGCCAAATGATTAAATAACTGGATCAAGATCTGTCAGTAAGTGGACCTTTAACTCAATTCCAACCTTTTTTTATTTTAATTCCTGAATCGTTAAGCACCAAGCCACATTGACTCTCAGTTCTCACATTCATCCTGACTCACTTTTCTGACAATCATACAAACAAATTGACCTGTCTGCTTTACCACATCAGAATATGCCTACCGATTGATATGATTCATTGTACTTGATATTCTTAAATTCTAAACCTGTTGAAAATTATAGCTTTGAAGTTTAAATCTATAATCACCAAAGATATTGCTTGCAAGTAGCATAACCCACTTAAGCTAGTTTAAGTAGAAAAAGAGTATATCACAGCATATTAGGAAACTCAGAGGCTTCAGTAGGCTTATCAGATTATATCCAAGAACAATTCCCAAATTGTACACTGAGCCTAACCAGTAGAGGTCCTTCTGGGTACAGGCATGGCTGGTCACACAGTGGCCACTGCATTTGTGCATATCATCACTATCCCAGGGACATCTGCCATTACTGCTTCAAAATGCCTGGTATCTCTCCTCTGTGCTCTGCCACTCTCATGAGAATATGGATTCTATGAAGCAACTGCACCTGTTTCTTCATGTTGTTCCATTCTAAATAAAACAATCTCAGGAGAATAGCTCTGTTGGGCAAAGCCTACATCCTAGCTGGAGGCTGGGAAATCGAGTTCTGGCTTCCATTGAGTAGGTGGATCTTATAGTGGAAAACCCTCCAAACATAAGAAGTCTGTTTGAAAGATTCTTGGTGACCAAAATGTATGTCCACTGAAATGACAACATAAAGTCATATGGAAACCAAAATCATGGGGGAACAGAAACAATGCTTCTTTTAGAGGAAGCAGGTTCAGAGAGAGAATAGAGCAGAGGTTCGTGGGGAAAAGCAGCAGCCTCAGGAAAGACAGGGCTGCTACATGATGACTCCTAAGTTTTGGTGAAGTCTGGCTGTCCTCGCTCTGATTGGCTTCCATGTATTTTTATAATATGAGGTCTCTGCAGTTCTTAAATGGCAAGTTCATAAATACATGCCAGGCTGTAAACACCTTCAAAATATTGACATGAATAAATAAATCTTAGAGTAAGATTCTCAGAGCTAGTGTAAGCAGAAAAATAGCTTATTAAAGGATATTATTATAATAGAAAACTCACAGAAGATTCATGAGGCTTAAAGGAGGGAGCAAGATGGAGAAATTTGTTTCTAAGGGATATAGAAATAACTCTTACATAGTGTTTAAGAGGATCACACTTAGCCCACACAATTGATTTGAATTCTGGCTCCACCCACTGACATCACTTCACTAAGTTGTAAATTCCATGAAATCATGGGTCATGTCTCACTCACATTTGTGCCAGTTATAGTCCCTGCGTTGCCACAGAACTTAGCAGTTAATATTTTGTAATGAATTCTTTCAACTGGTAGTAGCAAAAAGGATTTCATTTATTTAGATTAAATAGAACAAATAAGTGACTAGTTAGTAATTGGGAAGAAAAATACATTGACAATATGGGTTTCCAACAACTACAGAATGCTTGAGTTTATCATTTCTAGTAGGGTTGTTTTAGGGAATCAATTTTGTATCATTTTTAATTGCCACACATGCACAAATTGGCCTCAAAACACCATGTAATGATTATAATGGCTATAAATCACATTGACTGTGACATTGCTTCTTCTAAGTCCAGAAGTTAGTTAACATATAATATTCACTACTCTCTCTTTCCAATGTTTGTGTCCAAACATTGTTTCTTAAGTAGCCATATTGATTGTATTGATTAATACTCCTGGTAGAAATGATGAAAAATATCGATTTGCTCTTGTAAACCTCAGCTAAAACTAAAATATCTAGAGTATTGCTTCCTTGAACTCCATAAGAGCTCTCTTCTCAGGCTTCTTCCATTCTTGCTGATTACATCTACAGATGGAAATCAGGTGTGAAAATCCATTAAGATGCTTCACAACAAGACAAACTTTGACTCTTATTGAACTCTCATGTTCTCTCTTCCTTAATTAAGGCACAAGAACATTTTACCATGGAGAGAGAATGACTTAGATTATGGATCTTATTCCTTCTAAGGGCAATCATTTCACCCAATTGGGGGATAATACATTTCTTACTTCATTGCTTTGCAAAGAGCCTCTTACTCAGGTTTCTTCCAAGGGGAGAATAAAGAGTGTGGTTTTACTTATAGAGAGCTCTCAGTTATCCATGCCACAAAAGAAAAATGAAGCATACGGCTGTTCTCCCAAAATTATAACATATTTTTTCACTAAACATTTTAAAACACAAATAAAGAGTATCATTTAAATGAATTAGTGACATAGAATCTTATTTTAGAGCTGGAATAACCTTTAATGTTTGCAGCACAAAAAAGCAGTTGTGAGCACAGGCTTTGGAGTCAGATGACCTGGGTTAAAACCTCAGCTTCACATTTACCAGCTGTGTGACCTTAGGCAATTTACAAAACATCCTGTGTCTCAATCTTTTCTTCTGTATACTTTTAATTATGACTATACAAATAAATAATAAAATATAATAAGCAAGTTTAAGATAAATAAAAATAATAAAATGTAACAATAACTGTAATAATACCTTTCTCATAGGCTTGTTATGAAGGTTAACTGAGATAATGCAATCCAGCACCTAGCAGTCAATACATGTTCATTATTTTGCCTTTCACACTCTATGCACTTCTGTTCCATAAAGGCATAGCAAGTTAAAAGAAAACAAACAAACAAAAAACAAGTTTCTACAGCCTTTCCTGATCTTTAGTAATTAGATGAATAAGCCTCATAATTTTTGTTTTCTAAAGCTTCACCGACAATGTGAGATGTGAAAAAAATGTCATTGGTCTCTATGGAGAAAAAAAAAGGCAAAATGCAGAATTGACTCAGACTGATAGTTTAGTATAAAGATGCAAACAGGACAGTCTTCATGGTTCACATTTGCCAGTTTATTTTCACCAAACATATTCACAATAGCAGGATCACTAAATGAATATTCAGCCCACGAGTGTTTAGCTTTTGTGGATTCCCAAATTAAAATGATTACTAAGAACAAAAAATCATTATTACTAATATCCATGATAAATACTGGATCTACTTACTTGTACAGAAGTAAACACTGTATAAGCAAAAAGAAGAGCATTAGGAATTTGAAAGCCCAGCAAATGCAAATCAGATTGCATTTTAAAAAATATGGCTGCTATCATCTTCAATAAATTTCCAGGGATTCCAGGGAATCAGAGAAGGAATCAGAGGAATAGCAGAGCCATTTTCACTCCTGAATTATCTTCCTGCCTGTTTTTATATTTAGATTTTTAAAATGCAGTAATAATTATAACAGCTCTCAATTATTGAGTACTTACTATGAGCCAGGCATTCTGCTAAGTACTGTGCATGCATTATTTCATTTGATCCCCACAACATATATATGAGGAAGTCAATATCATTTTTCTATGTTTACAGATGAGGAAACTAAACATAGAAAGGTTGAGTTCCTTGTCTAGGGTCCTAGAGCCAGTAAACGGTTATTGAGTACTTTGGCTAGGTCCAAAGCCAGGTTCATTAGCCACTATGCAAGCTATTAACACTTCTACATAAAGAACACACTAACTGAGCAACCCAAAGACTTCCAACTACCTTGTCTATCCTGGAGCTTTGAGTCCAGTGAATATATAGGGACTGATACCAGCTGGGGGAGCAGATGTGTACATGAACTAACTCCATTCTTTTCCGTACACTCCTTCTCCATTGCCAGATGTGGACCTGAGGCTGTAGTTCTTAGAAGCTATCTTTCTCTCTGGATGCCACCAAAGGATAACAACTTGCTAATGAGGCAGTTGCCTTAGAGGTCCTGATGCTAAGTCCTGGGAAACATGGCTAGGCCATAAGATTACTCAGAGAAAGTAACCCCTTTGAAAACTGCTCCTTTACCTAAGTCTTGAAGCTGCTGTGGATTTTACTGATTTCAAGCAGTTGGAAGGCATTCAACTGAAGAGAGGTATTGTGCTATATAGGAATAAAGCTTCAAAAGCAATCCTGGGACAATATGAGGTTTTTCTGCTGGTTATCATAATGATAAAAAAAAGTAACTTATGAGGTTTTTCTGCTTATTATCATTATAATGACAAGAAAGTAACTTAACTCACCTGAATCTCTCTCTTTTTTTTTGTTTTTAGACAGTCTCACTCTGTCTCCCATGCTGGAGTGCAATGGTGCAATCTCAGCTCACTGCAAACTCTGCCTCCTGGGTTCAAGCGATTCTCATGCCTCAATCTCTCAAGTAGCTAGGATTACAGGTATGCACCACCAGTCCTGGATACTTTTTTTTTTTTTTTTGTATTTTTAGAAGAGACAGGGTTTTGCCATGTTAACTAGGCTGGTCTTGAACTCTTGGCCTCGTGATCCAACTGCATTGGCCTCCCAAAGTGCAGGGATTACAGGCGTGAGCCACCATTCAAGGCCTGAATGAATCTCATTTATAATAATGAAATAGTATATTTCATTTATTATGTGACACATCTTTTGGATTTTAACTTTTGAAATCTGAGGCTTTTTTTTTTATATGGGATCTCACTCTGTTGCCCAGGCTGGAGTACTGTGGTGCAATCACAGCTCACTGCAGCCCCTACCTCCTGGGCTCAAGTGATCCTCCCACTTCAGCCTCCTGCGTAACTGGGACTACAGGTGCCTGCCACCGTGCCTGGCTAATTTTTTTCTGTTTTTTTGTACAGATGAGGTCTCACTATGTTGCTCAGGCTGGTCTCGAACTCCTGACCTTAAGTGATCCTCTTGCCTCAACCTCTGAAAGTGCTGGGATTAAGGTGTGAGCCACCACATCAAGGCTCTGAGGCATCTTATAGCCAATAAATAGCATCGTCCAATGTTTGCTGGCCAGGCAGCAGTGGCGAGGTATTTGTCATGACTTGTGTATGTGCAAAAACAATTTGCAGAATGGGTAGCAATGGAGATGATAGAGCATTTGCTCCTTGAATCCCAAGGCACTATACAGGAAGGTATGGGAAGATGAAAGATAGGAATGCTTACAATGTGGTTAGAGATACAAAGAATAAATACATAAAATGTTTACCATAAATTCATGTTTAATTCATTGTATATTCTCATCTACTCCCAAAAAGGATTTGGGACAAAAAGAGGTTAGGTACTTTTGTCCAAGGTCACACAGTCAGGCAGACTGGAAAATGACCTAATTCCTATCCTATGCTATTCTTAACCACTCTAACTCCTCATTCTCCAACTGCCCACGATGCTGGAAGAAGCAGCACGGCACAATATGAAGAATTCAGAAAATGGGACGATATTGTTTGTGCTGAAGAGGAGGAGGAAGTGGGGTTGTTGAGTCAATGGGGACTCTTCTCACTGGAGCGGACTATCAAAAGCACTCTAATGGTGAAGAAGGTGTGAACAAAGGCCCAAGTAGAAGAAAAATAATTTGTAGGAATTGTAAGTTAGTAAGGCCGACAAGGACGTTTGTAAGGGTAGTAGTGGGACCTAGAGGTGGAAGGAAAGGAGGAGGAATCTTAAATCCAGACAGTGACTTTCAGCCTTTATTCTGAAGAGAGCTGCTATGGCCTGAATGTTTGTGCCCTTTCAAAATTCATGTGTTGAAACCTAATTCCCAATGTGACAGTATTAGGTGATGGGGCCTTGTAAGAAGTAATTAAGTCATGGCCGGGCGCGGAGGTTCACGCCTATAATCCCAGCATTTTGCGGGGCGGAGGCGGGTGGATCGCCTGAGATCAGGGGTTTGAGACCAGCCTGGCCAACATGGTACAACTCCGTCTCTACTAAAATTACAAAAATTAGCTGGGAATGGTGGCGTGTGCCTATAGTCCCAGCTACTCAGGAGGCCAAGGCAGGAGAATTGCTTGAACCTGAGAGGCAGAGGTTTCAGTGAGCTGAAATTGTGCCATTGTACTCCAGCCTTGGCAACAAGAGCGAAACTCCGTCTCAAAAAAAAAAAAAAAGAAAGAAAGAAAGAAAAGAAAAGAAGTAGTAATTAAGTTATGAGGGCTCTGCCCTTGTAAGTGAGATTTGTGCCTTTAGAAAAGGCTGAAGGGAGAGTGTTTGCCCCTTCCAGCATGTGAGGACACACAGAAAGCACCATCTATGAAGCAGAGTGAGCCCTCCCCAGACACTCAACCTGCCGGTGCCTTGATCTTGGACTTTCAAGCCTCCAGAACTGTGGCACAATAAATTTCTGTTTATAAATTACTCAGTATAATGTATTTTGTTATAGCAGATGAAATAAACGAAGACAACTGAGCTGCCAGTGAAGGTTTCTGAATTCATCTACTTTTAAAAGTTTAACTTGGGGAAGACTGGTCTGTCTTACGCGTATGCAGTTGGAGATGATAAAGAGCTAACTTCTGTGCTTTGTAAGTGCAACACAAGGGGAGAGACTGGTGAGATTTCTTTCTATGTGAGGTCTTGGTTGTGATAGATGTGACAGAGGAAAGGAAAAAATATGTTACAGAAATTCATATGAATAAGTGCCTGTGAAAATGTTCAAATAAGTTTGGGAAATGTTAGAATACACAAAACTCCCTGATTATTCCATTGTTAGACTTTTCAGATCCTTTAGGGCAGTGGTCCCCAATCTTTTTGGCACCAGGGACTGGTGTCATGGAAGACAATTTTTCCACAGACCAGGGTAGGGGGATGGTTTTGGGATAATTCAAGCGCATTACATTTATTGTGTACTTTATTTATATTATTATTACATTGTAATATATATGAAATAATTATACAACTCACCATAATGTAGAATCAGTGGGAGCCCTGAACTTATTCTCCTGGAACTCGAAGGTCCCATCTAGGGGTGATGGGAGACAGTGACAGATCAGCAGGCATTAGATTCTCATAAGGAGTGTACAACCTAGATCCCTCATGTACACAGTTCACAACAGGGTTCACGCTCTGTGAGAATCTAATGCTGCCACTGACCTGACAGGAGGCAGAGCTCAGGTGGTAATGCACATAATGGGGAGCGGCTGTAAATACAGATGAAGCTTCGCTTGCTTGCCCCTGCCTACCTCCTGCTTTGCAGCCTGGTTCCCAACAGGCCATGGTATTGGTCTGTGGCCTGGGAATTGGGGATCTCTGCTTTAGGCAATATAAATTATAACATTATCCACATGTTGATCATTGAGCACTTTTACACTTTTTCCCATAGGAAATTGCCTATTAATGACTTCTAGTTCCAAGTTCCAGTGAGCCTGGTTTGAGAAATGCTGAGTTACTAATATCCTAGTTAATGGCCAAGTTGCAGCTCTTTTATTATTTTTTATTCCAGCCTTGGATTATCAGCCTCAGACCTTTTATAAGCATATTTGTATTCGATTTAATATTTTTTACTTAGAATCATAGGTCAACAAGTTACTGAAATCAATTTAGATGACACCGTAAGAACATTTTATGGCCAAGAATAGTGGTGCTTGCCAATAATCCTAGCTACTTGGGAGGCTGAGGCAGGAGTATTATCTTAGCCCAGGAGTTTGAGACTAGCCTGGGCAACATAGCAAGATGCTTTACCAAGAGAAAAGCAAAACAAATAACACTTTATGAAAGTAGGTAGATCATGGACAGGCGTGGTGGCTCACGCTTGTAATTCCAGCACTATGGGAGGCCGAGACGGGTGGATCACGAGGTCAGGAGTTCGAGACCAGCCTAGCCAAGATGGTGAAACCCTGTCTCTTCCACAAATATAAAAATTAGCCAGGTGTGGTGGCAAGTGCCTGTAATTCCAGCTACTCAGGAGGCTGAGGCAGGAGAATCACTCAAACCTGGGAGGCAGAGGTTGCAGTGAGCTGAGATTGTGCCACTGCACTCCAGCCTGGGCAACAAGAGCGAGACTCCATCTCAAAAAAAAAAAAAAAAAAAAGAAAGTAGGTAGATCATAACTAATGTGAATATATATATAGTATATGCATGCATATGTATATATGTATGCTTATATTTATGTATATATATGTATATTTATGTATATATATTATATGTATATATATACATTGGTATATATAAATGTATATGTATTTGTGTGTATATGTGTGTGTGTATTCCTTATATTTAATTCCACAAAACTCAGTGATAGTTATTACCTTACACTTGCTTCATGAATAACATATTACATAGCAGAACAGTAGAAAGTACCTTGCTAACATTTTTAAAAGTCTTTGCTAACAGAGCAAAAAGAATGTATTACTTGCCATTAAAAATTGGTGGTTTGCACTTGCCTTAATTTTACTGCCTGAGACCTTGTCAGCAAAGTGCACAATTGTAATAAGCGGAATTGTAAAAGGCTGCTGTTGGGTTTTTTCAGACTTTCCATCTTTCATCACACCTTTAGAAGACAGGTTTTAAGTAGCAGTATACACCATCTAAAACAAGAGTTTGCAACAAGTTTAATTGGGAATACAGAATTCTTTCTGTCAAAGACAATGTTGACCTCGTTTTCAAGTAAGCAAAGAGTGAATGATTTATTTATTTACTTCTTGCACAGAATAACCAAGTCAAACCACCATCAGTCTTCTAAGAAAGGCTATTCTCGCAGGGTGTGGTGGCTCACGCCTGCTATCCCAGCATTTTGGGAGGCTGAGGCAGGTGGACCACCTGAGGTCAGGAGTTCAAGACCAGCCTGGCCAACATGGTGAAACCCTGTCTCTACTAAAAATACAAAAATTAACCGGGCATGGTGGTGTCTGGGTGTAATCCCAGCTACTCAGGAGGCTGAGGGAGGAGAATCACTTGAACCTGGGAGAGAGGTTGCAGTGAGCCGAGATTGCACCACTGCACTCCAACCTGGACAAGACAGTGAGACTCCTTCTAAAAAAAAAGAAAGAAAGATAGAATGGCTATTCTTATAAAAGTCTCCCTGCCTCTGGAAAAAAAATGCCTTGTCTTATATCTTACGTTTCTGCAAAATTCAGGAGTGTGTTCCTTCCCAGGCATGCCCTGTTGGTTCTGGCACCCGTGTCTGTCCTTGTGGGGTCACCTCAGAGAGGAGTGGTTCTCCCCCTCATTGCCTTGACTTTTTTTTTTTCTTTTGGCATCTCCTTGCCCTCATTCGCATGTTGCTCCTACTGAGAATTTTCCCTGAAGTTCAGAGCCTCCAACAGATGGGTTATTAACTGAACTGATTTGGAAAGCTTTACAGCCACTTCCCTCTGCTCCCTGCTGACTACTTGCCCACCCTAACCCTTTATCAGAAAGACTTAGGTCTCCAATAAGCACAAGGATAAACATGGCTTCACTATCACCATCAGTGGACCCTAAAGTTAGCTGTATGTGTTGCTTAGAAGGAAACAAAAATGTCACAACCTGCCTCCTGCTTAGCGTGATCTCATCCCTACCACCTTTTCTTACGCACACCGCCAACAGCTCCTAACTCCAGCTTGTCCTCACGCCGGCACCTTCACACTTGCTCCTCTCCTGGGATACTGTCTCCTGGGATGTTCATGTGCCCCATTCTACATCATTCAGGTTTCTTCTTAAATGTCACTTCCTTAGAGTGGTCTTCCTGGGCCTCCCAAATTAAATAGTGCTACCCTCAAGTCCATCACTCCTTATTCCCTAATCCTGCTTTAGGTTTCTTTTAGCATTTATCAATAATTTATCAATTATTGAATTACATGTTTATCTTTCTCTCTTATCAGAATATGAGTCTCAGGAGGACAGGGATTGGTCTTGTTCACAAACATCTCCATAGAGATTCTGATTCTGAAAGTCAGTTTTCCCAGGGCCTAAAAATCTTGTTTTAAAAAACAGACCGGCTGACTCTCTTTTCGGACTCAGCCCGCCTGCACCCAGGTGAAATAAACAGCCATGTTGCTCACACAAAGCCTGTTTGGTGGTCTCTTCGCACGGACGCACATGAAATTTGGTGCCGTGACTCGGATCGGGGGACCTCCCTTGGGAGATCAATCCCCCGTCCTCCTGCTCTTTGCTCCGTGAGAAAGATCCACATACGACCTCAGGTCCTCAGACCGACCAGCCCAAGAAACATCTCACCAATTTCAAATCCGGTAAGCGGCCTCTACTCTTCTCCAACCTCCCTCACTATCCCTCAACCTCTTTCTCCTTTCAATCTTGGCGCCACACTTCAATCTCTCCCTTCTCTTAATTTCAATTCCTTTCATTTTCTGGTAGAGACAAAAGAGACATGTTTTATCCGTGAACCCAAAACTCCGGCACCGGTCATGGACTGGGAAGGCAGCCTTCCCTTGGTGTTTAATCATTGCAGGGACGCCTCTCTGATGATACACTCACGTTTCAAGGGTGTCAGACCACGCAGGGACGCCTGCCTTGGTCCTTCACCCTTAGCGGCAAGTCCCGCTTTCCTGGGGCAGGGGCAAGTACCCCTCAACCCCTTCTCCTTTACCCTTAGCGGTAAGTCCCGCTTTCCTGGGGCAGGGGCAAGTACCCCTCAACCCCTTCTTCACCCTGAGTGGCAAGTCCCGCTTTCCTGGGGCAGGGGCAAGTACCCCTCAACCCCTTCTCCTTCACCCTTAGCAGCAAGTCCCACTTTCCTAGGGGGCAAGAACCCCCCAATCGCTTATTTCCGCACCCCAACCTCTTATCTCTGCGCCCCAATCCCTTATTTCCGCACCCTGACCTCTTATTTCCATGCCCCAACCCCTTCTCTGCTTTTCTGGAGGGCAAGAACCCCCCACCCCTTCTCCGTGTCTCTACTCTTTTCTCTGGGCTTGCCTCCTTCACGATGGGTAAGCTTCCACCTTCCATTCCTCCTTCTTCTTCCTTAGCCTGTGTTCTCAAAAACTTAAAACCTCTTCAACTCACACCTGACCTAAAACCTAAGTGCCTTATTTTCTTCTGCAATGCCGCTTGACTCCAATACAAGCTCGACAGTAGTTCCAAATAGCCGGAAAACGGCACTTTCCATTTTTCCATCCTACAAGATCTAAATAATTCTTGTCGTAAAATGGGCAAATGGTCTGAGTTGCCTGAAGTCCAGGCATTCCTTTACACATCAGTCCCTTCCTAGTCTCTGTGCCCAGTGCAACTCGTCCCAAATCTTTCTTCTTTCCCTCCCGCCTGTCCCCTCAGTCCCAACCCCAAGCGTCACTGAGTCTTTCTAATCTTCCCTTTCTACAGACCCATCTGACCTCTCCCCTCCCTGCCAGCCCAAGCTAGGTCCCAATTCTTCCTCAGCCTCTGCTCCTGCACCCTGCAATCTTTTTATCGCCTCCCCTCCTCACACCTGGTCCGGCTTACAGTTTCGTTCCATGACTAGCCCTCCCCCACCTGCCCAGCAATTTACTCTTAAAAAGGTGGCTGGAGCCAAAGGCATAGTCAAGGTTAATGCTCCTTTTTCTTTATCCCAAATCAGATAGCGTTTAGGCTCTTTTTCATCAAATATAACCCTGAGACGCTTTACAGACCTAGACCCTAAAAGGTCAAAAGGCCATCTTATTCTCAATATACATTTTATTACCCAATCTGCTCCCCACATTAAATAAAACTCCAAAAATTAAATTCCGGCCCTCAAACCCCACAACAGGATTTAATTAACCTCGCCTTCAAGGTGTACAATAATAGAAAAAGTTGCAATTCCTTGCCTCCACTGTGAGACAAACCCCAGCCACATCTCCAGCACATAAGAACTTCCAAACACCTGAACCGCAGCAGCCAGGTGTTCCTCCAGAACCTCCTCCCCCAGGAGCTTGCTACAAGTGCCAGAAATCTGACCACCAGGCCAAGGAATGCCTGCAGCCCAGGATTCCTCCTAAGCCGTGTCCCATCTGTGCGGGACCCCACTGGAAACTGGACTGTTCAACTCACCTGGCAGCCACTCCCAGAGCCCCTGGAACTCTGGCCCAAGGCTCTCTGACTGACTCCTTCTCGGCTTAGCGGCTGAAGATTGATGCTGCCCGATCGCCTCGGAAGCCCCGTAGACCATCACGGACGCCGAGCTTCCGGTAACTCTCACAGTGGAAGGTAAGCCCGTCCCCTTCTTAATCAATACGGAGGCTACCCACTCCACATTACCTTCTTTTCAAGGGCCTGTTTCCCTTGCCTCCATAACTGTTGTGGGTATTGACAGCCAGGCTTCTAAACCTCTTAAAACTCCCCCCATTCTGGTGCCAACTTGGACAACACTCTTGTATGCACTCTTTTTTAGTTATCCCCACCTGCCCAGTTCCCTTATTAGGCCAAGATATTTTAACCAAATTATCTGCTTCCCTGACTATTCCTGGAGTACAGCCACATCTCATTGCCGCCCTTCTCCCCAACCCAAAGCCTCCTTTGCGTCTTCCTCTCATATCCCCCCACCTTAACCCACAAATATGGGACATCTCTACTCCTTCCCTGGCAACTGATCACATGCCCATTACCATCCCATTAAAACCTAATCACCCTTAACCCGCTCAACGCCAATATCCCATCCCACAGCATGCTTTAAAAGGATTAAAGCCTGTTATCACTGGCCTGCTACAGCATGGGCTTCTAAAACCTATAAACTCTCCTTACAATTCCCCCATTTTACCTGTCCAAAAACCGGATAAGTCTTACAGATTAGTTCAGGATCTGCGTCTTATCAACCAAATTGTTTTGCCTATCCACCCTGTGGTGCCCAACCCGTACACTCTTTTGTCCTCAATACGTTCCTCCACAACTCACTATTCTGTTCTCCATCTTAAAGATGCTTTTTTCACTATTCCCCTGCACCCCTTGTCCCAGCCTCTCTTTGCTTTCACTTAGACTGACCCTGACACCCATTAGGCTCAGCAAATTACCAAGGCTGTACTGCTGTAAAGCTTCACAGACAGCCCCCATTATTTCAATCAAGCCCAAATTTCTTCCTCATCTGTTACCTATCTCGGCATAATTCTCATAAAAACACACGTGCCTTCCCTGCCAATTGTGTCCGACTGATCTCTCAAACCCCAGCACCTTCTACAAAACAACAACTCTTTTCCTTCCTAGGCATGGTTAGCGTGGTCGGAATTCTTACACAAGAGCCAGGACCACACCCTGTAGCTTTTCTGTCCAAACAACTTGACCTTACTGTTTTAGCCTAGCCCTCATGTCTGCGTGCAGCGGCTGCTGCTGCTTTAATACTTTCAGAGGCCCTCAAAATCACAAACTTTATCAGTCCTCCAGGCCCAAGTTGACTCTTTAGCTGCAGTTGTCCTCCAAAACCGCCGAGGCCTTGACTTACTTACTGCTGAAAAAGGAGGACTCTGCATATTCTTAAATGAGGAGTGTTGTTTTTACCTAAATCAGTCTGGCCTGGTGTATGACAACATAAAAAAACTCAAGGATAGAGCCCAAAAACTTGCCAACCAAGCAAGTAATTACGCTGAACCACCTTGGGCACTCTCTAATTGGATGTCCTGGGTCCTCCCAATTCTTAGTCCTTTAATACCCATTTTTCTCCTCTTTTTATTCTGACCTTGTATCTTCCATTTAGCTTCTCAATTCATTCAAAACCGTCTCCAGGCCATCACCAATCATTCTATACGACAAATGTTTCTTCTAACATCCCCACAATATCACCCCTTACCACAAGACCTCCCTTCAGCTTAATCTTTCCCACTTTAGGTTCCCACGCCGCCCCTAATCCCACTTGAAGCAGCCCTGAGAAACATCGCCCATTCTCTCTCCATATCACCCCCCAAAAATTTTCGCCACCCCTACACTTCAACACTATTTTGTTTTATTTGTCTTATTAATATAAGAAGGCAGGAATGTCAGGCCTCTGAGCCCAGGCCAGGCCATCGCATCCCCTGTGACTTGCACGTATACATCCAGATGGCCTGAAGTAACTGAAGATCCACAAAAGAAGTAAAAACAGCCTTAACTGATGACATTCCACCATTGTGATTTGTTCCTGCTCCACCCTAACTGATCAATGTACTTTGTAATCTCCCCCACCCTTAAGAAGGTACTTTGTAGTCTCCCCCACCCTTAAGAAGGTACTTTGTAGTCTCCCCCACCCTTAAGAAGGTTCTTTGTAATTCTCCCCACCCTTGAGAATGTACTTTGTGAGATCCACCCCTGCCCACCAGAGAAAAACCCCCTTTGACTGTAATTTTCCATTACCTTCCCAAATCCTATAAAATGGCTCCACCCCTATCTCCCTTCGCTGACTCTCTTTTTGGACTCAGCCCGCCTGCACCCAGGTGAAATAAACAGCCATGTTGCTCAACAACAACAACAAAAAAAACAGATGAGGTAATTTCTTTTTTCTTTTTATTGAAACAGGGGTCTCACTCTTTTTCTCAGGCTGGGCTCAAACTCATGATTCTCCCGCCTCAGTCTCCCAAGTAGCTGAGACTACAGGCACCCACCACCGTGCCCGATCAGCCCAGGTAATTTTGAAGCCACTAAGTTGAACAGCACTGGGAAGGCATGAATTGACACTAGACTTTCCCTAAGTCTGAGGTGGGCATTGTCGTTAGAGGCCTATTTTGTTGTTAGAGTCTTATTTTGTTGTTTTTTTTTTTAGTTTTTAAAGAAAGAAACAAAAGAGAAATGGCTTTCCCTTCCAAGTCCAGAAAGCCCGTGACTCAATGTTGTGGTGAATTGCCAGGAATCATTTACACAATAACAATAATAGTGTCAGAGGGAGGTGGAAAGCAGGAACTCCCTAGGTAAATGGTATTATCGCCAAGTAATTGGGAAGTGACTGTATATCAAGGAGAGTATATGCTACTGATTTACTGGACACCAGCACATGAAGTCTTATCATGGTCATATTTTGCCCATTTTTAGCTGCAATCACACAACGTTTACATGGAACATTCCTTCCTTTTCTTTTACCTTCAATGTCTATGTTATCATCACCAATTCCTCTTAAGTGATTTGGTGGGTTAGACTGATGTGTTTGAGGAAAGTACAGTCGAATCTTTAATTATAATGTAAACTGCCTGTGTTCATCTTTTCCAGGTCAGTAGTAGGTCTGGACTGAACCTGTGTCTCCTGCACCTCAGCTGTCCCCAGGTCTGCACTGTTGGAGCAACTAAGCGGTGGCAAGTCACCACCAGACTCACTGGCATCTGGGCCACACATTGCTGTGACTTTGGTTCAGAGAGACCAAGGGGAGCAGGTATCTTGCTCTTGATTTGGGAGAAGCTTCACAGAAGGGCCTTCATGGGATTTTAAGAAGGCAAGTATGACCTGATTAAGAAAGTATTAAGATAAAAAGAGGAAAATAGGGCTGGGCATGGTGGTTCATGCCTATAATCTCAGCACTTTGGGAGGCTGGCAGTTGGAGACCAGCCTGCTTAACATAGCAAGACCCCATCTCTACAATAAATTTAAAAAATAAATCAGCCAGGTGTGGTGGTGCACACCTGTAGTCCCAGCTACTTTGGAGGCTGAGGTGGGAGGATTGCTTGAGCCTAGGAATTTGAAGCTGCAGTGAGCTATAAGAGTGTCACTGCACTCCAGGCTGGGCAAGAGAGTGAGGCCCTCTCTCTTTAAATAAATAACTTTTTAAAAAGGGAAATAGTTACAAATATAAAAAGGCCCACTATTTGTAGAGTAGATGGAGGAAAAGAGAGGGAGGAAGACCTAAAGAGAGTGAAGGAAACTCAAGGTGAACAAACCAGTGAGAAGACGGAGTGGAAATAGGAATCTGGAAGGCAGAAGAGCCCTAAGTGGTCAGGAGAGAGACCATGAGGTCCTGACTGTACCACTGTTTTCACTGTGGGCTGTTAGATGCCTAAAATATTTTCTAATGCCTCATTGGCGGCATCTTATGTGAAGAAATTAACAGAAAACTGTAACAATTAACTATATGTTTCTCACCAGTAACCATCGTCAACCACCACATAATGAACTAGACAGTTCCCTCCCCACTGTGGCATTTATACCCTCTGATATTCGTAAACAGTGGTCACCTTGCCACACCTCATCACCGTCTGATCAAGCTACATATGGTTCCATCTTCCCTTTCTGACCCCTTCCTCCAGCCTGTTAAGTCATTTTCCTCGCTTTCTCTTCCTCCAGCCAATTTGTTCATTTCTGGGTAAAATGACACCACATTATTCTAGCTGCAGACTCATGATTGTATTTACAATTAATATTTATTGAGCGCGGTTGGCTCTGTATTAGGCACTGAAAACGAACACCAGACACCAGAGCGTTAGCACAGGGAACTACAAGCGGATATTCCTTCTTTTACCTGCCCTCTGTTTTCTTCCCCTTCAAATGTTATTTTTTTTATTGTTAAGTTTGATAATCATATTGTCTTGATCTCAAGGCATTCTCATAGGCTCCCCATGTACAATCTCAAAGTTTTCAGCAAATGCTATTTGAATCTGAAAATTTCAAAAGAAAAGAACTTTGGTCCTACCTCCTTGGTTGTGTGGCTGGAGAAGTGGGATGGGAAAATACATGTCTGCATTCCTCTGTTTCCCCAGTGTGACTGAGAATAGACTGACCAAGGACATGATTAGGCAAACACAACTTTATTTATTCACCTTGGAATAAGGGTATAGACACCCATACAGAACAGCACTCCTTTGCTCATTTCTTCCCCATCCATTCCAGGGAAATAGCTCAATGTTCTTTCACGGGAGACACATACTTTTATAATGTTATCAAATACATCATCAACACTTCTAAAAAAATGGCGTCCACCACCTGGAAGTCTCATACTGTTCGCGTAAACTAAAACTGTTTCCTATTTGTCCAACATATCCACTTGAATGAAAACGTCACAGAGGTGTTTGCAAGAACTTCTTATAAGGGAACTAAGTCAACGGGTTCCATTTCTATCTGCTAGTTTCTGGCCTTTTTCACTTTGAAGAGAAAATAAGATGCAGTAACACATTAAAAATAGGCAACTTGGGTCAGGCTGGCCTTTCTTCTGTGGAAAAAAAGAGTAACTATGAAATTAAATATCCAACCCTAACTGTCCAAAGTGTGGGAGTGAGGGTGTTTCCACTATTTAAAAAAAAATCTGTTCTGATACCTAGTTTTTCCTGGTGTGCACTACCAAATTCTTGGAAAAGCTACATTTCCCAGGAAGACAAGTTAGAGAAGCCTGGCCTTGAAACAGGAACCCAGCTGGCACAAGAAGGAAACTAGAGGGCTCCAAGTCACCCTCCCATGTAACCAGCATTCACCTTCATAACCTTTCTCCAGACACGGGCTCATGCACCTGCTGTGCCATCCTTGATTTTTTGCAACGATTATTTTGGTCTATAAAGTCAGAACATTCAGAGGAAACAGGAATTTCTGCTACAACACAGTATATAAGATAATCTGTGTTTTGAAAACTACACATAAAAACTAACAGCATTCACAGGGTAGGGGAGAAGGGTTTGTTTTTCAAACTCTAACAAACTTTGTAACTAGAGAATGAAAAAATATGTGTCAGAGGAGATAACTGGATGTCCCAGCAAGTTGGAGATAGCCACAGTGGATATTAACTACATAACCAAGAGTGACAATGGTAGCGACTTTTAATTAGAGGAGAGGGGACAAGGCAGATAGAGCAGTTCCATGTCATGTCAGCTGATCTGCCATTCGGGTATGCACAAGGCAGCCAAGCAACCTGACAAGAGTCAGAGCCTCATGAGGTTGGCACGAACCTCTCTGAGCAGAGTGATCCAGATTTAGGTACTCATTTCTAATTTTATCAAAACACAGCCAAAAGGGCCTCTGCTATCTATGCAGCAGCTAATCTAGGCAAGCCAAGCTCTCCTTTCCTATGGAAGGTAGTAATTCTCCTCCCACTCTTCCTACTCCTCCTGCCTGAGAAACATCCCCTTATGAATGAGCTCGACTTTTGCAAAGTTCTGACATCATTCCCTACTCAACACGCATGGATAAGCCAACTCCTGTTACAGAGCCACGCTTTGTAGCTGAATAAACTCTACAGATTTGATTCAGCACCATGGAGGATGGACTCCTCAGGCTGGGGTCACTGGTGGGCAACCATGGCACACCGGGGACGAGGGAGACAGAGGATCCAGATTTTTTTCAACTTTTTTATTACACAGTAAAGAATACAACAATACCTGAATCATACTTTAAAGATTCACAGGTTGACAGACCATACATTACAGTCCAACTAAGGAAAAAAGGATAAACAAGAAACCACAGTTCAGACATAGTAGACTTAAAAGCTCAAGAGTATGCTGACAAAAGCATGATGCCTAGACCCCACCCCCCAGTGTTAGTCTACCATTAACTTGTGGTACATGTCTGAATTAAGTATTGCACAACAACTTTAATTTTTCACAATGTCGCAGAACCCAAAATAATATTTTAAAAAAATTACTTCAAATCTGCATTTCAACAGTCTCCAATTTTTTTTCTGTCCCTTGAGGAATTCGGACAACATGGAGTCGCTTTCTTTCCCTAAGTATTCCAGACGTAGGCATGCTTTGCATAAGTAAACCAGCCTTGAAATTTTTAAATCCCCAAGACATGCACCTACACATAAAAAAAAAAAAAATTTAAGAAAAAAAAAAGACAGGTGGCCCTGTCACACACAGTCTCATGACAGAGAAAAAGAGAAAGAGAAAAGAGTAAGAGACAGAGATAAGAGCTAGAGGACGCCCTATTCCTATCAGCGACCACCATTCAATTCTATCCAATGAAGATAACTTTTTCTTAATGTGTTATACCTACAAATTATATTCTCACATAGCCTGTATATAAGTGACAAGCAAAAAAGGAAAGTAACAAAAGTTTTCTTTTCTTTCTCTTCTTTAGGTTTATGAGGTCTGCATTGTTACCAAGAAGTGATATGGTTTGCAGCTGTATGAGCTTAACTTTTGGTATCCTGGTTCTTTTGTGCCCATTTGGTTTGACTAGACCAGTTTTTGTTAGCTACTGGTGCAATATACATGCTGTCAGAGGTAGAGTGAAACTTTTTGCCACTGAGGAGAATGTAGCAAAACAGGAGGAGAGGAAGAGGAGGAAGAGGGGAAGGAGGAAGAGGAATCAGAGATAGAGCTCAGAGTTAGGGATTTTTTTTTGTATTTGTTTTCACTCAGGGTGCCCTGAATTAAAAAGTAATGAGACGTACTGTACTAATCCTTATTTTACACACTAGTGTTAAGAATAACAGTGCTGTTTCACATACATCACAGCTTCTAGAGATAAAGACGTGTGGGTATGACATACCTCATTTTTGGGATTATTTAACCCTTCGTAGCCTAGAACATATAATAGCTCTGTAAGAAAGGACTGTCCAGTGTCACAAGCAGACTAGAAAGCAGAGTGAGGTCAAAGGATTCTGGGAGCACCATGATAAAATATAACCCATTCAGAGCCTGGTTATGTGCTTTCATTTCACTTTAAGCAGGTGTGCTGGCAGATGGACTTCCAACATGTAGATAGATGTATTTATTTGCTCATCAGAACTTTCTAAACTAAAAAGTCATTTAAAAAAAATAACACCACCCAAACAAAATTAAAACCAACTTGTATATGAAAATACAGGGAAGAAATGCTTTTAAAAATGTTAGATTTAAGAGACTTAAAGCAAACCTTAGGATTGCCTCTATGCAGATACTTAAAAGCCACTTAAAACTGTTTCCAAGGCCTACATTTAACCCTCCCCCCACCCCCCGCCCCAAAGCTAATGGATTGTTTTTGATTTTAAAGAAATGCCTGGTGTATATGTATTTGGAGAAGTGTCTTCCCAGCCTTGTAAACTTTGGTTGTCTACACAGCCTGCAGCACTGCTGACTTTCCTAAAGCACACAACCACATCCTGGGCTACTGTTTTCAAAACTAACAAGTAGTTCTGGTCTGGACCCTGGACAACGAAGGGTTAATGGATTCATACTATACCTTGCTGAACATGTTTAACCTGCTGATCATTTGGAAAGTAGTACTGGTGCTTTTCAAAATTCCGATTTTGGTCCATCAGATCAGTCTTTGGCTGACTTCCCTTTTTGTAAGAATACTGTATAACCTGGCATTCAGCAGTGTTAAAGCTGTCAATCTACACCTCAGCATTTGGAGCTCTAATGATTTTTACTTTTGTAAAATTAGAAATACTTAAACGACCTTACAGCAATATGCATGCACTGTCCTTTTTTTTTAAAGTAGGATATCTTGTTATTTTATTTTTTTAAAAAAGTCCCTAATAATGATTTAAAAAAAAAAAAAAGAAAAATTCCACGACTACTCTATGCTACAGCTAAACTTGATGAAATGGCTCTAGCATATTTAAAAAGAATTTGCTCAAAAAAAAAAAAAAAAAAACAAAAAGCATGCCTAGGGAGTCATTGTGACAGTGCAAAATACATTTATGTACATCCCTCTTACAAAAACACCAATATGTTAGCATTCCGTGAAGCATGCTGGTTTTCAGGAAAAAAAAAAATCCTATAAGAGAGTGAAATAGCAGCTCCGAAAGATAGCTTTTCTTCTTTTCTTTTCTTGAGGACAACCAAAAAGAGTCTTTTTTTCCTTTTTTTTTTTTTAACTACTAGAGAAATATCACTAATACATACAGATATAAAAGCAGCATAGAAAGATACAGGTTTCTCACCAACTAGGAATAAAGAGACTAAATGTGGGCATATGGTTAAACTACAATGCATCTTCACATTTGTCCAACACATTTACAAGAAAAACACCATTGGGAAACCTCACAGGACAGAAGTGTTTTAACACCAAGAGAACTACTAGTTTTTAATTAAAAATCCAAACAGGGTGGGGTTGAAAAATTTTGGAAAGGGGCTGGAGCTGAAGCCACCATTTTTAAAATTATTTTTTTCAATATAAAATGAATGAGCTGGAATAGACCCAATGTCTTACTCTGTGGAACCTTGCAAAAGTGAAGAAACGTTGAAGGGTTATTTAGGGCAGCTGGCTGATGTCAAAACTGCCAGAATGCTAATTAACTGCAGGCTGAGTCTCTTACTTGTGTGTGTGTGTGTGTGTGTGTGTGTGTGTGTGTGTGTGTGTGTGTGTGTGTGTATATGTGCGTGTGTGTGTGTGTATATATATATATATATATATATATATGGAGCCTTTTGTATTATGGCATTTTTTTTTCTTGCTGCTGTATTCATACATCCCATTGCAAATCATCTTTCATTTTTCATTCTGTTGACCTGGATATTATTATTTCTTTTCAGAAACAGGAAAAAAACCGAACATCTGTGTCTCCTTCCAATCTGCTGCACATCTGCGCGTTTTGTAGCGGGTCTTCAAAGTTCAGTTAGCAACCCACGGACGCCATTCATCTTCTTGTTAAAATGTCTACTGCTGTATCCAATGCTCATGCCCTTGAGGGTTTTCCTCTTTTTTTTTTTTCCATTATTGTATATAAAGAACATTGTGACTTTTAATATTAGCATTTTTGCTTTCAACAGCAATTAGCAATCTCTTGGTTTGCTGTTTGGTAAAGCATCGGTTAATGAGGTCATCTAGTTTAAAATCCCAGCTACTTGAAAATAACAGGGAGGAGGTCAAATCTATCATTTCATGTTATATTCTCTGCTCTCTTTTCAGTTCTCTAAAGAAAAGATATCTTTGTTATCCACAATAAGTCATTACGACCCGTTACTGGCCCTCTGTGTTTTACTACCACCTCAAGATACAGTTAGGTTCTCTCTTGCTGAAGTACTGAAATAGGATAATTCATCTAATAAACAAACAAACAAAAAAAACAACTTTGAGCATCTGAGGATGAGGAATTGGTTTCGCGTTGGTTGTGTTGTCTTTCCTCCGACAGTTCTGAGTTCACGTCTAGCGAGGGGTTGTCTCTATGGTGGAAGGGGTTCCCGGGGTGGTTGACCTCGGAGTGGCTGCTGGTGGTGTGTCCATCGGGCTCCCAGCCCCGCTGTTGGGCGTGACAGAGGAGCTGACTGCAGGTGTGTCTCCCTGCTGCTGGGCCTGCAGGGTCTGTCCACAGATGTGATGGTGCTTCTCCCAGTCTTTGTGCTGGCAAAATGAGCCACAGTATCGGGCTGTGTTACAGCCACTGCAGGTTTCACTCGCTTTACGGCCACAATTCCAGCAACTCTAAAGGAGAAGGCAGAAGAAAGCAAGATCCCAAGTTAATACACTGTTAAGACAATAGTCTGACAAATATGTTAGGCATCACTGTAGCCTTATTTTCAAGAACTATACAGTCAGGATGAAAAATCCAGGTGTTCACGTATGGATACAAACACTAAACACAGAAGATGCAGGTTTTGATGGGATGGTTGTCCAAACTGCTCTGCCAACAACTACTATGGCATCTGACAAAGCAGTTGAAGACTTTTTAAGTTCTTACTATAACATCCTTTCTTTTTAGGTTTGGTTATCTTTGTATGTAAATTCTCCCTTCACTCATACTGACTAGCAATTACTATTTCCAAATCTTTTCCCAATACCTATACCACAATAGTCAGACACAGAGATATATCTGAGCAGAAGCTTCTTCCTTTTAGATACCAAAAGGAATCACAAAGAAACTACCAGAACCATATCTATATTGGATTCAAATAAATATAATAGAGTAGATAAGGGATTCTATTCCCTGCTCCTTCAGACTAGACAAGGTGAGGCAAAGTCCTTTAACCTCTCTATGTCTTTAGTTCTTTCAGTGCATCCATTCAGTGAACCTTACAACCAAATGCTAGGACTGTGTTAAAACAACCCCCTTTACCTCAGCTCCCTGGAGGACAGGATCCTCAGTTTGTTTTTTCTCCCTGTATCTGAAGCACCCAGAATGGGTGCCTGATAGATAGAAGTGTTCAATAAATATTTGTGAAATGAATGAATTAGACTACGCCTTATTTGGCTTTGAGAAATGAGAAATGCTAAAACCAGCCAAATAACAATTCTATTTGCACACAGTTCTTTCCAGCCAACGGAGCTGCTCTGCTGCTCCTGTGTGCCTCAGCAACTCTGGGAAGTCAGAAAAGCAGAGGGAACTGGGGCTCATTTGGGAGTGATGAGAACAAAACTCAAACCCTAGTAAGTTCACTGCCAGTTGTGGGCAGTGTTTTGCAAGACATGAGAAAAGTGGGACTGAGGCTGCCACCAGGATTTAAACTTTAAGATAAATGCATCACGAATTAGAGCACAAACATACCAGAGACAGAAGAGCACCTTTTGGGGACAGGCCCTAAGCAGGCAAGGAGGAATGAGGAAGAAACTAACCTTCAGGGATCCTCCTATGAGTGTGGTGGGGAGGGGGACCTCACAAAGCTGACTTTAAATGTTTAAATGTTCCTAGTTTCTTTGGCAAGACCGATCCCATTATGCAAAACTGTAGTAAGTAATCTTAGCTTTATGTCATTCAACTTTTTATTCTTTAACTTCATTGGTTTTGATTATGTCCTTGAAAAACAAACTTCTGACTACAATCTGGTAACCCCAAACAGCTGACGCTATGTGCTTGTGTGATAAGAAAGATTTTTAAAGCCCTGACATAGGTATTCACAGGTCTCCCTACTGTGTTCTCTACATTTGCTTTGCTTCCAGCATGCTGGTTGTGTGGCTTAAGGTAAGCTCATGAGCTGCTGACAATACTATACTCCTAGGAAACGTCAGCCCATCACCCTGTGTATGGCTTTACCACTGTGCAAAACGTGCAAGGGAATTTTTAGCAGCCATCCTAACATTGTTAACAAATAAATGGGCTCCCAGAGGCTGGCATGTGCTGAAAGCCTTTGAACTCAAGAACTCCAATTTAAAACTTTTAGAAAGAGCCCAGCTCCACGTTCTTATTTCTTTAACCATCAGACATTGCTATGTTGAGCAGAAAAGCTCAAACAAAAAACAGAAATAAAAAAGAAATTACAATCCAACACGGAAAAACAAAACAAAAACAAAACAAAAACTTAAAATCTCAAACTCTGGCCAATGACAGGTGTTTTAAGTGACTATTGCTGAGGAAATCTAGAAACTTGGTTGATATGTCAAAAAATGTCATAAGTTAAAATTTGAATGAATAGTAGTAGAACAAAACAATTTTTTCCTACTTCAATTAATTTAAGAAACTATCTCAAAAGATGTGAAGCTCTGATCGCAAGTCTCATTACCATAACAAGAAGCCTTTCTCTCTCAAAATTAATTCAACTGCATTGCATGTACAATGGTTCCACAAAGACGTGAGCAAACGTGGGCCTGGCCCACCCTTCAAAGCTGTGAGGTATAATACTCAGTGCTCAGAGTGAAGTTAACTTCCTTGAGGTTTAGGCTTTTAGAATAATGCCAGCTGGATCCTGGAACAAACTCAGCAAATAAGCTATATTCCTAAATTACATCAGAATATTCCAATTAGAGAACAGAGACTCACATCCAAAACAATATTTTAAGGAAATTAAACATCTAATCTGAGTCAAGTGGCTTCTTTAGGAAATACCCTGGTGTGAGTCCTATCCGTTTTTTGGCAGAGGCACGTTTTGGCAGACACAGGGTGGTAACTGTCCAATACTCAATGGCTCCTTCAGATTGAAATCAGATGTATGCAACATTCTCAATTTAAACTGATTAAACACACAGACTAAACCAGGTAATTACAGATGCATGTGCTGGGAAGTGGAAAGGGAGACAGAATGGGGGCTTCTTTATTTTTTAAAGTGTTTTCAAAGATGGGAACAATTTTACAAATAAAAAAGTGGAATTGTGCCAAATACAGAAACAGATGTTTTGGATCGTGAAGCTGCTGGGAATTGAGCCTTCTTGCATAGTATTGTCTGGTTCTGATCCAGGAGTTAAGGGGTCTGGCTAGTTTTACCTCTAGTTTCATTCTCAAGTTGTTTGATACTATTCATTTACCACCCACCACTGGGACAAAAGAAAAAACAACCTTCAGCTGTAGGAAGTTACAAAAAGAGCAATTTTAATGATCTGGTTAAAAAAAAATCTGCAAATTTTTATTTCTCTTGACATTGCATTGCAGTGAATGTGTAGGGAACTTTAGTGAGTGTTCAACTAACAAACGCTCCAATGCGCATATTCATTCTTAAAAGCTCATTAGAAAACTGAAAGAGCAATTTCTATTAATATATTTCTCTTGGATGCTCTAGTGAATTTACTGTTGGCTAATCCATACCTGCAAGACTGATGCCTGATCAGTGGCACTCAGCCCCTGAATAGTCACAATTCTGGAAACAGCGGAAGGTGCAGAATCTTTTGAGTACTCCAATTTGGATCATTCTAAGCTTTCTACTGTTCACAAAGGTGGAAATTGCAAACTGTGTCTAACAGCCACGTGTCTATCCACAAGGGCTGGGATAAAGGCAGTCAATGGCTTAATCTAATTTTACATTTTGCAGTTTGTGCATTTTATATTCAAGATACTATTTCCTGATAATTGTTTTATTTATTTATTTTTAAATGACTGAGCTTCCCTTTCAGGCCTCTAAGGAGTGATGTCACTGAAATTACCATAATAGTGTAGAAAGCTCACGGATATCCATATCACAGCAAATTTCATTCCCAAAGCTCATGGCACTTTATAGTATTCCTTTATTTGTGATAATGTTATTCCCTTTTTGGCATAAAGAATATTTTCCTCCCTATCTGAAAAGTAAGAATAAGTCAATTGACCAAAGTTAGGTTGTGACTCAGATGAAGAATTTGTGGCTGAACACGAACCTCCCCTTTGCTAAATATACTAAATACAAGGCTATATACAGAATCAATGGACTGAAGCTTTTGAATGCCAACACTGCATACTGAAGGTATTCGACACTTTGTTTCAAATCAGCATTTCTCTTTGTCCCTAAG